>NC_000003.12:179955574-181205574 GCF_000001405.40 Homo sapiens | reverse complement strand
CAGTGGTGCGATCTCGGCTCACTGCAAGCTCCGCCTTCTGAGTTCACGCCACTCTCCTGCCTCAGCCTCCTGAGTAGCTGGGACTACAGGCACCCACCACCACACCCAGCTAACTTTTTGTATTTTTAGTAGAGATGGGGTTCCACCGTGTTAGCCAGGATGGTCTCGATCTCCTGACCTCATGATTTACCCACGTCGGCCTCCCAAAGTGCTGGGATTACAGGAGTGAACCACTGCACCCAGCCATAGTTTTGAATTTTATATAAATAAATGGTTTTGAATTTGGAACCACACAAATGGCCATCTTTTGCCTAATTATAAAAAAACAAAAAGGAAAAGCATCTCTTAAATATTAAAATAAATGGAAATAATAATAAGGCGTCTATACCTTACTCAACTTTGAGAAATACTCTTGATCCATTAAATCTTGTTCATGTAAACTAAGTTAACATCTAGCAATTGTAGTGAAGACCCACACAGAAATTATTCCCCAATGCATTGTATTGTTACTGTCTTTCAATTTTCTTAAGCAAATTTGTTTCTTATTTCTGAATCCATCGTTAGATTTCTATAATTGTTTCATCCACTATATTTGTTAGAATTACCTGATTATCTTCAGAATAAAAGCATGGGATTTGAAATCAGAAACAACTTGGTTTAAGCCCCAGATCCATCATCCTCATTAGCCATAAAACCTCGGGAAATAGAATTAACCTCTCTGAGCTTAAGTTTTGTGTCTTCCTTCATTTTTGTGCTGCTATAACAGAATACTGAGACAGAGTAATTTATAAAGAACAGAGGTTTATTTCTTATAGTTCAGGAGGCTGGGAAGTTCAAGATCGAGGAGCTCACATGTGCAAGGGACTCTGTGCTGCATCATCCCATGGAGAAGGTGGGAAAGTAAGAGAGCACACGAGAGAGGGAGAAGAAGGGAGCTGAACTCATCCTTTGTATCAGGAGCTCACTCCGTCTATAACTAACCCATTCCAGTGATAATGGCATTGAATCATTCATGAGGACAGAGCCCTCATGACCTGATCACCTCCTAAAAGTTCCACCTCTCAACACTTGCATTGAGGATTAAGTTCCTAACACATTAACTTTGGGGGACACATTCAAATCACAGCATTTTCCCATCTGTAAAATGGGAAGAATGTCACCTGTCTCCCCTCTATCCTAAAAACCTAATATCTACATAATCTCCACATCACATTCCTTTTGCCATTGGATTCCTCTAAACTGCAGCAAAATTTACCTGTATCAAGTGTCATTGTCTAAACCCTTTCCAGAACAACAACTTCAAATTTCTCCTAACATCCACTTAAAATTCAAAACTAAGCATGGCAATGTTCTCTGCCAATTAGTCCCTCTTTTTCTCTAACTGTTCTTAATTCTTAACACATTGTTGTGTAGTAAGTACTCTCTGCTCCCAGGAAGAAAACCTACTCAGCTCACCATACTGTCTATTACACCCCTAGAAACTAATGCTTTGTAATGGAATTTTCTTTCTTTGATCAACAGACTGCTCTCTAAAGTAGTCGAAGTTATAGTAGTTGCACGCAATGCAGGTTTCTTATATTACAGACGTCTGAATTTAAGCCCAAATGCAGTATTTGAAATATATGTGCAACTGTTATTTAGCTACAAATTTTAAAAGGATTGGAAGTTGTTTTCAACTGGACAGTCCAGCCACTGACTAACTGGTCACTTAGATAAGGGTCAGGGCTACATCTGTGGGTCTTATAAGAGAAGATGCCAAGGGCCACCTCTACAAACCAGCCTTCAAGAGAACCTACTGCCCATCTACCCACTGATTGGCTGATGGATGTGCTGTCCTTCCTCTCACTGGACAAGAAAGGGCTCATTTCCCCAAGAGTCTTTCAACTGTTGAAACAATTCCAGCCATCATCTTCCCTTCTGGTGGGTATAAAACTTATCTGGAGTGGTGAGAAACTGTAACCAATTAAGCTTCTTTAATTAGGGAACCTTCCTTATCTTGGAGAGATGAGAGTTGGCAACAATGTTTCTACATACTGTGGTAGACTGTGTCCTTTCATAAATACTCACTCATTTAAAGAGCCAAGACTCTGGAAATTAAAGTTTCAGTTTCATTTCTGGAATTAGAAGAGAATTCATCATCAGACTAACACACATCTTTGACACAATTTGTCTGTTTCTCCTTCCATTGTTTAGATCTGCTGCTGCTTCTCTTCCTGGGCCTTTGCTGTCCTTGCCTTACAGAATCATCTCATCCCACTCTGTAGAGCAGTAGTAAGGTCAAAGGATTTCTATTTGTTCAATCTATTCCTACTCCCCCTTAGAGAGCAGATTTTATTGTTGGTAAGAATCTGGAACTTGGTTTCTTCATGGTTCCCCTGAGCATTGAGACCACGTTCTGACCCCAGCAGCTATTCCATACATATTGGTGACTGTCTGAGTTCTGTTTCTTTGCTCTGGCTTTCCATTGAATAAATATAAAAGGAAGTGATGTCCAGAAATATTGAAGAACCCAGTAAAAGAACATATATGGGGCTGGGGCTGGTGGTTCATGCCTGTAATCCCAGCACTTTGGGAGGTTGAGGCAGGTGAATCACTCGATCCAGGAGTTTGAGACCAGACTGGGCAAGATGTCAAAACCCCATCTCTACTGAATATACAAAAATTAGCAGGGTGTGGTGGCTTACACCTGTAGTCCTAGCTACTTGGGAGGCTGAGGTGGGAGTATCACTTGAGCCCAAGAGGTGAAGGCTGCAGTGAGCTGAAATCACGCCACCCATGCACTCCAACCTGGGTGACAGAGTGAGAGACTGTCTCAAAAAAGAAAAAATATGGAGAACATATTTGGACAAAAGCTCTGAGACACTGATATAAAATCTGTATCTCTACCACTTCCTTATTTTAAATGTTTAATGTCAAACTGAGAACTTTAATTTTTTTCCTCATATTTGTTTAATCACAATTATTCAGGAATTACTCAGCTAATTGAGCTTTTCAGGTTTTAAAAAGTTGGATGTATATGTTCTATGTATTCTAACCTCTGTTTAACAAGTAGCAAATCCTAAATGAAATAATGAACAGGGAATAATATGACCACTCCCCTAATTATACTTTCTGTGAGCCCATTGAACATGCCTAAATATTAAGGGTCTAAAACCGTATAGCCCTAGGAATGAACATTTTTCAGAAGTTAATTACTACCAGATATATTAGTGTTTGTGTGAAATGCCTTTTTTATTTCCTTTTCAAATTACCCAAATATCTTAAATTAATAGTGTGAATAATGGAATGTAGAAAGGAGCCTTTGAATTCACAAATGTCATAAACCAAATCCTTACAGGTTTCCTCATCTTCAAAATGAGAATAATAATGATAACCACTCTGAAATGTTTCTTGCAATGAACAGCTAATTTGAATACTATAATTGTAGGGTACCTGTGAAACAAAGTGCAATAAAAATACTCTAATAATTATTACAACTATTCAGCATTTGCAGAATTGAAGAATTTTCTTTGGGGATTCTTTTTTTATTTTTGTTTTTTGATACAGAGTCTCACTTTGTTATCCAGGTTGGAGTGTAGTGGCGCAGTCTCGGCTCACTGCAACCTCTGCCTAGCGGGTTCAAGCGATTCTGTGCCTCAGCCTCTGGAGTAGCTAGGATTACAAGTGTGCACCACCACACCCGGCTAATTTTTGTATTTTTTAGTAGAGACAGGGTTTCACCATGATGGCCAGGTGGGTCTCGAACTCCTGACCTCAAGTGATCCACCCACCTCAGCCTCCCAAAGTGCTGGGATTACAGGTATGAGCCACCATGCCCAACCATGGGATTCTTAATTAGGACAGTATTATTGAATTACTCAATCATGTGCTTACTGTTAACTGATCTGCTGATGGGTCATATCAGGAGGTCCCAGAACTGCCCCCGCCATGTGGTTAGCCGTGTTCCATCTCCACCACTGATAGTCAAAGAAGCATGTGATTCTAGCACAGGAAAAACAAACAAACAAACAAAAAACAGGTGCCTCTACCTTTCAGGCACCATTCCAATATAGAATATTAAATAAAAGAACTGGAAGGCTGGGCGCAGTGGCTCATGCCTCTAATCCCAGCAATTTGGGAGGCCAAGGCAGGTGGATCACGAGGTCAGGAGATCGAGACCATCCTGGCTAACACAGTGAAACCCCGTCTCTACTAAAAATACAAAAAATTAGCCAGGCGTGGTGGCGGACGCCTGCAGTCCCAGCTCCTCGGGAGGCTGAGGCAGGAGAATGGCATGAACCCAGGAGGCAGAGCTTGCAGTGAGCCAAGATCGCACCACTGCACTCCAGCTTGGGTAACAGAGACAGACTGCGTCAAAAAAAAAAAAAAAAAAAAGAACTGGAAAGTTATACTACCACTTACTCAACAAGTTAAATCCTTAGTATAATGCACACATCCAATCTGGATTATAAGGAAAATAGTTGGGGCTTTTTTTTTTTGTAAAATTCCAAAATACATTTGGAGCATGTAACATCACTGTGTAGGTATTTGGGAGAAAATGAAGAATGATTCAGGTTCCAAATAAAGAACCTTCTCCCTTGCTCCTGCTTCCACCACGTGAGATGCCTGATCCCCCTTCACCTTCTGCCATGATTGTAAGCTTCCTGAGGCCCTCTCAGAAGCCAAACAGATGCCATCATCATGCTGCTTGTAAAGCCTGCAGAAGCGTGAGCCAATTAAACCTCTTTTCTTTATAAATTACCAAGTCTTACATACGTCTTTATAGCAATACAAGAACAGACTAATACAGAAAATTGGTACTGAGGAGTGGTGCATTGTTATAAAGATACCTGATGATATAGAAGCAGCTTTGGAACTGGGTAACAGGCAGGGGTTGGAAGAGTTTGGAGGGCTCAGAAGAAGAAAAGAAGAAGAGGGAAAGCTTGGAACTTTGTAGAGACTGGTTAAATGGCTGTGACCAAAATGCTGATAGTGATATGGACAGTGAAGGACAGGCCACCAAGGTCTCAGGTGGAAATGAGGAACTTATTGGGAGCAAAGATCACATGTGTTATGCCTTAGCAGAGATCTTGGCTGCATTCTGTTCATGTCCTAGGGATCTGTGGAAGTTTGAACTTGAGAATGATGACCTAGGGTATCTGGTGGAAGAAATTTCTCAGTACCAAAGTGATGAAGAAGTGTCAGAGGCATGGCTGCTTCTAACAGCTTATGTTCAGATGCAGGAGCAAAGAAATGACTTAAAGTTGGAAGTTACACTGAAAGGGGAAGTAGAAAATTCTGAAAGAATTTTCTTTACACTGAAAGAAAAGTTTGGAAAATTTGCAGCCTGGCCATGTGGCAGAGAAAGAACACATTTTCAGGGGAGGAATTCAAGCAGGCTGTGGAGCAATCACTTGCTAGAGAAATCTGCATACCTAAAAGGGAGGTAAGTGCTAATAACAAAGATGATGGGAAAAGGCCCACATTTCAGAGATGTCAGAGGCAGACCCTCCCATCACAGGCCCAGAGGTCTAGGAGAGAAGAGTGGTTTTGTGAGCCATACCCAGGGCCCTCTAGCCCTGCACAGCCTCGGGACACTGCTCCCCACATTCCCAGCCCTTCCCACTCCAGCCTCAGCTCACAGGGCTCCATGCACAGCTCAGGCCACTGCTCTGGAGAGCATAGGCCATCATAAGTCTTGGCAGCTTCCACAAGGTGTTATGCCTATAGGTAGGTGCACAGAGTATAAGAGTGGTGGGGGCTTGGCAACTTCCACTTCAGTTTCAGAGGATGTATAAGAAAACCTGGGTGCCCAAGCAGAAACTGGCTGCAGGGGCAGAACTCCCACAGAGAACCTCATCCAAGGGAGTGTAGAGGGGAAATATGGGGTTAGAAGCCCCACATAATCTCCACTGGAGCACTGCCAAGTGGAACTGTGAGAAGGGCCCACTGTCCTCCAGAATCCAGAATGGTAGATCTACAGGCAGCTTGCATTCTGCACCTGCAAACAGCCTAGACACTCAACAGTCTGGGGCTGTATGCTGCAAAGATGCAGGGGCAGAGCTGCTGAAGGCCTTAGGAGCCCACCACTTGCAGCAGTGAGCCCTGGACCTGGGACTTTGAGTCAAATAAGATTATTTTGAAGCTTTAAGGTCTAACGATTGCATTTTGAACTTGCATGGGGCCTGTAGCCCCTTTCTTTTGGCCAATTTCTCACTTTGGGGATGGGAATGCTTACCCAATGCCTGCATTGCCATTGTGTCTTAGGAGCAAATAATTAGTTTTTTATTTTACAGGCTCATAGGTGGAAGAGACTTGCCTTGTCTTCAATGACATTTTGGACTTTGGATTTTTGAGTTAAGACTGAAACAAGTTCAGAATTGGGGGACAATTGGGAAGGCATGATTTTATTTCACAATGTGAGAAGGACACAAGATTTGGGGGCACATGGGTGGAATGATATAGTGTGAATATATGTCTTTGTCAAACCTTTTTTTTTTTTTTGAGACAGAGTCTCGCTGGTTGGCCAGGCTGAAGTGCAGTGGCACAATCTTGGCTCACTGCGACCTCCACCTCCTGGGCTCAAGCAATTCTCCTGCCTCAGCCTCCTGAGTAGCTGGGATTACAAGCATGTGCCACCATGCCCAGCTAATTTTTGTATTTTTAGTAGAGATTGGGTTTCACCATGTTGGCCAGGCTGGTCTCGAACTCCTGACCTCAGGTAATCTGCCCACCTCGGCCTCCCAAAGTGCTGGGATCACAGGTGTGAGCCACTGCACCTGGCATGCCAAATCTTATGTTGAATTGTAATCCCCAATGTTGGAGGTGTGGCCTGATGGGAGGCATTTTGGTCATGTGGGTGGATCCCTCATGGCTTGGTGCTGTCCTCATGATAGTGAGTGAGTTCTCAGGAGATATGTTTTTGTTTTTTTTTTAAGTGTATGGCACCTCCCCTGACTCTCTCTTGCTCCTGTTCCCACCATGTGAGACACCTGCTTCCCCTTTGCCTTCTGCCATGATTGTAAGATTCCCGAGGCCTTCCCAGAAGCCAAGCAGATGCCAGCACCATGCTTCCTATAAGCCTGAAGAACTGTGAGCAAATTTAGCCTTCTTTAAATAAAAAATAATAAAAATAAAAAATAAACTTCCTTAATTAATAGTGAAATTAATTCACAGGTTTCCAGGATTTTTTTAAAAAGTGAAATTAATTACCAAGGGAAGCCTCAATTACTTTGAAAAATGAAGAAAATTATGAATTAAAATTAAAATTTCCCAGGTAGTTTATAAAACTTCACTTATTGAGATATTTGAAAATACAACTCTTTATAAGATTATCATTTTGGGCTATTTTGTTTATTTATTTTTTATTTCCAACTGTTATTTTAAGTTTAGGGGTACATGTGCAGGATATGCAAGTTTGTGACCTAGGTAAACATGTGTCATGGTGGTTTGCTGCACAGATCCCATCCCATCACTTAGGTGTTAAGCCCAGCCTCCACTAGCTATTCTTCGTGATCTTTTCCCTCCTCCCACATCCTGCCCTCTGGCAGGCCTCAGTGTGTGTTGTTCTCCACCATGTGACCATGTGTTATCATCATCTAGCTCCCACTTATAAGTGAAAACATGCAGTATTTGGTTTTCTGTTCCTGCGTTAGTTTGCTGAAGACAATGGCCTCAAGTTCTACCTATATCCCTGCAAAGACATGATCTTGTTCCTTTTTATGGTTGCATAGTATTCTATGGTGTATATGTACCACATTTTCTTTATCCAGTCTATCACTGATGGCCATTTAGGATGATTCCATGTCTTTGCTATTATGAATAGTGCTGCAATGAACATACACATGTATGTGTCTTTATAATAGAACAAATTCTATTCCTTCAGGTATATACCTAGTAATGGGATTGCTTGGTCAAATGGTATTTCTGCCTCTAGGTCTTTGAGGAATCCCACACTGTTTTCCACAATGGTTGAACTAGTTTACGCTAGTTCCCACCAACAGTGTAAAAGCATTCCTTTTTTCTCCACAACTCTGCCAGCATCTGTTTTTTGACTTTTTAATAACAGCCATTCTGACTGGTATAAGATGGTGTCTCATTGTGGTATTGATTTGCATTTCTCTAATGATCTGAGATATTGAGCTTCTTTTCATACGTTTTTCGGCCACATGTATGTCTTCTTTTGAGAAGTTCATGTCCTTTGCCCACCTTTTAATGGAGTTGTTTGGTTTTTTCTTGTAAATATGTTTAAGTTTCTTATAGACGCTGGATATTAGACCTTTGTCAGAAGAATAGATTGCAAAAAATTTTTTCTATTCTGTAGGTTGTTGTATTTACTCTGTTGATAGTTTCTTTTGCTGTGCAGAATATCTTTAGTTTAATTACATCCCATTTATCAATTTTCGCTTCTGTTGCGATTGCTTTTGGCATCTTTGTCATGAAATCTTTGCCCATGCCTATGTCCTAGGGTATTTACTAGGTTTTACTTTAGGGTTTTTATAGTTTTGGGCTTTACATTTAAGTCTTTAATCTATCTTGAGTTGACTTTTGTATATAGTGTAAGGAAGTTGTCTAGTTGTGATTTTCTGCATGTGGCTAGCCAGTTCTCCCAGCACAATTTATGGAATAGAGAAACCTTTCCCCGTTGCTTGTTTTTGTCAGGTTTGTTAAAGATCAGATGGTTATAGGTGTGTGGTCTTATTTCTGAGTTCTCTATTCTGTTCCATTGGTCTATGTGTTCTTGTACAAACACTATGCTCTTTTGGTTACTGTAGCCATTTGGGGTTATTTTGGATGGAGGCAATGACTGGCCTAAAAAGACACATCAGATTATTTCCAGGTCTAAGAGTCAGGGTATTTTTTACTTTGTACGTATTGAATAAAGTGGTATCAGCTCTCCCTACTACTTTACCATTCCATTTGGTAAATCTTTACAATTTTTAAACCTGAAAATAATCTCAGCGTTAAGCTTGAGCAACTATATTTAATCTATAAACTACCTTCATTTTATTTCATGCTCTTTTAAGACAATGATTACATCATTTTGCTTGAGAAAATTCACCCTGCAAGCCAAACCTGCTATTTATATTTAACACCCAGTGAAAACATAAGATTAGCCACAGTATGCCGACTGCTAAGAAGACAAAGCTGAAGGAGAAATTAAGATATATAGTTCCTGCCATTCAGAAGTTCATTTTCCACTGGAAATATAGACAAATAAATGGATGCAATCAGTTCACTGGACGAGCAGGGCTCCTTAAGGCAAGAGCAAATAGCACTTAACTTCCTCCCTGCACGGCCTTCTATCTCTGCTTTGTCAAATCTCCCTTTTCCATTGGAAATATCTCAGGTAGCTGCCATAACTTCTCCAGTCATCTTTAGATATTAACAAACAGTCTCATTTTCAGCTATGGGGGTCTAGTTAATATCATACCATATCTTCAATATCTCTCACTACTTCTCCACCTTAATCTTCCTTTCTGGAAGTAGAAGCTTAAAGAGCTCACAGGAGTTCAAGGGGAAGAACTATCAGTCTGGGTTCTTAATCCTGGTCCTGCACATTTAATTATTCCAACTGATGAATGCTAAGTATTTTAGATTGTTCCCAAATGGTCAAACCCTACCCAGGCAGTGGGACAGTTCAGTTCTCATATCACATCATTTATATTGCTTTAAAAGGGAAGTGATATCAAAGATAAAGAGAATGCATGTAAGTGAACATCAGGAATGCTAATTCAGAATTCTGAAGAATCAATAGGAATTTCAAAATAGATTTTATTTTTTTCCAGCACACATAAGATAAAGGCTAGAAAGGCTTCAAAGCAGCTCACACAGTTGGCAATGAGAGAAACACTAGAAAAAATTGCAAATTATCAAGGTTTCCATTTTTGAAGAAGTGTTTCTTTCCTTTGGTACTATCTTTTTACAAAGCATCAACATGCTTCACAGAAGTATTCAGAACTGCATTCCAAAAATCGTGTTTTCATTTTACAATGAGAAAACTAGGCACAGAGGAGTTAAGTAACTTACCTAAGATCACAGAGCTAGTAGGTAACAAAACAGAGAGGTGAATCTGAAAAGACTACTGTTGGAGCCTGTTAAGTTATGTGCAGTACTGTCTCTTCTGGCTACTAACCAAGCTAATAAAATGAGAGAATATTTTAAGATGGTATATTAACAGGTGTTTTGGTATGGGTAATTATGATGGTATTTTTATCTAGAATGATAATAACCTACAATGACTATAATGGTAAAAGCTTAAGATATGTTAAAGCCATTTAGAATTAGAAAAAGAATTTACGGCCAGGTGCGGTGGCTCATGCCTGTAATCTTAGCACTTTGGGAGGCCAAGGCGGGTGGATCACCTGAGGCCAGAAGCTGGAGACCAGCCGAGTCAACATGGCGAAACCCTGTCTCTACTAAAAATACAAAAATTAGCCAGGCATGATGGTGGGCGCCTGTATTCCCAGATACTCGGGAAGCTGAGGCAGAAGAATCGCTTGAACCCGGGAGGTGGAGGTTGCAGTGAGCCAAGATGGCACCACTGCACTACAGCCTGGGCAACAGAGAAAGGTTCCATCTCAGAAAAATTTTTTTTTAATTAAAAAAATTTTAAAAAGGTCCTCCTTGCCCCCAGATATCACTAACAATATCTATACAATCAATAACATACTGAGATTTACATCGTCTAATACTATTTCTCAAAAGAGTATTTTCAACAATTGTGGTTATTTGGTTACGTGGGTAACTTTCCTCTCCAACTTCCAGTTGGTCAGTCAGTGATATCACATATGCAATTCATACTGCACATTTTGCTTAAGACATTCTGCATCCAAAACATTTTTAGATTGCCAATGATTCAAGATCTTCAGTAATAACTCTATTTTTGAATACAGCACTTCTTTTTTTTTTTTTGAGCTAAATGAGACTTTTTTTATACTTTAAGTTTTAGGGTACATGTGTACAACGTGCATGTTTGTTACATACATATACATGGAAAGTGTGTTTTGTAGAAAACTGGGCCCTTAAATTGCTTCACAAAAAACAGAATTCCATAGTCAAATAAATGAACAAAGGAAAGCTTTGCATTCTAATACCCATCACAGAAGTTCAGTGCTTTTACCCAACCAAGTTTTCTCCAAGAGAAATGCTAATAAAGTCCCCTACTAGGGCCGGCAACCCAAGAGACCACCTTCTTGAAACTTCACAGAGGGCCACATCAAGAAGTTTCTGCTGTCACCGAAGGCCCACACCAAACCTTTACTCTCAACCTCTCACAGAAGGATTCCCACAACCCTGAAGTTTCCTAGAAGGCCCATGCTTAGCTCTTCTTTAGAGTTTGGCCACCAGCTTTGCCTACACATCCGATAGGTCCTCGCTCTACCCATCCTTCCCTATCTCAAAATCCTAAGCAAGTAATTCACCCACAGAAGCGGCAGTCAGACATAACTTTCTAATACTAAAAATACCCCCGAAATTGAAGAGTTTCCAGGCTTAAAGGGGACCTAAGGACTTAAACACAGGTATCTGCCCCATTGCTGACTTCATGACTGCAGCAAGCACCATGCCTCTAAGAATGCCCAAAAGACAGCCTCTAGCATCAGCCTCAATCTCTGAGACAGCCTCAATCTCCTGAGAAAGCAAGGGAAAAGGGCAGCTCTCTTGCTTACAAACCCAACCCATTCCTCTCTGCTTTAGGTCTCTGAATCTGCAAGTCTCTTGCTTGGTAATCCAGCTCATATTACTTGCTTTACTCCTTCCCTTTTGTAACACATTCAGATTCTCCTCTCTAGATTACCTCTCTCTGTCACCACCTCAACACATCCCTTAACTTCAGTTTTTACCTTGATTATATTTCTAATTACTCAGCCTGCCTAGGCACCACAGTACCTAGCCTGTCTGCTCCTTCAAGGAGATGGATCAGATGGCCCACTGGCAATTCATGGCAGTGAAATTCCAATGCCAGCTGAACCTGCTCACCCATGCACCTTTTCATTTCCAACTTGGACAGAACTGAAACAAAGCCCCTGCCCAAGCTTCAACTGTATTTTTATGAGTAGTCAGCTTTTCTTTGGGAAATAGTTCTAAAATATAAAAGTAATGCTGAGGAGATTTCTTGATACTACTTCTATAATTGGCCTATAAGAAACATCCCTTAACAACTACCCAAAACAGGAGTGGAGACCAGGTGCAGTGGGTCACACCTATAATCCCAACACTTTGGGATGCCGAGGCGGGCAGATCACCTGGGGTCAGGAGGTTGAGACCGGCCTGGCCAATATGGTGAAACCCCATCTCTACTAAAAATACAAAAATCAGCTGGGCGTGGTGGCACGTGCCTGTAATCCCAGCTACTTGGGAGGCTGAGGCAGGAGAATCACTTGAACCCAGGAGGCAGAGGTTGCAGTGAGCTGAGATCACACCACTGCACTCCAGCCTGGGCGACAGAGCAAGACTCCCTCTCAAAAACAAAAAACACACAAACAACAACAAAAACAACAACAACAACAACAACAAAACGGAAGTGGGACTGCCCTACCTTCTTTTACATATTCATTTCAAGTCAACACATTCAAAGTTGAACTCAATGATGTACCCACAAACATACCACTCTTCC
Organism: Homo sapiens; assembly: GCF_000001405.40. Taxonomy (NCBI): domain Eukaryota; kingdom Metazoa; phylum Chordata; class Mammalia; order Primates; family Hominidae; genus Homo; species Homo sapiens. The sequence goes on along the minus strand of NC_000003.12, from coordinate 181,192,979 downwards.
CTGTCCTCTCTCACTAAATGGTGCCACCTTCTTTCACATGGCCTGGAACAGACCCAAGAGTCCTTCTCTCTCAGTGTTCTCTCAGTGTTCCATCTCTCTCATTCCCAATAGATGATCATCATATTCCATTAATTCCACCCCTTACATCTCCCCCATATCTACCCATTTTCCTCATCTCAAGGCACCATTATGTCTTTACTAGATGACTGTACAAGCCTCCTGACCAAACCCTGCCTTCTATTTCCATCCCTGCTCCCACTTCACTTCGCTGTGATTATATAACTAAGGTGATCTTTCAACCTAATAATAAACACTAATGTCTATGTCACTCCTGTTCATAACACTCCCATTGCTCCCTATGATCCTTAGAATAAATACGACACTCCTCAGCAGGATATACAGACATCATGATCTGGACTTTGCTTTTCTCTCCATCTTCATTTTTCCCCACTCCTCTCCTCTCACTGTACAACATATTCTGAGTGGGTCACTTTCTCACCTTCAGAATTCTGCACATTGTTCTCACTTCCTAGAATATTCTTCCTGCTCTGCCATCTCTTTACCTGGCCAACACTGTTCATTATTCAGAATCTGGTTGAGCACTACTTCTTCCAAGAACCTCTTCTGAACCATCCCCATCCACCTCCAGACCAGGCTGAATGTCTTTCCTGTGTGTTCTTATTGCATCCTCCACTCAAAACTACTGCAACACTACATTGTAATTGTCAATAAAACCAGGAATTACCTATAATCTTAATTACCTCTAGCCTCTAACAGACTAAGGACAATTTCTTGCTCCCTGTTTCGTCCCGGGCACCTGACAGAGTGTCTGCATCCAATAAGTACTCAATAAATACAAGTTAATTGACAAATGGATGTTGACATTTACCTCATAGAGATTACTTGCAATGGTCATCTTAACCTGACCTCTCCTGTGTAAGAGAAGTTGGACAGGATCACACTCAGTCATTTGCTCAAACCATAGCATCTTGCTGCAAATAGACTGATATGTTTAGTCCTCAGAAACATCATCAGTGTTTTCTCTTCCTGTGCATAAAAAACACTCCTCTTTCAGATGAGTCTAAGTTCAACATAGTGACAGTGCCTGGACTAGATGTTCTGGAGAACGTTCTTAGTTGCATAATCCTGGTAGAATGTTGAATAGACTGCACTTCTGAATTATTCCCAGTTACTCATAAATCAGAAGAACAGACAGTGCAATATTTTTTTTTACTGCTCTAAAATGTGTCCAGCCTGGAGAAACTGAGGAAATCACTGAGTCAAAAAAGCAACCTGGTTCTGCTGTGAGATGTTTTCACTAAACTGTCCGGCTTTATATGATAGGCTACTTAATGATACAACTCAGGAATATGTCTCCTAAAATACCACAGAATACAGCATTACTGCTCATTTTTGGCAGTCTCTGGGTGTAATACATCACCAACTCATTCTCTAGCTCTGAAAGGTTGAAGATCAGTAACTAAATCATGTAAGTGCTTATCAAGTAATTATGTTATTAAAATGACATACATCAGTCAGTGCATACCTTGCCTTTGTCTTTGGATTCTTTGTCTTCTCCATTTTATTAGTCAAAACACTATTTTCAGCACTGTTCTCAGGAATTAAGAAAGCTATATTTAAATAATGTTAATAGCTAGTGACATAAACCTGCACGAAGAAATCAGAGAAGTCTAAGGCTACACCTCCTCACACTTAGCAGGAAAAATAGACCATGGCAGACTGAACTGAACTTGAAATTCTAAGCCTTTTGTTACAGAACCACAACCTTTATACTTTCTAAATCATTTTCCCCATCACTGTAACTTTTTACTCTAATTGTTCATAATGATGATTAAAATTTGTCAAGAACAGTCACAAGAGTACAAAATACATTTATGGAACCAAATAAAGGCTAATGTAATTTTTATCATTAATAGGAATTTTTGAAGGAAATTTTTATTCTTTCAAGGTTAATTCAGAAATATTTAAAATTCTAATTTTTGACTGAATTTGAGTTTGTGTAGGTTGGAAGTTTGTTTAAAAGAATGAAGATGACTAAGAAAATTATTTTCAAAAAGTAATTTATTTAGATTGGCCAACTGTGGTGACAACTTGCAAATTAACTTAACAGGAATTCAGTGTGTTTGTGTGGTGAGGGTTATAACACTGACTCAGAAGTCTGACCTTAAGGGAAAAGGATCCTGCCCTAATTCAGAAAACCATTTACTGACCATTCAAACCAACTCAAACTATGTTTAAAACCATAATATGTTTTTAAAGATAGCCATTGAAAATGTAAATAGCAAGTTATCTCTGACATCCATAAAAAATAAACAAAATGGTGCACACTTTAGAAGATATTTTGTTAGTTTTTTTCTTTTTTTTAGAAGAATCCCATCTTGCTTCAATAGTATCTCAAAGATGATCTACCAGTCCATGGATAGAGTTATTTCCAGGAAAGATAGGATCCCAGATGAAAGAACATCCAATTTGTTCCAGAGGAAGTCATTAGAACAACTTTGGTAAGTACAATTTCAGTGTAGAGGATAGTAAGAAAGTAGTTGGGAAAAGGTCAAGAATAAAGTCAGAGGTGAGGAAGTGAATCAAATATCTGATGCGTTTGGAATAGATTGAAGGGAAGCTTTTTAGTTGAAGGATGAAGAAAAATTAATGGACTTTTGGGGAGGATATTTAATAAGAATAAAAGAGAATTAAGGTTCAGAGATAAAAAAGAATTTCAGAAGAAAGCTATGGAAAAAGAATATCATAGGAAGAAGCTTATTCGGCCTCCAGTTTTAAAAGAGAGAAAAATGGGGATCTGAAGGCACAAATATGAGAAAGATAGAAAAGAAGGTGGCATGAAGGAATAAAGAAAAACAGGGAGGAGAAGGACAGAAAGACCATTCTGGAGAATGCGGACAATAATGTCCTAATAAGCACCAGGGAAAACAAAGAATAAAAACTAAAGTTCCAAGAGTGAGTTGAAGGAAGTTGTAAAAGGTCTTGGATAATATAAAAAACAAAAAACTAGAATCGAGGTGTACTGTTGTACAAGATTTACGAGAGCAAAGAGTACATAAAGATACATCTCCCCACAAAGGGCAAAGCAAGATGAAAATGGGAGGATGTGTTAATGACAATCCAAAGATAGGAATGGGTAAAGTCAAAAGACAAGAGAGTTTTAGCAAGAAAAGTGGAACTCATTATGTTGTGGGCAGAGGTGAGACATTAGGGAAATGGGAAGGCACATTCCAGCCAGAGATAATCAAGGATTAGGTTTCCTGAAACACAGTTGTTGAGTTTCATTTATCCTGGGTAAAGTCATTTCAAAACAATAAGGAATTTATGACTTTGTAAGACTTCTTTCTGATAGCTTAAAACAACCTGAAACATAGGATATGGGTGGCCAATATTCCTGTGTGCTGCTTCCCTGATGATGTTTAATTTCATCTCGTTTTTCCAACAAATCCACCATATACATCCAGCATAAATGAAGTTGACATGCAACTTTCTTCCTCACTGCCTTAAACGTCTACTCAGCTTTCTGACTTTCTTCTACCTGTTTCAGTTTTAAGGCTTCCTTCAAGGATTTTAGAAATTTTGCACAATTTAACATCTGAATGTAAAGTTATAGAGGAATGTCTTGGACTTTTTCTTAACACCTGCATAGCCCAACTGAGTTTTATAATAAACTTTTGAGAATCTGCCAGTTCCTTTTATCATTTTCAGAAGATGTTGAAATCAAGTTAAAAGACATTTTATCACAGTACTGGGACTTCACAAATGGAGTAGTGAAAAGAATATGATCTTTTCACAGATTGATCTGAATTCATATCCCAGATCTGTGATGCTGGACAAGTTTTTGTCCTCTCGGAGCCTCAGTTTCATCATCTATAAATTTGGGATAATATACTAGAGTCATTTGTAGTAACGGTTATCATGTATTTTTTAGAATAGACTTCAATATTCAAAGTCTAATATTAATATTATTGATAATGTATATGAGGTCTCTTTTTATGTTAAATTTAGTCTATTTCATTTCTTTCTTTATTCTCATATAAGTTTTCTGATAATTAACCACAAATATCAATTATTTTGTCTCCATATGTTATGACTTGAAAATATTAGGAATGATTAAATATTTAACACATTTGTTTGCCTATTTCGATGGCACAGATTTCCAATTATCTGTTTAGCAATGTAATTTATATTTGTATAAAATGTAAAAATATATATGTATATAATGTGTGTCATATACAATAATATATATAATATTTACTTTCTCACATATCACTAGTAGGTTAAAATGTTTTTGTTTTGTGTTTTTTTTTTGTTTGTTTTTTTTTTTTGAGATGATATCTCTGTCACCCAGGCTGGAGTGCAGTGGCGCGATCTCGGCTCACTGCAAGCTCTGCCTCCTGGGTTCAGGTCATTCTCCTGACTTAGCCTCCCAAGTAGCTGGGACTACAGGTGACCACCACCATGCCCAGCTAATTTTTTTGTATTTTTTTTAGTAGAGACGGGGTTTCACCATGTTAGCCAGGATGGTCTCGATCTCCTGACCTCGTGATCTGCTCGCCTCGGCCTCCCAGCGTGCTGGGATTAGAGGCATGAGCCACCGCGCCTGGCCTATTTAAACATTTTTACTTTTAAATTTCAAGTGAATTTGTGTTCAGGAAAAAAACAAAAGCAAAGACTTCAGATTCTTTACTTCTAAAAAGTAATAATGCTCTCCTCAGTTTGTTTAAAGGTCAAACGAGTTTACATGTGTCAGGGCCCACTAAAGAAGCACAGAGCAGATGACTAATGAACATCTCTTCTTTTTTCTATCTCCTTTCCTGTTCTCTACCTGTCAAAATATTACACACCGTTCTCCCGGCCCCCTTGTCCTAACCCATGCTGACAAGTATCTTCTGTTACTCACATGGCTATCTGCATCTTGAATATCTTAGGCACTCAATCCGGTTGTGTTGACCCAATCCTACTTAGACACTGGCCTCACGAGTTCTCCACCTCTCACCTCCAAGAACACCCACCTCCATGACACCGGTCCATTCCTGATATGGCTCTACCTTATACATCAACAGAGCTTACACCTGTTCTGAATGTCTGCTGTAATCACAAATGCCTGTCCTTCTACCCATGACCCTTGACCTTCCAAGTCTGGTTTTCACTGTCATCATGAGCCCAAATTCCTGTAGTCCTCCTGGTTTTGTTTTTAGTACATCAGCCTCCTTCTGTCTTCCTTTGCCTTCCTGCCAAGTCTGGGCCCTCCGGATGGTCATTCAGTGAAGCACTAGCCACAAATACAGAATCTTTCACCCATGCATCTTCTGCCATTCCTTCCATGCCAAGTTCCAGACCACTGTGGCCCTTCCATGGCTTCTAGTCCTGTGCTGCCAAGTGTTGCAAATTCAGTGATTTTGAGACCTAGAGACTCTGCATTTTTCAAGGAACCATGTACAATCACTCTTCACTTACAGTTCTGTCTTTAAGCAATAGTCTTAGAGTAGATTAAAAAAATAATGCAAGAGCCCTTTTTTAAATGCAGATTTCTGGGCTCTGCCCTCAATTATTCTGATTGGATCCTTCTAGAGTGAAACCCAGGAATGTGTAATTTAACAAACACAGCCAAATCTGGCTCACTGCCTGTTTTTGTACTGTCTTTGAGCTAGAAATGGTTTTACATTTTAAGTTCTTGGAAAAAAATCAAAAGAAGAACATTTCAAGAAATATGAATATTCAAATGTTCTAACATTAGTAGTTTTTTAACATTAATAAAGTTTTATTGGAACACAGCCTCACTCATTTATTTACATATTACCTTATAGCTGCTTTTATGCTACAACAGCTAAGTTGAGCAGTTGCAACGTAGACCACGTGGCCTACAAAGTCTAAAATACCTGCATTTACTGTCTGGCACTTTACAGAAAAAAGTTTGCTGATCCCTGACTTGAAAGACCCTGTTGCAGTATCAGAGACTTTATTTTGAGAAATCCTTATAAAACAAGGTTCACTGAAAGTCCATGCTACCTCCACTTGTTTTCTTTCTTAATCATGCCCAAACTCCCTACATTTGCTACTTCAAGTCTTCTTCACGCTCCTCAGTCTCCTCTCCTACCCGGACTTCCTCACTCTCAGCAAATATCTCACCTTCTCTTTCACAAAGAACACACAACCTGTTCGGTAAAAGCTTCTTCAAATTACTTCCCTTGTTTCCTTTACTCTTGTATGAAACCAAAATTATTCATAAAATTGTAAGGCCTAGTGGTATCTTTAGTCTCTGAGGGACTTACGTTCAAATCCAAACTCTGCAGTTACTTGGTTGTGACCCAAAGCAAGGCCTCACCTCTGGTTTTATCAGGTACAACATGTGGCTGACAACACCCAGCTCAGAGAGTTGTTGTGGAGGGAAAGTGAAACAGCACAAGTTTGGCACAGAGTAGGCACTTGATAAATGCCTTCCTCATTTCATCTGACTCCAAAATACCAATAGGTCATACTTACTGAAAACCTATTATATGTCAGATATGTTATATCCATGACTTCATTAAATTCTGACAGAAACACTGAGATAGAAGCTAAATCATACTGTCTCCCCAACTTTGCTTCATCATTTTTCTACCTTTTCCTTTCAAGTGTCACCTCCAATGACTTTATTCCTCTACACATACAGTTATTCATAGAAATATGCTCAGGTCTTCTCTCAACCTTGCGACAACCTCATATTAAGGTTTTCTATCACCTTCTCTGCGGTAATAAAAAAGAAATCCCATTCACGCCTTAACTCCTTGCAATCCAGTGTCTGTTGTTTTAATCAATCTACTACAATGCCTGTCCCCATTTGGGAACAAATGCTTGTCAAGATTATCAACAATTATTAGCTGTCACAATCAATGGCATTTTCTTGGTCTTTATTCTGCTTTAGAGCAAACAGTCTAACCATTGAAGATTACACAACCATTAAAACAAAACTCTCCTTAACTGCCATAACAACTCCCTCTGATGGTTTCCTTTGCTTTTCTGACCACTTCTTGTCAGTCAGTTCCTCTGACCTTTAACCTTCTTTCTCATCCTTTTCTCCTGTGCTTTATACTCTTCTCTCTCCTCCACTGTTCTATCTTCTAGGACCCTGGCTGCAACTACCTAGCTTATGCACATCTAAATAAGCTGTATCTAGACCTAACATTTCTTTAAATTTTTTGTATCCTTTTTTTTCAATCATGGACTAAATGTCTATCCATATTTCAAACTTAATCAAGGAGAAACCAAAGCTCCCTTAAAATTAAGTATTTGTCCTGATTTCCCTGTTTTGCCAAGTGATGCCATTATTCACTGAGATTTAAAATCATAGGATCTTTTTTATCTTATTCTTTCTTACTTTGCCCTCAGCAGCTGCCATATATTTACCTCTAAAAGTATTTCTCCTCTTTCCCTGTCCTCAATCCCTCACTTCCTAATCAATATTCAGTCTATAACAGTTATAATTTTGCTCCCAATTTCTTCAATGAAACTGCTCCTGCAGTTTCCTCCATGTTGCAAAAGCCCACAGACCCATTTCAGGTATCCTTTTACTCTATTCCATGGGTAATATTTGAAACTATTTCTCTCTCTCTTCTGGAAAGGCTACTCTTTGAGTTTTCTGTTCCCTCCACACACGTATGTCTCCTATGTAATCTCTTATCACTGGGTATTTCCTTGTCTTATAGAACTTAACATACACTTGGCTGGGAGCTCCTTGAGATTATGCGTCTGCCTTACGCATAGTAAGCACTAAGTACATAACTGTTGAATTAACTAAACACTTTGAGCAAATTAGCAAAAGGATTCAAAACACAAGTGAATTGTTCTAAAATTTATCTTATGCCTTGAATTTTCCCCTTTCTGTCCTTTATTCCTCTTTCCTCTACTCTCCCTTCCAAAAAAAATATCTTTTGAGACTATGGTATAATAACCCAACATCCAACATCATACCCTATGGCCTTCCACATCCTTTGTGCTTTGATTTCCCACCTCCTACTGTTGGAATATTTCATTCTTTAAGGTCCACTTTCTCAGAAATATCTTTCCTAATCCAACATGAATAAATAACCTTCAACACTTTAATCCATATAGCACTGTTCATACTACTTGGATGAGCCATATTATCTCAAGCCTATTATATTAGTGATTGACCTTATTGAGTGACCTAGTTTGCAAACTCCATGAGAGCAAGAACTATGCATTTCTTATCTCGTATTTCACCTCGTAGTGTGTTTTCAATAAACACTCAGTGAATTAATAGTTGTTTTGTAAATTTTAAAACATCGTATTTCCTGCTGCCTCAATGCCAACAAATGGTCTATGAGCACCCTGCCCAGGTAGCCAGGTACACCAGTGTGATAAGGCTGGCCACTGCCCCAAGTTCTGGTTGTTGCCATCCTCTGATTTTGACCTAGTGACATTCAAATGCACCAATGAAATCCCCTCCTGCCTTTTGCTTGTGTACCCCGTACTGACCCCTGATCAAGGCACTTGTTCTCTTGGTCTCTCTGATCCTTGCTTGCTTGGTTGAGCTGGCTCCCTTGGTGCTCCTCCCTCCGTCCCTCCATCCTCCCACCACGTGACCCTGTCTCTCTAGGACATCTGAATACAATAAACTTCGTTTTCCTTCACCTCCCCTTTGTGCTCTCTAGTGGCCACACCTGACTGACCACCTCATGAAAGAACACTAAACAATAGTTACTTCGCTGTGTCATATGTATAGAAATACTTTGCTTTCAATTATCTCCCATCTTAAAAACTCTCCCTTGATTCCTGTGTTCTACTTCAGCTTTGACCCTTTCCCTTTCTTCCCCTTCCTAGCATATCTGCCTGAAAGGGTTGTCCATGGGTGCAATCTCCCCTGTCTGACCTCCCACTCTCTTCTTAACCCACTTCAAACTGGCTTGCATGTTGTTCCTCTACCCAAACTGCTTTCGCTGAAATCAATCACAATCTCTTTGTTGCTAAACACAACAAAGGGCCTTTATTGGTCCTTGACTTGCTTGACATTTCTGTTGAAAGATGGTTCTAAATCTGCCTTGAGCCCAGGATTCATCTGAGCTCACATTTACATGTCCAGTTCTTTACATGTAAATGTAAGACATCCTCATCTGAGTGTCATACTCAATAGAGTGCTCTACAAATACTTACTGAATAAAGAACACTCCCCAAGTCTGTTATTCATTCTGATCTAAACCAGTTTTTCTTACCCTATTTTAACCTATACCCTATTTTTAATAAACATGTAAAGTCTTATGCTTCCCCCAGCACCAACTACATTCTGAAAGAGCTGCCCACACTTTATCCAGAAGCTATTGCAGGCTGAGAATGACTTACCCTCTGCATATTCCCATTAGGATCTGACCAAGACAATTCTGTGGAACGTTAGTTTGTGATGTTCAAATCATTGAAACTGAGAGGTGACAGGGTGCTGGCAGCCCTCACTCGCTCTCCGCGCCTCCTTGGCCTTGGCACCCACTCTGGCAGCGTTTGAGGAAGCCTTCAGCCTGCTGCTGCACTGTGGGAGCCCCTTTCTGGGCTGGCCAAGGCCGGAGCCGGCTCCCTCAGCTTGCTGGGAGGTGTGGAGGGAGAGGCGCGGGCAGGAACCGGGGCTGCGCGCGGCGCTTGCGGGCCAGCGTGAGTTCCGGGTGGGCGTGAGCTCTGCGGTCCCCCCACTCCAAGCAGCTGGCTGGCTCACAAGCCCCGGGCAGGGAGGGGCTTAGCACCTGGGCCAGCAGCTGCTGTGCTCAATTTCTCCCCCGGCCTTAGCTGCCTCCCCGCGTGGCATGGCTCGGGACCTGTGGCCTGCCATGCCTGAGCCTCCCCCCACTGACGTGGGCTGCTGTGCAGCCAGAGCCTCCCCTACAAGTGCCGCTCCCTGCTCCACTGCGCCCAGTCCCATCAACCGCCCAAGGGCTGAGGAGTGCAGACGCAAAGTGTGGGACTGGCAGGCAGCTCCACCTGCAGCTCCACCTGCAGCCCCTGTGAGGGATCCACTGGGTGAATCCAGCTGGGCTCCTGAGTCTGGTGGGGACTGGGAGAATCTTTAAGTCTAGCTAAGGGATTGTAAATACACCAATCAGCACTCTGTGTCTAGCTCAGTGTTTGTAAATACACCCATGGACACTCTCTATCTAGCTAATGTAGTCCGGACGTGGAGAACTTTTGTGTCTAGCTCAGGGATTGTAAACACACCAATCAACACCCTGTCAAAATGGACCAATCAGCTCTCTGTAAAACAGACCAATCGGCTCTCTGTAAAATGGACCAATCAGCAGGATGTGGGTGGTGCCAGATAAGGGAATAAAAGCAGGCTGCCCAAACCAGCAGCTGCAACCTGCTTGGGTCGCCTTCCACAGTGTGGAAGCCTTGTGCTTTTGCTCTTCGCAATAAATCTTGCTGCTGCTCACTCTTTGGGTCCACACTGCCTTTATGAGCTGTAACACTCACCGCAAAGGTCCACAGCTTCACTCCTGAAGCCAGTGAGACTACGAACCCACTGGGAGGAATGAACAACTCCAGACGTGCTGCCTTAAGAGCTGTAACACTCACGCGAAGGTCTGCAGCTTCACTCCTGAGCCAGCGAGACCATGAACCCACCAGAAGGAAGAAACTCCAAACACATCTGAACATCAGAAGGAACAAACTCCGGACACGCCGCCTTTAAGAACTGTAACACTCACTGCGAGCGTCCGCGGCTTCATTCTTGAAGTCAGTGAGACCAAGAACCCACCAATTCCGCACCCAAAACAATGGTACTTTTGCATTTTTCAAATATGACATTATAGTATTATAGTAGATAGGCTCACAGACTTTCTGAAACCACAAACAGAAACCTGGAGATCCTGACACGCTCTCCAGAAGGGTCACCCTTTCCTTGTACTGCTCGCCCTCCCAGCTGGCAATCCCACTGCTAGAGGCAAAAAGAAGCTCTAAAATTGTGTGACTTTATGTTGTAAAGCCTTTAAACCTTTTTGACTCTCTAGGTATAAAGTGGCCATTAATAAACACTTTGAGCAAATTAGAGAAAGGATTCAAAACACAAGTGAATTGTTCTAAAATGTATCTTATGCCTGGAATTTTCCCCTTTCTATCCTTCATTCCTCTTTACTTTCCTTTCCAAAATAAAAAATAAAAAAAAAATAGAAGAAATATATTTTTAATTTTAGAAGGGAGGGTAGAGGAATGAAGGATAGAAAGGGGAAAATTTCTTTTTAAATTTGTTTTTCTATTTTCACTGCATTGATGATGGATTATGCTGTCCTTGTAGGCAGCTGGACTTTTTTTTTTTTTTTTTTTTTTTTTTTTTTGAGACGGAGTCTCGCTGTGTTGCCCAGGCTGGAGTGCAGCAGCATGATCTCGGCTCACTGCAAGCTCTGCCTCCCGGATTCACGTCATTCTCCTGCCTCAGCCTCCCAGGTAGCTGGGACTACAGGCGCCCACCACCACACCCAGCTAATTATTTGGTTTTTTTTTTTAATAGAAACGGTTTCACCGTGTTAGCCAGGATGGTCTCAATCTCCTGACCTTGTGATCCACCCGCCTTGGCCTCCCAAAGTACTGGGATTACAGGCATGAGCCACTGCACACGGCCTTTTTTTTTTTTTTTTTTTTTTTGAGGCCAGAAAAGTAGCTTGTCTAGTTTTGAATTTTCTTTGAGGAAATACAAGTGACTTTCTCTTTGGCCATGCCTAGTAGCCCCATTTTTTTTTAAAACCAAGTTGTTTCAGAGGAGTCATCCAAGTAAGCTTGACAGGAAAGGGCTCTACTGTGTGCTTAAGGAGCCATATTTCCAGAGCTGACTTACCCAGCAGATGAGAGAAATCCTGAAATTCCTGCACGACCTGTACCCAAATTTCAAACTTTCTGCACAGCAAGGCTGGAGAAGCACAATTTTTCTTGTGCTCACATGTTTATTTCACTGTGTCCTGCTGGCTTCTACCTTTGAACTATTAAGATACTAAATGATTCCACTGGATGAAGTACTTTGCCCTTCAGTTTACAAATGAAATTGGAAATAGCTATTTTTTTTTCATAGTACACTTTTGTCACTGTGCCCATGTCTTTTCACCCCTAATGATCTAGCATATATTTGTTAAGAGAGCTTGTTCTCCTGACAAAAGAAAATACATATTATTAAATCTGTTCTTGTAACTGTCTTAGTGAGAGAGAAAAAATTATAATCTTTCATATTGGTTTCAGAGCACTTTATAAGGAGTCTGTAAACATCAAAAGGCATTTATTTTTAGCCTTCCATTGACTCTTGAAGGACATACTCATTAGAGCAATGACAATGTAGGCAATTTTGGATGGCTGGCAGATTTGACATCCTCTCCTAAAAGAGCTACACTGGCTGACAATCAAGTTCAAGGCTCCAACAACCATATAATATCAACTGTTTAAGCCAAAAAAGCAGAAGTAAAGACCTGAGTAACTTAAAAGGAAACCTATGCAGAAAATCCACCTGAGTGCAGACAAATGACTCTGAAAGCTTTCTAAGCCTGGGGTTTCAAAAGGTTTTATAAAATGTTTCTCAATTTTCACTCCATGCCCCAAACTCAAAACAAATTGTATATGTTGAGCTATTACAGTTGATTCTTCTCTTTTCAAAATTTTTAAAAGAGTACATAGAAACCGAACTGATAAAAGCCCTACTACCTAATCACATGATTTAATGTGTATTATCACAATCTAAACCTGGGTGATATTAAGCCTGAAGAAGGCTTGGTTTCCATTCTTCAGAGTCTCTGGCCTGCCTTTCCCTTTCTAGGCATCAGCATTCTATTATCGTTTAAATAAACTTGACATTGTCTATTTAATATGTAAATATAGGATATAGTTTTCTATACAGTATACAATGAAATTGTGGGACACACTGAAAGGGAGACTCAAATTCATTTCTCGTGTTCTATTACTAGGTAAGTTCCCTTTATTTCTTTTCTCATTCTTAGCTTCATCCCTCCCTCCATCCTTAATTTTCTATTTAAAGCTATCCTTTAATTATGTGGTTGTGGCCCCATATACACTAACATGTTCTAAGTTTTTTTTTTTTTTCCTGTGGCACCTTGGACTCAGTCATCAGGGGGTAGCTACAAGCAAAAGAGTAATGAAATTTTCTGTAATGCCTGTTGATGGAGACACTGTCCCCTGAATCCTCCTTAACGTCCCACTGAAGAATATTTTTCCAAAACTAAATGCCTCAAAAGCCAAGAGACTGGTATGTTTTTCCCTGAAGTAAAACGTGCAATGGGATTATTTCAATTGCTACGTCATCCTCATTTCTACTAAGTAGAGTAAGAACTGTCACAGAGAAGGGTTTTGGAGGTGTGCTAAGCATGGCACTGGGTTTAGACATGCAAGCTTAGTTTTTAGAAGCTGGGGCAAAACCATATGGCTCCCTATTATGTTTTAATGAGGAGAGAAAGGGGGACACAGGAATAGAAGAAAGCAGCTAGGGAAGCTGGGTGGAGCATGAAAGAAGGATCAAAGAGAGGAACCTCCAATTTTAGCAAACGAAAAAGGTACTTTACAGACCAGAATGTTTAACAGGAATGTTTAAGTGGCTTGATGTGGGATATGCAAAGTTCATCCCCTCAACTTCCCACTCAGTAAAGTCCACATTGCCCACTCACTCTCTATGAAAGTGGATTCCATTAGAGAACTTCAGTGTAGAGCTGACATCCGTGATTCTGGATTGGCCTTGGGCAGTCACGGAAAGAGGGTATGCACGTGGAGGAGACTGCAGGGACAGCTGACTTCTATGTTACCCAAAGGCAGTCAAGGCTATGAGAGTCAGAGAGACCTGGATTTAATCCCACAGAGGCATGTGTTGCCTGCGTAACCAGCGGCTGGTAACTGAATCCTTCTGATTCTGCATTTTTTCCACCAGAAAACAACGGTAACAATAAGTGGCTTTGAGGTTGTTGTAACCATTCGGGCTGTATAAAATGCTCACTATATGGAAGTTATCCTCTAGATGACTTTTTTCCACTTTTGTTTTAGCTGTTAAAAACCTTGAGCCAAGTCTATGACTCAAAAAAACGTTAAAAATATATGGCCTTCATATGTATGTTGTTCTTTTCCCTCCTAAGTCTCAAACCAATTTATATTTTCTCTATTCTTAATTATCTGGACATTATTTATATCTACTGTATTGTATTACAGCATGCATCAAAATGCTTGTAAAAGGTGGTGCTACAAAATAGATTTTTTTCTGTTTACTATGCTCCCAGTTTCCCCATTCTGCATTTGAAGACATGATGGGAGTTGGCACATTTTTCTCCCTTTTGGATGCTGCTGCTGCCATGCTGAGAGTTGTCTGACTAATAATTGGAATGGTTTGGGCATTGATCAATACCTGCTTCATCCCCTTTGTCATCTAAAGTTGGCTCCCATCTGGGGTTAGGAGTGACATCAGTGTCTGTTGGTCTTCTTTGCCATTATGTCATCACCAGCTAAGCTAACTAGACCGACCATCATATTCATGCCAAAAAGTACATCCCAGTATGTCTGCCCAGCCTGTAGAAGGCAAGACAAGAAACAAGCAAAGGACACATAACATTCTCTTTTGACACCTGAGGAAAGCAAAGTGCAAAGATGCCGGTAATGAGTCCAGAGGCATCAATGTAAAGTTGGAGTGAACACCAGGCCAACTACTTTCCTGCATCCTGAACCCTAGAGAATGCAGACTGATTAGTCAAGCAATCTGTTACTGCCTGCTGATATGTCAAAGCAGGGGCATGTCCTGCCTAAGATAATAAAAGAACACCTTTAGGTAATAGCTTCTACTGGCAGAGCTTAAGCAGGGACCAGGACCTCCATCCAGAGAAGAGCGGTGCTTCATGAGCCTTCTCTCCACTTTTGGGTTCTATTAGTAGGCCCTGAAAGCATTGAAACCTCAATAGCATCACTGTAATGGAAAAGCAGCTCCAAGTTTCTGACGAGAAGCTCAATAAAGTTTTAATTTTACTAGAAGAAAAATAGAACTTTAAAGTCAATCTCAGATGCTTCAGTCTTTACAAATGTGTCACTCATTTCCTTTCCTCTGAGAAGTTTTAAAGATACTTTGTGGTGTCTCTGTGGATCACCTTTGTGGATCTATATTTCTAAACTTTCCAGGAGTGATTTTTTGTTGGTTTGTTTTTATTTTTGTATTGGCTTAGCAAAGAGTGAAGTGTGTAACATATCAGTTGTTATACTTGAGAATATGAAGTCCACAAGCAAAATGTGTGAGACGGTTTCCTTTGTCCCAAAGGCTAATTGAAAATAATTACCTCTCCAGCTCCCCAAAATGCAGTTGCTTAATGTTTGTACTTATGCTGAGAGCAAGAGGATTTCTCTTCCTCTCAGCATAGGTACAACATTATTCTTGTTAGTAGATTGCTATACTAACAAGAGTTTCAGAACCGCTAATCTTGATAAGTGGAGTAAGCAGGAACCTTAGCTGATTTCAGGGCCTAATTACCTGTTTCTTAACGCTGTCTTCACAGAGATCCTTTACAACTGCGACAAAACGAAGTACCCCCAGCTTTTACCAAAAGTGCTTAAAGGAATTATAGAAGAGAACTTTTGCAAAAGGCTTACAAGATTGAGTAGATATGAAACTAGCCAGCAAAAGACAAAGCATTATTTCCCAGGTACTAATTTGTATTAACAACAAAACAACAACGACACTCTTAAATAATAAACTTTTTCTTTCAAGAACTAAAAAAAAAAAAAAAAAAACCTTAATTTAACAACAATCTTAATTTATATAAAAGAAGTCAATAGCCTGAGAAAAAAATTTTGCATCATATGTATAATTAATTACATCCCCTAGACAAACCCTCTTTTATATTGCACTTTTCTGTCAATCTAACATTACAGGCAATCACTACAGTGACAATGTGCAGGTCATCTAGAGCATCATACCCATGTAGACAACACAACAACCCAACTCGCTATTGCAGGAAGAATCACACTTTGATCCATCAAGAAGTGCAGCAGTTTTGTTCTCCTTCCTGTCTCCTATCCCCTCGGGTTTTGATAATCTCTTTTGTTGCAATTGTTATAAATTATCGGTAACAAAAACTTTGCAACTTCAACACCAATACAAACCAATATGCCACTGCCACCGTCTTGGCAGGCTGCCATGCATGCTATTTTAAAGTTAGGCATTAGGAGGCAGCAAATGGCTCAAAAACACAGGCAAAGATAAATGTAGGAAGTTGGAAAAGAGACCTGCAGCTGCAAAAGCTCAGAAAACAGACGTCATCTTAAATACAAACTTCCAGGAATTTATATTCGATGTGAGGAATAGTTAGAAGGGAAAGGGTTTGGCCCTCGCAGAGACCTCTGTGAAATAATCTGAATCCTTTTCCCCATTTCAGCATCCCTATAAATACTGACTGTTATTTTAAGGGTTAAACAACATAGGACTTGGTTTTAATTAATCTTTTTTTTTCTTGTCTCCAGAAACAAGGATCTCATGTTTGCCTACATGAAATTCCCAGGATCTGCTTGCTTTAGCAGTGCCAGCCCTAATGCAAATACTGTTCAAGCTACCTCAGAGATTTCAGAACTAATTCTGCCCCATATTGCTTCATTCTAAGGCATTTATATATTTAAAATATGCACTGTAGTTACTCAGAAATGCCAATGCTGCATCTATGTTTTAAAAAATACTTGTGGCATGTACTCTAATCCAAGGTATCATGTCTTCAGATAGCATATGTCTGTCTTATTTTTAGGAAGGTAAAAATGAACTTTTCACTTTCCCAAATGAAAAAAAAAGTCTCTAATCAAAGCTTTGTTATTTTAATTATAATGCTTGATTAAATTATAAGAAATGTCACTTAAACTGCATTAAAAATGCAGTTTAATAATGTCAGAATAATTCTTGCCTCTCTCTGGATATTCATTTTGAAGAAATAAGCTCACATAATTTATATGAGAATTTCATTTCAGGCATAAATAGAAAGGTCTCTAGAAAACATTATTACTATGAATTAAAACTATAAATGTGTGAGGAAGATTGTGTGGTATATAAAACAAGAAAACTTAGCATCTCCAAAGACAGTTCCCTGCAATTTTTGCATTGTTTCTTAAACTGTTGCACTAAGAATGCATATATTATATGGCACAAATACTTAGTTATTACAGAATATACTGGGTAAATTTAGCAATAGTGAATAACACATTCATTATCACAACAGTAATTGTGTGATAAACAGTTAAATCACACCAAAGGTAATTCACACCAAATAATGCAAATGTTTCACAAAACCCATTTTCCTTCAAGGCATGCATGATGATTTCAAACTCCTCCAGTAATCAAATTTCAGCTTTATTACAATTAGTAACAGTAATTGAAAAATAAATCACACATTACTTACTATTTTTCAGATGTGTATGCCATCCTTCCAAATTCAAAAGAGTGAAGAGGAATCACAACCATGAGGAAATCTAGCAGGCAAAAGGAGGGAAAATAGGAAGTATTAGTTGTCTAAAAATTAGCATCTTCAGGTTTTCTTGAGGTACTTCCCACAAGATCCCAAAGCATAGAAGAAAAAGAAAAAGTTGGAGAAAAACATCACACACATCACGAGCCGACTTTCTCCACAAACCCATGCAGCTCCAAACTTTAAAGGCTCAAATTGTTGAGCATCCTGATTGAGCAAATATCCGACTTCGGTATCACTGGTTACGTACATATTTTCAATAAGATGAATGCATCTCCAAAATTATGGTTACTTTAATGTATTATCCAGATTTCCCCCGTTTCTCTCCCCTTCTCCTTTTTCCATTCACAGTTTTCTTCCTACAAAATGCACATAGGTCTGTTCTTCCTTGTACCCCGAATCAGGCCTGGCTTTGAAATGCATTTCAGTCTCTCAACACAGACTGCTTTCATTGCATTTAGAGTCCCACTAAGGCCCAGCTTTAAAAGCTACTGATTCTTTTTTTCTTTAGCCTTCCTCACAAAGGAAGGGTATTTTGTAAATTACCAGCTCGTTCAGATCAACAAAAGGTACTTTCATAGAAAGCCCCATTTGATTTTGCTCAAATTTGATTACTAGGATGGAGAAAAGGAAAGGAAGTCAAAAAGAAAAACCCCAGATGGCTTTTTCATTCATCTCAGTGAATGAGCTTTATCTGTGCCTTTTGAAACTGTAGCAGTGGAAAAGCATTTCTGTTGGCTTAAAAAACTTGACAAAAATTATTGGTTTGCCATTTCTCATGTAACAGCCATTGGGAACTGGATGAAAAGACTTTTTCATGGGATCGCCTGCTTGGATCAAAATAATGGAGATTAGGTATTTCATTATAAATTACAGTGGGAGATAGAGCAGGCTGTCATATTAATAGCAACCTGCTCATGGCCTTCAATGGTAGCTATTCTCCTAGACAAAGGACCAAGGGGGATGTCTATTGAACTTGTACTTTAGGCCTGATCAATTTTCTATCATCAAGGCAAAAGGTGAGATGACTAACAAAGGAATTCACACATGAGTGACCTCATAAGCCTACAGATAAAACAGCTTAAAGAAGGAAAATACATCCTGAAATTGTGGATGATAAACTACATAAAGAAGAAGACAGAGTATGAGAATGAGAGAGGAAAGAGCAATAGTCTGTAATTCTCCTCCCTCTTCTTGGCCAAATGGACACATTAAAAGCTACTTGTTTTCAGCTGCAGATAATTGCAACATTTGGTTTGCAGTGGTCTGCTATAAACCTTCAGCCTACTTTTTTTCCCCCAGCACAGTTCCAGTCATTTCATTCGCTATTAACAACAGCATTGTGTTCAAGACAAAGCTTCTACCAACAGTCACGCTTAAAAATAAAAAGAAAAGGAATCACAACCAACACAGGCTTCCAGATAGTTCACAGTAAGTGTGCATTTGTTATTTGCTCCAGGTTACCAGCTTCTTGCCTGATTTATATACTTAGAATCTAAAGCAATTCAAAGTCCAAGCGGTACCTGCACAGACACAGAACCTTAATGAAGCACAGTGAAACCTCTGATTCAATCAAGATTCTTTCAGAAAATAGTGAGGACGAAATACTAATCCAAAGTGCCAGTGAAGGGTGAGTGATTAATTTTCACACAGTCACAAGGAATATTTTCAATTCCTCATTGAACTTGTCCAAATCACTGTAGAAATTACCAAAATCCTTTTTCCCTGTGATATTTCCTTGGAATTTTTTTCAACTTTTCTATTAAAAAGTCTAGGGGATTTCTGCCTGATAATATCAGTTTTTCACTGGGAGTAGTAAAGAAATTATCTTCGAACGATAAAAACCAGGGTTACTAAAAGTTACTATTACCTGGAAATGCAGATGCAGTGTAACATTTTATGTACATTCTATAACGCTAATCAAGGGAAAAAATATGTGAGCAGGATGCATTTTTACAATGCCATTTTTTAAACCAAAGAGTAATATAAGATCATTAATGTAAAATTACTTCCAACTGCCTAAAAGCTTGAGAAAATACCATAAATACCACCCATGACAGCAGTTGTCAAAATAGGGCTACATTTTGAAAGGCAGCCTCGACAGGTGTAATGACCTTCAGACTTGACACAATCAGTCGTCGTACACACTCATGTTAGCAATTTCTCACATCTACTGATGATAAGATAAGGAAGTTCGTTTATGTATGGACCAATAAAACAAAGATGTAGTATTATCTGAGGTATATATACAAATGACTCCACATTTGTATAAAATTGGACTTTCTATGTTCTTAAGGGAGCCCTGGATCCTTGGATTCTCTTAACCATTCAGGAAGATCCCAAATTCAGGGTTATTAAAGAGGAATTAAACAACAGCGGTGGGAGTGCACAGGCAGGCTCTTCCCACTATTGGTGTGAACATGGACTGGTGGGAACATTCTGGAGGGCAACTGGACAACATGCCTTTAAGTTTAAAAGTTTTCCTAGCTCTCGACCTAGTTATTTCACCTCTAGGAACCCTCCCAGTAGAAACTATCAGAAATGCAGATAAAGATTTTTTTTCCCCAAGAAGATACTTATCATACAGTGAGTCAGGTAGGATAGTGGTTAAGATTACAAAGTAGAGAGCCAGTGGTTAGATTACAAATTAGAGAGCCAGACTAGCTAGAGTAACAATTACAACTTGACCAACTTCCAATCGCAAGGTGAGACTTTGGTTGTTAACCTCTCTATACCTCAGTTTTCTTGCCTGCAAAATGGGGATCTCAAAAGTGTTATGAGAATTAAATGAAGAGGAAATATATGTAAGGCATTAAAGCACTGACTAGCACATAGTAAGTACTGAATAATTATTGGATATTGCTATTATTATAAATGCTCTAAACCTAGATAATTATTAACTGAATCATGATAAATACAACACAATTTAATATGTCCATTAAAGATCATGCCTTCAAATAATTCTTAATGACATAGAGAAATATTCATACTAGGTTAAAAAATCAGGACATGAAACCATATATTACGGTATCTCAAATATATATATAATACCTATGTATGTGTTTAAAATGGCAATAGTATTTCTTTTTGGATAAAGTACTTTCAAATGGTTTTAATTTTCTTGTTATAATTTTTAATTTCCATAAAACATTTTAAATTATTATTATTATTATTTAAGACAGAGTTTCGCTCTTGTTGCCCAGGCTGGAGTGCAATGGCGCGATCTTGGCTCACTGAAACCTCCGCCTCCTGGGTTCAAGTGATTCTCCTGCCTCAGCCTCCCAAGTAGCTGGGATTATAGGCATGCAGCACTACGCCCGGCTAATTTTGTATTTTTAGTAGAGACGGGGTTTCTCCATGTTGGTCAGGCTGGTCTCGAACTCCTGAGCTCAGATGATCCACCCACCTCAGCCTCCCAAAGTGCTGGAATTATAGGTGTGAGCCACCGCACCTGGCCTAAATAATTGTTTAAACTCTTACTCTTATAACAGTTCATGAAGAAGGAGTTGCAGTAGGTGCACCATTTCATAGCACTGTATGCTGTTTGGTTTCCCTGTAACCTGGCCTACCTCTATTTGATAGCACTGTATGTGTAGCATACAGTGTAGCATAAAGTCAGAATCTATGCCAAAATTCACTCTGGTGCTCAGCACTAAGATCTGGAAATGAGCTGTACTTCCAGAACTGGGAAGTAAGCTTAAATTCTAAAATTTAAAGAAGGAAAATCCAAATATATTGGATTCACAAAATTTCCTGACCTAAGAAGCTATCAGCATATGGGTTACCAAAGGCATTTTGACAATGGAGAATTCAGAAAAATGACTCAGGAATGAACTTGGAAAGATATGTATATGCCAATATGTCCAGGTTAGAGAAATCAATGAAACCAAGAGTTAGCCTTCTGAAAAGATAAATGTAAAAATCAACTTATACAGGCTGTGTGCAAAACCAACAGCTTCAGTCCAATCAATTAGGAGCAACAGACAAAACGGACAAATCATAAGAAATCTCAGTAACAAGGTCCAAGTAGTGATCTAATCAATTGCAGGAGTGTCTAAATAGAGAGACTAGGTTGCATCTAACAAAGGGACTCTCTATGTGAATTCTTTTAAAAGGGGGTAATAAGTAAGCACTTGTCCCTTCCTTTCTTCCTACCCACAGGGGAGCTAGAACCTGGGGGCAGGAAGGGAGGTTGATGGGAGAGCAGACCCTATCCTCCCACCCCTCCTTGTTCCTCAGTCAAACCTGATCCAGGGTTCAGGGAAACAGTGGAGAGGAGGAGAGCCTAGAGTGTTTTAATTAGACTGTACTAGTCTTTAGTAACTAAGTGTCTGGGAAGTTATGGAATCTTCCAAGGTATCATTAACAGTCAGGAATGCAACAGGGCAAAGTTAAAGGTGGAGAAGAGTGAACTCAATTTGGATTACTCAGTACAGGAATTACATGTGTATTATGTCTTTGTTGAAGGAAAACGTATCAAAGCTAGACTTTTCAAGAAACTTCAATTCATAAAAAGCAAAGGTCAAGAACATGAAAGTACCATATGATTCAGCAATTGCACTTCTGTGTATATGCCCAAAAGAACTGAAAGCAGGGATTCAAACAAATATCTGTACACCAGTGTTCATAACAGCACTATTCACAATAGCTAAAAGGTAGAAGCAACCCAAAAGTCCACCAATGGATGAATGGATAAGCAAAATTTGGTATATACATAGAAGGGAATATTAGCATTAAAAAGTAAGGAAATTCTGACACACCCTACAACATGCATGAACCTCGGAGATATTATTCTAAGTAAAATAAGCTACTCACAAAAGGACAACTATGGTATGAGTCCACTTATACGAGGTACCTAGAGCAGTCAAATTCATAAAGACGGAAAGTAGAATGGTGGCTTCTGGGGACTTGGAGGAGGGAATGAAGGGGTAGTGTTTTATAGGAACAGAGTTTCATTTAGGAAAGATGAAAAAGCTCTGCAGATGGATGGTAGTGGTGATTGCACAACAATGTGAATGTACTTCATGCCACAAGTTGTATACTTAAAAATTGTTAAAATGGTAAATTTTATGTTTTGTATATTTTACTACAATTCCAAAAAGGAATATAAAAATCTTGTTTCCTAAACTCCTCAATTATTTTATTTTATTATCATCCAGTATAACAGAATTAAAGAAAAGGGAAAAAAGGAGAGGAGAAAAAATGGGAGGGGAGGGAAAGGGAGAGGATAAAGAGAGAAATGAAGGGGAGAGGCAGCAAGGGAGGGAAAAAAGGGAAGGGCTGCTATATGCAGTCAGCTGTGCAATTTGTACACTTCACCCAGATACCAGAGGGGCAAATGGGGGTAAACTTCAGTCAGGAGTTATGCTGACTGAGTTGCATGCCCTGGGGCTGGACTTCAACAGGTGGGAGGAAGGGATGTCATTTTGTAATTCGTCTGTCCAGAGGGGACATCATTTGTTAATTTGCAGAATGGCACTGTATGTATCCACAGGCCTTGGAAGAGAGACAGATTGGTATGTGAACAGATTTGGTGGCTCACACCTGTAATCCCAGCACTTTGGGAGGCCGAGGCAGGTTTTCTTTCAAGAGAAGAATAAAAACTTGAAAATATCAGAATACAATGTCTGTACTAGGCATAAGCGTTTTTAATAACAATTTTGCTGCACTTGTATGTGTGTGTGCATGCATATTGGTCATGATCTAAAATGCATTTCTGAGTGAAGGTAACAACCACAAAAAGCTTGAGGCATTTGACTTCTCTAAATTCAGAGATTACATCAGAAGGGCTTCAGAGCTTTGCCATGGCATTCATACCTCTATTATAAAATGAATTGGATTTTACAAAAGTAAATTTTTGTATGTCTATTTCCCCATCAGACCACAGGATCCTTCATGGAAGGGCCTATAACTTCTCCATCTTTGAAAATCAACTCAGCACAATGCATTTTTGTTGAATGAAATAATAAATGAGGCTGGGCGCAGTGGCTCACACCTGTAATCCCAGCACTTTGGGAGGCCGAGGTGGGTGGATCACCTGAGGTCAGGAGTTCAAGACCAACCTGGCCAACATGGTGAAATCCCGTCTCTACTAAAAAAATACAAAAAATTAGCCGGATGTCATGGCGGGCGCCTGTAATCCCAACTACTCAGGAGGCTGAGGCAGGAGAATCGCTTGAACCCAGGAGGCAGAGGTTGCAGTGAGCCAAGATTGTGCCATTGCACTCCAGCCTGGGCTACAAGAGTGAAACTCTGTCTCAAAAAAAAAAAAAAAAAAAAAAGAATAAATGATAGCATTAATAAAATACGTTCAGAAAAAGACAAATAGCTCCTGGTGTTGAGGCAGGAGAAACAAAGGATAGAATCACACTTTTGACGGTGATACAGGTTCTAGGAAACAGCTGTGAGCTTCAAAGCCAGACTGACTTCAATTATGATTTCCTATTTTGTCCCTAAGGACTGTGTCACCTTGGACAACTTTCCTAACCTCACAGAGTCTTAACTTTTTCCTCTGAAAAATAGGGATATTCTATTTCACTTTCTGTGTGGTAAGATAGGCGAGGTAACATTGCATAAAGTGCTTAACATATTATTTGTAGCATAGTAAGTGTGCTATATTTGTATTAGTATGATAAATAAATATAATATCTAGCCCACATCTGCCATACTGTAGACACTCAGGAACAGTAGTTATGATTGTAGCTGTGCAGTTGATTGCAATTTTTAATATGACAAAATAACATTGAAAATCTAATTACTTATTTTAATTTGGAAATAAAAATGGAATATCCCACTCCCCACTCCCTACAAAGGAGTATCTTTCTTCATTGCTTTTCTCTATAAAATTTATTAAACTATTATATATACTTTACTTGTATATTATGTTTATTATTTGGCATCTATCTCCTTTACCAGAATAGAAGCTGTATAAAGGTAGAAATAATAATAATAAACTATCAGCTAAGCCTTTATGACCTTCAAATCTAAACCTGCTTTAGCCTGAGAGGAAGTTAAGAGTCTTTTCTGGTGAAAAAGAGAAAAGCTTTGTGGGACTGGCCACCCCCAAGTCAACCCTGAATACACCCTTGGTTTTGAAATCCTAGGTCCATAGATATTTTGTTTCAGATGGGAGAACACAAAGGCTGCAGAGTTCCATCATTGAAGAAGAGAAGTAGCTTCATTTTCCTAAGGTCAGATTCACAAATATTGTTTCATAGTTTATCTAGATGTCTGTCAAAAACTGTGAAGGGCCTGCTTGCGAGATAACAAGTAAGATTGCCAGAGTGTCATGGATGGATGTTAAATCACAAATGCTTACTCAGGATAATAACACAGAGCAATAAGCAAGATTACAGATGCTTTGCAGTCTGTTCATGCTTCAGTTCATAAGTAAATTTATTTCATGTTGCATACCTTGAACACATTTAAATATTGACTGAGATGTTATAAAAATGTAAAGCTTTGCTATTGGTACTCCATTAATAACAAATAGAAGTAACTTGAACGTGAGATAACATTTGTTTTATCTAGTTTTAAAAGGGTCTTACCAAGGAAATAATGTAAATAAAACTGATACGGATGTGTTTAATCTACGAGATAATAAAAATTTTAACCATTTTAGAAACAGAAATTACAAACACTTGCCACGTTAATTAAAACCATTTAATCAACCATTAAAGTAAATCCTATGGGGTTTCTACTTGACAGTATTTCTTAATCTAGTCTGATATGCTCTATGAACTTCAAAGTAATAAAACTTATTTTATTGAAATTGTTACATAACTCAAACCTTTTAAGTCAATTATACAATCAGTCTGAATTAGCAAAGTTTAACTGTCCTAATCAAAATTTAAAACACTTTTATTTACACATAGCTATTAGTGATACTAATCAAGGCAGAGTTATTTAAGCAATGAAACAACTTTGATGTTAGAGCCAAATCAAACTGATTTGGAAACACAGATAGCTATATATTATAGCTGCATATGACCTACGTGCATAGGGCATAGGTAAAAATTATTATCAAGAATCACGACTGATGTTATGAGTTACAACAACTGTTTTATTATTACTTTAAAATACTGACATAATTATTGATCCCTCCCTTACCCTCAGACTTTAGATCCAATTAATCAATAGCCCTGTTGATTTTACCTCCCAAATACATAATCTGTCTACTTCTCTTGTATGCTTCTGGGACCCTTGTCCATACATTATTATCTATCTCGGAACTGGTGCAATAGCTAATAACTGACTTATCTCATTACCCTTCTTCCTCTAGCAATGTTCTCCTTTGTCTCCAGTCTTCTTAATGCCATGAAAGTAATCCTTTCAAGAGTGACATCAACAAGATAGTGGAGCAGGACCCTTGACTCTTCTATTCCCCATAAGCATGCCGATTCAGCAACAATTCACAAATTCCATTTTTCAGAAATTAGAAACTAATTGAAAGGCTCTGTACCCTGGAAGAATGCAAAACTAGACTCAGCAATGCCAGTAGGTAGATTTGGAACATCCTCTTGCTGGAGATCCTGCACCCATTGCAGTGCCATATAATCAAGAAGGGTTCCCCTGGCTCCCCAGTTTACCTAGGGGAGAAAAAAGGTTGGTTTGCTTTTCCTGTGATGCTCCAACTTTTCCAGGGGACTCCCTAGATGACCAACTACTATGTTGCCAGTCTTAGAGTTCTGACAAGTCTGACATAGTCTTGTGGCCTGGGAGGGAATGAAGATGGCAGCTTGGGCTGATGGATACCATTGATCTCCCCATCAACTCAGCACTGAGTGAGCAGATTAAAATCTCAGCTCTCAGCTTTCTCCTGGTAAGGGAAAGTATTAATCCATGAGTCCAGTGCTCCAGTTTCTCTGGGGCTTGTTAAAGAACTACCATTTGTCTCTCCAACCTTAAAGCTCTGATGGATTCAGCACAGTGTAGCTGCCCAGAGGATACTGAAGATGGCAGATAGGGCTGGTAGACACCATCACTCCCTGCATCCAGCTCAGCACAGAGTGAGTGAACAAAACCCACAGCTGTCTACTTCTCTCTGGGCAGGGAAAGCACTAGTAGAGGCCATGAGAATCTCTGACCAGGATGATTGATGGTGGTCTTTTCCTGTACAAGCCCAGTCCATAAAGATTGGGAGAAGCACCTGCCTTATCTAATGGGCAGGCATCAAGCCAGAGAGTCAAGAAAAATAAAGAATCAGGCAAAGATGTTCCAAACAAGGAAACAAAATAAATCTTCAGAAACCAACTCAAATGAAACAGTTATATGATTTCTGTAACAAACTTAAAAATAACTCTCATAAAAATGCTCCCTGATATCAAGAGAACCATGCATGAACAAAGTGAAAATTTCAACAAAGAGATAGGAAATATTAAAAAGTACCAAACAGAAATCATAGAGCTAAGGAACACAATAACTGAACTGAAAAATTCCCTAGAGAAGCTCAATAGCAAACTAAATCATGAAGAAGGAAGAATCAACAAAATTAAAGCCAAGTCTCTGGAAATAATTTAGTGAGAGGAGCAAAAAGAAAAATTAATGAAAAAGAGTGCAATGGACTGAATGTTCCAAAATTTATAACTTGAAATTCTACTCTGCAATGTGATAGTATTAGGAGTTGGGATTTTGGAAGGTAATTAGGTCATGAGGGTAAAGTCCTCATGAATGAGATTAATACCCTTATAAAAGGGATACCAGGATCTCTTTTGTGCTCCTTCTACCACATGAAGACATGACAAGAAGAAGGCCACCTATGAACCAAGAAGCAGGTCCCAGCCAAACATCAAACTTCCTAGTGCTTTTATCTTGGATTTCTTAGCCTCCATAACTGTGAGAAATAAATGTCTGTTGTTTAAAAAACACAATCTATGGCATTTTTATTATGGAAGGCCAAATAGATTGGGACAAAGAGGGAAGAAAATTTAAGGGAATTATGTGACACCGCCAAGCATGCCAATATTTGCATTATGAGAATATCAGAAGGAAAAGAGAGAGAAAGGTCCAGAAACATTATTTGAAGAAAAAATGGCTAGAAACTTCCAAGTCTGGGGATGGAAATAGAAATCCAGATCTAAAAAAAACCCAAGAACAGCAAATAAGATGAACTCAAGACATTCAAATGTAGACACATTATAATCAAATTATCAAAATTATCAAAAGTCAAAGACAAAGAAAATATTTTGAAAGCATCAAGAGAAAAGTAACTAGTCACATACAAAAGAACCCTTATAAGACTATTAGTATATTTTTTCAGCAGGAACCTTGCAGCCAAGAAGGGAGAGGAATGACATACTCAAAGCACTGAAAGAAAAGAACTGCCAACCAAGAATACTATACCTGGCAAAACTCTTCTTCAGAAATAAAGAGAGATAAAGACTTTCCCAGGCAAACAAAAGCTGGGGGTGTATACCACCACTTGATCTGCATTACAAGAAATGTTAAAGGAAGTTCCTCAAGTTCAAACAAAAGGCCACTAAACAGCAACATGAAAGCACAAGAAAGTATAAAACTTGGTAAAGGTAAATATACAGATAGATACAGAATACTATATTACTGTAATGGTGATAGGTCAATGCATTTTAATTCTAGTATAAAAGTTAAAAGACAAAAATACTTAAAATAACTATAAAAATATATTAAAATATATACAATATAAATAGATGTAAATTGTGACAACAATAACATAAAGTGTGGGGGGAAGAGTTAAAGTGTAGCATTTATATATGTAATTTAACTTGTTATCAGCTTAAAATAGATTGTTATTACTATAAGATATATAAGCTCCAAGGTAACTACAAAACCTATAGAAGTTACAAAAAAGAGAAAGGAATCAAAGCATATTAATACAAAAAAAATCACTAAAACACAAAGGAAGACAGCAAGAGAGTAAAAACAAACAAAAAAGATCTAAAACATGAACAGAAATCAACTAACTAAATGCCAATAGTAATGCCTTTCCAGTGAATAACTACTATAAATGTAAATGGAATAAGCATTCCAACCAAAAGATATAGAGTGGTTGAGTGGATAAAAAACAAGACCCAACTATATGGTCTCTACCAAAATCTCACTTTAGATTCAAGGACATATGTGGCCTGAAATTGGAGGAATGGGGAAAAAAAATTCCATGCAAATGGTAACCAAATAGAACAGAGTGGTTATACTTACATCAGACAAAATAAATGTTAAGTCAAAACTGCCACAAGAGACAAAGAAGAATATTTCACAATGACAAAGGGTGAATACACAAAGAAGATATAACAATTATATATGAACCCAACATCACAGCACCAAAATATGCAAAGCAAACACTGACAGAACTGAAGGAAGAAGTAGACAACAACACAATAACAGTAGGAGACTTCAATACCCCACTTTCAATAATGAACAGAACATCTGGATAGAAGATTAATAAGGCGAAAGAAGACTTGAATAACAATACAGACCAAACAGATTTTACATAACTACACTGCACATTCTACCTAATAGCAGCAGAATACACATTCTTCTCAACTGCACATAGATCTTTCTCCAGGATGGATCATCCTAGAGACAAAATAACTCTTCACAAATATAAGAAGGTTGAACCTGAATCATATCAAGTGTCTTTTCTTACCACAGTGAAATAAAACTAGAAATCAACAGCAAACTGAAAATTAGAAAATTTACGAATATGAGGAAATTAAACAACACATTCTTGAGCAATCAGTGGTCAAAATAGAAATCAGAAAAGAAATTGGAAAATACCTCAAGACAAATGAAAATAAAAATACAACCTATCAAAACTTATGAGATGCAGAAAAAGCAACACTAACAGGGAAGTTCATAGCAATAAATGTTTACACTAAAAACAAAGAAAGATCTCAAATAAACGATCTAACTTTACACATCAAGGTACTGGAAAAGGAAAACAAGCTAAGCCCAAAGTTCACAGAAAGAAGGAAATAAAGATTAGAGAAGAAATAAATGAAATAGAAAATACAGAAAAAAATAAACAGAGTAAAATTTGTTTTGTTTGCTTGTTTCTTTGTTTTTGAGATGGAGTCTCGCTCTGCCGCCCAGGCTGGAGTGCAATGGCGTGATCTTGGCTCAAGGCAACCTCCACCTCCTGGGTTCAAGTGATTCTCCTGCCTCAGCCTCCCAAGTAGCTGGAATTACAGGCACCCGCCACTACGCCCAGCTAATTTTTGGTGGGTTTTTTTTTTGTTTTTTTTTTTGTATTTTTATTAGAGACAGGGTTTCACCATATTGGCTAGGTGATCCTCCTGCCTCAGCCTCCCGAAGTGCTGGGATTACAGGCATGAGCCACTGCGCCTGGTCAAATTTGTTCTTTTTAAAGATAAACAAAATTGATAAACTCTTAGCTATATTAACTAAGAAAAAAGGGGAAACACTCAAATACATAAAATCAAAAAATGAAAGAAAAGACTTAAAACTGATGCCACAGAAATACAAAGGAGTATAAAAAAACTACTACAAATAATTGTACACCAACAAATTGGATAATCTAGAAGAAATGAATAAATTAGAGAAGCATACAAGCTACCAAGACTAAATTATGAAGATATATAAAATCTGAGCATTATGACTTTAGTATGAAGGTTGAATCTGTAATTAAAAGCCTCTCAAAAAAGAAAAGCCCAATATCAGATGGCTTCACCAAACATTTAAACAAGCATTAACACCAATCCTTCTCAAAGTCTGTCAAAAATTAAAGAGAAGGGAACACTTCCGAACTAAATTTTTAAGAAAAGTATTGCCTTCATACCAAAGACAGACAAAGACTTTACTAGAAAACTACAGGCCAATATCCCTGATAAACATAAATGCAAAAATGTCAACAAAATACTAGCAAAATGAATTCAACAGCATATTAAAAGAATCAGGCACCATGACCAAATAGGATCAATCACTTGGATGC
Organism: Homo sapiens; assembly: GCF_000001405.40. NCBI lineage: Eukaryota > Metazoa > Chordata > Mammalia > Primates > Hominidae > Homo > Homo sapiens. The sequence continues at coordinate 181,162,592 of NC_000003.12, read as the reverse complement.
AATGTAGTTCACCATATGAAAATCAATTAATGTGATACCACATTAGCAGAATGAAGAATAAAAATCACATGATTGTCTCAGTACATGCAGAAAGTGTTTGACAAAATTTAATATCCTTTCATGATAAAAACTCTCAACCAACTAGGTATAGAAGGAAATTAGCTCAACATTATAAAGGCCATGCATGAAAAGCCCACAGCTAACATTACACTCAAAAGTAAAAACAAACAAACAAACAAACAAAAACTGAAAGCTTTTCCTCTAAGTTCAGAAACAAGGCAAGGATGCCCACTTTTGCTGCTTCAATTCAACATATACTAGAAATCTAGTCAGAGCAATTTGACAAGAGAAAGAAATAAAAAGCACCCAAATAGAAAAGGAAAGTTGTCTCTGTTTGCAGATGACATAATTTTTCTATATATACGATGAGAGAGAAAGAGAGAGAGAGAGTGAAAGAGAGAGAGAGAGAGAAACAGAGAAAGAGAAAGGCAAGAGTATGAGAGAGACGTTCCTTGATATGGTTTGGATATTTATCCCATCCAAATCTCATGTTGAAATGTAATCCCCAAATGTTGAAGATGGGGCCTGGTGAGAGGTGTTTGGGCCACGGGGGCAAATCTCTGACGGCTTGGTGCTGTCCTCATGCTAGCGAGTTCTTATAAGATCTGGCTGTTTACCCACTTCTCTCTCTTGCTCCAGCTCCTGCCATGTGACATGCCTGTTCCTGCTTCACCTGCTGCCATGAGTAAAAGCTCCTCGAGCCCTCCCCAGAAGCCAGGCAGATGCCAGTGCCATGCTTCCTGTACAGCCTGCAGAACCAGGAGTCAGTTAAGCCTCTTTTCTCTATAAATTACCCAGTCTCAAGTATTCCTTTATAGCAACACAAGAATGGCCTAACACATTCCTCAACTTATGATGGGATTATGTCCCAGTAAGCCCATGTTACAGTGAAAATACCATAAGTTGACAGTGTATTTTTAACTTATAGTATTTTCAACTTATGAGAGATTTACCCAGATGTAACCCCATTATAAGTTAAGGAGAGAACTGAATACAACTTATTTTCATACCATCATAAAGTTGAAAAATCATTAAGTGGAACCATTGTAAGTCAGGGATGATCTATGTGTGTGCGTATGTGTGTCTGTGTATACACACAGTGATATCACTTTATATACACTATACAATGGAATATTATTCAACTTTGAAAAAAGAAAATCCTGCTGTCATTTGTGACAACATGGATGAGCTTGTAGGATATTATGTTAAGTGAAATAATCCATGCACAGAAAGACAAATACCTCATGACCTCACTTATTTGTAGAATCTAGAAAAGTTGAACTCATAAATGCAGACTGTAGAAGTCATAGAGTGGTTGGGGATGGGACAGGTAGGAAAAATGAAGAGATGTTGGTCAAAGGGTACTAAGTTTCAGTTATGCAGGATGAATAAGTTCTGGAGATCTAATGTACAACATAGTGACTATAGTTAATAATACAGTATTGTATAGTTGAAATTTGCTAAAAGAGTAGGTCTTAAATGTTCCTACCACAAAAGAACAAAGGTAACTATGTGAAGTGATGGCCATATCAATTAGCTTGATTGTGGTAATTCTTTCACAGTGTGTAGATATATATTAAAACATCAAAATATATATAATTTATTAATTATACCTTAATAAAGCTACGGGGGAAACCAACATGGTACTGGCCTAAGGACAGGTATGTAGAGCAATGGAACAAAATAGAAAGCCCAGAAATAAATCCTCTCATTTATGGTCAACCGATCATCTGTTGACAAGGGTGCCAAGCTATACAATGGGGAAGGGCAGTCTTGTCAATAAACAGTGTTGGAAAAACTGGATATCCACATACCAGAGAATGAAATTGGACTCATATTACACTATATACAAAAATAAAATTAAAATGAATTAAAGATTTAAATGTAAGACCATCATTCTCAGCAAACTATCGCAAGGACAAAAAACCAAACACCGCATGTTCTCACTCATAGGTGGGAATTGAACAATGAGAACACTTGGACACTGGGTGGGGAACATCACACACCAGGGCCTGCTGTGGGGTGGGGGGAGGGGGGAGGGATAGCATTAGGAGATATACCTAATGTACATGATGAGTTAATGGGTGCAGCACACCAACATGGCACATGTATACATATGTAACAAACCTGGACTTTGTGCACATGTACCCTAAAACTTAAAGTATAATGAAAAATAAATAAATTAAAAAATAGAGACCTAAAACTCCCAGAAGAAAACATGGGGAAAAAGTTTCATGACATTGGTCTTGGTAATGAATTCATGATATGACACCAAAACACAGATACAAAAATAAAAATAGACATGTGAAACTATATCAAACTAAAAAACTTTTACACAGCAATTAGAGCAATCAATAGAGTGAAAAGACAACCTACAGAATGTGACAAAATATTTGCAAAGTAAATATGTAATACAGAGTTAATCTCCAAAATGTGTAAGAAACTCCTACAACTCAGTAGTAAAAAATAAATAAGTAAACAACCTGATTAAAAATTAGCTAATGGCTTGAACAGACATTTCTTTGAAGAGGACATACAAATGGCCAACAGGTTTATGAGAAAATACTGTAAGTCACTAATCATAGAAATATACAAGTGACATTATTACTGAGGGCTCTGTTCTGTTCCATTGGTCTATATCTCTGTTTTGGTACTAGTACCATGCTGTTTTTGTTACTGTAGCCTTGCAGTACAGTTTGAAGTCAGGTAGTGTGATGCCTCCAGCTTTGTTCTTTTGGTTTAGGATTGACTTGGCAATGCAGGCTCTTTTTTGGTTCCATATTAACTTTAAAGTAGTTTTTTCCAATTCTGTGAAGAAAGCCATTGGTAGCTTGATGGGGATGGCATTGAATCTATAAATTACCTTGGGCAGTATGGCCATTTTCATGATATTGATTCTTCCTACCCATGAGCATGGAATGTTCTTCCATTTGTTTGTATCCTCTTTTATTTTATTGAGCAGTGGTTTGTAGTTCTCCTTGAAGAGGCCCTTCACATCCCTTGTAAGTTGGATTCCTAGGTATTTTATTCTCTTTGAAGCAATTGTGAATGGGAGTTCACTCATGATTTGACTCTCTGTTTGTCTGTTATTGGTGTATAAGAATGCTTGTGATTTTTGCACATTGATTTTGTATCCTGAAACTTTGCTGAAGTTGCCTATCAGCTTAAGGAGATTTTGGGCTGAGACGATGGGGTTTTCTAGATATACAGTCATGTCATCTGCAAACAGGGACAATTTGACTTCCTCTTTTCCTAATTGAATACCCTTTCTTTCCTTCTCCTGCCTGATTGCCCTGGCCAGAACTTCCAACACTATGTTGAATAGGAGTGGTGATAGAGGGCATCCTTGTCTTATGCCCGTTTTCAAAGGGAATGCTTCCAGTTTTTGCCCATTCAGTATGATATTGGCTGTGGGTTTGTCATAGATAGCTCTTATCTACAACCATCTGAGCTTTGACAAACCTGACAAAAACAAGAAATGGGGAAAGGATTCCCTATTTAATAAATGGTGCTGGGAAAACTGGCTAGCCATATGTAGAAAGCTGAAACTGGATCCCTTCCTTACACCTTATACAAAAATTAATTTGAGATGGATTAAAGACTTAAATGTTAGACCTAAAACCATAAAAACCCTAGAAGAAAACCTAGGCAATACCATTCAGGACATAGGCATGGGCAAGTACTTCATGTCTAAAACACCAAAAGCAATGGCAACAAAAGCCAAAATTGACAAATGGGATCTAATTTAACTAAAGAGCTTCTGCACAGCAAAAGAAACTACCATCAGAGTGAACAGGCAACCTACAGAATGGGAAAAAATTTTTGCAATCTACTCATCTGACAAAGGGCTAATATCCAGAATCTACAATGAACTCCAACAAATTTACAAGAAAAAAACAAACAACCCCATCAAAAGTGGGTGAAGGATATGAACAGACACTTCTCAAAAGAAGACATTTATGCAGCCAAAAGACACATGAAAAAAATGCTCATCATCACTGGCCATTAGAGAAATGCAAATCAAAACCACAATGAGATACCATCTCACACCAGTTAGAATGGCGATCATTAAAAAGTCAGGAAACAACAGGTGCTGGAGAGGATGTGGAGAAATAGGAACACTTTTACACTGTTGGTGGGACTGTAAACTAGTTCAACCATTGTGGAAGTCAGTGTGGCTATTCCTCAGGGATCTAGAACTAGAAATACCATTTGACCCAGCCATCCCATTACTGGGTATATACCCAAAGGATTATAAATTATGTTGCTATAAAGACACATGCACACGTATGTTTATTGTGGCACTATTCACAATAGCAAAGACTTGGAACCAACCCAAATGTCCAGCAATGATAGACTGGATTAAGAAAATGTGGCACATATACACCATGGAATACTATGCAGCCATAAAAAAGGATGAGTTCATGTCCTTTGTAGGGACATGGATGAAGCTGGAAACCATCATTCTCAGCAAACTATCGCAAGGACAAAAAACCAAACACCGCATGTTCTCACTCATAGGTGGGAATTGAACAGTGAGAACACATGGACACAGAAAGGGGAACATCACACATCGGGGCCTGTTGTGGGGTGGGGGGAGGGGGGAGGGATAGCATTTGGAGATATACCTAATGTTAAATGATGAGTTACTGGGTGCAGCACACCAACATGGCACATGTATACATATGTAACTAACCTGCACGTTGTGCACATGTACCCTAAAACTTAAAGTATAATAAAAAAAAAAAGAAATATACAAGTGAAAACCACAATGAGATATCACATCATACTTGTCAGGATGGCTACTATCATAAAAGCAAAATACAAGTGTTGGAAAGGATGCATAGAAATTGGAACCCTTGCACACTGTTGGTGTGAATGCAAAATGATGATGCCTCTATGGAAAATAGTATAGAGGTGCTTCAAAAAATTAAAAATTAGAACTACTGGCTGGGTGCGGTGGCTCATGCCCATAATCCCAGCACTTTGGGAGGCCAAGGCGGGAAGATCACTTGAGGCCAGGAGTTCGAGACCAGCCTGGCCAACATGGCAAAACCCTGTCTCCACTAGAAATACAAGAATTAGCTGGGTGTGGTGGCACACGCCTGTAATCCCAGCTACTTGGGAAGCTGAGGCAGGAGAATTGCTTGAGTCCAGGAGGTGGAGGTTGCAGTGAGCTGAGATTGCGCCACTGCATGCCAGCCTGGGTGACAGAGCGAGACTCTGTCTCAAAACAAACAAACAAACAAACAAAACTACTATATGATCCAATCTCACTTCTGGGAATGTATTCACATAATTGAAATAAGGATAGCATCCCTATATTCATTGCAGCATTATTCACAATAGCGAAGATGTGGAAAAAAACTAAATTTCCATGGACAGATGAGTAGATAAAGAAAATGTGGAATATATTTACAATGGAATACTATTCAGCTTTAAGAAAAAAAGGGAAGTTCGGCCAGGTGCAGGGCTCACGCCTGTAATCCCAACACTTTGGGAAGCTGAGGTGGGCGGATCATGAGGTCAAGAGATCGAGACTATCCTGGCCAACACGGTGAAACCTCGCCTCTACTGAAAATACAAAAATTAGCCAGGTGTGGTAGCAGGTGCCTGTAAATCCCAGCTACTTGGGAGGCTGAGGCAGGAGAATCGCTGGAACCCGGGAGGCGGAGGTTGCAGTGAGCTGAGATCATGCCACTGTACTCCAGCCTAGCAACAGAGCAAGACTCTGTCTCAAAAAATTAAAAAATAAAATAAAAAAAGAAAGAAAAAGAGGGAAGTTCTACAATGTGTGGCAAGCTGGATGAACCTTGAGAAAATTATGCTAAAGTGAAATAATCAAGTCATAGAAAAAGAAATACTGCAGTCCTCTTATATAAGGCATCAAAAATAGTCAATTCGTAGAATCAGAGAGTGAAACAGTGGTTTGCAGAGGTTGTGGGGATGGAGAAATGGGGAGTTACTAATCTAACAACCTAAAGTTTCTGTCCAGCTAGATAAATACATTCTGTTGTACAACATTGTACCTCTAAGTAACAATAATGTGTTCTACACTTACAGATTTGTTCAGAGGGTAGATATCATTTGAAGTGTTTTTACCACAATGAATTTTTAAAAATATCCTTAAAAGCAAAAATAAAGTTACACTCTTAAAACTCCATGGCCTAAGTCCTTTCCAAGGTTTCCCACTGCATTTAGGATAAAATCCAAACTTCTTCCCAGGACTTTGATTTCCTGCATGATTTAGCATTCTGTTCACTGCTATGCCCCCAGGACTTAGCACAGGACTGGGCACTCCATAGGAGTTCAGTAAATACATGTTGAATGAATGGATATAACAAAATTATAATCCCTTGATTTCAAATCTGGTTTGTGAAAATTTTGTGTGAATGTCTATACTACAAAATGAAATTGAGAAATTCAAATATTATTTTAAGTAATTCAACCAAATTATTGTTTCTAACAGACAATAATGGCTAGTAAAAATGAGACACACCTCAGACAGAAAGCCTTTTATCAATCCCTCCTGGTCAGATGTGAAAAGAAAGGCATGTCCTTCCTTGGGCCTACCACTTACAGTAGGAGTGCCAGTTTAAAGAGATGGTAAGTCAACTGTCCCTGCTCAGATGCAGACACACATAAGATAGTACAGCCCTCATGCTAGACAATGACAATGATGATGTTGATGATGATGATGATAACAGCAGCATTTGTCAAGCACTTGCTATGGGCCGGGTACTGTTCTAAGTGATCTGAATACATTAACTTCTCTACTCCTTACAGCAACCTTACTGCTATCCCTATTTTATAGATGAGAAATTCCAACGCTTTAGGTAAAAGCGAAGCACTTTACAAGAGGTCACACAATTAAGAAGTGTGAGAACTGGGATTTTATCCTAGGCCTTTTCATCCTGGATACCCACATTTATTTCCAAGTATAGAAAAAAATCTTAAGACATCTCAGGAAGAAAGTGTTCCTTTTATGGTATTAAACATAAAATGATGAAACAGTAACGATCAGGCCTTTGCAACCATGGGGGACATTCTCACTTCTTCTCATTAGGAAATCCATATCCGTTTGACCTCCAATAATAATGTTATCTTTTTTATAAGATAAACAAGAATAAGACTCCTAATTTGTCTCAGAAGGACAGAAAACACAGAAACAGACCAAAATAAAGCATCACAAAGCCAGAACAAAGAGTATGCTGGTAAGAGAGAGGGAAAGAGGGAAAGAAAGGGTGAGAGAGAAGTACAAACTTGCACTGCCATGTGAGTCAATAAATAGAGCAGGCAGTTAGCATTTTGCAAAATCTTTTTAGAGAAAATTGCAATGCTATTGATAAAAATTTTGTATCCAGAGGAATTTGGGATAAATAGGATAAATAGGAATAGGAACTTGGTATTTGTTTCAGGTAATAGTGCTAATACAGCTAATACAGCACTATTACCTGAAACAAATACCAAATTACCACAAATTTTGGTGGCTTAAATAACAGAAATTTAGGCTAGGCATGGTGGCTCATGCCTTGTAATTCCAGTGTCTTGGGAGGCCAAGAAAGGAGGATTACTCGAGGCCACAAGTTTGAGACCAGCCTGGGCAACATAGTGAGACCTCCATCTCTACAAAAAAAAAAAAAAATTAAAAACACAGAAATTTATTCCCTACAGTTTTGGAGGCCAAATGTCTGAAATCAGTATTATTAGATGAAAAACAAGGATTGGAATGGCTGCATGTCCTCCAGAGATTGTAGAGAGAATCCATTCCTTGCCTCTTTCAGCTTCTTGTGGCTGCCCACATTCCTTGACTTGTGGCTGCATCACTCCAGTCCTCAAGGCCCATCTTGAAATCTCTCTGCTCTGTTTCATATTGCCTTCTTCTCTGTATGTGTAAAAGCTCTCTTAGAAGGATACATATGATGATACTCTAGGTCCCACTGAGATAATCCAGGATAACCTCCACATCTCAAGATTCTTTATTACATCTGCAGAGACTTTTTTTCCCAAATAAAGTGACATTTACGGGTTCCAAAAATTAGGGCCTAATATCTTTGGAGAGTCATATTTCAGCCTGCTATAAATATTAAGTGCTCTGATGAAAGGAAATAACTAATCCCAGCAGAGACTCCTAAGACAAGAATGCTGAAGACCTCACAGACCAGTGGAATTTAGCACAAGAAAGGGATTTCTCTTGGACCAGAAGAACAGTCACATTTGTCCAAATGTATGTCTAAATGTTTTTCCTAATGCTTTTTAATTAGGAGATAATTGGAAATTAAAGCCAGCATAATTATTGTAGTTTAATGCATACGAGTTTTGCTTAACTTAATTCTATTGTGAACTGTGTCTAATTTCATTCCATAATATGGGCTCAGTCAATCTTGAATAATTCCCTACTGCTTCACAGAATTCTAAGTTAAAGTGCCAATCCAAATACACTTATGCAGAAGAAGAAAGGATGGGCTTCTCTTTCCTACTCTAGTATATAAGAATCCCAGGGAAATGTTCTAATGGACAGGCCCACATAAGCAGGAGAAACAGCATGACCTTACAGGGGAAAACAATGCTCAAAGCAAGGAAGTGGACATGTCTATTGCCAAAAGAAGGGAAGAGGATTTACTGGGCAGATAAAAACCGTAGAAGTCCATTGCACTCTCTGCCAGTTCTCACATACTTAATACAACTAACCCACATGCACACAATACATAAAAACAGAGAAAAAGCTCTCCTTGCCTGAGGGAAACAACCCAAAGCTATGTCAGATTTCTGCATCTAGCCAGAAGTTCCAGATTCTCTTTGTTCTCTTCGTTTTATCCAGGTATGTTTTTTCTTGCTCCTGTGCCCTTTAGCCAAGTGTCTACACTAGTAGTGAAAGGTATGGGTCCAATCAAATTGACTGGGCTCAAATCATGGCTCCACCTCTTAATAATGTATGGTTTGGGACAAGTTACCCAACCTTGCTGGGTCTCAGTCTCCTAATCTGTAAAATGGGGATACTGACAGTATCTACTTCAATGAGTTGTTTTAAGCATCTAATAAGATAAAATATATGAAATGCACTAAGTAAACATTCAGTGAGTTCATTGCTGTGCTTGTCACCACTGTTTTAGATGCTGGAGATACATCAGCAGACAAACCATACAAAGCTTCTGTTCTTATGGAGCTTAATTTTAGCAGAGGAAATAGAAAATAGGCAATTTTAAAAAATGAAGACCAGTTAATAATTTCTGACCAGCTAATCAAGTTTAAAATGAAGCTTTTCTCTTCTTTCCTTTTTAAAAAACTTTTAAAAATTTCTTTTAAAATTCATATACAAGTAAATGCAACATAGTTTTTGGTGAACAGTTCCATGAATTTTGACAATGCATACAGTTGTATAACCACCACAATCAAGACACAGAGCAGTTCCATTCCTGCTCTCTACCCCAATTCTCTTGTTTGCTCCTTTCATTAACTCACCCTACCTTAACCCATGACAACCACTGGTCTGTTTTCTGTCTCTATTGTTTTGTCTTTTCCAGAAGAGTGTCATGTAAGTGGAATTATGTAGCCTTTTGAGTCTGGCTCCTTTCATGTATTATAATACATTTGCCATTCATCCATGTTATTGCATATATCAATAGTTCCTTTTTATTGGCTGAGTAGCATTCTATGGTGTGAAGGTATGATGGTTTGTTCATCCATTCACTACTTGAAGAACATTTGGGTTGTTTTCAGTTTTTGGCAATTATCAATAAAGCTATTAGAAACATTTATGTATAGGTTTTCGTATGAACATAAGTGTTCACTTCTGTTGGGTAGACACTTTGAGTGGGATTGCTGGGTCATATGGTAAGCATATGATTAACTTTATGAGAAAATGCCACACTGTTTTCCAGAGTGGCTGTACCATTTTCTTCTCCACCATCAATGTGTGAGGGTTCTAGTTGCTCTGTATCCTTGCCAGCACTTGGTATTGTTGTTATTTTTCATGTATTTATATTTATTTTTTTTGTTTTTTGTTTTTTTTGTTTTTTCTGTTTTTATTTATTTATTTTTTATTATACTTTAAGTTTTAGGGTACTTGTGCACATTGTGCAGGTTAGTTACATATGTATACATGTGCCATGCTGGTGTGCTGCACCCACTAACTCGTCATCTAGCATTAGGTATATCTCCCAATGCTATCCCTCCCCCCTCCCCCCACCCCACCACAGTCCCCAGAGTGTGATATTCCCCTTCCTGTGTTCATGTGATCTCATTGTTCAATTCCCACCTATGAGTGAGAATATGCGGTGTTTGGTTTTTTGTTCTTGTGATAGTTTACTGAGAATGATGATTTCCAAATTCATCCATGTCCCTACAAAGGACATGAACTCATCATTTTTTATGGCTGCATACTATTCCATGGTGTATATGTGCCACATTTTCTTAATCCAGTCTATCATTGTTGGACATTTGGGTTGGTTCCAAGTCTTTGCTATTGTGAATAATGCCGCAATAAACATACGTGTGCACGTGTCTTTATAGCAGCATGATTTATAGTCCTTTGGGTATATACCCAGTAATGGGATGGCTGGGTCAAATGGTATTTCTAGTTCTAGATCCCTGAGGAATAGCCACACTGACTTCCACAATGGTTGAACTAGTTTACAGTCCCACCAACAGTGTAAAAGTGTTCCTATTTCTCCACATCCTCTCCAGCACCTGTTGTTTCCTGACTTTTTAATGATTGCCATTCTAACTGGTGTGAGATGGTATCTCATTGTGGTTTTGATTTGCATTTCTCTGATGGCCAGTGAAGATGAGCATTTTTTCATGTGTTTTTTGGCTGCATAAATGTCTTCTTTTCAGAAGTGTCTGTTCATGTCCTTCGCCCACTTTTTGATGGGGTTGTTTGTTTTTTTCTTGTAAATTTGTTGGAGTTCATTGTAGATTCTGGATATTAGCCCTTTGTCAGATGAGTAGGTTGCAAAAATTTTCTCCCATGTTGTAGGTTGCCTGTTCACTCTGATGGTAGTTTCTTTTGCTGTGCAGAAGCTCTTTAGTTAAATTAGATCCCATTTGTCAATTTTGGCTTTTGTTGCCATTGCTTTTGGTGTTTTAGACATGAAGTCCTTGCCCATGCCTATGTCCTGAATGGTAATGCCTAGATTTTCTTCTAGAGTTTTTATGGTTTTAGGTCTAATGTTTAAGTCTTTAATCCATCTTGAATTGATTATTTTTTAGCATGTTAATAGTATGTGATATCTCATTGTGGGTTTGTTTGGTTGGGTTTTTTTGCAGCTCTAGGGGGGTGTGTTTCCCTGGGTTTTTGAATTTGTTTGTTTATTTGTTTATTTCAGTAGATTTTGGGGGAACAGGTGGTGTTTGGTTACATGGATAAGCTCTTTAGTGGTCATTTCTGAGTTTCTGGTGCACCCATCACCCAAGCAGTGTACACTGTACCCAATGTGCAGTCTTTTATTCCTCACCCCTCCCACTTGTCCCTCCGAGTTCTCAAAGTCCATTATATCATTCTTATACCTTTGTGTTCTCATAGCTTAGCTCCCACTTATAAGTGAGACCAAACAATGTTTGGTTTTTCATCCCTGAGTTACTTCACTTAGAATAATGGTCTCCAAATCCATCCAGGTTGCTGCAAATGCCATTATTTCATTCCTTTTTATGGCTGAATATTATATATATATATAAAAAACTATTATATACTATAGTATATATATAGTGTATATATACTATATATATACACACTATTATATACTATGTATATATACTATATATACATAGTATATACAGTATATATACTATGGATAGCATATATACAGTATATATACTATGGATAGCATATATACAATATATATATACTATGGATAGCATATATACAGTATATATATACTATGGATAGCATATATACAGTATATATATACTATGGATAGCATATATACAGTATATATATACTATGGATAGCATATATACAGTATATATATACTATGGATAGCATATATACAGTATATATATACTATGGATAGCATATATACAGTATATATATACTATGGATAGTATATATACAGTATATATATACTATGGATAGTATATATACAGTATATATATATACTATGGATAGTATATATACAGTATATATATATACTATGGATAGTATATATACAGTATAGTATATATACTGTATATATACAGTATAGTATATATACTGTATATATATACTATGGATAGTATATATATACTGTATATATATATACTATCCATAGTATATATACCGTATATATATACTATCCATAGTATGTCTATATACCGTATATATATACTATCCATAGTATGTCTATATACCGTATATATATACTATCCATAGTATGTCTATATACCGTATATATACTATCCATAGTATGTCTATATACCGTATATATACTATCCATAGTATGTCTATATACCGTCTATATACTATCCATAGTATGTCTATATACCGTCTATATACTATCCATAGTATGTCTATATACCGTCTATATACTATCCATAGTATGTCTATATACCGTCTATATACTATCCATAGTATGTCTATATACCGTCTATATACTATCCATAGTATATATACTGTATATATACTATATATATACTATATATCCATACTATACATGAATATATATATATATATATACATACCACATTTTCTTTATCCACTTGCTGATTGATGGGCATTTGGGCTTGTTCCATATTTTTGCAATTGCAAGTTGTTCTGCTATAAACATGCGTGTGTAAGTGTCTTTTTTGTATAATGATGTCTTTTCCTCTGGATAGATACCCAGTAGTGGGATTGCTGGATCAAATGGTAGATCTACTTTCAGTTCTTTAAGGAAATCTCCACACTGTTTTCCATAGTGGTTGTATTTACATTCCCACCAGCAGTGTAGAAGTGTACCCTTTTCACCACATCCACATCAACATCTATTTTTTTTAATGTTTTGATTATGGTCATATTTGCAGGAGTAAGGTGGTATCACATTGTGGTTTTGATTCTGTATGATACTATAAGGGTGGATCATGTCATTATACATTTGTCAAAACCCAATATTGGTGGATCATGTCATTATACATTTGTCAAAACCCAATATTGGTGGATCATGTCATTATACATTTGTCAAAACCCATGTTATATACAACACAAAGAGAAACCCTAATATAAACCCCCACTATCAACCTTCCACGCTAAAGTGGTACATTTGTTACAGTCAATGAACCTACACTGACACATCAATATCACTCTGTCCATAGTTTACATGAGAGTTTCACTTGGCATTGTATAGCATATGGTTTTGACAATGTATAATGAAATGATCCACCATTATAGTATCATACAGAAGGGTTTCACTGCCCTAAATCCTTTGTGCTCCACCTATTTATTCCTCCCTCCCCTCTATCCCCGGCAATCACTAAGCTTTTTACTTTCTCCATAGTTTTGCCTTTTTCAGTATGTCATATAGTTGGAATTACACAATATGTATCATTCTCAGATTGGTTCTTTTCACATAGTAATATGTACTTAAGGTTCCTCTTGTCCTTTCATGGCCTGGTAGTTCATTTCTTTTTAGTGCTGAATAATATTCTGTAGTATGGATATACCACAGTTTATTTATCCATTCACCTACTAAAGGACATATTAGCTGCTTCCAAGTTTTGACAATTAAATAAAGATTCTATAGCGATATTTGTGCAAGTTTGTGTTTGGATATAAGTTTTCAACTAATCTGGGTAAAGACTAAGGAGCACAATTGCTGGGATCATATGGTAAGAATATGTTTACTTTTGTAAAATACTGCAAATCTGTCTTCCAAAATAGCTGTACCATTTTGTATTCCCATCATCAATGAATGAAAGTTTTTATTGCTTCACATCCTCACCAGTATTTGATTTTGGCCACTCTAAGCTGTCTGTAGTGGTATCTTGCTGTAATTTGCATTTCTCTAATGGTATATAATGTTGAACATCTTTTCCTATGTTTAAGTGCAGGAATAGAAAACCAAATACCACATGTTCTCACTTATAAGTGGGAGCTAAGCTGTGGGTACACAGTAACATATAGAGTGGCATAATGGACACTGGAGACTCAGAAGGGGGAGAGTGGGAGTGGGGTAAGGGATGAAAAATTATCTATTAGGTACAATATACACTATTCAGTTGACAGGTACACTGAAAGCCCAGACTTCACCACTATACCATTCATGCATATAACCCAAAATCTCTTGCACTCCTAACGGTACTGAATAAATAAATAAATAAATATTTTTAAAAACAATCTGTAAATATTCTTTGGTGAGGTGTCTGTTGAGTTCTTTTGCTGATTTTTAATCAGATTGTTCATTTTCTTATTGTTGAATTTGAAGGTATTTTGTATATTTCAGATAGCAGTCCTTTATCAATGTGTTTTTTGCAAATATTTTCTCCCAATTTGTGGCTTATCTTCTCATTCTCTTGATGGTGTCTTTCACAGAGCAGAAATTTTGAATTTTATAAAGCCCAGCTTACCAGTTGTTTCTTTTATGGATCATGCCCTTGGTTTTATATCTAAAATATCATTACCATACTCAAGATCATATTGGTTTTCTTCTACGTTATCTTCTAGGAGTTACATAGTTTCATGTTTTACATTTAGGTCTATGATCCATTTCGAGTTCATTTTTGTCAAGGGTGTCTAAATTTATTTTTTAGATGAATGTCCGGTTGTTCCAGCATCATTTGTTGAAGAAACTAACTTTTTTCCATTCTATTACTTTTGCTTCTTTGTCAAAGGTCAGTTGACTATATTTATGTGGTCTATTTCTGGGCTGTATATTCTGTTCCATTGATCCGTTTGTCTGTCTTTTCACCAATACCATATGGTCGTGGTTACTGTAACTTTATAGTAAGTCTTGAAGTCAGGTAGTGTCAGTCCTGTGACTTTGTTCTTCTCTTTCAACATTGACTTGGCTATTACGGGGCTTTTGCGTTTTCATATAAACTTTAAAATCAGTTTATCCATATCCACAAAATAATTTACTGGGATATTGACTGAGATTGCATTGAACCTATAAATCAATTTGGGAAGAACTAACATCTTGACAATATTGAGTCTTCCTATCCATGTACATGGAATATTTCTCCTTTTTTTTTTTTTGAGTTATTCTTAATGTCTTCCATCAGACTTTTGTACCTTTCCTCATATAGATCTTGTACTTATTTTGTTAGATTTATTTCTCCAAGTATTCATTTTAAGGGCTACTAGTGTAAATGTTAATATATTATTAATTTCAAATTCCACTTTTTCATTGCCGGTATAGTCATTCCTCAGTATCTGAGGGATTGCTTCCAGGACCCCTGTGGATACCAAAACCCATGGATGCTCAAGTCCCTTAAAATGGTGTAGTATTTGCATATAACCTATACGTATCTTCTCAAATACTTTAAATCTTCTCTAGATTATTTATAATACTTAATAAAATGTAAATGCTATACAAATAGTTATACTGTATTGTTTAGGGAATAATGACCAAAAACAGTCCATACATGTTCAGAACAGATATAACCATCTTTTTTCTGAATATTTTTGATCCACAGCTCATTGAATCCACGAATGTGGAAACCACCAACATGGAGGGCCAATTCTTTTTTTTTTTCCATATTAAAACATGGAATGTTTCAGATGAAAGTAATAAAAATACTATTGGTTTTGTTCTTTATTGAATGGAATAAAATGTTGACATTTCTTTGAAACTTGGAACTACTAAATTTCATTTTTCCAAATGGTTCTACATTTTTTTCTTAGTGGTGCAAGTTGTCTTAAGTAGCTTAGGAAGTCAATCTCTGCAAAGTACTTCTGTCCGTTGCCATTCTGATAAAACAAAAACTATTCATTAACTTAACCATATGTGTATTTTTTTTTTTGCTATAACATTTAACACATGAACAGACATCTATTATTTCTCCACTAAAACAAAAGAGTACAATAGTTTTCTTCTATCAGTATTGTATTTAAAAAAGGTTAACATTAAAAACAAAGAACCACTATTTTCTTTGAAATCATTAAATCTACTTGCACTTCTTAAGTTTTCTTCTTCTGTCTGCATTCTTCTGCCAATTTATTCAGAAATTTATTTAATTTCTGATAATGAGGAAGGCTGCTGCAATGAGTATTCTTTGCAACTTCTTCATTTGTATAAAAGAATGAACACAGCTTACCGTAAAACCCTGTTTTAGGTATCACATAGTCCATACCAACAGGAACATTGGGCTGATATGGTCCAATTCTATACTCATCTGGGATTGTATAGTCTGGAAGGCCAATTCTATAGGAAAGCAATTGACTTTTGCACATTGGCCTTGTATCCTGCAGCCTTGCTAAAATTGCTTATCAGTTCCAGAAGTGATTTTGTCCTTTTTTTTTTTTGGATTTTCTAAATAGATGATCATACCACCTGTGAACAAAGAAAGTTGTATTTCTTCCTTCCCAGTCTGCATAGCTTTCATAGCCTTTTATTGCATTAGTTAGGCCTTCCAGTACAATGTTGAAAAGCAGTGGTGAAAGGGGACATCCTTGACTTTTTCCTGACCTTAGTGGAAAAACTTCAAGTTTCTCACCATTAGGTATGATGTTAGCTTGTAGGCTTTTTGTAGATGTTCTTTATCAAGTGGAGGAAGTTCCTATTACTAGTTTGCAGAGTGTTATCATGAACGGGTGTTGGAATTCATAAAATGCCTTTTCTGCATCTATTGATATAATCATGTGATTTTCTCTTTAGCCTGTTGATGTAATTAATTACCTTAATTTATTTTCATATGTTGAAACATCCTTCCATACCAGGAATATATCCCACTTGGTTACAGTTACCTCTGCTTCTACCTTCTGGAAGAGATTATAGAGAATTGGAACAATTTTTTCCTTAAACGTTAGGTAGAATTCACCAGTGAACTCATTTGGACCTGGTGCTTTCTGTTTTGGAAAGTTATTAATTACTGATTTAATGAATTTAATAGATATAGGCCTATTCAAATTGTCTATTACTTCTTGAGTGAGTTTTGGCAGATTGTGTCTTTCAAGAAACTGGTCCATTTCATCTAGGCTACCAAATTTGTGGGTATGGAGTTGTTAATATTCCTTTTTTATGCTCTTAATATCTATGGACTCTGTAGTGATGTCTTGTCTTTCATTTCTGATATTCTCAAATTGTGTTTTCTCTTTTTTTCTTAGTTAACCTGCCTAGAGACATCAATTTTATTGGTCTTCAAGGAACCAGCTTTTTGTTTTGCTGATTTTCTTTACTGATTTTCTGTTTTCAATTTTATGTATTTATGCTCTAATTTTTATCATTTATTTTTTCTGCTTACTTTGGATTTAATTTTCTCTTCTTTTTCTAGTTTCCTAAGGTGGAATCCTAGGTTATTTATTTTATATCTTTCTTATTTGCTGGTATACACATTCAATACTATAAGTTTCCCTCTAAGCACTACTTTCACTGTATTCCACAAATTTTGATCAGTTGTGTTTCCATTTTTATTGACTTCAAAATATTTTTAAATTTCTCTTGAAATTTCTTCTTTTAACCATGTGGTATTTAGAAGTGTGTTGTTTAACCTGTAAGTATATGGGGATTTGGGGGACTATCTTTCTGTTATTGTTTTCTAGTTAAATCCATTGTGGCCTGAAAAATAGACATTGTATGGTTTCTATTTGTTAAATGTATTAAGGTATGTTTTGTGGCCTAGGATGTGGTCTATCTTGGTTCCTTGTAAGCTTGAGAAAAATGTGTATTATGCTGTTCTGGGATGAAGTTGTCTGTAGATGTCCATTATGTCCAGCTGCTTAATGATGTTGTTGGGTTCGACTATGTCTTTACTGATTTGCTACCTGCTAGATCTGTACATTTCTTATAGAGGGCTGTTGAAGTCTCTAACTTTAACAGCAGATTCATCTATTTCTCCTTGCACTTCTACCAATTTTTGCACATGCCCATTAAGAATTGTCTTCTTGAAATATTGACTGCTTTATCATTGTGTAATACCTCCCTTTATCCCCAATAACTTTCCTTGCTCTGTTGCTTTGAAGTCTATTTTGTCTGAAAATAATACAGCTACTGCCCCTCAAAGTAGCTAAACTACAGGTGCACACTACCACAGCAGGCGAGTTTTATTTTATTTTTTGTAGAGACAAGATCTCACTATGTTGTCCAGGCTGGTCTTGAACTCCTAAGCTCAAGTAACCCACCCACCTTGGTCTCCCAAAGCACTGGGATTACAGGCTTGAACCATCACTCTCAGCCCCACTTTCTTTTGATTAATATTAGCATGTTCTGTTTTTTTTCCATCCTTTTATTTTCATCTGTATGTGTCTTTATATATCTAAAGTGTATTTCTTCTAGACAACATGTAATTGGGTCATTTTTTAATCCATTCTGACAATCTGTTGTTTAACTAACATATTTATGCCATTGATGTTTAAGAAGTTCATTGATAGTAATTGGATTACTATATACCAGATTTGTTATTATTTTCTATTCTTTGTCTTTGTTCTTTGTTCCTATTTTTGTCTTCCATATTTTTTCTGCTTTTTGCATATTTAAATATCTTTTAGATTCTATTTTTTCTCCTTTCTTGGCCTACCAATTATATTCCTGTATTCTCTAAGTGGTTGCCCTGCAATTTTTAATATACATTTACAACTAATCCAAGTCTACTTTTAAATAACATTATCCCACTTAATGGGTATTACAAGTACCTTACAATAATGAAATAATTCTAATTCCACTCTCCTATCCCCTGTATCATTGCTGTCATTTATTTTACTTATACATACTGTCATTTATTTTACTTATACATACATATATACATATACATACACACACATATGTGTATATATGTGTAGATATATACATATATATACAGACACATATATATTCAATTATATTGTTGCTGTTATTATTTTGAACAAATTGTTATGTTAAATCAATTAAAAATAAGAAAAGTAATTTTTAAAATTTTACCTGTACTTATCCATTCTCCAATTTACAAGTTTTTCACAGTTTGTATTTTCCGCTAAGCAATATCAATTATCTTCTGTGCATTCATAACACATCACATTCAACCAGAGATATATGGATAGCAAGGGTCATCTCATGACCCTCAGTCAGCCATGTCCAATCTACTAATGAGCTCACTGAAGACATTCTTTGTTTCTGTTACAGTGTTTTTTATTTCTAGCATTTCTTTTTTATGTTTCTTAAAATTTCTATCTCTCTGCTTACAATATCCATCAGTGTTAGCATGTTGTCTACTGTTTCCCATTAAAGCCCTTGGAACATGAAGCATTGTTTTTTAAAATTCCTGGTCTGATAATTTCAACATTCCTGACATATCTAACTCTAGTTCTGATGCTTTTTTAGTCTCTTCAAACAATATTTTTGCCTTTAGTATGACTTTATAAATTTTTATTGATAGCCAGACATGATACACTGCATAAAAGAAACATGGCAAATAGTCCTTTAGTAATGTGGTAAGGTGTGGGAGAGGGGAAGCATTATTTAGTCCTGTGATTAGGTCTCAGTCTTTCGATGAGCATGTGACCCTAGACTGTGAACTTTGCCAGTGCTTCTCAGTTTTTTTCACCCCTTAGATAGGACACGATGTCTTGATGAGGCTGAATTTCCTCTCTTTTTATAAATATATCATCCCATTGTCTTCTGGCCTCCATTGTTTTTGAGATGTCCATTATTAATTTTATTTTATTTTATTTTAAGTTCCAGGATACATGTGGAGAACGTGCAGGTTTGTTACATAGGTAAACATGTGCCATGGTGGTTTGCTGCACCTATTAACCCATCACCAGGGTATTAAACCCCCCATGCATTAGCTGTCTATCTTGGTGCTCTCCCTCCCCCTACCCACTCCCCCAAATATGCCTCAGTGTGTGTTGTTCATCTACCTGTATCCATGTGTTCCCATTGTTCAGCTCCCACTTATAAGAACATTCAGTGTTTGGTTTTCTGTTCCTGTGTTAGTTTGCTGAGGATAATGGCTTCCAGCTCCATCCATGTCCCTGCAAAGGACATGATCTCAATCCTTTTTTTAGCTGCAGAATATTCTATCCATAGATTTCCATCCCACCAGGAATATAGGGGAGCTTATAGGTGACAACCAAGGCTGTCTCATTCCCTGAATAACTCTACTAGGTTTCTGGCTAGTTTGCTAGTCTGTTCCTTGCCCAAACTAGGATCACAGCCTCATGTTATCGGTGATGTTGGCCTTCTCTGTTCATTTCCCACTTAGATTGCTACTGTTTCTGACAATGCCTAGTGCCATAGGTTTTTTTTCATACTGCACAAAAATCAAGTTAGCCTCTTCCAGCAGAAAAGCGGCCGGTTCTCACAGTTAGCCCTACTCTAGTAGAGCTACCATGCTGATAGAGCTGGGGAGGGGGATGGGAATGAAAGGAGCACCAGGCTAAAATGCCACAAAGTCTGACTGTTTTTATGAAATGGTCAGTATTTTTCTTAAAAAAAAAAAACTCTTCTCAATTTTTTGTATGCCTTTGTGTGCTTTATCTAGTGAGATTGAAGACATTATCCAATGTTTACATGTTGAGAATATACCCTAAATAAAAGTTTGCATATACACACTAAGACATATATACAAAGATGTTCACAATAATTTTGTTTATTGTGGCCTCAAGCTACAAACAGCCCAAATTTAAACTATGGTATGTTTATATGACAAACTATTATGAAGCTACATAAAACCACATTGGTGAATCTCACAAACATAATGCTGAGCAAAAGAAGTCATACACAAAAGGAATACATGATGATTGTATTTATACAAAGTTCAATAACAGGCAATTCTGAATAAGAGACATACATAATTGGAAAACTCTAATGAAACTCACAAATAATTTTCCCCAAAATCAGCATAGTGGTTACTTCTAAGATAAGAAAAGAGGTGTGATGATCAACTCAGGGAGCTTATAGAGTTAAAATCATGTTCTATTTCTTGATGTGGGTGGCAGTTTACATAGGTGCTTGTTTTGTTTTGTTTTGTTTTGTTTTGTTTTGTTTTGTTTTGTTTTTTGAGATGGAGTCTCGCTCTGTCGCCTAGGCTAGAGTGCAGTGGCGCGATCTCGGCTCACTGCAAGCTCCGCCTCCCGGGTTCACGCCATTCTCCTGCCTCAGCCTCCCGAGTAGCTGGGACTACAGGTGCCTGCCACCATGGCCAGCTAATTTTTTGTATTTTCAGTAGAGACAGGGTTTCACCATGTTAGCCAGGATGGTCTCGATCTCCTGACCTCGTGATCCACCCACCTCGGCCTCCCAAAGTGCTGGGATTACAGGTGTGAGCCACAGTGCCCGGCCTGGTGCTTGTTTTTTAATTATTCATTGAACTATATATTTTACGCACTTTTCTGTATTGTGGTATAGTTTAAAATATAAGTGTCAGGCACTGGGGAACTTATCAAAGATATTGTACTATATCTGTGCAATAGAAAACTATGCAGATGTTTAAAAGTATAAAGTAGATCAATATGCACTGACATTAAAGTCATCAGTGATACACTGAGTGAAAAAAATCAGGTGGTGAACAATTTATAAAGTGTGATTTAGTCTATAGTAAAAAAAAGTTAGAAGGATATTTGCAGTCATAATGCTATTTATCTTGTGGTATTAAGAGTGAGGAAGGACTAAAGTGGAGAAAACTTTTATTTTATAAATTGATGTACTTTTTGGGTATTTAAAATGCCCATGTATTATTTTTATAAATTTAAAATATATATATTCCCCTTTTGAAGAAACTATATGTTTAGGAGGAAAAAAAACCCAGGTCATCTGGCAAGAAAGGTACCATCTGACTTAATGTGACTCAAAAATCATGAGGACCATATTGAAATTAAATGTAAAGAGCTGAGAAACTACATTTTTAAATTCTGTAATACATATTGATACTATATATTTATCAAGTAAATTCTGGCAGTTGAAAAAATATTTTCAGGAATATCTTAACAACAGATTAATTCATATAAAAGAATACATTGACTGTCTACCATTACATTGCTGATTTTGCTGTGCTGGACAGCGGGTTCCAGGCTTAGGCAAGTGATTACAACAGTCACAATTCTAGCCCTGAATCACCATGACAACATGAACATATAATTATATACATGCATTGGAAGAAAACCAAAGAATGAGAAATACAAAAGCATGCAGGGATAATTTTTTTTTATTCTGTGAAGGAAAACACAGAACAGAATGATTTTTAAAAATGTTTCTTACAAAAGAACACCATGTTTGTGAAAATAGTTAATTAAATGGATTTAAGTGTAACACAACTTAAACACTATGACCATTTCCATCTTTCAGCCCTCTTGATTTATCAAAGCTCTCAATAGCACACTCAGGAGCATTCAAACAAAACTAAACAGCAATAAAGCTTTTCTAAGCTTCCTGTAATTTGAGTGACAATTTATATAATTACAAGTATTTGACAACTTTTTTATCATTTCTAAATGATTATGAATATCTATGAGTTTAGAAGATTATATTTTGAAATGCATTTATATACAACCCTGCCATAAAAAAAGCAAAATAAATTAAGCTATTACTATGTTTAGGCTGTTGGTTTATAGTGTGATATATATGAAATAAGAATTTTCAAATAAAGCCAAAGGAAGGGGTTAGTTACCGGATCTAAACATTAGTAGAAGCAGCCTGATTCTCTTTTGTTGGTGGTTCAGATCTCGCTAAATAGAATCGTGTAATTAGCCTCATACACATTGGAGAAACATGGAAGGAAGATCATATGCGTGTGTGTGTATAGATATATATGCCAACATCCAGATTAAGCAAAGGAAAGGAAATGATCAAATGCACCTGAAGGATGTATTCACTCTCTAGAGTAGAGAGACTAAGTAAATCTGCCACTCCTCAAGGGCTAGAGGGAGCTTCTTTGTTTAACATTAAACAAACACTTGACAGCACTCTGTTGAGCACTTGGAATAAGAAATAATCTCCATTATCAAATGGCTCACCAGCTAGTTGGGAAGACAGACAAGTAAGCAATTACCATAGTAGGGCATCGAAAAGTAGAAGAACCATGCATCCCGTTGCCCAAGACAATCCAATGTATTCCTATTATTCTAGCCTAATTTTTAAAATTAGTGTTAATTTCAATTTCAAATCTGTCCTGATTTAGACAATAATTTATGTGAACACATTCACAGGGACATTATGGGAGTCATAGAAAGACACTTAATGCAGCAAAGGGAAGGCTTCCTAGAGGAGGTTCTGCCTGAAGTAAGTCTTAAAGGATTAGTTAACCAAGTGAAGAAGGAGGGTGGAAAACCTGGCAGACACTAGAATTAAGCTAACTAATGGCATCATGTCTCTAGTATTTTCCTAACAAAGACTTTTTGTCTGCACTCAAAATTATGTGATGTCACAAATGGGGGAGACCTGGTTCCTCCAACTCCCTTAGCAAGCCTCTTGAAGATTTCAAATTCCAGGAACACATATGCAAATGTGGCTGGGGTACTTCCTCATAATTTTATGTAGCCTGTTTTCTCTCAGCCATCAGGCAAAATCATGAAAACAGTAGAGTCTACAGCCACAACTAGTAACACCTATTACATTTGTTAGCCTAGCATTGCTTTGTTTGTTTTGTTTTGTTTTGAAAAAAAAAAGGCTCCTCACCCAGCAGGTGAGGATATCAGTTATATAGCCCGACTCTTGGCATCATGTGGGAGGGCATGTTACCCAGCATGGCCAGGGTCCTTTTAGAGGGTTGATCAGGATGCTAAGATATCACTAAGCATAATGAGCTGCTGGTAACCCTCTTTACCACCACTCATTACATTCTGCCTAAAAATAAAGTTAACATGGAATAAAACAGACCTAAGAAATGGAAAGAGAATCCTAGAAACATTCTTTGAATCCCTAGATGCAACAGTACCTGATACTCTTGAATTTTTCCAATATATAAGCCAACAATTCCACCCTCAGTTGTACAATGAAAGGTTTTTTAATTTCTCTGTAACTGTAGTGGCGAGGGCAGGAATGTGGAGGCAGGGTGGAGAAGGGAGGATAAGACACTAGTCCTCTTTGGTAACCTCAGTTAAAACCAATAACTCAGCTCAGTCTTTACTTAAGAAATTCAAGTAAATCTCTATTTTTTAAAGGTCTGAGCCCTCCCACTCCTCTCAAAGAAAGCATAGAAGTGTATGGGACAGAAACATGGCTTTATGGCCTAATGGTGTTAGAGGGGAACATTAAGTTATCTTCTGGGCTCTTGTTGCTCTCTATCAAACGTGGCTGGTCTGGTTGCTCTCTGGATTGCTGACCAGTTTGGTATGACTGGTCCAACCCCTGATCATTCTGTGGACATCTGCTTCTGCTGAAGGCCACAGGTGTTTTCTTGGCTGGGGCAGTGCTCTGGTGAGCACCAGTCACCTCCTCTTGCTTAACTGAGTCCCATCCTAATTCTCACTGGGTCCTAAAGTAGCATGGGACTCCCAGTTCAACTCCAATCCAGGTATCTACCTTGCAGCCCTTCTGTGGACTTGGTCCCCATCACATGGAAGAACCCTTCAAATAAGCCTACCAATCAGCACCTTCAACTAGCTTCCCCCTCCCTCCATAGAGCACAGTGGAACTTCTGGATTCTTTCCACACTACATAGGATCTAATGGAGATTCAAGTTACCTAAACTCAGATCCTCTCTCTGCCCAACTATGTTGAACCTCCAAGATGATTTTGATATGGCTATGAAGGTTGTTGAGGTTATCTCCCTCCAGACTGCAATGGGAATTAGGGAAGGGGTCCCTAGGTCTATGACCTCACTCCCTAAGACTTCGGCCTAGAGAAAGCCACACATCCGATCGTTGGCTTTCCCACCCTCAGTCCACCAGGGTTAAAAAAACACAACTTTTCCCTTTTTTTCTTACTGTTTTGCCAAGACCTTCTATATCTAAGACTCTATAATCAAATAAACAAAACAAATACTCCAAGATTAGGTTCATCAGGCTTGCCTCTTTATTTGTTAGAAGAGGAGATAAAAGAATTTACAAACTCCTTTTCTTTGCCAACCTAGTCTCACTTTCGAGCCTGTTACCTTGCTGCATGCTTGAAAATTCTATTTTGGTAATACCTAACTATTAACATTTTCTTTCTCTTTGCACCCTTGCAGTTACAATCCTAATTTAATCTTCTCCTCTGCCTCAAGGTCATGTACCCCAAAATGTAAGTGATAAGCATGTCAATTATTTTTCAAATTGTTACCCTACATTTGTGGTTCTCAAAGTTGATCCCCAAATTAGTAGTGCGGTTAGAAATGTGGATTCTTAGACCTTACCCTAGACTAAATGAGTCAGAAACTCCAGGAATGGAGTCGAAAAATCTGCATTTTCATGAGCTCCTTAAGTGATTCTGATGCTCGCTAAAGCTTGAGAACCACTGCCTTATGTGTTTATATAAAACATTCTCCCTCAAAATGATCAAATGATCAAAGTGTGTACACTGTGTCTCACAGGGGTCTTGCCAACATCTAGGAGGTCACAATATCATTTTAGAAGGTTACTCTAGACAGCTGCAGAAAAGGAATGACAAGGAAATGAGGGAGGAATACAAACGATAGTCATCTCTGGACATGAACAGCACAAACATCGAGTACCTGGAGAGCAAAACAAACTCTGGAGCTCTCAAATTCTTCATTTGGCTTCAGGCCCCATGTTTGACATCATCCCACGTGAGAAAGCAGAGCCCCTACTTATAGGCACCTCTCTGGCCTAACCTAGTCTGCCCAGTTATTCTTGGCAGTCTTTGAGACGTTATGCTTATTTTTTTCTTTCTTTTGTGTGTGTGTGTGTGTGTGTGTGTGTGTGTGTGTGTGTGAAGGAGTCTTGCTTTATCACCCAGGCTGGAGTGCAGTGGCACAATCTCGGCTCACTGCAGCCTCTGCCTCCCGTGTTCCAGCGATTCTCCTGCCTGAGCCTCCTGGGTAACTGGGATTACAGGCGCACGCCACTACCATGCCTGGCTAATTTTTGTATTTTTAGTAAAGATGGGGTTTCACCATGTTGCCCAGGCTGGTCTTGAACTCCTGACCTCAGGTGATCCGCCCGCCTCGGCCTTCCAAAGTGCTGGGATTACAGGCGTGAGCCACTGTGCCCGACCGCTTATTTTTTTCTTTACTGTCTTCCCTCCCTAAAGAATTAATATTCTGTCTATTCTTGAACCTTAAATAATGGGATGGAGGGTATTAACTTTCTAGCCAAAAATTCACAGACTCTAAAGGCATGCACTATACCCAGTTGACTGAGATATGTAATACCAAACAGCCTACATATCAGAACCTCTAAAATACACAATTTAGAAAGCACTGAAGAATGAAAGATGTAATGTGCATATATAATAAATAATATCCAACTGATTTGAGGCCTACTTTTCACTTTAGCCTCATGATAACTTTATGAGTGTATATCATTCTAGGTTGTAAGCAATAGAAACCAAATCTAGTGGCCAGGCGCGGTGGCTCACGCCTGTAATCCCAGCACTTTGGGAGGCCAAGGCGGGCGGATCATGAGGTCAGGAGATCGTGAGGTAAGGAGACGGGGTTTCACCTAGCTAACACGGTGAAACCCCGTCTCTACTAAAAATACAAAAAATTAGCCGGGCGTTGTGGTGGGCGCCTGTAGTCCCAGCTACTCAGGAGGCTGAGGCAGGAGAATGGCGTGCACCCGGGAGGCAGAGGTTGCAGTGAGCCGAGACTGCGCCACTGCACTCCAGCCTGGGCAACAGAGCAAGACTCCATCTCAAAAAAAAAACAAAAAACAAAAAAAACCAAATCTAGCTAAATTAAGCAGAAACTTGAAATGACAGAAAGATACTGAGCTAATTCAAAGAACTGAAGGAAAGCTAGAGAGGAAATATCTATTTATCTGGGTAGAAACAGAAACAAAGGTAACTCCATGGATCCAAGTAGGAAGAACTGATGGATATCTCACAGGGAATCACCACCATGAGCCAGAAATAAAAAGTGTTTTTTTGTTTTGCTTTGTTTTTCTAACCTATGGTAATTCTCTCAGGAAATAAAGCCCCAGAGAGAGACTCTGATCAGCTAGTTTGAAAGACGTGTCTACCCCTTGGCCAGAAAAAGGCAGGACACCATATATGACAGTCTCTCCAAATGGGAGGAGAAAATCCCCAAAAGGAAATCAAGTTTTGTCACCAAAAAAGGAGAAATGGATGTTGGGTGGCCAAGAAATATCCATCATGATGATACCAAAGTGTTAGCTGAGGAACCTGAACTCCTGAGAAGTTGTAACTACCCCAAATCCCACAACAAGTAAAAGTCCAAGTAAGCAAGCTTCTGACTCACACATCACTCCTCTTCCTTTTTCACTTCACTCATCTGATTTTCTGACTTTAACCTTCACAGTTAAACAGATAGTGAGCTCTACATTGACACAACAGTAAATGTGAATGTTAAGTTTTAAAAGCCCAAAGACTGTAGTGTAGAAGAGTGGCCCTACTAGCACCCTTCCTCTCCACTTTTCTTCACTTTTCTTCTGCTGTGTCCAGAGTGAGTTCTGTGATGCCCCAGAAATATTAAACACTTAATAACATTTAATATCTTACATATTAAACACTTAATAACATTTAATATCTTACATATTAAACACTTAATAACATTTAATATCTTACATATTAAACACTTAATAACATTTAATATCTTACATATTAAACACTTAATAACATTTAATATCTTACATATTAAACACTTAATAACATTTAATATCTTACATATTAAACACTTAATAACATTTAATATCTTACATATTAAACACTTAATAACATTTAATATCTTACATATTGAACACTTAATAACATTTAATATCTTACATATTGAACACTTAACATTTAATATCTTACATATTGAACACTTAACATTTAATATCTTACATATTGAACACTTAATAACATTTAATATCTTACATATTGAACACTTAATAACATTTAATATCTTACATATTGAACACTTAATAACATTTAATATCTTACATATTGAACACTTAATAACATTTAATATCTTACATATTGAACACTTAATAACATTTAATATCTTACATATTGAACACTTAATAACATTTAATATCTTACATATTGAACACTTAATAACATTTAATATCTTACATATTGAACACTAATAACATTTAATATCTTACATATTGAACACTAATAACATTTAATATCTTACATATTAAACACTTAATAACATTTAATATCTTACATATTAAACACTTAATAACATTTAATATCTTACATATTAAACACTTAATAACATTTAATATCTTACATATTAAACACTTAATAACATTTAATATCTTACATATTAAACAATAACATTTAATATTTAAAATATTAAACATTTAATAACATTTAATATTTTAAATATTATATATATTTATTATTAAAAGGCCCTCAATAAAGTCACAGAAAGGAAAGTACTTCTAGTTTCTCAGTGCCTGGATTGACTGATCTTCTCTCTTCTATTATCTCAGGCACATTAAAGAATTCTTGAAGGTATAATATTTAATATTATAATAATATTGAGCTTAAAGCAAATTGTCCTAGCTTTGCCATGAACTAGCCATGAGACCTCAGACAGGTTACTTGACATCTCCAGACCTCAGTTTCTCAGTTTTCTCATCTGTAAAATGAATTCATGGGATCAGATATCTAAAATCCCATCTCCAAGATCTTAAGCAATTAAAATAAAAAGAAGATCTATATATTTCTAAAGGCCTTTGTCTCTAAGCCTGAAAACTAGACAGCTGACACTGTATTTTCTTATTCATTGCAACTTTCCCAGCACATATAAAATGACCCCCTGAAAAGCTTGTCTGCTGCCATCATTTTCAGAAGTTGTAATTAAACAATGAGAGGATTGGCCCTTCAATAAAGTCACAGAAAGGAAAGTACCTGCAGTTTCTCAGTGCCTGGATTGACTGATCTTCTCTCTTCTATTATCTCAAGCACATTAAAGAGTTCTTGAAGGTATAATATTTAAACTAAACCTATACGTGTCTTTATAAATGTAAAATAGAAATGTTTTAATAATAACAAGAAATAGCCTATACCCATCCTTGACTCTTTAATTCACCAAATGATGTCAAAGAGAAGTATAAATTTTTAAACTATAAATACATCTACCTTTCATGGCACCACATTAATCTACCCCTTTATGTGAAACAATACTACTAATTCCCATTAAAGCTTTCCTGAATAAAAAGCTATTTTGTGGACACAGAAATCCACTTTTTCTGAATCTCATTTCTTTTTATCTTTACCACTGCCATTCTGCTCTTTCTTTGTGCAAAAGAGTAAATCCTTTCAGAGCCAACAGGCTCAAATACCATAGCGACTGAGATTACCAATACTGACATCCCAGCTGAATAAACCATAAGGAACATTTCTTCTCACCTTTCACCTTGAAATAATCACAGCAGTGCAAGTGCAGCCTCCTTGGTGACAAATGACAGGAAAAGGAAAATCATTCCTCACACTTTAGCATTGGAAATTGACTTCAATAATAGTGTATAAAGTTATTCTTTTAAAAATAAAATTTTCTAGGAATAATACCAAATTTGGAAAAACTTATATAGACAACAGAATCTCTCTATTTTTGCATTTATTCTGAAGTGCCTCAAATTGTCTCCACCCTTCTGTATTCACTAAAAATACTTACACTTATTATTTGTTTGATGTTTTTAAAGAATTGGCTGCAAGATTCCTTCATCCTATTGTCAATAAATTGTTTGAGAGGCACAGATTAACTCTTCCATTGCTAATGACTCTCATCTTATAACCCCTGTACAGTAGTGCTAAGGTTTGAATGTCCTCTCCAAAACTCGTGTTGAAATTTAATTGCCATTGTTATAGTATTAAGAGGTGGGACTGTTAGGAGGTGATTAGGCCAGGCGGGCTCTGCTCTCATGAATGGATTAATGTCATTATCATGGGAATAGGTTGTATAAAATAGAATAAAACCTTCCCAAACAGGTTGTAAAAAATCCAGTTCAGCCCACTCTTGATCGCTTGCTCTCATCCTCTCTTGTTTTTCCACTTTCCACCATGGAATGACACAGCACAGAGGCCCTTGCCAGATGCCAGTGCCATGCTCTTGGACTTCTCAATCTCCAGAACCATGAGCCAAATACATTTATGTTCATTGTAAATTACTCAGTTGGTGGTATTCTGTTATAGCAACATAAAATGAATGAATACAAGTAGTGTGCAGTAGTTAAGACACACAAAAGGTTTTCAAGGTACTCATTATAATAATTTAAAAGTATTTGATAAATGCAAGGACGTAGAGGTATAAACTGGCAATAATCTTCTGGCAACAATGTCCATCTGGTAACAAAGACCTAAATCTGGTCAAAATTTTATTCCAAACTCATTATCTTTTCCCTTCTCCCCCGCATCTCCATCTTTCCATATTTCTGTTGTCAACTCCCTTAGTCACCAAATGATAAAACTTTATGTCACAATCATCTCCTCTCCTACGTTTTATATTAATTCATCACTAAATCTCATAGTATCTACCTCAAACGTGCCCACCTCCACCATCTCAATACATACCCCCTCACCTCTTGTGTGAACTACTGTAATGGTTTCTACTCTTTAGTCCCCCTAGTCCGGTTTTTCCCATTTCACTAACTTGACACTGTCACCTACTATCTTCCCAAAACATAATGATGATCACATCAGCCTCAAGTTTACCATTCCAGATGTAGAGAGGCCAGCCACTGACAGAATAATTCAGCAAAGGTGGAACAGAACAGGGAAAGAAACATCTCAATCTCTGTCTCTTACTACCTTCTAACCAATTTCCTACTCTATCTGCCATTGGGTGAATCCATCTGGAAGCCAAAAGAGATCCTGGATGATGTATACTATAAAAGACAGCCCCTTAGGATACAAAACAAGGCAGAGCTGGGCAAAGAATGGACATAAGAGTGCACACAGCGAATAACCTAGACTTCCTCACCCCTTCTTTATGTTTCAGATGCCCACTCAGCCCATAAAATGCAGGACAAAAGTTACCTTTCCATGTTTCTCAAAAAACTAAAAATAAAGCTACCATACAATCCAGCAACCTCACTAGTGGGTATTTACCCAAAGGAAAGGAAATCAGTATATCAAAGAGAAACTTGCACTCCCGTGTTTCCTGCTGCACTATTCACAATAGCCAGGACCATGGAATCAATCTAAGTGTCCATCAACAGATAAATGGATAAAGAAAAGTTGGTATACATACATAGTGGAATACTATTCAGCCATAACAAAGAATGAAATTCTCACATTGATGGCAACATGCATGAACCCAGAGGTTATTGTGCTAAGCAAAATAAGTCAGGCACAGAAAGATAAATACTGCATGTTCTCACTCATATGTGAGAGTTAAAAAGTCTTTTTGAGCTCATGGAAGTACAGAGTAGAATTGCAGATATTAGTGGTATTTTTTTTTCCTCTTGTGAATTTGTTGAAGTTCTTTGTAGACTCTGGACATTAGACCTTTGTCAGATGGATAGATTACAAAAATTGTCTCCCATTCTATAGGTTGTCTCTTCACTCTGATGATAGTTTCTTTCACTGTGCAGAAGCTCATTAGTTTAATTAGATCCCATTTGTCAATTTTGACTTTTGTTGCAATTGCTTTTGGCATTTCATCATGAAATCCTCGACCATACCTATGTCATGAATGGTATTGCCTAGATTTTTTTCTAGGTTTTTATAGTTTTGGGTTTTACATTTAAGTCTTTAATCCATCTTGAATTAATTTTTTTGTATGGTGTAAGAAAAGGGTCCAGTTTCAACTTTCTGCATATGGGTAGCCAATTCTCCCAGCACCATTTATTAAATAGGGAATCTTTTTCCCATTGCTTGCTTTTGTCAGGTTTGTTGAAGATCAGATGATTGTAGGTGTGTGGTCTTATTTCTGAGTTCTGTATTCTGTTCCATTGGTCAATGTGTTTGTTCTTGTACCAACACCATGCTGTTTTGGTTACCGTAGCCTTGTAGTACAGTTTGAAGTCAGATAGCATGATGCCTCCAGCTTTGTTCTTTTTGCTTAGGATTGTCTTGGCTATTTGGGCCCTTTTTGATTCCATATGAATTTTGAGATAGTTTTTTCTAATTCTGTGAAGAATGTCAATAGTATTTTAACGGGAATAGCATTGAATCTACAAATTACTTTGGGCAGTGTGGCCATTTTTATGATATTGATTCTTCCTATCATGAGCATGAAATGTTTTTCCATTTGTTTGTGTCCTCTCTGATTTCTTTGAGCAGTGGTTTGTAGTTCTCCTTGAAGAGGTTCTTTACTTCCCTCGTTAGCTGTATCCTAGGTGTTTTTTGTTGTTGTAGCAATTGCGAATGGGAGTTCATTCATGATTTGGCTCTCTGGTTGCCTGTTGGTGGTGTATAGGAATGCTAGCAATTTTTGCACATTGATTTTGTATCCTGAGATTTGACTGAAGTTGTTTATCAGCTTAAGAAGCTTTTGGGCTGAGACAATGAGGTTTTCTAGATATAGGATCATTTCATCTGCAAACAAAGATAATTTGACTCCTGAAGAGAAGCTTTTGAATGCTCACAACACAAAGAAGTGATATTTGAGGTGTGATAGATATGCTAATTACCCTGATTTGATCATTATATATTGTTTACACATCATTAAACATTGCATACACATATTGAAAAATCTCTTTGTATCCATAAATATGTACAGTTATTACATGTCAACTAAAAATTAAAGGAAAAAGTTATCTTCCCAGGTAGAGTTACTCCCTTCTTTTTTTACTTTTTCATATCTATGTCTATATATTACTTATAACATTTCATTGCAATTTGTCTGTTTACTTATCCTTTCCCCCAAGCCTCTTCAAAATGAGAACATTATCTTATGTTTTATTTAATTCACACAGTCCTTAGCATATTGTTGGCTCTGGGTGTGTGTGGTGCCTTGGAGAGGCTGAGGATTTGGGGTTAAATGAATGGATTGAGAGGAAAATAGGGCTTTCCTATTATTTCATATGGAAAGAAATAATCAAAGTTAAGCACCATGCATTTGAATCCACAGACCCTGCCTGATGCCAGACTGCCAAATCCACAGACCCTGCCTGTGTCCACACTGCCTCAAGGAAATGCATGGGGTATACCACGTATCAATCAAGAAAGAGCTCTTTAATGAAGTACTTAATGGATAAGCCAACTTCACTCTCACCAGTCACACAGGTTGCCCTAAAGTTCTCTGGAGTGGCTACACCTCAAAGTTGCTCATGGATTCCCTGAATAACCTTTCCACATACTAATATTTACCTCTTTCACTCTGTGGCATTAAGACGTGTGTTCTATATATCATACCCACACAGGATGACTTCAACACTCCTATCTGACTTCAAATTGAGGCAAGGCTGTATTTGTTCATGTAAATTTGATGTGTGAATTTATCTCTAAGAAGCAGTCTCACAATCTCTCTTAGACCTTCTTGTCTGCATTTTTTGAATGAGGTTGCATAACATGAAATAATATGCAACCAACAAAATGCTTATAAAGATATTTAATGACATAAGGAAATGCTTATGATAAAGTTTTAAGCAAAAAAATGAAGTTTCAAAATTGAATAAAATATGTTATTTCAACCAGATAAAATAAAACATACTTTAACTACAACAAAACAATTATTATTAACAGTGGTAATCTCTGCTGATGGGATTTATATGACTTTTATTCTTTTGCCTATACTTTTCTGTTTCTTATAATTTTTTGAAATAGCCATATTTATATATTTTTAAAATCAATCAGTTTATTTTGTAAACCTGCTTCATTGTATTGCTGGGGAAGAATCAGTTAAAAAGAGCACTGTGATTCCTGGTACAATTTTCATATTGTCATACTTTCTTAGAATCAATTTACATCTCACAGTTTCTAAAAGAATTTTTTTTTTTTTTTTTTTGAGATGAAGTCTCATTCTGTCACCCAGGCTGGAATGCAGTGGTGTGATCTCTGCTCACTGCAACCTCTGCCTCCCGGGTTCAAGAGATTCTCCTACTTCAGCTTCCTGAGTAGCTGGGATTACAGGCACCTGCCACCATGCCTGGCTAATTTTTCTATTTTTAGTAGCGACAGGGTTTTGCCATGTTGGTCAGGCTCATCTCGAACTCCTGACCTCAAGTGATCTGCCCACCTCAGCCCCCCAAAGTGCTGGGACTATAGGCATGAGCCACCATACCCGGCCCAAGAATTCTGTTCTAATAATGGAAAATATGTTTTCAAAGTTAAAAGAATTTTGGTGAGGTTTTTTAATACTATTCTTCAATTCAAAGTCTTATCCAGCCTGGGAGAAAAGCAGTTATCCAAATTTAGCTCCCTCTAACTTTCCTGTCTCATATAAGTAGAAGAGGAAAAAAGCTAAGAAACATTTGTGAATGTCACAGGACAGAGACACAAGCACATTAAAAAACTGAGACTTCATCTCAAAATTATAAAATGCTTTCCCATCTCCACATCTTACCACTACATCAACAGGGTTCCAGTATAATAAACAGCAGATTACAATGAAAAGAGCTGCAAGACACAGACTCTTCTCTAAGAAGATCTTCTTTCAGAAACCCAAAGCCAACATGGATGGGAAAAATAAAGACACTAGAGGAAACCAAAGCCTCTGGCATTTACAATTATGGGAAATATTAAACTCCTAGCCAGAATGACAAAAAAAAACTCATACCAATGGCTTATTTGTCTCAGCTCCTATTACCCAATACATCATGTCCAGCTTTAAACAAAAAATGACAAGGCATGCTCCAAAGCAAGTAAAAATACAATCTAAAGAGACAAAGCAAATATCAAAACCAGACTCAGATATGACACAGACTTTGAAATTATCACATAAGGAATCTTAAACAACTGTAATTAATATATAAAGAGTTCTAGTGGAAAAAAGTAGACAAAATGCAAAAACATATGGTTATTGTAAGCAGAGATGAAAATTCTAAGAACAATTAAAGGAAATGATAGAAAACAAAAAACAGACATTAATAAATTTCAAAAGCTTATCGATATATCAAAGAAGCCAGTTTGAAAAAGTCTTCATACTGTATGACTTCAATTACGTTACAATCTGAAAAAGGCAAAATTATAGAGACAGTAAAAAGATCAGTGGTTAACCAGGAATTAGGGGTAGCGACAAAATGGAATAGGTAATTGTTAGTCCAGGAGATTTTTAGGGCAGTGAAAGTGTTCTGTTTGACAATGAAATGGTAGATATATGACATTATGCATTTGCCATAACCTATAGAACTTTACAGAACAAAAAGTGAATGTTAATGTATTTGAGTTAAAAAGTCATTTAAGAGATTGGGGGTTTCCATAAAGGAATTATGATTGTGACAAAAGTATCTAATTCTTGTTTAAAATGTATAAAACACCCCACTGAAAGAAGCAGGGGGAAAAGGTGCTGACCTAAGGTTCTTTAGTAATGAGTGAAGTCTGTAAGGCTAAAGGCATAGAAAGTGTATATAAGCACTGTACTCCAGTTAACAAAGTTATTTCCCAATAGGGTATGAGTTAACCATTCTGATACTGCTACACATATATATTGGAATTGAACAATTAAATAAATAATGGTAGATGTCAGTAGCCATGTTTCTTACTGTTGGAGTAGAAAATTACAGATACACAAGTGGAGCAGGCAGGAATAATCCAAATGGTAATGGATTATAACTGGAGTTATCAGTATGAATTCACGTTTAGCTTAATATAGATAATTTACATATGGAAGCATTTATAGATAAGTATATGTACCAGGTTAGTATACACACATATATTTTCTTGCTCTGTCAGCTGAGAGGACCTAAGAGAAACAGCACCCCCATAACATAAGCACACCTAGCACCGAGTTCTTGGTTTGTAATTCCCTTATCCAGGAAAAGGATACAGGGCTTCTTGAAGAAATGGCTAATTCTATGACTAAGGTAGGAAATATACAAGATGAGCCTGGAGGATCTAGTAATGCCAGAAAATTAGGAAGTGAAAAAAAAAACCCACAAAAAACAACAATAACAACAACAAAAAAAACCCTACCCTGATAGGAATGTGTCAAAGGGACACAAGAGCCAAGTGAAAAAGCTCCCAATGGCCAAAGATAAAATAATTTTCACAATAAAATAAATAAGGCAGTA
Source organism: Homo sapiens (assembly GCF_000001405.40). NCBI lineage: Eukaryota > Metazoa > Chordata > Mammalia > Primates > Hominidae > Homo > Homo sapiens. Next base: position 181,126,285 of record NC_000003.12, on the reverse strand, counting down.
CAGAGTTATTACCCAAAGTATAAAATATATACCTGTGAGTCTATTCTGAAATAAGTAAATGATTGAATAAGTAAACAAATGAGAGAGATGAGACAAGTTTCATTTCCCCTCTATGGAAAAATTCCAAATAATTTATTGTAGATATGATACCTCATGGAAAAGGAGCATAATTGCCCACTCCTTAAGTGTGTCCTCTGCAAACTGACCTCTTTACAAAGAAGGTAGTATGAAAGATCGGAAACGAAAATTAATTTTGCAATAAAAAAATCTAGCAAACATCACCTCAGCCAGGTGATCAAGATCAACATCAACAGTGATAAGTAATGCAGATTATATCTACCATTGATATGATGTGATGAAAATGTCACTTTACTTCTGTGTTTTACCTTCTAGAAATCCATAACCCCAGTCTAATTATGAGAAAAATAACAGTGAAAGTGTAATAGAAGGCATTCTATAAAATACCTTTCCAGTATTCCTCAAAACTGTCAAGGTTATGGTAATAAGTTGGATAACGGACACCCAAGGATGTCAGGTCCCGGAACTTGTAAACATTACCTTATTTGGAAAAAAAAATAAAAAGCCTTTGATGTTGAGATGAGATTACTTGGATTATCTGGGTGGGCCCTAAATGTGGTGGGCCCTAAACCCCATGTGCCCTTATAAAATAGAGGTAGAGAGAGATTTAACAAAGGACACACATAGGAGAAGGCAATGTGAAGATGGAAGCAGAGATTAGAGTGATGCAGCCCCAAGTCCAGGAATGCCAGAAGCTGGATGAGGCAAGGAGTGATTCCCCCTAAAGTCCCCTGACAGACTGTGGCCCTGTGGGACTTCAGACTTCTAGCATCCAGAACTGTGAGAGAACAAATTTATATCATTTTAAGCAATAAATTTCATGGTAATTAGTAACAGCAGCCACAGAAAACTAATACACTCATTAAAAACAAGGGAAGTCTAAGAAATTGTTGTAACCAAGAGAAGTCTAAGGAGACATGACAACTAAATGTAATGTGGTATCCTGGATGAGCTCCTGGAACAGAAAAAGTACATAGGATAAAAACTAAGGAAATCTGAATCCTTGAGGTCCAGAACAAGACAAAGATGCCCACTCCTATTCAACATAGTACTGTAAGTCCTAGCCAGAGCAATCAGGCAAGAGAAAGAAATAAGAGACATCCAAATAGAAAGAAAGTCAAACAATATTTGCAGATGATATGATTCTATACCTAGAAAACTCCATAGTCTCTCCCCAAAAGGTCTTAGATTTGATAAGCAACTTCAGCAAAGTTTCAGGATATAAACTCAATGTACAAAAATTAGTAGCATTTCTATATACCAACATTGTCTAAGCTGAGAGCCACATCGAGAACACGATTGCATTCACAATAGCCACAAAAGGAATAAAACACCTAGGAATACAGCAAACCAGGGAGGCGAAAGGCCTCTATAATGAGAAATCACAAAACACTGCTCAAAGAAATCACAGATGACACAAACAAATGGAAAAACATTCCATGTTCATGGATAGAAAGAATCAATAGTGTTAAAATGTCCATACTGCCCAAAGCAATTTACAGAGTCAATACTATTCCTATCAAACTACCAATGGCATTCTTCACATGATTAGAAAAAAAACTATTTTAAAATTCATACAGAAGCAAAAAAAAATGTCTGGATAGCTAAGGCACAAAGGCAATCATAACCAAAAAACAAAAACAAACAAAAAAAGCTGGAGACATCACATCACCTGACTTCAAACTATACTACAAGGTTACAGCAACCAAAACAGCATGGTTCTGGTACAAAAACAGACAAATAGACCAATGAAACAGAATAGAGATCCCAGAAGCAATGCCACACATCTACAACTATCTGATCTTTGACAAAGTTGACAAAAATAAGCAATAGGGAGAGACTCACCATTGAATAGGGAAAGACTCCCTGTTGAATATTGAATAGAGAGTCTTTCCCTATTAGCCACATGCAGAAGATTGAAACTGGACCCCTTCCTTAGACCACATACAAAAATCAACTCAAGATGGATTAAAGACTTGAATGTAAAACCTAAAATTATAAAAACCCTGGAAGATAACTTAGGAAATACCATCTTGGGCATAGGCCCTAGCAAAGATTGCATGGGAAAACACTAAAAGCAATTACAACAAAAACAAAAACTGACAAATGAGACCTAATTAAACTAAAAAGCTTCTGCATAGCAAGAGAAACTATCAACAGAGTAAACAGACAACCTACAGAATGGGAGAAAATATATGTATGCTGTGCATCTGACAAAGGTCTAATATCCAGAATCTATAAGGAATTTAAATTAACAAGCAAAAAACAAACTACCCCATTAAAAAGTGGGCAAAGGACAGACACTTCTCAAAAGAAGACATACGCTCAGTCCACAAGCATATGAAAAAATGCTCAACATCACTAATCATTAGAGAAATGCAAATCAAAACCACAGTGAGATATCATCTCATACCAGTAAGAATGGCTACTATTAAAAAGTCAAAAAATAACAGATGCTGGCAAGGTTGCAGAAAAAAGAAAATGCTTATACACTGCTGGTGGGAATGAAAATTAGTTCAGCCACTGTGGGAAGCAGTTTTGAGATTTCTCAAAGAACTTAAAACAGAACTACCATTCAACCCACCAATCCCATTACTGTGTATTTAACCAAAAGAATATAAACAATTTATATTCTTTTGAATAAGTTGTTTATATTCTTTTGGGTAAATACTCAGTAAAGGGATGTATGTGTTTGTTTATCACAGCCCTATTCACAACAGCAAAGACATGGAATCAACCCTAGATGCCCATCAACAGTAGGCTGGATAAATAAAATGTGGGACATATCCACCATAGAATACTACATAGTCAAAAAAAATGAATGAGATCATGTCCTTTGCAGCAACATGGATGGAGCTGGAGATCATCATCCTAAGCAAACGAATGCAGAGCCAGAAAACCAACTACCACATGTTCTCACTTATAAGTGAGAGCTAAACATTGGGTGCACATGGACACAAAGAAGGGAATGATAGACACTGGAGCCTACCTGAGGGTGGAGGATGGGACAAGAATGAGGGTCTAAAAACTACTTATTGGGTACTATGCTTATTACCTGGGTGATGAAATAATCTGTACACAGAAACCCCCCATGACAAGTAGTTTACCTATATAAAAAATCAGCCAGGCACTGTGGCTCATGCCTGTAATCTCAGCACTTTGGGAGGTCAAGGTGGGCAGATCATTGAGGTCAGGAGTTTGAGACCAGCCAGGCCAACATGGTGAAACCCCATCTCTACTAAAAATACAAAAATTAGCCAGGTGTGGTGGCAGGCACCTGTAATCCCAGCTACTGGGGAGGCTGAGGCAGGAGAATCGTTTGAACCCAGGAGGCAGGTATTGCAGTGAGCCAAGATTGTGCCACTGCATTCCAGCCTGGGTAACAGAGAGAGACTCCATCTAAAAAATATATATATATTATTTATTTATTTATTTATTTATTTATTTTAAAAACCTACCCATGTAGCCCTGAATCTAAAATAAAAGTTAAAATGAAAAGAAAACCAAGTTTATGTTTTTGCACACATTTCTGAATTCATAATACTCCACTGCTGAGAATAATACCTACATGTGTTCAAAATTACTGTTTTTCTACAGTATTAAGCTAATATTGGTAGAATTATTCATTTGAACTCAGGTTTTTGGCTTCAGTGACCATGCTTCTTCATTAGCACTTTTCCATGCCTTTAAAAGTAATTTCAGTTTGAACTTTCTATTTTATCTAGAAGTTAATTTAAAAGTTCTTAATGAAATTTGCAGGTGGCTAGATATTACTGGTTGGTTACACTTTAGTTGATGGTTTCTATTGTACTTACAGTGTCTGGAAATTACAACCTGCTGGATTCCTGAGGTCATGAATTCAATGTCATATTTTAGGCCTAAAATCTTTCCATTTAAAATATTTATGTCTGGTATTTGAAAATAATATAATCTTCGTTTACTCATCAAATGTGCTAGCCTTTTATTTCTATGCCTAAAATTAGACAAACTTTCTAGTAAAGTTACTTAAGATTTTTAAAAAACTGAGAAAATCTGAATCAAGTGTGAACTTTATTCAATAATACTATATCAATTTGGTTCCTTAGTTGTAATAAATGTATCATACCACTGTAAGATGTTAATAATAGGGGAAGCTGGGTGTGAGGTGCATGATAACTATATGTACTATTTTCAAATTTTCTGTAAATATTAAACTAAAAAAAGAAAGTTTTTTCTAAAAAACAAAGTCATTATAAATGTAACTATTAATACATAACATTTTAGAAACAAAACCCCTATGATTACAACAAATACTGGTATGAGGGTTGAAAAATTGGAATGCTGTGGGGTTAGGATACAGTTAACGATTACTTTTTTCACATAGGAAAATGTTTTGATATCTTCATTAAAAATGTTAAATAAAGAACAGAAATAGATGATGAGAATAAGATAAAATATATTAATAAAAGCAAAATAAAGTTTCAGTTTAATGTCTAGCAACATGGTAATTACCATAAACAACTGAGAAAGATGAAAAATAAAGCATAGATAAATATATGCCAGAGAAATCACAATAAAAGAAAGGACGTGTGCCATTATTGTCATTATAAAAAGTAGAATTCAAGTCAAAAAGCATGAAATCAGACAAGGAAGAATTTATAATGATATGAACTGTAATTTCCTCAAGAAGATAACTATAGTCATGAAAGCTCATGCCTGATATCATATTATCAAAATATAAAGTAAAAGCTATTAGAAAAAATGTGGATTTATCAAAGTCAAATTTATAACAGAAAACCTTAACTCATCTCTCTCAATCTGAAAAAAAAGTTTAAGTAGACAAAAAAATAAAAGAATTTATAGAAGATTTGAATAATACTATTACCAAATTTATTTTATTAACATATATAGAATGAATACCAAATATAGAAAGACTGTCTTTCCTTTCAAACAACTCTGAAATACTGCAGAAGAACTGGGCACATGTTAAGTCATAATAAAACTCGCAAAAAATTCCCCAGATTTGAAATTTATAAGCCACATTAGATATTATCATAATCCAGTAATATAAATTCACAGAAGTAGTGTTTTAAAAGCTACTAACATTGTTTTACTTATAAATAAATAACTATGAGAACATATAGTAAAATTTATGGTGTGCACCCAATGTGGCACTTGGAAGAAAATAAAAACTCTACATTTATTAGAAAAGAACTGAAAATCGGCCAGGCATGGTGGCTCATGCCAGTAATCACAGCACTTTGGGAGGCCAAAGTGGGTGGATCACCTGAGGTCAGGAGTTCAAGACCAGCCTGCCCAACATGGTGAAACCCCATCTCTACTAAAAATACAAAAATTAGCCTAGCATGGTGGTGCACGCCTGTAGTCCCAGCTACTTGGGAGGCTGAGACAGGAGAATCACTTTAATCCCACTGCAGCCTGGGCAACAGAGCAAGAAAAAGAAAAAAAAGAAAAGAAAAGAAGGAAGGGAGAGAGAGAGAGAGAAAGAAAGAAGGAGAGAAAGAGAGAGACACAGAAATGAAGGAAGGAAGGAAAGAAGGAGAAAAGAGAAAGAAAGAAAAGAGAGAGGAAGGAAGGAAGAAGGAATGAAGGAAGAAAGAGAGAGAAAGGGAGAAAGAGAGAGAAAGAAAGAGAGAGAAAGGAAGGAAGGGAAGGGAAAAGAAGGGGAGAGGAGGGGAGGGGAGGGGAGGGGAGAGGACGGGAGGGGAGAGGAGGGGAGGGGAGAGGAGGGGAGGTGAGGGGAAAGGAGGGGAAGGGAGGGGAGGGGAGGGGAGGGGAAGGTAAGGGAAGGGAACATTCAACTAATGAACCAGAAAGAGAACAAGAAAATAAATCCAAAGGTAACTTTATTTATTTATTTATTTATTTATTTATTTATTATTATTATACTTTAAGTTTTAGGGTACATGTGCACAATGTGCAGGTTAGTTTCATATGTATACATGTGCCATGCTGGTGCGCTGCACCCACTAACTCATCATCTAGCATTAGGTATATCTCCCAATGCTATCCCTTCCCCCTCTCCCCACCTCACAACTGTCCCAGAGTGTGATGTTCCTCTTCCTGTGTCCATGTGTTCTCATTGTTCAATTTCCACCTATGAGTGAGAATATGCAGTGTTTGGTTTTTTGTTCTTGCGATAGTTTACTGAGAATGATGATTTCCAATTTCATCCATGTCCCTACAAAGGACATGAACTCATCATTTTTTATGGCTGCATAGTATTCCATGGTGTATATGTGCCACATTTTCTTAATCCAGTCTATCATTATTGGACATTTGGGTTGGTTCCAAGTCTTTGCTATTGTGAATAATGCCGCAATAAACATACGTGCGCATGTGTCTTTATAGCAGCATGATTTATAGTCCTTTGGGTATATACCCAGTAATGGGATGGCTGGGTCAAATGGTATTTCTAGTTCTAGATCCCTGAGGAATAGCCACACTGACTTCCACAGTGGTTGAACTAGTTTACGACAAAAGAAACTACCATCAGAGTGAACAGGCAACCTACAAAATGGGAGAAAATTTTCGTGACCTACTCATCTGACAAAGGGCTAATATCCAGAATCTACAATGAACTCAAACAAATTTACAAGAAAAAAACAAACAACCCCATCAAAAAGTGGGCAAAGGACATGAACAGACACTTCTGAAAAGAAGACATTTATGCAGACAAAAAACACATGAAAAAATGTTCAGCATCACTGGCCATCAGAGAAATGCAAATCAAAACCACAATGAGATACCATTTCACACCAGTTAGAATGGCAATCATTAAAAAGTCAGGAAACAACAGGTGCTGGAGAGGATGTGGAGAAATAGGAACACTTTTACACTGTTGGTGGGACGGTAACTTTCTTAATAAACAAAATGCGTGGAATAAAAAATAGCACACAAAAATGCCAGACTTTAAAATACAGAGCTACTTTTTTCGAAAGACTACTAAAACAGAAATATGTAGCCCAGGCATGGTGGCACGCACCTATAATCCCAGCTACTTGGGACCCTGTTTTTAAAAAAAGAAATATATTTAACAAGTCTAACCAAGAAAGAGCAAAGACATAAATAATAAAAAGATGAAGAGAAGCAATTATAAGATAGAGTTTTTTATTACAAAATAATACTATGTTAAAACTCCCTAATCAATGATGTTGAAGCTATAAGAAAGGATTATTATACATGAAAATTTAAATTACCAAAATGCAAAAAGTAACTGAACATTTGAAAGTTCAAACCAATAACCACAGAAAAATGGAAAATGTAGTCAAAAGTTTATTCCCCCAAAAGACACCAGGCCCAGATATTTTTATATAAAAGTTCTATCAAAATTTTGAAGAATAAGTAAGTCCTCTATAATTTAAACTTCTCCAACACAAGACAGCATTTAACAGAAGACAACGGAACATACAATGCAGATGTTCTCTTTTCATCTGGAAATAAGACAATCTCATTTCATCTGGAAATAAGACAAGGATACCCACCCTCCACAACTATTACCCTGTTGGTCCTAGACTATAAGATTTATCAGGAAAAAGAAAATCGGGGTATAAATATCAGACAGAGACTAAGCTATTTAAAGATGATATGAATGTCTAACCAAGGTAATCTGAAATTGCAAGAAAATCAACTAAAATAAATTGGAGGTACTAAGATAGTTTATTAGAATTTTGAATATAAGGTAAATATATCAAAACCAATACCTTTTCTATTCCGGCAATAACAAGAGGATCATATAACTTTTGAAAATTCAATTTATAAAACAAAGATACAATAAAAATTTTATAGTTTTCTAACAAAATGTGAGTAAGCAAGGAAATATTTGGAAAAATGCACAAAGTGATCTTTGCATAAAGAAAGTAATAACATTTTGCTGAAGAAGAGGAAAGTAGATATCTAAAGTGGAGAAATATATCATGTTAATGATAGGAATATTTAATATCGTAAGGATATCAACACCTCCCTGCTAGTTAATCTAGCAGTTCAAGTCCAAGCAAAATCTCATTGATATTAACAGATTTGTTTTAAATTAAAGAGACATTTCAAAAGAATAAATGCAGAATTGTCAAAAATCATTTAAAAGTAAATAATCGAGTCTAGTCCTACACATTCAAAATATGCCTTACAGTGTACATTAAAAAAATTTGTGGCTGGGTGCGATGGCTCATGCCTGTAATCCTGACCCTTTGGGAAGCCGAGGTGGGCGGATCACAGTGTCAGGAGTTTGAGACCAGCCTGGCCAACATGGTGAAACCCCGTTTCTACTAAAAATACAAAAATTAGCTGGGCATGGTGGCGGGCACCTGTAATCCCAGCTACTCGGGAGGCTGAAGCAGGAGAATCATTTGAACCCGGGAGGCGGAGGTTGCAGTAAGCCGAGATCACACCACTGCACTCCAGCCTGGGCAACAGGGTGAGACTCTGTCTCTAAATAAATAAATAAACAAACAAACAAACAAACAAAACACCAAAAAAAAAAATTTGTTCTGGTACAGAAATGGAAAAATAAGTCAGTGAAATAAATGGGGCCCAGAAACAAACCAGGCATATGTGGGAGCATATATAAAAAAGTGGTATTTCAAATCTGTTGGGAAATGATGGATCATTCATTAAAGATGGATCATTCATTAAAGAAATATATGGGGGAACTTTCTAAAGAACATTGTTAACAATTATCCTGACTTTTGTAAAGGAAAAAGCAACAGTCATAGTGATTACTTCTTTTCATATTAAGCAGATTTTATTTTGCAATATATCATTTGAATTAATAAATTAGGAATAACTTTATATTTGTCAGTTGATATTAGGCACAAAAAAATGTTACAGTTTCAGTGGCATTAAACTAAGCTGTTATGAGCAAGATAAAACCATAGAGCTCATTAAAGAAACTCCTTCCTTCTAATGGACACGTATTAGAGGAGCTGTATGCAAGAGACAGATTTTTTCTTGGGCAGAGAGGCAACACAAGAAAGTGATAAAAAAGGGCCCTGGCCTTAGGCCCCAACTGCCAGGACTAGCATTCTTCATCCATCCTGTCCTGCAACATCCTGAGACTCAACAATCTCAGTCTGACATCCTCAGACTCAACAGTCTCAGTCTGACATCCTCAGACTTTCTGAACAGGAGCTGTGATCCGGGAAGATCCTATCTTCCAGCTTCTGATGCCAGCTGCATACTTCCTACAAAAGAATGAAGACTTTAAGGGTATCTTCCCCTGAAACCCAGGGTGGGAGAGAAAAAAACAGGGTCTGCTTCCTTGCCTACATCTCTTGGTATAAGAGCCCAGGGTACCTAAGTGCTTAATACAGTGTTTGGACCACTAGAGCATTAAGTGTAGATGACCTACTGGTATTGCTGAGATTGTTAGGCCTTCTTGTGGGCCCATAATTCAGATGAGGACTTAGCCATTGGTCAATCACCAGGAGGCCAAGCTCAAGCCTCCTGAGCACAACTAAAACCCTTAGTGGATCTTCAGGTCCCTGGAACACCACGATAGTGATAAAACTCAGAGATATCTTAGAATAGTCAACATAAAGTAAAAAATTTCCAGTGTCTCCCATGGTGCTAACTTCAGAAAATGGCATGTCTTATCCAAGCTCTGACTGAATATTGTCTCTATCAAACCAGAGATGACCTCTCCATCCCTCTGGAAAAAAATACATGGAAAATAGCACAAGTTCCAAGAGTTTCATTCCACATTCCAAAATTTTATTCCTGAAGTTCTAACTCGGAGCAACTGGTGAGGCTGAGAATTCTTTTTTTTTTTTTTTTTTTTTGAGACGGAGTCTTGCTCTGTCGCCCAGGCTGGAGTGCAATGGTGTGATCTCGGCTCACTGCAAGCTCCACCTCCCAGGTTCACACCATTCTCCTGCCTCAGCCTCCCGAGTAGCTGGAACTACAGGTGCCCGCCACCACGCCCGGCTAATTTTTTTTTTTGTATTTTTAGTAGAGACAGGGTTTCACTGTGTTAGCCAGTATGGTCTCGATCTCCTGACCTCGTGATCCACCCGCCTCAGCCTCCCAAAGTACTGGGATTACAGGTGTGAGCCACTGCACCCAGCCGAGGCTGAGAATTCTATGCCAGGAATATTTAGACTCTGATTCAAGTCCACGACAAAACTAGTACAGAAGATACACAGAGTGTGAATCAGCATAGACTACAGCTACAATTACAACTAGACAATGCACAGCTGCAACTACAACTATACAAAAGGAAATGCACCCTGGACCAGGGAAAGGTATTTCTTTATTTAAACCATTCGAAAGCTTTCACTAATCTCCCAATGAGACCAGCCTAGAAACAAACATTTAGAATCTTAGGAGTAGTTTGTTGTTTATTATAACTTTAGTAAACCTTACACAGTTTGTTTCATAACATTGTTTCAGCCATTCTCAATGATCTCTAGTATCTTTAAAAAAAAATTTCCCAAGTTAAATCATTTGTAAAAGATAAATGTCTAAACCAGGTGGATTCAAATGACAAATGGGTGACTTTGAAGCTGTTTCACAGAGCAGATAAGTAGCTCCACTTTGTTCCTGAACAAAAAGACCTGTTCCTATCTGGGTATGCCAATGGAAGTTCACACATTACTCTAATATCTTCATCTAAAACACACCAAAGTTGTCCCTTCTTCACCTGCCAAATAAACATTATATCCTCTCCCATTATTACCTGAGACTATATTGATCATTCTTTGTGCCTGCAGATTAAAACCAGAAGACCAAAAAGTGTACATACAAATAATGTCTCTTCCTCAGATTTTGTCATATTCAAATCCCTTTAGCAAAAGATTATTCAGGATTCTGAGCAAATCCTGAGTTTCCTCCTCACTGTCTCCTACTTGGAGTGTGATCCATCCTACTGTAGAAAGGCCATCAGTCAAACTAGAAAGCAATCTGCTGCCTCCCAGGCTGAATTTTTCCTTAACCTCAAGTCAATGCAGAAAATGGTGCCAAACACTTGACCTGTTGTGTGTCTCTATTTTTAAAAAACACTTTTTGAAGACTATTAGGGATGCTTACTAATGTCAAATCCACACCAATAAAATTAGCATCTAAAACAAGATATCACTAAATCCTAAACTCCACCTTGCCTTACCACCTTGACACTCCACGTCATTTTTAGTCATGAACTCTGAAGGAGTTCTATGACTGAAAAAGGAGGCTGTCAGAGAAAATGAGAATAAGAGAAAGAAAAAAACTTTGGTGATTGCTGCAGATCCAGTCTGTATGTATTTAGGTCAGTTGTACTTTGTCTACCACTTGGGATCCTAAAGGGTCATTAGGAGAAATCTTCCCTAAACAAAGATTACCTGTGCTGTTGAGATCTACATTCAGAAAGGATCCTCTGGCAAGGAATCCCACCACCTCTGACGATAGATTTTTTTTTTCCTTAAGAGTGACATTTTTTTTTTCTTTTTGAGACAGAGTCTCGCTCTGTTGCCCAGGCGAGGGTGCAGTGGCACCATCTCAGCTCACTGCAAGCTCTGCCTCCTGGGTTCACGCCATTCTCCTGCCTCAGCCTCCCAAGTAGCTGGGAGTACAGGTGTGTGCCACCACACCCGGCTAATATTTTTGTATTTTTAGTAGAGACAGGGTTTCACCATGTTAGCCAGGATGGTCTTGATCTCCTGACCTCGTGATCTGCCTGCCTTGGCCTCCCAAAGTGCTGGGATGCCAGCCAGCATGAGCCACCGTGGCCGGCCAAGAGTGACATTTTTTAAGCCACCTCTTATCAAACACTCATGAGGTCAGACACTGTACTAAGATATTTTGCTTTCATTAGCTCCAATCCTCATAACACTGCAAAATAGGTAAAATTAGTCCATTTTAAGATGAGGCAACTAGAGGCTCAGAGACAATAAATAGCATACTCAAGATCACAGAAGCAATAAATAGCTCAATTGGGACTCAACCCTAGCACTGCCTGACTTTAAAGCACAATCTCTCCCCACTGTCCTGCGCTTAATCCATCTTGTCTGCTCATAAATTTGCATTTGAGGTTTGTTACTAATTGAACTCGGTCTCCCAGAAGGATAATGGGATTCACGTATCCCTCAGTATCTAAGAATGTGGCCTTATTTGGAAATAGGGTCTTTGCAGATGACCAAGTTGAAATAAGGCCATTACAGTGGGCCCTAATCCAATACGACTGTGTCCTTTATTAAAGGGGGGAATTTGGACACAGAGACCGAGATGCATAGAGGGAAGGCAATTGAAGGAAGTCACAGAGAGAACATCACCTACAAGCCAAGGAATGCTGGAAGCTACCAAAAACTAGGACAGCAGCTTGGAACAGATTCTCCCTCACAGCCCTCAGAAGGAGCCAACCCTGCCAATACCTTGGTTTCTAATATCTAGCCTCCAGAACTGTGAGACAATACATTTCTGTTGCTTAATCCACACAGGCTTATAGTACTTTGTTACAGTGGCCCCAGAAAATGAATACAAAGCTCATCCTAAAAGATTTCTTTCTTCTCTTGCAGCTCTCTCATTCAACCTCAACCAGTTTTCCATTTTTAGTATCTCTTTAATATCTTTAAGTATCTCCTGAGCTTCCTGAATTTCTTAATCTGCAATTTTACATCCTTCAAAGAGTTTTCTCCTGTTTGTGTTTCTATATTTTTCCAACCACAGCATAATCCCAAGTTTAACTTTACAATGTCATATCTTTATCTCTCAAAGATGCCATTTACTGTACATGACCTAAAAAAGGACATTGTACATGACATTGTGCAAATATATTTGTCTGCTTTCATACACTTTTGGTATGAATTGTCATAATGGTTTGACATTATATAAACATAATAGTTTGCTAAATTGCTTGGGAAAGCAATTTAACAATATGTATCAAGAGTTCAAAGCTAGATAGGAGGAATAGGTTCTAGTGCTCTATACCACTGTAGGATGAACTATAGTTAACAACAATGTATTATATAGTTTCCAATAGCTAGAAGGAGGGTATTGAATGTTCCCAACACAAAGGAATGATAAGTGTTTGAGACGATGAATATGCTAATTACCCTGATGTGATCATTATACATTATATGTACCAAAACATTATACATTTTATATACCCCATAAACTTGTACAATTATTATGTGTCAATTTAAAACTGTATTATAATAAGTTTAAAAAAGAGTTCAAGAGGTCTATACTATTTAACTTTGAATTCCCACATTGGGAAATTTAGCTTGGGTAAATAAATTAGCAAAGGAAAAAGCTGTATGTACTACACCATCATCTAACAGTAAAAATTGGGGAATAAATCTAAAACAGTCAGTGTAGAAGAATGATAAAATAAATCAAGATAAATAAATCTGTTGAAATACGGATTCATGAAAAAGGATATTTAGGAAGAATGTACAGAAACATGAGAAAATACTTTGTATGTGAGGTGAAAAATAGTAAATAAAATGGGAAAGATAACTGTGAGACATATATGTAAATGCACAAAGACTAGAAGAAAATATGCAAAATAAAAAACACAGAAGATTGGTATAATGTTTTGGTTTTATTATTTTTAAAAGTTAGAAAAAAATCTGTTTAGCATATCCCTTGTGTTCTTCATAAGAATTAGATCGTAGCCTCTGTAACACACAGCAATCCAAGGGTACTTTGCATTTTGCGAACTTGATATCCGGCAGTAGTAAATCCATAAGGATGGACTCTGACTATGCTCTGACAAATCACAGACTAGCTTAATAGAGCTAAAAATGAGATTTTTCAGCCCTTTTCCTCATTGATAGCTCTGAGCATACTGTTTATTTCTGAGCTAAAACAACAGGAAGAACATGAATCTAAAATGAAAAATTAGCCAAACTCTGCAAATAGATGCCACAGCTGCAAATCAAAGGGCAGTCTTAATATAAATACAGTGTAGAAGTGCCTGCTTCCACGTCAGTCTTCTCAGTCCCACCTGAACACACACAAATTGGAGGCTTCTCTGAGTGTGTTTGTGTTGTGTTTGTGTGAGTGCATGCATGCAAAACAGAGAGAGAAGGAGAGAGAAAGAAGAGTGGCCATCATCTATATCACACTAATTCTCTTGCAGATGTCCAGAAATTACCACTGTTTACAGAAAATTGAGCTCACTGTGTTTTTCTTGCCTCTCTATTCACCACTTTCTTCACAATAGCTCCCACATCCAAGATTTCACTTGCCATTGCCACAGATGCAGCTCAAACTCTTGTCACACTGTGTAGGAATATTTTTTCTTTTTTTTTTTTAAGAGACAGAGTCTCACTCTGACACTGTGGCTGGAGTGCAGTGGCACAATCATAGCTCACTGCAGCCTCGACCTCCTGGGCTCAAGTGATCCTCCCACTTCAGCCTCCCGAGTAGCTGGGACTCCAGGCGTGTGCCACTACGCCCAGCTTATTTTATATTTTTTGTACTGACGGGGTCTTGATAGCTTGCCCAGGCTGGTCTCCAAATCCTGGAGTCAAGTGATACTCCTGCCTCAGCCTCCCAAAGCACCGGAATTACAGGCACGAACCACTGTGCCTGGCTGATGGTGGGAATGTTCTAATAGTCTCCAATTCTTCACATACCTGTTCAGTTTCCATGCCGCCACTAGATTATGTGTGTATATATAAATTTATATAGATACATAATTATGTAATTAGTAATTCAATTCACTGAATGCCCACCAGTTGCTGTGCTAACTACTGGAAATTTAATGCTGAACAGATCCTACCTTCATAGAACTCAATCTGTGGAAAAAACGAATGTTAATAACCAAACAAAACAATTAATGAACAGTTTCAGCTATAATAGGTGCTACAAAACCAAGGCACATGGTGCTCCATACAAAGGAGGAACTAATCTAGTCAGGAGGGTGAAGAAATGGGGACCCAGTGGAAACCAAAAGAAAGAGCAGCAGTTAAAGGGAAAGCTAAACAAGCCTGGGAAGGAAGTGGGGTTACAGAGTAAAGGACCAGCAGGCCGTGTCAAAGATTTGGTCTCACCCTATGAGGAATAGGAAGTTACTTACGCTCTTAAGTTTGGAGGAACATAATCATATTTGCCAATAGAAAAAAAATCTCTTTGGTTGCTGCATAGAGATTATTCTGAAGGAAAATCAAAGTGCTTGCAAAGAGACCAGTTAGAAGTGAGTGCAGTGATCCTGGGGTGGATTGTTTGCAGCACTGACCAGTGAAGATCGGGAGAAATGGGTTGATTTGAGACATATTTAGAAGGTGACATCAGTACCACTTGGTGGCATATTGGAGATGGTGGGTAAAAGGATGTATTAAGACTGACTCTGGAGTTTCTAATTTATATAACTAGATGGATAGTAGGATCATTCACTGAAATAGGAGAGACTGAAGAAGATCAGGTCTTGGTTGGAAATCTGTGAGGAACACATCAACTGTGAATTGCCTTTGGGTCAGCCAAGTGAAGGTGTCAAGGGGACAGCTGAATACATGACTCTGTACTCCAAAGGAGAGATCTACGTTGGAGATAGAAACTTATGAGTCATGGAAGCTACTCCTCTTTACTCATTCATTCTATTCGGGTATTACTGAATGCCTTCAGTGTACCAGGTACTGTGTTAAAAACAGCAGAGGGAAAAAGTCCTAAGACACCATCTCTTCCCTCCAAGAACAATGCCTCCCTCCTTTCTACAGAGTAAGATATAAACATTTGATATTGGTACTATTCTGGTTACTTCACAATCTGGTCTCAACTTCTCCCACCACTCTTACAGGTAAACAGTCAAATTCCAAACATCTCTAGGCCAATCAAACTGGTCTACTTGCCATCCTCCAAGCCTGAATGATGAGTATTTACCTCTACACTTTGTCTATATATTATACCCTTCCTTTATCTCCCTACTCAATATGTTTTCCTTTCTTCCTTCTGTGTATGGCAAATTCTTCAGGATGTGGATCCGTTCAGGTCCTTCCTCCTTACCAGATCTTTCCAAAAGCTGAATGAGAAGATGACCAAATATCCTTCCGTGATAAAATTCACAAATGCTTTTTCAATGAGACTCCCCCAACTCCAATAACTTAATTTTGAACATTTTTGTCAAAGAAAACATTCTTTTGCATCTAGCCTCACAATAGGGTAGACGTTGTCACCCATGACATTAAGCCAAATGGTGAAATGGGAATTAGAGCCTCCCCCTAAAATAAATTTATCCTTTTGCCTTTTTATCTTAGATATCTTATCTAAGTAGTTTCCATTTTTACTATAATAATTTTCAGAACTTAAAATGTTTACTTTTCACCTCCCCAGCCCTTCTTTTTTTGGGAGGACCCAGTAGTAGTCTAGAAAATACAGCATATAAAAGATCTGGCTTTCACATTTCAAAAAAACGATGCCACCATTTATTATACTGTGTCATATAACTCCTGTTTGAAGTTCCACATCTTGTTATAAAAATCTTTGCTGATGGTATAGTACTTTATCAATGTACATTTTTGTGATTCTTGATAACTATAATTGAAATAAAAATAGAGATGAACACATGTTCGACTTCATTATAAATTATATATCATATCTTACAAACCCCAAATTGGTTGTCAAAAAGCCATAAAGTGGGAAACCTAAGGGATTTAGAAATGTGTGGCCAAGAACATCTCCACAGTAGAGTAAATAAAACACAAACAGTAAAATGCAAACTTCACACCCACAATTATAGGAGGGAACTGTACAACACAATAACAAGCTAATATTATAGGTTTGTACTTAGGAAAAAGCCTTCATACAACAGTGCTTTTCACATGGAATTTTACCAATTTAACACAGAGAGAAATCATTTCACTCACCCCTAAAATCCACTTACTAATTGAGCAAAATATAGTTAATTTAATAATATAGCCACACGGTAATGTATAGGAGAGAAAGAAAGGTATACATACTTCTCTCTAGGAAAAGATTCAAAACCATTCCTCGCAGCAGCTACAAACAAGTTCAGCCCCCAAAATATAATTAAAAAGAGCTTCTTGAATAATTTTTCACAGAACAAAAATAATCTATAATTATTTATAATTACATATAATAATAATAAGAGGATGTATTAAGACTGACTCTGGAGTTTCTAATTTATATAACTAGATGGATAGTAGGATCATTCACTGAAATAGGAGAGACTAAGGAAGATCAGGTCTTGGTTGGAAATCTGTGAGGAACACATCAACTGTGAATTGCCTTTGGGTCAGCCAAGTGGAGGTGTCAAGGGGACAGCTGAATACATGACTCTGTACTCCAAAGGAGAGAGCATATCTATCTCCTCCCATGCTATCTCCTCCCATACAGAGGACACTGCAGACAACTTTTAAATGGAGTTCTCTCTTACTGGAGATCCCTAACCAGGAAGAAGTAGGTGTAAAAATTGTATTAGACAAGTGAACAGCTAAGAATGTCAAAGAAAGCATGAAAGTGGACTTTTTTTTTTTTTTTTTTTTTTTGAGATGGAGTCTCGCCCTGTCACCCAGGCTGGAGTGCAGTGGCACAATTTCAGCTCACTGCAACCTCTACCTCCCGGGTTCAAGTGATTCTCCTGCCTCAGCCTCCCAAGTAGCATAGCTGGGATTACAAGCGCCCACTACCATGCCCAGCTAATTTTTGTATTTTAGTAGAGATGGGGTTTCACCGTGTTGACCAGGCTGGTCTCGAACTCCTGACCTCAAGTGATCCACCCACCTCGGCTTCCCAAAGTGTTGAGATTACAGGCGTGAGCCACTACACTCAGCCAAAAGGGGAACTTTGAGCTGAATCTTCAAGGACAGTAAGAGATTACCAGGCAAAGAAAAGAACTTAGTAGAGGGGAGAGGGTGCAGAAGACATGGAGGTAACAAAGTTAAGAGGTGTGCAAGTATGAGAATGAAGGGCAATGGGAAGGAATGCCATGAGATGGCAGGACTACAAAATAAGGAAAGATACATGAAAGTCATTCTAGAAAGTTCATATTTTATCCCATGGGAGATGAGAAAGTATCAAAGGTGTTTTCAAACGGTAAGTGGCATAATTAGATGTGAATTTTAGAACAGTAGCTGGGACCCATGTGCTTTCAACCACTTTTCTAGTATTCTGGGAGAAATAAGAATTTTTAAATTGTGGGCCTGTGGGAGGATACGAAGGAAAGAAGTGTTCAGAGAGATGTGGGAGGAAGAGAGATCTATCCCAGAGCTGTGCTGCTCGGCTGCTTCCTCCACAAGACAACAGGCTCGTAGGGTTTATGGTTGAGTATGTGTTGTATATCCCAGGATGCAGGAATGTCAACAGAGTTGCAAGAACCGCAGAAGGCCAGGAGCGAGTGATGATGATCACATTCATCAGAATCAGCGGTGCGCCAAGTTCAGCTGTACGTTAACATATATAATGAGGTTAACATGTGTTGAGCCCTTACTGTGCCCTGTACTGTTTTGAGTGCTTTATATGGATTAACTCATTTATTCCTCATAACAACTATAGATAGATATAATTATCAATCCCATTTTACAGATGGGAAACTGAGACACATACAAGTTAGGAAACTTCCCCTAAGTCTTACAGTTGTACAGAGAGGAACTGGCATTCCAACCTGGGCTAGCCGGCCCTGGAGGCAGTGCTCCAATGCTGTATAAAAGTGAGCTTTGGCTTGTGTCTTAGCGCAGGCCGCTATAACAATATGTCATAGACTGGGTGGCTTAAACGATAGATATTTATTTTTCACAGATTTGAAGGCTATAAAGTCTAAGATCAAGGTACCAACCAGTTTGGCTCCTGGTGAGGGCCCTCTTCCTGGCTTTCAGATGACCACCTCTCTCCATGTCCTCACCTGGCAAAGAACTACTTTGCAAAGTAGTTCTATGTGTTCTGGTCTGTTCCTCTTCTTATAAGAACATTAATCCCATCTTGAGGGCTTACCCTCACCTAAACCCAATCACCTCCTAAAGGCCCTACCTCCAAATACCATCACACTGCGGGGTAGGACTTCAACATATGAATTTGTTGGGACACAAACATTCAGGTCATAAAAGCTTGTTGAGTTTTCTCTCAGAAGGAAAGTCCATGAGCCCACTCACTGAGACACACTGTGCTCAACAGACACCATCTTTTTTTTTTTTTTTTTTTTTTTGGAGATGGAATCTAGCTTTGTCACCCAGGCCGGAGTGCAGTGGTGGGATCTCAGCTCACTGCAACCTCCGCCTCCTGGGTTCAAATGATTCTCATGCCTCAGCCTCCTGAGCAGCTGAGACTATTGTCGTGTGCCAGTACGCCCAGCTAATTTTGTTGTATTTTTGGTAGAGATGTGGTTTTGCCATGTTGGCTAGGCTGGTCTCAAACTCCTGGCCTCAAGTCCCCCCTTGGGCCTCTCAAAGCCCTGGGATTACAGGCATGAGCCACTGCACCTGGCCAATAGACACCATCTTAATACTAAAGAGGGCTGCGGCTGAGGCTGGGGCTAGTGCAACATTTAAAAGGGAACTAGAATGCATAGAACAGAAGGAAGCGAGTCAAGCTCTACTCTCTTTGGGCATTGATGATAAATTCTGTGAGAAGGGTCAGCACTGCCTGACTCATCAAGTAGAGAGAATTTCTCAGACTGTTTTCTGAAAGATTCCAGAGTTTCTGAGGAGAACTGGTTGAAGAGACATATGTTGCCATGAAAACAGAGCATGGGAGTGTTGGGGGAACAGCAGTGGTCACAGTGCTAAAGAAATGTCTGCAGACAGCAGGGATAGACTGCTCAAGTGATTGCTGAGATAAGTCTCACAGTTCACACAGAAGATACCCAGGCAAAGCATGTCGAGGAGGCACTCCAGGGAGAGGAAGGGCTGAGTAGGCACAAAAGTAGTTCTATGTGTTCAAAGATGATGGGCAAATCAACTAATTTCCAATGTCTTCCAAAGTCTTAAATATCCAAATGTCAAAATCTACAAGTTGAACACTATCTCCCTAATTCACGAAATGGCTTTTTCACATGAATTTGGTCCTCATAAGCCCGCTTTTGGTTTCTTTCAGGAGAATGGATAGACAGGCATCTTGATGCATATTTTTTTGTTGTTGCACATTTGTTTTTGTCCTTGATGCACATTTATTTTTGTCCTTAACTTTTTGGAACTTAAATCCATAAATTAAATAGTGATGCTGCATTAAATGCAATTCAGGATGAGCCCAGATGAGACCAGTTTCGGGGATGTGCCACAAGGAGACAGACTCGTATCTCTAATAAATAATGTAATTTGTGTCGTTTTTCCCATCCCTCAGATTAATAAATTCTAAGAGGTAAAGGTATAGCAAGCGAAATCAGAAAAAAAAATTGTTTTGGTGCTAGCTGAAGCCTGCACTGCATTCTCACAGATGCTTTAGTAACATGTAAACTGTTAGGATTAAGTGGCTCCAGCTGGTGATAATTAGAACTAGAGAGAATAGGAAGAGAAAGGGGTGGGGGGAGGTTGTCGGGGAAAGCTCCATTACTCACCAGGAAGAAGCTGATTTTCTGTGTCATCTGTCTCCACTACCACCATCACCTCCCACCTCTCACTCTTCATCTGCCTCCACCCAACCCACCCTCATTCTCCTCTATTGGCAGTGAGGGGCTGGTGGTGCAGCAAGATTAATCCCATCCGCCTTTTGTATCTCCTGTGCTGTTTATGCCAATTCTTTGCCAAAAATATGAAGTTTTTGGTCTGTTTTATTCAACAAATATTATTGATTTAACATATACCAGGCATGGGTAGTTGCTAATGATGCAGCAATTGATAAAGTAAATTTGGCCCCCTATCACACAGCTTACATTCCAGTGGGCGATATTAACAAGCAAATGGTGTGATAAGAGCTGTAATGGCAGAAATAGAGCATAGCACAGGATCATGTAAACCCAGACATGGCAACCCAAGGTGGGCTGGGGGGAGGTGGGGATGGGGTAGGCGATAGTTTAAAGAAGAAGGAGGAAGTGTACAGAGCACAATCCAAACAAGAAACTAAAAAATAAATCATTATAATCAGAATATCCGCTGGAAAACTCCTTGGTGATAAGAAATGTCTCAGACATAACAATTCAAAGATGCATGTGCAAATTCCAAGTGAAGACACCCAGTAGGCAAAGGCAAATATGGGCATGAGATCTAGCAGAAAGTTCAAGTTTGGACACCACGTAGCTTTCTCATTTCCCAGAGGCATTTTTCTTCCTCATAATACTCTTAAGAAATACACTAGTTGCAAAGCAATGGGAATACCTGGGGTTGCTTTTTTTTTTTAAAGAACTGCCACTAATGTGGATGGAGTTTGAGGTTAGAGGCGCAAAATTATGTTTTTCCTGCTGTCATATTATCTTCCTTAGAAAAGCTTCTTTTATTGATGGGCTACTCTGCAATCAATAGAAACCTAAATGAGGGTTCATCCTTTGTCTGGGCAAGTAACTACAAACTTAGTTCTTCATGCTAACAAAGCTTTTTATTTCCTTTGTTGAAAGTTCTTTGTTATCATTTTCTAAGTATAATTGCTATTTACCTATTGACTTGAAAAACAGATTCAGTGTTAGATTAATGCTAGAAAATTAACATTCCCCAAATTTAAACTCCACATCACAAAATTACTAACAAAAATAAATTATTTTATCTCTATATCTTATTTTCATATGGTCTCACACCAATTACAGTAAAAATAGGCATATACATTCTAAATATTCTAATAAAAACTTTTAGAGATTACCAAACAAGTACTTTTATTTTTCCATTTAAAATAGGATAGAATGGATAGTCAAGATCTATCCAGTCTTCTGTTTCACTTTGGGAAAATCCCCATTTGCCTCATATTAGTTTGTAAACATCTCACGTTTTTCCCAAGTCTCAGTAGTTTTAAGTGCAAATGTTACCACCAACAATCACATTTTTAACTATATCTATTTCGTCCCTAAAAAAACTGGTGTTTCTCAAAATTTGATTGAGTCTGATTGAGTCTCAAAATTTGTGTTCCCTTCACCTTGTGATCACTAATCTTTCCCCAGTTTTCTTTTCTGTTCTTTTTGCATGGTGTCCCAAACTTTCACGAAAGGATTCTCTAGATATGAAGCCACTTTTTAAAAGCTGTGCAGAAAGTCACATAAAAATAACAATTCTATGAAAACAATTACAGAGACTACAAATTTTTAATTTTACTTATATATTGATAACTAAAACAGTGAAGCCTCTT
Source organism: Homo sapiens (assembly GCF_000001405.40). Classification (NCBI taxonomy): domain Eukaryota; kingdom Metazoa; phylum Chordata; class Mammalia; order Primates; family Hominidae; genus Homo; species Homo sapiens. Next base: position 181,104,076 of record NC_000003.12, on the reverse strand, counting down.
TTAAAGAGAAGAACAAAAATTTAAAGAAATTTTAAAAACATTTTTAATTGAATTTGGTAAAATATTAATACTTGCTGATAAGTCATCACTCACTAATTTAATAAACACTGACTAGGCTTCTTCTTATAGGGTTTTCACAACTTACATATGAACAGGAAGCTGTAAGGTCCCTGCCTCACTCTTTCCACTCTGTGTAACTTTTGCACCCACAGCAAGCTTTCAGCACATCCTGAAAAGCAACTAAGCTGTCCTTAGATGATGGCACCACCTGGTGGTTAGTTTACAAATGTGTTAAAGACCATGTCTCTCCCCTCACCACTTCCTTGACTCTTCTTCAAAGACAAATAATCCACTCTCCTCTAAACACTTCTCCCCTTCAAATTATCTCAGGCAGCAACCTTTTTACATTTCCTTTCCTAACTCTTTTCTAATTCTTGCCCTTTTATCTCATATAAATTTATCTTTCTCTTCCTACATTCTCTGTTCAATTTGAGAAAAATAAACACACCAGCCTAATTATAGCAAATAAGCATAAGAAAAGTATACCAATTACACATTTGCATCAAAGAAAAGAAAAGCTATGAGATAAAAGACACAAAGAAATTCTAACAACAGAAGTTTCAGCAGACATTACCCTCTACTGCCTCATCATCCCCAAATTTACTCAGGCACCAAAATTTAAAACAAATAATCTCTCACTAAGTATTTGGATGGCAACAGGTTGCTTTCTAAATCTGCCGTAAATGCGCAGAACTGCAACTAGATACAAGTGGAAAAATTTGGAATTTTGGAGGCTAAACTGGGAATTTAACCGACACTTCTAACATTGTTCCCATAAGGAATTGCTTTCTGAATTCAAATAGTTTTGGATTATGACTTTTTACATGTAGGGATTGCCTATATTTCTAGTTGTGTACCTTGTAAACCAGAGTAAGTTGTTTCCAAACATATCTAAATGAGTACAGCTCAGAGATTAGACTGTAAAACTGAGATAATAAAATTTGGTTTGGGCCAGGATCCCAGCACTTTGGGAGGCCGAGGTGGGTGGATCACGAGGTCAGCAGATCGAGACCATCCTGGCTAACACGGTGAAACCCCATCTCTACTAAAAATATAAAAAATTAGCCGGGCGTAGTGGCGGGCGCCTGTAGTCCCAGCTACTTGGGAGGCTGAGGCAGGAGAATGGCGTGAACCCGGGAGGCAGAGCTTGCAGTGAGCCGAGATCGCGCCACTGCACTCCAGCCTGGGCGACAGAGAGAGACTCCGTCTCAAAAAAAAAATAATAAATAAATAAATAATTTGGTTTGGGCTGGGTGCAATGGCTCACACCTGTAATCCCAGCATTTTTGGAGACCAAGGCAGGAGGATTGCTTGAGGCCAAGAATTCAAGACCAGCATGGGCAACATTGTGAGACTCTGTCTCTACCAAAAAAATGTAAATAATAATAAATATAGCCAGGCAAGGTGTTGCACCCCTGTAGTCCCAGCTGCTCAGGAGATGGAGGTGGGAGGAACACTTGAGCCCAGGAGTTCAAGGACACAGAGAGTTATGACCAGGCCACTGCACTCCAGCATGAATGTAGAGAGAAAGATCCTATCTTTTAAAAAAAAAAAAACAAAAAAAAACAAAGAAAAAACAACACTTTGTTCAGGAAGGATTAAAGGACATACTTTAAAATAGCTAACATTATAGAATATATGATAAATACTAAATACTACTCAGTGTTCAATTTACTCTAACAGGTGAATATTTCAGAGAAATTATACGATTGAACTTATGAGCCATATGTTCATTTTGGGTTTGTTTTCTTACCGGTATTTAGAAAGATATTAATCACAGCCAAAATTTATATTACGAAAAATGAGATGATTGGCTTAGGTGATCTCTGAGTTTACTTCTAGCTCTAAAGGTATCCTACAACTCTGCAATACTCAGAATCCTGTTACAACTGCATACAACTCACAGAAACTTTGTTTACATTTCAGAACCAAAATTAAAATTATTTCCTTATTTACAGATTTTTTCCTATTAAGCAAGTAATTGTAAAATAGTTCTCTTACAGATTGTATCAATATAAAATGAATCTCAGTCCCCCTTGAAGCTATCTTGTGTGATGTTAAACATATACATACTATTATATAGGCCATCCTATAGGTTTATATGTATGTTACAAAGAAGGTGGTCAAAGGTTGGATTTCTGAAAAATTAAACAATAGGCAAGTTGTAAAGAATCTCATCCTCTTATAACTACAAAATATTATAAAATCCTTAATTGTGGTTTCTGCAGGCAGGTGAAAATGTCAGCAGGAGGATGGAGTAGAAAGTACATATGATTAGAAAGAAGTTGCCAGCAAAGGGCCTAACAGCCAACCACCTGTCATCCCAAGGAACTGAGGGAGCTGAAGAAAGGCATCCATTCTCCCATCTATTCCCGAATGCAGACACTAGGTGTCCATGAATTATTAACTCTATGTTGTCCTCACCCATCCTTAGCCAGCTTCTTATCCAAGGCTACACAAGGACCCGGGAACAGGAGTGGGAAATGGGTCTGCCCAAGAGTAGCTCCCTACCTTGGAATCCAGCTGACATGGGAAAAAGCCAAATCTACTGGTTTAGGAACTCTGCTACCAAAAGGAATTTCCATCAGTGAAATTTCAAAATCCTCATTAGTAAGGTGATACTTATACAAATCCACACCCAAATGATAATATAGAAGAGTTTAAGTAAAATACAAAAATATAGACTTGCCACTTGCACTGGGTCATTGAGAGCCTCTTTCCCCCAGGTACACATCCAGCTGGAAAATGAATTGAGTACTTAACTCCTGTGGTTCTTATAGTTCACTTTGTTGGGTTATCTAAGTAAAAACCTGTGGAAGGAGACTCTCCTGCCTACCTGGTTTGAGGCACTGTTTAGGACTAGCTTCCTGCTTGTCCCAAGGACTTAAGGCTCTCAAAGGGCTCAAGCTGGACAAGTTAATCCAGTTTTCCCTTTCTTATGGACTATATTGCTGGAAAACAATTCCCTTTACTTTGGAACATTCCAGTTAAGGAAATTTTTTCCCAGCCACTATCCTCCATCCAGGCTGGCTCAGGTGCTACCTTTGTCAAAAGGGCTCTTCACCCCATACTCACTATTGTATAGATCATCTCTGTACAGTCTCTGTACAAAAAGACTGTACAGTCCTCACCCATATGGGTATCTCTGTACAGTCTTCACCCACAAGGGTCTCTGTTCAACTTCCCTGAAGACAATTATATACCATGAATACACTGATCAAAAGTAGTGTGCATAAGAAATATTCATAATGCTAGGATTATGGGGGAGGGAGAATGTAACCAAAGTATTTGGAATTGAGTAAAACAATAATTTCAAATACAGTAATAATGGAAGAATTTCTCCATATCCTGCAATTAATGGTGGATTTCCTTTGAAATATTCAAGGGGGTGCTTGAAAAGACACAGGTGGGATGGGGCCTTGGGGACTCAAAAAGACCACAGGTGCTCACTAGATCCACCATATGCAGATGAACAATCACATGAAACTCCAGGATAGGCAGTGAGTATTCTTTGAAAACAAAATCACGTTATCACTTTCATAATGTGAAAGCAGGAATTTTAAAGGCCACAAAAATCACAATTTCTATATGGACAAAGAGCCCATCCTTGAGAAGATTAAGTTATTAAGTGCTGTAGATCTTCTCTTCATCTCCCTAAGCATCTACATATTTATTAATCATTTCTTCTCCCTGGTCCTGACACATAAATCACAGAAAAGCCCTAGACAAAAATGGCTGCACTCAGATGGCATTTCTATTGTAAATTATTTGAATCCTTTTGAGTCTACCATTGCTGAACTTATAGTTAAAAATACTGATCAAAGAAGCAGAGGACAGTTACTGGATACATGGGGCCAAAGACTACAGGTAGGAACTCAGATAAGAGATTCAGATAGATCCTCAAAGATAGATTATTGACAATGTCACCTTTATAACTAATAGATAAATAATTCCAGATGACACATGGAAACTGTACTACGAGGGTCTATCACAATAAAATAAAGGTCATCAGTTTAAGTATTTCTTATGACTTTCACTTTTAAATTTGATTTATATTATGTGATATTTGCTAGAAAGTAAGGCCATAGGGGCAAGAGCTTTGTCTGTTTTGTTGGGTGATATGCTTCCTATGTGCTAGACACTGTATATTTTTAAAGTATATTTACATAAAATATACATGTATGTTTATGTAAATTTATTATGTATCTAGGAAAATCTCATATTAGAAGTAAAAAAAAAAATCACAGAAAACTACTGCTCAGTGTAGTGAGGGTTTATCTAAGAAATGAGCTATTCAATAAAACTTTATATTAAAAAAACTTATAAATATCCATATAACTTAAATAGAAGCAAAAGAGATATTCAAAGGATCAGCTGTTGGCTAGATATTTATTGTTAAAATGTAAACTGCATTTATTCATTGAGAGAAATAAGAAAGAAATTAAGCAAGATGAAGCAGATGCACATAAGTTACATGTAAATTTGCTCATAAAAATTATCCCATTGTTCAATAACAATAAGCAATTATAACCATCCATGGGCACATACAGTCTTTAAAATGCATTCTACAAATGAATTCTTAAAGAGACACAGTAAAACTAGTCAAGATTCCACATCATCTAGCTTTACCAAATAATTTCCTCCTTATCTCACTAACCTCACAGTTCAATCCCTAGAAATCTAAAATTTTAGGATGCGTCAGGATCACCTAGAGCCTCATTAAAAGAGATTGCTAGGCACAATACCAGAGATATGACTGAGGAGGTCTTGGTTGAGGATCAAGAATTTGCATTTGTAATAAGTTCCCAGGTAATCCCAATGCTGCTGGCCCAGCAACCACACTTTGAGAACCACTGTCCTAGAATTTTTTTTTATTTTTCAACACATTCATTTTCAAAATCTCAGGGCCCAGTAAGTCATCCTTAGGCCTATGTATTTGATTATATGAATAACAGGTCACAAGTGAAATAGGCTAAAATCAGCTTATTCATATATTCTTTGGGTGAAACTGATCTTCCAAAAGCATCTTTTGCTAAAACAAATTCTTCAAAGAAATTAATTTCTATATTTTTAAAAGCATATTTGAATTGAGATAAATTCCTTCTAACATATGGTACATTATCTTCAGTTTTGAGATCTTTCAAATGCTTACTCTGTGTCTTTTTGAAGTCATGTAATCTTAATATAGCTCAACACTTTCACCTTAAGATCTCAGAGGAAATTTTATTATAGAACATCATCTACTCTAAAAAAATTGTAGAACAAACCGACCTTGACTTCTTTATGGAGAACTTCGTGTAATGTGTCAGTTTCTTCAAAGTATAATAATTGAGTAGAGTAAAGAGAAGATGTCAGTCTTTAAATCAAAATAAAATGAAGCCCTAATATGTTAAACACATCCAGAATAAAAGTAGTGACTTACAGGGGCTATGAATTAATCATAAGCTTAACAAAATCATTTTTAAATAGTAAAGAGTTATTTTAAACAGTAAAAACTTAATATTGAAGACTCTCCCTTTCTTCTGAAGAATGTAACAAGTTTGTATGGCGACTAGAAGCACAGAATTTCTTTAACTCACTGCAAGGTCCATCCTGAGGACCTGTCTTTTCTTGGTACCTTTTAGGAAATATCTAGATGAAAGTTTTCGTGCTATTGTTTGTCCCCCACAGTAAGACACCCCTAAACCCTTTGTAATTTTGTAGCTCCCATTCCTATGGGCTAACAAATCTTACACTATGATGAATGTTCAGTGTTACACTATAAATGTTGGTGTCTTCCCCAAATTCATATGTCAGAACCTAATATTCAATGTGATAGTATTAAAAGTTGGAGCCTTTTGTGGGTATCAGGTCATGAGGGCTCTACCTTTGCGCCTTTTGCTACATGAGAATGAAGCAAGAAGGTACCATCTTTAAAGCAGAGAGCAAGCCCTTGCCAGACACAGAATCAATGCCTTGATTTTGGACTTCTCAGTCTCCAGTACTTTAAGCAATAAATTTCTGTTCTTTATAAATTACCCAGTCTAAGGTTCTTTATTATAGCATCCCCAAATGGACTAAGATGTTTGATGCATCACTGTTTATTTCTCTACAGAATCTTCTGAAGCACCAGATATCCCTGAATTTCCTATGAGTTACTTTAACAATTCTCAAGACAATATTCATCTGTGGAATTGCCTTTTATCTATATTAACCGAGAAACTGCATCAACCATTTATAAGCAGAGTTCCAACATACACATTCACCACTAAATGTTTATTTAACTATTAGCAGAAAGTTAGCAAAAAACCAAGAAACCAAAAATAGCTAAATTTTTAGAATGATCTTTGTGATGAAATTGGCCACTAAGGCATTTGGTCAATTACTTACAGTAGTTGCTTCAAAAGCATTTATTGATTTGGTCTATTGTACATACTTAACAAGTTTCTAATTTAATTAATTAGAAAATTAGATAGGCATGCTGTCTAAAAAAAATTATTTAAAACATCTTTGAATAATCCCCCCAAAAAGCCAGTTTAAATGTACAAGCTATATAATCCAGTGGTTCTTAATTTTAACTGCATATTGGAATTCTCTGTGACGCTTTTTAAAAAACTGATGCCTGTTCCCCACCCCCAGAGATTTGTATGCAATTGGTCTATGAGTGGTATAAATGTGATTCTGATGTGCAATCAGAACCATGGACTTAGTTGAAAGTGTTTATGGATGAATCAAAAACAACCATTTTCCTTAAGTACCAAAATGACTAATTCTTTGTTTCATAATAATTCCTATAATTGGATTAAATCGTATTTTAAACAGGGTAACCATATAACTTATTCTCCATACCAAGACACTTCTGAAAGTGAAAGAGGTTACTATTCATGTTTGGCCTAGGACAGTAGGGATAAACTAGGACTCTCCTGGGCAAAACACAGAGCCTGATAACCACTCTACTTATAAACTATCTTATTTGTATGTGGGATTTTAAAAAAACTGTACAGTTGTAAATGCCAAAAGATTTTAAGGTTTATGATGACAGAAGACAGCTCAAATAACACTTGAAAGGTTAACATCTAGATTCCTGATCTACTAGATAAATGCCTATTTATTTAGGATCACATGTAAAGAGATTTTTGGAGTAAATTAAGATTTGCTGGGAGAGCAAGCTAAAACAGTAGAGATAATATTTTAAATATCATTATTTTTCTGTGCCAACCCCATTTCAGTGGATAATCACATGCAATAATGCTGACTCTTAAAAACGGTAGATTAAAATAGTTCATTTCTGTTTTTAATTAAAATTGAGAAAGTAGGAACTAATAATATAATGCGTGTCAGAGCTGTATGTGTGCAGCATTAAAGATAAGAAGGGGATTGCAACAAGGGCTTGCTTCCTGAGTTCCTTGAAAATTCTCAAGGAAAGAAGAGAGCCTGGAAGCTACTGGCTGCCACACTGGCACATTTTGACATATGAGGCAGCTCTTTTGTTGGTTGAGGTGCCTAAAGCCATTTCTTAGATCCTCTAATCACTCAAGGTCACCAGCAACACTGTCCATGTACATCTAGTCTGAGATTCTCTGCTTTCTCTATAGGATCTGATGGATACAACAGGTTTGGGGTGTTTTTAGTGGTAATTTCTAGTATCAGACCTTACTGCCAGCTGGGCTTGAAGACAGAAAGGGAAGCAGAGCAAGATGATAGGAAAATGTCCCATTTTGCATGAAGACTTAAATGAAAGGGTCACAGGTGTCTGAGCAAAAAAAAAAAAAAAAATTCAGGAAGCAATATATTGTTTTATAAATAAATCCCACCAGATTTTTAGATAAAGTTGATTTACTGTCTCCCCCATGCCCTTCCTGAATTAATGAAGTCCTCACAGTACAGTAAATATAATTTCCTGTTTATTTATTTTACAAAAAAATGTGACATGAGGGTTATCAAGATGCCCCTCTCTGCACAGATTATGAATGTCTTTAAGTGAATGCAAATCTGAATTTATAAGGGCTTTACCTAGTTGCATCAGAACTGGTTGTATTTACTAGTCATGCTATCTTGTGACAGCAATCATGAAACTGAATTCCATGGAAGACTTTATCCATAGCCAGAAACTGGAACAACAGATTTTAAAGTATTCAGATGACAAAGAATAGCTTAAACTTTAAAAACAAACAAACAAACAAACAACAACAACAACAAAACCCTCACACAGTAAGGAATTCTTATTTGCACCCCAGAGCTGTAGAGTCCTTAAGCCCTTAAAGAAGCATTCCCAAAATGCACAGTTTATATCACCAGATGCTTGAAATATTTATTAGTGTTTACCCAGAACAATAGCTTCCTAATCAAATATTTTTGTGGAATGCTGAATAACAAAGTTAAATGGATTTCATAACAGCAGCCTCTTCAAGGTCTAAAATGCACAGTGAATTCCAACAAGTGAGACAGAGGTTGCATGTTTCCATGAGATTATGAGGTTATGGAGTCCTTTTTTTCTTAGGGAAGCTCATGGAACTAAAAGTCTGTAGAATATGATGTAAGACATTCTGCATCATGGTCAATAATTTCTATAACAAGAACCTTTCCTTAACTTTCCTGTTACAACTTAAACCAGCTACTTTTTGTCCAAACTTTGTGGAAATTGAGAAAATTGACGACCAGTCTAGAGGTCTATAGTCAGCAAACTATCCTTTAAGAATTAAAGTGAAAAATGAGATTTTGACAGACAAAATTGAGTCACCACCAGCAAACTTTTAAAAATAGAAATACTGAAATGTATTCTTTAGGCTAATAAAAGGTCCCAGATTGAAGTGCAGAGGTATAAAACATAAACCATAACAATGAAAATGGTAAGTTGAAAGAAGGTTTAATGGAGTTAAAATATACTAAGATCCTTGCATTGCCAAGAAAGTGGTAAAAGCAAAACTTATATTAGACTTTAGTAAATCAAAGTTGCATGTTATAATAGCTACATTTAACATTAAAGGGGAGTAAAAGTATGTATAACTACTAATATAATAAAGGTAAAAATAATTTAAAATACTCAATAAAAAAGAGGCACAAAAAAAGAATTAACACTAGCTTAGTATATATAGTACTTAGTACATGATACAAATAGAAAACACATAGTAAGATAGAAACTTAATTAGACCTCTAATTAGAATAAATGTAAATGAACTAAATCATTCAATTAAAAAACGTCAGAGCAGACTTCCAAAAACACACAAACATAAGCTGTTATGTTTTGAATATACGTGTCCCTCCAAATTCACATGTTGGAACGTAAGATCCAATGTGATACTATTAGAAGGTGAGGCTTTTAGAGTGTGATTAACTCATGTAGGCTTTCCCCTCATGAATGGGATTAGTATCCATATAAAAGGACTTGAGGAAACTAAGTGGCCCCTTTTGCCTTTTTGATTCTGTCACATGAGGACACACCATTTGCCAATTCCACTATGTGCTTTCTTGGAAGCAGAAAGCAGCCCTAACCAGAAATAAATCTACCGGTGCCTTGACCTTCGACTTTCCAGCCTCCAGTATCATAAGAAAATAAATTTCTGTTCTCTCTAAGTTGCCCAGTGTGAGATATTTTGTTATAGAAGCAGAAATGGACAAAAACATAAACTACTTACAAAGGCACATCTTATACATAAGAATATAGAAACAATGAAAGTACAAGTATGAAAAAATAAATGCCATGCAAAAATGTGAGCCCCAAAATTGATATATCTTATACATTAATATATCCCCAAATCAGTCAGTTCAGCAGACTTTAACGCAAAAGTCATTACTGGAGGTGAGGAGACACATTTCATATATAAAGTTTTAATTCACCAAGAAGATTAAACAATTGAACATTTGCATAAACTTAACAACCTAGCTTAAATACGTACAAAGAACTGAAAAGAGAAGTGGAAAAACCTACAATCATAGTGAGAGATTTTAACACACCTCTATCAATAGTTGATAGAACAAGCAGACATTAAATTAGAAGGGATATAAGGAATATGAAGGATTTGAAGAATACAATTAACAATCTTGACCTAATAGATTATCGAACAAGAATCTCAATGTCAAATGCAGTTTTTATTGAGATGAAGAGAGAATGAATTATTTGAAGTTCCTTCCTAAGATGATAGAATGTTGGATTTTGAAAGAACATGAGAGATTACTACTCAGCCTGACAAATAAAGAAAAGCTGACACCTGAAGAGATTGAAAAACTGGTCAAGATCAAGGATGTACATGTGCAAGGAAAGCTGGGAAAACAATTCAAGTCTATTTCTACTGCAGAGCATTTTCCATTTCTCCAAGCGACTTCCCCACTCCTACCTGCTTTTTTGTCGTTGTTGAGATGGAGTCTCGCTCTGTCGCCCAGGCTGGAGTGCAGTGGCATGATCTCAGCTCACTGCAAGCTCCGCCTCCTGGGTTCACGCCATTCTCCTGCCTCAGCCTCCTGAGTAGCTGGGACTACAGGTGCCCACCACCATGCCCGGCTAATTTTTTTTTTGTATTTTTTAGCAGAGACGGGGTTTCACAGTGTTAGCCAGGATGGTCTCTATCTCCTGACCTCGTGATCTCCCCACCTCAGCCTCCCAAAGTGCTAGGATTACAGGCATGAGCCACTGCACCCAGCTCCTACCTGCTTTTTGTTGTTATGGTTGGGAAATTTTTTTAACCAAAAAATACGGAATGTAGAGTTGTGAGACTTGTGTTTTGACTTGCTCTTAAGAACAAGGTCTCATTTTTCAAAAATATCACTGTCTTTATACCTCTTTCTCACAGCACTCCTGCCAGAATTTATACATTTATACATTTGTTGCATATTTCTAATAAATTAACTCTATCATTTACCTTCCAAATTCAGTTTTTAGAAGACAGTATACCATAATTATAAGTAGATAAAGACATACTTAGAGGAAAGTACCAGCTACCCAGTAAATATATATTATCTCTTATATTCAGGGCCTCTGAGTTTCCAAATTGCCCTAAGGAAACTGGTGACAATGAATGCCATCTGTGGAGAAAATCTGCAATAACACACAATTCCATTTCAGTTCTCCAGGGAGTTTTATTCTCATTTTGTCTATTACCTGGTAACCAGGAAAGCATATCACAGAGACACTGTAGGAAAAACAAATGTAAAATATGTGCTTCAAAACACACTGGTACAAGTGATGGCCCTTTCAATATCCATTATTCTTAAATTATTTTCTCTTTAGCAGATTTTAAGTTTTGTAACTGTATCCGTAATAAAAAGTTTTTTTCTTATCATCAAGTACCACATGGGGAGCTTATATTGAGGTCATGTATCATAAATGCTTATAAGGTTAATAAGGACCACCCAATGTATTATTCTAGAAGCATCTTTAACACTTATCCTTTTGTGTAAAACAAACAAAATATTTGTTATGCACAAATATCTCTGGAAGGATTCACAAAAACCTAACAGTGATTAAAGGTAATAGTGATTCCACCTGAGAGGGGAACTTTCAGAGAAAGAGCTTGAAGGCAGATATTTTTATTCTCTTTTGTACTGCTTGAATTTTTTTCCTGTTTTAAAAAGGAGTAAAAATAATCAAGCCGTATCTGTTCACAACTGTATTTTGAATGCAAAAAAAAAAAAATTATACCTAGAAAACCCGATAGACTCTGCTCAAAAGCTCCTAGATCTGATAAACAACTTCCGCAAGGTTTTAGGATACAAAATCAATGTAGAAAAATCAGTTGCACTTCTATGCACCAACAACATCCAAGCTGAGAGCCACATCGAGAACACAATCTCATTCACAATAGCCACAAAAAGAACAAAATACCTAGGAATACAGCTAACCAGAGAGGTGAAGAGCTCTACAATGAGAATTACAAAACACTGCTCAAAGAAATCACAGATGACACAAATTAAAAAAAAAATTCTATGCTTATGGATAGAAATAATCAATATTGTTAAAATGGCCATATTTCCCAAAGCAATCTACAGATTCAATGCTATTTCTATCAAACTACCAAAGACATCCTTCACAGAATTAGAAAATACTATTTTAAAATTCATATGGAACCAAAAAAGAGCCTAAATACTCAAGGCAATCCTAAGGAAAATGAACAAAGCTGGAGGCATCACATCACCCAACCTCAAACTATACTACAAAACTACTGTAACCAAAACAGCATGGTACTGGTACAAAAATAGACACATAGACCAATGGAACAGAATAGAGAGCCCAGAAACAATGCTGCACTCCTACAGCCATCTGATCTTCAACAATGTTAACAAAAATAAGCAATGGGAAAGATTCCCTATTCAATAAATGGTGCTGGGATAACTGGCTAGCCACATGCAGAAGATTGAAACTGGACTCTTCCCTTACACCATATATAAAAATCAACTTAAGATGGGTTAAAGACATGAATGTAAAACCTAAAACTATAAAAACCCTGGAACATAACCTAGGAAATACCATCCTGGACATAGGCACTGGCAACGATTTCATGAAGAAGACAATAAAAGCAATTGCAACAAAAACAAAAACTAACGAATGAAACCTAATTAAACTAAAGAGCTTCCACACAGCAAAAGAAACTATCAACAGAGTAAACAGACAGAATGAAAGAAATATCTCTCAGAGGGGAGAAATATCTCTCACAGAATGTGAGGGAGTATTTGCATATATGCATCTGGCAAAGGTCTAATATCCAGAATCCATAAAGAATGTAAACAAATTAAGCAAAAAACAAACAGCACCATTAAAAAGTGGACAAAGGACATAAAAAGACATTTTCCAAAAGAAGACACACATGCAGCCAACAAGCATATGAAAAAATGTTCAACATCACTAACCATCAGAGAAATGCAAATTAAAACCACAATGAGATACCATCTCATACCAGTCAGGATGGCTATTTTTAATAAGTCAAAAAATAACAGATGCTGGTGAGGTTGTAGAAAAAAGGGAATGCTCATACACAGCTGGTGGGAATGTAAGTTAGTTCAGCCACTGTGGAAAGCAGTTTGGTAATTTCTCAAATAACTTAAAATAGAACTACCATTCAATCCAGAAATCCCATTATTGGATATATACCCAAAGAAATATAGATCATTTTACCATAAAGACACATACACCCATATGTTCATCACCACACTATTCACAATAGCAAAGACATAAAATCGACATAGATACCCATCAATGGTAGACTGGGTAAAGAAAATGTGGTACATATATGCCATGGAATGCTACACAGCCATGAAAAAGAATGAGATCATGTCTTTTGCAGCAACATGGATGGAGCTGGAGGCCATTTTTCTAAGTGAACTAACGCAGGAACAGAAAACTAAACACCTCATATTGTTCCTTATAAGTGGGATCTAAACATTGAGTACACAGACACCAGGGCCTACTTAATGGTAAAGGGTGAGAGTGGGGTGAGGATTGAAAAACTACTTATCAGATATTATGTTTATTACCCTGGTGATAAAATATTTTGTACACCAAATCCCCATGACACACAATTTACCTATATAACAAACCTGCACATGTACTCCTGAAAATAAAGTAAAAATTAATAAATAAATAAGTAAATGCTAAACTATGCATATATCTTTACATTTTCCCCTACCTACCCTTTTAACCACAGATCCCTCCCCCAGACTATATGCATACAGGTTCCTATGATCTCCTTATAAGTGTCATGTGCTAAATAATTATACCACTGGAGATATGTTTCATCTCCTAGTAAGTATGTCTTGGCACTGAGCCTAGATTTCCAAAAGCAGAAAGGAAAAATCTAGTACTCATTCATTCCCATCTTCTCTTCCAGAGCCTCTTTACAGACAATATCTCTTTTCAGATACTCAAAACATAAAATATTAGGAATCACATTCCCTTTCCTAGAAAACAAAGCCCCTACCTAACCATCCCCCCTACCATAAAAAAATTGGCTAACCTCAGGGCCTCCAGGAGACACTAAGCCACATCCCTATCAAAGGGGAGGTGCCATCACATTCTCTTAAGGACTCAGAGTGACTCTGTGGCACCTATAACACTAGCGAGGAAAAATTCAATACTCCTGGATTGGGACCAGCCTCTCCTTTCACACCCTGGAGGTGGAGTTAGCTAGCCAGTTGGGAGACTGGAGCCAGTGGACAACAAATCTCAATTTAGTAAAGCAAATTAAGCCAAGTCCCAAGCAGGGAAGATTAAATTTCATTCTGCTTTTTTCTCCATCCAGATCAGTAGGAGGCATCAACCTAAGAACCTAGGAAATTGTTACTGCTTAGAATACTCAAACTAAGCCAATCTATTGCTGATAACACTGGCAGATTTATTCTCTATCTGCAATATTTTTTGTTTTATTTTTCAGTTGGTTTTGAATTGGGGTAGAGAAGGAATCTGGAATCTACCAAAAACCCTAACAGAAATGTTATCATGTTAAATATATATATATATAGGTGATAAAACATACTCTAATTTCAGAAACATTGAAATGCCTTGGATTGAGGGATTTTGAATCAAAGAAGAAGCATGTATTCTTATAACCCAATCAGTTCATACTCACTCCTCCTTCAGTTGTTGAATTCCCAATCTTGGCATACTTTGTTATCCCAAATCTAGCTACTCCTGCAAGCATGTTTGGTAACTGGTAATCAGATAGTGGTAGACCATATTTCAGTGTCTTAAACAAGAAAAATAATAATCATGCCAACCCATAAAAAATCCTCACTAATCATACCAAATATCAGTAAAACATTCTTAAATGGCTATGTAATAACTCAACAGGAATTTCTACCTGACATAAAATGTTTAATACACCAATAGCCTCATCAATGAAGCCCAATAAACTTATTGGCTATGCCTGTTTGTGAACAGTATGCATGGATAATGGATAGTATCAGGTGAGAATTTCTTCTTCACTATAAAAACATATTTTAAGATAAATAATAAAATAACGTGTCAAAGATAATAAATTGAACCCTAAGTTAGTATCCCCAGGAACCTGGCAGGAGAAAACATGGGGCTGATGGAAAGATAAATCCTCGGATACCATAAAACATATTTAGACAATGGAGCCAAAAAGACATGATCTTACTGAGAAAAAAATCTCAGATGGAGACACTACTCACCCATATTTTCTCTGTCTCTCCTTTCTTCCCTCCTTCATTCACTAAAAGAAAATTGTGGAAAGAGATTAGCATCTGTTCAATGGACCATACCCCAAGCACATTAACTCCTCATAGCATTGTTACAAGATAGGAATGATTGTCCCTAGTTTGCAAATAAAACATTGAGATTCAGAAAGGTTAAGTTACTTGCCCATAAGTCAGGTCACAATGTAGCCAGTAAATGGCAGA
Organism: Homo sapiens; assembly: GCF_000001405.40. NCBI lineage: Eukaryota > Metazoa > Chordata > Mammalia > Primates > Hominidae > Homo > Homo sapiens. Next base: position 181,088,689 of record NC_000003.12, on the reverse strand, counting down.
ACTGAGATCCATGTCCTGTCTGACCTAAAATCCCTAGTTTTTCCCATTAATTCCATCCTTTTAGTTGTTCAGGCCGAAAGTCTTAGAGTCATCCTTGGCTCTCTCTTTCTCTGACAATTCACATCTGACCTCTCAGCAAACTTGTTGGATCTACTTCCAAATATATTCAAAATCTACCCAGCCCCCAGGACTCCTCTGTGACCATTCTGTCCATGCTGTATCATCCTGTCTTCCCGGGATGACTGCAAAGCAGCCTAGTCTCCCTGCTCCTGCCCTTAACCCCTAGTCTGTTTTTAACACATCAGAGTGATCCGAATCTACCCTAAGTCAGGTCATATCTCTCCTCTGCTTAAAGTTCTTCAAGGGGCTCCCAGAGTCGCGCACAGAGGCATATGAGACCCGGATTCATCCACGCACCCACTCCACATACCCTCTGACTCACTGCCTGCCCCTCTGTCTCACTCACTCCACCCCACCACTCTGAACACACCAGGCTTGCTCCCACCCTAAAGTTATTGTACTAGCTGTTCCCTCTGCCTGGTACATTCTTCCCTCATATGGCCACCTGATTCCTTCCCTCTTCGGGATTTTACTAAAATGTCACTTTCTCAATGAGGTCTACCCTGAAATCACAGTTCTCCCCCACCTCATCCCTGATCCCCCTCACTCTGCTTTATTTTCCTATGGCACTTATACTCTCCGATATTGTGTGTGAAGTATTGTGTATATGGTTTGTTGTCTTTCTCTACCCACTGCAACGTAAACTTCATGAAGTAAGGATTTGGGAGGGGGTTTTTGTTGTTGTTCATAGATATATCAAGAGTCTAGAACAGTACCTGGCATATTGCAGGTGCTCAATAAATATTTATTGTTGCACACTGTCTCCAGGCCTTCTACTACCACATCAGTAGTTACTTCTTCATCTTTTAAAATATCTTTGGGTCATATGGCTCTATAAGAATCTGATGAAAGCTGTGGACTGTCTTCCCAGGAAAACACAAATGAATATTCAAACAAGTCCTTGTTTGTTTCAGTAGGTCCATGAACTTTCTGAAGACCACCATGGTGATCTAAAGCTATAAAGATATAGACTACTTAGGTACCATTGATAGGCCATGAATGGAGTAACAGTTTCTTTGCAGTGAGTACACAAAGCACCAGGTGTCCTGTATTATGGTAAGTGCTGGAGCAGGAGCTTCCAGAATGAGGACTTAGTAGACATAGGAGAGGCTCAGAATAAGATGATGCTGGAACCAAAGCAGCAGTAAGTGGAAAGACCATTGAATGGTCTTTCGGACCACCTCCTCTTTCCTTCTTCTTTGCTACTATCAGGCTGACTACCCCTCCATCCCTTTATCAAATCTTGCCCTGGACTGCATTAAAGTTAGATCAGGAAGCAGGAGCTCGTCTCCCCTTGGTTGGGAAAGCTCCACAAATAGCTTTTGGGTCTACAGTGGTGAGTGGGAAGGGCACTATCAAGGAAAGGAAATTGGAAAGGTAAGAAAATTCCAGTGGCGTCCCAGCTGGGACAGTCATTCCCAATTGTTCATTCATTCATGTGTGGGTGTGACTATATCAGAGACTTCCTTAAGAAAGAGGAAAATAAATATATTTAACGGCTTTTTACTTTTCAGAAAAAAATATCTCTACAAATATATAATCAAAAGCAATCAGAATTGTAAAGTACTAAGAAATGGAAAAATATGTTTATTAGAACACAAAAGATGTTTTAGAGAAGATTAATGGTCTCAATTTTCTTTGCAATGATACTTTAAAACAGTAGACCATTGACTGAAAAATTCTTGAACTGAACAGACAGAAATATTTGGCCTTTCATGTTCCACTTGCTTTCTTGAAACAGAAAAATCATTCAGGTAAATAATAAAATGAGCAGAGATGAGAAGGGGTGAAGGTGCCATTCCGGTAACTGGAAAGCAAACACAAAATTCAACACAACCAGCTTCTTTCAAGTACGCTATTACAGTAGCTCTGAGAGCAGAATATAACGAAACTGAACTGAATAATTGCTTTAAATGTCTTCTTAAAGGGCCAGTGTGAAGAGAAGAGGCTGGAAAGTCCACTGATGTGAAGGAAGCAGCAGTGTGAGGGCTCAGGCAGAGTCTGCCAAGTGAGAGGGGGATGCAGCAAGATTAAGAAGATGGAAGAATCTGCTGGATCAAAAAAGCCATTGATTTCAGTTGTTAGAATTCCCCAAACACTGAAATGTTACAGTTAGGGTGGCCAGGTGAATGGTAACAGTATGGATTCTTCTCAGAACCAGATGTGTAAAATCGATGTTGAAAAAAATCCCACAGACTGAAGAGAAATAAACAGTGTGTATTGTTCTGTTTCTGTAAGGAAGTGACTGACAGCTCTGCGTTCCCTGTGGATGGCCCTGAACTCGGCTCTCCCCTTCAGTCCCATAATAACATTTGTTAGAAACAGGAACACCCAGTCCTGGAGAAGCACCCCCATGTTTACACGGGCCTCTCGTGTCCATGATCTCTTCCAGCCTCAAACAGTCCTGTGTCACCACCTTAGGGGTGTGGTGACGAGGCAAGGTCACTAAGCTCACAGTGTGACTTCCCTGGATCACACAATGTGAAACTGTCAAACTGTCCACTCAAATAGGTCAGAGAACTTCATTAATGTCATATGTCTACAATATCTTCTTCCAAGCCCCAAATTTATAACCCTAGTGAAATCCAGGCTTCACATTGGCTCCAGGAGTTTCTGAACAAGGCAGTCCTTTGAAACACTTTAAGAAACCCTCCCCAGGTTGTGAGCCAACAGCATCAATACCAGCAGGGAACCCATTAGAAACACAAATTCTTGGACCTGCACCCCAGACATACTGAAATGGGAATAGTTAGGTGGTGCCCAGCAATCAGTGTTTTAACAGGCCCTCCAGGTGATGCTGATGCCCACTCAAATTAGGAAGTTCTGACCTACATGATTGAGTTTGTCTAGTGGGGAGGAGAGACTTCCTGTGACGTGGATGTCAGGTCCCATTAGCACACAGGGAGTTTTGAATCAGGTCCTGTAGGGAGAGTAGCCTTTGGAAGCAATCATAACAGTTTTGAGAGCCTACCAAAAGGCTATTCTAAGTCAAACCCCACAAAACTAGGTAAATTTGCCACCAAAATACTACAAGAGATCATTAACGAGTGATCAGGACTTGTTTCAAAGAAAAACTAAAGGATAACAGAACAAATACTACTAACTTTGAAACAAACCAATGGCAAACCACCAGGCTAATTTTTCTGAAAATTTCCTTTTCTCACACAACTGAGTACAAGCATTTAAAGAGCTACTAGAAAAAAAAAATGTCTCCTCCTCTGAAATACCAGTGACATCATGGCATCGTGGTGGCAACAGTATTTACACAGAATTGTACTGACTGTGAAGCATTTTCACATTTCATGCTTGGTACTACCAACTACCAGCCGGGGAAGGTAGGATGGAAATCATTGGCCTCACTTATAGATGAAAATATTGAGTCCTACAAAACTTTTTAAAGCTAAATGATTTGACATTCTGAAATAGGCAAAACTATGGAGACAGTAAAAAAGACCAGTGGTTGCCAGAGTTTGGGAAGGGGAGAGAGGGATGAAGAGGCAGAACACAAAGGATTTTTAGGGCAGGGAAACTGCACTATATACTGTAATGCTGGATACACGGCAGTATACATAACCAAACACACAGAATGTACACCTATAGTGAACCCAAATGTCAATTACAGAGTTTAGGTGATTATGATGTGTCAATGTAGGTTGGTTAACTATGACAAATGTACTACTCTAGTGGAGATGTTGATAGTAGGAGAGGCTGTGCATGTGTGGGGCCAGGGAATATATGGAAAATCTCTGTATCTTCATCTCAATTTTGCTGTGGAACTAAAGCTGCTATTTTTAAAAGTGTATTTTTTTAAAAGCTAAATGAATTAACAAGACTATCCAAATAATTAGAAGCAGAGCCAGGATTAGAACCCAGGTTTCAGACTTCAATACAGACTCCTGTATTGATTCCTATGACTTACTTCCTGTTGATTCCCAAGAACCTTGATGCGGCGCATATGACTGGGAGGGCACCTAGAGCATTTCTGGGTGAATAAGGCCCCTCCATCCCTCAACAGCAGCACAAGTGTGTGTGAAAAAGGAGAGGCGATGATTATGGCAGTTCTGTAAAATTCACCCTGACATGGTAAAAATTTGAATGTTCTTAATTATGTCCACAGTTGTACTGTGTCACATATAATATATATATCATTCATATTTAATGCCAGAAATTTACATTATTATTTAGCATCCTTGGTTGTAGTTTTACCTTCTCAATTTTGTTTCTGGAGTCTAATATTAGACTTAATATCTATTCGGAAAATGTAAGCAACTTGGTGGGAGGGGAGAAATTCTCAGAAGCCTTTCAGAGGCTGGGAGAGTCCAACTTCAAATTCAATATTGGCCTTGGATAATCCTTAGGTAAATAAGTGCATACTTAAAAACACATAGCCTAGAAATCCTTAATATTTCCATGAAACCCTCCATTTATAATTTAGTTTCTGAGTTTCCTATACAGAAAACACTCCTGCAGAATTACCCTCTATTAGTAAGGGTGAAGTGGTAACCAGATCTTACAAAAGCTACAGTCCAAATTCTAATTCTCCCAATAACATCGATATTAGTATGGTTAAAGTGATCTGCTTCTACTATAAGTGCATGCTGGAAACTAAAGAAAATCATCTTTGAAAATCATCCAGAAACTCTATAATTTATAATACCAAGAGTAAGGATCAAACCAAAAAAACTAGACAACAGAAACAGACGAGCAGGTGATCATTTATTAGATTTATCAGACACAAACTTTAAAGTAACTATGATTAATACGTTTAGGAAAATAAGAGTCAAGGTGAAAAAGTTTGCCAGAGAACTGATATCTATGACAAAGAATCAAGTGCAACTTACAGAACTACAAAAGAATATTAAAATCTTTTCCAACAACTACATGAGATTGATAATGAATCTTAAGATAGGTGGAGCCCCGGCCAGGCACAGTGGCTCATGCCTGTAATCCTAGCACTTTGGGAGGCCCAGACGGGCAGATCACAAGGTCAGGAGTTCAAGACCAGCCTGGCCAATATGGTGAAACCCCATCTCTACTAAAAATACAAAAATCAGCCAGGTGTGGCAGTGGGCGCCTGTAGTCTCAGCTACTCAGGAGGCAGTGGCAGGAGAATCACTTGAAACGAGGAGGCAGAGGTTGCAGTGAACTGAGATCATGCCATTGCACTCCAGCCTAGGCAACAGAGCAAGACTCCATCTCAAAAAAAAAAAAAAAAAAAGATAGCTGCAGCCCCAGCCAACACCTTAATTTGCAGTTTTGTGAGAGACCCTGGAGCAAAGGACCCAGCTACACTGTTCCCAGAATCATGACTCACAAAAACTGTGAAATGATAAATGTGTGTTGTTTTTAAGACTGTAAGTTGTTAATCTGTTATGCAGCAATAATGACTAATTCAAGCACATAGAATAAGTGAGTAAAGGGGAAAAAATTAATGGTATGTTTTAAATAAATATACCAGTAATTACTTCAACTGTAAATTAAATTAATATTTTGTAATTAAACTGGATTATCAACTGAATTTTTATTTTAAAGATACAACTATAAGCTGCTTACAAGAGATATGCTTTAAAAATAAACATGTAGAATAGTTGAAAATGAAAGAATGGAAAAAATATACAATACAATTTAAACACAAGAAAAAATTATACTAATGTTTTTGGATAATTAAAATTACTTGAGGTAAAGAGGGAGATTTTATAATGAAAAAAGTCACTTCACCAGGAAAATATAACAATTTTAAATTTGTACTCACCTAAAAGCATAACCTCAAAGTGTATTTTTAAAATACAACAATTTTAAGGAAAAATAGACAAATCCACAATCATAGTGGGAGAGCTTAACGTACCTTTTTCAAAAACTGATAAACAAAAATCAGTAAGAATACAGAAAATGTTAATAGTGCAATTAAGAAATCGACCCTCAAGCATATATAGAACATTGATCCTAAAAACTGCAGAATATGCATTCTTTTAAAGCATATGTAGGGAATTTACTGTAATTGACCACATATCATTCCATAAAACACATTTCAATACATTTTAAAGATTAGAATTTATTTACTTATGTTCTCTTGGCCATACCAGAATTAAGATAAAAATCAATTACCAAAAAAATTAACAGAAAATCTCCAAATGCTGCAAAGTTAAGCACCACACTTAGATAAATAATTAATGGTTCAAGTAAATTTCAAAAGAAATTTTAAAATATTTTGAACTGAAATTTTAATAAATTACATAAACAAAGAAAATGAAAAAGTGCAATCATTACTAAGTAGCATAGGCGTCAGCAAACTTTTTCCATAAAAGGTCAGAGAGTAATATTTTAAGTTTTGCAGACCATATAATTTCTATCACAACTATTGAGTTCTACTGTTGTATCACAAAAGCTGCCCTAGACAATAAGTAAGTGAATGAGCCTGTGTTCCAATAAAACTTTATTTGCAAAGAAAAGTGACAGGCCGGATTTGGCCTACTTTGTTTACTTGAAGAAAAACTAAGATTTGAATAAAAGAAGAAATATAATCAGAGCATACCTTTTAGCTCAGTGGTGAACAATCTTTAGATAGTATTAATATGATAAACTGATTATTGACTTCAGCAATAAATATAATATAATTATAATAGGAGGAGTCGAGAAGGAAAAAGAGCAAACCTACAACTATCAAACAGGAAACAGACTGCCTAACTGAAAAAAACACGAGATTGCAACATAAGCACATGTTTACAAAATACCAGAAAAAAAACACTTTTAAAAGTTTAAAGTGATGGTATTTGGGTAGTGTGCCTGTAAAGAGGCAATAGAAGAGGCTATTGGTTTTTGTTTTGTTTTGTTTTGTTTTGTTTTTTGAACAATAAAGCTTTTTAATCACCTGGGTGCAGGCGGGCTGAGTCCAAAAAGAGAGTAAGCAAAGGGTGGTGGGATTATCATTAGTTCTTACAGGTTTGGGATAGGCATACAAAGTACATTCTCAAGGGCGGGGAGAACATTACAAAGTACCTTCTTAAGGGCTGGGGAGAATATTACAAAGTACGTTCTTTTTTTTTTTTCATATTCAAAATAAATCCAAAGATGCTATTTATTATAAGTCTCATAAGAGATGGTTATCAAAAGGACTTGCATGCCAATGTTTTCTTGTGCCATTTCTTTCTACAATAAATCTATTTGGCTTCTGTTTCATCTTAGCTGTCATAGACATATCTTTTACGTATCATATTGTCAGTACTAACCTTTTGTTTATTAGGACATAAGACCTAAGAATCTAGACATTAATCTGATCTGATTGTTCTGTTTGTTACAGTTAGCCTGTAATCTCTTTTTTTTTTTTTTTTTTTTTTTTTTTTTTGAGACAGAGTCTCGCTCTTTCACTGAGGCTGGAGTGCAGTGGCGCGATCTCGGCTCACTGCAACCTCCTCCTCCCGGGTTCAAGTGATTCTCCTGCCTCAGCCTCCCAAGTAGCTGGGATTACAGGCGCCTGCTACCACATCTAGCTAATTTTTGTATTTTCAGTAGAGACAAGGTTTCACCATGTTGGCCAGGATAGTCTCGATCTCTTGACCTCATGATCCACCCACCTCGGCTTCCCAAAGTGCTGGGATTACAGGCGTGAGCCACCACGCCCGGCTGAACTTCCTTCTTTTTCTTAACGCTGAATAGTATTCCGTTGTAAATATATTCCACATTTTCTTTATCTACTCATCTGTCCATGGAAATTTAGATGTTTTCCACATCTTCGCTATTGTGAATAATGCTGCAATGAATATAGGGATGCTATCCTTATTTCAATTATGTGAATACATTCCCAGAAGTGAGATTGGATCATATAGTAGTTTTTGTTTGTTTGTTTGTTTGTTTTGAGACAGAGTCTCACTCTGTCACCCAGGCTGGCATGCAGTGGCGCAATCTCAGCGCACTGCAACCTCCACCTCCTGGGCTCAAGCAATTCTCCCGCCTCAGCTTCCCAATAAGCTCAATAAATATTTCTTACTAAATGAATGTCATGTTCATCCAAAGAAATACCTTGCAGCTATTTAAAAGAATACGATAAATTTGTATGTTCCAACGTGAAAAAATGACTCTACTATGAAAATGAAAGTAAGGAAGTTCTATGATAGTTTTTTTGTATACACACTCACACACATATGTATGTGTACATATACATGCACATATGTGCGTGTAAGGGAAAATATATATAATATATTCTCTTAAGACAGCATGCTACACACAACATTCAATATTGATAACAGGGGAACATCTGCCTTGTCTTGGTCCCAGTTCCATTTCTAATCCCTTAACTCCTTCAGTGAGGGCCACTAAAGGCTCTGAAATTGAGCTGACCAAAGAAAATTAGAATAGTATTCATATTTTAAGAGATGCATTTGAACTTAAGCTTAAAATTGATGTTATTAATTTAATGGACAAATTGGCAGAGACCTAAAAATAAATGGCAAAACTAAGCCTTAAATCTAAAGTCTCCAGGAAATCACTGACAATGAAAAATGGTGATAGAGTACTTATGAATTTAAACTCTCAGCCAATGGAAAAAAATCAGACACTCAAATTCATATTTTTAGCTCCAGTATATTATTTAAGGCATAGTCTTTCAATATTACTCTTTCCATCTAGCTAAGACTCTAAATAGATAAGATCCATCCATTCATCAAATAGAACACGGTTTGTTACAATGCTAGCTAAAGAGCCTCCTGAGTCTGTCCAATCTACCAGAACAAGTCACCTTCCTCTCCTTTCACTCAATTAATTAAGGCAAACTTCACCACAAAGAAACACCTGTTGTTTCTAAAAGGCCACATAAAATAAAGGGAAAAATAAGACTAAACGAAAGATTTTTAAAACACCTAAGCTTTTATAATAAAATCAAAAGCATCCCCCTTAGAACAAAAGGAGTAAAGATAAGTATTTAAGTTAAAAGGTCATATTTCTAGCTTAGCTAAAAGTTTAAAGTGATGGTATTTGGGTAGTGTGCCTGTAAAGAGGCAATGGAAGAGGCTATTGGTTTTTGTTTTGTTTTGTTTTGTTTGTTTGTTTGTTTTTTGAGCAATAAAGCTTTTTAATCACCTGGGTGCAGGCGGGCTAGGTCCGAAAAGAGAGTAAGCAAAGGGTGGTGGGATTATCATTAGTTCTTACAGGTTTGGGATAGGCATACAAAGTACATTCTCAAGGGCGGGGAGAACATTACAAAGTACCTTCTTAAGGGCTGGGGAGAATATTACAAAGTACGTTCTTTTTTTTTTCATATTCAAAATAAATCCAAAGATGCTATTTATTGTAAATCTCATAAGAGATGGTTATCAAAAGCACTTGCATGCCAATGTTTTCTTGTGCCATTTCTTTCTACAATAAATCTATTTTGCTTCTGTCTCACCTTAGCTGTCATAGACATATCTTTTACGTATCATATTGTCAGTACTAACCTTTTGTTTATTAGGACATAAGACCCAAGAATCTAGACATTAATCTGATCTGATTGTTCTGTTTGTTACAGTTAGCCTGTAATCCCTTTTTTTTTTTTTTTTTGAGACAGAGTCTTGCTCTTTCACTGAGGCTGGAGTGCAGTGGCGCCATCTCGGCTCACTGCAACCTCCGCCTCCCGGGTTCAAGCGATTCTCCTGCCTCACCCTCCCAAGTAACTGGGATTACAGGCATGCGCCATCATGCCTGGCTAATTTTGTATTTTTAGTAGAGACAGCAAAAGGGGAAGTGTTATGCACATTCTTTTTTTTTTTTTGGAGATGGAATTTTGCTCTTGTTGCCCGGGCCACAGTACATTGGCACCATCTTGGCTCACTGCAACCTCCGCCTCCCAGGTGCAAGCGATTCTCATGCCTCAGTCTCCTGAGTAGCTGGGATTACAGGTGCACACCAACATGCCCAACTAATTTTGTATTTTTAGTAGAGACAGTGTTTCACCATGTTGGCCAGGCTGGTCTCGAACTCCTGACTTCAGGTGATCTGCCCCCCTTGGCCTCCCAAAGTGCTGGGACTACAGGCATGAGCCACTGCGCCCAGCTGCTACATACTTTTAAACAACCAGATCTCATGAGAATTCACTGTCACCACCAGAACAGCAAGGGGGAAATCTGCACCCATAATCCAATCATCTCCCACCAAGTCCCTCTGCCAACATTGGGGATTACAATCCAACAAAAGATTTGGGTGGGGACAGAGAGCCAAACCATATCCGTGGACATTCAATTCAAGGCATCTCATGCCAAGTCCAAGGCATGTTCCACAGCAACACACAGTTTCCATGAAGCGGTCCAAGAAATGAAAACAGGATGCAAGTGAGGGAGCCTGCAAGGCTCCTCCCTCAGAGGATACCACTCTGCCTTTCCCACTGGCTGTGATTATCTTTAAACATGTTCTTTCTGTTAATATCTATCTGGGGATCTCATTCCCTCTATAGATTGAGTGCATTCAGTCATTCATTCATGCTGTCTTCTTTTCAATTTCCTCAGAACCCTGCCTAATATTCTGAACAAAGAAAAAAAGATCTGCAAATACAAGTGCTCTGGACCACTTCTTTATGAGAATAAGTTGTCATGAAAATTGGACTATGCTTCATCTCTTTACTCCTGGTATAGCAAACCTCTAGATGTCCCATTCTAAAATCTTCTGTGAAGATTTTATGCTCTTCGGATAAATAAGCCAAAGTTTCCCAAACCTGAATGTTCATCAGAAGTACCTGGGAAATCATTAAAAAATAAAAGCCTGGACCCCAATTTAGGGCTACTGAAACTGAACTTCCAATGTCCTTGAACCAGTTTTTGCCAATCACTGCTGTAAGATACCAGTAGAAATACACAAAACAACTTTTATACCAAGCTGTCCCTTCTTAGACTTTGTTTATGTGTTTAAATTGAGAGACTAACACAATTTAAAGGAATCAAAACAGATCTGTAGCTGAAGGCATCCTGTCCTTGATGGGAACCAGGTAGAAAACAGTGTTAAAGGAGAGAATCGTGCCTACCTACAAGGTGGGAGAACTCTACCTGGAGTTGAAATCAATAGCCCTAGATTCCAGAGTCAGTTCTGCCCCTGTGTAAGTCATAGACTAACACAGGCCTCAGCAGGCTTCTGTGACATTACTCTTTCTTTCTGACTACTCCTTCTTCATCTCCTTTGAACTTTGTTCCCTCTGCTTGTCCTTAAATGTGGCTGTCCTTTAGATTCCTGTCCTCAGTTACTCTTTGAACTATCTACACTAATCCTGCCTCATTTCAAGTCCCCATGTCTTGAATGACTTATCTACGTGCTGATATTTCCCAAATCTGTATCTTCACTTACTGTCCTCAGCTGCACTCCTATGTACAAGACCCCAGAGTTAAAGTGACACTTTACAGCCTTTCCTCATCATTGACCAATTTCTACCAGCTACAGTGGAACACTTTTAACTTTTCATTACTCCTTTTTAGATAAAGACAGATTACCAGCAATAGGAATATGGTCAAGTACATTATAATACTTGTATCTAATGGAACATTACACAGTCATATAAAATGGCAGTTTGAAAAACTATGCAAAATATGGGGAAATAGAGTATATTGTTACAAAAGAGAGTAGTAAATTTTATCTCTATTATGATTATGTGGGAGACAAGAACATGCCACCCCAAAATATGCTTCTTTGGCTTAAGGACTGTTTTGAACCCAAGGCAATTGAGAGGGCAGGAAAGCTCTCTGCTTTCTAATTGCCTAAAAGCAGGATATAAATTTAGAAAGACAAGAGTATCCCTCCCCCCTTCTCTAGCAGGGAGGACAAAGGTTAAGCACTGAAGACAATTTTAGACTCTTATTGGCCTGGAGATGGCATCAGATGACTCTACATGAACAAGATTTACTAACTAGCCCTTATGTGCCATTTATTTGCCTTCTCACAATTTCCTGTCCCTACAGACACAGTTCTCTTCCTTTGTTCTGTCACTACTCTAAAAATTTACTATTCTTTGCTGAAGATGCTATATAAGCTAGAATTCAAAACTACCTCTTTGAGAATTACTCAGCCCCTAGGTATCTCCCACATATATACGAAATATATTAGTAAACTTCTGTTTGTTTTTCTCTAGTTAATCTGTCTTTTGTTATGGGGATTCATTCCAACTAAGAACCCATGAGGGTTGAGGAAAAAGTTACTTTTCCTCCTCTACCATTCTAATCTAAAAAGGTCAAAAGTATTGGACTAGAACTGGAAGGGAATATAGAAAATGACAGTTTATTGTTATTTAGATGTCTGAGTGGTTCTTTCCCATTAAGAGATTTCCATTATTATTTTATCATTTATGCAAATATATAGTTTATATATGATCATCTTAATTTGTGTAGTTATTCTAATCTTAATAACAAGTTTGTGGGGCTAAATAATAATATAACAGCTGCTCTTTAATTTTGTAAACAGTAAGATGCCATAAAGCAACCCAGGCTGTTCTTGTAACATGTTTGTCTTACTAACATACTATGGAAATAACAACCACATCCATCTGCTCATATCTCAGAACACTTTTCCAGGAGTCTCACCATGTCCTATACCAGTATATGATTATGCTTATGAGATAAATGGGATCATTACAACTACTTTAAAGATGAGGAAACTGAGGAACAGAAAGATTTTAAAACTTCATCAAAGGCTAGCCACAGATCAGAATGAATTTTCAACTCATTGATATTTACTCAACTAACAATCAGAATACATGTCAAATTTCTTTACTAACTGTTCTTAGCTGTTAATACACAGTATAATTTGTCTGGGTAAAGAAAATATTATGAAGGAGGGCAGGGCCAAGATGGCTGACTAGAAACAGCAGCAATCAGAGGCTCCCATGGAAAAGAACCAGAGTAAGCATGTGAATCCTTCACCGGCAACCAAGGTATTCAAGTTCTCTCATCAAAACTGACTAGGAGGCTGGTGCGATATACATGGAGAGGAAGGAAGAGAAGTGTGGTACAGTAGCCCACCTGAGAGCCACATGGGTCAGGGGAGCCCCTAACCCCCAGCCAAGGGAGGCAGTGAGTGAGCATGCTACCCAACTGAGGAAACCGTGCTTTTTCCACAGAACTGTGCAACCCCCGGATCAGAAGATCCCACTTGTGAACCCATGCTGTTGGGGCCTAGCATCCCAACCCCCAAGCTGCACAGATTCTCAACAGCCTCTCAGCTGTTGAGCTTCCAGGGAGAGGGGCAACAAGCACCACAGCTGTAGCTGCCTGCTGTCTAAGCAGCTTGAGCTCCTTGGGGGAGGGGCAGCAGCCAGCACTGGGACTCACAACTGCCTAACATGCTAAGCTCCCTGGGTCAGGGGAGGGCAGCATTCATCTCTATAGCTCCAGGCCATGCTTTTCCCCTGCTGGAGCCAGGGAGGCTGGATGGCTTGGTCCCATGATGTGTCCTCCACAGCCCAACACATTGGCTTGGCAGACTGCAGCCAGATTGCCTCTTCAGGCCTGACTCTACACCTCATTCCTCACCGGGCAGGGCTTCCCTGCAGGAACTTCAATAACTCCAGCCAGAGGCTCAGGGACAGAACCAGGGTCTCCCAGAGCCTGAGACCCTAGGGAGAGGGGTGGTCAGAGTCTCTGTGGACCAGCAGACTTAGCCTTTCCTCCTGGTAGTTCTGAGGAATCCAGGCAGCCCAGACAAGTGTGTTTCCCCACAGTGAAGCACACCCCCTCCACCAAGGGGCAGTCAAAGTGCTTCATTAAATGGGTCCTGTTCCCTGTGCCATCCAACTGGGTGAGACCCTTCAACAGGGGTTGTCAGACACCCAATACAGGAGTGATCCTACTGACATCAGGTTGGTGCCCCTCAAGGTCAGAGTCCCAGAAGAAGGAGCAGGCACACATCTTTGCTGCTCTGCAGCCTCCTTGAGTGGCATCTCCAGGTGTGGGAGTGAATCAGATGAATAAAGCCTGAAGTGAACCCCCAGCAAACTGCAGCAGCCCTACAGAAGAGGGATCTGACCACTAAAAGAAAAACAAACAGAAAGCAACAACAACAGCATCATCAATAACAAAAAGGCCCCCACAAAAAACCCCATCCAAAGGTCAGCAGCCTTAAAGATCGAAACTAGACAAACTCACAAAGATGAGAAAGAATCAATGTGAAAACGCTGAAAACCCAAAAAGCCAGAGTACCTCTTCTCCTCCAAATGATCGCAACATCTCTCAGCATGGGCATAGAACTGGATGGAGGATGAGATGGACAAATTGACAGAAGTAGACTTCAGAAGATGGGTAATAAAAAACTACACTGAGCTAAAGGAACATGTTCTAACCCAATGCAAAGAAGCTAAGAACCTGGATAAAAGGTTAGAGGAGCTGCTAACTAGAATAACCAGTTTAGAGAGGATCATAAATGACCTGATGGAGCTGAAAAACACAGTATAAGAACTTTGTGAAGCATACACAAGTATCAGTAGCTGAATCAATCAAGTAGAAAAAAAGGATAACAGAGTTTGAAGACCACCTTGCTGAAATAAGGCATGCAGACAAGACTAGAGAAAAAAGAATGAAAAAGGAATGAAAAAAGTCTCCAAGAAATATGAGACTTCATAAAAAGATTGAACCTACAATTGATTGGAGTACCTGAGTGAGATGGGGAGAATGGAAATAAGATGGGAAACACACTTCAAGATATTACCCAGGAGAACGTCTCCAACCTAGCAAGACAGGCCAATGTGAAAATTCAGAAAATACAGAGCACACCACTAAGGTACTACATGAGAATATCAACCCCAAGACACATAATCATCAGATTTTCCAAGATCAAAATGAAGGAAAAAATGTTAAGGGCAGCCAGAGAGAAAGGCCAGGCAACCTACAAAGGGAAGCCCATCAGGCTAACAGCAGATATCTCAAGCAGAAACTCTATAAGCCAGAAGAGACTGGGGACCAATATTCAACATTCTTAAAGAAAAGAATTTTTAACCCAGAATTTCATATCCACCCAAACTAAGCTTCATAAGTGAAGGAGAAATAAAATCCTTTCCAGGCAAGCAAATGCTGAGGGATTTTTACCACCAGGCCTGCCTTGGAGGAGTTCCTGAAAGATGCAGTAAATATCGAAAGGAAAAACCAGTACCAGCCACTGCAAACATACACCAAAATATAAAGACCAATGACACTATGAAGAAACAGCATCAACTAATGTGCAAAATAACCAGATAGCATCATGATGACAGGATCAAATTCACACATAACAATACTAACCTTAAATGTAAAGGAGCTAAATTCCCCAATTAAAAGACACAGACTGGCAAATTGGATAAAGAGGCAAGACCCATCGAGGTGCTGTATTCAGGAGACCCATCTCATGTGCAGAGACATACATAGGCTCAGAATAAAGAGATGGAAGAAAATTTACTAAGCAAATGAAAAGCAAAAAAAGCAGGGGTTGCAATCCTAGTCTCTGACAAAGCAGACTTTAAACCAACAAAGATTAAAAAAGACAAAGAAAGGCATTACATAATGGTAAAGGAAACAATTCAACAAGAAGAGCTAACTATTCTAAATATATATGCACCCAATATAGGAGGACTCCAATTCATAAAACAAGTTCTTAGAGATCTACAAAGAGACTTAGACTCACACACAATAATAGTGGGAGAATTTAACACCCCTTTGTCAATACTAGGCAGATCAATGAGACAGAAAATTAACAAGGATATTCAGATCTTGAATTCAGCTCTGGATCAAGTGGACCTAATAGGCATCTACAGAATGCTCCACCCCAAATCAACAGAATATACATTCTTCTCAGTGTCACATGGCACTTATTCTAAAATCAACCACATAATTGGAAGTAAAACACTCCTCAGCAAATCCAAAAGAAGTGAAATCATAACAAACAGTCTCTCAGACCACAGTGCAATCAAATTAGAACTCAGGATTAAGAAACTCACTCAAAACCACACGATTACATGGAAATTGAACAACCTGCTCCTGAATGACTCCTAGGTAAATAATGAAATTAAGGCAGAGATCAAGAAGTTCTTTGAAACCAATGAGAACAAAGAGACAATGTACCAGAATCTCTGGGATACAGCTAAAGCAGTGTTAAGAGGGAAATTTATAGCACTAAATGCCCACATCAGAAAGCTAGAAAGATCTCAAATTGACACCTTAATATCATAAGTAAAAGAGCTAGAGAAGCAAGAGCAATCTAATCCAAAAGCCAGCAGAAGACAAGAAATAACTAAAATCAGAGCAGAATTGAAGGAGATAGAGACACAAAAAACCCTCCAAAAAAAATCAATGAATCCAGGAGCTGGTTTTTTGAAAAAAATTAACAAAATAGATAGACAGCTAGCTAGATTAATAAAAAAGAAAAGAGAGAAGAATCAAATAGACACAATACAAAAACGATGAAGGGGATATCACCAATGACCCCAAGAAATACAAACTACCATCAGAGAATACTATAAACATCTCTATGCAAATAAACTAGAAAATGTAGAAGAAATGGATAAATTCCTGTACACATACACCCTCCCATGACTGAACCAGGAAGAAGTCCAATCTCTTAATAGACCGATAACAAGTTCTGAAATTGAGGCAGTAACTAATAGCCTACCAACCAAAAAAAGCCCAGGACCAGATGGATTCACAGCCGAATTCCAGCAGAGGTATGAAGAGGAGCTGGTACCCTTCCTTCTGAAACTATTCCAAATAATTTAAAAGGAGGGACTCCTCCCTAACTCATTTTATGAAGCCAGTATCATCCTGATACCCAAAACCAGGAAGAGACACAACAAAAAAAGAAAACTTCAGACCAATATCCTTGATGAATATCAATGTGAAATCCTCAATAAAATATTGGCAAATTGAATCCAGCAGCACATCAAAAAACTTATCCACCACGGTCAAGTCAGCTTCATCCCTGGGATGCAAGGCTGGTTCAAAATAATGCAAATTCATCACATAAACAGAACTGAAGACATGTATAATCCATCACATAAACAGAACCAAAGACAAAAACTACATGATTATCTCAATAGATGGAGAAAAGGCCTTTGATAAAATTCAATGTTCTTTCATGTTAAAAACTCTCAATAAACTAGGTATTGATGGAACATATCTCAAAATAATAAGAACTATTTGTGACAAACACATGCCAATAGCATATTGAATGGTCAAAAGCTGGAAGCATTCCCTTTGAAAACCAGTACACAACAAGGATGCCCTCTCTCACCACTCCTATTCAATATAGTATTGGAAGTTCTGGCCAGGGCAATCAGTCAAGAGAAAGAAATAAAGTGTATTCAAATAGGAAAAGAGGAAGTCAAATTATCTCTTTTGCAGATGACATGATTTCATAATTAGAAAACCCCATCATCTCAGTCCAAAAACTCCTTAAACTGATAAGCAACTTCAGCAAAGCTTCAGGATACAAAATCAATGTGCAAAAATCGCAAGCATTCCTTTACACAAATAATAGATAAGCAGAGAGCCAAATCATGAATGAACTCTCAATCACAATTGCTACAAAGAGAATAAAATACCTAGGAATACACCTAACAAGGGAAGTGAAAGGCTTCTTCAAGGAGAACTACAAAACACGGCTCAAGGAAATAAGAGGGGACACAAATAAATGGAAAAACATTCCATCCTCATGGATAGGAAGAATCAATATCGTGAAAATGGCCATACTGCCCAAAGTAATTTATAGATTCAATGCTATTCCCATCAAACTACCATTGACATTCTTCACAGAATTAGAAAAAACTACTTTAAATTTCATGTGGAATCAAAGAAGTCCCTGTATAGCCAAGACAATCCTAAGCAAAAAGAACAAAGCTGGAGGCATCATGCTACCTGACTTCAAACTATACTACAAGGTTAAAGTAACCAAAGCAGCATGCTACTGGTACCAAAACAGACATACAGACCAATGGAACAGAACAGACCTCAGAAATAATACCACACATCTACAACCATCTGATCTTTAACAAACCTAACAAAAACAAGCAATGGGGAAAGGATCTCCTATTCAATAAATGGTGATGAGAAAACTGGCTAGCCATATGTAGAAAGCCAAAACTGGATCCCTTCCTTACACCTTATACAAAAATTAACTCAAGATGGATTAAACCCTTAAATGTAAAACCCAAAATCATAAAAACCCTAGAAGAAAACCTAGGCAATACCATTCAGGACATAGGCATGGGCAAAGACTTCATGACAAAAATGCCAAAAGCAATTGCAACAAAAGCCAAAATTGATAAACAGGATCTAATTAAGCTAAAGAGCTTCTGCACAGCAAAGGAAACTATCATCAGAGTGAACAGGCAACCTACAGAATGGGAGAAAATTTTTGTAATCTACCCATCTGACAAATGTCTAATATCCAGAATTTACAAAGAACTTAAACAAATGTACAAGAAAAAAACAATCCCAACAAAAAGTGGGCAAAGGATATGAACAGACACTTCTCAAAAGAAGACATTTACGTGACCAACAAACATGAAAAAAAGCTCAACATCACTGATCATTAGAGCAATGTAAATCAAAACCACAATAAGATACCATCGCACACCAGTCAGAATGGTGATTATTAAAAAGTCAAGAAGCAATAGATGCTGGCGAGGCTGTGGAGAAATAGGAATGCTTTTACACTGTTGGTGGGAATGTGAATTAGTTCAACCATTGTAGAAGACAGTGTGGTGATTCCTCAAGGATCTAGAACCAGAAATACCATTTGGCCCAGCAATCCCATTACTGGGTATATACCCAAAGGAATATAAATCATTCTACTATAAAGACGCATGCACATGTATGTTTAGTGCAGCACTATTTACAATAGCAAAGAGTTGGAACCAACCCAAATGCCCATCAATAATAGACTGGATAAAGAAAATGCGGTACATGTACACCATGGAATACTACGCAGCCATAAAAAGGAATGAGATCGTGTCCTTTGCAGGGACATGGATGAAGCTAGAAGCCATCATCCTCAGCAAATAAACACAGGAACAGAAAACCAAACACCGCATGTTCTCACTCGTAAGTGGAAGTTGAACAATGAGAACACATGGTGGGGAACAACACACACTAGGGCCTGTTGGGGGGGTGGGGGATGAGGGGAGAGAACTTAGAGGAGGGGTCAATAGGTGCAGCAAACCACCATGGCACATGTATACCTATGTAACAAACCGGCACATTCTGCACATGTATCCCGGAACTTAAAGTAAAATTTAAAAATTAAAGAAAAAAAAGAGAAAATATTACGTTGATTCGTCTTATAACATGCTCCTTCTTCCTATTTGCTTAGGAGAGCTTTAGAAATTCTTATCTACTCATTTATACATGATGGATGACTTTCAAAAACAATATTGTAAATAGAATCTTTGATTTCAGGTACTCAATTTACATGGAAAATAACAAAATGTAAATTAAAGTGCAATTTTACATCTCCACTTATTTTCCAACTCCACAGAATAATGACCCTTTGGTAGGCTAATTCTGATATTGTTATGACTACAGGTTACTGAGCATCATAAAATGACAAAAAAATAAATTACTAATAAGAATTTATTCAACATGCAATACTATCCTAAGCCAGAATTCTTTTGCATCACTTGGAGAACGGATTTTGTATTTCAGAGAATTGAAAACCAAAGCAGGGGTAATGCTAATCTACCTTAGAAGCAGCATACTGCCATTTAAAAATAACATTATTCTAACCAGCATTCAGCTCATTCTAAGCTTGTCACCTCATGTGTGCTAAACTAGTCAGCCACAAGACTTCCTCTCTAAACACACAAGTCATAAGAGCTCTGAAAACTCAGACAGTGATGGGGTTTTTTGGTCATTTCCTAAACTGTAAGCAGTTACAAACTGTGGAATGAGAGACATTTTATTCTCTTTTGCATTAAGTTGGCAGTTTCACACTCCTGTCAATAAACTTATTTTGTAGACCCTTCAAACTCCCCCTTTTTTTCCCTTAAGGACTTACATCTTGAGAAATTCTGCAGAAGGGAATGTTTTTTAACTTAAAGTATTTGGGAGTGTTTGGAAATATCATTTACCAATAGTTTATTGAATGATCTGCAAATTTGAGCTTCTGATTCCAGCCTCTTCTTGATCAAAGCCACAATAATAAACCTTGTTCTTCTACTCTTCTGTAGTATGGTATTGTAAATTTTATTTTACCCTCTAGATGAGAAGCACAAACTTCTTTAGGCAACTTTTAGGCTGCAGCAAGGCCACTGACTTGCTTTGCTTAGTCCACACAAAATTTATATGAGTTAAATCAATATATGAAAATCAGTTTAATTCACATAAAGATCCAAATATCCAGTTTCTCTCAAAATTTTGGAAAATTTGGCAACCCGGGCCTCTATTCCTATGTAATAATTTGGCTAGGGTGGCATAGTGGTTGTCTCTTTACACAGCAATGAATATTCAGATGACTATAATCCCTGCCAACATTCTCCCAACCCCATCATGTCCCTGACATCAAGATTTCTATGAAACCCAGCTTACTTCATATAATTATGCTACCTGCCTGGTTTCTGTAGTCATTTGAATTTCTGACCTCTTCTGATAGAAATGTTTTCTATTTTATTTCATTAGCATGTATTGCACACCTGACAAATTTTGTAGCAGTGAGGAATATAGCAGGTTACAAGTTCCTGACCTCAGACTGCTTAAACTGTTGTTGCTGGGGCTGAAATGCACACAAAGAGTGGTAATTCAAGGTGCTTAGCATTGAATCACATATAGTGGTTTAAAGCAGGATTCTTCAATAGAATTTTAATGCAAGCCAAATAAGAGCCACGCATGTAATTTCAAGTTTTCTAGTAGCCAGATTTAAAAGATTTTTTATATGAAATTAATGTAATAGGTTTTATATAAACTAATATAACCAACATATTGTCATTTCAACATATAATCGGTGTAAAATAAAACCTACTTATGACATATTTACATTCTGTTTTTTGTACTAAGTCTTTGAAATCTAGCATTTAATTTACGCTTACAGAACATCTCAATCTGGACCAGTCACATCACAAGTGGTCAAAAGTCACATGTGACTAGTGGCTACAGTATTGGACAGAGCAGGTCTAAAGTGACAAGAAGACAAGTGATAGCAACAACTCATCTGACTAGAGATAGCAAAAAAAGACTTCAAGGTAAAAGTTCCATTGGAGAATAAACAGGATGCTGAGGAGAGATGGGCAGGTTAAGGAGCTGTCACGATCTTAGGAAAGCAAAATAAAAATAAGTGGCGGCTGGATGCGGTGGCTCACACCTGTAATCCCAGCACTTTGGGAGGCTGAGATGGGCAGATCACTTGAGGTCCGGAGTTCAAGACCAGCCTGGTCAACATGGTGAAACCCCGTGTCTACTTAAAATACAAAAAAGTTAGCTGGGCGTGGTGGCACCCGCCTGTAATCCCAGCTACTCGGGGATGCTGAGACATGCAAATCACTTGAACCTGGAAGGCTGAGATTGCAGGCACCACTGCACTCCAGCCTGGGTAACAGAGTGAGACTGTGTCTCAAAAAAAAAAAAAAAAAAAAAAAAATCAAGGACACTGTTCTGCTAAGGAGCTAAGATTTCATTCTCTGTGTAATGGTGAGCCACTAAGACATTTTGAGCAAGAAAGTGGCTTATCAGATGTATGTTTAGGATGGATAGTATATGATGCTGGACTAATGTAACTCAAATCAAATTAGTCAGGTCTGACTTCATGAAATAGTTAGAATACCAGGATGGAAGCTCCAGAAGACTGATAATCAGCTCAATACAAAGAATAATTTTCTAAATTGTTAGTATTGCCCTATGCACGATGTCCTGGCTTAAGAGGTTGTAAATTCGACTTTGGGGATGTAGAAGCAGATGCTAGATAACTACTCACCAGTAATCAGGCAAAGTAGAGAAGCTCTTTTGTCCCCTGCAACATACAGATAGCACCCCTATGCTCAATTCCCTTTGAGCGAGCTGTAACTTCATGCCTTTCACTCCCATTCAAGACAGCATATTGGAATGCAGGGGAGAGAGACAGTGCTATTATTACCAAGATAACCTTGAGTCTGTTCTAATTTATTTTTTAAAAGAAAATAAATCACTCTCAACCTTTGTTGCTTTATTATTAGGGGGGTTAGATGAAGCACATTTTATTCTCCTGGCAGCTGGTATGAGAATTCCTCTTAGCGAGAGAATTGCCTTTGTTGAGAAAATGCTTTAGTAGGCCCACTTGGGGTGGATGAGTCCTGCAGGGCAGGGATGTCACTTAAGGCCAAGGATTCAGGGGAGAGGGTGAAACTACACAGCATGAGACAGAGAGAGAAATTTGTTTGCTCTGAAGAGAGAAGGAGTAGAAGAAAAGAAGGTCAGGGTAGAGAAAGAAGAGGGAGCAATTAATGAAATCATTGAGAGACTGAAGTCCTCAAACATTCAATAAAGTTAGAAACTCAGGAAATGGTTGATGTGAGTGGATTTGGGATAGTAAACTAGTAGAGGCACTGAATTTTCATCCAGGTTGACAAAGAACAAAACAAAACACTTACAGATGCAAAACATTACAACAGAGGAAGCTGCAAGAAAACAAGCCCTTAGGAATGCAAATAAATTATGGGGAACACTGAAGACTGGGGTTCAAGCCAGATTAACTTAGAATTACAAGGGTCAGGGGGACTCTGCTAATCTCCTTAGTTATGTTACACTGGTCCCACATTGCTTGTAGTAATAGAGCTCCCATCTGTCCAGACATACAGGAACATCAGATGACCATTATTGAAATAAATCAATTTAAAGGATAGTCAGCACTAGACTTCAGATTTGCAGAGACTGCCTTGTGGACCCTCTTAACTCTGACTTGGTATGACAACTGTTTTATGTGACCACGTGTTCTAAACTACATCAGTTTCATTTGACCAGTGCTCCTCCAAGTGAATTATGATGAGATGATACGCCAGCAAATCCTCGGGTTGCAGAAAATAACACCACACCTCCTCCATTTTATTTGATCATAAATAATTGAAAACCTTGTCGTCTGTTTTTTTTTTTTTTTTTTTTTTTGAGACAGAGTCTCACTCTGTCACCCAAGCTGGAGTGCAGTGGCTTGATCTTGGCTCACTGCAACCTCCGCCTTTCAGGTTTAAGTGATTCTCCTGCCTCAGCCTCCCGAGTAGCTGGGATTACAGGTGTGCACCACCATGCCCAGCTAAGTTTTTGTATTTTTTGTACAGACGGGGTTTCGCCATGTTGGCCAGGCTAGTCTCAAACTCCTGATCTCAGGTGAGCCACCTCAGCCTCCCAAAGTGCTGGGATTCCAGGCATGAGCCACCACACCTGGCTTGAAAACCTTGTCATTTTTAAGCATGGATAGTCTTTAATTATTGTTAGATTGTTAAAAATAAGCATTTAATTTTGCAATAAAATCTGGAGACTTACAGGGAATGACATGCTTTGATTATTCCGTGTTTCATTGCCAGATCTCAGGAGTAGGTGCTTCACTGTCCACTGTTGTAGGTAAACTTCAGTGAACAAGTTTGTGAAGGCCTTGTCTAAATCACGCCAAGGACTTGCTAAAAGCAAGCTCTAAAGATCAATGGTCATATCACAGCTATCTTCAAGTTGCCCTTACATTTTGTGCCACAGTTTCCAAGCAGCCTTGGAGACCCATCTGGTAAGCAGCATAAATCAGCTTCATTATAATCATCAAATGGCATTTAAAGGCTCACACAAATGCAGACATCAGTCTACAAGCTTCACATAAAACTAGATAAATATAGATGTTACCTGTTGTCTACAGTTTACAGCCTGGATGCTGCAACCTAGCTGTGGACTCATATTTATTATAACATACAAACACAGGCCACAGAACCTTGGGGACATAGAGTAAAACAAAATTACACATGGACTAAAGTTGTGCTGTTGATTGTGTGCCTTGTAGACTGGAATGGTGAGAGAAGAAAATTAGTCTAGAATCACAACCAAAACCAAGTGCCCTGGAACTAGACTCTGCGGGTCTAAATCTGGGCTCTGCTACTTCTTAGCAGTGTGATTGATCCTGGGCAAAATAACTTAAGTGCTCTGTTTCTCAGTTTCCTGTGTGTGAAATGGAGGAACTAATCATTCTGGCTCTGCAAGGTTTTGAGAAAAGTTAAATGAGATAGCTGTAAAGTACTTATCCAAGTGCAGTGTACAGAATAAATGCTCAATAAATATCCTCTCTCTCTATTAGTAATTGAAAAGTCTTGACAACATACACTTGTGTGTCCTAGGCACTGTGCTATGGCCACAGACTACACATATGAATCAAAATGCTCAGACTAATTATGGTCTGTAATACAAGGCAGGCTGTGATAAGCACTATAATAGAAGTAATAAAATGTTCCGAGAATATTAACCTGAGGTCATGGACTGGTCTTGTTCATCCTTGTATCCTCAGCATATTTTATCCAGTATCCAGCACAGAATCAACCCTCAGCAAATGATTGGAGAAGAAACAACTGATTTATAGGCCAGGGGAACGACAGAACTAGGAAATACTTCAAAGAAAGGCTTGGTAATGCAGATGGAATTTCAGGAGGGTTTGAAAAAGGAATAAGAGGATGTAAATTAAAGAGTAAAAAGGAATCAAGGAAATGGGAAGAAAGCAGGGCATGTTTTTAAGCACGGGTAGAATCTTTATTATTAGATTGTTAAAATGAGCATTTAATTTTGTGATAAAATCTGGAGACTAAATGATGGATATTTAGGCTGTTTCCACCTCTTATCTATTGTGAATAATGCCACTATGAACATTGGTATACAAGGTATATGATTATCTGTTTTAGTTCCAGCTTTCAATTCTTTGGGTTATATACCTAGGAGTCGAATTTCTGGATCATGGAGAGGTAGGCCTGTTACACATACTACAGTCCTGGTGTCAAAAGAATTTCAAAATATTTACAAATATTCTCTCTAACCCTATGGAGATAACAGTCTTACCAAGGGTGAAAGTGAAAACCCTTTTTCAAGCTACATATTTGGGAGATGCCCCTGGACAAGAGAAAGAACCCCAAATATGTCCAAGTTCTGAACTTTTTGGAGATAATAGGAAGCAGGTGCTCATCAGAGGAACTCTTCCATTCTAAGCTGCAGCCCACCCCAACTATCTGGGATACCCTCAAGGTTTCATACTTTCTCTTGCCTCTGCAACTTGCAATGACTGTGTCTTTTCTTTTTCCAGAGTCTTCAAACGTCCCTTCCCTTTCTCTTCTCTCCCACTCCACTTGCCTAACTCCTCTTTGTGATGAACGACTCAGTTCAGATATGGCCCTTTCTAAAATATTTTCCTTTCTTCTCAGCACCCAAATTGGGGATAAAGACCCACCCACTCTATTTCTTTATCAATCCACAATCTCCCCAATATTACCCTATATTGCAATTGCCTGCTTATTGGGTACCCTCCCCCAACCCACTGTAAGTTCCTCATAAGCAGGCACTATGTCTTATTTATTATTAAATGTTTGATAAATTAACAACCAAGAAGAAAGTTGAAATTACCTTAAACTGTAAAGTGTACAGTTGAAACCATACCATATATGTCATTTAGGCAAACTGTTTAACCCATCTTTAGTTAAGGCCATTTGAAAATTAACGAACAACATATCACTCAGCTCTTCACATTATCAGCTCAAATACGGCTTCCATTTGATCATAGGCTAAAAGGTCAAGTACGCCTCATCTTCCCCATTCATACACATAAGGATCTCAATTCCAGACCCTCAAAGAAGTTTACAAGCACCGTTTCCTTTAATTGTTCTTAAAAAGAGCAATTGAGTTTTCACCTATCAAGTTGCCAGAGAGAGAAAAGTTTAATTAAATACATCATGTTAGGATACGAGGAAACAGGCAGCATCATACACAATTGGTAGAAAGATAACTAACAATCTTTAACTAAGTAACTATATTACAAATGCACATGTATTTGCACATCCTAGGAATTTATTAAGAAAATGTACTCCATACATGCAAAATCACAGGTGTACATGGTTGCTCACTGTTGTACTTTTGGGTGATATTTTTATTCTGGTAAAATATATGTAACAAATTTTACCATTTTGACAATTTTTGAATGTAAAGTTCAGTGGCATTAAGTACATTCACATTGTTGTGTAATCATCACCAGTATCCACTTCCAGAACTTTTTCATTTTCTCGAACTCTGTACCCATTAAACACTAACTGCCCTTTCCCCCTTTCCCCTATCCTCTGGTAACCACTTTCTACTTTCTGTCTATAGAGACAGAATTTGCTTATCCTAGGTACTTCATATAAATAGAATCATACAATATTTGTTCATTGTATCTGACAGTTCACTTAGCATGTGTTCAAGACTCATCCATATTGTAACATGTATCGGAATTTCTTTCCTGTCTAAGGTTTAATAATACTTCATTGTATGTATATACCACATTTTGTTGATCCATTCATTTGTTGATGGACATTTAGGCTGTTTCCACCTTTTATCTATTGTGAATAATGCCACTATGAACATTGGTATACGAGATATATCTGTTTTAGTTCCAGCTTGCAATTATTTTGGTTATATACCTAGGAGTGGAATTTCTGAATCATATGGTAATTATATCTTTAACGTTTTGAGAAACCATACTATTTTCACAGTGGCTGTACCATTTTA
The DNA here is from genome assembly GCF_000001405.40 of Homo sapiens. Lineage (NCBI taxonomy): Eukaryota > Metazoa > Chordata > Mammalia > Primates > Hominidae > Homo > Homo sapiens. The sequence goes on along the minus strand of NC_000003.12, from coordinate 181,061,927 downwards.
CTTCCTAGCCAGTAATGCACAATGATTCTTGGTGTTTGTTTGTTTGAGATGGAGTTTTGCTCTTGTCGCTCAGGCAGGAGTGCAGTGGTGCGATCTCGGCTCATTTCAACCGCCACCTCCCAGCTTCAAGCGATTCTCCTACCTCAGCCTCCCCAGTAGCTGGGATTACAGGCATGCACCACCACCACCTGGCTAATTTTTATGTTTTTAGTAGACAGGAGGTTTCACCATGTTGGCGAGGCTGGTCTCGAACTCCTGACCTCAAGTGATCCACCCACCTCGACCTCCCAAAGTGCTGGGATTACAGGCATGAGCCACTGCACCCGGTCTGATTCTTGCCTTTTTTTATAAGAGCAAAAGATTGGAAGCAACCTAAACATCTATCAATAGGCAACTGATTAAATGATTTATGGTGCATACTGAAAACAGAATACTATGCAACCATAAAAATAGAACAGGAACACCTTTTGCATAAGAATAAGGAAAGAGTTCCATATATGAAGTGAAAAAACAAGATGCAAATGGGAGGTATGTTATGCTAATATTATGTAAAAGAAAAAATATGTATACATGAGAATTTGTTTAGAAATACATAAAATATCGCTGGAATAATTAATGATAATTAAGAAATTAATCACATTTGTTGCCTCTTCGAAGGCAACAAAGTGCCTTCAAAGGAACTAAGTGGTGAGGGGTCCACGCGAGATAACAAGTTTTCACTGTTTAACCTTTTATACTTTTTGAATTTTAGCATATAATTACATGATCTATTGATGGATTGAATTTGAAAACTAAATAAAACCCATTGAATTTTCTGAGCAAAATACATTTGACCCTTCTTCATACTGAAAGTCCACACCACTTAGAGCAGGTACCTTAGAGGGGGTAAAGAAGAGAGTCTCTTGGTTGCAGCATCTCTCAGAAAGCTCCCTATATTTACTTTACATTTCCTATCCACATCTACTCCCCTCATCCTCCTTATTTCCTAAAACAAGCATTTGGGCCCCAAATCTAACCTGCTCCCTCATGACCCTTCCTCTTTATCTCCACACAGGGGAGGATGAACTCACAGTTGTTTTGCGAAAGCCAGAACCCCGCTCCAAGCCTCTAGCAATAACTTTCCCAAAAAGAGTCAAGACACGAAATGAAAATGTCAATCAAACATGTTGAATATAAAGACCTTTCCTAATATGGTAAAATCACAGCATTAAAGTAAAAGCATGGAAAATATAAAAGTGAATCCATCATCTCATCTTTTAAACCCCTTACGTGTCCATGACCCTATCTCTTTAGCACTCCAGATTGGGAAATGAGGATAATGCCTTTTTCTGTATCTTTGAGTAAACACAGGAAAGCATAGTAGCTCATCATTATAGGGAAGACCACAACAATGGCAGAAGGAACAAAAAGTCAAATGCTTGTATTTCCATTGTGTAACTAGACCAACTAGTTCAACAAATATATATATATTTTTAAGTGATTATTTCCCAGGGTTCTCTTTAGGATAATGCAGCAATATTTCCAATTTGTGTTCCTTGTTGATAACAGGTCCTAAATTAGTTACATATGCTTTGAGTCATTTGCCTTTTTGCATCTTTCTTGAAAATCTACAGTTGATAATCACAAGATTCAAGCTGAGGTAAAATATTGTCAGTATTTTTAAGCACCATTTGGCCAAAAACATTCCTTAAGGACACACACACACACCACCACCACCACCACCACACACACACACACACACACACACACACACACACGCTGGTGAGTCATAGACAGATTGTAGCATCTTATTTTGAGACTTCCCTGCCCACCATAATATTGCCACACATCTGGCCCATCTTCAAAATGGTGACTTGTCGCTGGAGCAGCATTTATTCTACTCTCCAAGGCCGGGTGGCACTAACGCAAAAGTAGTACATCCCTTCCAGCTCCTTACTTCCGCAGAAATGGAAAACATGAAAGGAAATATTGAAATAAAAGCCAATATGGAAAACATGTGTTTTCATAATCTTAAATAAGGCTTTTTATTTTTTCAATGAATTTAATTGGTATGGAAATACTGATGTAGTTATTGGAAAAAGTATAGATTTAAAGATTTTAATGCTATAGCTTAAAGTTTTAATAAAAAGGCAGGTGGTGATAAGAAAAAAATGTAATGAAGTAAAAAATGTGCAATAAAGATTTTATGTAGTGCCCAATAGTGAAAACTTGGCTGTAATCTCTTCAGCTTGTGTTTAGCCAAAATTCGCTCTACATATTTTCATAGCAAGAGTGTTATCTAAATTAACAACAAAAAAAATACAGTTGTTGCTCTTCAGTATTTCTATACTATTCACCTGGAAAATGTGCATTTTAAGGGCTTCTGTTTTCTCCTAAATAAAATAATTTTTAGTTATATCAATAACAAGTGACAAAGTATTCTTTGTATTATAATTCAAGTTAATTCTGTTATTCTTCTAATGCATAATTTTAATTATGAATTGTTCTTTATATGATCAAACCTTGCTTTTAATGGTATGTATAATTTAAAGCATAATTTAAAAATTGATCATAGGTATAAATGTAAATAAATGTGAACCTAAAGTATAATTTATAATTAATTTGACTTTTCTACAGCTACTCAGTTAAATACTTAATATTTTAATAACTACATTGAAAAATCTCATGAATTAAAATATTCCTTTTATAAGAAACCAACTGTTGTTATAATAAGTGTTTTCTTTAGAATAATGATCATAGAATCAAAAGCATTAGCTAGCACCAAGCATTGACAATGAAATGAGAGAAACACGTATGTTTGTTTCTGTGATGATGTGGGTGTAGTTTATTCGTTATTAGAAAACAGTATCAAAACATTCCCCAGAATCACTAATTTGAACTCACTGTTATAACTCTAACTGTCTGGTAAGCAAAAGTTTCTGGGCCTTTTGAAATAATAATAAATATGTAAATTGTCATTTCAAACATAGATTCTGCAGATCAGTGGTTTTCCTCAAAGAAAAAAAATGCCAAAGTCAATCCAAGCCTATTGTTGAATAATAATTTAATCAGATATCTGATTTCAGATATACTAAAAATAATGTTTTCAAAAGTAAGGTGATCCTCTTTTGTTTTAGTGTAGCTAAATGAAAAGCTGTGGAAGAGCAACATGAAAAAATGTGTAGCAAGAGTCGGTTTAAATATGTATTACCAAATCATGTTTCTTGTTTTTCACTGGAAGCAAACAACTTCAGAAATAATTCAACAGAGTTAATTTATCCTTTAGTTCTAACCCTTCACACATACTCCCTCAAATGAACAAAGGCTTGGTCAACTGCATGCTAACTACTTTAAAATATAAATCTATATCCAAGACAACTGTATATCGGATATTGCAAACAAAAATAAATCTCAGTATGGAAAATTTCAATAATAAGCTGTGGAATTTGACGGATTATTGTTACATTAATGTAATTTTAATTGTTTTTTGTTTTGTTCTTTACTTGCTTTTTTTGGTTTAGTTGGTTTGCTGTTATTTTTCTTGCCAGAGCAATAGTATTTAATCACTATGTTCTCCCTCTCACAGGAAAAATATCTGATCAGTGAAACAACCTCCCTCCCAGAAAAGTATCAGCATATTTTTATTTCCATTAGCAATGTAATACATTACAATTTATGTAGTATTAGAGATTATATTTCACATGAAAATACAAAATATATACATATTCTACATTTTTATCTATAATATACACTTAATCCTAGACATGAAAATCCAATTTAAACATTTTTAAAACTCAATGATAATTATAGAACTGTTAGGAAGGGCAAGTTGACATGAAGACTGATACCTTTGGTGGAATATTTCTCTATAAATCAGCCCAGAACATTTTAATTTATTAATCATCAAAATATTTTTTCTTTCATTAAAAAATTCTCAATTCTGACATCCTTTAGTGCTTTATGTGTAAGCTTTAATATATTTAATATTAGTAACTAAGATATTTGCCTATTTCCTTAAGAAAGCTAAGATTAAATACTTGTGTAAGTACATTTCTTGTTAAACACAGTACTAAACATAATCTTTATATTAATAAAGGGAAAGGTGAATAGTATATTAAGACCCAATTGAAAGTTTTCTTCCCTTCAATAGAGAATGTTGCTTGACAAAGTTACTTATTAAAAGAGGGAGAAATCTCAAAAGATGGAAAATTTTAAGCTTTATTGCTAACATTCAATTATTGCCCTAACCACTTTTTGAGGAGTGCAAACTATTAATTTACAAATATTAAGCCTTTCCCAGTGGCAAGCTTCCAAAATGCACAGGATGTCTATGATTCTATTCAAAATCACAACCCATGGCACATTAAGTACAGTAAATATACAAACTAAAAGCCAACTGAATTCCGATGTTGTTTCAATCCAATCAATTATTTTCATAAACAAATACAAATTTCACCTGCAAATGGGAAAAGTTCTTATGTGCATATAAGACACTCAACAGGCAAAGTTCCTCAAAGTAATTCCAATAATTTCAGTAATGTCAAAATCTGAAATGGAAAGGTAAAGTTATAGAGTAGAGAAATTTCATTCTTATTATTTTCCGATTTTTCTGTGTAAGCAGCAAACCCTAAGAGGATCAACCATATTTTATGTCATCAGCATTTTATAAGTGCCATATTTAAGTACTTCCCTGAAAATGCCATGAGTATGTATAAAGATGAAAGGCTTATGAATATAAATAAAGCTAAGTCTCCAACTGCAAACCTTATCATTTTCTAAAATGCATTTTGTTAGAAATAGCTAAGGATACTTGAATTTTGCTTTCTGGGTTCATACTTATAAGGTACAAATACCAAAATATGCATTAAAGAATTTATCATAAAGTAAGCGAAAAAGAGAAAAATCAATAAGTAGCCCCAATTCAAAATAACAAAAGGTCACCCAAAGCACAGCAATACGTCTGGCAATATCATACATGATGGCTTCAAATCTAAAAACAAAGTCATTGATATTAACCTTGGTTATTGACTAATAAGAAAGCTATTAAAGTCAGGTTAGTGTACCAACAAGGAAGCCCAAACTTTCAAGACTGTTGTCTGACTGCCCTTGAGGGTTCACCTTTATCTCCCCTGAAAAATGCCAATATAAAAATTCTAAAATACCTTCATAAGCCCCAAGGAAAGCCTGTGGACAGACAGATGATGTGATATATTTCTTCCTTTCCATTCTTGGGCAGCTTCTTCTCTCTGCGGCTGAAAGCAAATGCATTGAGACTCAGTCGCATATTTAATTAGAAGCAAGCTGCTTGCACTATCACTGTGTGAATCTACCTCTCCAATCTCTCGTGAGTCAATCTTTCCCATCTCTGATTTTCTTTTATATTTATGCTAGAATATTTAATTGTAGACAAAAGGTTACTCTGGCTGTATTCACTGCACAGAGGCAGAATAATCTGCTTTAAAAGGCTTGACATTTCAGGCTTTTCAAAAAGGCTGAAAAAATTATATCCCTGCTTTTGTTAATCAATGAAGTAGAACTCTCCTGAACAAAAGAATTAAATTGCTTGGTTGGTTTAATAAAACCAACAGAAATAGCTGCTTCCTCTGGGCTTTATTGTGTAGGCATGGCACACGCACCCAGCACTGTAATTCCATATGATTCAGGGGCAAAACTCTAATTTCTGCACACAGTTGGGTTTTTAAATCCTATTCAGACCCTATCCATTCTGGCTGGTTCTCTAAGGCCAGATTTATCATTAAACTTGACTCTTTTTCTGAAGTGCAGCAGCCATACAGCAATTTTATTTTTGTTCCTCTGCTTGTTACCCCCCCAAAAAATGTTCATTAAAAGTGTATTAATCTAAATATTACCTTTTTCATTTTATTTAGCCTAGAGCTAATAGTTTTACACATTTTCCCAGCTATTTAATTGAAAAAAAAAAGGATCTGAGGGAATGAACAAGCGCTAAGAACTTTGCTGTGAACATGCAAAATAGTAGTTTAAAAAAACACCCCAAGATCAAGTCAGAAAACAACATTTTGTTAAATTCTTATTTTCAGCCTAGGCTTACTAGTAATAAGGAATGTATTTTTGGCAAAAGACTGGACAACTTCTAAAAAGATAACTGGGAGGATTAAAAAAGACAATAGAGACACTTCTCTTTTCTAGTCTTAAGGTATCTCACAATTTTACTGAGAACCCAGAATTTTAAAAATCAAGGGAGATGGCCCTTAGTCAAATGCTTTCATCTGGGTTCTTTTGCTCTGTTTATGTTCCCAGACAACCAGACTTATAAAGGGGTATGTTCTTCCATGCTTCTACATAGAGGCAGCTACCATTTCAGGTCCCTAATGACACAGTCTCTTCCCCTTGTACCCATAATGTTGCAACTTGCAGAGATAGCTAGGGTCTGGCCGGGAGCACTGGTTAGACCAACCATTACTACCCGAGCTTAAGCTTTTTATACGGTTATAGCTATAGAGGATATTTTCCAGAGAAAATAATGGAAGTGAGAGCCAACAAAATACATTACACCAGACAAATTATCTATTGCTGTTTCCTAACTCATAGAGTCATAGGGCCAGAAGGACCTATGGAGATCATTTAATCCAATAGCCTAACAGTTGAGTCAATCCCCTGTGGAGATAATAAATGGATAGAACAGTATCTGGTTATAGTAAGTGTTCAATAAATGGTAACTATCATTGTTTTTCAAGAAAGAGATTTCTCCTCTAATCCATCTCACATTGGCAGCGATTCACAATGGCCAGGCTCATTACCAATTGGTAGACAAGCCACTAGCTCAGCTGGGAGCACTGTATCCTGAAGGGTTTTTCTAACAAAAATATACATCATTGTAACCATGAAAAATATATTTCCTATCTCTGACTCGTATTTATAAAAACTGCATTTCCCCTGTGCCTATCACAACAAACGAGGATTTAAGTTAAGTTACATGAGGGTAGCAACTTCTTTTGTGAAAATTCTTTCTCTATTTGGTTTAAGAAACTGATTCCAAATGTTTTTGTGCATAGAAGCCTTTTCTAGTCTCCATTCAGTATCAAGGCCTTATAAGAACACTGAGGAAGAACAAAAAGAGAGTTTTCTCTGTTGAAATCCCTGTGCTGGCAGCATGTGTGACCTGGCCTACACAAGCATTGGCCAAGATACTGAAATCTGGAATAAATTCCAAGGGTCAAGGTTAAGGCAGCATAGGACAAAGGAATGCCAGAGGAAAATCCAATAGTAGGTGGAGCTAAAGTTAAACATCCAGGGAACCAAGTTCAAAGGACTGCAAACAGGATCAGAATTAAGGTAGCCAAGTCTAAAGTTTTGAGACACAGAGGTAAATCAGAGTAATAATACAGAAAACAAGAAGAAAGGAGTGGGATGATTAGGCAGGAGAATCCATTTATCAGTAGCTTTACTCACAGTCAGTCTGATGGTTGAGCACATGCATGTGCCAGACTGGATTGAAGGGCAAGGAACAGAGTGGGAACACAAAGTATTGTTCCTGAGAGGGCCATGCCAACTAGGCTATCTTCCATCCTAAATCATATGGGTCTAAGGTATGGTGGGGTCTCAGCAACATGAATCCAGAAAGAGGGAAGTAGAAGCCAAACCTAGACAGAATGCAGAATGATGTGTTTCAGAGGTTAGCTCAGAGGGGCCATCAGGAGGACCAATGGGCAACATCCAAAACACTAAGAGGGCTCTGGAGTTTTTATCAGGGGTGTCCATTCCAATCAGTGTGGAATGGTAGCATGAGACCAAGTCAAGCAAAACGTCAATTCCCAACCCACAGCAGACCAGAGATCTGAACTGCATTCCACTAATCAAAGACCTGGAGTGCTCAATACGAAGACCAATGGAGGCCTTCTTGAAGAATAGACTGGCTTGTGGAGAGCAGGGAATGCCTCTGTGACTGATTGCCTCAATAGGAGGGTGGGTTGACATTGCTAACAGGACAAAGCATAGACTCTTAGCATTTGATGGTTTAACTCTCAACTTTTAGTATTTCTGAGACACATGCACCTCAAAGTTAAACGTTAAACAGGGTAATATATGTAAAGTGCCTAGTCCCTGAATGAGATAACTTTCCCTGCTAACACCTGGGAGGTTACTCAGTGGTAAAAGCCTCTGGTTTGTCCCAATTGGTATCATCACTTTGGGCAATTACAATGTTAAGCAAGTATACTGATAGTTTTTGAAAACACACTGGAGATAGGTCTTTTCCTGCGAAGTGAGCTCTGAAGTCAAATTTCAAGCCCTGTGAATGGTTTGTAATTTTTCAGAAATCTTCCAGACAGGTCAAATAGCGACAATTCACTAAGGATAGAGCTTTTAGCCCTGGCGCTCCAAACCTGGTCTATTCCCTCCAGTGGCTGCTAGGCTACTGGTTTTTACAAATACTGAGACTACGAAGCTTCTGGTTTGCAAGGTTACCATGGAGCTGGCAAGAGGGGGATGGGAATAGGACAAATGCCACAAAACTCACTCTTCTTACCAAGATTTAGGAGCCCCCCTTTTTTTTCAGTGAACACCCCTCAAATTGTTGCAAACATTTGGTTAATTTCTAGAGTTCTGAAAAAGTTTATTTTGGCAATATTTGCCAGTGTAGTCATTGCTTTTATGGAAAAGTGAATATTCAGATGTCTTTATTCCACTATTCTAAAAGTCAGCGCAGCCACTCTGGAAAACAGTTTGGCATTTCTTCAAAATGTTAAACATAAGATTATCACAAGACTGATAAATTACACTCCAATGTATATACCCAACAGAAAACAAAACATAGTCTATACAAAAACATGTACATAGGCCAGGTGTGGTGGTTCACACCTGTAATCCCAGCACTTTGGGAGGCCAAGGCTAGTGGCTCACTTGAGCTCAGGAGTTCAAGACCAGCCTGGGCAACATGGTAAAATCCTGTCTCTACAAAAAAAATACAAAAATTAGCCAGACCTTGTGGCATAGGCCTGTAGTCCCAGCTACTTGTGGGGCTGAGGTGGGAGGATGGCTTGAGTCCAGAAAGTGGAGGTTGTAGTGAGCCAAGATCACTCCAGCCTGGGTGACAGAGTGAGACTCAGTCTCAAAAAAAAAAAAGAGTGCATAAATGTTCATAGCAACAGTATTAATAAAAGCCAAAAATAGAAATAATCAAAATGTTCCTTAATTAATGAACCGGTTTAAAAAACTGTGATATATCTGTAAGAGTTAAAGAAAAAGGAAACAAACACACAAAAAAGTGGTTCAACTGTCAAAGACAGGTTTATTTGGGATACTTATAAACCTGTATAAGACCTGAGAGGGTCTTCTGGCTGATTTCAGTCAGGAGTACTCCCTCTTACAGACTAAGAGTATTTATTGGTTTTAGGTTGAGAGACCTTATCACAGGCTTGGAATGTTTCTGTGCAGGGGAGAAGCCTATTGCAGAGTTGGAATGTCTCTGGTTGGAGGGGAAGTAATCTTGGGGCTGACATCCCTCCAGCTGGAGGGGAAGTTATCTCAGGACTGCATGTCTCTGGTCGGGGAGGGGTTTATCTTATGGTTGGAATGTTTCTGGTAGGAGATGTCATTTGTGGTTTACAGTCATGCTGACCTTACCCATTAGGCTGAAGCCCTTTGGATTTAGGTGGTTTTTGATCAAGGGGAACTTTAGAATGGCGGTGCTTGTCCAAGATGGCAATGCTCCTGCTCTGTCAACATACATACCAGTGAAATATTATTCACCAATAAAAAGAAAGGAAGTATCCATACATACTTCGACATGGATGATCCTTGAAAACATTATGCTAAATAAGTGAAAGAAGCCAGTGAGGACTAAGCTCTAATTTTTGATTTTGCCCAAATTCCTATCTAAGGGGTCTAGGGAGTCATGCCCTACAAACCATAAATTCTCATCAGATGGGTTTTATTTAACCCTATATATTGTGACTTACTTTTCAATCTGACTCTGGCATAACATCATGAGACAAGGAAAAAAATATTTAACCCCAAATATATTTCCTTGACATACCTTGAATTGCCCTGCAAAGTCTTTTGTGGGAAAAACCCACATTCTACAGAGAATGTGTTTCCCTTCCTTTCTTTCCAGATCCAGGAGATAATCAACTAAGTACCAGGCACCCTTTTAGGTCTGATAAAAAAACATTTCATAACCTGCTCTCTCTCTCTGAAGTCGGCTATCTGAGAGATTCCCCTGTAAAATAAAACTTGGTCTCCACATCCTTTATCTTAAGCTGAACATTTCCTTTCCATTGATCCCAGGTCTTCAGATAAACTCAGCCAATTGTCAACCAGAAAATGTTTAAATTTACCTATAGTCTGGAAGCCCCCACTTTTGTTGTCCCACCTTTCTGAACCAAACCAATGTATTTCTTAAATGTATTTGATTGATGTCTCATGCCTCCCTAAAATATATAAAACCAATCTGTACTCTGACCACTTTGGGCACATGTTCTCAGGACCTCCTGAGGTTTATGTCACGGGCCATGGTCACTCATATTTAGCTCAGAATAAATCTCTTAAAATATTTTACAGAGTTTGACTCTTTTTGTGAACACCAGTCACAACTGCATTTTTGTATGATTCCATTCCTATGAAAGGTTCACAATAGGTAAATTTATACAGAGAGAAAGTAAATTAATGGTTGCCTAGGGTTGGGGAAGGTGGGGAAATGGGAAGGGTGTTGGCTAAGGGGTACAGGGCTTTTTGAGGGGTGATGAAAATGTTCTGGAACTTATAGTGGTGAAGGTTGCAGAAATCTGTGGCTATACTAAAACCCACTGAATTCTACCCTTTAAAAGGATGAATTTTGGGCTAGTTAAATTATATCTCAATAAAACACTCACTTAAAAAAAATCTGCCTTTTTCCCTTATGTCTAGGTGTTTTGCAGAATTCAAGTTCCCTTTGTTTTCCACTCAAAGCACTAGCTCTGAGGAAACCTGGGGGATCCTAGCTTCACCTCCTTCCTCTCAAGCCATTGGCTGGTGCCTGTTCCCTGCTCCCTCCTCTCACACAAAGCAAAAAGCCTCCAGCTGCTGGGAGAGGAGCAAGAAATCCTCCCACCCTCCCTCCAGGCCCAGGCAAAGAACCGTTTTACAGGGCAAGCAGCAAGAATATTAAAGAAATAATGGCCCCAACAAACAAACAACAACAACAACAACAAAAAGAAATAATGGCCCAAAACTTCCCAATTTGATGGAAAAAATTAATGAAAAACAACCAGTGTCCTATCCTGACTCTAATCTTTCCCAGGATACCAAAAGGAGGCTTGTGAAAAAGAGTTCACAGGTAAATGTGATCCCCTCTTGCATCTGGAACTCCCTATCATTTCAAATTGTTAGCTCAGTCAGCCTTTAAAAAATTAGTAAAATTTTAGCTGTTGTTTTACCTGCTTTTTTTTTGGCGGGGGGAACTTTTTTGACAGCCAAAAATCCTTTTCCTCTCAAGCTCTGCCAAACGTAGACCAATTTCTGTGTCCCACCTCTCCTCAGAAGGGCTTTTAACTCTTGCTTTATAATGTCAGTTCTTTGATGGACTCAAGAAAAGTTATGACTTAGAAATTGTTCTGTTTTCTGCTCATAGTTAGGCATGGTTAGGCATGTTCATCTCTACATCCTAAGCAGAAGTTCAGTCAATATATTTTGTTATTTCCAACATTGTATTTTTCATGTGTAGAAATTTCATTTAGGTCTTTCTATATCTTCAGTGTCTCTCTTCATCATATATCCTTGAGTATATTTGTAGGATTTATAATAGCTACTTCTGGTCCTTATCTACCATTTTCACCATTTCTGGATACATCCCCATCAGTTGATTTTTCTCCTATTTATGGATCCTTTTTTCTGCCTATTTCTATACCTAATAAATTATCATTCAATGTCAGACATTGTGATTTTTTAAAGTTTTAATATGTACAATTTTGTAGAGGGCTAGATTCTGTTGTTTACCTTTAAAAAGTGTTAGTTTTTTTTCAGGGACACAGTTAATTAACGATAATCCTTTTGAGGCTTTCCTTTTTTTTTTTTTTTTTTTTTTGAGACAGTCTCACTCTGTCACCCAGGCTGGAATCTCAGCTCACTGCAACCTCCGCCACCTGGGTTCAAGCAATTCTCCTGCTTCAGCCTCCTGAGTAGCTGGGATTACAGGCATGTGCCACCATGCCCAGCTAATTTTTGTATTTTTAGTAGAGACAGGGTTTCACCATGTTGGCCAGGCTGGTCTCGAACTCCTGACCTCAGGTGACCTCCGTCTGCTTCGGCCTCCCAAAGTGCTGGGATTACAGGCATGAGCCACTGTGCCCAGCCCTGAGATTGTCTTTTATGCTGTTACAGATGATTCAGATAAGCCTTGACTGTAAAACTAATTTAGTCTGAATGTTAAGTCATGACACTTCTGAGGACTCACCATGTGTATTAGGAGTTGTCTTCACTCAGACTAGTAGAACATAAACTATTCTCAGCCTTTTGTGAACTAACCCAATTGTTTGGCCTATTGCTTTCTGATTCCTCTTCCCTAGCCTCAGGAAGTTTCCTGTCATACATGCACCTATTCATACTCGTCAAAGACCTGAGGAGAGCCCTGTGCAAATGTCTGGAGCTCTCTTAGTTGCAGCTCCCCTTTCTGTAAACTCTGCCCCGCAAATTCTAGCTGCCAAGGTTTTCCTGATCTATCACTTCAATGCAAGAAGACCACAAGGCTCAGCTTCAGTTTTTGCTCCCTGCGCTGTGGAAACTACCTCCAGGAAGACAATTGGTGTCATCAGCCAGGTGCAGTGGCTCACGCCTGTAATCCCAGCACTTTGGGAGGCTGAAGTGGGCGGATCACCTGAGGCCAGGAGATCTAGACCAGCCTGGCCAACATGGTGAAACCCGTCTCTACTAAAAGTAAAAAAAATTAGCCGGGCTTGGTGGCACATGCCTTTAATCCCAGCTACTCAAGAGGCTGAAGCAGGAGAATCGCTTGAACTCGGGAGGCGGAGGTTGCAGTGAGCTGAGATCATGCCATTGCACTCTAGCCTGGGAGACAAGAGCAAGGCTTCATCTCAAAAAAAAAAAAGAAAATTGGTGTCATCACAATCCTTGTCTCATTTCTTTCCCTTCTGTTAGGGATCATGGTCCTATGCTATTTGTTGTACAGTCTCTGAATATAGTTGCTTGACTGTCTATTTACTTATGATAGGAAAGTAATTCCCATAGCAGTAAATTATCGTGGGAGAAAGCAAAAGTCTTAATATTTTTTATTAGTATTATTTTTTATTGACAAATTATAATTGTATACATTTATGGGGTATAATGTGATATCTTGATATATGTATACAGTGTGAAATGGTTCTTAGTATATTTTGAATAGCAAGTCAGCCTTCACATTTGGTGGTCTGCATTTATCTGGAGAAAAATCAAAGACAAAGGTAGTGATGTTAAGCTACTTTTTTGACCTCAATCTTTAGAGCCAAGTCTATGTGGAATGCAAACATCCAGAAGCTCTACTCGAGGCTGATGTCCTTAGTTTCTTCCTCCAACCCTCAAAAACAGCTCCTTAGCTCAGATAATTGCTTCCAGCTCTACCCCTTCTGTCTAGTGTTCCAAACTCTCATAATTCTAATTTAACATCTCCAGTTCTTATCCTGTGCCACATTCCTAGTCTCTACTTCTCACATCAGCTCTTTCAAGCTGATATAGCATTTGACCTATTCTATTAGCCTGAGTTCTTTTCTTACCTCTTGTACGAGATAGCATGCATTACATTGCAAGTCACATAGAATCCAACTCAAATTAGCTTTCATACACTTAGGGTTTATTGCTCATGTACTAGAAATCTGGTGGTAGGTCAGGATTCTGAGTTACTTGATTCAGTGGCTAAAAGCAAATGCCGTTTCTCAGTCTTTCTTGGCTTTTCCTTGCATGATATCAGCTTTATCCTAAGGCCAACTTCACTAATGGTAGCAATATGACTACTGTGACTACTATCGTTACTATTGCTAATATGGCTACAGAACTTCCAGGATGCTTATCTAAACAAAATGACCCAGAAGATGAGAAAGATAAAGAGATTCTTTTTTTTTTTAAGAAATGAGGTTTCACTCTGTCACCCAAGATGGAGTTCAGTGCACAATCATAGCTCATTGCAGCCTCAAACTCCTGGGCTCAAGGGATCCTCCCACCTTAGCCTCCCCAGTAGCTAGGACTACAGGCACATGCCACCACACCCAGCCAATTTTTTTTTTAATTTTCGGTAGAGATGAGGTCTTGCTATGTTGCCCAGGCCAGTCTAGAACTCCTGGGCTAAGCAATCCACCTGCCTCAGCCTCCCAAAGTGCTAGGATTACAGGCATCAGCCATGACACCTGGCCAAGAGACTATTTCTTAGATATTGCCAGAAAACATCTTTTGCAGTGCTTTTGTCCCATTCCTTAGCCTATGTATCACCTCTAAACCTACACCTTGGCGAGGTGATGAGATTGCATTGCTGCATATGCAGATCCGTTCCTAGTGTCAGGGGTGAAGTCAAGTATCCACAAACACACGGGCTGAGTCAAAAAGGAGTAGATACTCAAGTGAAAATCAGGTAGTGACCAAGAGAAAAAGGAATGAATGTTGAGGAAGCAACATTTGGAAACATTTATTTGGATAATATTTGGGAAAATAGCTTCTTCTAAGGTCTGAGGAGGGGAAAATACAAGAGAAGCCTGGAACTCTTGTAATGCCAGATGACATGCCAGGAATATGTTAAAAGACACAAAAGCCCACCTGAAAGAACTACAAATGGCCAAAACTGGAACAATTTGAGCAATAAATAAAATAGTAGTGGATTGTAACCCAAAGTATAAAATAAATATGTATGGATCAATACTTACATAAATATATTACTAAATAAATGGGAGTGAAGGGATACATTTTCTTCACAGAAGAATTCCAAACAATATATGTAGATAGTTCTTCTTCAAGAAGTGGAGCTTAATTTAAGTCCTCTGGAGTCTAGACTAAACTTAGTGTATAGCTTCCAAAGAATAAAGAAAGAAAAGGGGAAGATCATGGAGATCGTTCCGAGATGGCCGAATAGGAACAGCTCCAGTCTACAGCTCCCAGCATCAGCGACGCAGAAGACAGGTGATTTCTGCATTTCCAACTGAGGTACTGGGTTCATCTCATTGGGACTTGTTGGACAGTGGGTGCAGCCCACAGAGTGTGAGCCAAAGCAGGGTGGGGCATCGCCTCAACCGAGAAGTGCAAGGGGTTGGGGAATTCCCTTTCCTAGACAAGGGAAGCCGTGACAGACGGTACCTGGAAAATCAGGACACTCCCACCCTAATACTGCACTTTTCCAACATTCTTAGCAAACGGCACACCAGGAGATTATATCCCGCACATGGCTCAGCGGGTCCCACACCCATGGAGCCTTGCTCACTGCTAGCACAGCAGTCCGAGATCAAACTGCGAGGTGGCAGCAAGGCTGGGGGAGGGGCATCTGCCATTGCTGAGGCTTGAGTAGGTAAACAAAGCGGCTGGGAAGCTCGAACTGGGTGGAGCCTGCTGCAGCTCAAGGAGGCCTGCCTGCCTTTGTAGACTCCACCTCTGGGGGGAAGGGCATAGCTGAACAAAAGGCAGCAGAAACTTCTGCAGACTTAAATGCCCCTATCTGACAGGTTTGAAGAGAGCAATTGTTCTCACAGCATGGAGTTTGAGATCTGACAATGGACAGACTGCCTCTCAAGTGGGTCCCTGACCCCCGAGTAGCCTAACTGAGAGACATCTCCCTGTAGGGGCTGACTGACACCTCATAGAGCAGGGTACCCCTCTGAGACGAAGCTTCCAGAGGAAGGATCAGGCAGCAACATTTACTGTTCTGCAATATTTGCTGTTCTGCAGCCTCCGCTGGTGACACCCAGGCAAACAGGGTCTGGAGTGGACCTCTAGCAAACTCCAACAGACCTGCAGCTGAGGGTCCTGACTGTTAGAAGGAAAACTAACAAACAGAAAGGAATAGCATCAACATCAGCAAAAAGAACATCCACACCAAAACTCCATCTATAGGTCACCATCATCAAAGACCAAAGGTAGATAAAACCACAAAGATGGGGAGAACCCAGAGCAGAAAAGCTGAAAATTCTAAAAATCAGAGCACCTCTTCTCCTCCAAAGGATTGCAGCTCCTCGCCAGCAACGGAACAATGTTGGATGAAGAATGACTTTGACGAGATGACAGAAGTAGGCTTCAGAAAATCGGTAATAACAAACTTCTCAGAGCTGAAGGAGAATGTTCAAACCCATCTCGAAGAAGCTAAAAACCTTGAAAAAAGATTAGATGAAGGGCTAACTAAAATAAACAGCATAGAGAAGACCTTAAATGGCCTGATGGAGCTGAAAACCATGGCACAAGAACTACATGATGCATGAACAAGCTTCAGTAGCCGATTCGATCAAGTGGAACAAGAGTATCAGTGATTGAAGATCAAATGAATGAAATGAAGTGAGAAGAGAAGTTTAGAGAAAAAGGAATAAGAAGAAATGAACAAAGCCTCCAAGAAATATGGGACTATGTGAAAAGACCAAATTTACATTTCATTGGTATACCTGAAAGTAACGGGGAGAATGGAACCAAGTTGGAAAACACTCTTCAGGATATTGTCCAGGAGAACTTCCCCAACCTAGCAGGGCAGGCTAACATTCAAATTCAGGAAATACAGAAAATGTCACAAACTACTCCTTGAGAAGAGCAACCCCAAGACACATAATTGTCAGATTCACCAAGGTTGAAATGAAGGAAAAAATACTAAGGGCAGCCAGAGAGAAAGGTCAGCTTACCCACAAAGGGAAGCCCATCAGACTAACTGCAGATGTCTCAGCAGAAACTCTACAAACCAGAAGAGAGTGGGGGCCAATAATCAACATTCTTAAAGAAAAGAATTTTCAACCCAGAATTTCATATCCAGCCAAACTAAGCTTCATAAGTGAAGGAGAAATAAAATCCTTTACAGACAAGCAAATGCTGAGAGATTTTGTCACCACCAGGCTTGCCTTACAAGAGCTCCCGAAGGATGCACTAAACATGAAAAGGAACAACCGGTACCAGCCACTGCAAAAACATGCCAAATTGTAAAGACCATCAATTTTGGGAAGAAACTGCATCAACTAATGAGCAAAATAACCAGGTAACATCATAATGACAGGATCAAATTTACACATAACATATTAACCTTAAATGTAAATGGGCTAAATGCCCCAATTAAAAGACACAGACTGGCAAACTGGATAAAGAGTAAAGACCCATCAGTGTGCCATATTCAGGAGACCAATCTCACTTGCAGAGACACATAGGCTCAAAATAAATGGATGGAGGAAGATCTACCAAGCAAATGGAAAACAAAAAAAAAGCAGGAGTTGCAATCCTAGTCTCTTACAAAAATAAATTTCTACAGTTAAAAAAAAAATGGACTTTAAACCAACAAAGATCAAAAGAGACAAAGAAGGCCATTACATAATGGTAAAGGGATCAATTCAACAAGAAGAGCTAACTATCCTAAATATATATGCACCCAATACAGCAGCACCCAGATTCATAAAGCAAGTCCTTAAAGACCTACAAAGAGACTTACACTCCCATACAAAAATAATGGGAGACTTTAACACCTGACTGTCAACATTAGACAGATCAATGAGACAGAAAGTTAACAAGGATATCCAGGACCTGAACTCAGCCTAATATACATCTACAGAACTCTCCACCCCAAATCAACAGAATATACATTCTTCTCAGCACCACATCGCACTTATTCCAAAATTGACTACATAGTTGGAAGTAAAGAACTCCTCAGCAAATGTAAAAGAACAGAAATTATAACAAACTGTCTTTCAAACCACAGTGCAATCAAATTACAACTGAGGATTAAGAAACTCACTCAAAACCGCTCAACTACATGGAAACTGAACAACCTGCTCCTGAATGACTACCTGGTACATAATGAAATGAAGGCAGAAATAAAGATGTTCTTTGAAACCAATGAGAACAAAGACATAACATACCAGAATCTCTGGGACACATTTAAAGCAGTGTGTAGAGGGAAATTTATAGCATTAAATGCCCACAGGAGAAAGCAGGAAAGATCTAAAATTGACACCCTAACATCACAATTAAAAGAACTAGAGAAGCAAGAGCAAACACATTCAAAAGCTAGCAGAAGGCAAGAAATAGCTAAGATCAAAGCAGAACTGAAGGAGATAGAGACATGAAAAACCCTTCCAAAAATCAATGAATCCAGGAGCTGGTTTTTTGAAAAGATCAACATAATAAGTAGACTGTTGGCCAGACTAATAAAGAAGAAAAGAGAGAAGAATCAAAGAGACACAATAAAAAATGATAAAGGGGATATCACCACCGATCCCATGGAAATACAAACTACCATCAGAGAATACTATAAACACCTCTATGCAAATAAACTAGAAAATCTAGAAGAAATGGATAAATTCCTGGACACATACACCCTCCCAAGACTAAACCAGGAAAGATGTGGATCCCTGAATAGACCAATAATCGGCTCTGAAATTGAGGCAATAATTAATAGCCTAACAGCGAAAAAAGTCCAGGACCAGACAGATTCACAGCTGAATTCTACCAGAGGTACAAAGAGGAGCTGGTACCATTCCTTCTGAAACTATTCCAATCAATGGAAAAAGATGGAATCCTCCCTAACTCATTTTATGAGGCCAGCATCTTCCCCAGAGACACAACAAAAAAAGAGAATTTTAGACCAATATCCCTGATGAACATCGATGCAAAAATCCTCAATAAAATACTGGCAAACCAAATCCAGCAGCACATCAAAAAGCATATCCACCATAATTAAGTTGGCTTCATCCCTGGGATCCAAGGCTGATTCAACATACACAAATCAATAAACGTAATCCAGCATATAAACAGAACCAATGACAAAAACCACATGATTATCTCAATAGATGCAGAAAAGGCCTTCAACAAAATTCAACAGTGCTTCATGCTAAAAACTCTCAATAAACTAGGTATTGATGGGACGTATCTCAAAATAATAAGAGCTATTTATGACAAACCCACAGCAAATATCATACTGAATGGGCAAAAACTGGAAGCATTCCCTTTGAAAACGCCACAAGACAGGGATGCCCTCTCTCACCACTCCTATTCAACACAGTGTTGGAAGCTCTGGCCTGAGCAATCAGGCAGGAGAAAGAAATAAAGGGTATTCAATTAGGAAAAGAGGAAGTCAAATTGTTTCTGTTTGCAGATGACATGATTGTAGATTTAGAAAACCCCATTGTCTCAGCTCAAAATCTCCTTAAGCTGATAAGCAACCTCAGCAAAGTCACAGGATACAAAATTAATGTGCAAAAATCACAAGCATTCCTATACACCAATAACAGATGAACACAGAGCCAAATCATGAATGAACTCCCATTCACAATTGCTTTAAAGAGAATAAAATACCTAGGAATCCAACTTACAAGGGATGTGAAGGACCTCTTCAAGGAGAAATATAAACCACTGCTCAACGAAATAAAAGAGGACACAAACAAATAAAAGAACACTCCACGCTCATAGATAGGAAGAATCAATATCGTGAAAATGGCCATACTGCCCAAGGTAATTTATAGATTTAATGCCATCCCCATCAAGCTACCAATGACTTTCTTCACAGAATTTGAAAAAATTACTAAAGTTCATATGGAACCAAAAAAGAGCCCACATTGCCAAGACAATCCTAAGCAAAAAGAACAAAGCTGGAGGCATCATGCTACCTGACTTCAAACTATACTACAAGGCTACAGTAACCAAAACAGCGTGGTACTGGTACCAAAACAGACATATAGACCAATGGAACAGAACAGAGCCCTCAGAAATAATACCACACATCTACAACCATCTGATCTTTGACAAACCTGACAAAAACAAGAAATGGGGAAAGGATTCCCTATTTAATAAATGGTGCTGGGAAAACTGACTAGCCATATGTAGAAAGCTGAAACTGGATCCCTTCCTTACACCTTATACAAAAATTAATTCAAGATGGATTAAAGACTTAAATGTTAGACCTAAAACCATAAAAACCCTATAAGAAAACCTAGGCAATACCATTCAGGACATAGTCATGGGCAAGGATTTCACGTCTAAAACACAAAAAGCAATGTCAACAAAAGCCAAAATAGACAAATGGGATCTAATTAAACTAAAGAGCTTCTGCACAGCAAAAGAAACTATGATCAGAGTGAACAGGCAACCTACAGAACGGGAGAAAATTTTTACAATCTACCCATCTGACAAAGGGCTAATATCCAGAATCTACAACAAACTTAAACAAATTTACAAGAAAAAAATCAAACAACCCCATCAACAAGTGGGTGAAGGATATGAACAGACTCTTCTCAAAAGAAGACATTTATGCGGCCAACAGACACATGAAAAAATGCTCATCATCACTGGCTATCAGAGAAATGCAAATCAAAACCACAGTGAGATACCATCTCACACCAGTTAGAATGGCAATCATTAAAAAGTCAGGAAACAACTGGGTATATACCCAAAGGATTATAAATCATGCTACTATAAAGACACATGCACATGTATGTTTATTATGGCACTATTCACAATAGCAAAGACTTGGAACCAACCCAAATGTCCATCAATGATAGGCTGGATTAAGAAAATGTGGCACATATACACCATGGAATACTATGCAGCCATAAAAAAGGATGAGTTCATGTCCTTTGTAGGGATGTGGATGATGCTGGAAACCATCATTCTGAGCATACTATTGCAAGGACAGAAAACCAAACATCGCATGTTCTCACTCATAGATGAGAATTGAACAATAAGAACACTTGGACACAGGGTGGGGAACATCACACACTGGGGCCTGTCATGGGGTGGGCGGAGGGGGGACGGATAGCATTAGGAGGAATACCTAATGTAAATGACGAGTTAATGGGTGCAGCACACCAACATGGCACATGTATTCATATGTAACAAACCTGCACATTGTGCACATGTACCCTAGGACTTCAAGTATAATAAAAAAAAAAAAAAGAGGAAGATAGTAATTTTCTGTAGAGAAACCTAGCAGACATTACCTTGGCCAAGAAATTGAAGTTAATATCATCAGTGGTAAGTCATGTTAATATAATGTACCATCTAATATAATGCAGTGAGAGAACACCTTACCTTTGTGGTATTGTTTCACAAAACCCATAACTCCAGTCTAATAATTAAAAAATATCAGACAAACCCAAAGTGAAGGACTTTAACTACCTGACTTTGATTACCTGAGCAGTAATCTTCAAAGCTATCAAAGTCATGAAAACAAGTAACAGAAAAAGGATATTAGTGAGAAAACTGGTGAAAGGCAAATAGGGTCTCTAATTTAGTTAATAGTTACCTGTCCAGAGTTCATGTCTTAGTTTTGACAAATATATCATATTCATGTAAGATGTTCACATTAGGGGAAACTGGTTGAATAAATGATAAAAATCACTGTTTATCTCCTGTAAAGTTTTGATAAATGGGAAAAAGGGCTTGTGAGGCTCATCTTAAGTTGTAACCAATATGGTGTGTTTTGTATGTCTTTCTGTATTGTTTTAGCATAAAGAGGGGTACCTTAGGATAGAACATGGGCTTAGGACACCTGTAAGCCTGCTTTGCAAGATGGCTCAGCAAACTGGTCAGTCATGTCCTTGGGAGCTTGACCTTGTAACCATGTGGCTCTGCTTTCTCTTTTCACAATGGTGACCTGGGTTTAAGGTCCAATTCCTGGCTTGGAAAATGAGTCCTTTATCTTCTGTTTGTCTATGTATTTATATGTATTATGTGCATGATGTTTACATATGAAAGAGCTTTAACTAATTGGTTTAAAAATAATACAAGCTTAAATCAAATATTTTGTCAGAAAAGTAAAAAGTTTAATGCCTTTTACCTCATATGACTTAAGTAATCTTTGGGAAATAAAGACAGTTTTAAAAATTATTGATATAATAAAAATGTCTTCAAAATGTAAACATTTGGTATAAATTATGCAGGTCAGATATTAGGTTTGCTAAATGCTTTAAAGTCATAAACTGCTTCTTTGGCTTTTAAAATATTGTTCAATTTATTTTGAAGCATTAGATCCTAGGCCTGGGAACATGTGAAATTAGCCATGCCCCCTAGCTATGCAAAGAAGGTACTAAAGAAAAGAGATTTTATATAAGAAAGGATCTTTTATGGTAAATTCTTGTCCTAAAACTAAAGTAAAAATGACTGGTTGTTTAAAAAGAGGAATGTTTAGGACAATTCAAAAAGTCTAAGCATGTCATAAGATGTTCTATGTAAGTTGTGAAATAATTTGTGAAAGGGAATTTATGCAAGAAATGTTGTGCAATTTAAAGCTGATTAGGCCTCCTAAATGCTTTATAAAATGCCACTATGATCATTAACTGTACAACTTGACTGCTTTACACTTAGTTAAGGCCTGGGATATGTGGAGCGAGATGCTGGAAAGAGTCAGATCTTATCTGTATTTCTGTCTAGGTCCTAGGCTCAACACCTAGTACATAATTAAAATCCTAAACTAATCAGAGTTTTCCACCAAAAGTAAAAGTCACTAAGGGTTAACAGTGTAACATGTATTTGAAACTACTGAAAAAACAGTTTTACATGCAAGGCATGTAAAGAGAGTGACATGTGTTTTTGGTAAAAGATTATTAAAAGTCATGGGAATGTGAAATTCTTTTGCTTAAGTTTAATGGGTTAAAGGATTGCTTTAAGTGAGATAGGAAAAATCTAAAGGTTTGAACAAGTTGTGGAAGGTTTGTAAAAATTAATCTTGTAAAATAATTTCTATGTATGAAAATATTGACTAAATTTAAAGGGGTATTATCCAGTTTTTCCATAAATTAAACATAGAAATAAAAGCAGAACAGGGTTTTCTTAAAGCACTAATCTGCTTTTTAATAACAAAAATTTGTAAGGGGTTATAAAAGGTTTATAAAACCCTCATCTTATGGTCAAACTGATTAAGGTTGGATAGATTTGTCTATGAGGTTTTATTAAAAATTGGGGTTGACATTAATAGTCCACTAATGCAAAGGTGAAATTTGGCTTCTCTCTTGAACAAGATTTTCATGGAATATTAAAAGATAATAAATATTTTTTGTTTGACTTTTAAATACACTACCAAAAAAAAAGGAAGGGAAAGACAAAACATAGATTGCTTGGAAATCTAAGTCTTCCCTCTATCAATGAGTAAAGGTTTTTGCCTTTTTAAAAATTTTTGAGTCATCATTTTTGCTAATTGAATGACTTATGGTAGCCTGGGATTCTAGTTCATAATATCAAGTGTTTTAAACCTTTAACATATTTAATAGGCTTCCCAAAATCAAATTTCAGCTTCAAAACAGTCTTTTCTGACCTCTTTGAAGTGCTACAGAGGGCCCTTGAAACATCCAAAAGAGACATAAACAGAATTATTTAACATGTTAAGTTACATGGGAAGCATTGTCAAAATAAAAATAATGTTTAATTTTCAGGTTATATTTTAGTGAATGATATTAATATATGTTCCAAACTTGGATGGGATTTCTAAAATTCTAACATGTCTGAGTATATGCTATCAATCATAATTATGGTTATTATGTGAAGTTATTCTACACCACAGAAATTACCAGATTTCCTCGTATAAAACTGCTAATCCAAGTAGAACAAAAAATTAATTAAATACCAGGAAAATACTTTGCCAGATTTTCATGTTAAACCAGCTGATACTGAAATTGTTTAGATATACAATTTGAACTCCATGGTCTAAGTCAAATTACCTATGATAACCCATTAGTTATCAGTGCTATGCACCTAAACTGGGGAAACAACTGGTATTCAAGAGGACATAAGTCCAATGTTAAGGATGGACTCATGGAGAACCAGGGCATCCACCATGTCCTTCCTGAATCCTTAAAGCTTTTGTTATTAAAGGTTCTGCATTCCATGACTCATCATGGAAAAGATAAAATGATCTAAATTAAATATATTGACGTAGTGACTTATAAATTGTGAAAATAGTTTAAAACCAATATTTGGTTCCATATTCCTAGGATGACAATCAAACCTTCAAGTACATTTGGCTATCTGATGGGCTGTTTACATTTATAAAGAGATTTCATTCAATTGTCATTTTCAATGCATGTTTTATGTTATAACAGTTAATTATTAGGCCACAGTATATTTTCACCAGGTAAAGAAAGCTTTTACGGTTCATTAAGAACAACCAACCCCTTCACAATCTAGACCCTGAAGACTGGATCTTCTGAGAATATCAGAGAAAGACTGTCCTTGCCATCCACCCTGCAACAAAACTTTGGAACCTTGAATCTTGGGTTCATAGTCTCACAACTGAAAAGGGTCCCTCCACACTCTTGGAACTGTACACCCATTGGAACCCTTAAGGTAAAACTGGTATCCTTGATGTTAACAGCTTTTCCCAAGATCATGGATCAAGACTTCTACTAGCATGAGACTCTTGTCTTTGAATATTTTTTCCTTATTTATGTCTCTATGAACAACAGAAATGAAAAGGGGGTCTACTATGTGCACTTATAGGGTATACTTTGATTTGTGAAGGATTTTGCAGCCAGCCTTATACATGAATAACTTTATACTTTGATAGATAAAAGATGAAGACCCAATGTAGGTGAGAAACTTTAACGGCACATACATTGCCTCACAATCAGTCAAAACCCCTCTTAACCCACATCATGGGTAAAAGAGAACATTGCCAGGAGGCCTTCACTCTTCTAGAAGGACATCATTTGTTAGGTCCTTTTTTCATGGTTCAGAATAAAAGAGGCAATAATTAGAAATGTACCCCTCATGATAGGCTCTATAGCAGATTTTACTGTAAAGGCTGTGGTTACACAACAGACTTTAAATTCTCTTATAAAGGTTATGCTAAATAATAGAATTGGCGAAACAGAAAACTATCTGTGCCACTGCTGACACTTGTGGCCTATGAAGAAATACATCAAATGAAGATTATAGAGATTCATTTGTAGGGGATTAATGAAGAGATTGGTTAGTTAAGTGAGTAGTCACTTTATCTAGCTCATTCTTTTTTCTATTTGATTTTTGGTGATTTGGTTTATGTCGACCCTGAGTAAGGAGCTTACTCTAAACTCTTGGCATTATCCTCCTGATAGTCACAATAATAGTGCGCTGTATTCTCTCAAAGGTTTTAAATGTTTGTATGCAGCCATCTCTAGAACATCAAATGGTCTCTCTTCAACTGGAATGACAAAAGCTGAAAGAAATATGTGACCATAAGGATACCATAACCTATGAATGATATGCTGAGATGGGAAACCCAAAATGATGGTAACAAAGAGTGGCGCTAAGGCCCTAAGTTTTGGTCACACTCTCACCTAAGCAAGAACCTGACCAAAAGAGGGGAATTTTTTAAACAAAATTATGGGAGGCCATCGTTTTGGATTAACTTCACATACTAGGCCCCAATCGGCCAAGCTAAACTAAAATGGAGTCACTCTTGCTAAAAGTGACATAATCAAACTAAGACTTTAAGAAAACACATAGATCCTAGAACAGATCAGGTTTTGTTTTTCTCCAGTAAACAGGACTTTCCAGCATAAGGAGGTCCCTCTACTCAGTCCTTGTTCCTACCTTTCCAAAACTCACTGGTCTACTGTTTTCCACTGGGTTTCAAGACCAAATAAGTACATTGACAATGGTGATAGTGACATCCATAACTAAAGTTTTGGTCAATCTCTCAAAATTGAGTAAATGACCAAAAGTGGGGAATTGTTAAAGCAAACTAATTATGGCCTGAGAAGTACTCCATAATTCTATATCCGAGTCCTTGCAGATTAACAGCAACCTAGGACTGAAAACCTAACTTAGGAGGATACATCTGTAATAACAGCTAAGTCTTGGCCAACCCTAGCAGTCATACTTCAACCATGCATACACTGCTGAGTGTTCAAACAATGTTCAAATAAGGCAAATGCCGAGCTATAACCAATGCAGCCATTCTGTACCTTACATCCAATTTCTGTATGTCATTTCCCTTTGTTTGTCTATAAATCGACTTCTACCATGTGGCTGCACTGGATTCTCTGTGAATCTGCTGTGATTCTGGGGGCTGCCCAATTCACGTATTGCTCATTGTTCAATTAAACTCCTTTAAATTTAATTCAGCTGAAGTTTTTCTTTTTTTTTCACCTCCAATGGGGTGCTAAGAACTCTCTGCTGGAAATCTGGGCTCCCACAAAGGTACTCTCATCTATGATGCTTGTCAGAATTGGTGTTTCTGTGAAGGGACAGGGGGCTGAAAAACTATTCTGCCATCTTGCTGACATTGCTCCTAAGTTAGTTTTAATACCACTGTGTTTCCATTTTCATTCATCGAAGTGGATTTAACTTGAAAAACTACTCTGCAGAATAATTTTATTAATCAGAAAATTTAGGAATCTAAAAGAACCTGAAGAAACATCCAGTTCAACCTCTCATTTTACAAATGAGGAAGCTCAGGGGCATTAGGGTGACTTACCTAAAGTTGCCCAATAAGTCATGGAAGGAGTGAGCTGAGAACCTAGATCTAATTATTGCATCCACTGAAAAATACCAAGCATTTTGAAAATACCTCTTAATGATAGTGATGCTTTAACTCAACAATTTATTGTCCTTAAATTGATTCTTGGGCACTCTTCTTGTTATACTCTTTAAGTACAAAGAAAAGTAGCATACTGTTCTGGATTTATACAATCAGATCTAAGGACTGATATTATTGTAATTGCTTGGTCCTTAAGTCAACTGGCAGTGCATCAAGCATGAAAATCAAAAGCATGTAAGGAAGCAGGAAGATGTTGGCAAGCATAGATGCACTTAGGAAGAAAAGTCTAATTTGAACCTATCAACCTTAGCGGTTTTCCTTTAAGAAAGCACAGAAAAACCACAGTGGCTACGGAAATTAAAACTGTGTCCTAACAAATGAGAGGTGCTGTAGATAAGAAGAGCTGAGGAAAGAATAACAAGTAGTTGAATCCTCTGTACACCAATCAGGGTTTTAAAGATACATTTGGTATTCATGTAATAGATGAAGCATTGGAGTTAATAATAAGACCAAACTATAAGAATAATTCTCTTCTTATTCTAGATTCAGACCAATCAGTGTAGTAGTGCAAAATTTATATTTAAATGTAAATTTCAAAACTAATTATGATTTTCAAATAGCAGACAGTAATTCAGTCAGAAACACAACCAAATGAAAGATTCCTATAGTTTGCTTTAAAGGATTTTAGAAAGCAGGGTGAAAAACATTCATATTGGCTATGAGTTTTAAAAAGCGCACTTGAAGCTGTGGACTTCTCGTGGGTATTCTAATTAATTTATCAGGGTCTTAATTGAACCGGAACCTTCTGTTTTATTTCTAAAGTTGTTCCAAAGATGTACAGAATATTCAGAATCAATCCATTTCAAGAGGGCTTGCTCCCCATAAAATGTTCAGACCAAAAGACAATACATTATACTCTTACTTTCTCTGCTGGGCATTTTAGGTCTGTCCTTTTAGCTACCACATACCATGTCATATACCCTCGATTTGCTGGAATGTTCTTTTTTATTTATAATTTTGGTGAGACAGAATCTCACTCTGTCATCCAGGCTGAAGTATAGTGGCATGATCACAGCTCACTGCAGCCTCAACTTCTTGGGCTCAAGCGATCCTCCCACCCCAGCCTCCCAAGTAGCTGGAACCACAGATGTGCACCACCATGCTCAGCTAATTTTTGTATTTTTAGTACAAAAATACAAATTTTATTTTAGGATTTTGCCATGTTGCCCAGGCTGGTCTCAAACTCCTGGGCTCAAGTGATCTGCCTGCCTCAGTCTCCCAAAGTGTTGGGATTACAGACATAAGCCATCATGCCTGGCCAATTTTGATTTTTCTATCCCATTATCAGGACCGTGAGTCCCAATATTTTGGCAAGGGAAATACAATCCCCTTGACTTGGCACAAAGTGAACCAATAAAACCACCTTAGGAGGCTCACAAATCGTTAAAGCAGGCCTAGAATTTGGCACAACAGATGAGTTCTTGATTAGCAACATGTGGAAGCCAGTTTCTTGTTCAAGAGGATAAGGGTAAATGGACAATGAGGCAGCATGTTGCTAGGAATCTAGTGACATGGACTGGTAAGTCAAGAGCACCCTCCCATTCTGAAAACATTGAACTTAACTAGCTTTACCATAACTAAATACATCTGCTACAGCCTGACACTTCTGACACCAGTCTGAAATATTTGTGTTCAAAGAACATTCTCCAGTTGAGGCAGTATATGCATACAGAAACACCATCTAAGAGGAAAATATGATATTTATTGAGTAGTTCAATTTCCCTCTGTAAAATAAATTCTAAGAATTCTGGATTCTTCATTGCTAGCAGCATCTACATTTGTTCTACTTCGAGAGGAAAAAAAGCATTCATAAACTTTAACTCCTATTATAACTTCTTTGCTTTTAAATACTAGTAATCAGTTGAAAATATTCAGTTGACTGCTTCTGTATAACAAGTTCTTGTTTTCACTAACAGGAAAGCAAATCCAAAGAAAGTTCTTGTATCCAATTGTCACTCAACCAGGCAGGAGTGGCTAGTGACACAATACAGGTATTTTCTTTGAGAAGCTGATTT
The DNA here is from genome assembly GCF_000001405.40 of Homo sapiens. NCBI lineage: Eukaryota > Metazoa > Chordata > Mammalia > Primates > Hominidae > Homo > Homo sapiens. The sequence continues at coordinate 181,033,259 of NC_000003.12, read as the reverse complement.
TGAGTTTTCCTTTATCCTTTATTTTAAAAAAATTGCATACCTGCCTAGTAAGAACAAGCACAGCTTTCTTTGATTTCAATTCTATCAGGAGACCAAGAAGATGTTCTTATGGATTGAATTGTGTCACCTCAAAATTCATATGTTGAAGCCCTAATCCCCAATATGACTGTATTTGGAGACAGGACCTTTAAAAAGGTAATGAATGTTAAATGAGATCATAAGGGTGTGGCCCTAATCTAATTGGATGGGTGTCCTTATAAGAAGAGACTACAGGGGAGTACAAGCATAGAGGAAAGGCCAAGTGAGGACATAGGAAGAAGATAGCAATCTGCATCCCAAGGAGAGAGGTCTCAGGAGAAACCAACCCTGCTAGCACCTTGATCTGCTACTTCCAGCCTCCAGAGCTGTGAGAAATAAATTTATGTTGCTTAAGCCACCCAGGCTTAAGTATTTTGTTATGGTACCACTAGTAGACAAATACGGATGCCAAATACTCAATACAACTTTCCCTACAAGATGATGCCTGAAACCTCACCCTACTGACTCCTCTTTTCATTAAAGACAATGGCTGGTTGCTGTGGCTCAAGCCTGTAATCCCGGCACTTTGGAAGGCCAAGGCAGATAATTTGAGGTCAAGAGTTTGAGACCAGCCTGGCCAACATGGTGAAACCCCATCTCTACTAAAAACACAAAAAATTAGCCAAGCATGGTGGCCCACGCCTGCAATCCCAGCTACTTGGGAGGCCAAGGCAGGAGAATTGATTGAACCCGAGAGGCAGAGGTTGCAGTGAGCTGGGGTCATACCACTGCCCTCCAGCCAGGGCCACAGAGTGAGACTCCGTACCCCACTCCCCCAAAAAAGACAAAAAACTGCTTCAACAAATGGTGCTTGAAAAACTGTTAGGTCCACATGCAATAAAGTTGAACCCTTACCTAACATCATATACAAAAGTTAACTCAAGTTGGATTAAAGACTTCAAACTATAAAACTCTTGGAAGAAAACATAGGTCAAAACCTTCATGACACTGGATTCGGCAGTGATTTTTTGAATATGAAAGCAAAGGCTCAGGCAAACAAAAAACTAAAGTAGATTCATGAAAAATTTTTAAATTTTGTGTATGAAAAGGCATTATGAACAGAGTAAAAAGGCATCCTAGAGAATGAGAGAAAATATTTGCAAATGATATGTCTGATAAGAGGTTGATATCCAGAATATATAGAAAACTAAAACTTAACAAAAACAAACAAACAACCCAACTCAAAAATGGGCAAACGATTTGACAGACATTTTTCCACAGAGATATACAAAGAGGCAATAAGCACATAAGAAGATTCAACCTCATTAATGATTAGAGAAATGCAAATAAAAGCTACAATGAGATATCACCTTATACTCATTAAGATGGCTATTATAAAAAAAAAAAAGAAAATAATAGGTGTTGGCAAGGATGTAGAAAAACTGGAACCCTTATGCAATGTTGTTAAAAACCAAAAATGGTATTGCAGCTGTGGGAAATAGTATGGTGATTCCTTAAAATAATTAAAAATAGAATTACCATATGATGCAGCAATTTCAGTTCTGGGTATATGTTCAAAATATTGAAAGCAGGTTCTCAAATAGATATTTGTATACCCATGTTCATAGCAGCATTAGTAGTAGAATGGTGCTTGCAAGGGGCTGGAGGGAAGGGAGTTATTATCTAATGGATAGAGAGTTTCAGTTTGTTAAGATGAAAAGAGTTCTGGAGATGGAAGATGGTGATGGTTGCACAACATTATGAATGTATTTAATACCAACGAACACTTAAAATAGTTAAGATGGTAACTTTTATATGTATTTTACCATAATAATAAGTTTTTCTTAAAAGGCAAAAAACCGAGGCCCAAGTTCATGACATTTGGATAACTAAAAACTGAAACCAGCTACTTTCTCCATGGACTTTCCCACTCTGGGCATCAAGGTAACCACAAGATTTGCAGAGTAAAAGACATCCCAGAAAGAAAACAGCCATAAAAAAGTGTCCCAAATTTTGTGTATAAACTCTGCCCAAATCTCTGGCTGACTTTTATACCATGTTTGTACAGGACAAATGTCAGCCAGACCAGATAAGATAAAATAACAAACTGAAATTAAAGCTATCATTCTCCACAGGAAGGCCAACTTTTTAGTTTGAGCTGAGTCAAAATAACCACTTGATAAAACAAAAGAAATCAATATCTTCCAAATAAATAACAGGACTGATATTACAAAAAATGGCAGAGTAGGGAACTCTAAAACTCAGTCCTTCCATTAAAGTAACAATTAAGCCAAAAAAATGTTAGAATCAACTTTTTCAGAACTCTGGAATCTAATAAAAAACTTACAACAATGATGGGAAAACTTAAACAGAAAGAAGTTGCTAAACTTTGATAAAAGAGTGTCGTAGCATTTTAACCCATCTACCATCTCCCACTTCCCCAGTCAGGCAGTGGACATGAAAATGGCAGCCCACATTCCTGGTGCAGCTTGCAAGGGCCAGAGAGATCAATATGGACCTTGTTCTCAAAAACTTTGGTTGTATGTTTTTACCTGTCTGGTGGCTCCCTGAGAGATCCACTCAGGAGCTTGCCCTTTTTCCTTTTTTCTTTTCTTTACTTTTCTTTTCTTCTTTTCTTTTTCGCACATGCTCAGGAGTTTTCTCAGGCTGAACTTTGGTGGGAAATAAAATTGTGCAGTTGCTTAGAAAAATTGTTTTGCAGCTGCTCAGAAAGTAAAACATAAATTTACCATGTGCACCCCTAAGTATGTATTAAAAAAATTAAAAATAGACATTCAAACAAAAACTTCTACATGAATGTTTCTAGCAGCACTATTTACAGTAGCCAAAGGGTAGAAACAAATCAAATGTCCATCAACTGATGAATGGATAAACAAAACATGGTATTTCCATGTCGTGGAATATTATTCAGCCATAAAAAAGGAATAAGGTACTCATATGTGTTGCAACATGCATGAACCTTGAAAACAACAAGCTAAATGAAAGAAGGCAGACACAAAAAGCCACATATTGCATTATTATATTTATATGAAATATCCAGAGTGGGCAAGTCTATGAAGAAGGAATGAAGATTAGTGGCTGCCAGGGGATGGGGATAGAGAAAGAATGGGGAGAGAGTGGTGAACTGGTACAGGTTTCCTTTTAAGGTAATGAAAATGTTCTAGATTTAGATAGTGATATAGTTAAACAATGTTGCAAATGTACTAAACACCAATGAATTGTACCTTAAAACAGTTAAAATGGTGAATTCTATGTTTTGCAAATTTTACCACAATTTTTAAAATAACAAAATCCAGAGTATCAACAATGTATTTTTCACAATGTCCAGGATACAATCCAAAATTACTTAACATATGAAGAAACAGAAAAAACACAACTTAAGAAACAGTAAATAAGTGTGACCTCAGGATGACCCAGGTGTTAGATATAGCAGACAATGGTTTTAAAGTAATTATAAAATTATGCTCAAGGATGTAAAGGAAATATGTTTACAATTAATAAAAATATGAAAAATCTCAGTTAAAAAAATAAAAGTCACACCAAAAAGCATAGAACTATTTAGGTAAAAGTACAATATCCGAAGAGATATCTTACGTTCATAAATACAAAGACTCAATATTGCTAAGCTGTAAATTCTTCCAAATTTGATGTATAAATCCAATGCAATCTCAATCAAAATACCAGCAAGATTTTGTTTGTTTGTTTGGAGTCAGGGTCTCGCTCTGACACTTGGAATGGAGTGCAGTGGTATGACCATGACTCACTGCAGCCTCGAACCCCTGGCCTCAAGCAATCCTCTTACCTCAGCCTACCAGGTTGTTGGGACTATAGGCACATGCCACCATGCCAAGCAATTTTTTTTTATGTTCTGTAGAAATGGAGTCTCACTATGTTGTCTGGGCTGGTCTCAAACTTGTGGCCACAAGTGACCCTCCCATCTCAGCCTCCCGAATTGTTGGGATTATAGGAATGAGCCACAGCACCCTGTTTACCAGCAAGTTATTTTGTGGCTATTGACAAACTGATTCTAAAGTTCATATGGAAATGGTATTGGTGAAAGAATAGAGCAATGGAACAGATTAGAGAGCTTATATGAGGTAACTAAGATAATCAAATTTATAGAGCAGAAAGTAGAATAGTAGTTACCACGAGAGCTAGCAGAAGGCAAGAATGGGGAGGTACTGTTTAATGGGTACAGAGTATAAAAATGCAAAGGACCTGGAATAACCAAAGTAATTTCAAAAACAAATAAATAAAACAAAACTGGAGGACTCACACTACTTGACTTGAAGACTTATTATAAAGCTATAGTAATCAAGACATATTGTGTTTGTATAAGGATTTATACATTCATCAATGGAACAGAATAGAGCACAAAGATATACTTTCAGACATACAGTCATTTGATTTTCAGCAATGATTTTTACTAAACTGACAGGACTATTCAATATTGTAGCTCAGACTTGAACATAGTGGAAAAAAGACCACAAAAGTAAGGACTGTGCATGATCAAAGAAGCTTATCTGCCTGCCATCTTCTAAGGTTGCAGGCCTAGATGACAGTGGTAAAATCTCAGTTTTCTGAAACCTTAAGCAATCAGTTAATCAAATTCAGTATGTTTTCCAGACAGCTAAGTTTATCTCCCCTAAGCAACAAAATTTTTAATTATTAATATTAACTATTTTAGGTGGAAACCTTAACATGATGTATTCTTTGTTTACCTGCCTTCTTAAACAGAAAATAATTAAACCTTTTCTTTAATGACTTAAATTTTTCATTACTAATATCAATTATGATAGTTCCCAACCTCACTGATCTTCAGAATCTCCTAAAGAGTGTTTTCTAAAAGCACAAGTTTTTGTACCTCACCACTAGAACAGTCTTTTGATGCAGAAAGTGTGGAGTGGGGCTTGGAAATGTGTGTTTATCTCCCCAGGTGATGCTGATGATCAGCCTGTTGGGGAAACACAGTGGTGTCCAATGGTGAAACTCCCCGAGGCTTCTGAGCAATGTAGAACTGTAACTCCTCTGCATGTTAGCTTCAGTTCTTGTGCCTGAATTTAAGGGGTCTTTTGTTTTACTTCTTTGCTGCCAGTTCACCAGTTGCCTGTCATCATTCTTCCCAGTATGTCTGCCTGCAGTAATGACTCACCTATCTCCAATATATTGCTTTTATTTGTATTTATTTTTATTTTTTGAGACAGAGTCTCACTCCATCACCCAGGCTGGAATGCAGTGGCGTGATCTCGGTTCACTGCAACCTCCACCTCCGGAATTCAAGTGATTCTCCTGCCTCAGCCTCCCGAGTAGCTGAGATTACAGGTACCCACTGCACCCAGCTAATTTTTTTATTTTTAGTAGAGACAGAGTTTCGCCATGTTTGCCAGGCTGGTCTCGAACTCCTGACCTCAGGTGATCCACCTGCCTCAGGCCTCCCAATATGCTGGGATTACAGGCATGAGCCACCACACCTGACCAAGATGTTGCTTTTATATTCTATGAATTTACAAGATAAAATTACTGCAATTATCTATAAATTAAGAATAAATGGAACACCTTTGGCTCCAAAGTCACCAAAACAAACTACTGCAAAACAAACAGAATTCTGGAGATGATCAGGACTTGGAGGCAGCAGCTATGATTGAAGGTAGAAATAAGAATAAGACTAAACTCAGGGATATTCACGAAATTGATTAAAGATCTACATGCCAACACCACTGCCACCATTTCGTCAACAAAATCATTCTAAAGAAATTGAACGACCTATCAGAGAAGGTCAAGGCTGTTAGTGTGAATAACAGTAACCCATGGTGACTGTATTATTACGTTTTCATACTGCTACAAAAATACCACCCAAGACTGGTGATAGTATAAATAAAGGAGGTTAATTTGACTCACAGTTCCACATGGCTAGGAAGCCTCAGAAACTTACAAACATGACGGAAGGGGAAGCAGCCACCTTCTTCACAAGGCAGCAGGAAAGATAGAGAGAGCAAAGGGGGAAGAGCCCCTTATAAAACCATCAGGTCTCATGGAACTCACTCGCTATCACAAGAACAGCATGGGGGAAACCGCCCCCATGATCCAGTCACCTCCCACCAGCTCTCTCCCTTGACACGTAGGGAGCACAGTTGGAGATGAGATTTGGGTGAGGACACAAAGCCAAATCATATCAGTGATGTTTTCTCAATCCTGGCATTTGGGGTCCTCTAGCACAATGGCTGGCCCCTCACACAGAGTTCCCAGTCAGCCTTCATTTTCCTTTCTTTTCAATCATGAATGAGCAGCAAAAATTACCAGATATTTGAGAAAAACCTGCTGCATGAAAGAGAAAAATCACAAGAAGCACGGAAACAAATTTTTCCTGGAGGAAAGAGAGAGTACGTGAAGAGACAAAGAAAGCAATTTGAAAGGTATGTCTTGATTAAAAGAGGATTTGCTAAGCCCAATATTTCAAATTTCTCTTTTGTTTGATACACTGGGATTTTGACACCTTGAAGTAATATACCACGATAAGATTCAGATAAAAGCTATGCTATTCTTACATTCTCATATAACAATTAGGGCCTATAGACACTTAGGAAAGTTGTCATATATCCTCAAGGGTATGTGTATTCTAAAGACTGCTATTATATTCAACTCTAAACTCAGCATTAGATGATCTAGATGAAATAGTTAATTTGTTACGTAAGAAAAATTACCAAAAGTGACTCAAGAAGAAGTAAATAAACTGAATAGAATAAATTAAAGTGATGATCAAAGATCTGCATTCCCAGTTTTTCCCAAGTAAAAAATAAAAGAAAAAGGCCCAGGGAGCTTTTCTTGTTAATTCTATAAAATCTTTAAGTAACAAGTAATTCTTAAGTTATTTAAATTGTCACAGAATCCATGAAATTACAAAAAAAACTAAGTTAAAATTATATATGAGCAAATTTGAATTCACAAGTCTATTAAAAGAATAATATGTCATATTTAAGTAGATATTAACCCAGGAACACAGGGATGGTTCAAAATTAGGAACATTCTTCTTATAATTCTCTAGATGAACAGATTAGAAGAGATAAAAAAAACAAGCATAAAAGCCATTTGAAGAAATTTGAAACTCATACAAACACTAATTATAAGAATGCAGGCATGGCTATAATAATGCCAAAGTAGGCTTTAGAACAATGAATATTATCAGAAATAGAAACATTTCCTAAGTGCAGCAATTTATCATGAAACATAATGATCTTAAATGTGTGGATTCTTAGTAGCAGAGCTCAAAATACATGAAGCAAAATCTGGATACACTGAAAAAAAGAAATAGAAAAAAATCTAAAATAATAGTTGTAGATTTAACACTCTTCTCTCATGATTGATAGAAAAAGCAGACAAAAAAATCATTAAGGATATAGAACACTTGAAAAACACTATCAACCAACCTTACCTACAGAACACTGGGCTCAATGATATTCACATTTTTGCAAAGTACACATAAAACATTCATCAAGATAGACAACATTCTGGAACATAAATTAAGTTATAATATATTTAAAGAATTCACATCATACAGTGCATGTTCCCTGTGTATAAGAAAATTGAATTAGAAATAAGTAACATAAAGCAATCTGAAAGTCCTCAAATATTTGGAAAATCAGGCAACACACTTCTAAATAACCCATGGGTCAAAAAAGAAATTACACAGTAAATAAGATTTCAAAATTATTAGGAACTTATAACTAGGAAATCAAAAGGCTTGTCTTTATCAACATGCAAGAGGGAAGTGACTCATCACATACAGGGGCTACTCACTAGCATTAACTCTTAATTTCTTATCCAAAACCTTGGAGGCCAGAAGGGAGTGGGATGTCATATTCTAAGCACTGAAAGAACCAGGCATGGTGGCTCATGCCTGTAATTCCAGCACTTTGGCAGGCCAAGGCAGGATGATCACTTGAGCCCAAGAGTTTGAGACCAGCCTGGGCAACATAGGGAGACCTCATCTCTAGAAAAAAAAAAAAAAACTTCAGTTAGCCAGTTTTGGTGGTGATGTGTTCCTCATCTCTACAAAAAAAAAAAAAAACTTCAGTTAGCCAGTTTGGGTGGTGATGTGTTCCTGTAATCCCAGCTACTTAGAAAGCTGAGGCAAGGGGATCACTTGAGCCTGGGAGATAGGCTGCACTGAGCTATGATCTCACCACTGCATTCCAGCCTGGGTGACAGAGTGAGACCCCATCTCAAAAACAAAAACAAAAACAATCCCAACAAACAAAAAAAAACCAATGTGCTGGAAGAAATTTTTTAAAATTACTTATGTGAGGTAATGGATATGTTAACTAGCTTGAGTGTGGTAATAATTTCACAATGTATACATATATCAAACATCATGTGTACACCTTAAATATATACAATTTTTATTAGTCAATTACACCTCAATAAAGCTGAAAAAAATGAGAAAGAAACTTTAAAGCAATAATTTTATATATGGCCAGGCAAAGTGGCTCATGCCTGTAATCCTAGCACTTTGGGATGCCAAGGTGGATGAATCACTTGAGTCCAGAAGTTCTACACCAGCCTGGGCAACATGGAAAAACCCTGTCTCTACAAAAAAAAAGAAATACAAAAAATTAACTGGGCATGATAATCCCAGCTATTCAAGAGGCCGGGGTGGGAGGATCACCTGAGTCTGGCAGGTTGAGGCTGCAGTGAGCCATGATCATACCATTGCATTCCAGCCTGGGCAACAGAATGAGACCCTTTCTCAAAAAAAAAAAAAAAAAAAAGAATTTTATGTCCAGCAAAACTACCCTTCAAAGACTAAGGAGATATTAAGCTATTAGGACATTCTCAGATAGTAAAAACTTTAGACCATTATCCTCTGACTACCTCTATGAAAGATACTAACATACATTTAAAAGATACTAAAATACATTGAAATTAGATAGAAAAAAGGCAGTTATAAACAAAAAATACATTTATACTGCATCTTACATTTACCTATATAGTTACAGGTAAATAACTTTATTTAACTTTTTCAGAAAAGAACAGCACCAATAAAGGTAACTACATAGGTAACTATGAGACAGTATAAATGTATTTTTTGTTTATAACTGCCTTTTTTTCTATCTAATTTAAAAGACAACTGCATAATACAATAATTATAAATCTAACCTGGCAGGCATACAATGTATGAAAATGTAATTTGCAACAAAAATAGTATAGAGGGTGGGAGGAGCAGACCTATATAGAAGCAAAGCTTTTGTATACTACTGAAATTAAGTTGGTATTAATCAAATTAGATTAATACATATTAAGATGTTAATGGTAATCCCCTGAGCAACTATTAAGAAAATAACTTTAAAATATATAGCAAAAGAAATGATTAAAGAATTAAAATGGTATACTAAAAATATATATTTAACACAAAAGGAAGCAATAATGGAGAAATTGAGGAACAAAAAAGACATGATCTATAAAAAACAAATAGCAAGATGGCAGATGTGAATCCTATCTTATCAGTTATTACATTAAATGTAAACAGATTAAAGTTTTCAATCAAGAGGTAGAGACTGGTAAATAAGCATAATTGAACTATATACTATATACAATAGATGCATTTCAGAGTCAAAGACACAAATAGGTTGAAAGTAGAGGAATAAAAATAGATATACCATACAAATGATAATGAAAAGAGAACTGGAGCAGCAATCCTAATATCAGACGAAAAAGAATTTAAGACAAAAATTGTTACCAAAGACAAAGTAATGTTTCATAATGATAAAAAGGTCAGTCAACAAAAAGATATAACAATTATAAATGCCTATGCATCTAACAACAAAGCCACAAAATACATGAAGAAAAAAACTAACAGAACTGAAAGGAGAAATGTGCAATTCAACAATAATAGTTGGAAATTTTAATACTGATATTTTCAATAATTTTATTTCAATAATAAACAGCTAGACAGAATATCAGTAAGGAAACAGAAGTCTTGAACAATGCTATAAACCAACTAGACCTAACAGATATCTAAAGAACATTTCACTTAATCACAGAAAAATATATAATACATTCTTCTCAAGTGCACATGAAACATTCCCCAGGAAAGGTCAGGTTAGGCCATAAAACAAGTCTCATTAATTTAAGGGATTAAAAGCATACTAAGTATGTTCTCTGATGACAATGGAATGAAACTGGAAATTCATAGCAGAAGGAAATTGGGGATCACAAATATGTGGAACATGTGTAAAACACAGTTCAAAATAATCAATGGGTCAAAGGAAATCTCAGAAAGGAAATTGGGAAATTCTTTAACTGAAGACAAAAACACAATATATCAAAAGTGTGGAATTCAGTGGAACAGGACTCAGGTAAACCTGTATCTGTAAATGCCTACATTTCATTTTAAAAGATCTGGCTAGGCATGCTGGCTCATGCCTGTAATCCCAGCACTTTGGGAGGCAGAAGCAGGCAGACCACTTGAGCCAGGAGTTGAAGATCAGTCTGGGCAACATAGTGAGACCCCATCTCTACAAAAAAATTTAAAAATTAGCTGCGTGTGGTGGCATGCACCTGTGGTCCCAGCTACTCTAGAGGCTAAGGCAGTAGGATCACTTGAGCCTGAAAGGTTGAGGTTGCAGTGAGCCATAATCATGCCACTGCACTCCAGCCTGAGTGACAGAGTGAGATGCTGTCTCAAAATGAAGGGAAGGGAAGGGGAAGGGGAAGGAAAGGAGAAAGAAAGGAAAAAAGGTAACCCATAGAATGGAAGAAAATATTTGCAAATCATGTATCTGATAAAGATTTAGTATCCAGAGTAAAGAACTCTTACAACTCAATAATAAAAATGATGGCCCAATTTTTAAATAGGAATTTAAACAGACAATTTTACAAAGAAGATATACAAATGGTCAATAAACAGATGAAAGACGAAAACAATGCTCAACATTATTAGTCAGCAAGAAAATGCGAATAGAAACCAAAACAGGACATCGCTTTGCACCTCATAGGATGAATATAATGAAAAAAAACTTGGAAAATAACAAGTGTTGGTGAGGATGCAGAGAAATTAGAACCATACATAGCTGGTAGGTATATAAAACAGTGCAGCCACCATGGAAAACAGTTTGATAGCTGCTTAAAAATTAAACATAGAATTACCAAGTGATCCAGGAATTCCTCTCCTAGATGTATGTCCAAAATAATTGAAAAAATGTTTATACAAAAATTGTACAGATATGTTCATAGCAGAGTTATTTCATAATAGTCAAAAAGTAGAAACTCAAATTCCAGCAGCTGATGAATAGATATCCAAAATGTGGTGCAGCCATACAATAAATTTTTATTCAACCATAAAAAGGAATGAAGAACTAATACATACTACTATGACATGAATGATACCGGAAAACATTATACTTAGTGAAAGAAGCCTGACACTAATGGCCACATATGTATGATTTCATTCATATAAATACAGAATAGACAAATCTATAAAGATGGAAAGTAGATTAGTGCTTACCAGGGGATCAGGGAAGGGGATAATAGAGAGTGACTGCAAATGGGTACGAGGTTTCTTTGGGGGATAACAAATATGTCTTGGAATTAGATAGTGGAGATGGTTGCCCAGCTTTGTGAATATATTTAAAACCACTGAAGTGTACCTTTTTAAATGGCTAATTTTATGGCATATAAATTATATCTCAATATTTTAAGTTTTAAAAATGCCATTTACAATAGCATAAGGAATGACTTTAAGGAAATGATGCTCTTTTGATGAATTTATTTTTAGAAAGGATATAGTCTTGCTGATTCAATAAAATTCTGTGCAAAGAGAAAATGAGAAATTATTCAAATCTGATATCCTTGTGGTCCATTTTTAAACAGATGTCCTCCATAACTTGTTATAATTTATTTTTATATTCTACTGCATTTCCCTAAAATGTGAAGGAGAGGAGGATTTGAGTTAACTTTTTTTCTTACTAAGGTATCAGTTAGTGATAGATAGATTATTTATAAATAAACACTTCTCTGATTATAAACCAAGTAAATTCACGGCCATCCTTAAGCTATCCAAAGTAATTCAAAATTATATACTGAATATAACCCATATGTCACCAGCCTGACCAGCCTGTGCATACTATCAGAGATTATTCTTACCCAAGTTATTACGATGTGAGCCCCACTGGCCTACTAGCTGGAAGTTGAAAGTATATTCTTTTACTTCTGCCACTCCCAGTATAATTTCTGGGAGTTTCCTAGTGAGTTGCCACAGCCATGATCAGGAATAATTTCCTCCATATGTTCTACCTGCCCCTCCTCTCATCGCTGTGGTACTGCCTCTTCTGGATTACTCCTTTGGAGACACCACTCTGCTGAGGATTAATTCACTGGAGAGTCTGCTGATGTCCCCACTTTAACCTTAAAGAGGAAATAATGTTTCCCTCAATTCCACAGTGTAGAGTAACACTTTTAAAAGACTATGGAAGACTTGAGGAAAGGAAACTCCAACACAGAATGTAACTTTCCCTAGAATTGCTCTTAGAAATAATAAGAAAATTTATGTTCTGGAACTAGCATTATAGTGAAAACATTTACAGTAAGTTGATGTTTACAACATATAAGTAGGTGAAATCTGTGTATGTGACCTGTTTATAAGTTGTATTAGCTTAGCTCTTGTGAACAGTGTGGAAAAGTAAGCCATGAGGAGAGCGATTTAACCAGCTTTAAAGGATGTAAGATGTGCTTTTTAAGTACAGTGTGGATCAAATGAAACTCACTAAGACAGGACTTCAGCAGGCTTTTGTGTATGGACAAGTCAGCATAAATAAAGAATGACAAGGCAGCAAGCAGCAAGAGCTTCAAATCCAGAGAAGTGAAGGCATAACATGCATTGATGATAGTGAGCAACTTTCCAAACGCTAGTTAAATCTGCTTATCACAACTGAAATATCGAAGAAAGTCTAGCAGGAAGGAGTTCTTCTCTTTCTGGAACATCAGTGAGAGATAGTTGCCACAGTCACTAGGTCTAGCATTTAGACCTGCAAGGAAGGGCAATAAGCATTAGGCAAGGCTTGAATTTGAATTTTTTCACTAATTAAAGAGTACTTTTTTGTAAAGCAAGATAAGAGTAATCTTTTTGATTTGCAGGTTGAATGAGAACCCCACTTGTCTAAATGAGGAACATCTTTCCTACTATCTAAAATACAAAGATTTCTGGCTGGGTAAGGTTTCTAGTTGACAGTAAAATCTGATGACACCATTTGTTTCCCTACAAGTCTATATTACATATTTCACAACTTTGTCCCTCTCTAGTAGGCACACTGGTAAAAATCTTCAGCTGAAAACTACGTTGGTACCATGTCCAACACATTTTAAACCTTAGTTTTAAAAATTCCCCTGCAGTAGCCATAAGTATTCCTCTTGAGTCAGTTGTGACCCCTGGTGTATACAATTCATTATTAGTGTCTTCAGGGTAAACTCAATTTTTGGTAAGAGAAAGTAGCTTCAGCTTTGGTGAAAACCGTTTTTGTAATAAGCATGACACACAGCAGACTCAGTAAACTGCCAATCCTCATATTAGGAAAAACATCTTCAAAAGAACATTAAAAGTTATCAGGGCCAGGTACTGTGGCTCACGCCTGTAATCCCAGCACTTTAGGGGGCCACGGCAGATGGATCCCGAGTCCAGGAGTTTGAGACAAGTCTGGGCAACATAGCAAGACCCTGTCTACAAAAAATATAAAAATTAGCCAGGCTTGGTGGTACACATCTGTAGTCCCAGCTACTTGGGAGGCTGAGGTAGGAGGATCCCTTTATCTCAGGAGGTCGAGGCTGCAGTGAGCTGACTGCCCCACTGTATTCCAGCCTGGGTGACAGACCCCATCTCAAAAAAGAAAAGTTACCAGACGTCACGAATAAAAGTTGGTCTTCAAGTGGCCTCATAAGTTACTCTTGCATATAAATTCAGGGAATTCATTGGACCAATAGGTTACATTTTGGTTTCTTTTTTGTTTTGGTTCATCTGTTAACCAGAAGCAGCTGGGGGCCTAATTAGTGCTCCTTTGTAAGAAGACATTTTCCCAAAGAATACTGAATTATCTGTTCAAACTGGTTGTTGATGGTTAATAACGGCTGTTTTTGCTGCCCCAAAAGGGCTTAACACTTCAGGTGGTTAGTTTACTAAAAAAAAAAAAAAAGCCTTTGGAGACAAATACGGAAAATGCAAACTAGTTTCTAAATTATCAATTTCCTACATGAAGAGCAGTCAGTTTGCCGGTGTTCTCAGAAAATAACTGGTTGGCTCTGTATCTAAATCAGAACCCAATTTCTATACATGTGTTGAGTAAGGTAACAGCCTTTGATGAATTTCTTTCACAACATGGTTTTAGTGAAGCAAATTTCCTAAACCATGAAACATTTTTATATTTTAACAGCATTGTTCTTTCTAATTCATTTCTTTATGAAATAACATTGCTTTCCATTGTTGTTTCTGAAAAATACAGTATTCTCATAAGTTGTAGCAGCAGTAAAAAAAAAAAATTGTTATATAATTGGTTGAGGCAGATTTAACTGATTTTTTTAAACCAATTTGTAGGTTACTGCTTCCAATATTGCAGTTCTAAAAAGCTGTATTTATACTCATGTCCTAAAGGAGAATATGTGGTAATAAAGTATATTTGTTAAGTAACTAAATAATTGAAATAGGCTTGGTTTTAAGAGTTCCAGTATATAGTAGTCACAATTTGAAGCCTAAATAATGACAGTATCTCTTGGAATTCCAATAATTGATGTCACAAAATAGTGAATAAGCATGCCAGTGTGCAAGGGTAATGTAAGGACTGTTAGCCTATCTAAATATTCAAAATTACTTTAAAACTTCAATATGGTTTCTGATTTTTAAGAATTCAGAAGTGTTCTGTAATGGATTCAGATGTTTCATTTGTAGTATAATGAAATGTTTACAGAAAGATAACTTTTTCATTAAAATATTTTTAGAAAAAAAAAGAAATAATAAGGGAAAATCTGACTTTGAATCCATGCATGCCTCCTACCAGGGCTCAGTGAAGAAAAAGCCTCTCCACTCACACGAGTGGAATCTCCATGTAAGCCCATGTTCCTGAGTTTATGTCCAATACCCCTTTACTTTTTTTTTTTTAAAGGAGAAAATTCTCCCTTCTCCAGTTCAAGTAAGTAAATATTTCCTTCAGAAAAACCCAGCTTACTCCACCATACCATTTTCATAGTCACTTACTTTGTTAGTTAATAATTCAGCCAAGAAACGATGAGGATCTAAACTAAGACAGTAGCAGCAAGAATGACGAAAAGAGAAGATAATTCAAAGCCACAATTAGCAAAGGGAAGTGACTCATTAGATATGGGGATTGAGATAAAAGATAATAAGATAGAGCAGGCCAGGAGCTAAGAATAATATAGTCTGTTTCAACCAGAGAGTTTGGGTATTAAGAAATTTTGGCCATAAAGTCAAAATAGGGATGAAGTAAAAGCATCATATGTTCAAATAAGCCATGGCAGTTGGGACCACCCACTCATAGATGTGTCCTGCTGGCAGGGCTGTACAGTAGGAGCTCTTAGAAAAAAATGACAAGTAGCCAGGCGTGGTGGCTCACACCTGTAATCCCAGCACTTTGGGAGGCCAAGGCAAGCAGATCACAAGGTCAGGAGTTCAAGACAGCCTGGCCAACATGGTGAAACCCCATCTCCACTAAAATACAAAAATTAGCTGGGTGTGGTGGCATGCGCCTGTAGTCCCAGCTACTTGGGAGGATGAGACAGAAGAATTGCTTGAATGTGGGAGGCAGGGATTGCAGTGAGCCGAGATCGCGCCACTGCACTCCAGCCAGGCAACAGAGTGAGACTCTGTCTCAAAAAAAAAAAAAAAAAAAGAAAAAAAGAAAAAATGGCAACTAACCTAGATAAACCAAGTTGTGGACTGTGGAATTAAGTAGCTCCTAATGAAGAATGTTTTCTAGTAACAGATATGTGGCTAAGTGATATATCAAGGAAATGAACCCAACTCAAAGTAAGGGCTACGTGAAATTGTGCAGTGCTACCTATTGGAACTTCAGGGAACTTAGCCAGGATGTCAGGGACCTAGTAAATATGTTTTTGCCAAACACTGGGCAAGGCCCAGGGAAAATTTGGATTCCCTGGGCCTGTGGTTAGTGAGTGTTTTCCTACCTGAGGCGATTGGGCATAGTGGGAGAATGGAGAGGAAATCTCAGGTGTTCTTAACCCAGCCTGGAGAGCAGTGGCAAGATCTCGGCTCACTGAAACCTCTGCCTCCCAGGTTTAAGCAATTCTCCTGCCTCAGCCTCCCAAGTAGCTGGTATTACAGGCGTGCGCCACCATGCTTGGCTAATTTTTTTTTGTATTTTTAGTAGAGACAGGGTTTCACCATACTGACCAGGCTGGTCTTGAACTCCTGACCTCGTGATCCACCTGCCTCAGCCTCCCAAAGTGCTGGGATTACAGGCGTGAGCCACCACACCCGGCCCCAACATGTCTTTCTAGCTATTGTGGTTAATTTATTATAAACTACATTCTAGTTTATTGAAAACAAATGATTCAGTCCTTTTTCTTTCTTTCTTTCTTTTTTTGAGACAGAGTCTCGCTCTGTCACCCAGGTTGGAGTGCAGTGCTGTGATCTCAGCTCACTGCAACCTCCGCCTCCCAGGTTCAAGTGATTCTCCTGCCTCAGCCTCCCGAGTAGCTGGGATTACAGGCATGTGCCATCACAATCTGGCTAATTTTTGTATTTTTAGTAGAGACGAGGTTTCACCATGTTGGCCAGGCTGGTCTTGAACTCCAGACCTCAGGTGACCCGCTCGCCTGCTGAGGCTGCTTCCAAAATGCTGGGATTATAGGCGTGAGCCACCGCGCCCAGCCAATTCAGTTCTTTATTCCATGTTTGCCTTCATTGTCTTCACCTTCAATAAGTCCACCACCTATAAGCCCATCACTACTCTGCCACCTGATAGATTTCTTTCAGTGGGGTTCAGGTTACTGTTTCACTGTCCTTTAATTTGCACGTACAGAACTCCTTTGTTTTTAAATAATCCAGGTCATCTCAATTCGGGGATATGTCCAAGAATAAAGAAATGTTTGAACTATGTTTTTAAAACAATCGGATTTTTATAGTTTCTATAGAATTATTATTATTATTATTATTATTTTGGCAGAGTCTTGCTCTATCGCCCAGGCTGAAGTGCAGTGGCACGATCTCAGCTCACTCCAACCTGCGCCTCCCAGGTTCAAGCAATTCTGGTGCCTCAGCCTCCCAAGTAGCTGGGACTACAGGCACACACCACCATGCCCAGCTAATTTCTGTATTTTTTAGTAGAGACAGGGTTTTGCCATGTTGGCCCAGCTGGTCTCGAACTTCTGGCCTCAAGTGATCCACCCACCACGGCTTCCCAAAGTGCTGGGACTACAGGCGTGAGCCACTGCTCCCAGCCTAGAATCACTATTTTTAACAATTAATGTCTTTGTTTTTGAAGGTGTCACTCTTACCTCTAGGCTGAGGACTGCCAAATTTGTATTTTCCATACTAAATTCCAGCCCATACCCTGTACCATAATTCCAGTTGCCTGTTGAGCTCTCTTTGGATGTCTAATTGTCACAATACCAAGTTATGAAAATGACATTTGATCCCCATAGAGTTCTCAGCGCCAGACCCTCTTGTGGCCTTTCTGGGTCTCACTTGTCACTGAAAATCATAACAGCATTGCTGGTGCCCTCATTTCAGCAAACCCATCATTAAAGCACTCCTTCAGCTTTTGCTTGAAGTTCTTCTCTCCACAGGGCTTAAACAGAAATCCAAAATACCAAGCTCTCCTCTCCATCTCCCATCACATCCAGTCACCACTATCATGAAATTAACCCCCATGACAGTTTATCCCACAGGTCTACTTATAAATCGGATTAGGTTTACAGTAATATCATCAGCAAACCAGTTTCTCTCTCTCTCTCTCTCCTCCAACATTATTAACTATATTTAAAACGACACATAGCCATATCCATTCCATTTATAGCACATAATATAAGAGTTCCCAAGGAAAATTCTATTCATGAGGCCAGAGATCTCTAACTACTGTGTAAATAATGGTTCTACTCATTGGAAGTAGACTGGATGACTATTGCATATCTAAGCATGGCATACAAGGTTTCCTATGTCCATTCCCAGAAGATGAGTGATATTTTTGCAACAGGAGAAAACAACATGTAATTTCTACACATTCTTTATTGAATGTCTTTAGTTGTATGTAGTCAGATCTTGCTTATTTTTTATTTCGCTATAAAGAACAGGAAGATTTTGGAGTTTACTCACGGTTGACTAAATGATTTTTCACACTACCCTACCAACAAAGGAAAACTGCCAAAAAATGAATAATATTTAAAACACTGACACAGATAGATCAAAGAGCTAACAAGATTGTGAAAATAACTTTTCTGAGGTATCAACAATGTCAGAAATCCAAAGAGGCTACCCAAATATTGACCCTGTTACTCTGATGACATTTGCCAATTTTGGATAAAGTAGCTGAGACACTAAAGAATACATTTTTGACAGGCTCGTGCAGCTAGGGTGACAAAATTGAGTGAGTCCCAGCCCCCCAATGATGAGGGCTCTAGTAAACCCTCCATTTTTGCATTGGCATCCCAAAGAGCTGTACCTGGGAGAACCAGGAATGGAATTCCAGATTTAAGTCATCTCAGTGGTCCAGAAAATGCCAGATTAATGATAACCCAAAGGTTAGTGTTTGTAGACATTTAAAGAAAAAAAAAATCCTCTTTGGAAGAAGGTAACATCTTACAAGTTCTCAAATAATTTCTACAAATAATTTTTCAAGTATGTCCGGCAGAAGATCCAGTATAAGCAGATACAAAGGAAGGCAAGAGAACATGAACAAGAATAAGTAAAAATAACAAACAAGAGAAACAGAGCCATAAAGGTTTCAGAGTTTGAATTAATCAGATGTAAATTTAAAACAGCTATACTTTTTTATTGAACGTTTGTCAGTGAGCTAGAAACTATATGCAGTAATTGTAAAATTAAACAAATATGTTTTCAAATAAACAAAAACTGTGGCAATCAATAGATTGATCAATAGATCAATAGATCTTTTAGTGAAGACTAAAAGAAATACTAAAAGTATTTCTTCAGGTGGAAGGAATATAATCATGAAAGAGATGAAAATGTAGGTAAAAAACAAAAGAAATAAAAAGCAACAGAAAAGATAAATATCTAGATAAATCTTAATGAATATTTATTATATAAAGTAAAAATAAAGTTTCTAGTATTTAAAATATATGTAGAATTAAAATAGATGACAGCAATAACACAAAAGGCAGAAAGGGGAAAAGCCTTTTAGGAGATGGAAAAAGTACTAATTTATATTACATTTTCATAAGTTAAAGATTCATGCTGGTTACCAAGGTTAACCACTAGAAGAAGACTGTCAAAGAATGCATAACCAACAAATAATAGAGATGCAGGAACGGAATTTTAAAAATGAAAGCTTGACATCCAAAAGAAGGCAAGAAAAAAGGGCAAAGAGAACATGAAATAAGAAGGTTGAAGAGAAAACAAATAAGATGCCATAAATTAGATCAAATATAAATGAACTAAATAGTCAAATTAAAAGGCTAAAATTGTCAAATTGGATTTTTTTAACTCCAAAGGTATAAAAGTAATTAAATATAAAGGAATAGGGTAGAAAGTGAAATGACGTGAAAAGACACAGCACACAAAGGCTAACCAAAAGAAAATTGCTGTAGACATATTAATGTCAGGAAAGAAAACTTTAAGCAAAAAGTATTAGCGGAGATTTTAAAAAATATTTCATAAAAATAAAAGAGCAATCCAACCAGGAATATATAATAATTCTGAATTTCTATGTAAGCTAACATAGCTTCAAAACACAAAAAACAAAAAGCAAAAGAACCAAAAGCTGAAATAGAAAAATCCACAATTATAGTAAAATATTTTAACAAACCTCTCTTATAGTCTGACACAACAAACAGATAATCAGCAATATATAGCAGATTTGTATCACATTATTAGTAAACAGCCTAATGATATATATTAAACAATGGTAGATGACATATCCTTTTCAATTACATATAAAATATTTATTAATGTGATCCTATGCTGAACCATAAATCAGATCTCAAGACATTTCAAAAAATGAAATAATATAGAATATGTTTTCAAACCACATTGTAATTAAGCTAGAAGTCAATTCAAAAGTAAAGTAATATAAAATCTCCATAAGTTTGATAATGAATAAATGTACTTTACAACCAATGTGGATCAAAGAAAAATAAATCTCAATAAAAATCTGAAAATATTAGGAATTGTACAATAATGAAAACACTACATAAGAAACCAAAATTGTGAGATACAACCAAAGCAATCTTTAGAGGGAGTTTACAGAATTTGCATACATCAGAATTTATAACATTTGCATACATCAGAAAAGAGGAAAGGCTAGAAATTAACCAGTTAAACATCTCAAGAAGTTTGAATATGAAGAGCAAAATAAACAAAATAAATCAAAGGAAGGAAATGGTAAAAATATGAACAGATGGCTGGGTGTGGTGACTCACGTCTGTAATCTCAGCACTTTGGGAGGCCGAGGTGGGTGGATCATCTGAGGTCAGAAGTTCAAGACCAGCCTGGCCAACATGGTAAAACCCCATCTCTACTAAAATTACAAAAATTAGCCAGGTATAGTGGCACACGCCTGTAGTCCCAGCTACTCGGGAGGTTGAGGCAGGAGAATCGCTTGAACCCAGGAGGCAAAGGTTGCAGTGAGCCGAGATCACGCCACTGCACTCCAGCCTGGGCAACAGAGCAAGACTCCGTCTCAAAAAAAAAAAAAAAAAAAGTCTCACCTCTTAATACTGCCACTCTAAGAAAAATCTTTGCAATCTATAAATCTGACAAAGGACTAATATCCAGAATCTACAAGGAACTAAAGCAGATCAGTAAGAAAAAAGAAACAATCCCATCAAAAAGTGGGCTAAGGACATCAATAGACAATTCTCAAAAGAAGATACAAAAACTTATGAAAAAAACAGTCAGCATCACTAATTACCAGGGAAACGCAAATCAAAACCACAATGCAACACCACCTCACTCCTGCACGAATGGCCATGATCAAAAAATCACAAAATAGTAAAAGCTGGCGTGGATGCGGTGAAAAGGGAACACTTTTACACTGCTGGTGAGAATGTAAACTAGTACAACCACTACGGAAAACAGTGTGGAGATTCCTTAAAGAACTAAAAGTAGATCTACCATTTGATCCAGGAATCCCACTACTGGGTGTCTACCCGAGGAAAAGAAGTCATTATGCGAAAAACATATCTGCATATGCATGTTTATAGCAGCACAATTCGCAATAGCAAAAACATGGAATCAGCCCAAATGCCCATCAATCAACGAGTGGATAAAGAAAATGTGGTATATATATGTATACCATGGAATACTACTCAGCCATAAAAAGGAATGAAATAATGGCATTTGCTGCAACCTGGATGGAATTTAACATCATTATTCTAAGTGAAGTAACGCAGCAATGGAAAACGAAACATTATATGTTCTCACTCATAAGTGGGAGCTAAGCTATGAGGACACAAAGACATAAGAATGATGCAATGGACTTTGGAAACTCAGAGAAAAGGGTGGGAGCAGGGTGAAGGATGAAAGACTACACATTGGGTACAGTGTACACTGCTTGGGTGATGGGTGCACCAAAATGTCAGAAATCACCACGAAAGAACTTATCATGTAACCAAACACCACCTGTTTTCCAAAAACCTACTGAAACAAAAATAAATAAATAAATTTTTTTTAAAAAATCAACTAGAGTTTTGGAGGGGACAAATATTCAAACTATAGCATTCTGCCTCTGGTCCCCCCAAATTCATGTCCTTCTTACTTACAAATATATTCATTTCAACCCCATAGCCCCAAAGTCTTGCCTCATTTTAGCACCAACTCGGAAGTCTTTTTCATACAACTTGTTTTCTTTTCCTTTCCAATTTAAAAGCATGTACTTAACATTATATCTTAGACAATGTGATAGTCATACAGTCTTTGTGTGAGAGAGGAAGGAGGGAAGTTAATCTATAATAAAGATCAACAGTTAAGAGAAAAGGGGCCTTCCTTGGCGCTCTTCAGTCATTTACAATATTTTACCAATGTGGGTGAGGAAGAAGGCTAATCTAATCAGAAAATTAAGGTTACAGCTACCTAGATTACTGCTGCCTGTCATGTGAACAGGGTCCCATAACTACATTCCCTTAAGGCTCAAATATTTTAAAGTTCCAACTGTTTAGATTTTGAATTACTTATTTTCACAAAACCATAGGAGCAATTCATATCTAGATATTGTCTGGCATTGAATTTTATCAGGAAGAGGGAACATGACTTTTAAGTCACCTTTGTTGACTTAAAATTTCCAGCTCATTAAAATCAAATAGTCAGTGTATAACCTAATCCAGAGATGGGAGGCAGACCCAGTTGAAGCAGTCCCTGAAATGTTATAATGCAGTAGTTCACAACCCAAAGCATATCCCAGCTACCTGGGGGCTTTGACAAACTACGTAAGCCTTTCCCTTTGCCTTTGAGAGTCGCAGATATAGGGAGCCACTATTGTCACAGAAGAATGCCACATCCTTAGGTGTCTTATTTGTGCATTGTAGTGGAAATAAAAGATCAGAACCACTTTTTTTCCCAGATACTTCTGGACCTTATCACACAAACTAAGTTAATGTACATGCATTAATTTTCTATTGCTGTTTAATAAGTTACTATAAATGTATTGCCATGCAACAACGTCTATTATCTCATAGTTTATGTAGGTCAGAAGTCTGGGCACAATGTATCTGGATTTTCTGCTCAGGATCTCACAAGGCTTAAATCAAGATGTCAGCCAGGGCTGCGCTCTCATCTGAAGCTTGGGACCTCTTCTAGGTTCATTCAAGTTGTTGGCAGAATTCAGCCATTGCAGTTATAGAGCTGAAGTTTCCTTTTTTTTACTGGCTGTCAACTCCTAGAGGTCACTCTCAGGTCCTAGCCACATGGCCCTCTCACAACATGACAGCTTCCTTCTTCAAAGCAAGCCAGAAAAATCACACTACAGTCTGCTATGATGGTGTCTTATATAAAGTAATGTAACCACAAGAGTGAATATCTCATCACCTTTACCAAATTATGTCATCTAATCAAGGGAGTGACTGAAATTGCCATTGCAAAATTATAACTGAGACAGTGAAAGAGATCTGACCTAACCAACTGCACCTTGCCTCTAACCTCCAAGCTGTCTTTGTTCATTTCTGGGCACAGACCAAACTACCTTTGGGAGGAACTTAGTTTATAGTTTAAAACAATGATAACAGCTCTTTTCCAAAATAAACCTCCTTCTTGCCTGGGGACTAGACTGCCTTTGTAAGACTAAAAGTTAGCCACAAGATTAGAAATTATTGTTTAGGAGTCATGCGGCTGCAGGCTACAAGATTCTGACTCTCCCCAAATTGCTCTGGGGGATAACATCACTATTATAAAACCTAAGACCAGAGTTTGAGATATTTTGCAGACCCTGTACTTGATGGATCAGCTGGCACCACCCAGATGGATGAACTGGCTCATCTGATCTTGTGGCCCCCACGCAAGAACTGGCTCAGCTTTGACTCCCTATGATTTCATCTCTGACCTGACCAGTCAGCACTCCTGACTCACTGGCACCCCCACCCACCCACCAAATTATCCTTAAAAACTCAGGTTCTCGAATGCTCAGGGAGACTGATTTGAGTAATAATGAAACTCTGGTCTCCCACATAGCTGGCTCTGTGTCATTACTCTTTCTCTATTGTAATTCCCCTGTCTAGATAAGTCGGCTATCTAGGCAGCGGGAAAGGTGAACCTGGAGGGCAGTTACATGACTATCTCACCGTCTTCATAGTTCCAGTCCACACCCAAGGGGGTGAAAATCATTTAAGTGGTGTACACCAGGATAGGTGGAATTCTTGGGGTCTATCTTAGAATTTGGCCTATGTTGAGGCTTAAGCAACTCCACCTTGGATGCTATTTTGTCATATTAATTTCTGATTAACCCTGGTTCCAGAAATGCCTTTAAGATTTTTATTTTATCTTCTTTTCCATGTGTAAGAGAAAATACTTACCATAAATCCTGCCCTTAAGCAAATTACAGGCTATGACACACACACCATTCTTGCCTTCTTCTGAGGTGTCAACTCCAGTTGTCTCACACATTCCTTCTGAAGCAAGTTTATCTCTTCCCTATGGTATATACACCCTGTGTCTAAAGGATAACGGTCCAAGGATCCACTGTCTTGCAACCACCTAAGACATGGCTTCTGGCTTCTGTTTGTAATTCTCCCTTTTTTTTTTTTTTTTTTTTTTTTTTTGAGATGGGGTCTCACTCTGTCACCTGGAGTGCAGTGGTGCAATCTTAGCTCACTGCAACCTCTGCCTCCTGGGGTCAAGCAATCCTCCCACCTCAGCCTCCTAAGGGGTTGGAACCTAAGGGGATGGAACCATAGCCTCCCAAAGTGCTGAGATTACAGGTGTGAGTCACACCACTCCCAGCCATAAGTCCCTGTTTAATGTTTCTTTCTGAAAAAAAATTGATTTGTCAGCCTATTTCTTCAGCCTCTCAGTTACCTTGGCCTTTGTGAGTAGGTTTGCATAGGTTACCCACCAAAGAACAGCCTACCATAGTGTAGATGAGGAAGGGAGGGAAAATAAGGAAATGGGAAAAACATTGAATGGGCAGAGAGTGACCGAAGAAGGGAATGACATAGCTTGAAGAGTGGTGGCAAGAAGAAAAAGAGCTTGAGTAAACAGAATTGGGAGACAATTGGGAGACTGAATTTTGTCTGGCAATGGATTTTGTGTGAGACAGACATTAAGAAAGATCCAATAAGGGCCAAGTGTGGTGTAATCCCAGGTGCCTGTAATCCCAGCACTTTGGGAGGTCAAGGTGGGCAGATCACCTGAGGTCAGGAGTTCGAGAATAGCCTGGCCAACATGGCGAAACCCCGTCTCTACTAAAAATACAAAAATTAGCTGGGCTCAGTGGCGGGTGCCTGTAATCCCAGCTATTTGGGAGACTGAGGCAGGAGAATCACTTGAACCCAGGAAGTGAACGTTGCAGTGAGCCGAGATTGCACCACTGCACTCCAGTCTGGGCAACAGAGCGAGACTCCATCTCAAAAAAAAAAAAAAAAGAAAGATGCAGTAAAGAAAGATGACCATAAGGAAATTCTGACTATTAAGAACTTATTCCCTCGTGATATTTCCTTTAGAGACTGCCATAAAACAGTGGTCCCCAACCTTTTTGGCACCAACACCAGAGACCAGTTTTGTGGAATACAATTTTTCCACAGACCGGAGGGAGGGAGGATGGTTTCAGGATGATGCAACTGCATTATATTTATTGTGCACTTTATTTCTATCATTGTTACATTGTAAAATGTAATGAAATAATTATACAACTCACCATAATATGGAATCAGTGGGAGCCCTGAGCTTGTTTTCCTTCAACTAGACAGTCCCATCTGGGGGTGATGGGAGACAGTGACAGACCATCAGGCATTAGATTCTTATAAGAAGCATGTTACCTAGATCCCTCACATGCATATTTCACATTCACAGTTCATGCTCCTATGAGAATCTAATGCCACCACTGCCACTGATCTGACAGGAGGCTGAGTTCAGGTGGTAATGCGCGTGATGGGGAGTGGCTGTAAATACAGATAAAGCTTTGTTCCCCCACTGCTCAACCCCTATTGTGTGGCCTGGTTCCTAACCGGTACCACAGATTGATACCCAGTCTGTGACCTGGGAGTTGGGGTCCACAGCCATAAAATATCTTGATGTGTTTCAGCTAATTGTATGTGTAGATTGTTTTTATTTCTTATTTTTATTTTTCAGTTCACTGTTGTTAATTTCAATGCAAATCTGTGCTCAGCATAGAACTCAATATGACCCAACATTATTTTGATTACATGGGAAAGATCATAGGCTTAGAATTCAAATAGACCTTAAGTCAAATCTTTACTCATTTACCTAGTAGGTAAGTTATTTTTATAAACTACCACCAATTATTGAGCTCTATGTGTCTAGTCTAAATGTTGCTTAATTTAGCTTGTGATCAAGATATTGCCTCTAGTAGACTTTTTTTTATCATCTGTAATGTACCTAAGTGACAATTATGATCACCAATTTATCTTGACTGACAACAAGATTACTAAATGCAGTTAGAGTAGTCCCCCTAATTCTCAAGGCATAGGTTCCAAGACCCCCAGTGCGTGACTGAGACCATGGATAGTACAAAGCCTTATATATACAGTCATGTGCCACATAACTATGTTTTGGTCAGTGACAAACCACATATACAACGTTGTCCCAAAAGATGATGACGGGGCTAAAAGATTCCTATTGCCTAGTGACGTCATAGCAACCATAGAGCAACATATTACTCACCTATTTGTGGTGATGCTGATGTATACAAACCTACTGCACTGCCAGTCATATGAAAGTCTAACATATAAAATTATGTACAGGCCAGGCACAGTGGCTCACGCCTGTTATCCTAACACTTGGGGAGGCCAAGGTGGGCGGATCACTTGAAGGCAGGAGTTCGAGACCAGCCTGGCCAACATGGCGAAACCCCGTCTCTACAAAAATTATAAAAATTAGCCAGGCATGGTGGCACGCACCTGTAATCCCAGCTACTCAGGCGGCTGAGGCATGAGAATCACTGGAACCCGGGAGACAGAGGTTGCGGTGAGCCGAGATCATGCCACTGCACTCCAGCCTAGACAACAGGGCAAGACTCCATCTCAAAAATATATATATGCTCATAATACTTGATAATGATAATAAATGACTACATTACTGGTTTATGTATTTACTATGCTGTACTTTTTTTTAACACTGTTATAGAGTGCACTCCTTCTACCTTTAAAAAGAAGTTAACTGTAAAACAGTCTCAGGCATGTCTTTCAGGAGGTATTCCAGAAGAAGACATTATTACCACAGGAGACAACAGTTCCATGGGTTCATTGCCACTGAAGATCTTTCCATGAGACAAAATATAGAGACGGAAAATGATAATAATGATCCTGACCCTGTGTAGGCCTAGGCTAATGTGTGTGTTTAAACAAAAAAGTTTAAAAAGTAAAAAAACAAAAACCAAAAAAATTAAAAATGGAAAAAATCTTATAGAATAAAGAGATGAAGAAAGAAAATATTTGTAGAAATTTTTGTATTTGTAGAAAATTTTTGTAGAGGTATACAATGTGTTTGTGTTTGAAGCTAAGTGTTACTACAGGAGAGTCAAAAATTAAAAAATTTTTCAAGTGTGTAAAGTAAAAAGGTTGCAGTAAGCTAAGGTTAATTTATTATTGGAGAAAGAAAAATACAATGATGTCCTAGACCTTCACATTCACTCACCACTCACTCATTGGCTCACCCAGAGCAAATTCTAATCCTGCAAGGTCCATTCATGCTAAGTGCTCTATACAGGTGTACCATTTTTAAATCTTTTATACCATATTTGTACTGTAATTTTTCTATGTTTAGATACACAAATTCTTACCACTGTGTTACAATTGCCCACAGTATTCAGTGCAGTGACACGCTATACATACAGGTTTGTAGCACAGGAGCAGTAGTCCACACCACATATCCTAAGTGTGTAGTAGGCTCTACCATCTAGGTTTGTCTAAGTACACTCTATGATGTTCACGCAATAACAAAATTGCCTGAGGACACACTTCTCAGAATGTATACCTGTCATTAAATGACACATGACTATACTATTTTTTCTTCTTCTTCTTCTTCTTTTTTTTGAGACACAGTCTTGCTCTGTCGCCCAGGCTGGAATGCAGTGCTGTGATCTTAGCTCACTGCAACCTCTGCCTTCCAGGTTCAAACAATTCTCCTGCCTCAGACTCCCAAGTAGCTGAGATTATAGGCACCCACCACCATGCCTGGGTAATTTTTGTATTTTTAGTAGAGATGGGGTTTCACCATGTTGGCCAGGCTGGTCTCGAACTCCTGACCTCAAGTGCTCCACCCACCTTGGCCTCCCAAAGTGCTGGGATTACAGGCGTGAGCCACCGTGCTCAGCCTATTTTTTCTACACATGCATACCTATGGATATAGCTTAATTTATAAATTTAGGCACAGTAAGAGATGAACAACAATAATAATAGAACATGTATAACAATATACCAGCATAACTACTCCTGCAGTTTCGGGCCATCGTTAAGTAAAATAAGGGTGATTTCTGCATTTCCAACTGAGGTACCCAACTCATCTCATTGGGACTGGTTAGACAGTGGGTACAGCTCACGGATGGCAAGCCGAAGCAAGGTGGGGCATCGCCTCACCCGGGAAGTGCAAGGGGTGGCGAAACTCCCTCCCCTAGCCAAGGGAAACCATGAAGGACTGGGCCATGAGGAATGGTTTACTCTGGCTCAGATACTATGCTTTTCCCATGGTCTTCACAACCCACAGACCAGGAGATTCCTTCAGGTGACTATGCCACCAGGGCCCTGGATTTCAAGCACAAAACTGAGCAGCTATTCGGGCAGTCACCGATCTAGCTGCAGGAGTTTTTTTCATACCCCAGTGGCATCCAAAATGCCAGCAAGACAGAACCGTTCACTCCCCTGGAAAGGGGGCTGAAGCCAGGGAGCCAAGTGGTCTAGCTCACTGGGTCCCACCCCCCTGTGGAGCCCAGCAAGCTAAGATCCACTTGCTTAAAATTCTCACTGCCAGCATAGCAGTCTAAAGTCAAACTGGGACACTCAAGCTTGGTGGGGGGAGGGGCGTCTGTCATTACTGAGGTTTGAGTAGGCAGTTTTCCCCTCACAGTATAAACAAAGTCGCCCAGAAGTTTGAACTGGGCAGAGCCCACCATAGCTCTGCAAAGCCCCTGTAGCCAGACTGCCTCTCTAGATTCCTCCTCTCTGGGCAGGACATCGCTGAAAGAAAGGCAGCAGCCCCATTCAGGGGCTTATAGATAAAACTCCCATCTCCCTGGGACAGAGCATCAGGGGAAGGGGCAGCTGTGGGTGCAGCTTCAGCAGACTTAAACATTCCTGCCTGGCAGCTCTGAAGAGAGCAATGGATCTCCCAGCACAGCGATCAAGCTCTGCTAACAGACAGACTGCCTCCTCAAGTGGGTCCCTCACCCCCGTGCCTCCTGACTGGAGATACCTCCCAGCAGGAGTCGACAGATACCTCATAGAGGAGAGCTCCGGCTGGCATCTGGCAGGTGCCCCTCTGGGATGAAGCTTCCAGAGGAAGTTACAGACAGCAATCTTTGCTGTTCTGCAGCCTCTGTTGGTGATAGGCAGGCAAACAGAGTCTGGAGTGCACCTCCAGCAAACTCCAGCAGACCTGCAGAAGAGGGGCCTGACCGTTAGAAGGAAAACTAACAAACAGAAAGAGAAAGCATCAACATTAACAAAAAGGACATTCACACAGACACCCCATCCAAAGGTCACCAACAACAAAGACCAAAGGTAGATAAATCCACGAAGATGAGGAAAAGCCAGTGCAAAAAGGCTGCAAATTGCAAAAACCAGAACTTCTCTTCTCCTCCAAAGGATCACAACTCCTTGCCAGCAAGGGAGCAAAACTGGAGAGAGAATGAGTTTGATGAATTGACAGAACTAGGCTTCAGAAGGTGGGTAATAACAAACCCCTTCAAGCTAAAGGAGCATGTTCTAACCCAATGCAAGCAAGCTAAGAACCTTGAAAAGAGGTTAGAGGAATCGCTAACTGGAATAACCAGTTTAGAGAAGAAGATAAATGACCTGATGGAGCTGATAAACACAGCATGAGAACTTCATGAAGCATACACAAGTATCAATAACTGAATCAATCAAGTGGAAGAAAGGGTATCAGAGATTGAAGATCAACTCAATGAAATAAAGCGTGAAGACAAGATTAGATAAAAAAGAATGAATAAGAATGAACAAAGCCTCCAAGAAATATGGCACTATGTGAAAAGACCAAACCTATGTTTGATTGGTGTACTTGAACGTGATGGGGAGAATGGAGCCAAGTTGGAAAACACTCTTCAGGATATTATCCAGGAGAACTTCCCCAAACTAGCAAGACAAGCCAACATTTAAATTCAGGAAATACAGAGCACACCACAAAGATACTCCTCAAGAAGGGCAACCCCAAGACACATAATTGTCAGATTCACCAAGGTTGAAATGAAGGAAAAAATGTTAAGGGCAGCCAGATAGAAAGGTCAGGTTACCCACAAAGGGAAGCCCATCAGATTAACAGCGGATCTCTCTGCAGAAACCTTACAAGCCAGAAGACAGTGGGGGCTGATATTCAACTTTCTTAAAGAAAATAATTTTCAACCCATAATTTCATATCCAGCCAAACTAAGCTTCATATGCAAAGGAGAAATAAAATCCTTTACAGAGGAGCAAATGCTGAGAGATTTTGTTACCACCAGGCCTGCCTTACAAGAGCTCCTGAAGGGAGCATTAAACGTGGAATGGAAAAATCGGTACCAGCCACTGCAAAAACATGCCAAATTGAAAAGACCATCGACATTATGAAGAAACTAACCAACTAATGGCCAGAATAACCAGCTAGTACCATAATGACAGGATCAAACTCACACATAACAATATTAACCTTAAATGTAAATGGGCTAAATTTCCCAATTAAAAGACACAGACTGGCAAATTGGATAAAGAGTCAAGACCCATCGGTGTGCTGTATTCAGAAGACCCATCTCATGTGCAAAGACACATATAGGCTCAAAATAAAGGGATGGAGGAATATTTACCAAGCAAATGGAAAGCAAAAAAAAAAAAAAAAAAAAAAAAAAAGGAAAGGCAGGGGTTACAATCCTGGTCTCTGATAAAACATACTTTAAACAAACAAAGATCAAAAAAGACAAAGAAGGTCATTACATAATGGTAAAGGGATCAATGCAACAAGAAGAGCTAACTCTCCTAAATACACATGCACCCAATACAGGAGCACTCAGATTCAAAAAGCAAGTTCTTAGAGACCTACAAAGTGACTTAGACTCCCACACAATAATAGTGGGAAATTTTAACACACCACTGTCAATATCAGACAGATCAAAGAGACAGAAAATTGACAAGGATATTCAGGACTTGAACTCAGCTCTGGACCAAGCAGACCTAATAGATATCTATAGAACTCTCCACCCCAAAAATTCTTCTCAGCACCACATCACATTTATTCTAAAATTGACCACATAATTGGAAGTAAAACACTCCTCAGTAAATGCAAAGGGACTGAAATCAAAACAGTCTTTCAGACAACAGTGCAATCAAATTAGAACTCAGGATTAAGAAACTCACTCAAAACCACACAGCTACGTGGAAACTGAACAGCCTGCTCCTGAATGACAACTGGGTAAATAACGAAATGAAGGCAGAAATAAAGTTCTTTGAAACCAATGAGAACAAAGACACAATGTACCAGAATCTCTGGGACACAGCTAAAGCCGTGTTTAGAGGGAAATTTATAGCACTAAATGCTTACAGGAGAAAGCAGCAAAGATTTAAATCTACACCCTAACATCTCAATTAAAAGAATTACAGAAGCAAAAGCAAACAAATTCAAAAGCTCGCAGAAGACAAGAAATAACTAAGATCAGAGCAGAACTGAAGGAGATAGAGACATGAAAAGCCCTTCCAAAAATCAATGAATCCAGGAGCTGGTTTTTTGAAAGGATCAAAATAATAAATAGACTGTTGGCTAGACTAATAAAGAAGAAAAGAGAGAAGAATCAAATAGACACAATAAAAAATGATAAAGGGGATATTACCACTGATTCCACAGAAATACAAGCTACCATCAGAGAATACTATAAGCACCTCTGCACAAATAAACTAGAAAATCTAGAAGAAATTGATTAATTCATGGACACATACACCTTCCCAAGACTAAACCAGGAAGAAGTTGAATCCCTGAATAGACCAATAACAAGTTCTGAAATTGAAGCAGTAATTAATAGCCTACCAACCAAAAAAGCCCAGGACCAGACGGATTCCCAGCCAAATTCTACCACAGGTACAAAGAGGAGCTGGTACCATTCCTTCTGAAACTATGCCAAACAACAGAAAAAGAGGGACTCCTCTCTAACTCATGTTATGAGGCCAGCATCATCCTGAAACCAAAACCTGGCAAAGGCAAGACAAAAAAAATTTCAGGCCAATATCCCTGATGAACACTGATACAAAAATCCTCAATAAAATACTGGCAAACCAAATCCAGCAGCACATCAAAAAGCTTATCCACCACGATCAAGTCAGCTTCATCCCTGGAATGCAAGGCTAGTTCAACATATGCAAATCAATAAACATAATCCATCAAATAAACAGAACCAATGACAAAAAACACATGATTATGTCAATAGATGCAGAAAAGGCCTTTGATAAAATCCAACACCACTTCATGCTAAAAACTCTCAATAAACTAGGTATTGATGGAATTTGTCTCAAAATAATAAGCACTATTTATGACAGACCCACAGCCAATATCATACTAAATGGGCAAAAGCTGGAAGCATTCCCTTTGAAAACAAGCACAAGGCAAGGATGCCCTCTCTCACCCCTCCTATTCAACATAGTATTGGAAGTTCTGCCCAGGGCAATCAGGAAAGAGAAATAAATAAAGGGTATTCAAATAGGAAGAGAGGAAGTCACATTGTCTCTGTTTGCAGATGACATGATTGTATATTTAGAAAACCTCATCATCTGCCAGGCATGGTGGCTTACGCCTGTAATCCCAGCACTTTGGGAGGCTGAGGCAGGCGGATCATGAGGTCAGGAGATCGAGACCATCCTGGTTAACACGGTGAAACCCCAACTCTACTAAAAATACAAAAAATTAGCCAGGCGAGGTGGGGGTCGCCCGTAGTCCCAGCTACTCAGGAGGCTGAGGCAGGAGAATGGTGTGAACCCAGGAGGTGGAGCTTGCAGTGAGCCGATACTGAGCCACTGAACTCCAGCCTGGGTGACAGAGAGAGACTCTGTCTCAAAAAGAAAAAAAAAGAAAAAGAAAAGAAAACCCCATCATCTCAGCCCAAAATCTCCTTAAGCTGATAAGCAACTTCAGCAAAGTCTCAGGATACAAAATCAATGTGCAAAAATCACAAGCATTCCTACACACCCATAATAGACAAACAGAGAGCCAAATCATGAGTGAACTCCCATTCACAATAGCTACAAAGAGAATAAAATACCTAGAAATACAACTTGCAAGGGATGTGAAGGACCTCTTCAAGGAGAACTACAAACCACTGCTCAAGGAAATAAGAGAGGACACAAACAAATGGAAAAACATTCCATGCTCATGGATTGGAACAATCAATATCTTGAAAATGGCCATACTGCCCAAAGTAATTTATAGATTCAATGCCATGCCCATCAAGCTACCATTGACTTTCTTCACAGAATTAGAAAAAACTACTTTAAATTTCATATTGAACCAAAAAAGAGCCTGTATAGCCACGACAATCCTA
This sequence comes from Homo sapiens, assembly GCF_000001405.40. Classification (NCBI taxonomy): domain Eukaryota; kingdom Metazoa; phylum Chordata; class Mammalia; order Primates; family Hominidae; genus Homo; species Homo sapiens. The sequence continues at coordinate 180,999,639 of NC_000003.12, read as the reverse complement.
AGCAAAAAGAACAAACCTGGAGGTATCATACTATCTGATTTCAAACTATACTACAAGGCTACAGTAACAAAAACAGCATGGAACTGGTACCAAAACAGATATAAAGACCAATGGAACAGAACAGAGGCCTCGGAAATAACACCACACATCTACAACCATCTAATCTTTGACAAACCTGACAAAAACAAGCAAGGGGGAAAGGATTCCCTATTTAATAAATGGTGTTGGGAAAACTGGCTAGCCATATGTAGAAAGCTGAAACTGGACCCCTTCTTTACACCTTATACAAAAATTAACATATGATGAATTAAAGACTTAAATGTACAACCTAAAACCATAAAAACCCTAGAAGAAAACCTAGGCAATACCATTCAGGACACAGGCATGGGCAAAGACTTCATGACTAAAACACCGAAAGCAATGGTAACAAAAGCCAAAATTGACAAATGGGATGTAATTAAACTAAAGAGCTTCTGCACAGCAAAAGAAACTATCATCAGAGTGAACAGGCAACCTACAGCATGGGAGAAAACTTTTGCAATCTATTCATCTGACAAAGGGCTAATATCCAGAATCTACAAAGATCTTAAGCAAATTTACAAGAAAAAACAAACAACCCCATCAAAAAGTGGGCAAAGGATATAAACAGCCACTTCTCAAAAGAAGACATTTATGCAGCCAACAAACATGAAAAAAAGCTCATCATCACTGGTCATTAGAGAAATGCAAACCAAAACCACAACAAGATACCATCTCATGCCAGTTAGAATGGCGATCATTAAAAAGTAAGGAAACAACAAATGCTGGAGAGGATGTGTAGAAATAGGAATGCTTTTATACCGTTGGTGGGAGTGTAAATTAGTTCAACCATTGTGGAAGACGGTGTGGTGTTTCCTCAAGGATCTAGAACCAGAAATACCATTTGACCCAGCAATCCCATTACTGGGTATATACCCAAAGGATTATAAATCATTCTACTATAAAGACACATGCACACGTATGTTTATTGCAGCACTGTTCACAATAGCAAAGACTTGGAACCAAACCAAATGCCCATCAATGATAGACTGGATAAAGAAAATGTGGCACATATATACCATGGAATGCTATACAGCCATAAAAAAGGATGAGTTCATGTCCTTTGCGGGGACATGGATGAAACTAGAAACCATAATTCTCTGCAAACTAACACGGGAACAGAAAACCAAACACCGCATATTGTCACTCATAAGTGGGAGTTGAACAATGAGAACACATGAACACAAGGAGGGGAACATCACACACCAGGGCCTGTCGGGGGGGGTGGAGGGCTAGAGGAGGGATAGCATTAGGAGAAATACCTAATGTAGATGATGGGTTGATGGGTGCAGCAAACCACCATGGCATGTGTATACTTATGTAACAAACCTGCACATTCTGCACATGTTTCCCAGAACTTAAAGTATAAAAAAAATTTTTTTTTTTAAAGAACTAAAGGCCAGGCACGGTGGCTCACGGCTGTAATCCCAGCACTTCGGGAGGCCAAGGCAGGTGGATCATGAGGTCAGGAGATTAAGACCATCCTGGCTAACACGGTGAAATCCCGTCTCTACTAAAAATACAAAAACAAAATTATCTGGGCATGGTGGCGGGCGCCTGTAGTCCCAGCTACTCAGGAGGCTGAGGTGAGAGAATGGCATGAACCCGGGAGGCAGAGCTTGCAGTGAGCCGAGATTGCACCACTGCACTCAGGTCTGGGCAACAGAGCGAGACTCCATCTCATAAAAAAAAAAAAAAAAAAAAAAAAAAAAAAATTAACCTAAAAAAAAGAAGAAGTATATGTGACATGCTTTCTTTCAAGGATCTTCAGTCTAATAGAGAAAACACTTCTATACCAATAATTTCTATACATTATATAGAAACTGGCAGTATGACACAAACAAAATTGTACAGGAGTTTGGAGAAAGGAGAGATCACTCTAGACCATGGTTTGGCAAGCTATGCTCCATAAGCCAAATTCATCCTGTGGTCTGTTTTTGAATGATCTACAAGCTAAGGATCATTTTAATATTTTCATCTAAAAAGAAGAAAGAATACAGAGATTATATGCAGGCTGCACAGCCTAACATATTTACTATATGTTCCTTTACATAAAGTTTGTAGACACCTGTTCCCGACTTGAGTGAACAAAGAAAGCTTTGCAGAAGGCACATTTGATCTGGACATTTAATTGAGGGACAGAGATGGGATTTGGGAAGGGCACTTGGAAAAGCAGGAGTGACTTGGCTAAAAGCCCAGGGGGCAGTGGACTTCAGAGCACATTTGAAGAATAGTGGTGACAAATCCCATTTGACAAGGCTATGAGGTTTATGAAGGGGAGAAGTGGAAGAGAAGTCTGGAAAGACTGTCTGTGGTGCCGGGCTAAAGAAGTTTGCTATGCATGTAGTAACTGAGGGCATAATAGGTGCCAGAAAGAATTTTATGGAGTTTTTGCAAAGCCCTCTAATGATGACAGTGAAGATGATTTTTCATAGTAGAATATTATAGAAGCACAATTTTTATGACAATTAGACAGGGATGTATCCCATGCTTTATTCTGGCCACCAAATAACGTATAACAGTGATGTATATTCTCTTAACTTCAGCCTAAGTCAAAGTGAAACTCCTAAATTTGTGCTTAAAGTTGCTTTATTATTGCTCATCTCCTCAACCATCTAGCCCCCTGAAAATGTGATTTCAAATGGGATTTCAGACAGACCCTCCAGTGTAGCTTTGTTTCCCATGACACTGTGTTATTAATGCATGACACTATATTATTAATAATATTCACCAACAAGTCTCAGACCAGCTATTTCATCCTCATTTAGTAGCAATCTCCAGCAATCAAATAATTGTGCTTGTCTGTCTGGCCCAGGCACAAGATGCACTTACATAGATTGTTCTGTTGGTCAGTTCCATTCGCTGACAGCTCAGCAGGGAGAGCTCAATTTATTTAACACATAAAGCTGCTGCATATAATTGGAACCCAGGCTAAGGAAGGAGAAAAAAAGACTGAGGAAGGCAATGGGCAAAGGCATGCTAAGATGGAATGAAATGGAGGGTCAGTTGAGGAATCTCCATTTTGGAATGGCACTTAAGCTAACTCAATTTTCAAGTTTTCTCTGAAATCCACAGTGTCTCAATTTTCTTTCCTCGCTGCTTGAGAAAAGAGCAAAGCCTTTATCCTGAAATATATGTTTCCTGGATGCTGTCATTCTGATCAAACACATTGCAGTTCTCTCACTGGTCCACCACCCACATGCTCTAGACTTACACACACACACACACACACACACACACACACACACGTCTTTGTAATTAGAAAGGAAAGTAGGAACCCAGTCTAAAACAGATGCAGGCTGGGCATGGTGGCTCATGCCTGTAATACCAACACTTTGGGAGGCCAAGGTCCAAGGATCACTTGAGGCTAAGAGTTCCAGACCAACCTGGACAACATAGTAAGACACCATCACTACAAAAAAAAATTTTTTTAATTAGCTGTGTGTGGGGGCACACACCTATAGTCCCTGCTACTCAGCAGGTTAAGGCAGGAGGATTCCTTGAGCCCAGGAGTTCGAGGCTGCAGTAAGCTATGATTGTACCACTGCATTCCAGCCTGGGTGATACAAGGCTAAGTCTCAAAAAATAATACAATAAAATAAAACAGATGCAGTGAGAGAAAAATGAAGCAAATTGAGAAAAGGGGTGAGAAAATCACAGGAGAAACAGTTATAAATTATTTTATAATATCCACAGGGCAGAGCAAGGTCACCTGACTTGGATGCAGATGAGGCCAGCTGGAAGAAAAAGTGATTGGACCATGGGTGTTCCCTTCTGGCTTCCCAGCATCCCCTCTTCTTTCCCAGTGTCTTGGGTCCTCACATCATTCCTACTTGGGCCTGTCCTCAACCTCTCTTGCTCTAAATATCTTCTCCTTCCTTCCTTTCTTTTTTTGCACTCCAATTAAAATCTTCCTTTGACTAGTTATTAATACCAAAATGATCTCTTAAAACACTTCATAGAGGAGTCTGTTGATCATATCTCAGTCTGATCATTCACCAAGAATTTCACATTCAGACAGGAGACATAAGATGAATTCCTAATGGTAGTGTAAACCAAAAGGTATCTGAGACACATCTCAATCAATTTAGAAGTTATTTTGCTAAGGTTAAGGACATGCCTGGAAGAAATAAACACAGAATCACAGAAACAGTCTGTGGTCTACGCTGTCCTTCAAAGATAATTTTGAGAGCTTCAATATTTAAAGGAGAAACATGGGCTGGAGGGGAAAGAGGGAAAATATGGTAATCCACATGTTGCAAGAGAAAAAGGGCAGGCAAGAGAATAGTCAATGATGCATTTGTCTCATGCTCAGTTAACCAACACTTTGCAGAAGATAAGGTGAACATAGAGGAGCTACCTATGGAGATATTTAACCTTGTATCTGTAGCTATCTGCTTAGGAACAAAAGGAAAGTCAGCTTTTTGCATTAGTCAGCTTTCAGCTTCATTTTTTTTTCTTTTGGAGTAGTGAATTGGGGTCCCATATTTTTATTTTCTTTTCACAGTAGATTGTCAGGAGATGGCAGGATCATTGAAAGAAAGGAGAGAAGAAGAGACAAAAATGGGTGGAACAAAGAAGAAGGGAAAGGAAGCGAGTATCTACCAAGCGCCACTGAATTTTAGGCAAAGGGCTTTTCCATACAGCATTATGTGAACAGCTGCCTACACAAGATAGATCCCCTGGGTTTAAATAGCTACTAATGAGGAATTCAGATGTCACTAATCCAGATCTCGAATAATCCCTAGAAAGAGTGGTAAGAAAACATAGGCAAAGACAATTCTAGGACCAACTCATTTTATGACCCTAACATTATACATATCTAGAAAGTGAACAGAAAGGCAAACAATTACTGGACTCTGTCAGGGCTTTGGAAAAGTCTGTCAACCAATCTGAGGCCCAGTTTCCTCATTTATAAAATAAAGCTTCTGGGGGAAATATGGTCTCTACATTTTCTTCTCATTCTTAAATTACATAATTCAATGAATTTTTCCAAATTTTCTCCTCTATAAGATCATTCCTATTCCTATAGTAGCTAAAAATGCTTTTCTTTCTCTTTTTTTTTTTTTTGAGACAGAGTCTCCCTCTGTTGCAAGGCTGGAGTGCAGTGGTACAATCTCGGCTCACTGCAACCTCCGCCTCCCTGGTTCAAGCGATTCTCCTGCCTCAGCCTCCTGAGTAGCTGGGACTACAGGCACATGCCACCACGCCCAGATAATTTTTGTATTTTTAGTAGGGTTGGGGTTTCACCGTGTTAGCCAGGACGGTCTCAATCTCCTGACCTCGTGATCCGCCCGCCTCGGCCTCCCAAAGTGCTGGGATTACAGGTGTGAGCCACTGTGCCCGGCCAAAAGAGATTTCTTATAATCCATATCTCCACTCTCTATCCTCCCATCCTCTTTTGAACTCACTCCAATCAGACTTTCATTCCCATCACACCACAGAAATTCTCATGAATATGATCTCCGATAGTCAATTCTCAATTCTTTATTATTTGACTACTAGCAACATTTGTTTGTTTGCTTGTTTTGCTTTTTGGTTTCCAAAGGCTCTCCCTCAGAAGAATATTAGCAGCATTTGACACAGTTAATCACTCCTTCCTCCATTGAACACTTTCTTCACTTGGCTACCAAGACACCACACTTACCTGGTTTATGCCTACCCTTTTTCAGTCTATTAAATAATTTTCTCTTTTTTTCCTCATGTCCCCAGATTCCAAACACAGGTGTATCCCAAAACACAGTTCTTATTCCTCTTCTTTCTGTCTCCACTCATGCAAAGATGACTTTACCTGTTCCATGGGCTGATGACTCCCAAACCTCTCTTTTGACACCAGAGTTGTATGTCCAACTGCCTATTGGACAGCACTACTTGGATATCTCATTGGCATTTCAAACTTAACATGGCAAAAGCCTTCCACTTCCTGCTTGCTCTTCCTGAAGTTTTTCTAGTTCCATTCAGCGGCAAATCCATCCTTCCAGCTGCTAAAGCCTCAAGCTTTGGAGTCACTCTTGACTTTTCTTTCTCTCACACACTATACCTCATCCATCAGCAAATTTTTTCAGCTATACCTTAAATATATAAGCAGGAGTCCAGCCACTTCACTCTACCACCACTGCTACTATCATTTTTCATTTGAATTATTGCAACGGCCTCTTATTAAAGTCATCATCAAACTGGGCTCAGTGGCTCATGCCTGTAGTCCCAGTAACTTGGGAAGCTAAGAAGGGAGGATCACTTGATGCCAGGAGTTAGAGGCTGCAGTGAGCCATGATCATGCCACTGCACTTCAGCCTGGGGAACAGAGCAAGACTTTGACTCAAAAAAAAAAAATAGCATAAAAATAATAGTCACTATTCATGTTGGAAACAGATGGTACACTGCCTTAGTCTGGGCCGCTATAACAAAATACCATAAACTGGCAGCTTATAAAAACAGAAATTTGTTTCTCAGCGTTCTGGAAAGCTGGGAAGTTTGAGTGAGGTCCTAACTGATTTGGTGTCTGATGAGGGCCCATTTCTTCATAGACAGCCATCTTTTCACCCTTAAGTCCAAGACAAAGGCAGCATGTGTGTCTGGTAAGGGCCCTTTCTGTTTCACAGACAGTTCCTTCTCACTGTGTTCTCACAGGGTGGAAGGGGTGAGGGTCTCTCTCGTGCCTCTTTATGAAGGCGCTAATCTGATTCACAAGGGCTCTACCATTATGATCTAATCACTTCCCAAAGGCCCCATCTCCTTATACCATCGCATTGGTTATTAGCTTTGAACATATTAATTTGGGGGAAGACAAACATTCACACCACGGCCAAATGGAGAGTTTAATAAGAGGACTGTTTACAAAGATGTGGACAGGATTAAGGGAAACTGGCACAAAATGTTCCAGTGCCCTGTGCCTAGCAAGCAGGGGCCAGTAGCAAAGGCATGACTATACTTAAATGTGAAGGAGCAACAGGAAGGAGTAATGACCAGAACACTTGCACACAACAGGAGCTGTATTCTTCAGCAGACCAATTCAGTCAGCTTACAACAATCACCAGAAAGTGAGAGGTAGAAATAAAAACCATGAATTCACTTTCCTCCTGCCTTCTGATCTCCTGATCACAGACCTAAATGAACCCTAAGCCAGAAAACGAGAGAGCTGCTCATGGATACAGTTCATTAAGGTCACCCTCCTAACCTTTCTGTTCCTCTGGAGCACAGAGCAGGAAAAAAAGGTAGAGAGAGGATCTGGGGAAAAGCAAAATACATCCAGCAATATAGCAAAGCAATATAGCAATATAGTGAAGTAAATGTTACTTTCACAGGGTGAAATGAAACAATCTATGTAAAGCATTTAGTACAATGTCTGGCGTATGGCTTTTAGTTGGTGGGGGAACCCCTTATTTGCCTGGCATTATAGTTCCAAGTGTGGATTTTTGCAGTGATAATTTCCAAACTTTAGGTGATGATCAATTAGTGGGCTGTGAGTTTAGTAGGTTTTCTAGCACTTATTTTTTTAAGAAACAGAAAAGACCAGCATGCATTTCATGAAGTAAGGATAAGTATTATCTCATAAATAAATCTACTATGTATATCTGTGCGTGCAAGTATGTATTTGCTCCTTGGGTCACAGTGTAAAATATATTTCTTACTAAGGATGACAGTCAAAAAATGTTTGAAAGCCACAGTGCAAGAACACTCTTAGCTACCGCTCTCAACTCTCACTTATTTCTTCCCAAGGAGAAGTGACTTACCTGATTTAAAAATTTGGGATGAGAAACTAAGAAGATGTGCTTGAGTCCTTTCTCATTCTTTTGTCCCTACCCCCTCTTTTGTCTTTTATTACTTTCTATAGTAAACTAAATAATGTGTTCCAAAGATTTCAGGTCCTAATACTTGGAACCTGTGAATGTTACCTTATATGGCAAAGTGTTGGAAACTATGATTAAGTTAAGGATCTTAAGAAGGGGAGATTATCCTGGATTATCTGGGTAGCTGGTAAATGCAATTACATATATCCTTTAAGAGGAAACCAGAAGGAGATTTTACAAACAGAAGAGAAGGACAATGTGAAGATGGAAAAGTTGGAGCAGAGTGAGATTTCAAGATGCTGGCTTACAAGACTGCAGTGATTCAGTCACAAGTCAAGGAATGCTGGCAGTCACCAGAAGCTAGAAGAAATGAGGAATGATTATCCATTCATCAGTCAGTGGACATTTAAAAAGATTACTTTTCAAGGCTGTTTCTAGGATCTTGGCAGGTAGGTAAGAGGCAACCAGACTTAAGATTCATGAGTGAGGTATCATGAGAATGAGGAAGGCTTCTACACTCCAATTTGCACTCTGGCTTCCCTCATAATAATAGCCCCACACTGAGTGATGACCATAAGCAGAACACAATATGTGCATAATCTCTACGTTCACAAAAACTCGGCAAGGTAGTTATCATTACCTTCATTTTACAAATGAGGAAGAAACTCAATCAGAAATAACTTTTCCAAGTCACAGTATTAGTAAGTGACAGAGCCAGGTTACCTCCAGTTTGATCTGCCACCAAAAAAAGAGCTATCTCCAGCTCAACAAAATGTCTTGCTGTGTTGCTACTCCCAATTTCCTGAGTCTGGGTTTTGTAAAGTCTCAAAGCTAATTAGAGTCTACTGTAAATCTATTCCTCCAGAAACTGCATTACACAGTTTGTACATACCAAAAATATGCATAATAAATTTTTCCAGATAGCATTCTAGCTTGTTGATGCCAATTTGGTCCCAAGGTCTTATGCCTCACTTGATTATTTATTTTGTAATTGTTGGGTAAAAACCAGATAAAAGAGAGGCAAAAGAGGAAGTTATAAACTTAATGCTAGTGTCTTAGTGCTGGATGTCACCTTAAATCATGTGTTGACAATAAATTACATCACAAAAACCTTAGCGCTAGAAGAGCTCTTGGATTATCAAATGCAAACTGCTTTTACAGATGAGGAAAACAAACCCAAAAATTTTGCATATTTGTTTAATAACTAACAAACTCATCAAAGCAGAATTGCATTGCAATGTAAACGGATATTTAACACTGTAAATTCTGAGTGGGAAGTAACTCCAAACTTATTTTGATCATGCAAACGTTGCATTGTAAAATTCCATTATTGTCTCCATTATTTTTTTCTTCTCAAGCATTTATGTAGGGATGTATGAAACTGATGTCCACGTAAGGGCAAAATCCAGCCCTACTTTTTATTTTGGGTGAGGAGGAAAACTTTTAAATAGCCCTTTTCAGTTGTAGGATCTTGACATTCCATGTTCAGAATATGAACTGTCTTTAATCCCATTCTACAAAACGAAAACCCAAATATTCACAAAGTCTTGTCAAGTCACATCCTTAAATGAAGTTCTTTTACATTAAAAAATGCTACCGAGCAATCCCTGAAACACAGTGTGGTTGGTTTCATTTGTTTTTCTGGGCATCTCGTTTCCTACACTGGGTTACAACATATTTGTTTGGGTTCGTGGTGGAAATGTCACAGCATGTTTAACTACATTCATTACCCTTGACAATTATTAACATAAAATAAAGGCAAAACGAGGTGCTAAGATGTAGGGGGAAAAAATCGGTCTGAGTAAGGCTGCCCATGCCCTTCCCTGCAAGAATTTCCAAATACCCACCGCCCAGGAGCAAAGGACAGAAAACACAGAGAAGCCCCACCCCTACACCCAGAAATAAAGAGATCCGCCCACCCTTCAACCAACCCGAAGTCGCTTTCTCCGCTCTGTCCACTGCTTGAGCGACTTTCCTTCTCCTCCGCGTCCCCTTTTACGACAGTTTTCCGGCCTAGTTTGCGGCTGCTCCTGCCGTGTTGCGTAGGGCGCCTGTGCTTGAGGTTGGGGGTTGCGTCGCTCTCTGGTAAAGGCGTGCAGGTGTTGGCCGCGGCCTCTGAGCTGGGATGAGCCGTGCTCCCGGTGGAAGCAAGGGAGCCCAGCCGGAGCCATGGTGAGTGCGGCCTTCCGGTCTTCTTGGCGACCTCCGGCCCAGGCCTCAACCTCAGCTCCCCGCCTCGGAGGTGTGGAGTTGAAGTTGTGCTCCTTAGTGCGACTGCGGGCGGGAGGTTTCGGTTATTGGGGAGTCACACTCACCAGGACACAACCCTGTTGGCTCGCTCTCTTGGGGGTTTGTGTTTTTACATCGTCTTTCTGCACGGTTCTCCAGCTTCTTGTCCGCACGGGCTCTGCAGGTGTTGCTTGCCTGGAACTCCTGTAAGGTCAGAGGCTGTCATGGACTCGGAGATTAGTGGAAACGTATTTGATTATAAGTGCCCTTGCCCTAACACATCTTCACAGCACTAGCTCCACTTTGCTATGTCCTTCTCTTTGGCTTTTGCTGACAGATGTCTTCTCCATGCTTCCTGAACATATTTGGGCCTGTCTTGTTAGGAAACAACAGGGCAGTGCCAAAGGTATTAGTCTCCTAGTTTAGCCCACGTTTAGCCTCGAAAATGCGTTGTTAGAATTTTACAGGAGCCGTCTGTAAACAGTTTTTCCTTCTGTAGCAGAAACCTTATTTCCACATTTTTTTTTTTTTTTTTGAGACAGAGTCTTGCTCGGTCGCCTAGGCTGGAGTGCAGTGGCACAATCTTGGCTCACTACAAGCTCCGCCTCCCGGGTTCGCCATTCTCCTGCCTCAGCCTCCCAAGTAGCTGGGATTACAGGCGCCCACCACCACGCCCAGCTAATTTTTTTTTTTTTTGTATTTTTAGTAGAGACGGGGTTTCACCATGGTAGCCAGGATGGTCTCGATCTCCCGACCTAGTGATACGCCCGCCTCGCCTCCCAAAATGCTGGAATTACAGGCGTGAGCCACCGCGCCTGGCCTATTTCCACTACTTTTGATTGAACTTTAATGTGACTTAATTTGTCTGGTGATGAAAGAAGTTTTCAAAGGGAGGGAATCATCTTTTTCACTATTGTAAAGATAAATAAGCAAGTCGAACTTGCCCTCTTTCCCATATGATGAATCCTGTAACTTTAATGCATTCAGCATAACAGATGCAGTAGTTTTAAAGATTACTGGACAGAATATTTCCGCCTTAAAAGTTGTTTCTCTGCCAGGCATGGTGGCTTATGCCTATAATCTTAGCACTTTGGGAGGCCAAGGTGGGAGGATTGCTTGAGGCCAGGAGTTCAAGACCAGCCTAAGCAACATAGCAAGACTCCGTCTCTTAAAAAAAAAAAAAAAAAAAGAAAAAAAAAAGTTGTTTCTCCTATTAAAATGCAGTTTGTAATGAGTTGGGGATGGAAGAATGGGCAAAATGAGAAAGGGTGGGAATTAGAGAAGTAAATATTTACTCTTCTCCCCCTTACCAGGCCAGTACAGTGGTAGCAGTTGGACTGACCATTGCTGCTGCAGGATTTGCAGGTTTGTTTATGGTTTGGGGATGGAAGTGAAGTCGGGGAGATTGGAGATTTAGTTTACTTATTCTGTTGCTTTTGGTTTTAGGCCGTTACGTTTTGCAAGCCATGAAGCATATGGAGCCTCAAGTAAAACAAGTTTTTCAAAGCCTACCAAAATCTGTAAGACTTTGTTAATTCTTTGCTGCTTCTATTTGAAACCTAGAGCCACACTTAGGGAAGGGTAAATTTCCAAATATCCATGAAGTTCTAAGTGATTGCTTTGGACCCATTCTCCTGCTTCCTGCAAGGAGAGTATAGAAGTTCTGAACTTTGTGATGGTGCTACCCTGAAACATCAGATGTTATATGTGACAGAGTTGGATGGGGTTTTGACAATTCTAGTACCCCACTAGACCCAAGTTTCACTTTTTCACATACCATCACCTTCAGCATCATCTGTACATATTCTTGTTTTCCTTCATCTGCTCTGCATCGCACACACAGAGGTATATGATTCTAAAGTGATCCGATCTGACCATGTGGCCCTGGCACTCCCAAACATCATACATAGGTAGCACTCTAGTTAATTAGGCTATAGGGTTTGGCTTGATGTTATGGTCATACTCTCTGTGGTCACAGTTAAGAATAGATTTGGCTGTGATCACCTGTTGAATATGTTGTGATTAAGTGTAACAGAATAGAGTGATTGTAGGCTTTACCAATATGATTTCTGACATGGCAAGGTCAGAGGACCTAATAGTGGTATTTTCTGTATATATATCTTAAAGTCTTGTTTCAAATACACTTGAACCTCTTGTCTCAAAAGACTTCTGTTCTTGAGCCACTTCTTGCAGATTTTTATCTAGAATATGGCTAATTTGGAATGATCTTTCCTTTACTCCCGGAAGACCTGGCTTTCAGACACTGTTATTTTGTCTTATATTTCTAAGATAGTTCATATTGACTGGAAAAAAATGAATCTGTTTAATGATCATTAAAATACTACTTGTTGCTACTTATTTATAAACTTTATTCAGCTTTAGCTAAAATACCTCGGGAATTGCACTAAAAGTCCTCTGAAATGTCTTAGTTTTTCTTAGTTCTGTGAATATTTCCAGACGTCTTTTTTAAAGCAACTTTATTTTATTAACCTTTCTTTACAAATGCATTTCTTCTTTCAGGCCTTCAGTGGTGGCTATTATAGAGGTGGGTTTGAACCCAAAATGACAAAACGGGAAGCAGCATTAATACTAGGTGTAAGGTAAAATAATCTCTAATATTTTTAGCATTTTTCTACCACTGTAGAGCCATGAGGAAATATAAGAAAGACCTTCTCTCCTTTAATAGGAGAGGGTCATGGGGGATTTTGTCCTAGGAAGATTGATATTACCAATTCTAATCAATGAAACTGTACTGTTCCTTCATGTTATTTTTAAGATGTAAACAATCCTTCAAATGAGAAGGCACACTAGCACTTAAGCACTTTTTCTTTTTTCCTAGAGTGTTTACTAAAACACAGGCACTTTTTCATTTATTTAAAGATAGACTCCTCAGCAGATTATCACAGTGTTCAGTGTTGTTCTCTGTAACTGACATTTTTTTTGTGGTGAAATTCTGCCTTCAACCGGGCGCGGTGACTCACGTCTGTAATCCCAGCACTTTGGGAGGCCAAGGCCAGTGGATTACTTGAGGTCAGGAGTTCAAGACCAGCCTGGCAAACATGGTGAAACCCCGTCTCTACTTAAAATACAAAAATTAGCCAGGCGTAATGGCACACACCTGTAATCCCAGCTACTCGGAAGGCTGAGGCAGGAGAATCGCTTGAACCCGGGAGGCCGAGGTTGCAGTGAACCAAGATCAAGCCACTGCACTCCAGCCTAGGGGACAGAGTGAGACTATCTCAAAAAAAAAAAAAAACAAAACTCTTCCTTCTTCATTTTCAAATCCTTAAACATGCGTTTCTTATCAATAAAAGGACTGTTGTAATGGGTACTGCAAGTTCAACACATTTTTGAGAGTGCCTTACTTTTCTAAGTAGTTTCCCAATTTAGGATACGCATTGGGTGTGTTGAGGTTTCTAAACAGCTTTTCATACTGTTGTGTTAATTTACTACAGTTTCACAGTGTCTTTAATTGGCCTTTATGTACAGTTTTTTGATGTGATGCAGAAGTAGGATGAAGTAAATACCATTTCTTTTTTTAATTAGCCCTACTGCCAATAAAGGGAAAATAAGAGATGCTCATCGACGAATTATGCTTTTAAATCATCCTGACAAAGGTAAGTAGTCATTAAATTCTCGTTGATGTTGTTGGTGTGACCAATAGTTATTAATGGGATAATTTTATCTCAAATTCCTGGCTATTAGAAAGGTAACACTTAAATCTGTAAGTCCTGTCTCCTAGGCTGGAGCCATATATTTTTGGTGTCTTAAAAGAAATTAAGTGAAAACTTTACTTACAGAATGAGCAGATGTAAGTGCTACTATTACTATGTTTTGTGGGTTTTTCTGGCCTACATTTATTATAATTAAAACGTTAAATTTCGTAAAACTAAAATGTAATTTTTCCTTATCCATTTTAGATACCTTGAAACGGAGATTACCTAGATAGAAACTTATGGGATTTATTTATTCGTTTGTGATAGACTTCTATGCAGCCTTGGCTGTGTTGAAGGAAAGCAAGAATTTCTTTGAATACCAAAAAATAGACCACAGAATTCATGTTCTAGTGTTTGTATCCTTTTACTTATACAGGAGAGGGCTTTCATTAATAAAAAGGGTTTTGACATTTTAAACAGGGTTATAATTGTTTGATATCTACTTCACAGTATCTTTTATGAAATTTAGCTTGTTTTATATGGAGGGCTTCTGACTCAGTAGGTCGGCAGTGGAGCCCCATAAATATGCATTTATACTAAATTTCCTGTTATTTCTTGCTGGTCTTAGGACCATACTTTGAGAATCACTCCTCCAGCAGATTCGTAGGAAAGCAGCTGTAGATGACATTGTGAAGGGACAGTAGATAACAGGAAAAGAAAAACTGGACAGAAAAAGGATGTAAAGCAAACTGGGATCTTTCCAGTAAACAGCTCAGAAGCCTCTGAGAATATCATGGTATTAAAATAACATGGTATAATTGATGTTCATTTATGACCTGTAATCATGAATAGGCTAACACCAGTTCAAAGGCATATACATATATATCTAATATATATGATAGAAATCCTATTTCTATCAGTTTAAGCTTTCTAAAAAGGTGTTATTTTTGTAGAAATATCTCCCACGTAAATTACTTCATTTCTCATTGGTCACATATATTACCATATATTTGGTCATCCAGTTGCAGTGTCAGGGTTATTTTTTAAAAATTAAAACACTGTTTCTGCTAAATCTCCCTCAGATAAGCATTGGAGTCCTTGAAACAAGAGTAGCTTTTTACCAAGCAGAAATTGAGAATCCATATTGTAACTGTTCTTTTTTCTTTCTTCCTATAGGAGGATCTCCTTATATAGCAGCCAAAATCAATGAAGCTAAAGATTTACTAGAAGGTCAAGCTAAAAAATGAAGTAAATGTATGATGAATTTTAAGTTCGTATTAGTTTATGTATATGAGTACTAAGTTTTTATAATAAAATGCCTCAGAGCTACAATTTTAAAAAATGATTTAGCACAAGCTAAATCTCAAAGCCTTGGTATAATTTTCTTGTTTAAATTTGGGGATTTTAAATCAGATTATAGTTTAGAATATTTGCGTATTAATTATGGGCAAGCACACACCTTCTGAATAGAAATATTGTTCATTACTCATTTAGCAGATAATTTGGGACCTATGTCTACTTTTCAAGGCAAAGTGAAGATGACAGTCCTTGCTCTCAGGGAGCCCCCACTTTAATGGGAGACTGATAAACTGGTAATTAGACTGTGATAAATAGTATGATGGAAATTAGCTTAAGCTGTTTAAGTAGGGACTCTTCTTATTCGGTGGAAAGGCTGTTCCAGGTACAGGCAACTGGCCTGGCAACTTGGATACTTGGAACCTTGTATTTAAAAGTGAATTTAACCACAACTGAGACCTAAGAAATTGACCTAGGGGTGTGTGTGTGTGTGTATTCTATGTACATATAAACCATTTTTATTTCATGCATTAAAAATAGTATGATAAAGATTTCAGAGTACAGGTCTGGTACAATCACAGTTCATTGCAGCCTCAACCTCCTGGGTTTAAGCAGTCCTCCCGCCTCAGCCTCCCAAAGTACTGGGATTACAGGCATGAGTATTTACATTGTATTCAGCTAGCCCCTTAAAGGTAATGACCATTTATAAATTATTCCTTCAGTTGGCTATTTCTTGACATAATCAAACTTCTGCAATTGTTATGATTAAGCTTAAACCCTGTTAGCAAAACTGAAAACTGAAATGTTCTCAATATCAACATATTTAATTTGGACTCTTTAGAATTTATACACTAATAAATTTAAATGATGTTTAAAGGCAAATTACTTACTGTTTGTCTAACATAAAATATATAAGGATCTTAAGAGGACCTGTATAAAACATCTGGTATAAACTAGTATGTATTTCTCAACAGGAGTATTTCTTATGTGTAGCTCTAAGATGATAAATTATACTACCTACCGTCTAAACTTCCTTAAGTCATCATAAGTTTCTTAATTATTGGAGGATACAAGGACTTTTGAGGTTAAAAAAATAGTGGAGGTAATATTTATCTGCCTTATAAAGTAAAGGTATATCTGCTCTTTGTGTTTTCTATCCAATACCCTCGTTTAAAATCTGATGGAGTCTGTTATGATTTAGTGTATGATGAAACACTAGCTTCTAAGGCTTTTATGCAGGATAAATTATTTCCAGGGACAAGGAGACATGAAAGTACAGCTGGTTCTTGTTTGTGGTAATTCTGTTCTTTAAGGTGGCTATGAACACTGAATTAGCAAATAAGGAACAAGTTCCTAAGAGAAATACAGATTCTGTGACCCTTTGGTCACAATATTGTCTGCCAGTCAGTATATAACCTTGATCGACCTGTTTCTGCTTGAAAACATTCTTTAGTATTTCATTAACTTTCAATTAACAGCCAACAGCACTATAACTAACTCATGCTTGGGACATCACGGCCTTCTTTGCATTTGGGAACACTAGGTAGCATGCTTCACTACTACTCTTAGGAACCATCTTAAAACAGCAAAATCACCAACAAAAAGCACAAACATGAAACTTGGCACTAAATAGACCACAAAAAGGATATCTGTTTATGGTGTGAGAGCTTAAACAAGGTAGAGCATTGCCTTGTGCACATAAAGTGGTTTAAATTTTTTGTCACTCTGCAAATACTCACAAATGACCAGAAAAGGATGTTGATTTTGGAGTTACAAATTTTAGTGAGTAGGCAAATTCACAGATAAGGAATTCTACTAATAATGAGGATCAACTGTATTTTGGTTTACTAACCTTTTATTTCAGTCCATTGGACAAATCAAAAAATGTTTCTCTGAACAAGAGCTTTATGAAGAAATAGTTGAGACTTAAAAGAAAATTTTTCAAAGACAGATAGTGATAATATGCCGACAGGCAATGAAGCATTAACTCTAAAAAGGGAAATTTAACTTAATAGGTATAAATACTTTTGAGGGTTCAGTGCAAACAACATACCCGTTTTAAGACAGGTGTTAAGACAATGGAAACCACTTAAAAATACCAAGGAGCACAGCAGAGCACATTTTTTTCTTGCATAGTAATCAGTTTTATTTTCTCCAGGCTTACCTTTTTTAAGTAGAAGAATCCGTGTTTCATTGAAGGCTATTAGGCAAACTGAACATTTAAATGTTATCCATGTGAGGGCTCTAGATCATGTAGGTGATTGATACAAATACGATCCATAAAAAAACTTTTATCTTTTGCTGGTATTTTCTTACAAAATACTTGGATCTGTAACATTTGAGTACTTACAGTGTACTAGCACTGTGCTAAGTATTCTTCCCTTATCTCAGTAGACTAGTTATTATGATGTACATTTTACATGTGAGGAAATGGAAGTTTAGTAAGGTTAAGCAGCCAAGGCAACATGCTGAGAATGGCTGATCTTTCTCAGATCCTGAGTTCCGTTCTCTTAACTTTTTGTACTATGGCCTTCACAATTCTGATAACCTAAGCATGTTTTCCTTGATAGTACTGAGATGTGAGTCTAGTACTTATCTCTACAGATCTAGCTTGGGGCCTTTGTCTTTACTCATTGGTGCTTCCAGATATATTTTAAAGAAGGCGGCATGATTAAACACACTTTGGGAATGAGAGGTAGGTTACAAGTTAAACTTCTGCAGAAGCCAGGTAAACAGAAGCCAGGTAAATCTGAGCCTCGAGGCTTCAGCTTTCTCTGTAAAAGGGAAATATACATGACCAACTTGAAATTGTGAAGATTCTTCCACATTTTATGGCTTGGGAAACAAAAGTCCAGAGCAAATGGTCTTTTTTCTAAGGTCCCACGGCTAGTGAAACTAAAATTAGGTCCTTGGTGTCTTCTCCAATTTGCTGTTCATATTAGTCCTCATTAGAAGTTTGTGGGGAATTCCTATCTATAGCCTTCACATTAGACCTCAATATCAGAGATTTTTGTGAGTCACTTAGCCTCTTCCCTTGCCTTTACTGGCCATCTGGGTTGACATTAGAAATGAGTCCTAAGGTGCTGTATAAAAACTGCTTTGTTGGTAAGAAGTGAGCTATAATGGGTTGTCCTGGAAGTTAACTCTTTCTCCACCTTTAGTTTTAAGCAAGTTCTCCTGCCATCAAGTATTTTCCAAATGATGAGAGTACTTACGGAAACATTTAAATGGAAAACCAATGAGAACTGAGAAAAATTAGGGAACTAGCTTCTTAATATATTGCCACACTGAAAGCTGTATAAATTCAGTATACTGAATATGTATGCCCCCCCGTAAAGAAAACCTAGTATCAGAAATGTCTAAAAATAAAATTTCACGCAGGCATAATGCTTCATTTAAAGGGTTAGAGGGGTTTTAGGTTAGAATGCAGAGTTCTGTTTCAATCATGAGAAATTCTATAAGGCATCTTTCTGTTGACAGTGACCTAAAAAAAAGGTTTTGCAGTTCAGAAGCTTGTAGTAGGTTCACATTGAGTGCACAAGAACCTCCAAACATGTTAAATCTGATGAAAATTTAGAACATGAATCAACAATGTCAAAGAACAGACTAAGCTTAAAAAAACAAAACCCTGTAAATTTTATGTAAACAAAGTAAAAAAAAAATTACAATGTAGAATGCTCTCCTAGGTTTTTGGTTATGTAAAGTATCCTGGAATGAGTAACCTTGAGTACCAGTTAACTTGAATGACCTAAGCTCTGGTTTTAGTTTTTGGACTGCTGTACAGTGTGCTGTTTATCAGCTTAGAGCCAACTACTGCCTTAGCAACAAGATATATATAGGAAGAGCTTCTATCCTGTGTCACCTATTATTCCTGACCCAATAATAGAACAGTCCAATGATATGGGATAATCTGTTATGGTTAACATTTGCTAACACCTTACAGCAGTTTCAGTTAATGAAATTTCAAATATATGTTTACATTTTTCTTTACAACCTGAAGACAGCCAAGTTAGCTGAAAAAGGAAGCCTAGAGGTTGAAATGTAAGCAACCAAGCAACAATTAAGTATAAATTGTTTATCTAGAAAAACTATTGGAAAATATTTTTAATGAAAATGGTCTCTAAAACTAGAAAATTAATATGTACATTTTACAGTTAATCCAATTAAGAGGGTACAAAGGGGTAAAAAAACTTTCCCAAAAAAAAAGAACATCCCAATCACTGAAATACAAAGAAATTCAAGAAGCTAATTAGTAGCATACTTAATAGTGGGGCTGTAAGACTTGTGAAAAATTACTTTGTCCTTGTTTGGAATATCTTATAGATTGCATTCAGCATAGTTGAAAATGTCTGGGATGGATACATATGTAAAACAAACACCACTTAAATTCAGCATACTCCTTATGAGAATACTTGGGCATTTGGTTAGGTGTTGCTCAGGGTCTGACATGTGACTAGACTCAAATTACTACTGGAAGGGCCTTAAAGATACCAACTAGGCCAGCCCTCTCTGGTTGGATAAAATTGAAACCATAGAGAAAAAGTTAATAGAGCTAAAATAGCAGCTTCTAATTCTGTACCATTACCTAAAGCATCTTTTTGAATTATCAAAGGAAGAAATAAGCAAATGGACTGTGGGAAATCATCTTACAAAACTAGAATATAGTTTTTCCAGGGGAATTTTTGTGTACCTTACCTCAGTACTGGAAATAATATTACAGAAGATACAGATGAATCTGAAATGATACACTGATAAACTTTTTAAAAATTTGTAATTAGACTGAACCATAAGAAACTGTTAATAGTTGATCATTTTTGAGCCTTACAAAAGTGGTAATTTCCTACTGTTCAGTGTAATGGACTTAAATCAGTTTTAACACCACTTGCTAACAGTCTGACTTTAGCAGATTGCAGTTACTGCTTTATTGCAAAAGCTCCTGAAATAAAACCCAAATACTATCAGAGATTAACATGGGTTATGAGCAACTACAGTCCATTCAAGTACACGTTCTAATAAAGAACTAAAATTAAAAAAAAAAATAAGGGGCTAGCAAATTCACTATAGCAGACAGATATTCTTAACGAAAAAGCGTAAGGGATCCAAATCGTGTAGCAAAGACAGGAAGACTGAGACAGTAACAAACATCCTTTTCTTTGAGATTTTTTGCCAAAACAGTAGATTCACAGTTCAAATCCAAGTTCCTTGAAACTTTACAGAAGAAAATCCAGGTGTAATTTTCCTTTACTGTAATTCTTAACCACCAATCATCTGTCCCTGGACATAGCCTGTTTTCCATGTTTATCTGTCCTTAGGCAACAGCCCATGAGAACACTAGTTGGTTTGAGCCTCAAAAGCGTAAATCTGTTTGCAGAGGATACAAATGGTGCTGTTTCCCAGTCCAAGATTTAGTTAACATACCAACTTCTATAAGACCCTCCTTAGGTTACAAAACGCTAGACACAGCTAACAGCAGCTACAAAAATACGTGACTTAGCACAACAGCAATGGAACCCAGCATCATCTCAGGTAAGTTTCTGTGAACTCACCAGTTTGATGTGCTGCTTCTAATTCCACATTAAAATACAAGATTATTTCAAAATAAAGATTTGTGTATTCCTATTACACTTTTGCCAATTATTTCTGAAGTGTTACCAGAGACACCATTTTGCACAAGTTGTAGCCCCCTTTAAGGCTTAACAAAGGTGATGCCTAAAGCAAGAATCCTAGGCCTCCCAAAGCTTCAGGAAAAGCAGGTCATTTTTGCCACCATATAATCTCAGCTGTTACTTCATGATTCCGTTCAGGTGTCATATATGAATTCACATATATATGCTGAAACATTGTTGCAACTGCACAAGATCTTCCAGAATACCTTTTTTTCCTTCTCTTTAAAGAGGGTCTCAGTGGCCCAGAACTGAGTTCAAATGATGCTCCCACCTCAGGCTCCTGAGTAGCTAGAACCAAAGACATAAGCTACTGTGCCAGGCTCCAGAATACATCTTTTGCTTAAGTGTCTGTTTAGTGTATAGTGGCAAGTTCTTCCCATAGCAACATCTCACCTAACTAGGATAGCAGCCAAAAAGACGGAACCCTCTCAAATACATTTAAAAGGCTACCTGAATTAATGGCTACCCTTTGGGGAGTGGGGCTCTCTAAAAAAACAAATGCGTATTTATCACAATTCTGCACTACCTATATTTTTTAAAGGACAAGACATTGGGTTTAGTCATTTGTAAAGTAATGAACTTAGTGTGGTTATTGCTAGAATGAAGAATTGGTTCAGCTATACTCACTCTTTTAAGATTTTGTTTCTTCCATTCCCATTGAAACCATCTTTATGGAAAAGGGATGTTTAATATATCTGACTATTCTATGTGGGAGAAAATGAAAAGTCTTTTTTTTTTTTTTTACACCATATTTACCAATTTGGCATTAATTAAAATTCTTCTAATACCTTATAATTTTTAACCCAATTATGTAAGAGAACTGAGACAATTTAACCTGTTGCTAGCTTTGATCGATTTAAAAAAACACATTTGTGGGTAATTTTTTTAAATATCAGGACATGAAATTACTTGATATCTTTATATATAAAGGACAGGAGTTGCACTACTCACACCTTACTTTAAAATTCTGTTACCAAGAACCAATCAGAAGGCCTCAGGAAAAAGCACGTAATACCAGCACATTTTAACCTTAATCAGAATAATTTGAGGGCTAGGGTTATATATACTGAACTGGCACATTGTACATTTTTAACTATACCCTGAATTATCCTTCAGAGCATATAAATTAAAATCACATTTTTATGCACATAAAAAATTAACACAAACTATGCACACAACACTTTTCATATGCCAAGTGATAACAAAGGGCTGTCATTCTTGTTCAGTGGTCCATATAATATTGTGGAACAAAGCCTTCCCCTATGTCTAACAATTACTTGACCTCACAATTAGCTGTACTAACTGTTGTCCATTGTTAAACTTCATGTCTTTATCTTCATAAAAATTAAGCTCTGGCTAAAATATATACATAAAGTTTAATAACTGATTTTTGGTCACTGATATGAGAGCCTTCAAAATAAGTTGAGAATGAATAAAGCAAATCATTGGCCTATTATTTAAAAATTGCTTGTCATCCCTTCTATCCCCCATTGTCTTCCAAAGTTGCCTTTGATTAGAATTTTGTTAGGTTTTTTTGCTAATTATCACATGTATTATTAATTACCTATGCATCTAACAGCCTAAACTTGTGTAAAGATTTCAGATGATTCATTACAAAATGATTAAATGGCCAACTGACATTTTAATGCTATTTATGAGCAAGTATAAATGCTTTTTAAAAAGCAAAGTATACTATCCTAAGCCTATTAATAGCTCCAACTATTTTGCAACAATTGGTGTAAAAAGTAGAAAGTTAAAAAAATTCAGCAAATGGAAGATCAAAGTTTATTTACTACCTGCATACAAAAACATATTGCACATCAAACAACCGAAATAAAAAAAAAAAAAAGGAAAAAAAAAAGATACTCTACTGAAGACTAACATGTAGTTTATACAGAATAAACCTTCTGGAAATTGATCTTTTCAGTAGTTCAGGTTATGTCTGAATGGACATGACTAATTCAGCTTAGTGTTTTAACTAAAGCTATGTTTGATTTTTAAATACTGTACACTTTAATAAATAAACCAAACAAAGCCTCAAGGTAGAACAGTCACTGCCAAGTATCGCCCAGTGTCCCTGCAGATGAGAGTTTAACAAATGTATTCCAGTGGTCTGCAGATTTTCCTCTACATACAGCATTTAAAAAACACATTAAAACAGACCAGTTTCCAGACTAAACTAATGAAGAAATTACAATTCAGTGCAAAATATTTTAGACTGCATTTCATTCTAGTTTTCCTCAGGTGAAGAAGTGGTTGCATATTAAAAATGTAACAAAAGCAGCTAATGCTTTCATAAAGAATATTACGTTAGGGATCCCACCCCACCCACCACCCCCCATCTCTGCCATATTTTGAAAACAAAATAACATTTCCTATAGCCAGCAACTTTTTTTTAATGTTACATATACTATTCTCAAGGCACATCTGATGATATATTTTATAACACAGTAGGTGTCAAAGTATGTTTAACATATGATTTCTTCAGGATCCCTCCCCTTTTTGAATTCCAAATGGAGGAACTGAAAGTGCGATGTAAAGACTGGCGATCCATATTCTATCTTTGGCAAGCTTGTACAAGCACTATTGTAAATGTAATGTAAAAGAACTGTAAACTAGGAACTTCTTCAGTTTATGAAACACCATTCAGGACTGCTGCTTCTTGAGTGTTTTCTTCTTTTAAGGTATTAATCTTTTCTTCTCCTGGAGTACGCTGTAGCTTAGAAATGTCATCGCCAGAAGCACTAGTTGGGCCGTTTATTGCCTTTTCTGAAGGACCATGCTCTTCAATCACATCTTTTGCCTGCCAAAGGGAGACAACTTTTTCAACTTCTTTATAAATGAAATCTATAGCTGAGGAGGAAAACAGCTACATAAACACTAATTAGCTAATTAAAAATTTCAGTTTTATATACCACAATGGATCAAAGTATTAAAACATCTTTAAAATTCAAAACAAATAACAAAGTATTCCACTCTATGGGTCTTTCAACTTTGTATCTCTAGTACCTAGCAGTGCCCAAACCACAGAAAACATCTAAACTAATGAAAACTGTACCTAATTTTAAAACACTGGAAAGCTCACCATGAAAATGACATAAACAGTTAATATTAAACAAATAATCACCTACTTTACTCACCTTATTTTGAGAAATCACATTTACATATCAAATACTGTAAAGCATTTAAAAGAACTAAAATTTAAAAGGTCTATATCCATCAATGAGAAGAGGTATATAGCCTATTGCTCCTGAATTAGGCAATAGTCTCTATGCCCAGTATCTTTGGGCAGAATGAATTTTATAAATGCTATTTGAAGCTCTAACTAAAAAGTATTTCAGGCTCAAGCATGCATATCTTTAGTTACCTGGGGCCAAGAACATATTCAAGAGTCTTTAACTAAAATAGTATTGTCTATTTGTGGAAACAAGTGATCACACAGTAAAAGTAGTAAAAAAATAAAGCTAAACCATACCAAAAATTAAAAAAAAAAAAAACCTACAGGTTAAATTCTCCTTACCATTTCTTTCTTGTTTTTAGCCAAAGTTTCCCTTGGGAGGTTTCTTTGTCTGCTCTGAGACTCAGCTCTAGAAATATAATCTGCAACTGTGACTGTTAAAGATGAGAAAAAAATTACAGGTGTTGAAAAAATATTTCTAAAGTTTATTTATGGATAAAGGGTAATTTCACTATTAAACTAGTGGTGGGTCACCCAGTGTCAAAATTTTCTTAAGCTGGGTATCACCTCCAACCAAAAACAAAGCTTTAAAAATCTACCTGGGCTTTTGGTGCTGAAGAAAATTTCAAGCTTGAGATTGAGGAAATCTAGATTAAATTCCTCTTTCCCAAGAATCCAGCTATTTGCTTCTGGTTGACCCTAATGTTGTGGAACAAAGTTGTTAGAGAAACCCACAACCAGTAAAAGGAAATACAAACGCAGTGTT
Source organism: Homo sapiens (assembly GCF_000001405.40). Taxonomy (NCBI): domain Eukaryota; kingdom Metazoa; phylum Chordata; class Mammalia; order Primates; family Hominidae; genus Homo; species Homo sapiens. Next base: position 180,974,980 of record NC_000003.12, on the reverse strand, counting down.
CTAAGCCCAGTGTTTGCAATTATCGGGGAGTCGGGGGGAGGGGGGAATGGGGCAAATTTGGTCCAAATCACAGTATGATATACTTAAATTTGAAAATTTCAGATACAAAAATATTTACTCAAATGTGTGTGTGTGTTTTTTTTTAAAGCACAATTAAGATATCCAAGTGTGGTTTATTCTATGGTTTTGTTTTAACGTTTCACACTAGAAACGATTCTGAGTGATTAAAATAAGAAACTACAAGCAAACTAAAGATGACAGACCACCACCCTAAAAATGTGGACATTGATCAGAGTGGGAAAAGGTCCAGAGTGTATTCAATGACACCCCTCCCACACCCCCTTTGCCAATCTTGGTAGGGACGATCTGAAATGTGTATTTGCAAAGAAGTGGCAGTAGTGGATTAGGAAAAAGACTAAACCCAACCTAACACCCTACTGTCACGTCAACCCAACTTCAACAAATGACCTATGTTCTACAGTATGTGGACTGACTCACTTTATACATCAACACTCTCTCTTCAAGAACTGAAACTTAGGGCCGGGCATGGTGGCTCACACCTGTAAACCCAGCACTTTGGGAGGCCAAGGTGGGCAGATCACCTGAGGTCAGGAGTTCGAGACCAGCCTGACCAACATGGTGAAACCCCGTCAGAATTAGCCAGGCGTGGTGACACAGCCTGTAATTCCAGCTACCTGGGAGGCTGAGGCAAGAGCATTGCTTGAACCCGGGAGGTGGAGGGTGCAATGAGCCAAGACTGTGCCACTGCACTCCAGCCTGGGCAATAATAGTGAAACTCTGTTTCAAAAAAAAAAAAAAAGAATTGAAACTTAGAATTCACTGATTTTAAGAAATACCAAAAGAACCACCCTTTTTTCTTTCAAGTATTTTCTATTGCAAACTGTTTCAGAAAATCCCTGATATGTAAAAGTACAATATATACTTTAAATTATGGGAGCAAGTTAATTATGTAAAGAATGAAATCTCCAGTAAATTTTAAATTATTTATTTAAAGTCACTAGGTATGGGGAGAATTGGTCCATAAAGTATAAATTCTATGAAAACAACTAAATCATTCTGGTATAATAAAAAGCTGGATGGTATTTACAATTCACGTTTCTTAATTATGAAATAACATGCTAACACTTTCATAAGATCCAAGAACTTTCTAGAACTATTATGTAAATCTTTTAAAACCACAAAGGAACAACCTATTTCAGAACTTACATACATCATTTACTAGAAAACCACTAAAGATGTTTCAAATCTGAAACTGCCTCCTTCCTTCCAAACTGTAAGAAACAGTACGCTCATCTTGAAGCTTTTTAAATTATTTAAATTCATTGCTAATATATTTATAACTACATTAAAAAGAGTTTACAATATTGGAAAAAGGGCTATTGTCATAATCCACTTTATTATGTCTACATACATGGTAGCAAACCTATTACAAGAACAATTCTAGCCAGTGTGGGGAACAGCATAGTGAATGCACTGTTTCCAAGTTCGGCCCTCAGTGACACCTAGGAAAACATCTAATTGGAAAGCCTGCTGCTAAATTAAGTTGGTGCAAAAGTAATTGTGGTTTTTGCCATTTTGAGGTGGGTGCAAAAACTGCACCAACCTAACACATTGTTGAAACAATTCTAGAACCTTTCATCCACTGTGTACAGAGACAGAATAATATTTTGATATAGTTATCAACTAAATTAACAAGCACTTAGCTGGGGTATCCGCTACCTAAATAAAAGGAAGCCAAAAGAAACCTCTGTTAATTCAAATAAAAACCTGTTTATAGCCAGTCCTTATAATACAAGCCCCTTAAAAGTCCAATACAGATTAATAATTAACAATATCTAGAAAAAAATACAGGCAATTTCTGTAATGACATGGACTCTAGAATTTCCTCGAATGGATCCAAGTTAATCAACTGGACACCAGTGTGTATTGTCACATTCTAAGTGTGGTAAAGAATATTCACTGCTTAATTTACACTAAGAGCAACAAGAAATTTTGAGCAGATGAGATCAAATTAAATGAGTGTTTTAAACAGAATATTGATATTAGCTTTAGAGGGAGGCTGCCTCCTAGAACTGCTACTAGGATCAAGGGTTAACAGTTTTGTGCTTGTTTTACCCACCCTATCTTTTGGGAGAAGGGGCAAGCTAGGGAATGTGAGGAGTTTTAAAAGAGGGAAGTAGTAATCCCAAAGAAGTAAAACAGGAATAGATGTAGTATGGAACAGAAATCATTGTCAAACTGTTGAAGCCTCCAAACTACTCAAGTTGCAATTAATACCATACAGAAATTTTTGCCTCTTCTCCAACAAACCCCACTGTTACTCCTTTTATACCTGTTGACTTGGTAATAAACCACCATACATCTAGTTAATAAATGTTGTAATATATTCTGTTAAGTTCATACTGATAGCCTGAATTTTCTTGTTTACAGTAGGGCCAGAAATGTATTCACTGCTGTACCACCTTCAAAAAATGAAATAATCTCTTCATCTAAAACATTTTTTTTTGAGACAGGGTCTCACTGTCACCCAGGCTAGCGTGCAGTGGCACGATCACCCTTCACTGCGGCCTCGACCTCCCAGGCTAAAGTGATTCTCCTGCCTCAGTCTCAAGAGTAGCTGGGACTACAGGTGCGCACTACCACACCCAGCTAATTTCTGTATTTTCTCTAGACAGGATCCCACTGCCCAAGCTGGTCTCAAACTCCTGGGCTCAAGCAATCCTGCTACCTGGCCTCCCAAAGTGCTGGGATTACAGGTATGAGCCACTGCACCCAGCCCTAAAATATATTTCCAACATTAAAGGAGGGGAGGAAAGAAGGGGAAGGAAAACAAATATTTTCTGGACACTTTCTATTTTTTGACAATATTTAATTGCTCTAAAAATTTCCAACTATCTTTAAAACATGAACTTTTAGGGATGGGAACTAATTCTCTTAACCAGTTTTCCCAAATGTCTCTACAACCACTAAATTTAAAATAGTAAAGATGCCAGAATTTACATTCTTTATTTGGGGAAAACACATGAAAGAACTGGTTTTGGAAAGAATGCAAAAATTGATTAGTTTGAAAGGGGTTTATTTCTGGTGCACACAATTGCTTCATTGTGAATATACATGTGATTCTCTGTACACAGGAAATGGAATTATGTTCAAAATAATAGACACAGCAAACAAGTTTCTTTGAAGTTACTAAAAATTAATGACTACATAAAATAAACATTCTAAAACTAAGTAAGTATTATTAATTTGAATAGTTAGTAGGTGTAAGGGAAAAGGCATCACACTACAATAAACAAACAAAAACAACATGCATTCCTCGCATTAGGTTAAAGACACCTTCAAATATTTTTCTCTTTTATACTTTTTTTTTAATTGTGGGTATTACAACTCCCACAAAAATGAGGTGCTGAATTCAGATATAGTAAGCAGGCACCATGCAAAAGCTGCCCAGTTTTGCCAATCAACCTTGATCACAATCTACAACACAGTCCCTCGGATGGCAGGCCCCATCTCAAGTGTGAAGAAACTGCCAAGTGAACAAAATGGTCTTCTCAACAGTATTTCCATGTAAACAATTAGGACACAACATTAGTTCAATTAGACAAGTTACTAACACACTGTGAAGGAAGAATGCATTTTCTTAATAGTAGTAGTCTTATTAGTTGAATAAACAATTTATGCAATGCAAATTTTGAATGTATATGCACACATGTGTACATGTAAGTATAATATATTTAGAAAGCAGACATAGACATTTTTTTCATGCTTGTGACCTGATGGTGTCCACAGGTCCACTCAAGTTACCTGGCTGTCTATCTTCTGCCTGACCCCTGAAGCGACGCCTGCGGCTACGATTGCGTCGCTGGGGTTTTTTTTCACTATCATCTGTAATTGCAAAGTTTACCATGAACTATTCTGACAAAAACAAACAAAAAAACAAAAAAACCTTCTTTCCTTCAAAGATTTAAAGGGGAAAAATAAACTTTTAATTAAACACAAAAATAAAACAACAAATGTTTACTGACAGGAAATACATTTTTGTAGCTTTCAGCATTCCAAATGGATTAAAAATGGAATTATCATCTGGAAATTCAGAGGGTTTTAACTCACAGTAAAACTCAGACTTAAACTGCCATCATTCAGGGACACAGTCTTCCTCTCTAGTACAGTTTGGTTTATACCGAAGTTAATGACATTTTAGCCCTTGAAAATTAATGCCTACTCTTGATATATGTACCTTTACCAGTGTCATTTATAATTATTTTAAAAGAGGCAAGATGAAAGCCTGATTTTAGCTTGGGGACAATAAAAGCACTAAGTACCTTGCCAGCTGAATATTTGTACTGATTTAATGGCATCAAAGGGCACTTTAACCCTCCAAGTTTCAAATAATTTGGCTATAACAAATCTGAGAACTAAACATTTAAGATAGACAAAAAGCTATCTACCTTGTTCAAAGTAAACACTAAGAAAAAGTCAATTTGTGAATTGCATATTTCTTTGAAAAAAGCTTCATATACTAACAATAGTTTACAATTATATATATATATATATATATATATATATATATATATATTTCTCTTCCCTAAGTGCTTACATACCTAGCCCATTTTCATTAACTGAAGCTGTATCAGATTCAGTCATTCCATCCATCAGAACAGCATCTTCATCAGTCCTTCGTCTACGAGACCGCCTACGACGGTTAGTACTGTGATGAGATTCGCTGGCATCAGTGTCTGCAGTCTGATCTGATTCTGTATTATCAAGTAAGCTGTATGGATTGCTGTCTGGATCTTTGAGCACTATATTCATGTCAGAGGCAAGAAATATTCGTTTAAGAGTACTGCAATTATGAATGTTTGATCTATATTGAACTATATCAATGACAAATAAACTTCAGTCTCCCCCAATAAAAATGCACTGTCTTCAAATAAAATGTTTTCAATATTATTTACCTGGAAAATAACAAAGATAATTAAATATGATAAAACTTTAAGTGGTGATGAAAAATTAAAGCAGAAAGTAAGCAGACATCTTGGCTTCCTAACATTTCCTGTGCCTTGTTTTTAAAATATACATTAGAAAATAGTGTATTAAATGCTAATTCTTGCATTCACATTTCAAGGTAATCCTGCCCAGAGACTAGAAAAACAAAAATGAAAAGAAACAAATATTCAGCTGTTAAGAAATAATTATAAGAGCGAGCTTTCATCCCCTTAACTGAGTTCAAAATGACTGCAGCTTTGTTGTGTTGATGTTGATGGACTGTTTCCCAAATAATATTCAATACCTGCATTCCATGACATAATAGAAATCCGTAACTGAACTGAAGCAATCAAGACAAGTTGAAACAAAGCAGCCAATTAAATAAGGTTGAACTTCTAACTGGTTATGAAAGGAAAATGTTGAAACGAATGCTGACTAGTACTCCATCTTTAGAAACATTATGGAAGGTGATGTGAAGGTGGAAAAGGAAAAACTGTAAGGTACAATTCATAAGAAAAATACCCATCTTACCTATGTGCATTTATTACCTCCAACAATCAAATTTATAGAAGAAATTCACCTAATTCCGATTTTTCCTAAGATTCCTTTGGTAACAGCTAGCAAGCTAAGCATCTTTGCAAAAGACACTAAGCGTATCCATTAATCATAAAACACTAGGTCAAGTACATTTATTTTGCAATTCAGTATACTGTAATTTTAAACACCTTGGTAACTGTACAAAGTGTACTAAAATATAAAAACTATTACCCTGAAAGCCTGTAAACTAAACTTAAGGCTCAAAGAGTATTACTGTGGAAAGGGAGAAAATCTAAACAAACAAAGAACAAGTTCCTAATTTTTGCCCTGATTTGTTCCAGTTTTTGTAATTTGTAAGCACAGTTGGCATCTATATTTAATGTATCTACACACACTTTCTATAATATTAAAATACTACATAAGTTTTCATGGGTATAACATTAAGGAAGGTGCGGGTTTCTTAACGTGGTATACCATAATGATATGTTAAAGTTATATCCTTAATATAGTCTATGTATCTATCCCTGGCAATTAACTCCCTAGCCCGTTATGGTAACCAAGGATATTCTGGAAACTCCTACAACTTAATGTAAAGCATAAAAAAATTTTAGAAGACAGAAGTAATTAAGTAAAACGTTTCCTACACCCTCAAATCTTTAGTCATCCAAACACTCCTCTTTACAGCACAGTTCCTCCAACAATTAAAAAACTTAGTTAATTCCACAATTTTTCCCTGTTCCCAAAGTACTACATAGTGTAGCTAAGAATGCTCTTCACTTCGTTTTCAATATTAAGTATAGAAAAGTACTGACATCTCTCTGTGCATTAGAAATCTCTGGGTCTGTCTGGCAAACAAAAAAACATAACCCCAAAATTCTAGGGAAAACAAAAAAAATTCTAATTAAATAAGCCTCCAAAACCTGAAGAGAGAAACATCTGACCCTCATCATATAAAGAAAAGCTGCCAACTAAAGTTCTGACCAGTATATTCTAAGTAAACCTTCACTGAGAAACACTCTACGAGGGCTTTTCCTGATACTGCTATATGGTCCACTACTTTCTCTAAGACAATGAGTAGCAAGAGAAACTTCCAAAAATGGGTGGCCCTGGGAGATGAATTAACTTTTGTAAAATTAAACTGTTTACAAATAATGGATGCTGACAGAGTATAGAAAAGACTACCAGAACTGATGGAGGATTTGCCACCACGTGGTCCACCACGACCTCGACCCCCTGAAACACTTCTGCCTCTTCCTCCTGGGCGTCTCCTGCTGTCACGCTGATGTCGGCTGTCTCGATCATCTTCTCCTGCCAATGACCAATCACTCAGCTCGTCTTTACGCTCAGATTCCGTTTCAGAGGGGTTAGACAGCTCAGAATTTGTACCTTGGAAAAGAAAAGAACATAAACCACTTAGATTTCTATAAAAAGCCTTTTAAAATGTTCAAAATTATGTCCTACAAATTATTGTTTAAATAAGCAATACTGTTTGGCTGCTTCAAAGAAAGATCCATGAAAGTTAAAATCAATCTGAAACGTACTAAGGAATAATCAATTATTATACTATTAATATACTAGTATAGTATCTACTAGTTAATACAGATTAAAAAATAAACTGATGTGCAGAAGGCCGCTCACTTCTTCAAAACCAGCAGAAGAATCCCTCACTGCAGTCTGCTAAGATGTGCTATGTCATGTAATATAGTCAAAGGTGTGACCATCTCATCAGCAAAAGGGGATAATATCCAGGAAATACAAAGTCATGGAAGTTAAAAAAAAAACTGATGTGCAGAAATGCAGTCAACAGAAAAATTACAGAAAATATACAGAACATTAATTCCTAGGTTTTGGCACCAAAAAAAAAAAACCATACAGAACATCATTTATCAATATTAGAATGTACTTAGTATGGATAGTCAAATGTTTCTGCTGATTTGGGTTTTAGTAACCTAAATTATTAGTACAATAAAAATAACTTCAATATTTGAGTAAATTAATCATATTTAGAAAACTGAATAGTTTAACTGTATAGTGTATTTCACCATAATTTCATTGATTCTAGGGTATACTTTTCACATGTTAACATCTCTGAAATCAAGATATTTCTTATAATTGATGGCATCTTTATTATAAGCTAGAAGTAATTTTTCCAGTAGGTTGTATATAAAATGATGGCATGTTTTACTAGCATCTTAAATTGCGGTTTTTGCCATTAAAAGTAACTACTTTTACTTTTTGCTTTTCTTACTTTTAATGGCAAAAACTGCAATTACTTTTGCACCAACCTAATATTTGCAATTACTAAACAGAATTTAAGGTTTCTCTGAAACAGAAGGTCTCTCACCTGACAACAGAACTGAAGCCATGACCAGTGAGACAAATATTCAGCATTGCCTTTAAAAGTTTACAGACCATTTCTAACACTGCAACTATTGTAATGGTGACCTTTCAAAAATTTATTTAAACACCACAAAGATATAATCAGAGGCCTACATTATCATTATTTAATAATTACTGTAACTCAAATGTCAGATACATATGACTCAATCACTATCATATTCATTTCCACTTGTTAGTTCTGGGATGCCACTTCTTCTTTCCCTCTTATATGACCAAATATATCTCCTTCAGGGCCTAGTTCAAATTCTAACTTCAGACCACTGCAACTAAGACAGATCTCTCCCCATTTTTTGTTATCCTAAAATCGCCCCACATCTATCACAGACTGTGCCATGTTGTTATTTTTTCCCCCTGTGGAATTACTTCAAAATTGGTCTATGATAAAGGGTGGAACTCCATCTTATATGTCCTCAAATGCCTGGCAGAGTGTATAACAATTTTCTCAACCAAATAATTTGCTGCATTATTTTGAAGTTCATTTGCTAAACTCTCAGATAAGAGTGATTTCATGAAATACCTTGAAGTTCCCTATATTTAAACTCTGCAATCATTTGAGGAAAAATGCAAACAAGAGCTCTTCAGACATAAGAAGTTTTAAGTATTAAGGTGCAGGGAATAAAATGTAAAGTTTTATACATGAAGGTGCCTCACTTCCTTTCTCCTTTAACGATAACTCTAGGATGCCTACCTTTTCTCTACATGGTGTTAATAGATGTAACTAGTCAATTATAAAAACAATTAGGTAATTAGTTGGATGTGTATTTTTCAAAGAATACATCAAATTTCTATTACTCACTTTCAATTCTTTGTTGGGATTAGAATCTCAGGGAAGGGAATTAATTTCCCCTAACATTTATTTCACCAAATGACAAAAAGTACTTTATTAACAGGATGTCATAAAAGTTGTAATGAAGGCAATTTATCTTTCCTTGAATAGTGAAAAAAAAAGCCTTTCAGAATGTTTAAGAACTTCTGAATTTATTTACAAACCTATACCCTACCTGAAAACATTACCAAAATTCAGGGCAAATGAAGAATACTTCATTCTGAAGACTCTCTCAAAAGTTCATATTGAAGTATCCTTAGAAATCCAGTGTAGTATTTATCTAACCCCGTGTCACAGCAAGTAAAGTCTTCCTTAAATTTAACCTACATATAGTATTCAAGAGACTTAGAGGGAATGTCTAAATCATAGATTTCAGCAGGTAAAACAGATATTGAGGCCGTACCCCCCAAAATTTTAATGTATTGGCTAGTGCTCAACATTACTCATATTAAATAACTGTTAATAACACATATTAAATGTTTCTGTGATAGCAAAAAGGACTCTGCAAATGTGACTAAGGTTAAGGACCTTGAGATAGAGAGATTATCCTGGATTATCCAGGTGGGTCCAAACTAATCTCACTGGGTCTTTAAAAGTAGAGAAATTTTCTAAACTACTGAAAGGGGAATCCCCGCTAGACTTTCCAGAAAGAAACGTAGCCCAGCTGACAAGATTTTAGCCTAGTGAGACCCATGTCAGCCTTCTGACCAACAGAACTATAAGATAATAAATTTCTGTGGTCAAGCCTCTAAGTTTGTGATAATTTATTACTGCAATAGAAAACAAATACTCTAATAAAATCAGGGAAACCATTTATTCCAGCCTCTCAATTTTGTAAAACACAGGTTGGTGATTCAAAGTCGTTTTTTTAAACAAGCTTTAAAAGTAATGACACTAGGCCAGGCTGGTGGCTCACGCCTGTAATCCCAGCACTTTGGGAGGCGAGGTAGACAGATCACCTGAGGTCTGGAGTTTGAGACGAGCCTGACCAACATGGAGAAACCCTGTCTCTACTAAAAATACAAAATTAGTCAGGCATGGTGGTGCATGCCTGTAATCCCAGCTACTCAGGAAGCTGAGGCAGGAGAATCACTTGAACCCAGGAGGGAGAGGTTGCGGTGAGCCGAGATTGTGCCACTGCACTCCAGCCTGGGCAACAAGAGCGAAACTCCGTCTCAAAAAAAAAAAAGTAACAAAACATAATGACATCGTGTTTTTAACCAATTTTAAAATCATATTTTCCCCTCAAACTTCTAAAATCACCTTATGAAGATGGTTTATATCATTTTTCAATGGTTGGTTGTGCTAAGCTTAACAGCTAAAAATAATCACGTTTTATCGACTCCAAGAGGCCATCAATTTTAAGACATTATTTTATGTGCCATTAAAAAAGAAAATGCTGCTAAAGTTGTAAGATGTCCAATTTAACACACATACCAACTTCAGAGATGTTATACTGGGAAATGTTTCTTATAGTTCCTATTAAACTGATAAAACTACAGTACTCATTATATATATATATATATATATATATATAAATCAACTACAAGTCCCTCTGATATAATGTATACATGAACGTCTACAACCAAATTCAAATGGTTTTTCTTGCTTTTCCAAGCCCACTCAGGTTCAGTAACTATTTCAAGAAATAAAATGTTATCAATTCCACTAAGATTCAGAGCTAAGAGTGCCATCTACTGAACAATTTGCACAGCTTTCTTGAATCCAGATGTTTCTCTACCTCTCACATAATTATCTACTCTCAACAAAAGCATTTTGCCAGAGTAAGCTCTCATCAATAAGCCGACTTCCCACAAAAGCTAATAAAATTATTCAATGAATTCATCATACGCATCATCCAATAAGCCAAGTCTGATTATCTATGCTAATAATGTATGGTTCAAAAATCAATGAGAATATATTTGATTTCTATGTGATTACTGGTTAACTGTCTTTTGCATTAAACATTTTCAGAAATATAATAATAGTCTGCAATTTTCATCCCTTTATATGCTGAACACTTCTTTATTAGAATTTTGCTGTTTAGGTTTCAATACTGCATTAAATAAAAACATATATAAGAAAATGAGAACATAAAGATATGATATTAAAGGGCAGGGACACAAACTTACAACTCTACAACAAATTGAAGATAGTTCAGGTTTAATATAACTTTGTCAGCATTAGATGATCCTTCAATTAAAGCATGAAATTTGCATTTATTTCTATTTTCCTTAAATGCCTTACATTTTGGAAAAGGTTTTATATTTCCTCAAAAGGGAGTAAGTATAGGAGTGAAGAAAAGAAAAGGAAAAGAGAAAATAAAGAGAAGGGGCGAAGGAAAAAAACAAATCAGGTCACTGCTAAGATCCAAGTCCAAATGTAGAAAAATGGAACAACTCCAAAGCTGAAGAAGAATAAGGGAGAATTTAGGATTAGAGAATTGTTGACTATCACCACTCCACTGTCCCCCTTCCTATCTGGGTTAGACCCAATCCTCACAGTGAAATACATTTTAGAAAATGTTCATTTATAAAGTGTTAAATTAGATTCTGGCTTTCAGAGTCTTCATTTTAGTGAAATGTTGTTAAATAAAATAATTCCAGATGTGAGATGTTAATATATTCAAATACGCCAAATGAGTAAGTAAAATATTTTTTAAAAGCTAGTAAAAAGACTTGCTATATGCAATCTTGGCAGTGATTCGCACACTTTTCATTTTTTACTTAAAGAGGGTAGACAAAAGATGATTCCTAGAAGTATCACCACCACCATTACTAGGTATTTACTGGGAAATGTATAAAACTGTACTAGTAAAGTATTTGAAAAACAAGTTACATATGTATTCTTTGTAAATATAATAAACATGACAATGAACTACCAACTTAAAAACATGCTTTGCTTCATTACATAACTGCTTGGAAATTTTATATATTTTACTGTCATTTTAATGTATACTATCACTACTATTAAGACGTGTACTAAACCTTCAGAACTACCTTCTACCCTCAAAGCCAAGACAGAGTAATGAACTAATTATAAGAAAATGTGTTAGAGCACCTAAACTATAACTACTATTATTACTATTACCAAAAAAAAAAAAAAAAAATTTTTTTTTACCATAACCGGAGGTGTAATTAGGTCCCCGACGACCTCTGCCTCTTCCGCTATAAGACCTAGAACCTTGTACAGAAGAGACGGTACTTTCATCAGTGGCATATCCTTTCTCTTTTTCAGGCCCTCTGGTGGAAGAAGGTCTGAAACCCATACCAATCTGTCGCAGCTGTTCATCAATCTGTAGGCGTTCCATTCTTAGCTGTTCTACTTCCTACAATCAAAACAAAAAAGAGTAAGTCTTCTTATATATAACTTTTTGTTTTCCTAAAGCCTAAAGCTAAAGCTGTACTCCCTATCAAAGCTGTGACCTTAGGCAATTAGATGGTAAAGAGCATTGTGTTCCTAGTCAACAGAATTGATGAGGTCATTTGCTGTTTCTGTTCAACATTTACTGAATGGTCTAGAGTGTGCCAAACATGCTACTATAGGCATACAATATAAAAGAAGACATGGACTCTCCCCAATCAAGGGGATGTTTAACAGACAGCTTTAAAATAAGTTATTTATTAAATAGCTAACAATTATACAATATTACCAGATTTTGCCCTCAAGGAGTTAGAATTGCTGAATGAGATACAGGTAGCATCTATGAAAGGTACTATTAACAAGCTACTTTCCTATCAAAGCAGTGACACGAGTTGTGACCTAGAAGGAGTGCTAGACTTTGTCATTCAGAAATTGAGGTCATTACAGGATGCAAAGGTTAGATGTCTAGAGAAAGCTCTTGGTTAAAAGATGAGTACTGAAAGATAAAGCACTGGCTTCAAAATGCCAGCTTTAATTGCGACTTTTCATATAAAGATGAATTTCAAAAGAAAAGAAATGACATTATCAGAGTGATCTCAAAATAGTAACAGCAACAATGATACGACAGACTGGGAGGAAAACATACTAGAGGCAGAGAACAGGTGAGGATATTATTATACTTTAAAAAGAAACACAGCAGGAATAAAAGGGAAAGAGTAGAAAATAAAATTAAAATGTTTAATAATTTATGGGTCATATTTTTCTAAAAACCCTTGCTCTTTATGTATCAACTCAAATAGACTATTTTGTTAACAATGGTTACAAATTATCGAGTAATGTCAGTGGAGATGATGCAGATGATTTGCATAATGCCAAAGTTACCAAGGAAGCCCAATGTCACTCCTGGTTCTGTACCCTATTTGTATGTAAAGTACAAAAGTAAAAACAAAATGGCTCCAGTATGAACATGCAGATACATAAGTGATCTGAGAGTCAAATTGCATGAAGACAAAGGAATCATTTCTTAAGAAAGAAAGAAATATAAAAGCTCAGAAAGAAGAGAAATTATGCACACAAGGCCAATCATTTTATGATGACAAAGGACTTTTTAAATTCTCATGTAGAACAATGGCAAATCTGAAGCTGAATTAACAAAAAATATTTAAAGATTTGAAGTTTACTTCAAATATAAAATGTTTAATGTGAGGACATTTTAAATTTGTAGCAAATGTACAACATTTATGTAGTAAATGCAGCAACAATATCAGAATATAGTATGAACCGTATACAAACCTTTAGATAGGCAATATGATACTCTAGAAGAACCTGCACATTTCCAATGCTTTCTTTAGTGCCAACAAATACAAATGGAACCATACCCTGTTTAAAAAAAAAAAAAAGTATTCAGTGTTTAATATTTTAACAAAGTTCTAGCCTAAAAGTGACATGAAACTGACAGGCAGGCACACACACACACACCTTTTTTTTTTTTTTTTTTTTTTTTTTTTGAGATGACGTCTTGCTCTGTTGCCCAGGCTACAGTGCAGTGTTACAATCACAGCTCACTGCAGCATCAAACTCCTGGGCTCAAGTGATTCTCCTGTCTCAGCCTCCAGAGTAGCTGGGACTATAGATGCGTGTCACCACAACCAGCTATTACTTTTTATTTTTTGTAGAGACAGGGTCTTGCTCTGTTGCCCAACTCCTTGCCTCAAGCAATCCTCCTGCCTTGGCTTCCCAAAGCGCTGGGATTATTGACTTCGTAAAGAGGTTACAGGCGTGAGCCACTGTACCCAGCCCCAATATATAATTAGGAAAACTCTTCTGAAACACGCAGCAATTTACATGTACTAAACTTCAAGATTTAAGGAGAAAAAAATGCTAAAATCCATGTAAGTTGAAATACTCAGATTTTCAATAACTTGTCATATTTGCACCCCAATTTACTGTTGTAAATTGTCTTCTGTGTGCTAAACACTTTAAAAATAATTTTAAAAAATCAGTTTATATCAAGTTTTCTGATTTATAATTAATTTAATTTTCCAAGTATATAAATCAACTTTTAAAGTTAAAATGATTTTCTGGCAGGTCATGGTGACTCACACCTGTAATCCTAGCACTTTGGGAGGCTGAGGCAGGTGGATCACTTGAGTTCATGAGTTCGAGACCAGCCTGGGCAGCATGGAGAAAGCCCATCTCTACAAAATATACAAAAATTAGCTGGCAGGGTAGCACATGCCTGTAGTCCCAGCTACTTGGGAGGCTGAGGTAGGAAGATAGCTTGAGCCTGGGAGGCAGAGATTGCAGTGAGCCAAGACTGTGCCACTGCCCTCCAGCCTGGACAAGAGAGCAAGAATCTGTCTCCAGAAACAAAAAACAACGATTTTCCTTCAAACTGTCTATAAACTTACAGACTAGATAGATACATCACCTTAGTAGGTATAGCTTTAAAGCATAATAAAGCACATTAACCCAGTTATCCCTACAGTATGTGCTCAGGTAACAAAATCTTGAGTGTCTGTGTACTACAAGAGGTACTTCCTGACCACTAAAAGAAATATCACCTCCAGAGCATAAATATTTACACAATGTAAAATTAAAGGAATTATTAAGATACGTAGAGGTATTCAAGTAAATCAAAGTATTAGGCCAGACTTGGTTTACTTTGCTGAACTTCTGAATAAGAAGATTTTTAAAAAGTGGCAGAAAAGAGAAATAAGATGGCACACTGTGAATTTTTCTTCTTTAAAGAAACATACTTCCAGCTTCTTAATGGCTGAGAAAAATGAGAGTAAAGCTTAACTCCCCCAATCAGTTTCCATGTCTCCCATTTTCTTCATTTTACAGAATGGTTTCTAACAGTTAAACAGAATGGTTTAGGGATTTTTTTGTTCTAAATATGAAACTAAGCGTGGTTTAAGACATTTTAGTTCTATATATGACTCAATTATTTTCAAAGTAATTTTTAAGAGTAATGATTTTTAGATATGGTTCATTTAAAACTTAGGCAACAGGGCAAGTGCTAGGGATATAGCACAGCTATTACAGAGGTTCACAGTGGCTTTGAAGAAGTCATTTCAACTATGAAAGCATGAAACAAGGGAAACTCCTTATTTAAGATTAGGGAGTGAAGAAGTCTTAACACTGTCCTCAGGAGTTCACAAGCAGATAAAAGGGCATTCAAAGTGAATAAAAAGGGGGGTGGGAGGGCAAGAACCTAAAAAAATCTTAAGCACATAGCCTGTTTTCAGGTCTGGATTATTCATTTCATGTATTTGATTTAATACTCATTTAAAAATTGACTAAGAAATAGTATTACCAGTTTTACAGTTAACAAAGTAACTTGCTGAAGTCATAAAATTAGCAACCGAGCCAGCCAATTTCATCTAGTTACCTAATTCCAAATAACATCTATTTGTTAACTGCCAGAATCTTCTGCTAATGTATAAGAATAGTTTCTGTTCTAAGGATAATCAAAATCTCAGGAAAAAAAAAAACACTAAACATTCTCATAAAAAACTCATTGTACAGCATTAATGATATGACCAAAAAACAGGAATTTTAAGGAGACAAAACATCATCAACATGTGGGAAGAAACACGACAAAAAATTTTAGAAAGCTAGGATCAGAATTAACGAATTAACAGCAACGTAATGGGATTTCAATTAAGAAATGGTCAATACTTTCAGATTCTATAGCAACGTAAAAGCGTTAAGGGGATTTCAATTAAGAAATGGTCAAGGCCGGGCACGGTGGCTCACGCCCGTAATCCCAGCACTTTGGGAGGTGGAGGCAGGTGGATCACAAGGTCAAGAGATCGAGACCATCCTGGCCAACATGGTGAAACCCCATCTCTACTAAAAATGCAAAAATTAGCTGGGCGTGATGGCGCACACCTGTAGTCCCAGCTACTCAGGAAGCTGAGGCAGGAGACTCGCTTGAATGAGGGAGGCAGAGGTTGCAGTGAGCCGAGATCATGCCACTGCACTCCACCCTGGTGACAGAGTAAGACTCTGTCTCCAGGAAAAAAAAAAAAAAAAAAGTCAATACTTTCAGATTCTATAGCAATGTAAAAGTGTAAGGGGATTTCAATTAAGAAATGGTCAATACTTTCAGATTCTATAAAATAGTTAAGGAGAGTACAATCAAGAATTCCTTTGTCAGCACAGTTCACAATGGCAAAGATATGGAACCAACCTCAGTGCCCATCAACCAATGGGTGGATACAAAAAAAATGTGGTATATATATACCATGGAATATTACTCAGCCATAAAAAGGAACAAAATAATGTCTTTTGCAGCAACTTGGATGGAGGCCATTATTCTAAATGAAGTAATTCAGGAATGGAAAACCAAATATCATATGTTCTCACTTGTAAGTGGGAGCTTAGCTATGAAGACGCAAAGGCAAAAGAATGCTATAATGGACTTTGGAGACTCAGTGTGGAGGAAGGTTGGGAGGGGGGTGAGAGATAAAAGACTACATATTGGATACAGTGTACAGTGCTCAGGTGACAGGTGCACTAAAATCTCAGAAATCACCACTGAAGCAGCTTAACCATGTAACCAAAAACCACCTATACCCCAAAAACTATTGAAAAAAAAAATTCCTTTTGGAGTATCAAGTTCTACAGCTTTACACTCTACGTATGAAAAATAACTGTTAAGATTATCAAATAGAAATCTTTATGTCAAGAACTGGCTTTTTTTACTGAAGTACTATCAAAACAACTAAGAACAAGGCCCACATAGTAGAAAATGACTTGTTTTCTAAGTGTATGAAATAATATTATAAAAACATAATTTTAAAAAGAAGAAAAACCCTCTGTATCAGATAAAACAGACAAAATGTTTACAACTATTAAGTTGGCCAAAAAAAGGACATTTTAAAGAGGCAGATTACATTTTAAATACTTACGTCTTCTCTGGGTAATTTATTTTCATTGTCCCCTTCAATTCTCACTCGAACCACACCAGATTTGTCCACTATTTCTTGAATAACTTTGCCATTTTTTCCAATTACTTTTCCTTTAGTAAGAGAAAACAAATACAATGGTAAGCTAAAACTCAATTCTGCTATTCTTTCAGTGTCAGCCCCAATTATTTGTAACTTGCTACTAAATTACAACCATCAAGTGAAGCTCCCATCTTTTTACTATCAATTAACTCGCCCTACAGACTACCAAGAAATTTCACCCTTGGTCTGAAACTTACTTCTCTTTCAGCACGCCTAAGGTTACTAACTGGGACTGACAACAGTGCTCACATGTAAGGAATTCTCAAAATCTAGACTTTTAAAATATGCTTATATCATTTTCATATTTTTAAAATATCCAACCCATTTCAAAACCTTGGATGTATACATAAAGGCAAAGAGAAAAACTATTTTGACATTAATCATTAGCACTTTATTAATTCACATAAGTAGCAAATTCATCAATCTTGCTTTTATTTTCAAGTTTCTATGGGTCCAAGAGATTTCTATGACTTGAAGATAACTTTAGAATGAATATTTACATGTATTATATTTTACACCAAGAAGTTTTTCAAGTACTCCACAGCTATATAAAAAATGACATAAAGCATGTACATGATATGCTGTCTTGCTAGGTATAAAATATTGTAAAATTACATAAAATTCAAGTATTTAACTTTCTACACTTAACTTGTAAGTCTGTCAAACAGCAGTTATTGAGTATATTAATAAATAAAGGGGTCAAAAGGCTCTCTTTCCCTAAAGGACTATCTAAAGATTAGCACATACTCACATAAATAACAAAGCAACACTGAGTTGTGTACCTATTAACAAGTACTATTAAGTAACCTTCACCATATGGAACCGATGTATCCCTTAGACAGTGAACAGCGACAGCATATTTGTTATCAAGTCCACATCCTCAGTTAATTTAAGTATATCACTTTTCACAAAAACTTAAACCTTGGTTGAAAGAGTTAAAATGGAAGATTTTCCTGTTGCATGCCTGAACAGTTTCTATTAAAGAATGAATAAGAACGACAACAGTAGACTGGTCAGTACAATAAAAGGACTATAATGGGTTTTTCTCTCTTGTATTCCTACTCTCAAGCCTCCTTCCCCATTAATAAGCCTAAATTTAAAAGCAGCAGCAATTGAACATGTTAAAAAAAAAAAAAGTAGGGCAGGGAATTCACATGACGTGTATCTTCTCTGAGCAGCCCTAGCAGCAGCACATAAAAGCAACCTTCATTGTTAACACAGTGAAGCTCAAGCAGCAACTCCATCCTTGACCCTGCTAAAAGTAAGCAAATGTCTTTCGAAAAACAAAGATTAGGTTGACATACCATATTCCTCCCCCAGAACCTTTGCCACTTCCTTCTTGTGAACTATACCAGTTTTGAGTGATCATCCATCACCCTTCTGGGGTCCTTGGCAGGAACCTACCTGCAAGTTTTATTTAGTCCCACCACAGACCGTCAATATTTTAAATGATCATTTCCATAGTTTAAATTCCAGACCATATTGACAAACTGAAGTAGACCTGTAGTATAAATTGAGCACTGAATATAAATGCTGAAGGGACAGAGAGAAGTGATTAAGGAAGGCTTCTGGAGGTGAAAGGTTTTGAACCATTTTCAAATCAACGTTCAGATATTTTTCCCTTTGATTTGGGAGGGGTGGGAATGGTCATCTTAGAACTCTCAGAACCCGAATGTGTAAGGAAATCCTCTCTGGAACTTACCCAAGTGTTCTCATTCCCTTTTAATCCTCAGTTCTCTTTTTCTTTCATTTGGACTAAGAATGTACTATTATTCAAAAGCCTGCTTCATCCATAAAACATTATGGAGGGAAACACTGTATTTTTACACATGACAACCAATAGAAATTCTTGTACTACTCCTGAGTATTTCACCAGTGTGTAATAGTCACTGCTAATGTGTATTTCCTATAGAGCACACAACCCACATCACCAAAGCCAACGTAGACAGGATACAGGAAAAGAGACAACAGGTACTCACTTCAGTGAATAAAGAGAACAAAGAACTACAAATATACCCAATTTTCTTATTTTTGAAATATCAGAAACTTTTACTCACAACACCTACCACAACTCTCTAAGACCAAGGCTATCTTTTATAATTGACAGACTTGGATTGAAAAGAAACCTGGTTCCCTTTCACAAACCCACTGCCAAATCATTTTTACAAGTGAGGAAACCTTAGTTAAGTCAAAATTACATCTGTAGAGCAGCTACCACAATGTTAGTACTGACAGATGTCAATAATTAACGATTTCTTTAAAAAGGCAGCATTTTCAAAAGCAGCTTATCAAAGGTGATTTCATTTGATACTGATAAACATTTGATAACATTGTGCACCCTACCTATATTTTGTATAATTATAATTATACAAAATTCTTCAAGTTTATATTGAATTTTAACATCTCATCTTTCTAGCAGTTCAGTCTACAGTGAACAACGGTATACCAAGAACTAATAAAGTAGAGCTTACACAATTGGCAGTAATGTCATACCTATCCAAATGTTTGAGGAGAATTGAAAGGCTTTTTACATCCGGGCGCGGTGGATCACGCCTGTAATCCCAGCACTTTGGGAGGCCGAGGTGGGCGGATCACAAGATCAGGAGCAGGAGTTCAAGACCAGCCTGGCCAATATGGTGAAACCACATCTCTACTAAAAATACAAAAATTAGCCAGGCGTGGTGGCAGGCGCCTGTAGTCCCAGCTACTTGGGAGGCTGAGGCAGTAGAATCGCTTGAACCCAGGAGGCAGAGGTTGCAGTGAGCCGAGATTGCATCGCTGCAACTGCACTCCAGCCTGAGTGACAAAGCAAGACTCCATCTCCAAAAAAAAAAAAAAAAAATTTATTTTTACATAAATACTAACAGTTAAATTCCAAGAAACAAATTCCTGTGTTTTAAACTACTTTTCCTGAATATACTACTTACTAATGACCAAAAAAAAAAAAAAAAAAAAAATCTTTTTAGAATGGAAGTATTTATTTTTCTATTAACGTTTGTTTTATACAATTTAACAAATAGAATGTCCGTAGCTAAACATCATTTCCTAAAGGCAGAACAGGCCGCATTATATAAATGGAACCCAAGAAGCTGAAAGTATTTCCCTAGCGTCAAAAAAAAATAATGAGAGATAACAGGGAACAAAAACTCGTCCCCCTCCTAGTAAAACTACACTACATTATCTTGATGCTTCTTTTTATATTAAATGTTTAGGTAAGTCAATTTTTAGTATAGTCACTGCATACTTAACACATAACCAAAGCCTTCCCAATTGCCTCAAATAGCAAAAAGACAGCACAGATGTAGTGCATATTAATAACAGAGCTATAAATTAACTCATTCCAAGCTATAATGCTCATTTAACCATAGCTTCAAATGCAAATTCTTGTCACTTAACTATAATCCATGGGTACAACAGTTTCAATAATGGTGTCAAATAATAAACAGTGAAACCTCCCCTCATATTATCATCCTTCTCTCCTGCCCACAACTTCTTATTATTCTATGCCTTGCAACAACCTACTATTCAGGACCTACTGTGTAGAAGTTTATTACCCTATTGTTAGTTCACTGTTATTTTTCTTCTGCACTAAACAAAACAAATATCACCAATACCTTCTCAAAAAGTACTATCATAATTTTGATGAATATATATCAGTGATAAAAAGAGAGTAAAGGAGTGAGAATAATAGGGAAGATCCCAAGGGATGAAAAGACTGATGAAAAACTGTAATGACAAACTTATAAAAACCCTGGGCCTTATTAGTGAGTCATCCTGTACAGAAGAAACATCTTTACTTTTTAACATATGACAATAACAAGTTACACAAAATGTTATCACCAAAAAAAGAAAAGAAGTATTGCTATCTAAATAAATCTACACATAACTGGAATAAGGTTATCAGACTACAAGACTAGTTTTCAATTAAGTCGCTATATGTAACTAAATAATGTTTATTAACTTATTTAACATTTAGTAAAAGTACCTACCAACGAGATTCCTAGGAACCTGAATAAAATCCTCCACAAATTCCAAGAAACCTCTAGCCTTTTTTACAGCATCAGCACTCTGTAGATGAGGGGAAAAGTAAAAATGAAATCCTGTTTCAATCTCGGAGCAACCCATAATCCAAAACAAGAAGATGAGAAAAGAGAAAATTCTGAATGATTATGTTCTACTAAAAGATTATGCTCATTCCACTGGGGAGAGATTTCAGGTGAAGTGATTCACAAAGTACTTAAAAAAAAATCATTTTTAAAAACCCCAAATCAGTCAGTACTATTAAAACCAAAAATAAAATAACATCTCTAAAATCTTTAAGCTGCTGAGAAATTTAGTGTCAGAGTTTAAATTACACAGCTGCTGAACAGCCAAAACTTTAACCCAATCCTAAATATACTAGTCTATACCTCCTGCTTGAAATTCTCATGTTAAATGTTAACAATACAAATTGTTAAAATTGTCTGATTTATTTATTCTCAAAATCAGGTATATGACTTAAAAAGCTATTTTTGCAGAGATGCATTTTTTAAAAGTACCTACTGGTAAGATTATCAAAATTCATAATTTCTAATGAGTACAATTTTAAACAACTAGAGGGTTGGGAGTGAGTCTCTACACAGACTTTCTACTTCTCAATAAAGTCACTTTCACTTTTAACGTGTGTTCTTTAATAACCACAGATAAGGCCAGATGCAGTGGGCTCACGCCTGTAATCCCTGCACTTTGGGAGGCCAATATAGGAGGATCGTTTAAGGCCAAGAGTTTGAGACCAGCCTGGGCAACATAGGAAACCTCCATCTCTACAAAATATACAGATATATATTTAAATTAGCCCAGCATGGCAGCACATGCCTGTAGTCCTAGCTATTCAAGAGGCTGAGGCCAGAGGATGGCTTGAGCCCAGGGGTTGGAGGCTGCAGTGAGCTATGATCACGCCACTGCACTCCAGCCTGAGCAACAGAGTAGACCCTGTCTCTTTAAAAAAAAAAAAAAAAAAAAGCAAATAAAATTTTTTTTAAATTTTAAAACCATAGCTCAAATTATTGTGTGCACACTACATGATATACCATATGCAATCAACATTTTTTACAATGCATCTAATCCTTAAGAACTGTATTAAGGTAAGCACTATTATTATTTTATAATGAGAACACTTATACAAGTAACAAACTCCAAGCCTACTCAAAGCAGCCTACTTAAAGTGAATTCCAATCCAGGCAGTATAGCTCCAAAGCTCGTCTTTTTTTTTTTTCCCTCCTCCTTCTCAACAAGACAGGACCTTGCTCTCTGTTGCTCAGGCTAGAGGACAATGGCATGATCATAGCTCACTGCAGCCTCTCATTCCTGGACTCAAGTGATCTTCCTGCTTCAGCATCCAAACTTGCTGGGGTTACAGACGTGAGCCACCGTGTCTGTCTGTCTTCTTAATTACTATGTTATACTGTCTACTTTTAAAGGTTTTGAAATTAAAAGTGAAGCTTCTAGTCAGCTTTACTATGTGAAAGCAGCTGTTCATAAGAGCTATGTATGAAAAGTCAAGACACAAAATTGTCATTCAAAAAAAACTCCAGGCCAGGCACGGTGGCTCACGCCTATAGTCCCGGCACTTTGGAAGGCTGAGGCAGGTGGATTGCTTGAGCTCAGGAGTTCGAGACAAGCCTGTGCAACATGGCAAAATCTTGTCTCTTTAAAAAATAAAAATCCAGTTACTCTAATTTGAAGGATGGTCTCAATTTACATATATAAAAATATAGATAAGATGCATGTGTATGTATATATAAAAATTTATATATACTTTTCTAAACTCTATGTTGCCCTGGCTAGATTCAAACTCATAGGCTCAAGCAATCCTCCTGCCTCAGATTCCCAAGTAGCTGGGACTGCAGGTGTGTGCCACTGCACCTGGCTGAATAACATTTTAAAAATAACTTACTAATTTTCTACCCCTGCAAACGTCATGATTAACCAGTGACGAAGTATTATACAAACTCAAGTTCTAGAAAAGCTATTCTAATATATGCCATTTACTCCTGCCAGTGCCTGGCACACAGTAAACATTCAAAAAAATACTTCGATAGATTATTTGTTAACGGGTATAAAACTGAAGTAAACTCAGAAGCGGTTAAGAAACCTCAATAAAAAAACTACATATTTAATTACTTAGTAAATCTTTCACTCCCCTCAATACAAAGTTAACTTCAATTCAGCTTCATAAGTAAGACTACTAGGCTGACTGATGCTAATTGAATAAATTCTACCTCAAAAATGTTTCATGGGAAACTGGAATTTCAGATAAAAATATAATCAAACAATAGATGGTTAATACACTAAAGGCCAAGGCAGGAGAAAGAGAACTTACCTCTCCGTAGATTCTGAATGTTCCAGTATCTTCATCTAGCTCAATGGCGGTAACTCCAGGAACCTTCCTAGCTTGCTGGATGTTACTACCATGTGTTCCTATTGCCAGGCCCATTAAATCTTCTCTCACAACAAATTCCTCATGAAAAGCTGCTGCAAGTTGTTTTGTGCACTAATAAAAAAGGAAAATTAGTAATATAAAAGATCAAAATACAAAATGGCTTTTTTGTATGGTTTGGTTTTTTTCCAGACAGGGTCTCACTCTGTCACCAAGGCTAGGGTGCAGTGGCGTGATCATGGCTCACTGCCAACTCAATCTCCTGGGCTCAAGCAATCGTCCCACTTCAGCCTCCTGAATAGTTGGAAATACAGGCACGCACCACTGAGCCCAGCTAATTTTTTTTTTTTAATTTATTTTTTGTAGAGACGAGCTCTCACTATGTTACCCAGGCTGGTCTCGAACTTTTGGGCTAAAGCAATCCTCCCACTTCAGCCTCCCAAAGTGCTGGGATTATAGGCATGAGCTACCACACGCGGCCACAAAATGTTTTATTGCAAATCCATGTTCATAGCATTATTTACGACAGTAAAGAGGTGAAAGCAACCCAAATCCACAGACCAATTAATGAATGAACATAATGTGGTATATACATTCTGCCTTAAAAAGGAAATTCTGACACATGCTACATAGATGAACCTTGATGCTAAGTAAAATATGCCAGTCACAAAAAAGACTAAAATGATTTTACTTACATGAGGTATCTAAAATAGTCAAATTTATAGCAACAGAAAATAGAATGATGGTTGTCAGGGGCTGTGGAAAGGGGAAAATGAGCAGCTGTCTAAAGGGTATAGATTTGCAGTTTTACAAGATGAGATGTACTGAAGATTGATCAATAATGTAAACATACTTAATACTAAGTGTACACTTAAAAATGGTTAAGATGCTAAGTTTCATATGTACTTTACCACAGTATAAAGAAAAACCCAAGAAGAAAAAACCACCGAAAACCCACATAAATTTTTTTAAAAAGGCCAAAACTCAAGTTTCTTAAGAAACAAAGGAAACTCATCTAATGTCATAAAATGAATGGGGAAAAGAAACTGTTTTATTCATCTATTTTATTAGTCTAAAACACTTTTCCAGATACAGGCAGATTTGTTCACATATCCCTTGTTCAGAATTTTTAAATTAATGAGAACATTTCCAAATTTGTCCTAAGGATAATAAACATATCTTAATTTCTCTGAGACATCACAGTGTGTGCATGCACATGTGTTCATCTAGATCTAGAAAGTGTGAGTGAGTGGGAAGAACAAGTATCCTACTAGTGTAGCAGGGAAGAACAGGACAAAACAGAGTACCTTAGGATAAGACAGAGATATAATGATAAGCTTAATATTTTAATACTACATGCCACATGATGCCTCACTCCTAGTCCTCCTCTCCTCTCACACAAGAGTTGTTACAGTGAACTAGTTACTGATGAAAGATATCATGACTGACAGATGACAAGGCAGTTAAAAAAATAAAAAGGTTAAATACAAAGTAAAGAACTAGCAATACAGTCTACTGAGTATCCCTAGTTTCTTAGCTCTTTGGCACCTGTCATCTAAGTCCTACCAACAAGTCAACAGGCATTTCGCAAAGGAAAGGCTATGTTTGATAAAAGGTAAAATGGAAAAGCAATTGTTCTACGGACACAACTCCAAACAGTCACGAAACAGAGGTCCTGGGCTGCCTTCGTTTGAAGCAAGGAACTTGAAAAATATAAAACTAAATGGGGGCCAGGTTCGGTGGCTCATGCCTGTAATCCCAGCACTTTGAGAGGCTGAGGCGGGCAATCACTTGAGCCCAGGAGCTCGAGACCAGCCTGGCCAACATGGCAAAACCCCACCTCTACTAAAATACAAAAATTAGCTGGGCTTGGTGGGGCACACCTGCAATCCCAGCTACACGGAGGCTGAGGCAGGAGAACCGCTTGAATCCGGGAGGTGGAGGTTGCAGTAAGCCAAGATTGTGCCACTGCACTCTAGCCTGGGCAACAGAGCCAGAATCTGTCTCCAAAAAACAAACAAAAACTAAATGGGACACAGAAAACTCTTTTGTAAGTAAACCCACTTACTTCTAAATGCTTAGTGGCCTCTTCATTTCTGGACATAAGCATCAACTTCGTACGAATACTTCGCAAATGCATGTCACTTAAGATGTTTACTCTCTTCACAGTTGCTTCACTGGCAGACTATAAACAAACAAGCTAATTACTCAAAACTTTAATCATTCTTCCAAATAGCACAAACACCATCCCATCTTCTATGCAAAGCCTTCCTTGCTTCTCATCTACTACACTTCTTTCACCTAACACTCACTACTCTGAGTAATCACACTTTCCTTTCTGAATTCCTGTATTATTTAGATCTGCTATTCAGAATATGTTTGATTGGGGAAAAATCCGGAATCTCACACATTAAGAATTTTATGATGTTAAGAATGTAATTAACATTTTATAGCTGCAAACAAATTTTTCTCCCACACTATATTAATAAATTCACTATACACTAAGTTGATCTTAGCTTTTCTCTTCTGAAATATGTAATTATAAAATCTGTGCAATATCCATTAATAAGCTACCTTATAATATGGTACTATCTTACCAGTATCATTAGCTGTGTTGTTTCTGGATGGTAAAAAATTCTGCATGCTCCTACTGCTTTCTTAAAATCTTTATGTGCATTTTCATTAGCACACCTAGAGAGAAATCAATTTATGTGTAAGAACTCAATAACAGATTAAAGTCAGAGGAGAGTCACAATACAAAGTCAGTGTTTCATTTTGACAAGCCCCACTAAAACCTTTGTTCATTAAGATGATTTTCCATCAGAAGGTTTGATTGGGCATTAGGGAAAATGTTTTGTAGGACTGAAAAATCTT
This sequence comes from Homo sapiens, assembly GCF_000001405.40. Taxonomy (NCBI): domain Eukaryota; kingdom Metazoa; phylum Chordata; class Mammalia; order Primates; family Hominidae; genus Homo; species Homo sapiens. Next base: position 180,948,537 of record NC_000003.12, on the reverse strand, counting down.
CTTAATTCACAGAACAATTCAATAGTATATAAAATTACTCACGCCTCTCTCAAATCCTCAGGAACATCCACTGTGCATTTAAAGAAGGTATTTTTTTTGACAGTTTTATTTTGATTGACAGGCCGAAGTCGTTCAAATGTGACTATTTCATTGTAAGTAGCGTCACAAGCAGCATATTCAATGACATAAAACTAAAAGACATCAAAATACTTTAAAAATCCCATCTGAACAAAAATAATGAAGTTTAAATGAAGTTCTAATTACCTTGCTCAGCTTAACCAACGGACCCTCCCCCATGTGGCATAAAATACTAAGCACAGCTTAGCTACATCAATCTGATTTGCCTAAACTAGATTATAGGTTCTTACAAGCATGAACCTTGGCGGTCCTTACATGCTTGAGGTGTACCTCTGGAGAGCAGCTTTGGTGTTTGCCAATACAGAACACAAACAGAAATTAATGCTAATGGAAATGTCTGATCAACTATTTCTCAGGTAGGCTTTTAGAAATAAAACTAACAGTTGAAATAAGATTTACAAAAACCAAGCACTGAGGTACTTCCTTAGAAACTAGTCACAAAGCAAGTGTGAAGAGTACTTACTTCTCCTTTCATCATCCGAACTTTAGCCAACCACCACCCACATGGCTCTTGGTCATTTGCTCTTGAATATACCTGAGAAGAAAAAAAAATGCCTATATCCATTCATCCCAAAAGATTTCAATGCTGTAAATGACTTTTTATTAATACCCAATCCCAATAAACTTAAGAATGAAAAATGCTATTTTATTTAAATTGGCATATTAAATGCAATTTAAAGAAAGTGATATGTAACTTAAATTTACTACTTAAAAATAAAACTACTTTTTTGGGCAATTTAGCTTCTTAGAAATTAATTCCATATTCATGAGGTTTACTAAACATAAGTATTATTTTAAAGAAATGCTCTTACAAAGGAGTTTTAAATAATGTAAAACACAGGTCTTCCTGTTTCTGTCAACATTGTTAATATTAAAAATTGTTCTCAGAAAGTGATTAACGTAATTTTTAAATTCCATCGAGGATATGACATTTAGATCCCGTGCTAAAGAACCTAAATCAAATGTACTAAAATTGTTTAACTGAACAAAAAAATTACACACATTCAGTCCATCTAGCAGAATACATTAAGTATCTTACAAAATTCCTATCCAGGCCGGACGCAGTGGCTCACACCTGTAATCCCAGCACTTTGGGAGGCCAAGGTGGGTGGATAACCTGAGGTCAGGAGTTCGAGACAAGGCTGACCAACACGGTAAACCCTGTCTCTACTAAAATATAAAAATTAGCCGGGCATGGTGGCAGGTGCCTGTAATCTCATCTACTCGGAGGGCTGAGGCAGGAGAATCATGTCCAGAGGGTGGAGGATGCAGTGAGCAGAGATCACACCATTGCACTCCAGCCTAGGCACCTAGAGCAAAACTCCATCTCAAAAAAAACAAAATAAAAACTATCCACAAAAAAACAAGTCATATTCTTTATATCTATAAATATCAGTTTTATTAACGTAATAGGTCACAGAAGCTTTCACTTGGGATTAGAGTTATTTCTTATGACACAGCAGAGCTTCTTTAACGTATTATATTTTCAGTATAGAGAAAGGTAGAAAAGGGGGGCTGAGAAGAAACTAAAAACCAATAAAAACCAAGATTGACTGTCCTTGCAGAGATCATCAGGGAAACCTATCAGTGGCTGTTAACAGCCATCTGGGAGATAAACACAAACAACTAAAAACAAAGACTTTTAGAAAGCCTGAAGCTTCTATCAGGATGATTTGAGAGTAATCTTGGAAGTGGTAGGAATACTGGAACTGGAAATGAATAAACCAAAACCTACTAATGAACTTTATCGTATACCATGATTAGAAAAAAGCTATGAGAAAAAGCAGGAAGTCCAATATACCAATCAGGGTCCGTTAAACTCAATTTTAGCTTTTCCATTTCTTTTATAAACAGATCTAACTATTCAAAGGGATCAATATCTCATGACTTATATTCTTCCTTACGACATATTCCAAAAAACAAGAAAGTTTACTTCTCTAAGACTAGAACAGAACTCACCCTTATTCTGTAATTATTATATGTATCCACTGGGCCCTTTTATAAATGTAAGGTAGAATCTAGTGATCTTATTTTTCCTATATCTTGAAACACTTTACAATTTCATCAACATTCATCAGTTATTCTCAGCTATGCTTTAAATAAAGACTAAAATGGAACAGAGGAATGATGGCATCACCTAGAGGATACAACAGTGAAATAAACTGTTAATGTTCATACAGTTTCCTTACTGCATAGCCTGAGGTATCACATCTCTTTCAAAACAGTTCAAAAAGACCAAAGACACCATCCTTGTAGTCTGCTTTTAGCTACCGTTGACCAGTTGATAATTATGAATTTTTTTCACTCATAATTGCGAAGAGAAGAAAAATTTACAGAGGAAGGCCTTTCTAATTATTAGAGATATCAGACAACAGATGCAAAGAGTACTGATAAATGTGAAATTATCTTACAAAGCAAAACCTCAGACTATGAAGTCTGAGATGGTGACATCTTAGATGAATGTTCTCAATGTATTTCTCAAACGATGTATTTCTCAAACGATGTATTTCTCAAACATTGTTCTCAAACAATGTATTTCTAAGGAGAAGAGGGAAAGATGATGTGTATTCTCATCCAGTTAATGACTCAACTGAGACTCCATCATGCAAAATCCTCCAACAAGAACCCAGATCATCCTGGTTTGCTAAAAGGGTATATGACAGTATTCTTCCATCTTTTAAGATGTTTGTGGTCAGGCACGGTGGCTTACACCTATAATCCCAAAACTTTGGGGAGCCAAAGCAGGTCGACTGCTTGAGAGCTCAGGAGTTCAAGACCACCCTGGACAACATGATGAAACCCCATCTCTATCAAAAATACAAAAGAAATTAGCCAGGTGTCGTAGCGTGCACCTGTGGTGCCACCTACATGGAAGGCTAGGGTGGAAGGATTGCTGGAGCCTGGGAAGTTGAGACTGCAGTGAGCCAAGATTGTACCACTACACTCAACCCTGGGTGACAGAACGAGACCCTGTCCAGGGGGAAAAAAAAGGTAAAATAAAAATTGAAGATAAAATTTTAAGAAATGTTTGTGTGCCAAAATGTACTTCGTAAGTGGAAATGTCAAAAGCAGATGTGTATACAAAGGTAACTCGAAAAAGAAAGATAATGAAATGCAAAAATATTCAATAGATTAGTCAATCCAACTGACTAAATGTGCTAAAATTACAGCACAGAGATGGCTATCCCTTCTTCAATAGAATGAGATGTCATTAAAAGTTCCAAAGTATTCAAGGACTGCATTCTGATGATCCAACTGTAAGAATAACCAGAATAAGCTAGAATTTATTAGAGATATATTTTAAATCTGCTATCAATATTTATAAGATTGGTATGTTCTAGGTTCATGTATAACAGTGAGCAGTTAGTTACATTTAGAGAACTGCATTCATTGTAGATACATATATCATCAAAACCTGGAAAATATGAAAAAGTTAGATTTGCTATGTTTAAACCCTCACTAAAATGTCTAATAAGGCCATGCGTGGTGGGGCTCACGCCCGTAATCCGAGTACTCTGGGAGGCTGAGGTGGGCAGATCACTTTGGCTCCAGAGTTCGAGACCAGCCTGGACAACATGGTGAAACACCATCACTATGCAAAATACAAAAGTTAGCCAGGCATGGTGGCATGTGCCTGTAATCTCAGCTACTTGGGGGCCTGGGGTAGGGTGGAAGGATCTCTTGAGCCCAGGAAGTCAAGGCTGCAGTGAGTTGTGTTTGCTTCACTATACTCCAGCATGGAGTCAATAATGGCCTTTAAAAAAGTCTAATAATGGGGGGCACAGTGGCTCATGCCTGTAATCCCAGCACTTTTGGAGGCTGAGGCAGGAGGACTGCTTGAGCCCAGGAGTTTGAGACCAACCTGGACAACACAGGAAGATTTCGTCTCTATAAAAAAAATTTTTTTTTAATTAGCCAGGTGTGGTTGGTGCATGCCTCTAGTCCCAGCTACTTGGGAGGCTGAGGAAGGAGGATCACTTGAGACTGGGAGGTCAAGGCTGCAGTGAGCCATGATCATGCCACTATACTCTAAACTGGGTGACAGAGCGAGACCCTGTCTCAAAAAAAAAAAAGGTCCAATAACGACCTTACTACCCTTTCATTCTTTCTGCTACAAAATTATTTGGTAAACGATCAGTGATGACTGTTTTCCCAAGTATACTGAGGGTTACAAAAAGAATATTCTAGGCCGGGCGCGGTGGCTCACGCCTGTAATCCCAGCACTTTGGGAGGCCGAGGTGGGTGGATCACCTGAGGTCAGGAGTTCGAGACCAGCCTCAACATGGAGAAACCCTGTCTCTACTAAAAATACAAAATTAGCCAGGCGTGGTGGTGCATGCCTGTAATCCCAGCTACTCGGGAGGCTGAGGTAGGAGAATTGCTTGAACCTGGGAGGCGGAGGCTGCGGTGAGCTGAGATCGCGCCATTGCCCTCCAGCCTAGGCAACAAGAGCGAAACTGCATCTCAAAAAAAAAAAGAATATCCTAACAACCAAAAGAAGGTGCCCATTCGAGTAACTATCTCAGAGAGGCAGTTCGAATATCTCTTGTTAATGTGGGTAAATCAAGCCTCATTTGCTGAAAATGTTATGTCTTAAAACTACCTAACCCCCTTATTCTATTTTCACCAAAGCATAATCATTCATGAATCTGGCTTTCTAAATAAACCATCTCAACTGCCTGGAGGCTTTTCTCACTGAACGATGAAATGCTGAACTCCATTTTAAACTTAATATCCACTTCTGTAAGCTTCATAACTTCACCCCTGAAAGACCAAGTTACTCTCATAAAGTGACTAAACCTAAATTCCTAAGCCTGAATCAAAAACACTACAAATTTGGCTGCACAGCCCACACCTGTAATCCCAGCACTCTGGGAGGCTGAGGCGGGTGGATCACCTGAGGTCAGGAGTTTGAGACCAACCTGGCCAACATGGCAAAACCCCGTCTCTACTAAAAGTACAAAAATTAGCTGGGCATGGTGGTGGGCGGGCGCCCGTAATCCCAGCTACTTGGGAGGTTGAGGCAGGAGAATCGCCTGAACCTGGGAGGTGAGCCAAGATCGCACCACTGCCCTCCAGCCTGGATGACAGAGCAAGACTCCTTCTTAAAAAAAAAAAAAAAAAAAAAAAAAAAGCCGGGCACAGTGGCTCACACCTGTAATCTCAGCACTTCGGGATGCCAAGGCGGGTGGATCACCTGAGGTCAGGAGTTTGAGACCAGCCTGACCAATATGGTGAAACCCCGTCTCTACTAAAAATACGAAAATTAGCCGGGCATGGTGGCGAGTGCCTGTAATCCCAGCTACTCAGGAGGCTGAGGCAGGAGAATCACTTTAACCTAGGAGGCAGAGGTTGCAGTGAGCCGAGATCACGCCACTGCACTCCAGCCTGGTCGACAAGCAAGACTCCATCTTAGGAAGAAGGAAAAAAGAAAACACCCCCACTTACAGTGCTATGGATCAAATCATATCCTATACAAAATGAAGAGTATATCTCACACAATAAAATATCACTTCAATAAGCCAGCATTAAAACTGTGCTCTAGTGTACTATATCCTAAATGTTAATTACTGAATTGATTTACGAATCTGTCATTGAATAACAGCGCCCCACAGAAATTCCTTTTCCTCAGATTTTACTTAACTCTGCAAACTATTTCGCAGGAACAATTCACACTCTCAAATGGCCCACACACTGCTCTAACATACTAAAATCCAGGAGACTGTGGAGTGACCATGATGAGAAGCCTAAAAACACAATAGCACTCATTTTAATCACTATCGTTTTATGGAGTACAGGATGAAATAAATAGGAAGAATCAAATTCCAAAAGCCTATTTCAGGATTCTTTCCACCAAATGATCCCAAGTCAAATTCTGTTTCAAAAAAAATCTCTAAACTCAAGCAAACAAATGTGAGTGATTTAAATGTAATTCCAATCTGGATCCTAAAGTCATCAATTTTTCATTCAAGTTCATAATGTTCAACCTATGCCTTTTTTTTTTTTTTTTTTTTTTTTTTTTGAGACGGAGTCTCGCTCTGTCGCCCAGGCTGGAGTGCAGTGGCGCAATCTCAGCTCACTGCGAGCTCCACCTCCGGGGTTCACGCCATTCTCCTGCCTCAGCCTCCCGAGTAGCTGGGACTACAGGCACCCGCTACCACACCTGGCTAATTTTTTGTATTTTTAGTAGAGATGGGGTTTCACCGTGTTAGCCAGGATGGTCTCAATCTCCTGACCTCATGATCTGCCCGCCTCGGCCTCCCAAAGTGCTGGGATTACAGGTGTGAGCCACTGCACCTGGCCCAACCTATGCCTTTCAAGTAGCCAAATTAAGAATAAGTATCAAAGACAGAGAATTTTTACCAGTCTTCAGTAAATTAACTATATTTCCATTTTTCCAAAGAAATTTTCCTATTATTTACTATTAAACTAAATAATCAATCATAAGGACCCATTTTCAACATGTGAAATACATTTATTGAGTACTGCTATTATGTATCTGCCATTTTGTATTATGACATTTTAAGAAGAAAATGCGCATTAGAAAAGTTTAACATCTGGAATGAACATGTATGATTTCTCTACCTAAATAATAGTATTATCTCATTCACCTTTAAGGCTGACACTTTAACAAATCAGTTTCCTACCAGCTTTCTTTACTATATCAAGTCCTAGAAACTGGCCACTCTGCAAGACAAAAACAAGTAACAAAGAATATGTTCGTCTCTCCTTTATGTGCGAGCGTTTCCCAAGCAGTAAGACTAACAATGGTCTTGGTATCTTGGTATGATGAGAAAAACTACATCTAAATACAGACAGCTAAAAACTTCAGACTGGCCAAAAGAATCAAACTTAAAACTTTTTAAAAAGTAGAGTAAATAATCCATGTATATCTTTTATATAAATAAAATACTGAATTAGACTAGGCATGGTAGCACACACCACTTTGGGAGGCTGAGGTGGGTGACTGCTTGAGCCCAGGAGTTCAAGACTCGCTTGGGCACCATGGCAAAACCTCATCTCTACAAAAAATACAAAAATTAGCCCAGCATGGTAGCACACGCCTATGATCCCAGCTACTCAAGAAGCTGAGACAGGGAAGATCCCTTGAGCCCGGGAGGTCAAGGCTGTAAGTGAGCCATGATGGCACCATTGTACTCCAGCCTGGGTGACAGAGTAAGACCCTGTCTCAAAAAAATAAAATTTGGAAAAAAAAAAAAATCTAAAAAGTTGTAAAAGAAAGGAGTGTCTTACCTCAGATAATTTTTATTCTCTTTTTTAATCCAATTTCTCTCAAGGCGCCTATCCCAACATTTTAATATAATATATAGATATATAACCATAATGCCTGACAATCCGCCATATGACTAGAAAAGGAAAGGCATATGCCACAAGAACAAAAACTTGCCAATTCCTATTTTAACTATGAATACTAAACCAGAAAACCTCACAGTTCAAAAACAGGTTTTTAAAATTTCAAATATGCTAAATGCAAGGAAGAAACCTTACAAAAAACATTATCAGGGCTGCGCGTGGTGGCTCAAGCCTGTAATCCTGGCACTTTGGGAGGCCGAGGCGGGTGGATCACCTGAGGTCAGGAGTTCGAGACCAGCCTGACCAATGTGGAGAAAACCCGTCTCTACCAAAAATACAAAATTAGCTGGGTGTGGTGGCACATGCCTGTAATCTCTGCTACTTGGGAGGCTGAGGCAGGAGAATCACTTGAACCCAGGAGGCGGAGGTTGCGCTGAGCCGAGATGGCGCCATTGCACTAGAGCCTGGACAAGACCGAAACTCCATCTCCAAAAAAAAAAGAAAACAGAAAAAAACAAAAACTAAACACGTTATCACCTTAGATGTCAGGCTTACTATGTAACGTGTCTATGTGTGTTGCTTATATATTACTTGCTGAGCAAGGCAGATATCTAAAATAAAAAGCAAAAATGTTACATGTGAAATGAGGGAGGAGGGATATTTCTACTGCCCTTCCAAGAGCCCAAAACACTGTACTAGATACCCAATGTAAACGAAATCTAAAGAACTCTTCATTTTCACATTACCTTCAAACTTTACAGGCGGAGCATATTTTTCTAGCAATCTTTAGTCAGCAAAAATCAATCATTAAGCAAATACTTATGAAATATTTACTATTAAGTGTTATGAAGATTTTTAAAGAGATGACACCATTTTTAAAAGGCAAATAAAAAACCACTAATTAGGTATAAAAATAAATATTTCCATTTTAGACCTTTTCAAAATTAACTTTCTACTATAAATCATATGTTGTCTTCTTGGGTCCACTGCTGGGCCATGACATTACTTTATGTGCTGTAACTTCATGTAAATTTCCTAAGGGGCTAGAAAGGCAAACCCTGTATTTAAGCAACCAATATATTTTTAATGTAACAAAATGTTAGTGTAAACCATATGAAACTGTCAATACTTAACCATTTCTGACCTACAAGAATGGAAATTTCTTATGGCTCAAGTCTTTAAAAATCACCTTACAAGCTTAATAAAGCTCTCTCTTGGATCATTTTTGTTCTAAATTTATTACTAAGGGCAAAGTCACCTTTTCTTTCCTTCAAAGGATTCCTAGAGCTGCAGAAGAATGTTGTGAGTCTGGCACAAAACTGACCAAACCCTCTGAATACATTTGGAAAAACAAAAAATGAAACTGGTTATCAGCTTCCCAACCTCCAGACTAACCTTGGACAAGCTAATAAAGTATTCACACAGTTAAGAAGAGGACACAAACCGTTTTGTGACTCTGAAATAATCTGTTTAAAAAGTATGATGGTAGAGCTCCCGGGCTGGTGAATCTATTGATGGGCTGGAAATGTGGCATGCTCAAAGAAGTCATGGAAGCTCTACTTTCCAAGCCCCTTCCCTCACCCCGACCTTGCCTCATGCATCTCTTTCATTTGGCAGTTCCTGACTTGTATCCTTTATAATAAACCAGTAAACAATCGAGCCTGACCATCTCTAAGTATGATTGAAGAATGACAGTTTACCTCTGCTATTTTGCACAATCCCAGAAAAATTTTAAGAAAAAGTGTTTATTGACCAAAAAATTACATTTCATAACTAAGGCGATCAGATATGAAGCAACCTAAAAGGATTACCACCCACACCCCCCCACCGGTATAAGGGAAAAATAGTGCAGGGAAGCAGATGTAGAAAACATAATTTAAAAATGTAAAAGTAAGCCTGCGCAGTGTCTCACGCCTATAATCTCAGCACTTTGGGAGGCCGAGGCGGGTGTTCACTTGAAGCCAGAAGTTCGAGACCAGCCTGGCCAACATCACAAAACACCATCTCTACTAAAAATAAAAAAATTAGCTGGGCATTGTGGCTCACACCTGTAATTCCAGCTACTCAGAGGCCAAGGCACGACAATCACTTAAAATCGGGAGGTGGAGGTTGCAGTGAACTGAGATTGTGCCACTGTACTCCAACCTGAGCAACTTAGTGAGACTCCATCTCAAAAAATAAAAAATAAAAAATAAAAAAATTGCCTAAGAAAAAAACACAAAAAAGATAAAAACTCAGGGCTGGGCACAGTGGCTCACACCTGTAATCCCAGAACTTTGGGAGGCCAAGGCAGGCTGATCACCTGAGGTCGGGAGTTTGAGACCAGCCTGACCAACATGGAGAAACCCCGTCGCTACTGAAAATACAAAATCAGCCGGGTATGATGGCGCATGCCTGTAATCCCAGCTACTAGGGAGGCTGAGGCAGGAGAATCGCTTGAACCCGGGAGGTGGAGGTTGTAGTGAGCCGAGATCGCACCATTGCACTCCAGCCTGAGCAACAGGAGCAAAACTCCATCTCAAAAATAAAATAAAATAAAAAAATAAAACTCAGCCATAAAATGCAAGGACTTCCTACACCAAAAACTGCACAAACAAAAAATAGACAATTCACAGAACAAGGGGTTAAGAGCCAACCAACTAATTTAAGTGATGTTCCCATACTACTATTCATTAAGGAAATGAGAATTCATGAGACATCAGTTTCCATCCACCAAGTTTACAAAACTGTACATATGAACAATATAATACAGTCACTTAATGTATGAAAAAGATACCTCCAGTGTTAATAAAAGTATAAAGTAATTCTGAAGACATTTTTGGAGGATGAAATGGTACATTTTAATACTTTTAAAAACATTAACCTCTTAGGAATTATACTACCAGACTTGCATAAGAATATTAACTTTAACTCTGGCATTGTTTTCTTTTGCTAACAGCAAAAAATCTGGTAATTTCAATGTCTTTTAATTTGATATATCCACACCAAATAATTTTGAGGTGGTTACAAAAAATGAGGTAAATTTAAATGAGAAGACACGAAAATGTTTGCTGTCCTAATTAAGTGAATACAAAAGTCACAAATATATAACTTAATCCCAATTTTTTTTCAACTTAAATATGTCCTTTATACATGCAAATAAAAAACTTACAAGAGAATCAACTCTGGTAAATGAGATTTAAGATAGGGTGGGTGGACAAGTACACCTACATTAAGATGGAAGGTTTACTTTGTACTTTATATAATTTTTTACCATTTCATTTTTTACATTAAGCTTTATTACTTTAAATTTAAAGAAGGGGAAGAGGCTTTCGAAACGTTACCTGGGAAAGCACTAACTCCGAATTTCTAAACACTCTACGTAATATGGATAAATCCTTAATAAACGGTGACAAAAAAACAAAATCCTATGGGTGGCAAGATTATGCTTAAACTTTTTCCTTATATTAATTTTTAAATTTTTCAAAAGTGAAAAAAAATCACATTTTAATTTCAGATAATGACTTACAAAATTCTAGAGAGCAAATTTGACCAGAGCTGAATCATAAAACATAACGTGAAATTTAAAAAAAACTCTAGATTCAATTTCTAAATCATTCAATCTCTAACACCAATGTCTTCTTCACAAAAGCGGAGGCAGACCACAGGGGTGAGCCAGACTGTTCAGGAACAGGGAAGGACCCTCCTGGACAGGAATGGAAAAAGTACACTGTAACAACACCCTCACCACCCCACCAAGAGTAGTTTTCCCTTTAATCTGAGACTTGACGCTACCAATTTTAAGTGTCTAAACAACAAAAAAGTGTAAGAAGCATTACTCTCAAAACTGAGTGCCACACATTTCTAATTCTAGAACATGTCCAAACCTACATCATTCCTTGCTTGACCTAACTTTTGCTTACTCAAAATCCAAAAAACACTGTATCAGAAATAAATTTTGAAAAATGAAAATGAATCAAGCCCTTTATTCTCACAGAAAACTATTAGAGATACAATATTGAGAAAAACATTTTCAATAAAATCTAAAGTCCAAATGAACACAGTAATCTGCAGCATCACTGCCATATATAGCACCCACCAAGGACTCCACTTCACACTCCTTGATTTGCAGCAGTCACTTCACCACTTTGTTTCCTCGTGTCTCCCCCAGATGCCACCAGTAACATTTTCCTCAAGAACTCTAATACACACAGATAGTTACAGGTATCCTTACAAAAAGTTACTTCTTAACTTACTGCCATTTAAAAATTCTGCCTGGATTTTAATTATTTGCACTAAGTTCACTGTGTACTATTTTGCTTTTACTAAAGCAAAGTATAAATTATGTCAGGGTGCCATGAGCCAAGTCCCTCATGAATGAGTAAAGCATTCACTTTACTCACTCTTTTATCTTTGACTTCCACCAAAGTGGGTACACTAAGTTAAGGTTGTCAGGGATTGAAGTGCTGCAATTTTTGACTTCCTAGCATACTATCTAGATTAATGAGAGCTCAAAGAAAATTTGTCATTAAAAAATCAGGCCATGTATGGTGGCTCACACCTGTAATCCCAGAACTTTGGGAGGCCAAGGTGGGCGGATCACCTGAGGTCAGGAGTTCAAGACCAGCCTGGCCAACAAGGCGAAACCCTGTCTCTACTACAAGTAAAACAATTAGCTGGGCGTGATGGTGGGTACCTATAATCCCAGATACTCAGAAGGCTGTGGCAGGAGAATCGCTTGAACCTGGGAAGAGGAGGTTGGAGTGAACTGAGATTGCTCCATTGAACTCCAGCTTAGGCGACAGAGTGAGACTCCATCTCAAAAAATAAAATAAAGTAAAATAAAATTGGCAGATAACTAAATCATTTGCAAAGTGCTTAGTACAGAATATGTAAGTTTAAAATGTTTGTAAATGGCTAGGCGCGGTGGCTCACACCTGTAATCCCAGCATTTTGGGGGGACAAAGTGGGCAGATCACCTGAGGTCAGGAGTTCGAGAACAGCCTGGCCAACATCATGAAAGCCCGTCTCTACTAACAATACAAAAATTAGCCAGGCGTGGTGACACACGCCTGTAGTTCCAGCTATTCAGGAGGCTGAGGCAGGTGAATCGCTTGAACCTGGGAGGCAGAGGTTGCAGTGAGCCAAGATCGCGCCATTGCACTGCAACCTGGAAGACGAGGGAAACTCCATCTCAAAAAATAAATAAATAAAATAAAATAAAATGTTTGTAGGGCCGGGCACGGTGGCTCACGCCTGTAATCCCATCATTTTGGGATGCTGAGACAAGCCTGAAAGAACATGCACGACATGAACAATGTTTTATTCATCTGTGAGCTGTGATTTTTCTTTCCCTCCTCCTGTATTTTTTTTGCTTTTCTGTACTTTTAAATTTTTCCTCAGACATTTCTAGAATATTGTAGAAGGCAGAAAGCTAGTTACAATATTTCACGTTGTTACATATGAACTCTGTTAATGATCACTATAGTAAAATAACTATTAACACCTCATAAAGACACCCAGGCAAATCGTTAAGACAAATTATTTAAAGTAATTAGCAAAAAGAAGGAAAAGGGTAACACCATAGTGCATAGCGTTCAATGCTAGGTTCTTTTAAGAATTCAAATGCACTATCATCCATGACTTCCAAATTATAATGATAAATTTAAAGTCTACAAAGCTAAAAATGGGACAGGTGAGACCGATTCTAACTCCAAAACTCAAGCACTGCTGTATTACACAGCTATTACCACCAATAGAAAGAATAGAGAAAATGAATTAGATTTATCCTCCATCAACTAAGCTAATTCTCCTAAAAGAGTATTTATTTAAATCAAAAAAATAGACACAAGAAAATAAACTTAAAAATACATACCTCTACTTCATCTCCTTCACTAATTTCTTTTTTTATATCAGGTGGTGGTGGTAATCTAACTTCATTAAATGGAACCTGGCGTTCTGGTTGCCAACTGAAGGATTAGAAAAGGTGTATTAACAACTTAAAAATATATAGTCTACGCCTGGTGTTGCATATTTTTTCAAGTTAGTTTATCATTTAGCTTTCCCTAAAGAGAAGGAAAACAACATTCATACTATTAATAATTTCCCAAGAAATTAGTTACTGAAGTAGAACAGATTTTGTATGACTCTTAATAAGTTCATAATTAACATAATTGTTAACAATTGTACATTACCTCCCAAATTACTCATCCTAACAGCAGTACACATTCTCCCAAATTACTCATCATAAGAGCAATACATACATTATTCTGCAAATGAAATAAGCTAAGTTCACAGTGATGACTAACTTTGATTCGGACAGCTGCCCAATAAATAGTAGTGGTATCAACTTATTTCAAATAGTTTCACAACTACATGACCTATCAATAAAGGAAACACAATTTCATATATTACAAAACAATATAAACTGTGTAATTCTTTTTAGTATACATGTTCACAGAAATACAGAAAATTATCAGCAATTATTTTGAATAGCTGAATTACAAAAGATTTCATTTTCTCACGTTCCATTTATCTTTCCTACAGTGGATATATACATTATAATTAGAACCTAGAAAAAGCTTACTTTTAACTCTGTAGCAAATACGAATGTATTAAACCAATTTAGCAGTTAACTGACATTTTTCATGTTGTATTTTAAAAGCTGAAATTATAAAGTAAAAAATTATTCCCTACTCTAATTTCTCATAGGTCATTTATATGTCTGGGAAGTATACTATGACATAAAATGTCCCTCAAGTTTCTATCTGCCAAGGCTGGGCAAAGTAGCAGCTGACAAGTAAAAGATTTGGGGATGCTTTCTTTTCACCATTACTGTCCAAATGGCAGCTGCTCAAAGATAGAAATCATCTCAACACTTGTTTCTACATGAAGCAGCTGTTAGGCAAAGATCTTTTCAGGCAATTCCAGAAACAGCTTAAAAGTGGAAGCTGAACAGTTTTTTTCTGACCATCAATTAAACAGTGCTCTTGGAGATGGAGTTTTGCTCTTGTCGTCCAGGCTGGAGTGCAATGGCGCCGTCTCAGCTCACTGCAACCTCCACCTCCTGGGTTCAAACAATTCTCCTGCCTCAGTCTCCTAAGTAGCTGGAATTACAGGCGCCCCCCCACCATGACTAGCTAATTTTTTTGTATTTTTTAGTAGAGACAGGGTTTCACCATGTTGGCCAGGCTGTCTCACACTCCTGACCTCAAGTGATCTGCCCGCCTCGGCCTCCCAAAGTGCTGGGATTACAGGCATGAGCCACCGCACGCAGCCCAGCGCTCTTTTATAGCCCTTCCTAACCAAACCCAGCATGCTGTCTTTCCCATTTTTAGACTGCATACCCCTCAGGCAATTAAAAATGGCTTAATACTTATTCTGATGACCAGTAGTCAACTGGAAGACCTTCTACAACCTCATTTGAAAATTCTGGGCTTTTAAATATTAAGCATATTATCATCTAATTTGTGCCATCTATTTCTGCAAAACTGATTCATATCCATACATGTTCTGGCGAAGAGGGTTATGAAAAAAGTGACAATTATGGACAGAAAAACAGATAAAGAATTATCAAAACTAGACTTATGATCAAACAACCAAACCTCCCCACTCCCTAAAAGCAAAATCATTTTTCCACTGGCAGTAGGAACACCCAAAAGCAAAAAGTTTGGCACTGCCATCTCTAAAATTAAGGCCTTTGTCAACAAAAATAACTTACTTATTTTCAAAAACAACTGTAAGGGAGTCTTCATGAACATCTTTGATAAATCCCTGCAAGACACAAAAACATTATAAAAGCATAGATATTAAAGCACTTCGTAACTCTAAAAGGTTGTATTAGTTCAAAGATAATAGGGAGTACTAAAAGAACACAAGGTTTGGAATTAGGCAGATGTGAGTTTGATTTCCATCTATTCTATTTATGAGACACATGATCTTTTAAGTTACTTAACCTCTCTGAACCTCATTTTTCACCCGGTGTCATCTACCTGGGAATTAGCAAAAGTAAATGTACATCCCTGGAACACCTCAGGTATTAGTTCAGCAAGGCAGTTATTTAGTATTGTGACTAAGAGTTCAGTATTTACTACTGTGACAAAGAGTTCAAGCTCTGGAGTACTGGCTGCCAGGATTCATACCCAAGCTCTATCACTTGTATATTCTTGAATACAGTTTTGATCTAATGAAATTAATTACAGTATCATCCACCTAATGAAAAATTTATCAGAAGTAAATGAAGTAATGTTTAGCACAGTACCTGGCACAAAGTAAGAACCCAATTTTGTTATAAATGTTATCAACATTATAGTTCACCTTCAGTAAAATGCATGACTCCATTTTGAATACTATCTTTGCCATTAACTTAATCTTATTTTTCCTACATACTTCTCTTTCCCTTCCCTTAAAAGAAAATTGGGCTATAGTGAGTACACTGTTCACGATTATGTTGGAATGAATACAGATTCTCAATAACAATTGGCGGTCATTTTTCAGCCTTAAAATTACTATTAAAATTAGCCTTCTTATTCTATCTTCCTTTGATTAATACAGCTGAAAGAAACCATAAGATCTGACATACTCAAGAAAGAGCAAAGGACTTGGGTGTAGAATTACTGTTGCTGAAATCCTGATTCCACCACTGTGTAACCATAGGCAAGCAGTCCTTGGCACTTATATAATTACAATTAACATTAAATGACTTTATATTACTATGAATCAGAACTGCAAATTACTGAATGTTAGTCAAATGCTTACACACACTTTCAACCATGGTGTACATAGGAAATACTTTTCTAAAACATCTTTATCACACTAGACTCCATAATGTCCAAGGCACACTAGCTATATAAACACATGTATAGTACCTGGTCAAAGTAAGACAAAAATGAACACATCTGTTTATCTCACTCCTTCCCAAAAGTCCATTAACTAACAGTAAAGAGATTTGAAGGAATAAACCCA
The DNA here is from genome assembly GCF_000001405.40 of Homo sapiens. NCBI lineage: Eukaryota > Metazoa > Chordata > Mammalia > Primates > Hominidae > Homo > Homo sapiens. The sequence continues at coordinate 180,932,142 of NC_000003.12, read as the reverse complement.
AAAGAAAGAAGAGAATAAAGGGAAAAGGCAACTTACAACAACAAAAAAGTTGTTTTTTTTTTTTTTTGAAACTTACAAAGTAAATGGAAGAAGGGTAACTTAAGTAATAAAAAACAAAGCAAGCCCAGGCACCCAGCACTTTGGAAGAACAAGAAAGGCGGACACCTTGAGCTCAAGAGTTCGAGACCATCCTAGGCAAGACAGTGGAATCCCATCTCTACCAAAAATATAAAAAAATTAGCCAGGCCTGGTGGCGTGTCTGTGGTCCCAGCTACTTGGAAGGCTGAGGCGGGAGGATCACTTGAGCCTGGGAGGCAGAGGTTGCAGTGAGCCATAACCATGCTGCTGCACTCCAGCCTGGGTGACAGAGTGGCCCCATCTCCAAAAAAAAAAAAAAAAAAAACCCACAACAACTAATTTTTAAGGGCATACTCTGTGTTAGACATTTTTCTAAGCAAATTAAGACTATAAAATATAAACTGGCAGTGGGAATGGCTCAGTTCTCTTCTTCAGCTCCAACTGCCTGTTGTCTCATTTATTTGTGTGCCACGGGACATTTCTATGCAAACATCCTCACTGAGGCCTAAAACCCAGGATATCTTTCTCTTGAAGATTGCTATGGTAGGCCCGGTGCAGTGACTCACGCCTGAAATGCCAGCACTTTGGGAGGCCAGAGCAGGCAGATCACCTGAGGTCAGGAGTTCGAGACCAGCCTGGCCAACATGGTGAAACTCCATCTCTTCTAAAAATGCAAAAATTAGCCAGATGTGGTAGCAGCTGCCTGTAATCCCAGCTACTCGGGAGGCCGAGGCAGGAGGATCGCTTGAACCCAAGAGGCAGAGGTTGCAGTGAGCCGAGGCTACACCACTACACTCCAGCCTGGGCGACAACAGCAAAACTCCATCTCAAAGAAAAAAACAAAAAAGACTGCTATAGTAGCTCCTGCCTTGCAATTCTGGAGATATTTATTAATTAATCCTCCCTAAATTTAAATATTAAGAGTTGCCACTGTAGTTCAGGCTCTGATTATCTGACCATGCTATAATAATGACTTTCTGGCCAGTTTCTCTATTTCTAGTAGGGCACATTCACGTCTTTTTTTTTTTTTTTTTTTTTGAGGCAGTCTCGCTCTGTTGCCCAGGCTGGAGTACAGTGGTGTTATCTGGGCTCACAGCAACCTCCACCTCCCTGGCTCAAGCGATCCTCCTACCTCAACCTCCCCAGTAGCTGGGACTACACCACCACACCCAGCTAATTTTTTTGTATTTTTAGTAGAGACAGAGTTTTGCCATGTGGGCCAGGCTGGTCTCGAACTCCTGACCTCAGCTGATCCACTCGCCTCAGCCTCCCAAAGTGCTGAGATTATAGGCATGAGCCACCACACCTGGACCACATTCGCTTTCAAAAATCACTTTGGTCAGCACATTCAGTTATGTTACCAGCAAATATAACTGTATTATACCCTTGCCATTTTTTAACAAATTTCAGAAACTGGGAATTTCCATGTTTATGAATATTAGTAAAGCATCTCTTCCATCAGAAGACAGCCATATTTTCAACCTCCACTAACGTGTTCTAGTTCTTCAACAAACTCTCACAAAGTTTGAAAAGTCTCACAAATTAATCTTTCTAGTCTCTGTATAATTCATAGTGGATTAGTTCAAATCAGAACTCTAAATCACTAGGAACTTTCACTCCTTTCTCACCTTTATAATAATCTCTCACTCTCCTTTGTAATAAAAACCTTTTTTCTATCTAAAAATCACCACTTCCACCTTTCCCACAAACGCTTCCACCATAAACATCAGTATCAACTTTGAGTGCACATTTTTCACAAACTTTAAAACACAGCTCTGTACAACTACTTTCTTTTTTTTTTTTGAGATGGAGTCTCACTCTGTTGCCAGGCTGGAGTGCAGTGGTGCAATCTCAGCTGGCCGCAACCTCCAACTCCCTGGTTCAAGCACTTCTCCTGCCTCAGCCTCCCAAGTAGCTGGGATTACAGGCACACGCCACCACGCCCAGCTAATTTTTGTATATTTAGCAGAGACTGGGTTTCACCATGTCCGCCAGGCTGGTCTCGAACTCCGACCTCGTGATCCGCCCACCTTGGCTTCCCAAAGTGCTGGGATTACAGGCGTGAGCCACCACGCCCCGGCCCTTGAGCATCTACTCTTATTGCTAGTATCATTCTGCCATAAGATTTACTAGAGTAAGGCCTGACACCAAGTCCTTAAAATCTATTTGGACTGTAGTGAACGATTTCTAACATCCTACTCCATAAAATCTAATCCCCAAGTCCTAAATTCTAGACAAAGGTGTTTCTAATGGCCAGATTTCTCTAAAATTTAGTCCACTTGACACAGGACACAGTCAATACTTTTAAATGTATTTTTGTATTCCCAAGCCACCAGAATGATGGTAGGTCTCCCCGCCTGCTCAAGAGACCCAAATTGACAGGGCTGGGTCTTCGCCAAAATCCGATAGGAGACACCATAACAGCCACATTTGTCTGCACATGGCAGGGGGCTTTATGCCTTTAAGTCTCCATCCAATCTTTGGGGATTTCGACTGTCTCTCTTCCTATTCACACCCACCTGGCTCAGGTCCCATATTTCTCAGAACAAAGCCTTTGACATGTCTTTTTCTTCTTCCCATACATATGCAAACACAGAAGATTTCAAGGCATCCTTATTAAATGGTCACTTGTCTTGTTCACTCGCACAGTCCAATAATGTTTACATTTGAAACTCTTAACTATAATTTAAGATAATCATTAATAACCAGGCAGTATAACACATCTGAAGTGTATTCAAAATCTTAAAATGTTCACAGCTTGCTATGGATAGGCGGAAAAAAAAATATCTTAAAATGCCCACATAACTCTGACAAAACAAACAGGCATCATGTAATAAAAAACTAAAAATGCCATAAATTAGGCCGGGCGCGGTGGCTCACGCCTGTAATCCCAGCACTTTGGGAGGCCAAGGCAGGCAAAGTTCAAGACCAGCCTGACCAAAACGGAGAAACCCCGTCTCTACTAAAAATACAACATTAGCAGGGTGTGGTGGCGCATGACTATAATCCCAGCTACTTGGGAGGCTGAGGCAGGAGAATCACTTGATCCCAGGAGGTGGAGGCTGCAGTGAGCCGAGAAAGCGCATTGCACTCCAGCCTAGGCAACAAGAGTGAAACTCTGTCTAAAAAAAAACAAACAAAAAATGCCATAAATTAAGTGTAAAATGAAAGTAGGGATGGAAGGAGTAGAAGGAATCCTTGAGCAGTGAAAAAGCACTATCCGAAGAACTAATTTCAAAAGCAATCTAGTATAAAACAATTTTTTAAAAAAAGGTTCTAGTCAAAGATCCACTTAAGCAGCAAGTTAACTAACAATCCATTAGCCTTCTACATGTAAACAACAGGCAGCTGTAAAATAAAAATTTTATACAAAAAAATTCTACTTACAGCAACAACCAAAAAATAAATCCTACAAGTGTCCTCAACAACAGACATATGCACAAAAGCTATGTACAAAAAATGTCTGAAGCTCTAATAAATATAAATACAAAATTTAGGAAAATGTAAAACACCATCATGTTCTTAGACACCTTGATATTATAAAAATTTCAATATGCCCCTAAAATTAACCTATAATTTCAATGGCATCCCATTGAAATATTAACAGTGTGTATGTGTTTGGGGTGGGGGGACCTAATAAAATAAGCCTATCTCAAAAAATTTTAAAAAAGGAAACTTCTAAAATGGGGTGGGGGGGCTGGGATGGGAGGGAACAATAACACTCTATACTTACCAAACCTTAAAGATTATTTTAAAACTACAATAATGAAGATGGAAAAGATATTTTAAAGGAACAGAACAGATTCCAAAAGTAGGCCTAAAGTCGTTTAGGAATTTACAAATGGGGAAGGAATGGACTCTTTTTAAAATGGTATTGGAACATTTAAATAATTCTTGGGGAAAACAGAAATGGATGTCTTCATCAGAAAAAAAAAAAAATCAATAGATAAAACATTCAAACTTCAAAAAAAAATCAGTAACAATTCCAGGAGAAATCAGGAGCCAATTATCTATAACTTGCAGTAAGGAAGGCCTTTCTAACCAAAAAAGCAAAACCCAAAAGCCACAAAGTTTGATAAAAGTATACTACCCAGAAGCTAAAATATAAAAGCATCACATACAAAGGAGAAAAGGGGGCAGAGGGTGAAACAGCATACAACAGGGTTAAATCCCCAATTCAAATATTCTTAGGTGAGTAAGAACAAGCTGATGGAAAAGGTATCGATGGATATGAACTAGGTGAACAAGTAATTCACAGGAAAAAATGTAATTTTAATAATATACAAATCTCCTTTAAATTGTTAAACATTTGCTACAATTTGTTCTGAACTTCGCTTTTCTCTTCAGTTTGTGTCTTGTAGATCCTACCTTACTATGAAGATCTACTCATTTTTTTTTAGACGGGTGCTTAAATGGCCTGTGGGGGAAAAAAGTACACAGGATATCTGCTTACTTTATGAATATATTTTTGAAATTACAGAATATAGCTGAAAAACAAAAAGTTTCTCAACTTGACAGGAGCCGTTGTGGAAAAAAAATCCTATAGGCTAAACAGAAAGAAACATGGTATGAATATATTTCAGGAGTTAAAAGATTAATATTACAAATATAGCAAAAAATCTGAACAGATGTATTATGGACCCTGGCTGTGGAACAGTGACCTAATGACACTGTATGAGGGCAGACAAAATATCATTTATAAACCACTCATTTTATAAGAGCACTCATTTTAAAGAAGGAAAGTTGAAACAATACACATCTTATATAGCCCCAAAGTTTCACTCCCTAGGTTAAAAGTACAAATTTAAAATCTCATCTGTCTTGAGCTCTTTTCACTAAATCACTACGAACCAAATGATGAAATACTTTTGCCAATTCATATAGTTTTAAACTCTAAAAGATTGAGTCTGGTAGTAATGTTAATCAGAGGAAATAAGGCACCTATCATAAAAAGATATTTAAGGCAAGGTTCCCAAAGTATCAAAAACTAACTCACAACTGGTAAGGCAATTATCTTGTCCAAAACCTGGATTCAAGCTGAAAGAAAATTTTAATGTTTGAAATACTGATCAATAGATCAGGTATCTTGATTGAGTTGTGGCTTAGAAATCTGTACAGATGTCCCTTCAGGAACATTCCTAATAAACCCATTAAGAATATACCATCCTAGTCTAGAAAAATTCCTTTGACTGGAAAGTAACCATGATTACTAATTCATCTGTTACTTTAGATTTTTTTTAAGACCCACTGATGCCTTCCTACCATTTCAATTCATTACAACAGTAAATTTACATTCCTTATAAAGGAGTAAACAAACTTTATAAAGGAGTAAACAGAAACTTTAAAACCTTAGTATTTGGCAGACTACCAAATGTAATCAGAAACAGCACAGCCTGAATCCGAAGTTTTAAAATGCAAGTCCAGAACCAAAAAATCGAAGATTTACACCCTAAAAGTGTAACTCTCATATTTCAAAATTCTTCTTAGAAGAGTTTTCTGATTGCAAAACAAACTGCCTTTTTTCTTTTTTAATGCCAACAAAAGGCCAGAAAAAAAAATATATATATATATATATATATATATATACAGTACAATCCCCCTAAATAGAGATTAGGAACTACCCTTGGCTTAACCCAACTTTTTAATGACTCCAGTCTCAAGATTCCAACCTATTAAAAGTTTCATGGTAAAGCAGGAGACCTGTCAGGAATCATACCTCTAGTTCACATTTATTCTCTTAAGGAAGCAAAAGGAAGTATCAGACGCACATTACTGCTTCCCTCAAACCTGATCAAGTATTCTTACATAGTTTGTCACTCCAGCTTTAAGACTACTGTTTTTCTTTTTAATTCTCTTCTCATGAATCGCTGGCATGAAATTTAAACATTTTATTTTTCTCTCTAGATTTGGCACAACAGTCAGAAATTACTTTTTTTATGCCTTCTCAAATGTGTTAAAAAAAGAAAAAAGTGCAGTTCATGGCTTAATTCCTGATGCAAACTTGTGGTAAAGTACTTACTGTATTTCTAAAGATAAACTGATTAAAATAAATCCTTCTTTATTAGAGACACTGGGCTGTTTGTTAGATAGTGAAGGGTCTTTCCTCTGACTAGGTTAACTCTCCATTTACCCCAACTACATCAGTTAAATATTACTGATGTGGATAAATTTGATTACAAAATATATAGCCCATGAGAAAAAGGTACTAACATAATTCATGCAAAATTCAGTACCTCGGGTTTTTTCTTCCCCAAGAACTGCCACAGTGGATTTTATTATCACTTTTTATCCCTTGATCAATTATCAGTTTATTTATTGATTCATACTCTGGCCCCAGTCTACCTTTCCAGCCCATCAATTTGAATGATTTAACATCTCTGAAATCAGGATGCTTCTTACAATGGATGGCATCTTGGAATAGCTGATAGCCACATGTCAGTCAGGACATAAATGTCACTCTTTAGTACTCAAACTTGGTTTGCTTGCGATTTTCTGTGGCACCTGATGGTAACCCCTGAGCATTTCAGTCAGCAAACCAACGAAGAACCACTTTAGGAATGACCGCGGTTTCTTATCAAAATGTTTGTTTGTTAACACCTTCTGATAAAATCTAGAAAGCACCAGGATCAAAGCTCACAAAATGAGTAAAAATTACTGGAAGAAAATCCTGGAGACAACAGAGGAATGTACTTTTTTTTTTTTTTTGAGATGGAGTCTCGCTCTGTTGCCCAGGCCGGAGTGCAATGGCCTGATATCAGCTCACTGTAACCTCCACCTCCCAGTTCAAGCGATTCTTCTGCCTTAGCCTTCCGAGTAGCTGGGACTAGAGGCACGTGCCACCATGCCCGGCTAACTTTTTTATTTGTAGTAGAGACAGGGTTTCACCATATTAGCCAGGCTGGTCTCGAACTCCTGACCTCGTGATCCACCCACCTCAGCCCCCAAAGTGCTGGGATTACAGGCGTGAGCCATCGCGCCCGGCCAGGAGAGCCCTTTTAAAGTAGGTTTACAACATCAATACTCTCCATGGCACTGAGGAAGATATTTTGAGAAGAAACACAGGTATCTGAATATGAATATGTTTTAATGAATTTCTTTTGCTTGAACTTCCCATTTTATGTATGGGACTGTTAGGATATTTTTCAATAACTACATAAGAATATTAAAAAATAAAGACAACCATTGTTCAGATTAATTGGCACATTTCTTCTTTCTTCATGGTACAGTGCCTCTGACAACTGATGCTGTTTTAGGTATAATGAAATTGCATTGAGGCCAGGCACGGTGGCTCACGCCTGTAATCCCAACAATTTGGGAGGCCGAGGCAGGTGGATCACCTGAGGTCAGGAGTTTGAGACCAACCTGGCCAACATGGTGAAACCCCGTCTCTACTAAAAATACAAAAATTGGTTGATCTTCCACTAATTTCCCAAATCTATATATGGAAAAACAATCTATTCTGTTGATTCTAAACCCAACTTCCAACTATTCAGACATCTCCACCCATAGTTTACTGACACCTAAAATCAACACGTCCACAGTCAGAATCTCATCTGTTGTCCTGCTCTGCACCCTACACAGCATGATCCATTTAACAGGATTTTCAAAATGAAAGAGAAAACTGAACACAGCAAACAATCTTTTTTAACCAGGATTCTAGGAGAATACAGCCCGATGCAATAAGGCATCCGCTGTGTGTAATGAATTAACTTCTCTCACATATATCTAGAATGGTACTACGACCTATGTGCCATCACCAGAACTGAGAAACTGTGTTTCTGTGCTTTATAGTTCAGATAAGAAACTCGGGCTGAAGGCTGGGCACGACAGCTCACACCTGTAATCCCAGCACTTTGGGAGGTCGAGGCAGGCAGATCACCTGAGGTCAGGAGTTCGAGGCCAACATGGCGAAACCCTATCTCTACTAAAAATGCAAAAATTAGCTCGGCATGGTGGTACACACCTGAAGTCCCAGCTACCTGGGAGCCTGAGGGAGGAGAATCACTTGAACCCGAGAGGCAGAGGTTTCAGTGGGCCAAGACCACGCCACTGCACTCCAGCCTGGGCGACAGAGCAAGACTCTGTCTCAAAAAAAAACAGAAACTCAAGCTGCAAAAGTCTGACTTGTCTCCCAGATCTGGGTGATCATCGTTATCTAGGCAACTTTAAAGTTCTCAAGAAGGATGCCTGAGGGTCTGTAATCCCAACCCACTCAGGAGACTGAGCGGGGAAGATCACTTGAGCCTAGTAGTTCGAGGCCAGCCAGCCTGGGCAACATAGGGAGACAGATCAACAGACCGGTCTCCTGAAACAACAATTTCTCTATTTGCAAAATAAAGGAGGTGAAGATTCTTAAACTGGGGTACTCCCTGACACTCAAAGATGTGCTAGGAGTACTTAAAGCTACTCCCTCCCCACAACTACCATGGTAAATCTTCCTGGAGCTTTTATGATAAGTAAAGTAATTTAAAAGATTCATAATAAAGTTTCTGGACTGTCTACATAGTTAACAGATTATATAAAGGGCTCCTTATCAGGGCAAGGAAAAAAAAAAGCCTCACTAAATGAAGGCACTACAATACAGTGGTTTCACTGTAAGGTCTCAGATCCCACTACTTACTGTGTATAACAAGAGAGGATCCAAGACAGTAATGTAAGGAAAATAAGATCCCTAACTGGCCTTATTTGCCAAAAAGCAAATCACAATGTTCCCTTCTCGAGATCTCTGTATGGTATTCCCAGGACACCCCAGACTCTTTGGAGTAATTCTCAGGAGGGTCTATCAATCTGGAATGGGATCCAGCCCTCCAGGATGCTGAGCATCAACCTCTCATCCCAATCCTAGAAGTGAGGGAGATACAGCTAAGGAGAGACACACATGCAAGAAAAACAACTTTCAAACAGAGATGATTAATACATGGCACTAGCATAACTGCCTATACATACAAATATGCAAAAATATTAACGTACTATTTAAATGTAAAAATAAAACTCCAAAGTAACCTAAGAAATTGTATGTATAATCTGGGCACAGACTGTCTTAACCAGGACTGGAAACCCAGAAGCCTTAATGGAAAAAAAAAATTATGTTAAAAACTAAAATCTCACTATGACCAGCAATATAAGAAAAGAAGTTAAAAGGATGGGGAGGCAGGGCACAGTGTGGCTCACACCTGTAATCCCAGCACTTTGGGAGGCCGAGGCAGGAAGATCACTTGAGTCCAGGAGTTGGAGGCCAGCCTGGGCAACATAACAAGACCTATCTCTACAGAAAATTTTTTTAAATTAGCTGGGCATGGTGGCACATGTCTGTAGTCTCAGATACTCCAGAGGCTGAGGCAGGAGGATCGCTTGAACCTGGAAGGTCAAGACTGCAATGAGCCATGATCCTATCACTGCACTGCAACCTGGGTGACACAGTATTATTTATTTTGAGATCCTATCTCAAAATTAATAACCTAAATAAATAGGTGGGAGAGTGGACACTCTTACATCAGGTCAGAGGCTTAATATCCATAATACAGAAAGATTTTCAAAACTGACAAAGGACACCCCAACAAAAAAATGGGCAAAAGACAGGCAATTCTTAGAAAAACAAAATCAAATGGCAAACAAAGGCAAGTCTTAAAAGAACAAGTTCAAATGGCAAACAACATTAAAATTCACAACTGGGATCAAGTTCCAATGAGATATCCCTTTACATCCAACAGACTGGCAAAAATTAAAGATCATAAAGCCAACTTCTGGCCCAGATAAAAAGAAAAAGCTGCCATTTATTATTGATGGAGAACACAGGAAGCATCAGAAGCCTTTTTGGAAAGCAATCTTTCAACATTTATTACAGTTTTTTGTTTTTTTAAAGGTTCCCTTTCACCAAGCTATCCCATTCTTTGATATCTATCCAATGGAAATAGTTATGTGGAGCGACAAAAAACTGAAAACAAAGTGTATGTCTATTAACTGGGGAATGGCTGAATTTAATACATTGTTATGATTATATAACCTTAAAAAATAAATCATACTCCACATGAAAATAGTTAAGATGTGGATGATCCTATTTTTATACAGTAATACTGAAAAACCCTATACTTGTAACTGAATGCGTACCTATATACAATTCTACGAGCATAGTGAAATATATGGAACCACGTATATGTGCTACAAACAAAGGTTACCTAATATGGAGGCGGAGGTGAGAGACCCAGGTGGTGAAGAGCAACCAGGGGAAAAAAAAATACAACAGACTAAGTTTTTATATCATACTTACGTGTGTGTAAAATTATACACGTGTCTATGTAAACGTATACTTTTAAGAATTAGAATATATCTTATTGTCAGCCAACACGTTTTCCATACAGCACGTATGTGCATCACCACTCCCCACTTCTAATTTTTCCATCTCTAGGGATCTCAAATTTATAAGATATAAACTTATAAGATGCTTACCACAACTAAAAGATCTAAGTTGTAATTTGATTCCAACAAGTACCAAATAGTCAAGGCTGCTACTGCAATCAAAAAAATGTCTTAACTTCAAACAATATACTTTTTAAAAAGATCTACGCAACTAAATCTACAAAGTAAAATTATTCCAAATCACTAGATACTTGTTCCACAAATTCAAAAAGTCTGCAAATTTACCAATTACATTATACATTACAATAATTATTACAAGTTTTTTTTTTTTTTTTTAGATGGAGTTTCTGTTGCCCAGGCTGGAGTGCAGTGGCGTGATCTTGGCTCACTGCAACCTCCACACACACCCCCACCCTGGGTTCAAGGGATTCTCCTGCCTCAGCCTCCAGAATAGCTGGGATTACAGGCACCAGCCACCATGCCCTGCTAATTTTTGTGTTTTTAGTGGAGATGGTTTCACCATGTTGGCCGGGCTGGTCTCGAACTCCTGCCCTCAAGTGATCCACCCGCCTCAGCCTCCCAAAGTGCTGGGATTACAGTCAAGAGCCAGCACGCCCAGCCAATTATGGAGTAAGCTCTAATAAGAAAAAAAAATTATTCAAGGCAAGCATTCAGCATTCATTAGTATTGAGCATGTAACTGTTCTGAGTTTGAAAAAAGAAAAAGGACAATGAGGATGTGAAGATTTCTTTAAGAATACACAAGTGTCTACTACTACTGTTTACATACCAGTAATGTTCTTGGCTTGTTAGGTTCACCCATTTGTATGTATTATCTAACAGTTCTCTTTGAAATGGAATAAGTTAACAGTTCCAAATGGCCACCCAAAACTATTCTGGGCCGGGCATGGTGGCTCACACCTGTAATCCTAGCACTTTGGGAGGCTGAGGCAGGCAGATCACCTGAGATCAGGAGCTCAAGGTCAGCCTAGTCAACACGGCAAATCGCCATCTCTACTAAAAATACAAAATTAGCCGGGCGTGGTGGTGCATGGCTGTAATCTCAGCTACAATAATTACTGAGGCACAAGAATCGCCTGAACCTAAGAGGCAGAGGTTGCAGTGAGCCAAGATTGTGCCACTGCACTCCAACCTGGGCAACAGAGCTAGACTCAAAAAAAAAAAAAAAAAAGAACAAAACTATTCTGACTTTCTCGTTGCAGAGTTTAAGTTCTATACAGTTCCCTCTATGCATGCATAAAGTTTTGTGACAATATCTGAACTTGACCAAGATCAAAACATAACTTCTTTAAAAAAATCATTTAAATTCAGTTTGAACCAAAATCAGAAATGATGAAGTTAGCAGTTACTAAGATTACACATCATTCAACAAATATACACTGAGGGCTTACTATGAACTAAGTACATATATCAACAAAATTTAAGACTTGAAAATAACCTGAAAAACTGTAAAAACAAAAAGGTTACATGAAAAGGGAACCAAAAACAGCTACCTATGATTAATTATGTAGATTAAGAAAGGAATTCAGGAGCCTCTGAGGCTCCTGATCTGAAGAAATCTCAACACGGGAGCGCATCCCTTTGCCAACAATAATAAACTTCATCAGCTATTTTACTAATGGAGACCTCTGTTCATCTTCCCAAAATAGACAGCAAAAAACGCTGAAGATAGAGAATGGCAGGCAAGTTAAATACACTGATAGCATAAATTATCTTGATTAAAAGAAGGAGGTAGTGGCTCATGCCTGTAATCCCAGCACTTTGGGAGGCTGAGGCAGGAAGATCATAAGGTCAGCAGTTTGGGACCAGCCTGGCCAATATGGTGAAACCCCATCTCTAATACAAAAATCAGCCGGGCGTGGTGGCTGGCACCTTTAGTCCCAGCTATTCAGGAGGCTGAGACGGGAGAATTGCTTGAACCCGGGAGGCAGAGGTTGCAGTGAGCTGAGATTGCGCCACTGCACTCCAGTCTGGGCAACAGAGCAAGACTCCATCTCAAAATAAAACAAAATGCATGAAAAGAAATAGATAATATTAATTTCAATATTATTTAACCTAATATACCTAAAATATTATCCAACATGTAATCAATGTAAAAAATTATTGGCCCGGCGCAGTGGCTCACGCCTGTAATCCCAGCACTTTGGGAGGCTGAGCCAGGTGGAACATTTGAGGTTAGGAGTTCGAAACCAGCCGGCCAACATGGTGAAACCCTGTCTCTACTAAAAATACAAAAATTGCCTGGGCGTGGAGGCACACAGCTATAATCCCAGCTACTCGGGTGGCTCAGGCATGAGAATCACGTGAACCCAGGAGGCGGAAGTTGCAATGACCCGAGATAGTGCCACTGCACTCCAGCCTGGGCAACAGAGCAAGACTCTGGCTCAAAAAAAAAAAAAACAAAAATAAAAAAAAAATAAAATTTAGGTGTTTCACATTTTTTTTTAATTCTAAGGCTTTGAAACCCAATTTGTATTTTACATTTAAAGCATGTCTCAATTCAGACTAGTACATTTCAGCTCCATGGCTGGTGGCTACTATATTAGAAAGCAGATTTGTCTAAAGCAAAGGCATAGCTCAAATCATTTCTCTGGGAACCTCCCAATTTATTCCTCATAATTCTCCTCATATTAGTAACAATTCAAAATTAGTAATAATGTGGCAAAACATTTGTACTTCAAAAAATATTGCACCATAATGGTTAAAGAAATTGGTTCTGTGGTGTCAAACTTTAGAGTCTGAATCTTGAATCAGCATCTAACTTTACAGACCTGGATTCACTTAGCCTCAGTATTCTCAAATAGTGGAGTTATCTACTTCACTGTGGTTGAAAGGATTAAATGGGAAATTCGAGTAAGGCACCTACAAAGTCTGGTAAGTAGTCTGGGTACTCAATGAAAATTAGTTACAGTTGCTAGAGGTAGATGGGACTGCCATCAACAGAAACTAGCAAAGATTTCACAACTTATAAATAGGTTAAAGGAAATACAACTGCTTCATACTGCATATGAAAAAACCAAGGTGTTTACCTGGATGATCCTGCCAGTTAAAAACTATTACAAGAATTAGGGGTCAATCATGGAATGAATGCATATTGCTCTTCCCACTACAAAAAAGCTAATTTGACAACCTTAAACACTGTGATAGAGAACTTATCCAGAGTGATAATCCAGCAAAGTATCTGCCCTTTTCCTCCTAATGAAAATGTAAGCTCACTATCCTAAAAGTTACTTTGAAAAATCCCTAATGCTGGCCAGACTCAGTGGTTCATGCCTGTAATCCCAGCACTCTGGGAGGCCCAGATGGGAGTATTGCTTGAGACCAGGAGTTTGAGACCAGCCTGATCTAAATAGCAAGACCCCATCTCTACTAAAAAATAAAAATTAAAAAAATAAAACCAACCTCACAGAGTTCTTGGGAAAAGAAAATCAGGAAATACATATAGAAGCTTAATACATAATCTAGTAAAGAACAGGCTCTCATCTTAAACTATTATCTTACAGAAGGCACACAAATATCTGACATAGAAAATAACAGGTACATAAAAGTAAAAATACGGAAAAATAATGTTTTCTGGAAGTATTTAAAGCCAGGGCCTTGACAGTATCTCTCTAGATAGGTAAGATGTGCTTTTCTGCTTTCATATTTTTCGTAATTATGTGTTGCTCTTCTAATACAAAACACAAAACTTTACAAGAAATATATGCATTTAAATTGACTTTTTTTTTTTTTTTTTTTTTTGGAGACAGAGTCTCACTCTGTCACCCAGGCTGGAGTGCAATGGCATGATCTCGGCTCACTGCAACCTCTGCCTCCCCGGTTCAAGCGATTCTCCCACCTCAGCTTCCCAAGTAGCTGGGACTACAGGCGCGTGCCACCACACCTGGCTAATTTTTGTATTTTTAGTAGAGACGGGGTTTCTCTATGTTGGCCAGGCTGGTCTCGAACTCCTGACCTCGTGATCCACGCACCTCAGCCCCACAAAGTGCTGGGATTACAGGCATGAGCCACGGCGCCCGGCCTAAGTTGACTTTTTAATAACTGTGATCACCATCAGCAAGATAGAGTAGAAAATCCCAGCCTTCCTTCCCCTCCACGTTTTGCAACTATCTGTGAATGAAAATAAAAGCTGTTGTGATCATTTATTTTGACATCCAGTTAAATCTTCATTACTTAGCATTTTAATGAAAATTATCTTTTTAAATATGCAAAACAACCATTTTAAATTATCTGGAACTATGTATTTTTAAATTAACAGGGTGGCCTAATATTAAGACAATTATCGTTTTTTCAATTACAAATCTCCACAATGAAACCAACTAACAAGATTCTGTACTAACCTTGAAAAGTCAGCATACCCTCTGAACGCAACTTTTTACTATAATTCTATTGGTCATCATTATTAATATATCTATGCATAATTTAGATTACGCTCAAATTCCACTTAATATTAAATCAAGCTAAACAGGGAATTATAGAAATATAGTACTTTGAGATTTGTTTTGTAGACAGTTACACGGTGGAAGCAGACAGCTCTAAAAGTAATTAACTCTGGCCAGGCGCGGTGGCTCACGCCTGTATTCCCAGCACCTTGGGACGCCGAGGCGGACAGATGGAGGCCATCCTGGAGATCGAGAACATCCTGGCCAACATGGTGAAACTCCGTCTCTACTAAAAATACAAAAAATTAGCTGGGCGTGGTGGTGCGTCCCTGAAATACCAGCTACTCAGGAGGCTGAGGCAGGAGAATCGCTTGAACCACTGAGTCAGAGGTTGCAGCCAGCCAAGATTGCACCACTGCACTCCAGCCTGGTGACAGAGCAAGACTCCGTCTCAAGAAAACAAAAAAATGTAACTCTACCTTCTGCAGAAAGTGACTGAAATCTCAGAGCTTACAGGTTCCCTTCGAACATCATGGAAACTTTCCTATGAGCCAGAAACTGAGTGACTTACTTCCAACTTCTATTTAAAATTATACTCATGGTCGGGCGTGGTGGCTCACACCTGTAATCCCAGCACTTTGGGAGGCCGAGGAGGGCGATCATTTGACGTCAGGAGTTCGAGGCCAGCCTGGCCTACACAGTAAAACCCCGTCTCTACTAAAAATACAAAAATTAGCCGGCCATGTTAGCACATGCCTGTTGTCCCAGCTACCTGGGAGGCTGAGGCAGGAGAATCACTTGAACCTGGGAGGTGGAGGTTGCAGTGAGCCGAGATCGCACCACTGCGCTCCCACCACTGTGCTCCCACCCGGGCAAAAGAGCAAGATTCTGTCTCAAAAAATAAAAATAAAATGAAATTATACTCAGCCCAAGGCCATACAAATTGCAATGCTATTACAAAGACTAATATATATTTATACATCAGTTAAAAAGCACTTTAATGATGCAAATGAGCCGGAGGTTTCTGTGGGGTAATGGAACGTTCTGAAGGAAGACTGTGGCGGTGGTTACACAACTCTGTAAATACACTGTCATTCAACTGTACACTTAAAAAAGGTTGTTTTATAGAATATACATTCTACCTCATTAAAACTTTCTTTTTCAAGACACCTTAAATGTCCAGTAGTATAAAACCTAAGATGCTACTTTAGGTATGAGAAGTACAAAAGTACAAAGCCTATAATGTTATTTTATATAACAGCATAGCCCACCAACAAATGCTTAATTAACATCTTCCCATTCTCTCTCATCCCCGCAGATTTATAGGGCTACGAACATGCACAAATCAAGTTTCTAATATCTCTAACTATAGAGCCACTGTTAAATGCAGAACAATGTATTTAGCATGCCACCATTTGTGTACATACTATTTTTTAAAGGCTACCCTAATTTTAGGTAAAATATTCAGATCTTCAGCGTTTCACTGGTTCCAATTAATTTGTGAAATGAAGTTTCAGTTCTACTACAAAAACTTTAATCAAAGTCTACAGAGTACTGCCTCAAGGCATGATAACTGACTTTGAAACTCATCAATGGCAATTCACACTTACGGCCAAATGTGTGTCTTCTGCCTATACGGGGTAAGAGGAGGGGAAAAAAGGGAAATTCAGATCACCTGTACATTGAAAAACCACCAAAAAAAACCAAAGAAATACACTAAAATGTTAACAGCTCTCATCTCAAGGCAACTTCTAGTTTTTGCTGAGTTCCAAAATTACCTCAGTGACCATGTATTATCTTCTAAATTGGAAAAAAACTAATTAAAATTAAATTGCTTCTACGCTAAATGGAAGCCGGACTCAAAACACTACACAATATAGTGTACGATTCTATATACGTAACGTTCTGAATAAGAAAAACTATGGGGACAGAAAACACTCTAGAAGCTGGGGTTGAGGAATGGTTGACTGAAAAGGGCATGACGGAAATTTGGGGGCTATGAATCTTGATAAATGCTGACACCACCACAGTTAAAGTGACAGTTAATCTTGATAATTGTCAGCATTTATCAAGATTCATAACCGTACACCAAAAAAGGCTTATTTTACTGTATGTAAATTAACATTAACTTTTACATTCTAATGAATAAAAAGCAATAAACTTCTGTGCAATAAGCCAATGGTTTTCAAGTCAGCAGTTTAATAGGATAAAAATATACTGGGGATCACAGAACTACTTCAAGCCCCTCATGTTAGACAGAGAGATTTGTTCAGGGGTCCATTGTTAGATAATGGTAAGGTGAAGTACAGACCTAGAATTCTCATCTGTTTACTTCAAATCCAGGACTCTTTTCCACTCCGCCATTCTCATTCTTCCAGAGTTCTGAAGACCACAGTTTCCACAAAGTGCATATGCAAGTGGATTATGGCTGGACATAAAATTCCAAATGTTCAAGCGTACATGATTTCAGTGCACACACAGGTGGCTAGTGTCCTTTCCAACCTTTGTCAAAGTACCAACTCACTTTGTGAGGCAAAATGAGTAATGGAGTCAAAGTCTAAGTAGAAACAAGCAGTAGATTGTAGATATGTATAGAGATCAATTATAAATACTTCAGAGTTCCAAAATGGGGACATTTGATTCATTGTGAATTGACTGGAAAAAAAAAATACCGTGAGAAACCAAAGTAAGACTGCAAACAATCTTTACTAAAATTACCTTCACCTTATTAAAAAAAGGAAAAAATATCTTGCATAGCAGGCTATTGACAAATATACTTTGCTAAAAATAGTTGTCTACCACATGCATGATGCAGAACCATGAAATAAAGCAAAATAATCACTTTATTTTTTCCAATATGCAAGAAAAAATGCATACCTCCCTTATACAAGAACTACAGGGCCAAATAGTGAGAATTTAAAACTTTTCGGGAAAGGGGTGGGGGGTGATGCAAAACGACTTATCTACAATTGATAGGAAAAACATAGATAAGTCTATTCTTTTCGCCGTCTTACCCAGCGAACTGTATCTGCAGTAGTCCAGGGAAAGCAACCACCAGGTTTCAATAACAACAAAAGTCAATTAACTATGTACTCAAATTTCACCTAGGTCATTGGTCTGACATCAAGTCTTAAACCGAGAACGTCAATGTTAACTACTCACGCATTAACATAAAGTCTCATTTCCAACAGGCACTGTTCCTACTTTAAGTTTACCACCTAAGGAGATTTAAACTTGCAAAAAGCTTAGGGGGATCCTTTATACGCTGTGATTCCCCATTATGCTGGTACCACGTGACAGTTAAACCAAATCCACAGAGCTAATCAGTAAACTAAGAAAAGAAAATCAAAATGCTGAAAATAGAAAATCGTGGCCAAATAAAATAAAAACCCATAGGATAAAAGGTACGCTGAAATGAAAACCTGTGAGAATTCACTTTGCATACGCACAATACTCATGTATTAGAAGAAGGCCCTTCATAAAAATAGCCAAGACTCTCAAACATTTGAGATGCTGGCTTAGTGAGATTGACTGACAGACAACAGCTGGGGAGATTCTGTATTGATCTTCTAACAACCTGGCGTATTTCGGGAAAATAAGGAGAAAAGAACGCTATAGTGGCAAAAAATAAACTATTAGGATTTCATTTTCAGATATGTGAACGCTGAATGCCCCACCAAATTCCTCTACTCTATTCCTCTTACGTTTTTCAGCCCCGATTCCATAGTAATGGATGTCCTTCCTCCCAAGCAAACAAACAAAAAACCTCGTGGGAGAAAAAACAAAACAAAACAAAACCTCCCTCCAAAAACAGGGGCAGTGATATAAAGAAATTAGTCACCTCTCCACCTATCTCCCTGATCCATTTCGCATTTTAAATCTTACTTTAAAGCTCACAACTCTCCTTTTCTTCCGTAATAGAGGGGCTAAGGCGCCGCCCAATTTCCCAGGCCGCAAAAATATTCCAACCCGCCACAATTCAAGGTTTTCTGCTTTTCTGTATTTGATCCTAACCCTCAATCCGGTACCCCCATTCTCCTCAGACACTAAAGATTTGTTGGCCCAAAACTCAAATACAAGGGTGAATTCCAAAGATTCCGCGATACACCCGCCCCAAGGGGTGGGGAGGGGTCGGAGGAGCGGGCTGAGGAGCTCCCGCCCGGCCCAGTTCGAGGGGCGGGGGAGCGGGTGAGACCACACAATCCCACCGCCTCCTTTCACGACTCCCCCACCTCCCAGAGCTCGGGCCTGCTCCGAAGGAGCTCCCGCCGCCCAGCAGCCACTCAGTTGCTTCCCACCGGCCCGCCAAGAACCGCACTAGCAACCAAGAGGGTTCATAACTAGGAAAATGCAAGAGGTGTCCGACGTGTTGTTTCAAAACATAACGGAGCCCCGGCCCCCGAGACCGTTAAACCGCGGGTGGAGGGGGGAGAAGCAAGGAATCCAGCGGCCTCGAGCTTTGGCCTGGCTGCCTTTCCGACCCCAAACCTCACTCTCTGGGACCACCAACCCTCCCTCAAACGCGCTCCAGCACCCAGAACACTCGACAAAGTGGCAAAACGGTCAGTACCTTGTAGAAAGCCCCGTTAGAGCCGCGAACCTCCACCGTCAGCTCCGCCATGTTGGAACCGCAAAGGCCGCTGGGAAGAGATTCTAGAAACTTTCCAACCAGAGGGGAGGAGGGGGGAGGGGCGAGAAGGAGGCGGGGAAAGGGGAGGGGAAAACAGGGCTGGGATTGGGATCCCCCGCCCTTCACCCCTGGGGTCTCAACGTGCCGCCCCGACTCTCCAGGTGGGATCCCTGCGCACCCTGCATCACCGGCTTTGGGCTCCGCCTGCCGCCGTCTACGTCGGATTTGCCTCCAGACACAATCGCCCGACCTTTGTTGACCCGCCCCTAGGTCTCCGCCCCACAGTGCCCGCAGTTCGCACCGCGGCGGCCGAGTAGTGCCTCCAGCTGCCACAGAATGAACTGCCCAGGCACAGCCTGCCCGGCGCATCGGCATTCCCCTGAGCTCCGGCATCCTGACCTTAAACTTCTGGAAGTGCTGGCTGCCCTGGAATGGCTTTCTCACCCACTTTTTGGGCTCCAGTTGCCCTGGGGAAGAGGGATGCCTACAAAATAGACATACTGTTGTGCCCCAAGTTATTTCGCCCCGCTCTTTTTTTAAAAAAAGTTGGGCCTTCTCTTCACTCAAATTCCACAGTTCCACACCCCCTCAAACAATTTGGCCTAGCCCTCTCCCCACCTGTTACCACTTTAGCTCTTTAAAAGTCAAACTGAGTATTTTCAGGGCAAGTAATTGTGTTCACACCCTAGAACAGAGTTTAGGTGAATTCGCCTTATTAAAAGTAGTCAGACAAACTTAATAGAGCAGGAGACCACGTTTTCCTCTGTTAAATGCATGCAAATTTCCGCAAATAGGATCAAAGCAGAACCATCTCCAGTTTTGTAAGCATAACAAATACTTTGGGTATGGATTTTAACAACTTAATACTGAAGCTCCTTCCCTAAGCAAGGGCTTTGGAAAATAATACTATAAGTGCTCCTTGTTATACTTACATTATTACCGTTTTCGCAGAAAAACTTAAGAAAGGATACTTTGCTAACATTCTATACTTCCCATGAAACGCCCACTGACCCAGTTTTTCAGATTCTAAAAAAATAAAATGTACACAACATTTTATGAGCACGTCTGCATCTCTGAAGATTCTGGGAAAAAATGAGGGCTGTGAAAGTGCTCACTGTTGTTATGTACAGGATATTCTATTTATTTATTTATTTAGAGACAGGGTCTCACTCTGTTACCCAAGATGGAGTGCAGTGGCGTGATTACGTGGCAGCCTGGACTTCCCAGGCTCAGGTGATGCTGCCACCTCAGCCTCCCGAGTAGCTAGGACTACAATATTTATTTTATTTTATTTTATTTTATTTATTATTATTTTTTTAGACAATCTCGCTCTATCGCCCAGGCTGGAGTGCAGTGATGAGATCTCAGCTCACTGCAACCTCCGCCTGCTGGTTCAAGTGATTCTCCTGCCTCAGCCTCCGGAGTAGTTGGGATTACAGGCGCGCACCACCACACCCAGATAATCTTTTTGTGTTTTTAGTAGAGATGGGGTTTCACCATGTTGGCCAGGCTGGTCTGGAACTCCTGACCTCATGATCTGCCTGCCTCGGGATTGCAGGCATGAGCCACCGTGCCCAGCCTATGTATTCACTCCCGGCCTATTTTTTTTTTTTTTTTTAAGACAGGATCTCTATCGCCAAGGCTGAAGTGCAGTGGCACAATCATAGCTCACTGTAACCTTGAACTCTTGGCCATCCCACACTGGGCTGGGATGTTCTTTTTAAAGTGTTGATCATCATGAGAAAAATGTAAACAACTAAATGCCCATCAATGAGTAATAGCCACCATTTATTAAGGGCACCTTATGCTAACACTCTATATTGTATCTCATTGTGATCCTTCAGAATTATAATGTCCCATTTGCTTTCTTAAAAAGTTTTCTTTAGATATAATTCTCCCATTTATAATGTACAATTCAGTAGTTTTTAGTATATTCACAGATTTGTGCAACCATCACCACAGTCAATTTTAGAACATTTTCATCACTGCAAAAATAACCCCATACCTGTTAGCGTTCACTCTAGATTTAACCCCAGCTCCCCAGGCCCTAGGAAATCACTATCCTGTTTTCTACCTATATAGATTGGCCTAGTCTAGATATTTAATATAAATGAAATCGCGGAATATGTGTTGTTTTATGACTGGCTTTCTTTTTTCTTTTTCCTTTTTTTTTTTTTTTGAGACAGAGTCTCACTCTGTTGCCCAGGCTGGAGTGCAGTGGCTTGATCTCCACTCACCACAACCTCCACCTCCTGGACTAAAGTGATTCTCCCGCCTCAACCCCCTGCCCCACAAGTAGCTGGGAGTACAGACACCACCCACCACGCCCGCCTAGCCTAATCTTTGTATTTTTTGTAGAGATGGGGTTTCACCATGTTGCCCAGGCTGGTCTCGAACTCCTAAGCTCAAGTTATCCACTGCCTCCGCCTCAGCCTCCCAGAGTGCTAGGATTACAAATGTAAGCCACTGCACCTGGCCTATGATTGGCTTCTTTCATTTAGTATAATGTATTATAGTTTCATCCATGTTGTAGAATGTATTACTACTCATTCCTTTTTGTCAAATATACTGTTGTATGGATATACCACATCATTTTATTTATTAATTCATCAATTGATAGAAGTTTGCTTTGTTTCTACTTTTTGGCTGTTAGGAATAATGCTGCTATGAAAATTGCTGTATATGTTTTGGTATAGACAGATGTATGTTTTTGTTTCTCTTGGGTATATAGCTAGAAATGGAATTGCTGACTCGTGATAACTCCATGTTTAAACCTTTTGAGGAATTGCCAGACTTTTCCAAAGTGGCTGCATTATTTGCATTCCCACCAACAGTGTATGAGGGTCCCAGTGTGCTTTTCTTTATGGGTTCCCCTCTCCTTTCCTGTCCTCCCCTCCCCTCCCTTCTCTTCCTTTTCTCTTCTCTCTTCTCTCCTCTCTCTCTCTCTGTTTTGGCTTTCAGTGTATTTTTTGTTTGTTCTCAATGTGAGTGATTTTGAGTATGGATGCGAAAGTTCCACTTGGGCACAGGCCAAAGCATCTCATACTGCCTGAACTCTAAAGAATAAGTATTGTCCCTCTTCAGGCCTTGCATAGCGAAAACATTTGAATTTGGAACCCAGCCAACACTTTACTACTTCTTCTAGGTAGACTTCGTGATTTCAATTAAGCAACTGAGCCCTATAGCAACCAGTAACACATGTAAGATCAGACAAGCTGTAAGTGTCAGAACTACGATTTGAGCCCTCTTACTTTCCATTTCCAGTGCCACATCAATGACTGTTTGCAGCCTCCATATAATATTCAAAATGGGACATTACACAAACTTTAAAATTTTGATGTAGATCTATTTTCATCATCATAAAAAGATGTTCACTTTAAAGAATGTCACAAAACACCATACATAATCATATTAAAATATATATGCAGTGTGTATATACATATATAAAGTCTGAAAGTTAATATTTCCATATATTATTAGAGGATATTTCCAGAAGATGGGCTAATGATTTACGTAAACTATATAATGTCTATATTTTTTGCCTCATCTGAATTTTTCACAATGAGCATGTTACCTGATCAAAAAAAAAAAAGTTCTTTTTGGCTGGGCACAGTGGCTCATACCTTTAATTCCAGCACTTTGGAAGGTCAAGGCAGGGGGATCACTTGAGGCCAGGAGTTTAAAGCCAGGCTGGGCAACATAATGAGAGCTCGTCTCTACAAAAGCGACAAAAGTTAGCAGGGCGTGGTGGTGTGCACCTGTAGTCCAGGCTACTCAGGAGGCTGAGGCAGGAGGATTGCTTGAGCCTGGAGGTCGAGGCTGCAGTGAGCTGTGTTTGCACCACTGCATTCCAGCCAGGGCAACAGAGCAATACACTGTCTCAAAAAAAAAAAGATATTTTCATTTTTAAATACTATACCATGGAATCTTCTACAGCCACTAGCAATGAAATTATAGAAGACTATCTACTGATATGAGAAGATGTCTATAACTGTAAAAAGCAGCTTATATATGCAACCAATTTTGTACAGGATACATATATGTATATTGCATGAAAATGTATTACAAAGACTTTACCAAAATGCTAACAGTGGTTCTCTTAGGGTAGTGGCATCATGAATGTTTATTTCTCTGTCTCTCTTTCTGTGTGTGTGCGTGTGTGTGTGTGTGTGTGTGTGTGTGTGTGTGTGTATGTATGTTTAAATAGGGATTGGGGTCTCGCTGTGTTAACCAGGCCAACCCTGGACTCCTGGGCTCAAGCAATCCTCCTGCCTGGGCCTCCTAATGTCCTGGGATTAGAGGCATAAGCTACCATGCCCTGCCTTCTTTGTGAGTTTCTATATTTTCCAAGTTTTCTGTATTGAAAAGCAGTACTATTTCTTTTTCCTTTTTTTTTTTTTGAGACAGAGTCTCACTTTGTTGCTCAGGCTGGAGTGCAGTGGCCCGATCTTGGCTCACTGCAGCCTCTGCCTCCTGGGTTACATGCTATATTCCTAGCACTTTAGGAGGCCTAGGTGGGCAGATCACTTGAGGTCAGGAGTTCAAGACCAGCCTGGCCAACATGGTGAAACCTCTTCTCTACTAAAAATACAAAAAAATTAGCCAGACGTGGTGGTGGGCGCCTGTAATCCCTGCTACTCAGGAGGCTGAGGCAGGAGAATCACTTGAACCCGGAGGCTGCAGTGAGCCGAGATTGTGCCACGGCACTCCAAAAAGGAAAATACTTTTTTAAAATAAAAGTAAATGCAGATTGAAACCTTGTATACACAGCTACTGGAACACTTATTAAGATTAAGGTTTCGATCAATTTTGTGGCACTATTTTTAGCTTGAATTGTCTTAATGTGATATTGAAACGTGCTATCATTTTAAATCTCCTTAAAGTATTTCACTTGAAATTAATTATTATTATTATTATTTTTAATTTGAGATGGAGTTTCGCTCTTGTCACCCAGGTTGGAGTGCAGTGGCACAATCTTGGCTCACCGCAAACTCTGCCTCCTGGGTTTAAGCGATTCTCCTGCCTCAGCCTCCCGAGTAGCTGGGATTACAGGCATGCGCCACCACGCCCAGCTAATTTCGTACTTTTAGTAGAAACAGGATTTGTCCATGTTGGTCAGGCTGGTCTCGAACTCCTGACCTCAGGTGATCCAACCACTTCGGCCTCTCAAAGTGCTGGGATGACGTGTGAGCCACTGTGCCCAGCCTTGAAATTAATTTTAACTTTTATTTGATTGTTATTATTATTTTTTTTTTTGAGACGGAGTCTCTCTCTGTTGCCAGGATGGAGTGCAGTGGCACAATCTGGGCTCACTGCAATCTCTGACTCACAGGTTCAAGCCATTCTCCTGCCTCAGCCTCCTGAGTAGCTGGGATTACAGGTGCGAGCCACCACACCCAGCTAATTTTTGTACTTTTAGTAGAGACGAAGTTTAACCATGTTGGCCAGGATGGTCTCGATCTCCTGACCTCATGATCTGCCTGCCTCGGCCTCCCAAAGTTCTGGGATTACAGGCGTAAGCCACCGTGCCCGGCCAATTTTAACTTTTCTAAATTGAGACGATAATTATCCTTTCTCAAGAAACAAAAAATTAGGAAATATAAAATAACTTTTAATTTCTCAACCAACAGTTTCTAGAACTAATTGTGCCTGATTTTATAAATATTGAAAATATCGTCCGGGCCCGGTGGCTCACACCTGTAATCCCAGCACTTTGGGAGGCCAAGGCAGGTGGATCATCTGAGGTCAGGAGTTCGAGACCAGCCTGACCAACATGGAGAAACCCCGTCTCTGCTAATAATACAAAAATTAGCCGGGCATGGTGGCACATACCTGTAATCCCAGCTACTCGAGAGGCTGAGGCTTGAGAATCACTTGAACCCGTGAGGCAGAGGTGGCGGTGAGCCGAGATCACGCTATTACACTCCAGCCTGGGCAATGACAGCAAAACTCTGTCTCAAGGAAAAAAAAATTTCAGGCTTGGCATGGTGGCTTACCCCTGTAATCCCAGCTCTTCAGGAGGATCGCTTGAGTTGAGGCCAGAAGTTTGAGACCAGCTTGGGCAACAGAGTGAGACCCCCTCATCTCTACAGAAAAAAAATTTTTAATTAGCTAGGTGTGGTGGTGGTGATGGTGGGGTGTGTGTGTGTGTGTGTGTGTGTGTGTAGAATTATACATATGTATATATTTATATATATAAAATCTATGATGTATATATGCTATTGTGCATACATTATATATTTATTTATTTTAGAAAATTAAAAAGAGCTTCTGGAAATTAACAGTATGTCAGCAAAAGCAAAAAACTCAATAAAGGAGTTGAAAGATAAAGTTGAGAAAATGTTCTAGAAAATGGAGCAAAGAGATTAACATATGGACACTAGAAAATATAAGAAAATAAGAATATCAGTCTAAGTGATACAATTTCCAAATAGTAAGCATTCTAAAAAGAGAGAATGGAGAAAAAGGAGGAGGAAAAATTGTACATGAAATAATTCAGGAAATTTCCCAGAGAAGGACACGTAGTGCCACATTGAAAGACCCCATCTAGTGCCCCACACATAAACACACCCACACCAAAGCACATCAAGAAATTCAAGGATGCCTGAGAAGAAAATAAGATATTACAAGCTTCTAGAAATAAAAGAATGTTCCCATACAAAAGATGGAGGATTGAAATCACTTTAGACTTTTAAATAGCAACAATGGAAATAAGATACTTGAGCAATGCCTTCCAAAATTCTGAAGGAATATTATTTTAAAATTAGAATTTTATAGCCAGCCAAACTATCATCAGCTGTAACAGTAAAATGAAAATACTTTAAGGCTGGGTGCCGTGGCTCACACCTGTAATCCCAGCACTTTGGGAGGCCAAGGCAGACAGATCACTAGAGCTCAGGAATTCAAGACCAGCCTGGCCAACATGGCAAAAACCCTTCTCTAATTAAAATAAGGCTGGGCGTGGCAGCTCATGACTGTAATCTCAGCACTTCTGGAGGCTGAGGCAGGCAGATCACGAGGTCAAGAGATGGAGACCATCCTGGCCAACATGGTGAAACCCCATCTTTAGTAAAAATACAAAAATTATCTGGGCGTGGTGTTGTGTGCCTGTAGCCCCCGCTACTCAGGAGTCTGAGGCAGGAGAATCGCTTGAACCCAGGAGGTAAAGGGTGCAGTGAGCCGAGATCATGCCACTGCACTCCAGCCTGGCGACAGAGCGAGACTCTGTCTCAGAAAAAAAAAAAAACGTCTGGTGCGGTGGCTCACTCCTGTAATCCCAGCACTTTGGGAAGCCCAGGCGGGTGGATCACGAGATCAGGAGTTTGAGACCAGCCTGGCCAACATGGTGAAACCCTGTCTCTACTAAAAATACAAAAATTAGCCAGACACGGTGGCATGCGCCTGTAATCCCAGCTACTTGGGAGCCTGAGGCAGGAGAATCGCTTGAACCTGGGAGATGGAGGGTGCAGTGAGCCGAGACTGTGCCACTGCACTCAAGCCTGGGCGTCAGAGTGAGACTCCGTCTCAAAAAAAAAAAAAAGAAAAAAAAAATTAGCTGGGCATGGTGGCACATGCCTGTAATTCCAGCTACTCAGGAGGCTGAGGCACGAGAATCACTTGAACCCAGGAGGTGGAGGTTGCAGTGAGCCGAGATCACACTACTGCACTCCAGTCTGATCAACACAGAAGACTCTGTCTCAAAAAAAAAAAAAAAAGAAAAGAAGACATTAAAAAATGTAAAAAATTTACTTACTCAACTTTTTTTCTGAGGAAGCAGCTGAAGATTATGGTTATTCCAAAGGAAAAAAAGAAAGTTGAGTGGTCAACAAAGGATTCTAACACAGAGGAGAGGTGAAAAGTGAATCCCCAGATGTTGATGAAGGAAGATGTCAGCATAACAGTTGTATTAGGAGCGTAACCGTCTAGTCAATGGTGTCCAACAGAAAAAAAAAAAAGGAAAGAAAAAATAGTTTAACCAGCACTTGCACCCAGAAATGGCTATCTGAAAAACTAAAAAAAATATATTTTTTAAAAAGCGTGTAATAACATCAACACAAAAGAGTGTAACCAGCCCAGTTTTTTGTTGTTGTTCTTTTGTTTTTTGTTTTAAAAATAACCTAGACTGGAGTCCAGTGGAGCAATCTTGGCTCACTTCAACCTCTGCCTCCTGATTCAAGGGATTCTCCTGCCTCAGCTCCTGACCTCAGGTGATCTGCCCGCCTGCCTCGGCCTTCCAAAGTGCTGAGATTACAGGCATGAACCACCGCACCTAGCCTCCAGCCCAGTTTTTAGGAAGTAAAAACATCTTTGAGAGAGACTTTTTCAGGATTAATCTGATAGAATGCTTCCTGTGAATGAACTTCTTGAGCAGATATTTAGATGGTTAATGGACTGTTGGGACTGAATTATGACTAGGTAGTTAGAACATTAAGCAAGTTTTAAAAAGATAATTAACAACATTAGGAAGAAATAAAGTCATTCCAGAAAAGTAGTCCTCATTTATCTCATGGCTCAGCTCTGAATGTATAAATATTATGAAAATACATATAAAATTGATCCAACTGAATTCCAACATGAGTAAGTTGAAGAAAGAGCAGTGGTACTTGTGCATGTGTAATGTGGGAAATAAAGGGAAGAGAGCTGAGGTCTCATCTTCCACAATGCCCATAATATATGGGCAATAGATAAATGACCACGTATTTTTTAGAGATATGGAAGACACCAAATAATAAGCTAAAAAGTTAAACGCAGTTGTCTCTGGGAAAAGGAAAATAATTTTGGAGAGTAGTGAGACATTGAAGTTTTTCTAAAATTTTTTGAGAACTAATTGATTCTCCCTCCCTCCATCCCTCCCTCCCTCCTTTCCTTCCTTCCTTCCTTTCTCTCTCTCTCTCTGTTCTCTCTGTCTCTCTTTCTTTTTTCTTTCTTTCTTGACGGAGTCTCACTCTGTCACCCAGACTGCTCACTACAACCTCCACCTCTTGGGTGCAAGTCATTCTCCTGCCTCAGCCTCCCAAGTAGCTGGGATTACATGTGCCTGCCACCATGCCTAGCTAAATTTTGTATTTTTAATAGAGATGGGGGTTCACCATGTTGGCCAGACTGGTCTTGAACTCCTGACCTCAAGTGATCTGCCTGCCTTGGCCTCCCAAAGTCCTGGGATTATAGGCTTAAGCCACTGCGCCTGGCCCTTTTTCCTTTTTTTGAGATGGAGTCTCGCTCTTGTCGCCCAGGCTGGAGTATAGTGGCGCAATCTCGGTTCACTGTAACCTCCGCCTCCCAGGTTCAAGCGATTCTCCTGCCTCAGCCTCCTGAGTAGCTGGGATTACAGGCTGTCCTGCCCCAGCCTCCTGGGATTACAGGCGCCCACCACCAAGCCAGCTAATTTTGTACTTTTAGTAGAGATGGGGTTTCACCACATTGGTCAGGCTGGTCTCGAACTCCTGACTTCAGGTGATTCACCCACCTCGGCCTCCCAAAGTGCTGGGATTACAGGCATGAGCCAATGTACCTGGCCCCTTTCCTTCTTTTTAACCGCTCCTTTTGGAGCAGGGCTACCCCACAGGCAGTGTGCCCAAAGCAGCCTGATTCTTTAAATAGGTAGAATTTTTGACAAAGATCAAAGCTAAAAAGAAGAAATACAATTTTCTTCAGAAGAAAGAGTATCCTTTCTGCTCTGTAGACAATCCAGGACTGAGATGCATTAATGCAGAACTGAGGGTCTGAGGTCTGGTAGCACCAGTAGTGACCGAGAAAAATAGAATGTTCTGAAAGTCAATAGACAAGACATGGTTCTTAACTTTAGGATCATATTTCAGGCCTATGCTATCATGCCATTTTTCAACTCTTAAGCTGCTTTCCTTTACTATGCTTTTTAGGCAACTCTTACAATGTAACTCTTATGCTCATTCCACCTTAATTAAATTGCTAATAGTGCTGAGATATTGTGATGTTGCGGTTAAGGGCATGAACTTTAGAATTAGAATCCTTTATTTGCTATATGGTCTTTAGTGAGTTGGTTAACATCTCTGAGCTTTACTTCTCTCTTTTTAAAATGTAGAATAATGTTTACCTCAATGGGCTAATAAGATCAAGTGAAGAAATATATGTAAAGGTGCTGACTACACAGTGTCTGGCATGTAATAAGCACTTAAATTATTATTATTAAACTCTAGAAGTCTATTACTGCTAGATTCAGTATTTTAAGTGCAAGACTCATTTATCTGAAATCATTATAAATACTTAGTGATTTTTTTTTTTTTTTGAGACAGAGTTTCACTCTTGTTGCCCAAGCTGGAGTGCAATGGTGCGATCTTGGCTCACTGCAATCTCTGCCTCCCGGGTTCAAGCGATTCTCCTGCCTCAGCCTCCCGAGTAGCTGGGATTACAGGTGTGTGCCACCACGTCTGGCTAATTTTTTGTATTTTTAGTAGAAATGGGGTTTCACCATGTTATCCAGGCTGGTCTTGAACTCCTGACCTCAGATGATCCGCCCACCTTGGCCTCCCAAAGTGCTGGGATTACAGGCGTGAGCCACCTCGCACAGCCTTACTTAGTGTTTTGTTTGTTTGTTTGTTTGTTTTTTAAACGAGTCTCATTCTGTCGTCCAGGCTGGAGTGCAGTGGCACAATCTCGGCTCACTGCAAGCTCCGCCTCCTGGGCTCATGCCATTCTCCCGCCTCAGCCTCCTGAATAGCTGGGACTACAGGCGCATGCCACCACGCCCAGCTAATTTTTTTGTATTTTTAATAGAGACGGCTAATCCCGATTCATTATTGGATCATGAAATCAATTCAGTGGATATTATCAACATTTTAAAAGTTGAAATAAAATACTAATGAATAGACCAGAGAACTTTCCACTAATAAAGGCTTACTTAAATGTTTGAGAAACATTGGCCTAGTGCTGTTTGAAGCTAATGGTGGTCCCCTCCTTTTAAATAAGAGCACAGTAACATTGATTTAAAGAAAAAAAAACTTAAAAATAAATAAATGCACTTAAGGTAACAGTTATGGAAGATTAAAAATAATAAAATGCACAATTATGGAAAGAGAAAATAAAATGAACAGTTATAGAAGGATAAAGATGATTAAAAATGATTAATTGCGTATGTTTTTCTTTTTTTGTTTGTTTGTTTTTTTGTGATGGAGTCTCTCTCTGTTGCCCAGGCTGGAGTGCAGTGGCGCAGTCTTGGCTTACTGCAACCTCCCGGGTTCAAGCGATTCTCCTGCCTCAGTCTCCCAAGTAGCTAGAATTATAGGCACCTGCCACCATGCCCAGCTAATTTTTTGTATTTTTGGTAGAGATAGGGTTTCACCATGTTGGCTAAGCTGGTCTTGAACTCCTGACCCCGTGATCCCCCTGACTTGGCCTCCCAAAGTGCTGGGATTACAGGCATGTGCCACTGCACCTGGCCTTGGGTATGTTTTTCAAAGTCTTCACTACAGTAATAAGTTATCATATTCATAAAAGTCTAAGGTCAAGTCTATGTTTACAATAAAATAACTCCTAGTTTCCAATGCTTTCAAGACCACCAAAATCAAAAAAAGTACTTTTTGAAGTCCATGGCATCCTAGCTCATATTTTACGCCTATGAATAAAATTCTGAAGTCATATCTTTTTAGTTCATTAGAAATTCTAAAGTCTTACCTTTTTAGTTCATTAAAAATGTCTTTGATAAAACATTTTATATTTTTAAAGAAGGAGACGTATACCCATCATTCAGACTTTAGTTTTTAAACGCAGTTCCCGAATAATAGGAACCAGGGCTTCCAGGAGAAATGGCTGATTCCATGTCAGGGGAAGGAGAGTATGAGATGAACCTAGTACATGCTGCTGTGCCACAATATACGTATAGCTCAAATACTGATGGACCGTGTTATAAGAACCCACCAGCCAGTTTGGAGACGTTCCCACTGGCTAAATCTGATAAACTGGGTTTCTTGTTTGTTTCTGAGACAGAGTCTCGCTAAGTTGCCTGGGCTAGAGTGCAGTCACTGCAACCTCCGCCTCCCAGGTTCAAGTGATTCTCCTGCCTCAGCCTCCTGAGAGTCGGGATTAGAAGCCCGTGCCACCACGCCTGGCTGATTTTTGTATTTTTAGTGGAGACAGGGTTTTGCCATGTTTTCCAGGGTAGTCTTGAACTCCTGAGCTCAGGTGATCCGCCTGCCTTGGCCTCCCAAAGTGCTGGTGTTGTAGGACTTTTCCTTAGTTCAGCTAAAGATGGGGTCCTTGTCTGTCCCACAGCTGCAAAAATTTAGGCTCACAGATGGTTTGAAGGGTGAGTAAAGCAGGGTTTTATTGGATGAAAAGGAAGAAAAGGGGGAAACAGGGACTCTCGCTAGGTCAGAGTCCCCGTCAGAGCACTTCCCACACGCTATTCGAATCCCACTTTCCACACAGGAAGAGGAGGGGCCAGTCTCCTCCCTGCTGCAAAGTGAACTTCCCAAGTCTCCATGTCAGTGGGCAGACTGGCTGGAGTTTCTCTGAGGACCCCCTCCCACCTGGCTGTCTCATTCCCCTCTCTAAAGAAGTACATCTGGCCGAGTGCGGTGACTCACGCCTGTAATCCCAGCACTTTGGGAGGCTGAGGCGGGCAGATCACCTGAGGTCAGGAGTTCAAGACCAGGCTGACCAACATGGAGAAAGCCTGTCTCTACTAAAAATACAAAATTAGCTGGGCATGGTGGCACATGCCTGTAATCCCAGCTATTCAGGTGGCTGAGGCAGGAGAATCACTTGAACCCGGGAGGTGGAGGTTGCAGTGAGCTAAGACCATGCAATGAATTGCACTCCAGTCTGGGCAACAAGAGCGAAACTCCATCTCAAAAAAAAAAAAAAAAAAAGGTACATCTAACTGCTCTTAGATTAAGGATAAGGACGAAGACCAATCTTAACTGCTCCCTGCTGACAGGGGGTGCTGTTTTGGGGGAAATAGCAGTCAGAGCTCCCTCAGAGGCCTATTTAAGGGTTCCTGGCAGAAGAGGCCATTGTCAGAAGCTCCAGTTGCATGACTGTTTGGAATTTGATGGCCTGAAGGCAAGAACAGACAAACCAGGTTATTAGAAAACATGTATCGAAACGAAACAAGGGTAGGGGTAAGGACAGCTCAAAAATCCTTAGGCCTTTTACCAGTTTGCACAGGGAGAGGGAGGCCAAAAGCCCAACTGGAAAAAAAAATTTACCCTTTTGCTGGCATGTTGGGCTTCTGGGTTCCCTTCCCCTAAGTCCAATCCTAAGACAACCAGTTTAAAGCTTGGCAAATTAACTCTTTCAGGTTGGAGGATGCATCTCAGGGGAGTGTAGTACGAAAACACAATTACCTATTAGTGAAGAGAGAACAGAGGAGGAGAAAGGAAAAAGAAGGCATTTTTAAAGGAGTCCCAGAGGTTCAGTATGCATTTGAATGGGGTACAGACTGAAGATGAATGGCTACCCATCTAGAAAGAGGGAAGCAGGTTTCCCTGGTTCCCTTCTCTTCCTAGCAGATACCCAGGGTATGTGAGGAGCATCTTATTTCCATCTTCCGTCCTTGCATCCCCGAGTCCCTGCGACCTTGGCAGGTGCCGCCATGGGTGTCAAAGCGACTTCCACCCATGAAGCAGGGGGCATCTAGGGGGCAAGAATCATCTGCTGTTATCCACATATACCCTGTCTCCCCTGCTGTCAGTAGCCTTGGAGTTGCCTAGACCTAATTTACATCATGGATATTAACATGGCCTTTATCCATGAAATAGGAAGCTTGGACTTGGCTTAATCGGCAGGAATCAGCCACGCTCACCTGCGCTGTGCCTTTTAACCTCTGTTGTCATCTGCCTCTGGATCCCTTAGATCCAGTTTTCTTTCCCACGGCTTTGACTTGAAGCTTGAAGTTGAGTCTGGGACAAAAATGTGTCACGAGGGGGCGGTGCATAGACTCCTTATCATAAGCCGAACGCTAAGGTGAAACTGTGGAATTGAAGTCCTCCTCCAACAAGGGAGAGAAAAGGATGTCTTGTGACACACCCAGATAACTGGTAGCTATAGTTATGCTTGTTAGGATTTGGGTGCATGGTTCCTGGCTTTTGTTAGCTCCCTTGGTTTTACTTTCCCAAAAAGGAAACCTCCAAGTGATGGACATCCTGTTTATCCCCATCACGATCTGGCAGGATTTGTAGGATAATTGCCCAGAACCAGAATATTGATCTGGATTTCTACATTACCATCCCTCTTGTCTTTTCTGAGTTAGAGCTAGAGATTGCTGGTTGGTTCACAGGAACAAGCAGGGCTAGTCTAACATGTAGGCAAAAACTTAAAAACAGCTAGTGAGTTTAGAATTTAGTGACAAATGTATGATAAGTTTGGGAACATAATTTCTCTCTCTCCAGTCCTCATTTTTGTTAAAAATAAAAAAAATTACGATAGGACTGAATGGTTTGCAAAATAGATTTTAATAATTTTTTTTTTTTTTTGAGATGGAGTCTTGCTTTGTCGCCCAGCCTGGAGTGCAGTGGCGCAATCTCAGCTCACTGCAACCTCCGCCTGCCAGGTTCAAACAATTCTCCTGCCTCAGCCTCCCAAGTGGCGGGGACTACAGGTGTGTGCCACCATGCCTGACTAGTTTTTTTTTTTGTATTTTTAGTAGAGACGGGGTTTCACCATGCTGGCCAGGCTGGTCTCGAACTCCTGACCTCCTGATCGGCCTGCCTCGGCCTCCCAAAGCACTGGGGTTACAGGCGTGAGCCACCGTGCCTGGCCCAATATATTTTAATCTTATACTTGGCCTGATTATTTGCATAAAGTGCAGCAAGAATAATTACTTCTACATAGGCCTTTTGGATTGGCTTTGATGGAACTCTGTTCCCCAACGGATCTAAGATAAGACATTTTAAAGCTGAGCCCAACCATGGGTTTGTATCCTCAAACACCTGTGAGTTGGGTGATTCTCTCCTCTTAAGGTCTCAAGATAAACTTGGAGTTTCTAGACCTGTTAGAAAGTGACATTCTTTACTGACCACAGGTCAGGAATCCTGTACAGGGACTGTGTAGGCAAGGGTATGAGGCCAGTTTCCCCACTGGGCTTTTATTGGCTCTGCAAGTTGAGATTGACTCCTTAAAGGAAAGCATGTCCTTCCAGTGGTAAAATAACCAGTTTCTCCAATTGGGTTCTTTTGCAAAAGAAAATGGATTCTTAGTGCACTGATTCTTAGTGCACTATATTGCCATATGAATGCTCACAGATAGTTTCCAAATTTTAGAGGAACCAGGTAGAGAAAAACAAACATACTCCAAATTTTGTTCATAGGAGCATACTTTACTCAATTATTAAAGGCCTTAAATAGTTCAGAATGGCTTGGGTGCAGTGGTTCACTCCTGTAATCCCAGCACTTTGGGAGGCCAAGGTGGGCAGATCACCTGAGGTCAGGAGTTCAAGACCAGCCTGACCAACATGGTGAAACCTCGTCTCTACTAAAAATACAAAAAATCAGCAAGGCATGGTGGTGAGTACCTGTAATCCCAGCTACTTAGGAGGCTGAGGCAGGAGAATCATTTGAACCCAGGAAGCGGAGGTTGCAGTGAGCCGAGATAGCGCCATTGCACTCCAGCCTGGCTGACAAGAGCAAAACTCCATCTCAAAAAAAAAAAAAGTTTCCTTGACTCTGAAAAACAAAACAAGGATCAGCAATATTCCAAGCAAATTTCAAAAAGGTTGCTTCAGCTGAGTTCTGTCCATTTAGTTAACTCTTGTTTTGCTTGATATTCACGAGCATTTCAGCTTTATGAGTCCTGTACATTTTCCTTTATTCCAATGTTACAATCTCTAAAGTTATGAGAAGCCTATATTTGCGAGCACCTGTTAAAGTTCTATAGCTCATCACAGCCGGGCGTGGTGGCTCATGCCTGTAATCCTAACACTTTGGGAGGCCGAGGCAGACAAATTACCTGAGGTTGGGAGTTCAAGACCAGCCTGGCCAACATGGTGAAACCCTGTCTCTACTAAAAAAAAAAAAAAAAGTTATATAGCTCATTATAAACCATCTTTGAAAAGGATTAAAACAAGACAACAATTATCTGTGAATAGCAAAATGTCCAGGGTAGTCAGTTAGAAACATGATTGACAAAGAAGTTTGGTTATCTCCATGGTTTACAATAACTTAACATAAAAACCTTAACTACGATTGATAGCATATATTCAGACATTAGAATTTTAGAAATTCCATACAATTTGGAACATGTATTAGCATCATTCACCAAGATACAACCTAAACAAGATTGAGCATATTTTGGCAATTCCATGTACCTAAACTTGTCACATAATCCCATTTACCTCTCTTTTCTGGACATTTCAGGGGCCCTCTAAAGTATTCGAAAAGGCAGGTGCCAGGAAAGACAATTTTGAAACTGAAGTTTGATTTTGGGAAGGCTGTTAAATGTTTGAGGTTTAAAACACTTGATATTATGAAATATAATTCCAGATTTCTGGGCTGGGCATGGTGGCTCACACCTGTAATTCCAGCACTTGGGGAGGCCAAGATGGGTGGATCATCTGAGGTCAGGAGTTTGAGACCTGCCTGGCCAACATGGTGAAACACTGTCTCTACTAAAAATACAAAAATTAGCCGGGTGTGGTGGCACATGCCTGTAGTCTCAGCTACAAAGGAGGCTGAGGCAGGAGAATCACTTGAGCCAGGGAGGCAGAGGTTGCAGTGAGCTGAGATTGCACCACTGCACTCCAGCCTGGGCGGCAGAGCAAAACTCTGTCTCAAAGGAAATAAAAAAAGAATTCCAAATTACCATAAGTTATTTATTTTGCCAAAATCGTGACTTAGAAATTTCAAAGAAGCAAAAGTCTTTTATAACCCTTTACAAATTTTGCCAAAGAGCAGATTATCACCTTAGGAAAATCTTGTTATTTTATTTTTTTGAGATGGAATCTCGCTCAGTCACCCAGGCTGGAGTGCAGTGGCAGTTTGTAACCTTAAAACAGATGCAAACCTTGCGTCTGACCTGCATTTTACCAATAGTCTTTAGGACTGTTTTTATTTCTCAAAGATTAAAGTCATGTGAACTAAAAGGTACCACAGCATTTATCTTCCCTTTAAAAAGTATTTGATCCAAGCCCTTGTCTTCCTTTAGGCCAAATTAATTAACGCTCTTTTTGCAGACATTATGCACAACATACACACTGAGAGGCAGGAGAAAACCCAGTCATTGGGTGTCACCCTTTAAGAAACAGGGCTAGGAAAACATGCAGATATCAAACCAGAAAGAAACTTATTCCCTAAGTCAGGATTGCTAAACAAAGCCTTGCCACCGGAGTTACAAGCCTTGCCCTCAGGATATAAAATAAGATGGAGGCTTGATTTCACAACCAAAACTTTGCAAAGAATACAGTGAGAGTTGGGTCCTGGCCTAATAAAACCATCTTCTTAAATGGGGGAAAAAATTTAAAGGTTAACTGCTGATGGGTGGAGAAGAGGGAAAAAAAAAGGTTTAAACATGCCTGAGAAATAACCTCTTATTCTTATACAACTGGTTCCTCCAACAGGAGAAAAGCTTAATTACTGTCCAATGGAGTAGAGCCCCCTGGCTGGGGAAAGGGAAGTCTCCAGTGGCACGTGGCAGAAAATGCCAGCCACCTGGCTGTGCTGGACCCTTGGGCCATGCATCCCAGCCCCAGCAAGGAGAGGAGAGTCATGGGGAGCTGCTGCTCGCCGGTCAGTACTGAAAAAGGAAGGAAAAAGCCATGAAAAGGCCCAGGAGTGATGGGGGGTGGGGACATGGTTTCTCCCACCCTCAGAAGTCCAAGGATGAAAAGGCTTAGAAGCAACAGTGAGAGGTTTTGAGTCCCCATTTCACTTACTGCTTTTTGAGGCCCCACATTGGGTGCCAAAAAATGTTGCAGGACTTTTCCTTCATTCAGCTAAAGATGGGGTCCTTGTTCATCCCATGGCCACAAAAATTTAGGCTTGCAGACAGTTTGAAGGGTGAGTAAAGCAGGGTTTTATTGGGTGAAAAGGAAGAAAAGGGGGGGAAACAGGGACTCTTGCTAGGACAGAGTCCCTGATAGAGTGCTTCCCACCTGCAGCTTGAATCTCAGGTTCCATACAGGAAGAGGAGGAGCCAGGCTCCTCCCTGCTACAAACATCATGAACTTCCCGAGGCTCCACCTCAGTGGGCAGGCTGGTTGGAGTTTCTCCAGGGACCCTCTTCCACCTGGCTGTCTCATTGGGATTACAGGCATGAGCCACCGTGCCTAGCTGGGACAAATTGTTAATGAAAAAGAATATTTGGAGAAATAAATTATTCTAGGGCTGGACCAGAGAAACTATTAAATGAGCCATAAGCTTCTTCCAGATGCTTACAGAGGCTTATAGAAAGCAAGGAAGTACTCAGAAAATTAAAGGATGGGAGTACATCAAAGACCACAGGACCCAACCTGAAAGAGCTCTCAATGGCCAAAGCTGGGTAATCTGAGCAAAAAAATAAAGTAGAGCAGGCTCAGTGGCTCACACCTGTAATCCCAGCACTTTGGGAGGCTGAGGCGGGTGAATCACTGGAGCCTGCACATTCCAGACCAGCCTGGGCAATGTAGTGAAATGCCATCTCTACAAAAAATACAAAAATTAGCTGGTGTTGAGGTTGAGGTGGGAGGATCGCTTGAGTAGAGGAGATGTAAATTGCAGTGAGCTGAGATTGCACCCCTGCACTCTAGCCTGGGCAACAGAACAAGACTCTGTGACAAAAATAAAATAAGGCTGGGTGCAGTGGCTCATGCCTGTAATCCCAGCACTTTGGGAGGCCGAGGCAGGTGGATCACCTGAGGTCAGGAGTTCGAGACCAGCCTGGCCAACATAGTGAAACCCCATCTCTACTAAAAATACAAAAAATTAGCCAGATGTGGTAGTGGGTGCCTATAATCCCAGCTACTTGGGAGGCTGAGGCAGGAGAATTGCTTGAACCCGGGAGGTGGAGGTTGCAGTGAGCCGAGATCACACGATTGCATTCCAGCCTGGGTAAAAAGAGCAAAACTCCATCTCAAAAATAAATAAATAAATAAATTAATTAAATAAAACAAAAGTAGTATTGGGTTATACTCATACAGTGAACAACAAGGCATCTAGACTGATATAAATGAGTAAATAAACATATAAATGGGAATAAAGGGACAAATTTTTCTTACTGAAGCATTCCAAATAATATATGCAGATAACCCCCGCTCCTGAAGATGGAACTTATTCACTCTTTCCCCTCTTTACTCCTCCTCACCTTGAGTGTGGGTTGAACTTAGTGATGTCAAAAGAATAAAGTATGTATAAGAAACAATTGGGCCAGGTGCAGTGGCTTATGCCTGTAATCCCAGCACTTTGGGATGCTGAGGCAGGCGGATCACTTGAGGTCAGGAGTTAAAGACCAGCCTGGCCAACATGGTGAAACCCTGTCTCTACTGAAAACACACAAAAAAATTAGCCAGGCATGGTGGCAGGCACCTGTAGTCCCAGTTACTTGGGAGGCTGATGCACAAGACTTATTTGACCCCAGGAGGTGGAGGTTGCAGTGAGCCAAGATTGCACCACCGCACTCCACACTGGGTGACAGAGCAAGACTCTGTCTCAAAAAAAAAAAAAAAAGAAAAAAAAGAAACAATTGCAGTGGAGAAATCTGAAGAACAGATTTCTCAACCAAGTGATCAAAGCTAACATCACCAGGGGCAAATCATGTTGATGGCATCCCGTCTGTGATAGGATGTGGTGAGAAGGGCACTTCCCCTCTGTGGTATTCTTCTCCAAAATCTTTAATTCCAGTCTAATCACAAGAAAACTATCAGACAAAAACAGACTGAGGGACATTCTACAAAATAACTGACTTCTTCAAACTGATGAAGTGTCATGAAAAACAAGTGAAAACTGTCACAGACCAGAGGAGATGAAAGAGACATGACAATATATGCCATTTGCTATCCAGGATTGGATCCTGGCACCAAGTGTTAGTAAAAAAAATTAGTGGGAAAAAACTAGTGAAATTTTAGTAAAGTCTGGAATTTAGTTAATAGCAATATACTAATATTAGTTTTTTGGTTTTGACAAATGTACTATGGTAATATAAGATGCCAACATTAGGGGAAACTAGTTGGAATGTATGTGGGAACTCTGTACTACACTTGAATCTTTTCTGTAAATTTAAAATTATTCCATAGTAAAAATTTTATTTTAAAAAGCGAGTATTGTTTCATAACAATAACATTAAGAAAGAACTGAAAGCAAGGAATTAAAAAATAAGGAGGCCCATAATTTTCCATGCAAATTCTGGAAAATATTCAGGGTAATGTGGAGGTGAGCAAGTTTTTAGGAGACTGATCACAGCCCCCAGATTATGAATTTGTGATAATATATTTTCAAGTCCTCATTCCCGAAGAAGTTGAGAATTTTCCTAAGTTTACCTGACCAGGGAAGTCAGGTGAACAGCTATCCTGTGATAGTCTCTAAGTGTTTTTGTTTTTGCTTTTTTAAAAAACAATTTGAGATAGGGTCTCTGTCAGCCAGGTTGGAGTGCAGTGGCTCAATCAAGGCTCACTGCAGCCGAGACCTCCTGGGCTCAAGTCATCCTCCCACCTCAGCCTCTCGAGTAAACTCTAAGTTTTGATAAAACCTTATGCTTCCTCACATGATCTTCTGGTCTTCTAAGAGCCACAGCTTGCTTTATTCTACCTGTAATGGATTCCCATTGTCCTTAGAATAACATTTTTTTTCCTTTTTCTTTTTTTTAGAAAGGGTCTTACTCTGTTGCTTAGGCTAAATACAAACTCCTGGGCTCAAGTGATTCTCCCATCTCAGCCACCCAAATAGCTGAAACGACAGAGGATAAAACATAAATCCCTTTATTGTTTGCCAGGAGTCTCTAGGCCGAGCTCAACTCTTGCCATGTCTCGCTTATACTCTATGCTTCGGTCATCTTGCTCCTTGGGAGCCTTCATATTCTTACTAGAATACTGTCCCCTTTATTACTGTCTCCATTCCACCTGGTTATATCTGAAATCATCTTTTTCATGTTTTGGCATAATGGCACTACCTCAAAGAGGTGAATTGGCTAGCCTAAGGTAACCACAATAGACTCAAGCCTGCTATAGAGGTCAGTGATCCTGCCTTCTGGTCAAAAACATTTCAATACCAACTTGGGCAACATGGCAAGACACCATCTCTACAAAAAATTTCTTAAAAAATTAGTCAGGTGTGGTGGCATGTGCTTGTCATCCCAGCTACTCAGGAGGCTGAGGCAGGAAGATCACTTGAGACCTGGAGTTCAAGGTTGCAGTGAGCTATGATCATGCCACTGTACTTCAGCCCAGGCAACAGAGCAAGACCCTGTCTCTAAAGTAAATAAATAAAATTTTAAAAATGTTTTAACAGTTCTCTTTCTTATTAAATTACATTATGAATGGAATTCCAAATAAGTGGTTGGGGTTGAGGGGGAGCAGTATTTTTTTTTGAGATAGAGTCTCGCACTGTCACCCAGGCTGGAGTGCAGTGGCGCAATCTCGGCTCACTGCAAGCTCCGCCTCCCGGATTCACGCCATTCTCCTGCCTCAGCCTCCTAAGTAGCTGGGACTACAGGCGCCTGCCACAATGCCCAGCTAATTTTTTGTATTTTTAGTAGAGATGGGTTTTCACCATGTTAGCCAGGATGGTCTCGATCTCGTGACCTTGTGATCTGCCTGCCTCAGCCTTCCAAAGTTGGGGGAGCAGTATTTTAATCACCCTAACAAACTATTTTCATTTAAGCCTTGACTTCTTATCTATTTGCACATATAAATTTTACAAAATTATAATCATACTGCTGATCAGCTTTTTTTTTTCAAACTCCAGTACACACCAGAGGATCAACTTATATTCTGCTTTATTTTTTGTACACGTATTATTAAGCATTTTCCATGTTGTTACATAGATTAGGTATATCTATTCATGGTTTTTTATTTTTAATTTTTCTGGAGAATGGGGGTATCACTATATTGCCCAGGCAAGTCTCGAACTCCTAGGCTCAAGCTATCCTCCCACCTTTGTCTCCCTAAATGCTGATATTACAGGCGTGAGCCACTGCACCTGGTCTATTTATTTTTATCATTCATATCTCATGTATTCATCTATATTTACTTAGAACTTTTTTTTTTTTTTTTTTTGAGATGGAGTTTCGCCCTGTCGCCCAGGCTGGAGTGCAGTGGCACGATCTCGACTCACTGCAAGCTCCGCCTCCCGGGTTCATGCCATTCTCCTGCCTCAGCCTCCCGTGTAGCTGGGACTACAGGCGCGCGCCACCATGCCCGGCTAATTTTTGTATTTTTAGTAGAGACGGGGTTTCACCGTGTTAGCCAGGATGGTCTCGATCTCCTGACCTCGTGATCCGCCCGTCTCGGCCTCCCAAAGTGCTGGGATTACAGGCGTGAGCCACCGCGCCCGGCCTACTTAGAACTTATAATGAATGAAGTACTGGGCAAGATAATGTCATGCCAAAACAGAAATCTTTGCATCTTTGCTCCAGGGGAGTTTATATCTAGTCTACATTAATCAGTTACTTTGCCTTCCATCTTTTTTTTTCTTTTCTTTTCTTTTTTTTTTTTTTTGAGACTGAGTCTTGCTCTGTCACCCAGGCTGGAGTGCAGTGGCACACTCTCCACTCACTGCAACCTCTGCCTTCTGGGTTCAAGCAATTCTCCTGCCTCAGCCTCTGGAGTAGCTGGGACTGCAAGGCACCTGCCACCACACTCTGCTAATTTTTGTATTTTTAGTAGAGGTGGGGTTTCTCCATGTTGGGCAGGCTGGTCTTGAACTCTTGACCTCAAGTGATCCACCCACCTCAGCCTCCCAAAGTGCTGGGATTACAGGCATGAGCCACCATGCCTGTTGCCTTCCATCTTTTATTAATATTCTTACATGCAATAGTCTATATTAATACAATAATATAGTCTCCTGTGCTCTGTAATTTACACCATGTAGCCTCTTTTTATTTTTTTTCAAAATAGTCCTCCTATAAATTGCATTTACTCTTTTATAGTTTCTCCTCATATAAACTTTCCCTAAAAAATCTCATGTTTTCCTGATCTTGTAGGATACAATAAAGTTTCTCCTCAAAGGTTTAGCCTGCTAACTTCCTGGTTCTTTGTTCCCAAACCTAACTTTCTTGTTCTACCTGCCTCCTCGCCCCTAGTTACTCTAAACAGCCTACCCCCTTCTCGTCAGCTCTAATCAATAACTCACATCTGTTTCCTTGGTTACCTGCACCCATTGTTTGCCCAAAACTGCACGTCTCACATGCTTTACCACTGTACCTCACATCCCCCTTCCCTTCCATATTTAGAAAGATATTTGAAAGTAGCCAATTAGGTCAGTTCAGATTGTGTGGTCTGACCCCAGCCCATTGGGGAGTGACACAGAGGTAAGGACTACACGTCAGAGATAAAAACCCCCTGCTCTCCTTTGTTCCATGTGCTCTTGCTATCTTGATTGATGTGAGTGGCACCCTTCTGCAGAAGTAAATTGCCTTGCTGAGAAAACTTTTGCCTGAGTGCTGGTTTCACTTTGTGGCACCGAGCATTTATTTCTAGAGCATTTTTATATCCGACAGTCTTAAATGCTGAACATTCACTACAGACTCCCAAAATTTAATCTTCTCTAAAATCTTCATTGCAAGTTTTGAAGACACCTCAAATACAATTTTTTCCAAAAAGAACTTATCTCCCTCCACAGATAAAGGGATCTTCCTCTATGTTCTATGTTAACTAATGGCATCATTATGTACCCAATTGTTCATAAGGTTTTCTTTAAGTAAAAACTTAAATTTACCTATGAATCTCTCCTCATTTCTTATCACATCTCTACCTAGTAGGCCTCATTACTTCGACATTTTAAATATCTCAATTTTATCTCTTTATCTACACTCTCATTGTATTCCTTCAGTTTCTACTCATCTCTTCTCTATGCTTGCAGTAGCTCTTTAACTGGTTTCTGCCTTCTCCATTGTGATTTTTCAGTCTTTATCCCTCTCTACTGATAAGAATTCTCTTTTTAAAAGCCAACCTTAGGCCAGGTTTGGTGGCTCATACATGTAACCTGGGCACTTTGGGAGGCCAAGGTGGATGGATCATTTGAGGCCAGGAGTTCGAGACCAGCCTGGGCAACATGGCGAAACCCCGTCTCTACAAAAGTACAAAAGTTAGAAAGTCTCAGCTGGTCGCAGTGGCTCATGCCTATAATCCTAGCACTGTGGGAGGCCAAGGCCGGCAGATCACTTGAGGTCAGGAGTTCGAAACCAGCCTGGCCAACATAGTGAAACCCCATCTCTACTAAAAATACAAAAAAAATTAGCTGGGCATGGTGGTGGGTGCCTGTAATCTCAGCTACTCGGGAGGCCAAGACAGGAGAATTGCTTGAACCTGGGAGACAGAGGTTGCAGTGAGCCGAGGTTGTGCTACTGGACTCCAGCCTGGGTGACAGAGTGAGGCTCCATCTCAAAAAAAAACCAAAAAAAATAGTCTCATAACCTTGTCTCAAAATAAATAAGTTAATTAATTTTTAAAAACCCCAACCTGGGCACTACCTACGGAGGTGGCAGTCATCTCCTCCTCGGAATCATGGCTGCCCTCAGACCCCTTATGAAGCCCAAGATCCTCAAAAAGAGAACCAAGAAGTTCATCTGGCACCAGTCTGACCGATATGTCAAAATTAAGCCTAACTGGCAGAAACCCAGAGGTGCTGACAACAGGGTTCATAGAAGGTTCAAGGGCCAGATCTTGATGCCCAACATTGGTTATGGGAACAACAAAAAAACAAAGCACATGCTGCCCAGTGGTTTCTGGAAGTTCCTGGTCCACAACACCAAGGAGCTGGAAGTGCTGCTGATGTGCAACAAATCTTACTGTGCTGAGATCGCTCACAGTTTCCTCCAAGAAATGCAAAGCCTTGGTGGAAAGAGCTGCCCAGCTGGCCATCAGAGTCACCAACCCCAATGCCAGGCTGCACAGCAAAGAAAATGAGTAGACAGCTCATATGCATGTTTTGTGTTTAAATAAAAATGTAAAAACTGCAAAAAAAAAAAAAAAACCTTAGTCAAATGATCTTACTTCTAAACACATGATTTCTTGTTTGTTATCTGACACTATCAATTCATCATATTATCATCATTTTAAACATTTATTGAACATATAATATATGCCAGATATTCTTCTAAGTACTTTATATTATTTAATTTAATCTTTGCATCAACCCTTTTGAAGCAGCCATTATTTTCATTCCAATTTTACAAATGCAAAAACCAGAGCATAGAGAGGTTAAATAATTTGCCCAAGATCAGTAATTTGGCAGAGCCAGGTAGTTTGACTCTACGGTCTTTGTTCTTAACATTACCTCACAGCTACCTTTCACAAATATATTAATTCCAGACCTCTTAGTGTGGCTTATGGTATTATTCCCAATTCAATCCCAAATCCATCTCCCCATTCATTAATTACTTATTAAATACCAAGTATAGTTGATCTGTATATTTTTAAAACTTCTTCAAA
The DNA here is from genome assembly GCF_000001405.40 of Homo sapiens. Lineage (NCBI taxonomy): Eukaryota > Metazoa > Chordata > Mammalia > Primates > Hominidae > Homo > Homo sapiens. The sequence continues at coordinate 180,887,148 of NC_000003.12, read as the reverse complement.
GAGCATGTGAGTTGATGAAAAATAATGAGTACAAAATGTTGCAAACAGTTACGTGGTATAATACAATGAAGTAGAAATATTTTCAAATTCTGTGTGAATAAAGGGAAAAGCTTAAACTGGGCTGAATTTTGCTTTTTCACACTGTGGTCATTTTTCATGTTGTTCTTAGGTTTGAAACATCTCCTTCCTTGACTATCAGCCAAACTACAGTATCTTCAAGATGCCACTAAATTGTCTTCTGCTCTATAAAGGCACCACTGACGTAGTGCAGAATTGGCATTCCTTCTTTGAACACCCATCTTACATGGTGCAGAGTTGTAATATTGCATAGTCCATTGAATTGTTATCGCTTATTTATGTGGCTGTCCTCCACCTTCATTCCCAGAATTTAAACAGAGATCAGTCTTATTTTCCTTTGTATTCCCTTCCGCTACCTAGCATTGAGCATATACGATCTTCAGTTGTTGTTTAAAACATAAAAAAATAAAAATAATGGTAGTCGACACTTATGATCAGTTTACTATGTGCCTGGCTGTAAGTTCCTTACATAAGTCAGATGAATGAATGGATAGATGAATGAATGAATGAATGAATGAATGAATGAATAGAAGAAACAGTCTAGAGAGAGTTGGTTGGTTAAAGCTGTGTTTCACAGATTTTCAGTCACCAGTAGGTTCTGCACTCTGTATATTGTGGTAGACAGAATTCTAAGATACCCCTCCTGATTCTGCTCCCTGGTATCCATGTTTTTGTGTGGGTAGAACCTGGAACTTGCTTGTAACCAATAGAATGTGGCAAAGGTGAAGGGGTTTTACATATGTAATTAATATCCCTAATAAAATATACTACTACCCGTATTTCCTGTTTGATTTTTGTTTTTGTCACATCAATCACTGAAAACCCCATGCGTGCAAGGTTATAACATCATGGAATAGAATGTAGGATAGTCTAATGTATGAACTATCAACTACCTTGACAGTAGTTTGCACAATGCCTAACAGATGTCAAGTGTCACAATGTTTATTTTAAAAACGTAAAATGGCCAGGCACCGTGGCTCGTGCCTGTAATCCCAGCACTCTGGGAGGCCGAGGTGGGCAAATCACTTGATATCAGGAGTTCGAGACTAGCCCAGCCAACATGGTGCAACCCTGTCTCTACTAAAAATACAAAAATTAGCTGGCGTGGTGGTGCGCTCCTGTAATCCCAGCTACTCAGAAGGCTGAGGCAGGAGAATCACTTGAACCCAGGAGGCAGAGGTTGTAGTAAGCCAAGATTGTGCTACTGCAGTCCAGCCTGGGTGACAGACTGAGACTCTGTCTCAAAAAAAAAAAAGTATCCCATAGCACTCCTGTAAATTCACTGCCATGTCCTGGTGCCTGTGGCACAAAATTTGGGAACTGTGGTCCTATTCCATTCCTTTTATTGGTGCATATTGTTCAATTGTATGGATAAGATTGTTTTAATTACTACTGCTCCATTACATGTTAGTTTAGGATGAGGCTGTATCTGTTTTTTATTTCCTTTCTTCTTCTTCTTCTTCTTTTTTTTTTTTTTTTTTTGAGACAGTTTCACTCGTCACCCGTACTGGAGTGCAGTGGCGCAATTTGGGCTCACTGCAACTTCTGCCTCCTCGGCCCAAGTGATTCTCCTGCCTCAGCCTCCCGAGTAGCTGGGATTACAGGCACCCACCACCACGACTGGCTAATTTTTGTATTTTTAGCAGAGACAGGATTTTACCATGTTGGCCAGGCTGGTCTTGAACTTGTGACCTCAGGTGATCTCTGCACCCCACCCCAGCCTCCCAAAGGGCTGGGATTATAGGTGTGAGCCACTGTGCCCGTCCAACATTTAAGTTTTTAAAGATGATTTACAAACTAAAAAAAAATCGGCACTTTTCAATTTTACCATAGAGTTATTTTCTGTTTGGACATGAATTGCCTTTGCTAATTTTGATGAGGCATTTTGAAAGGTAACTACAGATGATATGTATTTTGTAGTACTTGTTTATTATATTTGGGATAAGAAGTAAAACTACTTAGAAACACAGGTGAAATTTAATAGTGTTTTGTTCAATTTCCAACATAAAGGAAATTTCAAAGCCAAAATGATGGGCAACAAATAACTTTCAAAAATTTTACTATTCAGTACTTTCACGAGTTAATAAGACAGGGGAGGGAATTGGTTTTATAAAACATATTTTTAAACAGCCCATATCATTTTATAATTATATGAAATGTGCATCAAAGAAAATTATTCTAAAACTCTATAAAGCATGGCAGTACCACTGTTCTGGTCGATTATGATAAGAGGAATTGGCGGGAGCCCATATAATCTGCATGTGAATTTGATTAAAATTGTTTTGCTTTAAATATATACGTGGATATGTTGAGAGGAAGATACTTCTATTTAAAAAATGTTAAATCAAGTAGGTGCAGTTGGGTAAAAATGGGAAAGAAGACATCTCATCCAATGGAAGGTACAAAGAGAATGCTGTTTTGTGTTTTTAGGATTTAATGAGTCATTTGACCTCGATTAAGTGTTTTGTTTGTTTTTCTCTTGTGAGTCTTTCATTCTGTTTTCTGTGAATAAACTAATGACTAAAAAGAGTTGTAGTAATGATAATGACACACTGCTCTAAAGAAACCATGGGAGCAGGGGATGAAGGAGGTGTATTGGATCCAGTCCACTGTATCAAGTGACGCTCTTACCTATAGAAAAGTTTTTTCCCTTATCCCAAACATTATTAACTATATTGGTTAACCTAAGAAATGTAATCAAATACACATTTGTATGCAGACTAAGGAAAGACTTTCAATTCTCTCTTGTTTAGATTTTTTAAAATTTCAATTATGATCTTCTACATTTAAGAAAAATTATTACTATTATTATTATTTTTTTTTTTTGAGAGGGAGTCTTGCTCTGTCACCCAGACTGGAGTGCACTGGCACGATCTCGGCTCACTGCAGCCTCCCAAAGTGCTGGGATTACAGGCGTGAGCCATGGCGCCCTGCCGAAAAATTCTTATAAAAGCAGTTTTTAAAATTCATTCATCAACTAAACGTGTTTGGAATACATAAACATGGTAAGCGTTGGCTAGGTGCTAAGTATATAAAAAGCAAAAAAGTACATGGTCAGTTTGTTTCAATCTCATATTCTCTCTCTCTCTTTTTTTTTTTTTTGTGACGGAGCCTCGCTCTGTTGTCCAAGGCTGGAGTGCAGCGGCTCAATCTCAGCTCACTGCAACCTCCGCCTCCCGGGTTCAAGCGATTCTCCTGCCTCAGCCTCCCAAGTAGCTGGGATTACAGGCGACCACCATCACGCCCAGCTAATGTTTTTTGTAATTTTAGTAGAGATGGGGTTTCATCATGTTGGTCAGGCTGGTCTCGAACTCCTAACCTCAGGTGATCCACCCGCCTTGGCCTCCCAAAGTGCTCAGATTACAGGCATGAGCCACCGTGCCCAGCCTGAATCTCATACTCTTTTGATGGGTACAGGTTAGAGTAAAATTTTTAGAACTATGTGGATTCATTGTCCCCTTCCTAGGGAGTAAAGAGCAGAATAAATGAAGAGAAAGATGAAATAATACTTGAGTGTTTAATTTTCCTTTGAATTCTCAAGTTCACTAATTAAATAGTGTGCAAGCTTTCTATTAAGACAGTAACCATAATACTCTTATTTATAGGTCATATTGTTTGTTTAAATGAGGATTGGCTTAGCACATCTCATGAGAAAGACCAGGTTAATATATGACCACTTCAGATATGGTTTGAGAACTTAAAAAAATTGTTAATGCATCCAAGTAGTCTTGATATTTTGTTATAATTTTGTTTTCTGGTGTCACTTATACATTTATTTTATTTCTTTTGCAGATCTTGCTTTGTGAAATCTTTTTTTTTGCCATGGCTAGAAAATAGAAAGTTTCCCTTCTATATTAAGAGTTATCATTTTAGGGAAAAGAATGTTATTGGTAAGATGAAGTTTTTGGAGAATAATATGTAATTTACACTGACACAAGTGATAACTCTGAATTTCATCTTCTTGATGATCCCTCATTCAAAGATACTAGTTTTATTTTTTCTTTGTTCTTTTTGGCATTGGATTTTTAACCTATAATTTTATAACCAGCCAATCTATCAGTAAAGTACGAAGGTTTTTCAGACTATAGTAGCTTGAAACATATACTTCTGTTAAAGAATAACTTCAGAAAAGGTAAAATCATGACTCTCATACATACAGATATAAAATGAACATGTGCTAAATATCTTACTTAACTCATTGTTAATGAAGGAACCAGTAAGATTTTACAGCCAGTTTAAAGGAGAATTCAAAGAAGCACAAATTTATATGGAATAAGGGAATTTTGAAAAATATTTGCAAATAGATATTAAGCTGTTTTCTTTTTGTGGAGGTGGGTAGAGGGATGTGAATTGTTTATTGTGTGTCTATAGATAAGAATTATTTTGCATTGCTATCAGTTATCCACAATTTACAGAGTTGTAAAATAGCTCAAAGGTAATGAAAGGCACTGAGCCTCTGTATAATCAGAATCAGATAATTTGGAAAGGTGTGCTCTAAACAATGCATAATTTTTCACTGAAGAACAAAATGTTCCAAGTACGCTCCCAAGTAACTTTTATTAGGACACTACTAGAGAAATGCTTCATCAAAAGGAAGGAGTAAATTTTTAAAAAAAGAAGAAGAAGAGGAGGAGGAGAAGGAGGAAGGAGGAAGGAGGAAGGGAGAAAAAGAAGAGAGAAGAAAGGGGAAGAAGAAGGGGGAAGAAGAAGAAGGAGACGGAAGAAGGAGAAGGAGAAAGAGAGAAGAAGAAGACGGAGGAAGAAGAAGGAAGAAGGAGGAAGAAGAGGAGGAAGAAGAAGACAGGAGATCCCCCAAACAGGGTATAGGGTATACAACACCGAGGAGTGGTGAGGCTCAGGACGACAGAAGAGCAATAGGCCAGGGCCCAGCCAGCCCAGGGTCCAGAAAGAAGGAGACCTCCTAAGAGGGTTCCAGGAAGATAGAAATGGAATTGACGTGCTTGAGCATATGGAAAATATAATTTAAAGGCTTTTGGTAGAGATGTTAAACCTTTTACAGAACACTAATGATTAAAAAAAAAAAAAAGGTGAATTTAGGCTGGGTGCGGTGGCTCATGCCTGTAATCCCAGCACTTTGGGAGGCCAAGGCTGGCAGATCACCTGAGGTTGCGAGTTCAAGACCAGCCTGACCAACATGGAGAAACTCCATCTCTACTAAAAATACAAAATTAGCCAGGCGTGGTGGTGCATACCTGTTATCCCAGCTACTCGGGAGGCTGAGGCAGGAGAATCGCTTGAACCCAGGAGGTGGAGGTTGCGGTGAAGCAAGATCACGCCATTGCACTCCAGCCTGGGCAACAAGAGCAAAAAAGGTGAATTTAAAAATGAGGCCAGCATTGATTTTAGGAATTCTGGCTGCACAAGAATGGATATGTAATGCTACAGATGGCTCAGGTGTGAACAATACGTGCATAGTCACTGTGAAACGGCTACGTTGTCTGGGATATATACCCTGGGGTTTGCTGTCTCACACTGAGAAAGAATTCAGGACATGGACACATGTGGGTAGGTTAAGGAGTGGAAAGTTTAATAGACAGGAGAAAGGAGAGAGGAGAGCAGCTCTTTGCGACAGAGAGAGAGGAGAGAGGAGAAAGAAGAGAGGAGAGAGATCTGGAAAAAAAAAGAAGGAGACTTGGGGGAACGCAGCAGATTTTACAGTCCGGTTTGAGGAGGCAGTGTCTGATTTGCGCAGGGCTCACATATTGGTTCGGTCAGGTATGACGTTTACATAGCACGTGGGGAAGGCTGGTTGCCCCACCCTAATCTTATTATGCAAATGAGCTTTTCAGTTGATGGGGGCCATCTTGTCTGCTCTTTACTGTACACGTGGCTGACAAAGAGAAGGGAAGACGGAGCCACCATCTTGAACGTATCTAGTCCCTAGTTCCTACTGGCATTCACTTGTGCAAGCTCCCAGCTTGCTTGTTTATGTCTGCAGCTTGACTTTACAGGCTGTTTTTTTTGTTTGTTTTTTTGTTTTGAAACAGAGTCTCTCTGTGTCATCCAGGCTGGAGTGCAATGGCTCGATCTCAGCTCACTACAACCTCTTCTCCCAGGTTCAAGCTATTCTCCCGCCTCAGCCTCCCAAGTAGCTGGGATTACAGGCATCCGCCATCATGCCCAAATTTTTCTGTTTTTGTAGAGACGGGGTTTCACCATGTTGGCCAGGCTGGTCTTGAACTGACCTCAGATGATCCGCCTGCCTCGGCCTCCCAAAGTGCTGGGATTACAGGCATGAGCCACCACACCCGGCGGAGGTTTTTTTTTTTTTTTTTTTTTTTTTTTAATTTGCAATATATAATTAATTCACCTCACTTCCAGGAACATGTGCTTTAAAAATGTGGAATACTGGCAAGTGTTAACATTTGAAAAAAACAATATTGGCTGGGCATGGTGGCTCATGTCTGTAATCCTAGCACTTTGGGAGGCCAAGGAAAAAGGATTGTTTGAGGCCAGGAGTTTGAGACCAGTCTTGGCAAAATGGCGAGACCCTGTCTCTGCAAAAAATAGAAAAATTACCGGGTGTGTTGGTGCTTGTCTGTAGTCCCAGGTACTCAGGAGGATCACTTGAGCCCAGGAGTTTGAGGCTGCAGTGAGCTATGATTGTGCCCCTGCACTTTGGTCTGGGCAACGGAGTGACACCCTGTCTCAAAAACCAAAAAACGTAAAAACAAAAAAACCCAAAACAATATTAAATATACTAAAAGTGTTCATTGCTTTCTTCTTATTTTTAAGAGATTTTTCTCCACTAGTGTTACTTCCATTTTTTTCTTCATTCACTAGTTAAATAAATGGAGGGAAAAAACCATATATTTTATATATATATATATCACAAAAAACATACGTGGGCTAGGTGCGCTGGCTCATGCCTGTAATCCCAGCACTTTGGGAGGCTGAGGCGGGCGGACCACCTGAAGGTCAGGAGTTTGAGACCAGCCAGGCCAACATGATGAAACCCGTCTCTACTGAAAACACAAAATAATAAGCCGGGCATGGTGACAGGTGCTTGCAATTCCAGCTACTTGGGAGGCTGAGGCAGGAGAATTGCTTGAACCCATGAGGCAGAGGTTGCAGTGAGTGGAGATCGCGCCATTGCACTCCAGCTTGGGCGACAGAGCGAGATTCTGTCTCAAAATAAATAAATAAATAAAAAAGAACATATGTGATATATATGTATTTATACTTATATGTATTTCAGAATCCAAGATCAACAGAATAAAAGTGGAATATATGGTATAGAATTGACCTTCATAGCTCTCTGTAGCATAATTCATTTGATAAGAATATAGTTATGATTATTATGGCTAAGTACTTAAGTATTAGTCTTTCCATCAATATGACTACAAATGTACAAGGTACGATTTAGCATTTTCAAAACTTTGTTACAGCCTTAAAAATCATATTCATATAAAATGCATCATGCAGCAGAGAAAATTTTTAAGTATAAATTTAAAATCAATTGTAAAATTAAATTTGAAACCACATAATAAATGGTATGGTGTACGTGTAAATGTCTGAAAGACATTTGAAAAATAGGTATGTGCTCATAAATAAAAACAAGTATCTTCTAAGAGTTAAAAATATAGGCCACCTTTTTGATAATGGAAAATATTTAATTAGAAATATGAGTCACTGTAGTAACAAGGGAATAATTTTTTTTTTTTTTTTTTAAGACAGAGTCTCGCTCTGTCACCCAGGCTGAAGTGTAGTGGTGTGATCTCTGCTCACTGCAACCTCTGCCTCCCGGGTTCAAGTGATTCTCCTGCCTCAGCCTCCTGAATAGCTGGGATTACAGGTGCCCACCACTATGTCTGGCTAATTTTTTGTATTTTTAGTAGAGATGGGGTTTCACCATGTTAGCCAGGCTGGTCTTGAACTCCTGACCTCGTGATTCGCCTGCCTCGGCCTCCCAAAGTGCTAGGATTACAGGTGTGAGCCATGGTGCTCGATAAATTTTTAATTAATGGGAGATTTTGAAGCAATCACTTGGCCCCTTGGTTTATTCAGTTGCAATGCAGTCAACGCCCCTGTTCTGGAATATTTACAATACCTCCTTCATCAAATTACCTGAACCAGTTGGGTTAAGATTTAAAGGCTCAGTTAAGACTGTGTTTTGCTATTCTTTCATTTCTTTCATGGGTTTCTTCTCCTTCTGTCATCCTTCTGTTTCTGCTCAAGTTACAAAAAGATAAATCTCTCTCAAAGGCACTACAGAAACCATATTCTACTATACATACAAACCATAGGCTGGGTGTGGTGGCTCATGCCTGTAATCCCAGCACTTTAGGAGGCCCAGATGGGTGGATCACCTGAGGTTGGGAGTTTGAGACCAGCCTGGCCAACATGGCAAAACCCTGTCTCTACTAAAAATACAAAAATTAGCTGGGCGTGGTGGCACACACCTGTAATCCCAGCTATCCAGGAAGCTGAGGCAGGAAAATTGTTTGAACCTGGGAGACGGAGGTTGCAGTGAGCCAAGATCATGCTACTGTACTCCAGCCTGGGCGACAGAGCGAGACTCTGTTTCAGAAATAAAAATAAATAAATAAATAAGAACCATGACCTGTATTCTTGGTTTATTTTAAATTTTATGATTCATGTTTTAGATAATTGTGAAATTATAAAACATGGCTACTATTGGAGATAAAAATAGTTTATATGTTGCCAGATTATCTATCACTGAAATTCGTTTTTGTTTTGTCTATTTTTCTACCTTTACCTGGGTTTTTGTTCTCCCAATCATTATAAACAAACAAACAAACAAATAAAAGCACCTCACTGTAACTTGTATTGTTTGAGAGAGCAGTTCCCTCCACTAATTTTTTTCTGCTGCAGTTGTTTAAATTAAACTTGAATTACATTTTCCTCAGCCATTTAAAAAAATCCAGTATAATGAAAGCTGAATGTAATCTTTGTGGCAACAAGAACTTTTGTTTTGTTCACTGATGTATTCTAAAAACAGTGCTGGCACACTGTAGAAGTAAACAATAGACATTTCTTGACTATCATACTTTTTGACTGTAACAAATATAAACAATATAAAAATGTTTAAATTAAAAATGAGCCAGGTATGGTGGTGCATGCCTGTAATCCCAGCACTTTGGGAGGTCAAGGCTGGTAGGTCGCTTGGGTCCAGGAGTTTGAGACCAGCCTAGGTGACATAGTAAAATCCCATTTCTCCAAAAAATGCAAAAATTAGCCAAGCGTGGTGGCATGTGCCTGTGGTCCCAGCTACCTGGGAGGCTGAGGTGGGAGGACCATTTGAACCTGGGAGGTTGAGGCTGCAGTGAGCCCGGATCATGCCACTGCACTCCAGCCTGGGTGATAGAGCGAGAACCTGTCTCAAAAATAAATAAATAAAATAAATAAAAATATTTTCTGCCACAATCCTAATTCCCCAAAGCAACTATTATTAAGTACTGTGTATCCTTGCACAATTTTTTTTCTATGTGTATCTACTTTTTTTTTTAGTTCTTAGAGAGGGCGTACATATTTTATATGTTAATTTGCCATTTATATTTCTTGTTTTGTTTAGTTTCCTCTTTTTTCCTCTTGGGAAAAATCATAAATATAGCAAGCATCAACACTGCTTTTTTTAAAAAAACTTAATTTTAATAGGTTTTGGGGGAAGAGGTGGTGTTTGGTTACATGAATAAGTTCTTTAGTGGTGATTTCTGAGATTTTGGTGCACCCATCACCTGAACAGTGTACACTGCACTCAATGTATAGTTTTTTATCCCTTACCCCGTCCCACACTTTCCGTCAAGTCCTCAAAGTCCATTGTATCATTCTTGTGCCTCTGCATCTTCATAGCTTAGCTCCCACTTATGAGTGAGAACATACGATGTTTGGTTTTCCATTCCTGAGTTACTTCACTTAGAATAATGGTCTCCAATTCCATCCAAGTTACTGCAAAAGCCATTTTTCTTTCCTTTTTATGACTGAGCAGTATTCCATGGTACATAAACCACAACTTCTTTATCCACTCGTTGATTGATGGGCCGGTTCCATATTTGTGCTGCTATAAACACGCGTGTGCAAGTACCTTTTTTTGTATAATGATGTCTTTTCCTCTGGGTAGATACCCAGTAGTGGGATTGCTGGATCAAATGGTAGTTCTACTTTTAGTTCTTTAAGAAATCTTCACACTGTTTTCCATAGTGATTGTACTAGTTTACATTCCCACCAGCAGAGTAACAGTGTTCCCTTTTCACCAAATCCATGCTAACATCTATTTTTTTTTTATTTTTTGATTATGGCCATTAGCAAGCATCAACATTTCTGCACTATGGCATCAACTATAATTCATTCCTATCTTCAGCCACTGTATTGGTATTTTAAGATTATTTGGTAGGTTAAGTCACATCCTGAAATTTCCAGAAGACAGATTCTAATTTGTTACTAAAGTGCTGTGTGAGCTTGGGCAAATTATTCAACATCTCTATGCCTTAGATTAGATTTCTTCTCTACAAAATAGAAATAGCCAAGGGGTTGGTGTAAATGGTTAGCAAATGTTGGTCACAGAAAATGAGTAATGAACGGATCTTCCACCTCTCAGGATCTGATTCCATATAACCACTGAGCAGGAATCAAATAAAATGCATTTGCTGCAACATTAAGAGCCAATAATAGTCTTTTTAAAAAACCTATTTGATTGATTAGTAAAAACATTTAAAATACACACTTCCAAAATTTGAATATTGGAACACTACTTCATGATACAATCAACATATCAGAAAGCACTCGTGGTTTATAAATCACAAACAGTACAAAATACTTGCAACAGTTACCTAGATTACTTAGAATGAGTCAGAATCAGAATGAAAATCTTTTCTGGATTTACTAGTACATTGAAGAAAAAAATTCTCCCTAATTTTGTAAGTGCATTTACCGATACAAGTTCAAACTTGATTCTAATTCATTACATTTTAAAACAATCTTCGAAGTATAAAGAGGTTGCTCTGAGTGTTAGCATGAAAATGCTGAGAGTATAATTTAAGATTTTTTTTTTTTTTAAAAAGACTCAACTGCAAAACTTAAGCCACTTTTAAATCCTTCTAAGAAATCCATTTACAAAGTCCCTGAAATTTTTCTTTATTCAGTATGGTTAAATTAAATTTAATCTGCCAGGAAATTCTGTTTCACAAGTTTCTTAGACATATACAAGAAATGTTATCCATTGCCTCACTTGACTGATACCTAACCTGCAATTTGTGCTAATGGGCAATGAATAACTTAGTGCTCATTCCTTTATGAGCTCTTTACTGCCAAATCAAAGAAGCCTTTTACAACTGGCTGCCTAAGAATACCAGGGCACAACAGGAAACATGTTGAAATATTATTGAAAACAATATTGGAATTAAAATTAAAAGGTATCCTTTGTTATAATTTGGGACCCATAGCATTTTTTCATTATGCTTGCTGCCTTACCGGCTTTATGAAGTTTGGAAAACTAGTTACTGAATTTTAATATGTGAAATCCACACCTAAAAAGAGCAGACCATGACCCCATAGAAGAGTCTAAAAATACCCTCTGATGCCTTCAGACCTTGATTCTGTTATAATATTCTTAGGTTGCCAAATTAAGAATTCCTGCTAATGCAGACCATAATATGTAAAGGAGATTTGGTTTCATTGTTCGGTTTGTCCACCCATGAACCACAGGAATATTTCATGCCTTATGTAAAACTTATCACATTTCTGCTTCCTTTCTGCTGAATGAGAGCATCTATTTATAGGCTACATAACATGAAAAGCATGGGAGGGTTTTCTTTCAGGCAATAAAAATGTGATCTAAGTCTTCCCTTGTAATGAAAAACAAACAGTTTGACAAGTGTAATTCTGTAACTGCTTAAAAGAGGAATCACTTATCAAAACAGATCTTTTAGTCTTCTAACAGAGTGTGTAAATTTGAAAAACCTCTTTGTTGTCCATACATAATAATTTTATTTATTTATTTATATATTTTTGAGACGGAGTCTTGCTCTTGTCGCCCAGACTGGAGTGCAATGGCAGATCTTGGCTCACTGCAACCTTTGCTTCCCAGGTTCAAGTGATTCTCCTGCCTCAGCCTCCCTAGTAGCTGGGATTACAGGAGCCCATCACCACATCCAGCTAAGTTTTTGTATTTTTAGTAGAGATGGGGTTTTGCCATGTTGGCCAGGCTGGTCTTGAACTCCTGACCTCAGGTGATCCACCTGCCTCAGCCTCCCAAAGTGCTGGGATTACAGGCATGAGCCACTGTGCCCAGCCCATACATAATAATTACACACTTATGTCTCAATGGGTAATGAGTTACCAAGACTTGAAAGGTGTGTTGTAACATATTCAATAAATGGTTAGTGATAGCCTAGTGTGAGAGGAAGGAAGAAAGGAAGGATAGAAGGAGGGAAGGAAGAGAAAAAATGAAGAAAAGAAGGGCGAAAAAATGAATGAAGAAAAGAAGGCAAGAAAGAAGGAAGAAAGGAATAATAAATTCCACCTAAAGTCTGCTTGCATTCTCAATTAGATTGGTCATCTTATGAATTTGTCTGTTGCAGTTCCATTTTGAGACATAAGTGACATTTATTAAAGATACTATTTTAGGTTATCTTCATGCAGGCAGTACTCTATTTGTTCAAATGGTATATTATTACCAATCAGACAATTCTCTATATGCAACTAAAGTAAAAACTTTAAGCAAGCATATATGCAGGAGTGGTTAAGAGGATAATGTCATTCTAGCTGTGTACTGTTTCAAGTGATTTTTTTCAAATGCTATAGAAAAATATGAATAAAGGAATGTTTATTACTCATTGCAGTATTGTTTTAATAACTAAAAATGGGAAGGAATCTAAATATCCATTAATAGATAAGATTGAATAAATAAATACACCCTACTATTGAATATTATGCAGCTGCTAAAATGAGCTCGGTACACAGACTTGGAAAATTGTCAAAACAAATTATTAGGCCCAGTGCGGTGGCTCACGCTTGTAATCCCAGAACTTTGGGAGGCTGAGGTGGGTGGACTGCCTGAGCTCAGGAGTTTGAGACCAGCCTGGGCAACATGGTGAAACCCCGTCTCTACTAAAATACAGAAAATTAGCTGGGAGTGGCGGTGTGCGTCTGTAATCCCAGCTAGTCAGGAGGCTGAGTCAGGAGAATCACTTGAACCCAGGAGGTGGAGGTTGCAGTAAGCCGAGATAGCGCCACTGCACTCCAGCCTGGGCGACAGAGTGAGACTCCTTCTCAAAAAAAAAAAAAAAAAAAAAAAAACCAAAAAAACAACAAGGCCAGGCATGGTGGCTCATACCTGTAATCCCAGCACTTTGGGAGGCTAAAGTGGGTGGATCACCTGAGGTCGAGAGTTTGAGACCAGCCTGACCAACATGGAGAAACCCTATCTCTACGAAAATAGCAAAATTAGCTGGGCATGGTGGCACATGCCTGTAATCCCAGCTACTTGGCAGGCTGAGGCAGGAGACTCACTTGAACCCAGGAGGCGGAGGTTGCCATGAGCCGAGATCATGCCATTGCACTCCAGCCTGGGCAACAAGAGCGAAACTCCATCTCAAAAAAAAAAAAAAAAAAAACAAAATAACCTCCCAAATTAATAACTAAAAATGCAAGTCATAGAAAAATACATTTATGATTTCATTTATGTAAAATATTCAAAGTTATGTGTGTGTATGCAAATACTTATAAAAAGGAACGGAACTTTGAGATTGCTTGAATCTTTTATAATAGAATATATTTATGAGTTGCTTATAAAATTAAATAGACATCTGAAAGTGGCAGTTACATTTAGGTTCAGATTGGTTCATTTTATGTTTAGTTTAGCATGTAGCTGGGTACAAAATTAGTCTCTTTGTTCTATTTCTTTTGGTTTCTTGTCAGTTTTTAAGGCAGCTATTAATATATCACAGTTACTGCCTAAAACATATGGGCATTCCATCTAATTTCCTAAAACTGTCACTCTCAGAGAAAACTCACTTAGGAAGATTCAAGGAGAAAAGTCCAGGAACTCTGCCCTTTGCTGGTTTTGGGATAAGGTTCTCAAGACTTTAAAAAATAATTATTTATTATAGTTTTTATTCATAATCATAATCAATTTAACTATTTCCTCAATATTCTTCTTATATAAAAAGGCTTTTCTCTGAGGCTCTGAATGGATGAAGTTTAAACCTTCTAAATTAGGACCACTGAAACCTTCCTTTCCTTCCTTCTCTCCTTCTTTCCTCCCTCCCTCCCTCCCTCCCTCCCTCCCTCTCTCTCTCTCTCTTTCTTTCTTTCTTTTGAGACACAGTTTCGCTCTCGTTGCCCAGGCTGGAGTGCAATGGTGCCATCTCGGCTCACCGCAAACCCAGCCTCCCCGGTTCAAGCAATTGTCCTAGCTCAGCCTCCCAAGTAGCTGGGATTACAGGAATGCACCACCACATCCGGCTAATTTTGTATTTTTAGTAGAGACAGGGTTTCTCCATGTTGGTCAGGCTCGTCTCAAGCTCCCGACCTCAGGTGACCTGTCTGCCTTGGCCTCCCAAAGTTCTGGGATTACAGGCGTGAGCCACCATGCCTGGCCAGGACCACTGACATTTTCTAAAGAGAAATCAAACACACAAATAGCAACTCCCCTCCCATTAAATTAAACAGGACACCAGGAAAATAAAAAATTCATGCATGTTGCTCTATCAGTGAAAATGCCTTTGGCTGCAGATAACCTAAAACAATGACTCGATTCACTTAATGAGGAAAACATATACTTTCACTTAGCAAGAGATTTTTCTAAGATTGCCTGGGAAAATAATGGGTCCCCAACAGAGCTGAGAAGTGGGCTCTTGTTTCCAGCTAAGGGTGGATCAGGAAGTATAAGAACAGAACATTTGGCCCATGTCATAGGAGTTGTAGTTGGAAGGGTCCTGCAGGATAGTGTCCAAAGAATCCATGAAACCAGCTTTAAGTGTGACTCAGCTTTAAACATCTGCCAAAACCAGAGAGCGCAAAGCCGTCTTAAAATAGTACCAGTCAAGGAAGAACTTTCTGCTTCCCTTTCTTCTCCTCCCTCCTCGTGTTCCAACTAAGAGGGGTCAGCTACAGCAGCTGAGAATGTGAGAAGAGGTGAACAAACAAAACAAAGATTACCATGTTCCCTTTTGCAAAGACAGATAGATGGCCTGCCACAATTACACCCTAACTGGGTAAAGGAGTGAGTGGAGGGAATCCTATTTTTATTGAAGGTTGAGGCTGAGTGCGGTGGCTGACGCCTGTAATCCCAGCACTTTGAGAGGCTGAGGCTGGTGGATCACCTGAAGTCAAGAGTTCAAGACCAGCCTCGCCAACATGGTGAAACCCCGTCTCTATTAAAAATACAAAATTAGCTGGGTGTGGTGGCGCATGCCTGTAATCCCAGCTACGTGAGAGGCTGGGGCAGGACAATTGCTTGAACCCAGGAGGCAGAGGTTGCAGTGAGCTGAGGTTGCGCCATTGCACTCCAGCCTGGGCAACGAGAGCGTAGACTCTGTCTCAAAAAAAAAAAGAAGGTTGAAGTATTGATTAACATAATGGCCTGGGCATTGGAGTTTCACCTTCTAGTCTGTGTAATGTGGTTTAAAGTGGTGATTCAACTTTGTATTGCCTAAGCATGAAAAGGAAAGTTAATCCTCCAAGGAGCCAGAAACAAATTCCTTTATTGAATATAATTTTCTGAGGGATAGTGGGAAATAATAATTTCCTGAGATCTATTGATTAGAAATATTCTATTTCTTTTGTGTCTTTAACTGCTCCCTCTATATTGGCTACTTTGCACAAGCATTTAAACGTGTTCAAGTCACCTCTATTTTAAAGAAAACACCTCATCTCCACACTCTAGCTATATTGATCTCTTGCTGTCTTCTTCCTTTTAAAGTCAAACTTCCAGAAAACATTAGGTGGGTGGCACGGGTGACTCTCCCAGGACCCTGAATTCCTGATTTCAGCAGTGGGCACATGATTCTGACTCCACAAATCATAATGAGCTATCTCTATGGGAACAGTGATTGGTCTAAGGAGTAGGTCTGTGACATAAACAGTTTCAGTCAGAGTACGTACTTCCTTGAGATTACTACTTGGAAGTTGAGAAGCCTGAAGCTCCTGGGAAACCTAGTTTTTGCCTCCACTACCTTACTGATCATGCATTTGCAAGATTAAGTATTTCCAATATTTATTATTATAAACCACATATTATATCTTTGTTACTATCGCTGTAGTATATGACCTGGAACGGCTAGACTAAGGTATATGCATATTTTTTAAAAAACAACTTTACTGAGATGTAATTCATATATCATACGGTTAATCTACTTAAAGTACACAATTCAATGGTTGTTAGTATATTTATAGTTGTGCAACTATCACTGATACAGAATGGCTGGGTTCCCAGCTAAACCCCACCCTTAAGCCTGGAATCACGGCCTTGAAAACAGCTGACCCTGTTTTTCTGCCCAAATGTTGTTTTTTTGGCCTGCCACGCCCCTATCCTGTGGCCATAAAAAAGACTTCAGCTGGCAGAGCAACACAAGCGGCTGAGCGGTGAGCAGAGAAGCAGCAAGAGTGTTGAAGACTACAGATAGACGCAGCTAACTTCAGATGGTGCGGCTTCAGGGAAAGATGACCCTCTTTCACCGTCTGCTTTCCAGTACCCATCCCACCAGGAGCCACCACTCAATCAAATCTTCCGCATACACTACTCTTCAATCCGTTCATATGACCTAATTCTTCCTGGACGCCGGACAGGTACCCCGGTGCCGAGAGGCCAGGGCTTGGACGCTGCTGTGAGGCCCGCACAGAGCCTATTCCCGCCAGAGAGGAGTGACCGGCCGGTTCCAGCATTCGGTCGCTCCGGTTCCCGCACTCGCACGCTCTGCCGCCAGGAGTGGCAGGAGGCGAGCTGAGTGAAATGAGCTGCTCCAGTTCCCGCCCACGAAGGGGGTTAAGATGAAGGGAACAATCCTGTCTCATCTGGGGGCCTGTCCAGGATATGAAAAACAGTGAGTTAAAATGAGGAACTTTTGGATCTGTGTCTTTTCCAAGACCGTGGCAACTCTCTCTTTCCTTTAGGTGAAAGGAATGTTGGTTTTGTTTCCCGTCACAGAGGTCTAGCAGGTCTGAACCAGGGGAGGGATACAGTGATTAAAGAAACCCATTTCAACAGAGCAAGAGGCTCTTCCCTCAGGTCCCCCCAACTTAGAGATACTTGAAGCTTTTTTTCTTTTCTAAGCGAGAGGATTCTTTTCCTACCTCAGCACTTTGCTTATGTTAGGGAGGCAACAGAGGAGCAACCCCTCCTGGCTGATAACTGCAAATTTGGCAAAGTCCATGTGGGACTTAAATCTAAATGAATCCATGCAGCCTCTGAAATACCTTCTTTTTTGGTCTCAAACTTGATTCTAAACTTCAGGTTGAGGCCCTAGAAAGGAAAACCAGATCTGAGGGAACCGAAGCCACGCAACAGTCCCAGTGTAAATGGGCAGGACCGATTCCTGCCAATTAACCCCCCGCTTCATGCAAGGAAGCCATGCTCCATGGTATAAATGAGGCCCAGGGAACTCAAAGGTTGTCGACAGTAGGGGAGGTAGAAGCACAGATGAGTGTGCGTAATTCCTATTTTCTAGGCCCTCCCTGCTTCCTGGGTGCAAGCCACATTGGCACCCATGGGTGGCACCTGCCAAGGTTGCCGAGACTCAGACAAAAAGAACAGAAAGGGAGAATGCCCGCTTTCTTTCTCCCTCACACCTCGAAATTTCACTGAAAGAAGAAAGGGAATGAGAGACGCCAAATTCCCTGTCTTTCAGAATGGGCAACCAACAAACGTGACCACCTCCAGTTTATACTTAGAAATGCACCCTGGGACCAGATAGTACTTTAGGGGACCTCCTGAAAGTAGCCACCTTGGTCATTTAGACACAAGGAAGAGGCAGAAGCTTTAATGACCACCATGCAAGCCCACAGACCCCAGAATTCCTCAGGTTCACCTGTTAACTGCCACAGATGTGACAAGAGCACTTATCTCTCTCATAAAGTTTAACTTCTCCCATACAAGGTTTAATTTCTTTCACCAGCGTGAGACAGCTTGGGGTACAATGTTACTAGTATATTTCACTTTTTATTTCTGTAATATTTCACACTAGATTCTTTCCTTGTATAATACATGTTTGATCCATGCATATTTGGCCATGTAAAGCTTGTTTTTTCTCTCACCTCGAGGCCATCAAAGCTCCAAACAGGCAGGCAGCCAGAGCCTCGGACTATGGCTCCCTTTCGCTGGGGATCCTTGGGTAGACTTCTGGGAGGAATCCAACTGCCGCTTTCGTTAAACAACGGAAAGACTGGTCGTTGTCCATATCCTAATGGCAGTTAGATGTGCCTCTTCAGAGGGGGGAAATGATACAGAACGGCTTGGCTCCTGGCTAAACCCCACCCTTAAACCTGGAACCACAGCCCTGTGTGAAAACAGCTCACCCCATTTTTGCCCTCAAATGTTGCTTTTTGGCCTGCCATGCTCCTATCCTGTGCCCATATAAAAAAGACTTCAGCTGGCAGAGCAACACAAGCGGCTGAGCGCCGGGTATATGCGCAGCAAGCAGAGAAGCAGCAACTGAGTGTCAGAGACTACAGATAGACGCCGCTAACTTCAGATGGTGTGGCTTCAGGGAAAAATCACTTTCTTTCCGCACCATCCCCTTTCCAACTCCCATCCTGCTGAGAGCCATTACCCAGTAAAATCTTCTACATACACTACCTTTCAATCCGTGTGGGTGACCTAATTCTTCCTGGATGCCAAACAAGAACTCAGGTGCCGAGAGGACAGGGGCTTGGATGCTGCTGTAGGGCCCGCACGGAACCTGCTTCCGCCAGAGAAGAGTGGCCAGGTCCAGGGTTCATTCTCTCCAGTTCCCACACTCCCTTGCTGGCACACTCTGTCTCATGAGGAGTGGCCAGTGGCAGGCTAAGTGAAATGAGCCACTTCCATTCCCACCCACGAAGTGGGTCAAGGGAACTATCCTGTCTCATTTCTATAATCAAGTTTAGAACATTTTTATCACCCCAAAATAATATTCTATGCCCATTAGCAGTCACTCCCCATTCCAACCCCAGTCCTTGGCAACCACTAATTTACTTTGTCACTGTAGATTTGTCTATTCTGGACATTTCATATAAACGAAATCATATAATGTGTTTTTTTTTGTGGTGGTTTCTTTCACTTAGCGCAATGCTATCAAGGTTGATCTATGTTGAAGTGTGTATGAGAATTTCATCCTTTCTTATTGCTAAATAATGTTCTACCGACTGGATGGATATACCACATTTTATTCATCCATTCATCAGTTGATGGACATTTGAATTGTTTCGTTTTCTGGTAGTTATGAATAATGTTGCTCTGAACATTTGTGTACAAGTGTTTGTGTAGATGAATGTTTTCATTTGGCCTGAGTATATACCTAGGATTAGAATTCCTGGATCATATAGTAACTCTATGTTTAACCTATCGAGGAAATGCCAGACTATTTTCCAAAGCTGTACCATTTTACATTCTCACCAGCAACGTACAAAAGTCCAAATTCCTCCACATCCTCACCAACACTTGTTATTGTCTGTCGTGTATATATATGCATGTATATATATATATACACATACATATAATAGCACAATATATATCATAAGCATAAATATAAAATGTATGTATATGTATACATACATACATATAGTGCAATTCTAGTGGTTTTGAAATATCTCATTGTGGTTTTGATTTACATTTCTGTAATGGCTAATGATGTTGAGCACCCTTTCATGTGCTTCTTGGCCATTTATACTTCTTTGTGGAAATGTCTGTTCACTTTGCCCACTTTTAATTTGTTATTTATCTTTTTATCATTGAGTTGTAACAGTTCCTTATACATTCTAGATACTAGACCCTTACCTGACATATGATTTGCAAGTATTTTCTCCAATTCTGTGGGCTGTCTGTTCATTTTCTTGGAAGTATCCTTTGATGAACACAAGTTTATTTTGATGGTATGTTTTGTTTAATTTCTCTTTGGTTACTTATGCTTTTGGTGATGCATCCAAGAAACCATCATTTGAACCAAGGTAAAAATATTTACTCGTGTTTTCTTCTAACATTTTTTATAGCTTTAGCTTTTATATTTATGCTTATGATATATCTTGTGCTATTTTTTGTATATGGTGTGAGGAAGGGTCTAACTTCCTACATTCTTTTACATGTAACTATATAGTTGTCTCAGCACCATTTGTGAATATTCTATCCTTTTACTCATTGTATGGTCTTGGCAACTTCATTAAAAATCAACTGACTGGGCCAGGTGTGGTGGCTCACACCTGTAATCCCAGCACTTTGAGAAGGTGAGGCAGGAGAATAGCTTGAGCCCAGGAGTTTGAGACCAGCCTGGGCAAATAGCAAGACTCTGTCTCTACAAAAAATAAAAAACAACAACAACAAAAATAGCCAGGCATGGTGTCTTGTGCCTGTGGTACCACCTGTGGTACTTGGGAGGCTGAGGTGGGAGAATTGCTTAAGCCAGGGAGGTCGAAGCTACAGCCATGATTGTGCCACTGCACTCCAGGCTGGGCAACAGAGTGAGACCCTGTCTTAAAAAAATAATAATAAATAAAAAATTGGCCAGGTGTGGTGACACACACCAGTAGTCCCAGCTACTCAGGAGGCTGAGGCAGGAGGATTGCTTGAGCCTAGGAGATTAAGGCTGCAGTGAGCCATGATTAGGCCACTGCACTCTAGCCTGGGCAACAGACTGAGACCGTGTCTCAAAAAAAAAAAAAAAAAAAAAAAAAAAACTCACTGTAAACTGAGTGGGATGGCATGTGCCTATAGTCCCAGCTGCTTGGGAAGCTGAGGTGGGAGGATTTCTTGAGCCCAAAAGTGTGGTGTTGCAGTGAACTATGACAGTGCCTCTGCACTCCAGCCTGAGTAACAAGGCAAGACACTGTCTTAACAAAAAAATCAACAGACTGTAAATGTAAGGGGTTATTTCTACACTGTTAATTCTGTTCCACTGATGTATAGTCTGTTCTGTTTCATGACCATACTGTCTTTATTACAGTAGCTTTGTAGTAAGTTTCAAATCAGGAAGGGTGAGTCCTCCAATTTCGTTCTTTTTTCCTGATTGCTTTGGTTATTCTGAGTTACTTGAATTTCCATATTAATTCTAAGATCAGCTTGTCTATTTCTGTAAAAACTTCAGTGATGTTTTGATAAGGATTGCATTGACTCTGTAGATCAGTTAGGGGAATGTTGTCATCTTAATAATAGTAAGTCTTCTAATCCATTATGAAGTGTATCTTTGTTTTTTTAGATCTTCTCTAATTTCTTTCAATAATGTTTTGTAATTTCCCATGTATGTATCTCAGATTTTTTTTGTTGCTGTTGTTAAATTTGATCCTCAGTATTTTATTCTTTTTGGTGTCATTATCAAAAAATTATTTTTATTGATTTTCTTTCAGATTGTTCATTACTAATGTGTAGATATATAATTGATTTCTGTGTATTGGTCTTGTATTTTGCAAACTTGCTGAAACTGTTTATAGTTCTTATAGTTTTTTTTAGTAGATTCCTTAGGGTTTTCTTTATACGGGATTATCATTTTCAAATAGAGATAGTTTTGCTTCTTCCTTTCCAATCTGGATGACTTTTATTTGTTTTTCTTACCTAATTTCCCTGGCTAGAACCTCCAGTACAATGGTGAATAAAAGTAATAAAAGCAGACACATTGTCTGTTCTTGATTTTAGGGGAAAGCATCCAGTATTTTACCATTAAATTGATGTTAACTGTAGGTTTTTTATAGATGCCCTTAATCTGGTTGAGGAATTTTCCTTCTGTACCTAATTTGTTGAGTGTTTTTATCATGAAAATGCATTTGATTTTGTCAAATGTTCTTTCTGCATCTAATGAAATGATCATGTGGGTTTTATCCTTTATTCAGCATATATATATTTTAAACTTTAACAGATAATACAAAATTGCTCTCAAAAGCTATAGCAATTTATATTTCCAAAAGAAATCATGAAATTTCCCATTTCCTCATTTTCAGCAATGGTTATTATTAAGTTTTTTTACCTGTCAGTCTAATAGATGAAAAATGCTATCTCATTGTTTTGTTTCTGATAACTAATGAAGTTGAAGCTGTTTTAATACTTTTGTTACTTTTTCTTGCAAATTGCTTGTCAATATCCTTTGATCATTTTTTCTACAGCCTCTTTTGTCTTTATTGTAAATTTGTGGAAACTTCTTATATATTATAGCGATTTAGTCCATGCCAGTTACGAATATTATAGACATTTTCTTGAAGGTCATAAAAAGATACTTCTGGAGAATAGAAGAAATCACTTTGCCTCAAACACATTAAAATGACTTTTTACCTAAGATCTTAGGTTAGAAATATATAAAACTCAGTGACTCTTTTTTTAGGCCTTAAAAAAAGTCAAGGGTTTTTCATCACATCTTTGACACATTTAAAATTATATTCTCAGATTCTACTGATGTCTTTTTGCTAAAAAAAAAAAAAAAAAAAAAGAAAACTGATCATAAAGAAACTGAAAGTTTCTGGGTGTTAAAAACTATCATTATAACTATGTCTCATAATTTTCCATGCTTCCTTCTGGTCTCTTTCAATTATATACTAACCTGCTCTTGCCTGCTGAGATGAATTGTCATTCCCAAAGAAAATGGTAGTTTGTGTCTTTCAAAGAATTTTAGTAGTTCGTCCCAGTTGCTGAATTTAAAGGCATAACGTTGCTTATAATATATTCTTATTATACATTTAATATCTGTAGAATCTTTTTTTTTCTTTTTTTTGAGATGGAGTCTTGCTCTGTTGCCCAGGCTGGAGTGGTGCGATTTCGGCTCACTGCAACCTCCACCTCCCGAGTTCAAGCCATTTTCCTGTCTCAGCCTCCTGAGTAGCTGGGATTGCAAGCACACACTACCATGCCCAGCTAATTTTTGTATTTTTAGTAGAGACGAGATTTCATTACGTTGGCCAGGCTGGTCTCGAACTCCTGACCTCAAGTGATCCACCTGCCTCAGCCTCCCAAAATGCTGGGGTTACAGGCATGAGCCATGGCGCCTGGCCTGTAGAATCTTTAAATTAATTTACCTCTCTCATTCCTGATCTTGGTCATTATATCTTTGCTTATTTTTTCTGATCAGGCTGGCTATAGGTTTGTCAATGTTACTCATCTTCTCACATAACCAGCTTTGTTTTTATGTATTGTTCTCTAATGTTTTTCTAGTTCCTATTTTATTGACTTCAGATGTGGTCCTATTATTTACTTTATTCTGATTAGTTTGGATTTTATTTTCTTTCCCAGTTTTTTAAGATAGAAGCTAAGCTCATTGCTTAACAACCTTTCTTTTTTTCTAATATAGGTGTGTAATTCTCTAAATTCCCCTCTAATGCTTATGGTGTATTCCACATATTTTAACACGTTATATTATCTCAGTTTCAAAACTCAAATTTCCTTATTGATTAATTTGACCTATTAGTTACTTAGAAGTATGTTTTTTAAATTTTCAAGTTTTGAGGGATTTTTCAGATATTTTTCTGTCATTGATATCTGATATAATTATATTCAAGAACATACATTGTATGATTTCAATTCTTTCAAATGTTTAAGTTTTGTTTTATAACCCAAGACGTATGGCCTCACTTTATCAATGTTCCAGGTGCATTAAAGAGAATGTTTCACTTTTCTTTTGTTTTGGATATTTTGGGTTTTTGTTTTAGCAATGGGGGTCTTGCCCTCTCACACAGGCTGAAGTACAATGGCGTGATATAGCTCACTGCAGCCCCGAACTCCTGGGCTCAAGCGATGCTCCCACCTCACCCTCCTGAGTAGCTGGAACTAAAGATAGTGTATATATTTTTTTGGGGGTGGATTGTTTTGTAAATGTCAACTAGGTCGAGCTGATTAATAGTGTTGTTCAAGTCTTTTATACCCTTACGGATTTTCTGTCTACTTGTTCTGTTATTGAGTCAAGGGAATTGAAATCTCTGACTCTAACGGTGGGCTTCTCTATTTCTCCTTGAAGTTCATAGACTTTTTTTGCTTCATTTACTTTATTTTTTAATTTTTTTCTTCATCTGCTGGTAAGAACAAAGATTCTTCATGTATTTCAAAGCTTTGTTATTAGGTGTTTAAATATTTGGAATTATTTGGAAGACCGAGTTCAATTTCTTGATGGGTAGCCAAAATAAATAAATCCATAAATGTTTAGGGTTATTGTGTCCTCTGGACAAATTGACTCATTTATTATAAAGTTACCCTCTTTATTCTTGAAAACATTTTTTGCTCTACAATATACTTTGATATTAATAAAGTCTCTACCATTTTATTTTGATTAGTGTTAACATGGCGTGTTTTTTCTGTTAACATTTAACTTGTTCGTGACTTTGTGTTTAAAATGGATTTGTTGTAAGTAGGATATTGTTGAGTCTTATTTACCTTATCCAATCTGACAATATCTGCCTTAAAATAACTTTTTAAATTTTTATAGATTTAGCAGGTACACATGCAGTTTTGTTAAGTGGATATATTGCATAGTGACAAAGTCTGGACTTTTAGTGTACCCATTGCCCAAATAGTGAACATTGTACTTAATAGGTAATTTTTCAACCCTCACACCTTCCCACCTTTTGGAGTCTCCAATACTAATTACTCTACTCTTTATGTCCCTGTGTACCCATTATTTAGCTTCCACTTATATGTAAGAACATGCATTTATTTCAGTTAGGGTCTTGGCCTCCAGTTGTTCCATACACATTGCTGTAAAATACATGATTTCATTCTTTTTTTATAGCTGAGTAGTATTCCATGGTGTATATACCCTACATTTTCTTTATTCAATCATCCATTGATGGACATTTAGATTGATTCCATGACTTTGCTATTGTGAATAGTGCTGCGGTAAACATTCAAGTGCAGGTGTCTTTTACATAAGGATTTCTTTTGATAGTTCCACTTTCAGCTCTTTGAGAATGCTCCATACTGTTTTTCTTAGAGGCTGTACTAATTTACATTCTCACCAACAGTGTATAAGCATTTTCCTTTCTCCACCTTCTCACCAACATATATTGTTTTTGACTTTTAGTAATAGCCATTCTGAATGGTATAAGATAGTATCTCATTGTGGTTTAAATTTGCATTTCTATGATGATTAGTAATGGTGAGCATTATTTCATATGTTTGTTGGCTGCTTGTATGTCTTCTTTTGAGAACTGTCTGTCCACACCCTTTGCTCACTTTTTAATAGGGTTATTTGTTTTTTTCTTATTGACCTGTTTGAGTTCCTTGTAGATTCTGGATATTAGCCTTTTGTTAGATGCATAGTTTATGAATATTTTTTCCCATTTTGTAGGTTGTCTGTTTACTCTGTTGATTGTTTCTTTTGCTGTGCAGAAGCTTTTTAGTTCAATTAAGTCCCATTTGTCTATTTTTGTTGCATTTGCTTTTGAGAACATAGTCATAAATTATTTGCCTAGGTCAATGTCCAGAAGAGTTTTTCCCAGGTTTTTTTTTTCTAGGATTTTCATAGTTTCCAGTCTTATGTTTAAGCCTTTAGTCCATCTTGAGTTAATTTTTGTATATGGTAAGTAAACGGGTTCAATTTTATTCTTCTGTATATGGCTATCCAGTTTCCCAGCACCATTTATTAAATAGAGTGTCCTTTCCTCCCAATGTATGTTTTTGTCAGCTTTGTCTAAGATCAGTTGGTTGTAGATATTTGGCTTTATTTCTGGGTTCTCTATTCTGTTCAATTGATCTATGTGTCTATTTTTATACCAGTACAATGCTGTTTTGGTTACTATAGCCTTGTAGTATAATTTGAAGTCAAGTAATGTGATGTTTCCAACTTTGTTCTTTTTACTTAGGATAGCTTTGGCTACTCAGGCTTTTTTTGGGTTGCATGTGAATTTTGGAATTGTTTTTTCTAATTCTGTGAAAAATGACATTGGTAAGTTGATAGAAATTGCATTGAATCTGTAGATTGCTTTGGGCGGTATGGTCATTTTAATGATACTGATTTTTTCAGTCCATGAGCATAAGATATTTTTCCATTTGTTTCTGTCCTCTATGATTTCTTTCATCAATGTTTTGTAGTTCTTCTTGTAGAGATCTTTCATTTCCTTGGTTACATGTATTCCTAGGGGTGTGTGTGTGTGTGTGTTGTAGCTATTGTAAATAGAATTGCCTTCTTGACTTGATTTTCAACTTGATTATTATTGGTGTATAAAAATGCTACTCATTTTTATTCATGGATTTTTGTATCTTACAAATTCACTAAAGTAATTTATCAAATCTAAGAGTGTTTTGAAGGAGTCTTTAGGGTTTTCTAGGTATAAGGTCATATCTGCATCAAACAGATAATTTGACTTCCTCTTTTCCAACTTGGGTGTCTTTTATTTCTTTCTTTCTCTTGCCTGATAGCTCTAGCTGGGACTTCCAGTACTATGTTGAATAAAAATAATAAAAATGGGCTTCCTTTTTCTGTTTCAGTTCTTACATGGAATGCTTTAAACTTTTCCTCATTTAGTGTGATGTTGGCTGTTGGTCTGTCATAGATGGCTTTTATTATTTTAAGGTATGTTCTTTCAATGCTTAGTTTGTTGAATTTTTTTTAAACTATGAATGGATGCTAAATTTGCATCCTCTCCTTCCTTCCTTCCTTCCTCCTCTCCTTCCTTCCTCCTCTCCTTCCTTCCTTCCTCCTCTCCTTCCTTCCTTCCTCCTCTCCTTCCTTCCTTCCTCCTCTCCTTCCTTCCTTCCTCCTCTCCTTCCTTCCTTCCTCCTCTCCTTCCTTCCTTCCTCCTCTCCTTCCTTCCTTCCTCCTCTCCTTCCTTCCTTCCTCCTCTCCTTCCTTCCTTCCTCCTCTCCTTCCTTCCTTCCTCCTCTCCTTCCTTCCTTCCTCCTCTCCTTCCTTCCTTCCTTCCTCCTCCCCTTCCTTCCTTCCTCCTCCCCTTCCTTCCTTTCTCCTCCCCTTCCCTCCCTCCCTCTCTCCCTCCCTCTTCTTTCCGTTCTGTTCTTTCTTTCCGTTCTGTTCTTTCTTTCCGTTCTGTTCTCTTTCCGTTCTGTTCTTTCTTGCCGTTCTGTTCTTTCTCGTTTCCTGGCTTTGGTATCAGGGCAATCAATATTGGATTCATAGAATGAGCTAGGGAGGTTTCTCCCCTTCTCAGTTTTTTGGAACAATTTCAGTAAGATTGGTACCAGTTCTTCTTGTAGGTCTGGTAGAATTCAGCTATAAATCTATCTGATCTTGGGCCTTTTTTTAAATTGGGAGATTTTTTTTTAATTACTGATTTAATTTCATGACTTATTATTCACCTGTTTAGGGCTTTTATTTCTTCCTGGTTCAATCTTGGGAGGTTGCATATTTCCAGGATTTATCCATTTCTTCTAGGTTTTTCAGTTTACTCCTGTAGAGATGCTCATAGTACTTTCTGATGATCTTTTGTAGTTCTGTGATATCGGTTTTAATGTCATCTTTATCATTTCTGATTGTGCTCATTTGAATTTTATCTTTTTTTCTTGGTTAATCTAGTAGCAATCTATCAATTTTGTTTATCTTTTCAAATAACCAGCTTTTTGTTTCATTAATCCTTTCTTTTTTTCTTTTTTGTTTCTATTTCATTTAGTTCTGCTCTTATCGTTGTTATTTCTTCTGCCAGCTTTGGGTTTGGCTTCTTCTTGTTTTTCTAGTTCTTGTGGTGTGACATTGGGCTGTTAACTTGAGATATTTCTCATCTTTCAATCTGGTTTTGTTTGTTTGTTTTTTGAGATGAAATCTTGCTCTGTAGCCCAGGCTGGAGAGCAGTGGCACGATCTTGGCTCACTGCAATCTCTGCCTCACCGCTTCAAGCAGTTCTCCTGCTTCAGGCTCCTGAATAGCTGGTATTACAGGCACCTGCCACCAGGCCCAGATAATTTTTGTATTTTTAGTATAGGCGGAATTTCACCATGTTGGTCATGCTGGTCTCTAACTCCTGACCTCAAGTGATCCACCTGCCTTGGCTTCCCAAAATGCTGGGATTACAGGTGTGAGCCACTGCACCTGGCCTTTCTGCTTAATGTAGGCATTTAACCCCATAAACTTCCCTTTCAGCACTGCTTTTGCTGTAACCCACAGGTTCTGGTATGTTTTGTCTCTATTTTCACTCATTAAAAATTTTAAAATATGTTCTGCCTTAATTTAATCACTTAACTAAATATTATTCAGGAATAGGTTGTTTAATTGTTTAGTTTTGAGAGTTCATCTTCATACTGATTTCTATTCTTGCTTCCATGTTGTCCAAGAAGATACTTGTTACGATTTCAATTTTTAAAAAATTTATTGAGACTTTGTGGGCTAGCATATGGTATATTTTGGAGACTATTCCATGCACAGATAATATTCTGTGGTTGTTAGGTAGACTGTTCTATAAATGTCTGTTCAGTGTATTTGATCTCACTCTGTCGACCAGGCTGGAGTGCAGTGGTATGATCTCAGCTCACTGCAACCTTCACCTCCTGGGTTCAAGCGATTCTCCTGCTTCAGCCTCCCAAGTAGCTGGAATTACTGGTAGGTGTCAGCATGTCTGGCTAATTTTTGTATTTTTAGTAGAGATGGGGTTTCGCCATGTTGGCCAGGGTGGTCTCGAACTCCTGACCTCAGGTGATCCACCCACCTCGGCCTCCCAGAGTGCTAGGATTACAGGCATGAGCCACCATGCCCTACCAGTCTATTTGATCTTGAGTCCAGTTTAAGTCTAGTGTTACTTTATTGAATTTCTGCCTCAGTGATCTGTCTAGTGCTGTCAGTGGGGTGTCGACATCCCCCACTGTTATTGTATTGCTGTCTATTTTCTTACATCTAATAGTATTTGTTTTATGAACTTGGGTGCTCTGGTGTTGGGTGCATATATATTTAGGATTGTTACATCTTGTTTAGTTGGTCCCTTTATCATATAATGACTTTTTTGCTCTTTTTTCACTGTTATTGACTGTTTTACCTGTTATAAAGTCTGTTTTATCTGATGTAAGTATAGTTACTCCTGCTTGCTTTTGATTTATGTTTGCATAGAATATATTTCCCACCCCTTTACTTTGAGTCTGTAAATGTTTTTACCCATTAGGTAAGTTTCTTATAAACTGCATAAGCTTGGATTTTTTTTTTAAAAAAATTCATTCCCCCAGACTATATCTCTTAAGAGGAGAATTTAGTCCATTTAAGTTCAAGGTTAGTATTGATATGTAAGGTTTTTTTCCTGTTATAACGTGGTCCTGTAGTCTCAATTGTGTAATTGCTTTATGAGATCTGTGAGTTTTAAACTTTCATGTGCTTTTATGATGGTGAATGTTACTCTTTCATTTCCATCTTTAGAACTCCTTTGAACATTTCTTGTAGAACCAGTCTGGTGGTGATGAATTCTTTTAGGGTTTGCTTGTCTGGGAAAGACTTTATTTCTCCTTCATTTATGAAGCTTAGTTTAGCAGGACACGAAATTATTGGCTGGCAGTGTTTTTCTTTAGAAGACAGAAAATAGGGCTTCTATCTCTTCTGGCTTGTAAGGTTTCTTCTGAGAAGTCCACTGTAAATCTGATGGGATTGTGTGCATATATACACACACATATGTATGTGTATGTGTGTGTATATATGTTATTAGATGCTTCTGTCTTGTTGCTTTTAGGATTTCTCCTTTTATGGTGAGTTTGGAAAGCCTGATGATTATATGCCTTGATGAAGTTTATCTTGCAAAGTATCTCTCAGGTGTTCTTTCAGTTTCTTTTATCTGGATGTCTGAATCTCTAGCAAGACCAGTGAAGGTTTCCTGAATTACTTTCTCAAATAGGTTTTTCTTCTCCCTCAAGAATACCTATTACTTTTAGATTTGGTCGATTTACATACTCCCATATTTCTTCAAGTCTTTTTACATTTTAAAAGTTCTTTGTTCTTTATTTTTGTCTGACAAGGTTAATTTGAAAGAACTGTCTTCAAACTCTGAAATTCTTCTGCTTGGTCTAGTCTATTGTTAAAGCTTTTCAACTGTATTTTGTAATTCCTTCAATGAGCATTTCATTTCCAGAAGTTTTGTTTTGTTTTTTTAAAAAAATCTCTTTAGTAAATTTCTCATTTATATCCTGAATTGTTTTTTTGATTTATTTGTATTGGTTTTCAACTTTCTCTTGGATCTCCTTTTCTTTTCTTTTTTTTTTTTTTTTTTGAGACAGAGTCTTGTTCTGTCGCCCAGGCTGGAGTGCAGTGGCATGATCTTGGCTCACTGCAAGCTCTGCCTCCTGGGTTCATGCCATTCTCCTGCCTCAGCCTCCCAAGTAGCTGGGACTACAGGCACCCGACACCATGCCCAGCTAATTTTTTGTATTTTTAGAAAAAACGGTTTCACCGTGTTAGCTAGGATGGTCCCAATTTCCTGACGTTATGATCCGCCCTCCTCGGTCTCCCAAAGTTCTGGGATTACAGGCATAAGCCACCGCACCTGGCCCTTTCTTGGATCTCATTGAGCTTCCTTACAATCCATATTTTAAATCCTTTATCTGTCATTTCAGAATTTTCATTTTGGTTAGGATTCATTGCTAGAAAGCTAATGTGATCCTTTGGGTGGTATTGAAGCACTCTGCTTTTTAATATTGCCAGAATACTTATGCTGGTTCCTTCTTATCTGGAGAAGCTGTCACTTCTTATTTTTTAATTTACTTTTGCTTGAATGGGACTTTTAAAAAGCATTTCCCCCACTTGAGGGTATGACTGTAATGTATATTGTGTGGTTGTTTGGCTTTGATTCTGTGTGCTTTCAGGGGCCCAAGTCTTATGAGTTTCTTGGTTATAAATAGCCTTTGTGCGGTGGCTTTCTCAAATCCTGGTTGTAGCAGTGATATGCTGAGCATATGAACACGCTTACTGCACATGGTGGGACTAGAATTGCAGAGGTCTCAAGAAGCTTATTTTATTCGACAGTACTGTGCACTTCTATCAGCACATTTTATTTTTATTTTTTATTCATCTATTCTTTTTTTTTGAGACAGGGTCTCCCTCTGTCACTGAGGCTGGAGTGCAGTGGGATTATCTTGGCTCACTCCAGCCTCAACCTCTTGGGCTCAAGCAATCCTCCCACCTCAGCCTCCTGAGTAGCTGGGACTACAGGTGTGTGCCACCACACCTGGCTACTTTTTGTATTTTTAGCAGAGACGGGGGTTTTGCCATGTTGCCTAGGCTGGTCTTGAACTCCTGGGCCCAAGCAGTGCCCCCACCTTAGCCTTCCAAAGTGCTGGGATTACAGGTATGTGCCACAATGCTTGGCTTCTATCAGCACATTTTAAATTAGATTATGCAGTTCAACCTCAATATCAGTAGGTGGCACTTATGGGTAAGAGCCGGTTGTGGCAGAAGCTGATTGGTATGCTCTTGATCTTTGTTTACCAGGAGGGGCACTCTGTTGTCTCAGTGGGTGGGCTGGTCTGTGGAATGCCCGGTGCTTGGAGTTCCCTGCTCAACCCTGAGGTGGGGACAAAGCTGGGCAGCACTGGACTGCTAAATTCACCCACAGATACCTCAATGATCCATTCAAGTACCAGACCTGATGGGACTGATGACAGAAGCTGTGAAGGGAGGGATTCTGCACCAACTCCACATGCTGAGCAGTCAGGAAAACAAACCACATCCCTATCATACCCTTGTCCAGAGGCCCCTGACTTTCAGTTCAAATAAAATCTGTCATTTATCTCCAGTCTGCAATGTAGCTGAAGGCTGTGGAAGACACCAGTACAAAACCTCTCTGTGTAAATGGCTTCAAGGTGGAACCTCTTCCCTCAGCCCCAAGCTGACAGTTTTGCAGGTTGCCCAATCTCCACTGCAGGAATGCTGATACTCCCTATAGAGAGGACGAGGGGCCAGCCATTCATGCAAGCCCAGGCCTGGTGGGTACATACCCAGGGAGGTACAGCTGCCCCTAATAGCATTGGAATGGTCATCTATAGGCATACCCATGCCAGTCTCTTGCCAGAAGAGCTGTGGTTGCATCCAGAGCAATGGGTAAGGGGGAAGAAGTCTCCCTCTACACATCTGTCTGCAAGCACTGGTACCATCTGGCTGCACCCACGTCTCCAATGGGAGAAGTGCAGTCACCTTCAGCTCACAAGTGAGGAGCTCTTAGGCACAGAAAAACACATGCTTTGGTGTCCTTAGTCCCAAGGGGTGCTTTGGCACACTGCACTCTTTCTTCCTGTAGGAAATTTGCATTGAAGGTTAGACCTCTGGGAATCCTGCAGCTCCCTGGGTCCTGCCAGTCCTTTGTGGTTGCCACAGTCCAAGGTGCTGGGGAATGTTTTGCAGGGGGTCCAGTGATGCAGAGACACAAGGACTGAGATGTCCAGGGTGGGACAGAGGCCCACAATGGGTGCACAACCAGTATGGTGTCCACCATCTCAGCTAAGGTCTGGACTGAGGGCAGTGACCCTGCACAAGCTGGTAGCCTAGTGCTCAGCCCTCAAGAAGTTCCCAAATCACTGCCTACGCCAATGCTAGAGCTTGCAAGTGCAGAGTGGCTGACCAACAATTCAGAAAAGAATAGTTTGCTGCAGGAGTGAGGGGAGCAAACAACACCCTCACCTACCTTTTCCACAGGACTCCAAGTTCCTCAGGGTTCAATCTCTGCCATAACCTTGCTTCATTCTTTTTATTTTCTTTTTTTCTTTTTTGTTTTCGAAAAAGGGTCTTGCTTTGTCACCCAGGCTGGAGTGCCATGGAGCAATCACTGCTCACTGCAACCTTGACCTCCTGGGCTCAAGCAATCCTCCCACTTCAGCCTCGTAAGTAGCTGGCATGCACCACCACAGCCAGGTAACTTTTTGACTTTTAGAAGAGGTGAGGTCCCTGTATGTTGTCCAGGCTGGTCTCAAACTTCTGAGCTCAAGCACTCCTCCTGCCTTCGCCTTCCAAAGGATTGGGATTGCAGACATGATCCACTGCGCCCAGCCTTATTTTTTTTTCTGCATCTCAACTTTTTCTTGTGATTTCTGTAATATGCCCTTGCACTCTTCTCTCAGTATTTTACTGGGGCCATGATTATTCCCCTGTAACCTTGGTTCGTTTTTTCTGAGAACTGGCATCCAATGTCTCTAGTAAGCCATCTTGAAAAACCTCTGCCTTTTAATTGAGGTGTTTAGATCATATAAATTTATATGATAGTATGAATATTGAAATGTTTGGGTTTAAATCTATCATCTTGCAATTTGTTTTGTGTGTACTACTGTTCTTTGTTCACTTTTTTTCTTTTTCTGCCTCATTTTAGATTGAATATTTTATTCTATTTTATCTCCGTTATTAGCTTATCAGCTATAATTCTTCTATGGTTTTTTAGTGGTTGCTTTATGGTTTACAGTATACATCTTTAACTTATCACAGTATATCTTAAAGTGATATTAAATCATTTTTCATATAGTATAACACCTTAAACATTATATTTGCATTTGTTTCCTCCCAGGCTTTGTGCTATTATTGTTACATATTTTACTCTTTCATGTTATAGACCCCAGAATATATTGTTATTTTTACTTTAAGCAGTCAATTATCTTTTTAAGAGATTTAAACAATAAGAGATAATATCTTTATAATTATTCACATAGTTGCCATTTCTGGTGCTCTTCATTCCTTTGTGTAGATGCAGATTTCCATCTGGTATCATTTTTCTTCTGATTGAAGAACTTCCTTTAACTTTTTTTTTTTTTTTGAGATGGAGTTTCACTCTTGTTGCCCAGGCTGTAGTGCAATGGCGCGATCTCAGGTCACTGCAACCTCTGCCTCCCAGGTTCAAGTGATTCTCCTGCTTCAGCCTCCTGAGTAGCTGGGATTACAGGCATGCACTACCAAGCCTGGCTAATTTTGTATTTTTAGTAGACATGGGATTTCTCTATGTTGGTCAGGCTGGTCTCAAACTCCCGACCTCAGGTGATCCACCCGCCTCGACCTCCCAAAGTGCTGGGATTACAGGTGTGAGCCACCGTGCCTGGCCCTTTAACATTTTTTATAGTGAAGTTCTGCTTGCTGGTGATGAATTCTTTTAGGTATGAAAGAGTTTTTGTTTGCCTGCATTTTTAACAGACATTTTTTCTAAGTATAGAATTCTAGGTTAATACTTTATTTCTTTTAGTATTTTAGATATGTTACTCCACTGTCTTCCAGCTTGGATTGTTTACAATGAGAAAT
The DNA here is from genome assembly GCF_000001405.40 of Homo sapiens. Classification (NCBI taxonomy): domain Eukaryota; kingdom Metazoa; phylum Chordata; class Mammalia; order Primates; family Hominidae; genus Homo; species Homo sapiens. Next base: position 180,852,805 of record NC_000003.12, on the reverse strand, counting down.
CTGTGCTCTTTTTTATCCTATTTCTTATGTACGTAGTGTGTTTTTCCCTACTGGCTGCTTTTAAGATTTTTCTCTTTATCAATAATTTTAAGCAATTTGTTAATGATGTGACTTACTATATTTTTCTTCATGTTTTTGGGCTTATGGTTCATTCATATTTTTAAATATATGGGATTATAGCATTTATAAAATTTGGAAAATTCTTAGATGTTATTTCTTCTAATGTTCTTTTTTGCCTTCCCATCTCTCCTCTCCTTTGGAGACCTCAGTAATGCTTGCGTTAGACTACTTGAAGCTCTTCTGCAGCTTAAAAATGTTCTGTTAATTTTTTTCATCTTCTTTCCCCGTCTAGATTTTTCATTTTGTATAGTTTCTATTTCTACATTTTTCATTCACTAATCTTTTCTTCTGCAACGTCTTCCTGTAGTTAATTTCATTCCATGTATTTTTCACCTCAGACATTGTAGTTTTCATGCATGTTCAATCATTTCTGTAACTTACTGAACATATGGAATATAGTTATAATATGCTTAAAATATGTGTTTTAATGTCCTCTATTTTATAATCAGTGTCATTTCTGGATTAGTTTGTATTGATTCATTTTTATTCTCGTTAAGTAAGAGTCATTATTCCTCTGCTTATCTGCATGCCTGGTAATTTTTGACTATATGTAAGAGATTATAATTTTACATCATTGGGTAAAATAAATTACTTTTTTTAAATTTTATTATTATTATACTTTAAGTTTTAGGGTACATGTGCACAATGTGCAGGTTTGTTACATATGTATACATGTGCGATGTTGGTGTGAATAAATTACTTTTCAATACCTATGAATATTATTGAATTTTTCCTGGGATATGGTTAAGTTACATGGAAATGATTTGATCTTTCTGGATCACATTTTGTTAGGCAGTACCAGAGTAGCATTTACTCTCAGACTTATTTTGTTCTACTTCTGAGGCAAAATGTTTTTATATAATCTACCTTGTATTGCACAAATTATGAGATTTTTCCAATCTGAGTGAGAACAGGAATGATTTTCAGTCTTGTATGAGGATTGTACCTTTGAACCATTGAATATTTTTTTCCCTGGTGTCTTGTATTTTCCTTACATGTATACATTGATTAGTACTCGGTTGAATATGCTAAAAGCATCCTCTGCAGACCTCTGGAGTTCTCACTCAGTGCAGATTTCTCTCTCTAGCACTCTGCTTTGTGAATTCTACCTGCCTTGGCTGGTCTCGAACTCCTGGCCTCATGTGATCTGCCTGTCTCGGCCTCCTAAAATGCTGGAATTACAGGCGTGAGCCACCATACCCGGCCACTTTATCTGTTTTGTATTTAATTGTAAAGCTCACCTAATTTGTTTCCTTTCTCTCAGATATGAGTAGCCTTTTTTGTCTAACGTCCAGTGTATTTTAAGCTGTCACATCAAACTAAAAAGTTTCTACACAGTACAGGAAACAATCAACAGAATGAAGAGACCACCTATGAAATAGGATAAAAAAGTTGTAATCCACATATCTGATAAGGGGCTAATATCTTATAAAACATATAAGAAACTCAAAAAAGTCAATAGGAAGAAACCAAATAACCTGATTAAAAAATGGGCAAAGGAACTGAATAGAACTTTCTAAAAAAAAAAAAAAAAAGACATACAAATGACCAACAGGTGTGTGAAAAAATGCCCAATATCTCTAATCATCAGGGAAATGCAAATCAAAACTACAGAGATATTCATACCTGTTAGAATGACTATTATCAAAAAGATAAAAGATAACAAGTGTTGGCAAGGATATGGAGAAAAGGAAGCACTTGTGCACTGTTGGTGGGAATGTAAATTTGTAGAGCCATTTTAGAAAACAGCATGGGGGTTCCTCAAAAAACTAAAAATTAAATTACTATGTGATCCAACAGTACTGCTACTGAGTATCTATCTAAAGGAATTGAGGCTGGGTGCGGTGGCTCATGCCTGTAATCCTGGCATTTAGGGAGGCTGAGGCAGGTGGATCACTTGAGCTCAAAAGTTTGAGACCACCCTGACCAATATGGTGAAGTCCCATCTCTACTAAAAATACAAAAATTAGCCAGGTGTGGTGGCGGGCACCTGTAATCACAACTACTTGGGAGGCTGAGGCAGGAGAATCTCTTGAGCCCAGGAGGTGGAGGTTGCAGTGAGCTGAGATTGTGACATTGCACTGTAGCCTGGGTGACAGAGCACAGTGAGTCTCTGTCTCAAAAAAAAAAAGAATTGAAATCAATATGTCATCAGATATCTGCACTCCCATGTTTGTTGCAGACAAGATGCATAATCAAGCTTAGTGTCCATCAGCAGATGAATGGATAAAGAAAATGTGGTACGTGTACACAATGAAATACTACTCAGCCTTTTCTAAAAAGAGGAAATCTTGTCATTCACAGCAACATAGGTAAACCTAGGGGACATTATGCAAAGTGAAATAAACCAGGCACAGAAAGGCAAATATAATCTGTCTTATATGTGGAGAATAAAAAAATTGAACTTGGCTGGGCGCGGTGGCTCACGCCTGTAATCCCAGCACTTTGGGAGGCCAAGGCAGGTGGATCACAATGTCAGGAGATTGAGACCATCCTGGCTAACATGGTGAAACCCCGTCTCTACTAACAATACAAAAAACTAGCTGGACTTGGTGGCAGGCGCCTGTAGTCCCTGCTACTTAGGAGGCTGAGGCAGGAGAATGGCATGAATCAGGAGGCAGAGGTTGCAGTGAGCCGAGATCGTGCCACTGCACTCCAGCCTGGGTGACAGAGTGAGACTCTGTCTCAAAAAAAAAAAAAAAAAAAAAAAAAATTGAACTCATGGAAGCAGAAAGTAGGATGGTGATTGCCTGGTCTGGGAGTCAGGGATGGAGGCAGCAGAAATGAGATGTTGATCAAAGGGTACAAAGTTTCAGTTAGACAGGATGAATAAATTCTGGGAATTTATTGTGCAGCATGGTAACTGTAATTAATAGTAATGTAGGATATGATTGAAAATTGCTAAAAGAGTAGGTTTTATGTGTTATCACCACAAAAATGCTAAGTATGTGAGGTGATGAATATGTTAATTAACTTGATTTAATTCACAATGTATACAGATATCAAAATGTTATGTTGTACATTGTAGATATATATAATTTGTCAATTATACCTTAATAAAGCTGGAAGGAAATAAAAAGAAATCATATTTTAAAACACCATTATTTGATATATTTTATCTGATTTTTGGTTATTTCAGGTGGGGCAGTATATCTGGTCCCTGGTACTTCACATTGGCCAGAAATAGACATCCTTCATACCATTTAACTGCCTATTTGCCCAACCAAGTATAAAGCCTCAGCTTCCTACCTTTGTAAATCAGACTACTCAAAATAACTTCAACTCCAAGAATTTCTGGCATCTTCCTCCCATCACCTTATTCCTGCTCATTATTTCTTTGTGTCATGTATTGACTTGTTAATAAGCCAGGGCTAATGAATGAATGTTTTCTATCCTATGCATTGATTTTTAAAGAAAATTTTAAAAAGTAATTCTTCTGCTTATAATAGTAAAAATGCTCGGTCTAAGGACACTGTGTCAAGAATAATTTAAAAATCACCTGTAATTACACCCCTCAGAGATAAATGCTGTAAATATGCTGTTGTTAGTTTACCTCAGGATCGTTTCTATATACAGATGCTCCTGGACTTTTGATGGGGATATGTCCCAGTAAACCCATTGTAAGTTGAAGATATTGTAAGACAAAAATGCACTAATACACCTAACCTATTGAACATCACAGCTTATCCTGGCCTACCTTAAATGTGCTCAGAACACTTCCACTAGCCTACAGTTGGAGAAAATTAACCAAAAGCGTATTTTATAATAAGCTATTGAATATTTCATGTAATTTATTGAATACTGCATTGAAAGTGAAAAACAGTATGTTGTATCGGTACTTGAAGTATGGTTTCTACTGCATGCATATTGCTTTCACACCATTGTAAAGTCAAAAATTGTAAAGTTGAACCATGGTAAGTCAGAGACCATCTGTATCTATTTTTTAATGGAATCATATAAATATGCAATTCTGCATTCTGCTTTTTTTACTCAATATTTTAATAAACTTCTGCTCTATGATTGAAACTTTTTGAGAAGTGATTTAAATGGGTACCGAGTATTTCATTTCACTATAATCATATTCAAATAATTTCTAATACTCACTATTATATATAACACTATACAAAAGTATTTTTTGTACCTCTGATTATTTTTAGAATAGAGTCTTAAAATGGAACTACTAGACCAAACAGCATAAGCTTGTGTAAGGCTCTTAGTGAATATCATCACTTTCTTTTTCTCCCGTGATTTCCTACCAGTTTTTACTCCTGTCAGTTGTATGTGAAAGTGTCTATCTCATTATCTTACTTTAATTGAATATCAAAAGATCAGGGGCTTCCTAGAGAGAGGGAAAAAGTTTATTCACAAGACATTATTTAAATGATGGAAATCTTAGGTGCCATTGTTGTTAGTAGCTTCCAATGCTTCTGAAAGTAGTTGTGCAGTTTGTCCACTGAACAGAAGCACCTAACTAAGGTGGCTAGGGGAGGCTAAAATCCAGCTCATGTTCTGCTTTCCAAATTTAGACTATAGTCTAAATTTAAATTAGATTTGTCTGATTCTAAACCAACTATGTTATATTGCCAATGATAGATTTTTAGTTAAGTGTTCCTCAAGTTTCCCCATTAGGTTTTACAGCCAGGTAAAATAATCATGATTTATCAGTCACTAAGAAAAAATACAAAATATAATTGTTAGAAAACCTTTGTACTCTGACTTGGAATGAAAATCTCTACTGTGATTACCCAATGAAAACTTGTTTGTGTAATATGAAGAGAAATAAATTTATAAAAAATTTATAAAATTAGATAATCTTGGAAAAGAATATTGCTATTTTCTGCCTATTGTGTTTCGTGATGAAACCACTTACAGAATAGTACTTGTTCACACCCCTCACAGAATATTATAACTATATTAATTTTAGTAAAGAGGTATGGGAGAGAGGATTGTGGACAACATAGGGACAAGGTAGGAAAATTATTTATTTAATGTCTTGCTAACCCTTTTTTGAGGATACCTGTACTGGATTATTGCAATAATAATTTTTTTTTTTTTTCACAGAGTATCACTCCATCACCCAGGCTGGAGCACAGTGGTGCAACCTCAGCTCACTGCAAGCTCTGCCTCCTGGGTTCGAGTGATTCATGTGCCTCAGCCTCCCAAGAAGCTGGAATTACAGGTATGTGCCCCAACGCCTGGCTAATTTTTGTATTTTTAGAAGAGACGAGGGTTTACCATGTTGGTCAGGCTGGTCTCGAACTCCTAACCTGAAGTGATCTGCCTACCTCGGCCTCCCAAAGTGCTGGGATTACAGGCGTGAGCCACCACGCCTGGCCTATTGCTATAATCATTAAGAAAACTAGTGACAACAAGAGTTGTTCATTACAAGGAGATAATTTGGCAGGGTCTACCATGCCTATCTTGTAATTTCCATTAAATCTTTGTTCTGGCTTTTCCTCCATTCAAGAGGGAATGCCTTCCCTACTTAGAGGGAAGCAAGACCCACAGCAGAATATCATGTTTCCTCATTTGTTATTTCTCTTTCATTAGCTCCATTCTACTCAGTGAAATGTAACTCGGGAGGTCAGGTTGCTTCTGGCTAAATACTATATTCATTGATATTTGACCCTTGGGAAAGAGGGAGGTTATCCATAGAAATTCCTCCACATCTAACAAGATCTGGTTATATATATTTTTCCTGCTGCCCTCAGCAATAATAATGTCCACCTTTTGGAGACTCCAAATAATTCTGAAGTAATTATTTTGTGAAAGGTAGAAATCATTGAACTTTTACTTACTAATAGAAAATTAAATGTAGAGGAGATACTAGTTATGGTTTGAAAGAAAAAAGCATGGTTATTTTATTTGCATTAATTAGTTCAGGGAAGATGTTTGTGAATGTGTCGAATTCTGTGTTTGGACTTCTCATGAGTACTATGTTTTGGATAAACATGTTAATCAAAAATGCAGTCAAAAAAAGACAAAAAAAATCCAATTAAGAGTGATATCACCAAGATAGGGGAGTAGAAGATACCAGCTTTAATCCACCAACTCCTCCTAACAAAAACAAATATGGACAGTTACTCCCAAACCAAAAGAGCCCAGGGAGGGCTTGAGAGGCCATTAAATAATCTGCAGCAAAATGGTGGGACCAAAAAACCCCCAGAGAATATCCACACATGAAGGATCAGTGGTGATTCTGGCATACTGACATGCCAGAAGATGGCTAGGATCAAAGAACAAAGGTGGAGGCTATCAGCCACGCAGTGGGAGCCACTATGGTCCCTGGGGGCCTGTTCCACAGAAAACATCAGGATCTTTTGCTACTTCGGTAACCAACAGCTATTCCCACTGGGGATCCCCAAAGAGGGCAATGTGGCTGCACACCTCTCCTTTACCCAAGAAGTTGCTACTGTTGAGGGACTTTGAAAAAAAACCACTACTTTTTCCAATCCTGTGTGTCCCACAACTGTGGAGCAGTGGCTGCTCTATGAGTGCCCACGCTCTGGACCCAGGCTGTATGGTTTCATTGGGCCAATCCATATCTCAGACACTGAAGCCATCACCAGAGTAAGCTAGTTCACATTCTTGGCCCTGAAGCCAAACCCTCACTGGGCATGCCCATGTTTCAGGTACTAGCTGAGCAGCTACAGAAAGGTAAACTCAACCCTAACCCCAAAGCTGCTTTAACTCTGTGCACACCTATCTTCCCATTCCCAACTTCTCTGACTGCTTCACAAATCTTCATGCCTCACATTCTATTACCAATATAACAGAAGAGGTGTCTGTGCTTCAGGCAGCAGTGCCATTACCACTCCAGATACTAGAGCTGTAGTCCCTCCATGCATGCTCATGCTTCTGGGTTCAGCTCTGTGGCCATTCCATGGGCACCACTCATCTGGCGCTGGTGCCACTGTCACTCCAAGCAAGCCCATGAGCCAGACCCAGTGCCAAAAGGGTCTTCAAACACAGTTTCCCCAGTGGTAAAAAAGAGTGGGAGGATCTTAGTAGCCATTGCCACTGAAGACTTCAATAACCCTCACTACCACTGTGGAAATCCACAGTCTTGACCACTGAGGACACCTGCAGTCTTCATCAACACTCTCCCTAGCTGATAGAGTTGCACAGAGACTACACAACTGGCATATTCATTGGTACACCCCAGTGAGCAAGTTTCCTCATACCCTTCAAAAATATTTCCAAAGTGAAACTAGTCTGTAATGTCTGCAATAGGTGACTGCTCCACCAAATACATGGACATCAGTGTAAGACAACAAGAAACATGACAAACCAAGGAGACATAAAACCACCAAAAGAACACAATAATTTCACAGTAGCTAGCCCCAAAGAAACAGAGATATATAAACTGCCTGACAAAGTTGTTTTTTTTTTGTTGTTTTTTTTTTTCCCAGATGGAGTTTCATTCTTGTTGCCCAGGCTGGAGTACAATGTCATGATTTTGGCTCATTGCAACCTCCGCCTCCTGGGTTCAAGTGATTCTCCTGCCTCAGCCACCCAAGTAGCTGGGATTACACGCGCCCGCCACCATGCCTGGTTAATTGTTTTTTGTATTTTTAGTAGAGATGGTGTTTCATCATGTTGGCCAGGCTGGTCTGAAACTCCTGACCTCAGGTGATCCACCCGCCTCAGCCTCCCAAAGTGCTGGGATTACAGGTGTGAGCCACTGTGCCTGGCCAATAATTTAAAATAAATGTCTTAAGGGAGCTCAGTTAACTTCAAGAAAATATAGAACAATGGAATGATATCAGAAAAATAAAAAATGACAAAAGAAGAAATTTAACAGAGAGATTAGAATTACTTAAAAAAATCCAGAAATTCTGGAGCTGAAATACACAATAAATGAAGTTTAAAATGCAATAGAGAGCATCAACAGGAAAATTGAACAAGCTGAAGAAATCTGTGAACTCAGAAACATGTTATTTAAAAAAATTGTCAGAGGACAAAAAGAATGAAAAGAAATAAAGCTTACAGGATGTATAGGACAGCATCAAAAGAGCAAATACTTAGTTAAAGATATTAAAGAAGTCAAAGAGAAAGACAAAGGGGGTAGAAAGCTTATCTAAAAATATAATATCTGAAAACTTTCCAAATCTGGGGAAAGATAATATCCATGTACCAGAAGATCACAGATTTCCAATCATATTCAATCCAAACAAGATGACACCAAGATACATTATAATCAAACTGTCAAAAGTCAAAGATAGAAGATAAGCAAGTCACATGTAACAGAATTTCACCAACGCTAGCAGCATATTTCTCGGAAGAAACCTTATAGATCTGGATAAAGTGAAATGATATAGTCAAAGCACTGAAGGATATATTCAAAAACTGCAAACCAAGAACACTGTACCTAGCAAAACTGTCCTTCAAAAATGAAGGAATGACAAAGACTTTCCCAAACAAAAGCTGAGGAAGTTTATCACTGTCAGACCTACCTTAAAACAAATGCTAAAGGAACCTCTTTAAACTGAAAGAAAAAATGCTAATTAGTAACACAAACACATATGAAGATATAAAACTTATTGCAAAAACTAAGTACACAGAATGTTTACTACTGAAATGGTGGTGTGTAAATCAATGATATATTCAGTATGAAGGTTAAAAGATAAAACTATTAAAAATAATAGCTACAATAGGTTGCAGGATATACAATAGAAAAAATTGTAAATTGGGACATCAAAAACAAAATGTGTGAGAGATGGAGTAAAAGTGTAGGGTTATTTTATGTGACCAAGGTTAAATTGTTATCAGTTTTGAATATCCCATTATAACGTTAAAATGTTTTATGTAAGCCTCATGGTAACCACAAAAAAATTGATAGTACATATACAAAAGATAAAAAGTAAGGAATCAGGCTGGGCACGGTGGCTCACACTTGTAATCCCAGCACTTTGGAAGGCCTAGGAGCGTAGATCACAAGGTCAGGAGTTCGAGACCAGCCAGTCCAATATGGCGAAACCCTGTCTCTACTTAAAAGTACAGAAATTAGCCAGACACGGTGGCACGCACCTGTAGTCCCAGCTACTCGGAGGCTGAGGCAGGAGAATCACTTGAACCCAGGAGGTGGAGGTTGCAGTGAGCCGAGATCGCATCACTGCACTCTAGCCTGGGCAACAGAGTGAGACTCCATCTCAAAAAGAAAAAAAAAAAAAAAACAAAAAAAAACAAAAGTAAGGAATCAGCCAGGTGGCCAGGCATGGTGGCTCATGCCTGTAATCCCAGCAGCACTTTGGGAGGCCAAGGTGGGTGGATCACCTGAGGTCAGGAATTTGAGACTAGTCTGGCCAACATGGTGAAATCCCATCTCTACTAAAAAAATACAAAAATTAGCTGGGCATGGTGGTGCATACCTGTAATTCCAGCTACATGGGAGGCTGAGGCAGGAGAATCACTTGAATCTGGGAGGCGGAGGTTGCAGTGAGCCAAAATTGTGCCATTTCACCCCAGCCTGGGTAACATAAGTGAAACTCCCTCTTAAAGGAATCAAAGCATACCAATAAAGAAAATTATCTAATCCCAAAGGAAGGCAGCAAGAGAGAATGAAAGAAATGATCTACAGAACAACCACAAAATTGTTAACAAAATAGCAGTAGTAAGTCCTTACTTATCAATAATTATCTTGAACGTAAATGGATTTTATTATCCAATCAAAAGACACAGTGGCTGAATGGATAAAAAACAAGACCCAACTGTATCCTGCCTATAAAAGGTTCAGGTCACCTTTAAGAACACAGACACATTGAAAGTGAATGGATGAAAATATTCCATGCAAATGGAAAACAAAGGAAAGCAGAGATAGTGATAGTTATATCAGATAAAGTAGAGTATAAGTCAAAACTATAAAATGATAGAAGAAGGGTCATATAATGATAAAGGAGTCAACTCATCAAGAAGATACAATTGTAAATATACATGCACCCAACTTCAGGGCACCTAAATATATAAAGCAAATATTAATAGATCTGAAGAGAATAAGAGACTGACACAGTAATGATAGAGGACTTAAATACTCCACTTTCAACAATGAACAGATCATCCAGACTGAAAATTAATAGGGAAACATTAGACTTGAACTACACTTTAGACCAAATGACCGTAGCAGACATATGAAGACCATTTCACCCAATAGCAACAGAATACACATTCTTAAGCACACGTGGAACATTGTCCAGGATAAATCACATGTTAAGACATAAAATAAGTCTTAATAAAATTAAGAAGATTGAAATCATATCAAGTATGTTTTCTAGGCACAATGGTATAAAACTAGAAATCTGTAAGAGAAAGAATTTTGGAAAATTCACATGTGGAAATTAAACAGCATGTTCCTAAACAACTAATGGGACAAAGATGAAGTTAAAAGAAAAATTGAAAGATATCTTAAGACAAACAAAAGTTAAAACACAACATATACAAACTTATAGGATGTAGCAAAAGTAGTTCTAAGACAGAAGTTTGTAGTAATAAATGCCTACATTGAAAAAGAAGATTACAGATAAACAACATAATGTTATACCTCAAGGAACTAGAAAAAGAAGATGAAGTAAGCCCAAAGTTAGTAACAGTAAGGAAATAATAAAGATTAGAGCAGCAATAAATGTAATGGAGACTAGAAAAATAATAGAAAAGGTCAATGAAACTAACAGTTTTGTAAAAAGACAAATTTGAAAAACCTTTAACTAGGCTAGGAAAAAGGAGAGAAGACTCAAATCAGAAATTAGAGGACATGACAACTGATAACATGGAAATACAAAGGATCATAAGAAACTACTATATAATTTTATATCAACACATTGGATAACCTAGAAGAAATAGATACATTCCTAGACACCACCTACCAAGATTAAATCTGAAGATATAGAAAATGTGAACAGACTGATAACTTATAAGAGACTGAATCAGTAATAAAAAGTCCTGCTTCAAAGAAAAGCCCAGGACCCGATGGTTTCACAGCTGAATTCTAGCAAACATTTAAAGAACTAATATAAATCTTTCTCAAACTTTTCTAGAAAATTGAAGAGGAGGGAATACGTCCAAACTCATTTTGCAAGGATTACACTAGTACCAACGCCAGACAAGGACACCTAAGAAAATAAAATTATAGGCCAGTATCCCTGAAGAATATAGATGCAAAAACCAAGGAACCAAATACTAGTAAACTGAATTCAGCAGTGCATTAAAATGATCATTCACCATGATCGAGTGTGATTTATCCCATGGGATGCAAGGATAGTTCAACATATGCCAATCTATATGTGTGATACACCTCATTAACAGAATGAAGGATAAAAACCACATGATGATCTCAATTGATGCAGAAAAGGCATTTGAAAAAATTTAACATTCTTTTGTGATAAAAACTCTCAAAAAACTAGGTATAGAAGAAATGCATCTCAACATAAAGACCATATATGACATACCCATCACTAAGCCTTTGTTACTCCTTTATTTCTGAAGGACAGTTTTGCTGGGTATAGTGTTCTTGGTTTATACTTTTTGAAGATATCCTTCAGTGCTTTGAATATGTCATCCCTCTTTATCCTGGTCTGCAAGGTTTCTTCTGAGAAATATGGTGCCAGCCTTAATGAAGTTCTGTTATATGTGATTTGCTTATCTTGCTGCTCTCAGAATCCTCTGTCTTTGATTATAAAGATAAAGAAAAGACAAGGATGTCCCACTTTCTACTTTTATTCAACATAGTACTAGAAGTCCTAGCCAGAGCAATTAGGCAAGAGAAAGAAATAAAAGGCTTCAAAATTGGAAAGGAAGATGTTAAACTCTCTCAGTTTTCAGACAACATGTTCTTATATAGAGAGAACCCTAAAGACTCCACGAAAAATGTTAGAACTAATAACTGAATTTAATAAAGTTGCATGCTACAAAATCAACACAAAACTAAAAAAGAAATTAAGGTAACAATCCAATTTACAATAGCTACAAAAAATATAATACTGAGGAATAAATGTAAGCAAGGAAGTGAAACATTTGCTTCACTTTCACTTACATTTGTAACAAATGTAAGAAAGAGAGTCCAGAAATAAATCCCTGTATTTATGGTCAATTGATTTTTGACAAGGGTGCCAAGAATACACAATGGGGAAAGAACAGTCTCTTCAATAAATAGTATTGGCAAAACTGGATATCCACATGCAGAAGAATGAAACTAGACTCATCTCAAACCATATACAAAAATCTACTCAAAATGGATTATAAAGACTTCAATGTGAGACCAGAAATGGTAAACCTACAAACAACAACAAAAAACATAGGGGAAATGCTCCATGACATTGGTCTGGGCAACGATTTTTTAAATATGATGCCAAAGCACAGGCAACAAAACCAAAAATAGACAAGTAGGATTACATCAAACTAAAAAGCTTCTGCAAAGTAAAGGAAACAATCAGAGTGAAGAAACAACCTAGAGAATGGAAGAATATATTTGTAAACAATAATCTCAGAAGGGTTTAATAGCCAAAACATGTAAGGAACTGAAACAACTCAATAGTAAGAAAACAACCCAATTAAAACATGGGCAAAGGGGACCTAAATAGAAATTTCTCAAAAGAAGATACACAAATGGCCAACAGGTCTGTGAAAAAGATCCCAACATCTCTAATAATCAGGGAAACACAAATCAAAAGCACAATGAGATATTACTCCACAACTGTCAGAATGGCTATTCAAAAAGACAAAAGATAAATACTGGCAAGAATATGGAGAAAAGGGAACCGTTGTATACTGTTGGTGGGAATGTAAATTTGTAGGACTATTTTGGAAAACAATGTGGAGGTTCCTCACAAAAGTAAAAATAGATTACTGTATGATCCAACCATACCACTACTGGGTATGTATCCAAAGGAATTGAAATCACTGTCAATCAGATATCTGCACTCTCATGTTTGCTGCAACATTATGCACAATAGCAAGATATGGAACCAACCTTAGTGTTCATTGACAGATGAACAAATACAGAAAAAGTGTTATATATACACAATTAAATACTATTCAGCTTTAAAAAAGAGAGAAATCCTGTCATTTACAGCAACATGGGTAAACCAAGAGGACATTATGCTAAGTGAAATAAGCCAGGTGCAGAAAGACAAATATTACGTGGTCTCACTTATATGTAGAGTGTAAAAGGTTGAACTTATAGAAAGAGAGTACAATGATGGTTACAAGAGGCTGGAGGTTGGGGGATTGGGAAGATGTTAGTGAAAGGACACAAAATTTCAGTTAGGAGGAATAACTTAAAGACATCTATTGTACATTACAGTGACTAGAGTTAGTAATAATATATTGCATATTGAAAATTGCTAAAAGATTTTGTGTTCTCACCACAAGAAAATGTGAAACAATGCATGTGTTTAATAGCTTGAATTTATCCATTCCACAGTTGTATACATATATAAAAACATTGTGTTGTACACCATAAATAGACATAACTTTTACTTGTTAATTTAAAAAATCCATTGAACAGTTTGTGTGGATCCCTGGTGGAAAGTAGAACTTGGATGTAATATAAACTCAGCAACTTTTTAGTATGTGATAGATGTCTTGAGACACTAGATTGATATATTTAAGAATTTGGAGCTTCCAGTTTAGAGTAAATGAAAGTTGGCTTGAAGTATGATAAATACACACACACACACACACACATACGCATGCACACACATTAAAAAAATTTTTTAAAGACAATCTCACTCTGTCACACAGGCAATCACAGCTCACTGCAGCCTCAATCTCTTAGGCTCAAGTTATCCTCCCGCCTCAGCCTCTCAAGTAGCTGGGACTACAGGCATGCGCCAACACACCTAGCTAGTTTTAAAATTTTTTGTAGCAACAGGGTCTCGTTATGTTGCTTAGGCTGATCTTGAACTCCTGGGCTCATGTGATTCTCCTGCCTTGACCTTTATGGACACGAGCCACCACGCCTGTCTCCACTCACTGTGACCTCTGCCTCCCGAGTTCAAGTGATTCTCCTGCCTCAGCCTCTTGAGTAGCTGGGATTACAGGTACCCACCAACATGCCTGGCTAATTTTTGTATTTTTAGTAGAGGTGAGGTTTTACCATGTTGGCCAGGCTGGCCTCGAACTCCTGACCTTAGGTGATCCACCCCTTTGGCCTCCCAAAGTGCTAGGATTACAGGCATGAGCTACCACGCCCAGCCATAGTGCAATACTTTTAAAGGACGTTGATTATTTGGATCTCATGTAACCAGGGCTTATGCTTTCATTGATTTATACATAAGTTTTAGGCAATTTATAAAACTAAGCAAATTTGGAAATCTTAGAAACTGATTATTCTTTTTTTAATTTCCATTTTTATTTTAGATTCTGGGGTTACATGTGTAGGTTTGTTACAAGGGTATATTGTGTGATGCTGAGGTTTTGGGCTTCTATTCATCCTGTCACCTACATAGTTAACATAGTACCCAATAGGAAGTTTTATATCCCTTGTCTTCCTCCCTCCTTCCTTTCTTTCAGAGTCCCCAGTGTCTATTGTTCCCTTCTGTGTCCACATGCACTCAATGATTAGCTCCCACTTGTAAGTGAGAACATAGGGTATTTGGTTTTTGTTCCCGTGTTAATTTGCTTAGGATAATGGCCTCCAGCTGCATCCATGTTCCTGCAAAGCACATGATGTCCTTTTCTATGGCTGCATAATATTCCATGGTGTATATGTACATTTTCTTTATCTCACCCACTATTGATGGGCACCTAGACTGATTACATGCCTTTGTTATTGTGAATAGTGCTGCAATGAACATACAAGTGCATGTGTCTTTTTGGTAGAACAATTTATTTTTGAGGGGGTATATACCCAGTAATGGGATTGCTGGGTGGAATGGTAGTTCTATTTTTAGTTCTTTGAGAAATCTCCAAACTGCTTTTCACAGTGGCTCAACTATTTTGCCATTTTTAATAACAAAAACCACAATTAGTTTTGCAGCAACCTTATAGTTTACTTTCCTACCAGTAGTGTGTAAACATTCCCTTTTCTCCACAGCCTTGCCAACATCCGTTATTTTTTGACTTTTTAATAATAGCCATTCTAATTGGTGTGAGATGGTATCTCATTGTGGTTTTGATTTGTCTTTCTTTGATTATTAGTGATGTTGGGCATTTTTTCATATGTTTGTTGGCTGCTTGCATGTCTTCGAGAAGTGCCCGTCCATGTTCTTTGTCCACTTTTTAATGTGGTTGTTTGTTTTTTGCTTGTTGATTTAAGTTTTTTATAGAGTCTGGATATTAGTCCTTTATTGGATGCAGAGTTTGCCAATATTTTCTCCCATTCTCTAGGTTGTATGTTTACTCTGTTGATAATTTCCTTTACTGTGCAGAAGTTCTTTAGTTTAATTAGGCTCCATTTGCCAATTTTTGTTTTTGTTGCAATTGCTTTTGAGGACTTAGTCATAAATTATTTGCCAAGGCCGATGCCCAGAAGGATATTTTTAGGTTTTCTGCTAAGATTTTTAAGGTTTCAGTCTTACATTTAAATTTTTTATCTTTTTGTATATGGTAAAAGAAAGGAGTCCAGTTTTATTCTTCTGCATATGGTTAACCAGATTTTTCAGTACCATTTATTGAATAGGGAGTCTTTTCCCCATTGCTTGTTATTGTCAACTTTGTCAAAGATCAGTTGGTTGCAGGCATGTGGTTTTATTTCTGGGGTTTCTATTCTGTTCCATTGGTCTATGTGTCTATTTTTGTACTAGTACTATGTTGTTTTTGGTTACTATCATCTTCAAACTGTAGTATGAAGTCAGGTAATGTGATGCCTCCGGTTTTGTTCTTTTTGCTTAGTATTGCTTTGGTTATTTGGCCTCTTTTATTTGGTTTCATATGAATTTTAGAATAGTTTTTCAGAATTCTGTGAAAACTGATGTTGATCATTTGATAGGAATAGTGTTGAATTTGTAGATTGCTTTTAACACTATGGGCATTTTAACAATGTTGATTCTTCCAATCCACGAATATGGAATATTTTTCTATTTGTGTCATCTATGATTTATTTCATCAGTATTTTGTAGTTCTCCATGTAGAGATCTTTCATCTCCAAGGTTAGGTGTATTCCTAGGTTTTTTTGTGTGGCTACAATAAGTGGGATTACATTCTTGATTTGGTCCTCAGCTTGAATGTTATTGGCGTATAGAAGTGCTACTGGGGTTTGAATGTTGATTTTAATATCCTGAAACTTTACTGAAGTTGTTAATCAGGTCTAGGAGTCTTTCGGTGGAGTCTTTAGGATTTTTCTAGGTATAGAATTATATTGTCAGTGAAGAGAGATAATTTGATTTCCTCTTTTCCTATTTTAATACCTTTTTTTTCTTTCTTTCTCTTGCTTGATTGCTCTGGCTATGACTTCCAGTACTATGTTGAGTAGGAGCGGTGAAAGTGGGAATCCTTGTTTTATTCCAGTTTTCAAGGGGAATGCTTCCAGCTTTTGCCCATTCAGTATGATGTTGGCTATAGATTTGTCACAGACGCCTTTATTATTTTGAGGTATTATCCCATGATATTTAGTTTCCTGAGGTTTGTTTTTTTTTTACTCATGAAAGGATTGGATTTTATTGAAATATTTCTGCGTCTATTGAGACGATCATATGAGTTTGTTTTAATTTTGTTTATGTGGTGAATCACGTTTGTTGATTTGTGTATTGTGAACCAACCTTACATCCCAAGAATAAAGCCCACTTGATCTTGATGAATTAACTCTTCAATGCACTGCCAGATTTGGTTTGCTAGTATTTTATTGAGGATTTTTGCATCTATGTTCATCAGGTTTAATTGGCCTTTGGTTTTCTTTTTTCCTTGTGTCCTTGCCAGATTTTGGTATTAGGATGATACTCGTTTTGTAAAATGAGTTAGGGAAGAGTTCCTTCTCCTCAGTTTTTTGAAATAGTTTCAGTAGGATTGGTACTAGCTCTTTTTACGTCTGCTAGAATTCAGCTGTGAATCCATCTGGTCCACAGCTTTTTTTGGTTTGTGGATTTTTTTTTTTTCAAATTACTGATTCAATTTTGGAACTTGTTATTGGACTGTTCAGGGTTTCAATTTCTTCCTGTCAATCTTGGGAAGTTATGTGTTTCCAGGAATTTATCCATTTCCTCTAGATTTTCTAATTTGTATGCATAGATGTGTTTATAGTAGTCTCTGAGGATCTTTTGTATTTCTTTTGAATCGGTTATAATGCCACCTTTATCATTTCTGATTGTGTTTATTTGAATCTTCTCACTTTTTTCTTTGTTAATCTAGTTTGCAGTCGATTGGTCTTGTTTATCTTATCAAAGAACCCACTTTTTGTTTCATTGATTCTTTCTGTGTTTTTTGGGTCTCAATTCTGTTTAGTTCTACTCGGATTTTAATTATTTCTTTTCTTCTGCTTACTTTGGAATTAGTTTGTTCTTGTTTTTCTAGTCCCTTTAAGTGGTAGAGTGTTAATCTGAGATCTTTCTAACCTCTTGATGTAAGTATTTAGTACAATAAACTTCCCTCTTAACACTGCTTTGTTGCATCCCAGAGATTTTGTCATGCTGTGTCTCCATTATCATTTGTTTCAAATAATGTTTTGATTTCTGCATTAATTTTACTGTCTACCCAAAAGCCATTCAGGAGCAAGTTATTTAGTTTCCATGTCACTGTGTGGTTTTGAGAGTTCCTCTTGGTGTTGATTTCTATTTCCATTCCACTGAGGTCTGAGAATATGCTTGGTATGATTTCAATTTTTTTGAATTTGTTGAGACTTGCCTAATGGCTGAGAATGTGATAGATTTTAGAGTATGTACCATGTGCAGATGAGAAGATACATATCCTGTGGTTATTAGGTGGAGTATTCTGTAGATGTCTATTAGAACCAATTGGCCAAGGGCCAAATTTAAGTCCAGAATTTTTTTGTTAGTTTTCTGCCTTGATAATGTAATACCGTCAATGGGGTATTGAAGTCTTCCAGTATTATTGTGTAGCTATGTCAAAAATGGATTATTCTTATCAGTTGACATATCCCGACAATGTTTCTAGCACTTTAAGATTATTATTTATTGATATTATGATATCTTCTGGGGGTTTATTTTAATATTTAGTGTAACGAATAAGATAAAGTGGCTGTGATGAAGGTCTGGAACAGCATCTGCCTAAAAGGCAAATATAGTGATTACTCTTTACATATAACCTGAAATCCAGAACAATATAGCATCTGAGGATAAAATAATTTAAATTGTAGGTGCCTAAGGTTTGCATCCTGATGTATCTGAAATGTGTTCCATATTACCTTGGCTTTCAATTTCTCTAATTTTTCTATTTGATTAGAAGTTATTCATTTTGGGGGCAATGATGAAATTCCAATTCGAACTGTCTTATATCTTTTAATCAGAATTTTCCCAAAGCACAAAAGTGAAAATGTAGAAGTTGCTGTGTTTCATTAGTTTCATTCTTTTGAATGTTGCTACACTGAAAGCGCTGTGTGAAATTATTAGAAGACAAGTTTTCAAATGGTTGTAAAAGAAGATGCATATATGGGGACTCACTCAAAGGGCATTATTTAAAAAAGAAATTTCCAGCCACCCAGATCTCAGGGTAGCTATGTCCATTCAAGGATAGAGAATCCACCATCTGTATGATTATTTTTACGTCTGAACTTTTTTATACACCAGAGAGACTCAAAACTTTCAGGGTCATTTGCTCAGCATGTAGTGGAATGTCCTGCGCAATAGATTCCAATTAATATGACCATGTTCAATGGCCCTTTACCACCAATGATATCTAACTGCTTTCCACTTGGCTTTATATGGTACTTCTTTGTTACAGCTGCAACCAGGTCTATCGCCCCTTTGATAAAAATTTCAGTTACCCCAGGGAGAAGCTTTCAACTTTATTAAGTATTGAAGTCTGTACATTTGTTCTTCTTTGGAAGAGCAGATCAAAAGCACGCTTTCTAAGTAAGTAATCTGATAAATTAGGATAGCATTTGCAGACTTGGGCAATATGTTTTTCCGTAATTGAAACCTGAGAACCTGTGTCAACTGACTATACTATTATAAACTTCTTAGCATTTAACAAGAGTTTCTTTTATTTTTTGAAAGTAAATAGAATTCCTTGATTCGATTTAACCAATTCTTTAGCATGCTGTTTCCTTTTTGTTGTGGTTAGGAAAACCTCAATGTAGGTTTAGAGATAGAAAACTGACAATCAAGAAAAAAAAAAGCAATTAGATGATCAAGTTGTGGTACAGACAAAAGCCCGTGTTGTCGTCTTATCTCTGGCATTAATTTACTGTAAAAACTTGAGCAAGCCACTTAATTTTTCTGGGCCACAGTTTCCTCATCTTTGAAAAGGGATAATTGGCTAAATTATGTGTAAGACTTCTGCTGATTCTGAAATTCTCTGATTCTAAGTCTTAGGCAGAATGAGGCTAGACACAGAATACCTTATATTTGCATGCGGCCATTTTTACTTTGCATCTCCTGCCTGCTTCAATTCCAGGTTTGGTTTGGCAATGGAATAATATGGTGCTATTTTATCTTTGGGTAGGAATGAGATATATCTGGATCACTGGTTAAAACTGGAGTAGTAATACCTTCACAAAGGAGACTAGACGGTTGTATTTCTCCCACAGTCCCAAGCTACTAGAATGTTGAAAACGCACCAGATTTATCTTGAGAAAATTGGCTCTTCTTCGCATACATTTACAATAAAAATACAAATAAATTCAGATTTCTCCATAGCTGATGGGACAAATTTTGCCTTCTGTGTTCGTCTGAATCTGAGGGTTACCTCTGTTATTAGCATTTTCAAAGATTTAGATTGCGACCTTTGAATTCCAATTCGTGGGATTTGGATGCTTAAAAAGGATAACTTGGGCCGGGCATGGTGGCTCACTCTAATCCCAGCACTTTGGGAGGCCAAGACAGGCAGATCTTTTAGGTCAGGAGTTCTTGACCAGCCTGGCCAACGTGGTGAAATCCCGTCTCTACTAAAAATATAAAAATGAGCCAGGTGTTGTGGCGGGCGCCTGTAATCCCAGCTACTAGGGGAGGCTGATGCAGGAGAATGGAGGCGGAGGTTGCAGTGAGCCGAGATCGCGCCACTGTACTCCAGCCTGGGTGACAGAGTGACTCCATCTCAAACAAAAAAAGAAAGGATAACCTGAATCAAAATGTACATCACATGTTGCCAAAGACTAAATATAATTTCTTACAGTATTTTGTCAATGGATGCTTACAATATAAACACTCCATGTAGACATCCTCAAAGTGTTTTAGCATTAAAAAGTTGGAAACTATTTTGTAGACCAATTCTTTCTAAATTTTAAGTTCTGATGATTGGGGATCAAGTTGGGGCTATGTTCTTCAGAATCTTAAAAAGCCTAAATACTAATAATACAGTTGTGATATTAGTAGAAACTTTTCCTGGGAGGTAGGGATTTAAGAGCCAAGTTTCTCATCTCAGATCCTCAGCAATTTATTTCTGATAGTGGGCTATTCACTTGTTCTGTCTGTTACTGTTTTCTCATTTTTAACACTATATCAAACCTCTGTAAGAGGTTCGGTTCCTTTCCTGTCCTGTCCTGTCCTGTCTCGTTCTGTCGTCCAGCCTGGAATGCAATGGAGCGATCTTGGCTCAGTGAAACCTCTGCCTCCTGGGTTCAAGCAATTCTCCTGCCTCAGCCTACTGAGTAGCTGGGATTACAGGCACCCGCCACCACGCCTGGCTAATTTTTGTATTTTTAGTAGAGACAGGGTTTCACCATGTTGGCCAGGCTGGTCTCGAACTCCTGACCGCATGATCTGCCTGCCCTGGCCTCCCAAAGTGCTGGGATTATAGGCGAGAGCCACCACGCCCACCCAATAGCTAGTTTCTTAAAGGTTAATCGTACTGTAGAACCTTAAACTATATAAATAAATTTTAGGTATGTGGTTGTGTTTAAAATCCTCTTATTTGTTTTGAACTTAGAATGGGTTTTTTACTCATGCATGATTTTGTAACATCATTCAATGATAAAAATATTAGTTCACTGACTTACTCAGATTTTCTGAATCTTGACCCATTTCCTTATACAATATCAGCAATTATTTTGTTAATATCACCACTAATCTCATCAGAAAAGCTTGTAAGTGTTGAAAAACTATCAAGTTCATAGCAGTAGATTCAAGATTTCTAAAATTTTAATTTTCTCTTGAAAGCTCACATTTTGATCATAGGCAATAAATACCATCTGTTGTTTTTCTTGAAACGACAGGCTTACTTTGTCCATTAAAATTAAAGTCTGCCAAATAATCTGAAAATTCATCATTTGTCAGTCTTTTTTTTCAAGTAAAAATGATGTTTTATGAAAATGTATGCTGGTTGCATTTGTAACTCAGTTGCATGAGTTTCTTTTCCTAGAGACAACTATCATATTTCAATGTGTGGTAGAAATGCTTCATATGCACTTCCCATTTTGTAATACGGAATATTAATAAGATGTATACTCAAAGGTCTAGATTTAATAAAGTTAATCATTTTTATTGCTTTATAAAGGATATGATTAAGTGAAACTGACATTTTATTTTTATTGTGAGTGCGTGATGGTGAAGAATGTGATAACTGCCAGTGTAGTTTGGTATCACACCTTGATTCTTTCTAAGGAACCTACAGTTTTACCTACCATTGCCTTAGCAACACTGGCAATTATCAGCATAATGAAGAAAAATCACATCTTAGTTTTAAAAACTATCATAAAAACAGCTTTGGCCTTGCAGACTTCTTGAAATGGTCTTGGAGATCTCAGGAGTATGTGAATTGCATTTTGAAAATTTCTGGAGTAAGGCTGGCCAACATGGCATAACGCTGTCTCTACTAAAAATACAAAAATTAGCTGGGTGTGGTGGTGGGTGCCTGTAATCCCAGCTACTCAGGAGGCTGAGGCAGGAGCATTGCTTGAACCTGGGAGGTGGAGGTTGCAGTGAGCCAAGATTGTGCCACTAGACTCCAGCCTGGGAGTCCAGCCTGGGCACAGAGCAAGACTCTGTCAAAAAAAAAAAAAAAAAAAGAAGAAGCTGACTAGGGTTCAATATTGTTACAGTCTTGAATTTCCCCTTCTGTTTTCAGAAAAATGGGCCAGCTTCTTACTGCTCCATTTCCCATGAAGTTAAAACACCAAAAGTAAGAAACTATTAACACTGAGGCCCACTCATTAAAAGCAGGGACCCGCTTCTTAATGACTAGATTTTCTTGTCTTGCTAACTGAGACAAAATTTAATAGCAGTAGGTGGGAACTTGAACTAATATAGTCAATACCTGGTAAGCAGTACATAGTTGCTTTCTTGTCACTATATTTGCCTCATTTTCCAAAGTAAAATAATAATAAACAGACCTTTAAGAAATTTTTGGATGGGGCTCGCTCCCCAGGGACAGGTCAGGGATGGGGAGTAGGAGCCGGGGTCGGGGTGGCCGTGGCCTGGGCCTTGAGGTTGACGCCTGCTGCTGCAGCAGCAGAGGCTGAGGGACCCGTCGCAGCTCTGTCGCCCGAGAGGGAGGGCTCCGCTGCGGTGGTGAAACCAGCCCAGAGAAGTTACAGAATTTTCCCCTGGGTCTCCTGCCCAGCAAGCCAGCGCCGTGACCAGGTATGGGGGATGATGGTGGCGGCTCTCACTCACTTGTGAAGGCTGGAACCCAGGGAACCTGTGGTGACCTAGGGATTCTCCAGACACCACCGCAGCCCCACCACGACCAGCCGAGGCAGTAACAGCAACAGCTCGGGCACATGAGCGGAACCGCTGGACTCCAGGTTCCTTGCGGGGGCGCTGAGCATGACCTGAGGGACAGGCCCTGGGTCCCGGAATGCCCCTGCCCAAGCCCAGTGAGCCGGAGGGCGAGAGTGGGAAGGCTGGGCAGGAGCCGTCCCCCGAGCCAAGCACGGACGTCATCCTGGCAGCCTCAGGAAGCCCGGGAAGTTCTCCAAACTGGTCCTGCTCACGGCCTCCAACCAAGATGAGGTTGGGGTGGGCTTCAAGCCCCAGGAAGTGCACTGTGTCTTGTCCCTGGAGATGGCCGGCCCCGCCACCCTCGCCAGCACCTTGCATATCCTGCCAGCTGAGGAGCAGGGAGGGGTGGTCCAGCCAGCCCCCCAGATGCCTGAACAGAAGAGCAGCAAGCTGGACACAGCCCCGCCATTCCCTGGAGTTCCTGAGGACACCATTTGGGGGCCGCCTCCTGATGCTTGAGTCCTTCCTGTACAAGCAGGAGAAGGCTGTCGGGGACAAGGTGTACTGGAAGTGCCGCCAGCATGCTGAGCTGGGCTGCCGGGGCCAGGCCATCACCCGAGGTCTGCGGGCCACAGTGATGCGGGGCTGCTGCCAAGCGCCCGATGAGCAAGGCCTGGAGCCCTGGCGCCAGAGGGAGAAGCTGCCCAGCCTGGCCCTGCCAGAGGTCTTGGGACATCCCCGGGGTCCTGAGGGCTCTGGAAGCCGAGTGGAGGAGCCGCTGGAGAGGGGGGGCCTGTGGCAGTGCCCCAAGGAGCCGGAGCCAGAGCCCACCCCTGGGCTAGTGCTGAGCAAGCCGGCCCGGAGGACGACGACGGACCCCGAATCCTGTAGCTGCTGAGCCTGACGCCCAAGAAGTGCTCGATCCTGGGCCTGGGACAGGCCCGGCCCCTTGAGTTCCTGAGGACGTGCTACGGGGATAGCTTCCTGGTGCACGAGTCGTTCCTCTACAAGCGGGAGAAGGCCGTGGGGGAGAAGGCGTATTGGACCTGCCGGGACCACGCGCTGCACAGCTGCCGGAGCCGGGCCATCACCCAGGGACAGCAGGTGACCGTGATGCGTGGCCACTGCTACCCGCCCGACGTGGAGGGCCTGGAGGCCCGGCGGCAGCAGGAGAAGGCCATGGAGACGCTGCAGGCTGTGCAGGCCGGCCCTGGGAGCCAAGTGGACACTCTCCTCCAAGGCGTGAACAGTTTTCTCTGCCTCAGGGGCCCCGGCCCCCTGACTCTCACCAGGCCCCGGCCCAGAAAGCGAGCGAAGGTCGAAGACCAGGAGCTGCCAACCCATCCCCAAGCCCTGGAAGGATTCCTGGACGAGGACCAGGACATGGATGCCGACCCCGGAAGCCCTGAGTTCCTGCGGACCCCGCTGGAGGGCAGCTTCCTGGTATACGAGTCCTTCCTCTATAAGCAGGTGTATTGGACCTCCCGGGACCAGGTCCGCATGGGCTGCCGCAGCCTCGCCATCACCCAGGGCCGGCGGGCCATGGTGATGCGCAGGCACTGCCGCCCACCGGACGTGGGTGGCCTGGAGGCACTGCGGCAGCGGGAGCACTTCTCCATCTTGGCGCAGTGGGACTGCCCAGAACCCCTCCGGCCCCTGGAGTTCTGAAGACTTTCCTGGGGGGCAGGTTCCTGGTGCCCGAGTCCTTCCTCTACAGGAAGGAGAAGGCGGCCGGGGAGAAGGTGTACTGGATGTGCCGGGATCAGGCTCGGCTGGGCTGCCACAGCCATGCCATCACCCAGGGCCAGCGGGTTATGGTCATGCGCAGCCGCTGCCACCAGCCCAACCTGGATGGCCTAGAGGCCTTGAGGCAGCGGGAGCGGCTCCCCAGCATGGCCCAGCAGGAGGACCCAGAAAAGATTCAAGTTCAACTGTGCTTCAAGACATGTTTTCCTGAAAGCCAGCCGATTTATGGGTAATTGTGTTAGTTATCTAACGGTGAGTCACCAATTACAACAAAACGTAGTGGGCTTAAAACAAATAACAAAAACAAAAAGAAATTTTTGGTACAGGGTAAGGCCAGGTTTGCATCTGGCCTGACGCCAAAGCCCATGTACTTGGCCACTACTTTATACTGATCTCTGGGCTGCTACCTAGCTCTGAAAGTCAGTGATTCTGGAAGACAAATATCTTCCTAAAGTGGCAAATAAGGCTGTTGGTAGGATTTGTGGTGGAACTGCAAGGATTTCAGCAAATACAACATATAGTTTTTAACTATATGGAATGTATACTGTGGTCTGGTAGTTAAAAGAGCAGGCTTTGAACATAAGCTGCTCAAAGCCCAAAACTATCATTTACCAGCTTTGTGATTTAGGGAAAGTTGCTTGACCTCTTTTGCTTCAGAGTACTCATTTGTAAGATGAAATGATGAGGGATAATGATAATAATGCTACCTATCGAGGCTTCAATTAGTAATGGTTTGGTAGGTAGTAGAGCACATGGTAAGCATTAGTAAATCTCAGCTTTTATAATTATCTGCTGTGCTAAACACATGATAGCCATGCAGTACAAATTGGCTGTTATTTAACACACTTCCTCCTTCTTCTCATTACTGGTGCAAACACAATCGTCATTTGTTATTCATTTATTTGTTCCTTTGTCTGTTCTACAGTGATCTACTGAACCTAGTATGTAACAGTCACTGTGCCAGGCGATGACCCTGATCTAGTCCTACAGTTGGCAGCTCCAACATAGCTATTATTTCCATTTTACTCTAGTTACTAGGGAAGAAAAGTAGTATATTGGTTTTTCATAGGTTTCCTCAGATCATGCAGTTCATGTTGAGCATCCTGCCATTTTCCTCTATTCATTTATCTCGGATTAAAGACAGGCGCTAATAATTGCATCTAAATCAAACACACGTAGATAGGAAAGTAAGTGTCTCCCATTTTCTAATATTGTCATAAAGGTTGTAAAAATTCAAGCCAAAAAACACTTTATATGGTATATATAATTTTTTAATAAAAGTTAAAACATAAGCTAATATTACATTGATAATTACAAATATGTCCTTTGACAGGAATATCTGTAATCCATTTTTCACCATGTGTGATGCACTTGGTGCTTGAAGATTCTTTAGGAACTGCATATATGCAGATGAAAATGAAGTTCTTTACTATATTATCCTTATCACACATAAATTTCTTGAGAATGTAAAGATTCCCTGTGAGAACCCAAGAACATAAATGCTAACAATTTATTCACTAAAACTGAAACTAAGATTTGAAAATTTAAAGAAGATAATCTTTGAGTGCTAGGAAAAGCTAATCATTTTCCTTTAATCGCTCTTAAGCTTCATTCTTCCTGAAAATTTAAAGTCTTCCTAATCTTAGCAAATACTACAACGTGTAAAAATCATACAGGTGTACAGCAAATGTGTCTTTAAAATTTTATGTCCTACTGATTTGAAAATTAAATCATATTTTAAATGTATTAAGAGAAATCCCATATAAAAGAATGCTAGGATGAATCATTTCAGTGAGGAATTCTATTGTTAGCCACAGGAAAATTCTCTCTAAATTATATTTTGAGTGTCTGGATTTGTGTATTTCATGTATTTTAAGTCAAGATATGTTTATAGTAGAAGCTATTACAAAAGCATTTCTTTTCTATTTATCAAGTTAGAATAATACCGTAAGTCATTCTAGTAAAGTATCCTGAAGGAAACAAACAAAACAAACAAAAAAAACAACTATGAGTCATGAGCTGAGTTTGCTACCAGTAATAGAATTAATTTTAGTATGCATTTTCCTTGACCTCACACCATTCAATACCACTGGTCACTCCCTCTTTCTTGAATGTGCTCTTCTTTTGGCGTATGCTGACATTTGTTTAAACTGTTTCTCTCTTACCTCTTTGGCTGCTGCTTCTTCAGAGCCCTTTTCTCTCTTCTCCTTTTCTACATTTAGCTATCTCTACCTCTAGATATTAGAGCTATTTAGGTAACAATCCTGGGCTGTTCTGTTTTTACACAGTTAGACTTCATGGATCCAAATCCTGGTTACAGGGCTTGAACTCACTACAGGCAAGCCTTAAACTCTGTGTGTCTCAACTTCCTAAAATATAAAAGAGAATAATAATAGTCACTACTTCATGGGATAATTGTGAGGATTAAATGAATACATTTAAAGAATTTAGGCTGGGTGCAGTAGCTAACACCTGTAATCCCAGCACTTTGGGAGGCCTAGATGAGTGGATCACTTGAGGTCAAGAGTTCAAGACCAGCCTGGTCAACATGGCGAAACCCATCTCTACTAAAAATATACAAAAATTAGCTGGACATGGTGGTGCACGCCTGTAATTTCAGCTACTTGGGAGGCTGAGGCAGGAGAGAATCACTTGAACCTGGGAGGTGGAGGTTGTAGTGAGCTGAGATCACGCCACTGCACTCCACCCTGGGTGACAGAACGAGACTCCATTTAAAAAAAAAAAAAAAAAGGACTTTAGAACACTACATTTGGATTGTTTGTTTTTTTGTTTGTTTGTTTGTTTTTTGAGATGGAGTCTCACTCTGTCACCCAGGCTGGAGTGCAGTGGCATGATCTCGGCTCACTGCAGTCTCTGCCTCTGGGTTCAAGCAATTCTCCTGCCTCAGCCCCTCGAGTAGCTGGGATCACAGGTGCCTGCCCCATGCCCAGCTAATTTTTGTATTTTTAGTGGAGACGGGGTTTCACCATGTTGGCCAGGCTGGTCTCGAGCTTCTGACCTCAAATGATCCACCCACCCAGGCCTCCCAGAGTGCTGGGATTACAGGTGTAAGCCACTGCGCCCGGCTGGTATTTTTAATTGTTTTTATTCTGTAGCATATTCGTTCTCTATGTAATGCGCCAATTCCGATCCACATGCTGACAAATCCTAAATTTATATCTCTAGTCCAGGTCTCTCTGCTGAGGCTCAGACTGTATATATCTGACTACTAGTATCTTCACTTGGATGTCTCTCAGATACATCGAATTATGTTCAGAACTGAAAGTTAAATTATTAATCTTCCTCCTTCTAGATCTCTTCCCCACCTGCAAATTGGTCCTTCTCAAAATATTACAGAGTTAGAAATGGCATCTCTATCCCTACAGTTCAAACAGAAACAGGACAGGCATTTAAACTTTTAAAAAAAAATTTTTAATATAAAGAATTTATAATATATATAAAAATAGAATGCCTAACTTCAACAATTAGCATGGCTAATCTTGTTTCATTTATGTTGCCACCCACTCCACCATGCCCCAAACTAGATTATTTGGAAGTGAATTCTAAACACCATACCATTTTATGCATATTTATTTGTGTATGTATCTCTAAAACAATAAAGACTCTTAAAATATTTATGAAATTATTATAAATTGTCACATAATTTTTTCTTTTTTTCACTGTCAATTTAAATAAGAATCCATACAAAGTCTGTAAATGGCAAATGTTGACAAATATCTTAAATTTCTTTAATCATTCTCATTCTTATTCCCCTCATCCCAAATATATTTGTTGAAGAAACATTTGCCTTGTAGTTTTCTTTTGTCCCCCTAATTTCCTGTAAATTGGTAGTTTGAGCTGAAGGCTTAACTTGGTTTTGTTCAGGTTTGCTTTTTTATAGGAATAGTTTATGGAAAGTGTTGGGTACTTTCATCAGGAAGCACAGAAAGTCAGATTGTCTCTCCTTTTTGTGATGTGAACAACTGTTGATGGTCATTGTTTAGAATAGATCCATTATATCGTTAGTGGTTACAAAATATTAATATTCTATTTTTTAATCAGTGTTGCATTTATTGGTTGAAATTCTTCTATAAAGATTAACTTCCCCTTACAACTTTTGGTTATCCAGCAGTACCTTTCATATAGGAAAGACAAAATATTCTTTTCCTTTATTCATCAGCTTTCAGTGTGATTAGTTCATTCTGTATCATCTTCCATGAGTGATCAATGAACTTTTTTTTTTTTTTTTGGGATGGAGTCTCGCTCTGTTGCCCAGGCTGGAGTGCAGTGGTGTGATCTTGGCTCACTGCAACCTCTACCTCCCAGGTTCAAGCAATTCTCCCACCTCAATCCTCTGAGTAGCTGGGACTACAGGCACACACCACCACACCTGGCTAATTTTTTGTATTTTTAAAGTAGAGACAGGGTTTCACCATGTTGGCCAGCCTGGTCTGGAACTCCTGGTTCAAGTGATCCACCCTCCTCGGCCTCCCAAAGTGTTGGTATTACAAGAGGCTTCTTCAGTTTGGCTCCTGAGTCCTTTTAACAAATTTCAATTGTACTTAATAGCTTAATTTTTTCAATATTATAAGATATATCAAGATTATCATAGACCTCTCCTGCTCTAGTAGAGAAATCATCCATTTCTCTAAGGTATTTAGTATTGGGAAATGATATTTAGAGACCGTGGTCTGGGTTTTAGGAGTGTTCATTGTTGCTTCATTGGTCCTTGATTCTACACTTGTTCAGTGAACATAGCTAAGGAATACATAATTTTTGTTTGTTTGTTTGTTTGTTTGTTTTGAGACAGAGTCTCGCTCTGTCGCCCAGGCTGGAGTGCAGTGGCATGATCTTGGCTCACTGCAAACTCTGCCTCCTGGGTTCATGCCATTCTCCTGCCTCAGCCTCCAGAGTAGCTGGGACTACAGGTGGCCGCCGCCATGCCAGGCTAATTTTTTGTATTTTTAGTAGAGACGGGGTTTCACCGTGTTAGCCAAGATGGTCTCGATCTCCTGACCTCATGATCCGCCTGCCTCAGCCTCCCAAAGTGCTGGGATTACAGGCTGAGCCACTGCGCCCAGCTGGATTACATACATTTTTTAAAAGAGAAAATCTGATTTTATAATATTTTAATTTAGTTTAATTGTTATTTAAATTTTTTTCCTACCAATTTTCATTTTAGGTTAAGAGGGTACATATGGAGGTTTGTTATATGGATAAATTGTATGTCATCAGGGTTTTGTGTACAGATTATTTCATCATCCAGGTAATAAGTATAGTGCTCAATAGGTAGTTTTTCAGTTCTCACCCCCCTCCCACCCTCTGCCTTCAAGGAGGCCCTGGTGTTTATTGTTTACTTTTTTGTGTCCATATGTATTCAGTGGTTAGCTCCCACTTATAAGTAAGAACATGTGATATTTGGATTTTCTGTTTCTGCATTGCTTCAATTAGGATAATGGCCTCATGCTCCATCCATGTTGCTGTAAAGGACATGACTTCATTCTTTTTTTATAGCTGTGTAGTGTTCCATGGTATATATGTACCACATTTCCTCACCAGTTCACTGTTGATGGGCATCTAGGTTGATTTTATGTCTTTGCTATTGTGACTATTGCTTCGATAAACATACATGTGCATGCCTTTTGATAGAATGATTTACATTCCCTTGGGTGTCTATCCAGTAATGGGATTGCTGGAACAAATGGTAATTCTGTTTTATGTTCTTTGAGAAATCTCCAAACTGCTTTCCACAGTGGTTGAACTTGTTCACATTCCCATCAGCAGTATATGTGTTCCCTTTTCTCCACAACTTTGCCAGCATCTGTTGTTTTTGACTTCTTAATAATAGCCATTCTGACTGATGTGAGATGGTATGTTATTGGGTTTTTTTTTTCATTTCTCTAGTGATTAGTGATGTTGAACTTTTTTTATATGCTTATTATTGACATTGTGTATGTCTTCTTTTGAGAAATGTCTGTTCATATCCTTTGTCCATTTTTTTAATGGGGTCTTTTTTTTAAGGTGTGTACTTTTATTGCACTGGTCTCAAGTTAGTGTACAGGGAAGCCCAGGCTGCCTCCACCCTCCACCAACTCCCAGGGAGACCAAGAGCCTTCATACAGCTCAAGTTGGGAGACAGAAAAGGGGGGTCACAATGCCAATCATTCAAAATAAAACAAAATTTAAAAAGTACTAGGGCAAAGATTTAAGAAATTATGCATTACATAATATACATGAAAGCAATGCTGTCACCTCCCTGGACTTGGGAGAGGATTAGACCATTCTCCCTAGAGAGAAGTGTGGTGGCTTTTTGGAGGGCAAGGGACTTCCTGTAATAAAGCATCTCATGATATTTGGAATGACTATTAAAAAAATAACAATATACAATCAAAGTCCTCGGCCACACTGTAGAACTTTGAGCGATGCTGGCTCCAACCCATTGCTGACACTGTCATGGTCCAATTTTTAAATCCTGAGTCAAGCCGAAAACAAAAACGAAAACAAACAAAAAACAAAAACAAATTAAGGCATGCCAATGTCATCTTGTTTTCTGTGCCAGTTTGGTTTTTGTCAAGAAAGAGTGTAATGAAACTAAGAAAACTAAGCGACAGTCCTCCTAGAGGCATCTGTGGTGGACAATGGAGGGGTGGGACTTGTGGTACTGCTGCTTGCTGATCCACATCTGCTGGAAGCCTGGCAGCCAGGCCAGGATGGAGCCACTGGACCCACACAGAGTATCTGCGCTCAGGAGGAGCAATGATCTTTATCTGCATTGTGCTGGGAGCCAGGGTGGTGATCTCCTTCTGCATCCTGTGGGGGATGCCAGGGTACACAGTGGTGCCACTGGACAGTACTGCATTGGTGTAGAGGTCTTTGCAAATGTCCATGTCACACTTCATGATGGAGTTGAAGGTAGTTTCGTGGATGCCACAGGATTTCATGCCCAGGAAAGAAGGCTGGAAAAGAGCCTTGAGGCAGAGGACCAGCTTGTTGCTGATGGTGCCGACTTGGGCTTCAGGCAGCTTGTAGCTCTTCTCCAGGGAGGAGCTGGAGGCCACAGTGACCAGGGAGGAGCTGGAAGTCCAGGGTGAGGTAGCACAGCTTCTCCTTGATGTCTCACGCTCTCTTCAGCGGTGGTGGTGAAGCTGTAGCTGCACTTCCCGGGGCTCTTCATGCGGTAGTCAGCCGGGTCCAGATGCAGGATGGCACCAGGGAAGGCGTGCCCCTTGTAGATGGGCACAGTGTGGGTGACCCTGCCAGAGTCCATCACGGTGCCAGTGGTACAGCCAGAGGCTTACAGGGAAAGCACAGCCTGAATGGCCACCTACATGGCTGGGGTGTAGAAGGTCTCAAACATGATCTGGGTCATCCCACGGTTGGCTTTGGGGTTTAGGGGGGCCCCAGTCAGCAGCACAGGGTGCTCCTGAGGAGCCACATGCAGCTCGTTGAAGAAGGTGTGGTGCCAGATCTTCTCCATTGGTGACAATGCCATGCTCGATAGGGTATTTCAGGGTCAGGATGCTTCTCTTGCCCTGGGCCTCATTGTCCACGTAGGACTTCTTCTGACCCATGCCCACGATCATGCCCTGGTGCCATGGGTGCCTCACGATGGAGGGGCATCGTCGCCTGCTAAGCTGGCCTTGCACATGGGAGAGCCATTGTCCATGACGAGCGTGGCGATATCATTATCCATGATGAGCTGGCAGTGGGTGTGGACCCGTGGCAGAGCGGCGAGGGCAAGACTCTGTGCTTATGGGGCAGATGCGGTCTCAGAGGTGAATGCAGTCGTTCTTGGCTTGTTGATTTGTCTAAGTTCCTTATAGATTCTGAATAGTAGACTTTTGTCAGAGGCATAGTTTGCAAATATTCCTTCCTATAAGTTGTCTGTTTACTTTGTTGATAGTTTTATTTGCTGTGCAGAAGTTCTTTAGGTCCCATTTGTCAATTTTTGTTTTTGTTGCAATTGCTTTTGGGGTCTTCATCATGAAATCTTTGCTAGGGTCAATGTCCAGAATGTTATTTCCTACATTTCTTCTAGGGTTTTTATAGTTGTAGGTTTTACATTTAAGTCTTTAATCCATCTTCAGTTGATTTTTATATATGGTGAAAGGAAGGCCAGGCGCGGTGGCTCAGGCAGGGCGTGGTGGCTCACGCCCATAATCCCAGCACTTTAGGAGGCTGAGGCAGGCAGATCACGAGGTCAGGAGATCGAGACCATCCTGGTTAACACGGTGAAACCCCGTCTCTACTAAAAATACAAAAACAAAAACAAAAAAATTAGCTGGGTGTGGTGGTGGGCACCTGTAGTCCCAGCTACTCGGGAGGCAAGGCAGGAGAATGGTGTGAACCCAGGAGGAGGAGCTTGTAGTGAGCCGAGATTGCGCCACTGCACTCTAGCCTAGCCTTAGTGACAGAGTGAGACTCCATCTCAAAAAAAAAAAACAAAAAAAAGGAAGTTTCATTCTTTTGCATATGGCTAGCCAGTTATTCCAGCACCATTGTCAACTTTGTCGCAGATCAGTTCGTTGCAGTGTATGACTTTATTTCTGGGTTCTGTAACCTCTTCTATTGGTCTGTGTATCTGTTTTTGTACCTGTATCATGCCGTTTCAGTTACCGTAGCCTTGTCATACAGTTTGAAGTCAAGTAGTATGATGCCTCCAGCTTTAATGTTTTTGCTTAGGATTGCCTTGGCTATTTAGGCTCTTTTTTGATTTAATATGAATTTTAGAATAGTTTTTTCTAATTCTGTGAAATATGTCATTGGTAATTTGATAGGAATAGCATTGAGTCTGTACATTGCTTTGGGTGATATGGCCATTTTAACAATATTGATTCTTCCTACCCATGAGCCTGGAATGTTTTTCCATTTCTTTGTATCATCTCTGATTTCTTTCAGCAGTGTTTTATAATTCTCATTGTTGAGATCTTTCACCTTCCTTCTTAGCTGTACTCCTAGGTATTTTACTCTTTTTGTGGTATTGTGAATGGGATTGCTTCCTTGATTTGGCTCTCAGCTTGGATGTTGTTGGTGTATAGAAATCATGATATTTTAATTTTAAATTTAAGATTATAATACTTTTACTTGACTTCTTTGATTTTAAATTTATATTCTCTCTACTATTGTAAAAAAAGTTGGTTCCTAAATGTGTAAATATAATTACTTATTTTCTTTATCCTTTATCTATTTTTCTTTATCCTAGATTGTATTATAATAGTTTCAGAAAATCATAACCAATGTTGTCACTAACAATATGATTGCTGAAAATTACTCAAGATCTTTTTTTAAAAAACATTTTATTTATTTATTTTGAGCTTCAGGGTATATCCAAATAGACAAATGAAATTATTGTGTTTTCAGTTTGTTTGAAATACTTCTTCTATATATAATTATGCCATCCACTCATTGCTTAGATTGGTTTCATTTTGCTTAGATTTTTAGGGATTGAAAAAATTTAACTTTAATTTAAATTTTAATTAAGTAAAATGGTTATGGGACTTAAAGAAATGTACCAAACAAGATCTATTGCAAAAAGTTCATCATTTATTCCTGTCTTCCTTATAGTTTCTTTCCTCTCCCTGTAGGTAGCCATTTAAAAACCTTTTTGCTTTAGCCTTACATTAAAAAAATATGAAAACATATGTCTTTGTATCCTCCCTTCTTTCATAT
The DNA here is from genome assembly GCF_000001405.40 of Homo sapiens. Taxonomy (NCBI): domain Eukaryota; kingdom Metazoa; phylum Chordata; class Mammalia; order Primates; family Hominidae; genus Homo; species Homo sapiens. The sequence continues at coordinate 180,818,567 of NC_000003.12, read as the reverse complement.
TCTTCCTTTATATCTCTCCTTTCTACCAATAAATGGTAACATACACACTTTTCTTCAGCTTACTTTTTTCACTTTCCTAGAGATCAGTTTTATATAAAGTATATAAAAATAGCTCTGTTTCCCTTTATAGTTACATATTTCTCAATTGAGTGGGTATATCATGGTTTAATCAACCAGAACCCTTTGGTGGATATTTGCATTGTTTCCAGTTGTGTGCTGGTAAATATTTAACAACTAGATCTCTATAGGGAAAAAAGTCCTGATTTGGAGTTTGCAAATTTTTGTAGTGTCAATACTCCTACCATGGCTGATTTTAAGCTACTAACATAATGTCACTGAATGTGAAGTGGGGAAGTGATGTACAATAGCACTTCAATATATAGTATTCCCAACATTTGGATACAGTACATGTAAATAATCTCAACAGCATAGTTTTTTTTGTTTTTGTTTTTTGTTTTTTAAATTTTGAGACAGGGTCATGCTCTGTTCCCTAGGCTGGATGGTAGTGATATAATCATGGCTTGCTGCAGCCTAAACTTCCCCAGCCCAAATGATCCTCCCACCTCAGCCCCCCAAGTAGCTGGGACCACAGGTGTGTGTCACCATGCCTGGCCAATTTTGTTTATTTTTTTGTAGAGACAAAGTCTCACTATGTTACCTGAGCTAGTCTTGAACTCCTGGGCCCAAGTGACCCTCCCATCAAGGCCTCCCCAAATGCTGAGATTACAGTCATGAGCCACTATGCCTGGCTTACCTTTGTTTTTAACATAATTTATTTAATTGTAAGTCTATATAATATAATTTCAACAGTGGCTGTGTTTAAAAACTAGCTTGCAAAATTCTTGGAAATGTAACAATCAATTTTTGCAAGTGGATACAAGCAAGTTCCAATATATTCACTGGTTGCTATTACAAATTTTTCTGTGGTGAATAGCATTGTACATGTGTCAGTTTTGTATATTTGCTAGTGTAATTTTGGAACAGATTTTTAGAAGTGGGGTTATTGAGTCAAAGGATAAATGTTTCTGTTGCTCAGTTGTCTTTGAAAGAGGCTATACCATTTGGTATTTCCACCAGCATTAAATGAGAGTGTTTGTTTCCCCAAGTCTCATCAACAGAGAATGTTGTCAAGATTTTGGATTTTTTTTTTTCAAAAATAAAGCTGAGAAATGTATCTCAGTGTAGATCTCATTTGCATTTATCTTATTATGGGTGAGGTTGGCCATCTTTTTGTATCTGTTAGTCATTACTGACAGTTCCTTCCTTCCTTATTCTTCATATCTAACCAATTACCAAGTATGTTTTTCTTTCTCAGTGTTCATTGCAACTGTACCAGATAAAACTGCAATCTCTTCATCTGGATTAATTTTTGAGCTTCTTATCTTGTCTTCCTGCATACATTTTGCCTTCTCTAATTAATTCTCTACAAATCAGCCAGAGGAATCTTTCCAAGAAAAATGGAATTGTATAATTCACCTTCTCCTGATACTTCAGTGGCTTCCCACTACACTTTAGAAACCAAATTGCTTAGTCGTACCTATAAGATATTGGAGACAACTTTATCACAAAACCACACATAGTTATGAAGAAGGCTGGAATTATCATATGAAAATGAAAGAAGAAAAGATTTTTTCCTTATATTAGCACAAATTAAATATGTAATTAATTAGATAGTGATTAAGTAAGGTTGGAGTTTGAGAAGCTATCTTAGAGCAGGTGATGAAAATAACCGGAGAAAGAAAGTAGAAGAAGAATGTGTACAGGCTGGGTGTGGTGGCTAATGCCTGTAATCCCAGCACTTTGGGAGGCCGAGGTGGGAGGATTGCTTGAGGCCAGGAGTTCAAGACTACCCTGGCCAACATAGCAAGACCCTGTCTCTATTAAAAAAAAAAGAAGAAGAAGAATGTATGCAAAGGCCATTAGACAAAAATTAGCAAGAATTTCCTGGTAGTTGGAGGCAAATGGCAGAGGTAAGTAGAGAAGTAACAGCTAAGTAGAGTCTCTGAGAAGTTGAGAAAGACTTAAGCTATTTCCAATTTTTGAGGCTTCTGACATATTAAAATAGAAATAAATTCCAAAGCAGGTCTGTAACATTTATGGTATATTTCAAATACATCTATCTGATATTTGAAACACTAGAAAGTATAATGCAATATAATGGTAACATTCACAAGATGATTACAGGATTTGCAAAAAGATTTTAATTCATAATACACAACAGGTGATGTTGAATTTTGTGTCTCCTGGGTCTCTCCCACCCCTGTATTAGGGTTCTCCAGAGAAATGGAACCAATGGGGGTGGGGGGAGAGAGAGAGAGAGAGAGAGAGAGAGAGAGAGAGAGAGAGAGAGAAGAGAGAAGAGAGAGAGAGAACTTTATTTCTTTATTTATTTAGAGATGGATTTTCGCTCTTGTTGCCCAGGCTGGAGTGCAATGGTGCAATCTCAGCTCACTGCAACCTCTGCCTCCCAGTTCAAGCGATTCTCCTGCCTCAGTCTCCCAAGTAGCTGGGATTACATGCCCAGCTAATTTTTTGTATTTAGTAGAGACTGGGTTTCACCATGTTAGTCAGGCTGGTCTCAAATTCCTGACTTCAAGTGATCCACCCACCTCAGCCTCCCAAACTGCTGGGATTACAGGTGTGCGCCATTGCACCAGGCCTAAGAGAAATTTATTATTAGGAATTGGCTCATGCAGTTATGGAGACTGGCAAGTACAAATTTGCAGTGTGGGGCCAGCAGGCTGGAGACCCAGGAGAGCTGATGGTGCAGATGAAGTGTGAAGACAGTTTGCTGATGAATTCCCTTTTGCTAGGGAAGGCTAGTCTTACTGTTCTATTCAGACCTTCAACTAATTTGGTGAGGCCAACCCTCATAATGGAGCGCAACATGATTTACACAAAATTTACTGATTTAGATGTTAATCTCATCCAAAACACCCTTCAAGATATACACAACATTAGCCTTCATATACCCAGAGAGATATGTTGAAGTCCTAAGCCTCAATATCTCAGAATGTGAAGCAACGTTGCTGACACTTCAATTTTAGACTTCTAACCTCCCAAACTGTGAAATGATAAATTTGTATGGCTTAAGCCATGTAGTCGGTGGTACTTTGTGACAGCAGTGCCAGGAAATAAATACAGACTGTATGTATGACCTCAGTTGGAGATAACATCAAAAATCTAAATTTGAAGCCCTTCATTATAAAGTTGACAATTGGATTAAATGGCTTTAGGTCAATTCTAATTCACGATAAATTCGTTTTCTAAAACCCATCAGGAATAGTTTAATGATAACCATTTCACCACAGTATCAGGGGAAAGATTAAGTTTTGGGAAATAGTTTAATAGTTCACCAAACTGGCCTATGTTTACCACTTCAGTCCAACCATCAGTAGATTCTCAGAGCTGCACATGTTAAGTTTCATATCTTACAAAGCAAGTGTGGCCATTTATGGGAGTGGCTGGTATAAGGTAGCTTTGCTCCACGCTAGTGAACAGGCCCCCAACCAGCACTACTATGATTGTTGGGTTCAAGAGACCCATCAAATACTTGAAACAAAGTTTTGGGAAGAAAGATTCTGCTTTATTTAGCAAATTAAATATTCCCCTTAAAATGAAAAGAAGTCATTCTGCTAACAGTGTAGTCCTAGTACTTTCTTCAGACCTAGATTCCCATGGTTGGTTTAAGTTGTAAAATTCTGTGTCTTTTCTTCTGTTTCTTGGCTGAAGACATTGTGGCATAGCAGATGTGCTTACCAGAGAGCCTGACACCAAGTTGGTGCTCACTAGATTTGTTGAGAGAATAATCCACAAGTCTTGGGGTCAGACTAGTCTCCAATTCTAGCTGTGCCACTTTCTAGCTGATTGACCCAGAGTCAGCCATGGAATCTCTCTGACCTCAAATTTCTTCTTCAGTAAAACCATAGGGAAAATCTCTCAACTTTCTCTCCTGTTATTTTCCATAATACATTTGAAGAAATTTATCTTACTTTGGGAACTAGATAAAAATGGACATGATTTTTTAAAAAAGTAATAATTATTGCTTTGTTTGCTTCACAGAATTCGTATGAAGATTGAAGTGATAGTAAATGTAATAGCACTTGACAAAACATAAAGTAATATATAAATGTAATAGATTATTATCTTGCTAATAGCATCACCATTCTCAAATTTCCGACTCAATATTGTCAATGCATATACTCTTTTGAAAGCTTTAGGTAAGAAAGTTACTTTAATACTAATTGTAGTTTGTACAAGTATATGCATGTGTATATTTTTGTATGTTTAAGATTATTAATTTGTTTATTTAAAAATATAACATATGCAGTATAAACAAATAAAGCTCCTTTCTGGCATAGTATTACAGGTCCACAAACTGGTACATTGTATTTGTAATTTCTACATCCAAAAATATCTTAGAAACAAAAGTTTTTTGTAAATAATTTGTAGAAAAATTGGACTTGAACTGATTATAGTCTATTTCAATTAATGTGACTATTCATACATTTTATTGCAGAAGAAGTATATGAATCTTCCCTCTTATAAAAAGCTTAAGAAAGCCAGACCAACAAAGACGGGGCAATTAAAGAATAGTATAAGTGAGATGTTCAAGCTGCATATATTCAAGAGCTGAAGAGTATGGTACAAATAATAAGTCCTGTGTATTTTCAAAAAGGGAATAAAATAATTGTAGACTCTAGATCTACCTTCCAGAAAAGCAAAAACAATTTTATTGAATGATGCCTGGTATATTCATTTAACATAATCTCTTTAAACAGAAAAAGTAGAGTTTCTGAAATAAACCCTAATTTTTCTTGAACAAAGGAAAGTAGCCCGGATTCTTCAGAACTTTTCTTTCATCAGAGTTGAACCATAGAATAATAAAGGCTGTGTGTCCTGGATGCTTACAACACCTTATCACTCCATGAATTGGCCCCAAGAAGTGTAGGATCACTGTAAATCTTAAGAAATAGATAATTCGATTTCCAGGAGTTGGATTGAACTTAGAATAAGACTCATATAGGGTTCTTGACCTCAATATTTGCTCAGCTATCTATCAAGGCCCTGGCTTGTTCCATCTCATTTTTACAAGGCAGAGCCTTTCCAGCCCTTGGTTTCTACCCTGTCTGGTCAGTTTCACAGCAAGGTCAGAGTGCCCTGCATTAATTCTGGAAGCACAGTCCTTGCTGCCCATCTCCTCCATAATGTTTTGCTTTTTTTTCTCTCTCTCTCTCTCTCTCCCTCCCTCAGCTGCATTTAAGCCTTAGACTACAGATATAAGCTCTTGGGTACTTATTTAAAAATCTAAAATACCTTGAATTTTCAATTCATCTGTCCTCCTTCACAAGGTCTTTTTACAATGTGCAATTTATAAAATGAAATATTTTTTTCAATAAATATTATATAACTACCAGAAGATATGATCAAAAGCATTTCCACTGAGCAAATGATTATTGTAGGATAGTGGTTAGAAGAAGGAAATTTAGATGGATTCAAATTTCAGCTCTACCACACTTACTAGCTTTGTGACTTTGGGCTAGTAACTCAATCTCTTTGCCTCAACTTTCCCATCTGTAAAATGGAGGCAATAATACAGCAATAGACTATTCTGAGTAATAAATATAAAACACTTAGCCAAATTCTTGACACTTCAAAAATGCGAGAAATATTAACTTTTTGCCATTATCAGCAGTGAATAACCCTCCATCATTCCAAAGATTTTAGCTTGCAAAATGCTCCTAAAGGGTGTGACCCCATTTCACTATTGTCCACTTCAGTGGCTGCCACACACCTCACATTCTAATCCTAACACAGTCACATACCTATGGAATCATGACATTCAAAGTCTGCAAGAACTGTGGGTAAATCTCACGCTTCATTTATTCAAATGCCACTGGCAAGTGTGACTGTGACCCAGAGTGTTAGCATGACTCTTTAGCTTATTTTACTTTATTTTTGCAGCTCTCAATTTTAACATTTCTGTTAATTACATTCATGCTGTGTCATTTTACTTGAAAATTTCTTTTTCCACCCCCAAATCAGAGACCAGAGACAGTCCTGGTACGTTTGGACAGTTTGGACAGAACTGGCAGGTGGCCTACCTAGCCACAACCCTTTAAAAACCCTATTTCTGTATCTTATTTGTGGACAATGACAGAAATAAGGCTTATAAGCATCTAAACACTTGTGAGACAGCATGTCAGCTTTCAAATAGGAGCATAAATTTAGACACACACTCAACTGTATGCACTGGTTCTCACATTCATTCCATTTTTGAGAATATAACACATCATCTAAAGTGAAAACTAATTTTTGAATTTCTCTTGACTACCTTCTGTGTGTGAGGCATTTAAAATATTTTTTATTAAGGTATAATTTATGAACAGTAATATTCACTCTGCAAGTTTTGACAAATGTACATAAATGCACCACAACTAAATCATGGAACAATTCCATCACTCCAGAAAAATTTCCCTGGGCCCTTAAAGTCAACTCCTTCCCCCACCTCCAGCCCCTGGCAAACACTAGTCTGCTTTTTCCCTCTATAGTGTAGTAATTTTTCACATATGTTATCTCGGTTAATATTACTTAGGATCTTCTGAGATAACAGTATTACTCCTGTGGCAGCAACAGAGTTGACTGAATATTTTTATTTATTGCCTTAAGTGATAAATATTCTATATCTTTTAGCTTTTTTGTTAACATAGAGTCTTACAATAAAGTGTTAGAAAAAAATAGCCACTCTCAAGTCAAATGTTTGTTTCCTTTTAATTAAACCTGATTACTTTTTTAAAGGGAGGAGATTTTTTTTATTATATTGCTTTTTTTCTCTCCAAATGTGTGCTTTTATTGCTCTGTTTCTGCAAGATGAAATCATTAACAGTTTACCTATCCTTGACCCACTGAACTTCAACCATGGATAGGGAACAGGAAACAGTAAAACATGAATTTTATGAAAATGTTTTTTGTGCTCATGCCAGACTCAATGCCTGAAGGAATTGACTGGGGACTCACTCCGTCATGCATATGAGTTCAGGACTGTATGTATAGTGATTTGTCCAACTTGGTTTCTTGAAAGCTAAAGTCCTGACCTTTTATTCCCCACCGTGAAGAGCTACAATAATGTAGGAACAAAGAGAACATGGAATTTCCCAAAGTTAGAAAGTTCCTTTGATTCCTTTGCTTTGCCTGGAACTTATCCATGTGGTGTTCCAAGCTAAGGAAGGGCAGGTGTATATGTGGAAATGGTTGAGCTATGTGCCTGTGACTTTAGCAGTCACATTTAAACCAGAGTCACAGATTTAGGAGAACTCTCTTAATAATTTATACAGCTATTTTATCATTAAAATAATATTTCTCATTTTCAATTATAAAGGTAACTTTTATTATAGAAAGTTTGGAAATTTTAATTATTTTAACACAACTGGATACTGCTCTAAAGAATAAAAAAGGTTATTATACAACGAAAGATATGGCCCTAGTTCCTTTTTATTAAAACTCATTCAATCTTAAAGGGGCCCTTATTCAGAATCAATTTACTCTTAAATACCAAAATGGTAGCCCTAAATCCAAATATGTATCTGTGATGATAGTAAGTGTAAATTATCTAAATATACCAGTTAAAAAACAGAGATTGTCAGAATGAGGAAAACCATAATATGCTGTCTATGAGAAACCCACTCTAAATATAACAATATCATAGGTGAAAAATGAAAGAATGGAAAAGAATATACAATGCAGACACTATTTGACAGAAAGCTGAGTAGCTACATTAATATAAGACAAAGACTTCGGAGAGAGGAAAATTACTAGGGATAAAGAAGGACACTACATAATTATAAAATGGTTAATTTACTAAGTAGATTTAGGAAAGATTTATTAAGTAGTAGATAACAATGCTAAATATGTATGTGACTTACAACAGAGCTCTAGCAAATACTGATAAAACTGGACAAATGAAAATTATAGTTGGAAACTTCAGCTCAATTTTTCTTGTTCTGTCAACTCAGTAATTGACAAGGCAAGTAGAGAGAAAATTAGCAAAGATGGACTAAAAAACACCATTAACCAAATGAATTTATTTGACATTCACAGACTCTACCCAACAACAGCAGAATACACATTTTCTTCAGGTTGACCAAGAGCATTAACCAAGGTAGGCAATATTAAGTATCATAAAACAAAACTCAGCAAATTTAAACAATGAAAATCATACAAAGTATGTTTTCTGAATGTAATAGAATTAAGCGAAACAAACTCGGAAATTCTAAATTTTAGCTGGTAAATGGTAGAGTTTAGTAGATAAGAACTTGGGCTCTTCATTCAAATAGAAATGGATTTGATTGTCCCACTTACATATTTTGGAAACGTTGACAATATAACTCTGGGTTGCTTAGCTCTTATGAGGAGGAAGGAGCGTTTGCTTGAGGCTCTTTATTTTAAAATAATGAAAAGTTTGAAAAATGCCTTGCCATTGATCCAACATAACTTATTTTAATATTTTACTTCAGTATCTTCACTTATCATTGTAAAAACACATAGATGATACTGGGGACTGATTCACATTCCAGAGGACAAATTTTGACTAACTGGTAGACTGTATTTTTTGCAATTTATTCACATAGCCACCCCCTTGACAAGCCCCCTTGGCTGATTAATATTTTTATAAAGAGTTAGGGTCTCGCTCTGTCACCCAGGCTGGAATGCAGTGGTGCAATCATGGCTCACTGTAGCCTCAAACTCCTGGGCTCAAGGGATCCTCCCACCTCAGCCTCCCAGGTGTTGGGATTATAGGCATTTACCAACTTGCCTGGCTCTAATTCTGTTAATAAAAATGGAAACCAGGATTGAGAGAGACGATTCACTCATTTAATAGGTTACTATTCAGTACCTAATTTGTAGCAGGCCCTATGTTAGATAATGGGGAGATAGCAGCAGAACTTAGGATCTAAAGGGGAAGCAAATATAGTAAATTATAATTAATTGAGCAATTACAATAAAAGGTACTGAAAGCTGTGACTGTTGAAGTATAGTTTAATAGACAAAGAAGAATACTTTCAGTTCAGCTTCCTTTTGCAGTTGCTAATCCATTATCCACCCTGGTAAGCATGAAGGGTAGAGAATAACAGTACACCAAAACAGTTGGCTGAACTGGTGGATCATGGGCAGGGTGGGGAAGGGAAACACCCCTCAGATGTGTCCTAGTGTGTTCATAATGGTGTCATAGACCCAAAGAAGATTAGAACACATAATTATAGGCTCACTACCCAGGTCATCTTTCAAGTTTAGAGATGCCAGAAGATTTTAAGATTCCAAAATTAGAATCTTCTTGGTTTGTCCAAGTGAATATGCTTACCAGCATTGCAATGTGATTTTATGAGTATTTATCAAAAGCTGACCTAAGGGAAGGACTATGCTTGTGAAAAGTAGAAAAAAAAGTTATTCTAAAGAAGAGGTTTTCAATGACTAAAGACTCTAATGTCGTATTACATTGTGGTTTTTCAATAATGTACAGGAAACAGGTGTCTTAAGCCATAAAAAAAAACAGAGCTAGAACTCAACAGGTGAAATGAGGTGAAATCAGGTCCCTTGGTCAGCATGTTTAAAAGTGGTTTCTCCAGATTAGGGAGGACATGAGGAGCTAGACTGAGAAAAGAATTCCAATGACTGAAATAACTGGCTTTTTGACTATACCAGGGAAAAAGTGACTTTAGTTTTGGATCTTTGGGCAAATGGCTACAGAAAAACTGAGGAGTTAAAATTAGCATGAGCATTTTCATCGGCTATTATGTTGGGCTTAGGACTATTATAGGGACAATTAAATGCACTAAGAAGCTCGAATCAATTTCACAAAAGGTTTCAAGTAGCAACATGAAATTCTTTCTTTATGGTAGATTGCCAAAGCTGTAAGAGCAGTGGCCAAACCCATTAATAGAAACAATGCAGTTTTCCTGGGTTGGCAGTGTCTCCTGGATTGAGTGTGACAAAATAATAAAGAATGACTTTGTCATCTATAAAGCTGTTGGACATTCTTAAAAATTAGAAGATCCCCAAAAGGAGAACTTAAGACCTAATATCTAATCTTAGTTAAAATTGCACTGACCCCTAGTATAAAGTTTATAAAGCATGCACAGGTACCTTCGTTCAATCCTTACAAGAACTGCTAAGATAGGCTTTTGTTCCTTTTTTATAGATAATCACCCTGAAGCTCAGAGAGGTTAAGTGACTCACCAAAGCTCAAATTACTGATAAGTGGCAGATTGGGAGCTTCTTCCTTTTTAGATTCTTCACCTTTATTGGAAAAGGATATAATTTGGATATATGAGTAATCTCTATGAAAATATTGTTCAAAGATGCAAAACCTTACAATTTTCAGAGATGCCACTCCTATATAAATACCAAGTAATTTTATCTTGAGTGTAGCTCATACCTTAAGATCTTGTTTCTTGGCTTGGCAAATGTAAACAAATGATTAAATTATGAATTCCTGTCAATAAATGGCATCGTAAGATCTCATTTTTTATTTGCTTAAGTAATATGATCTTATTGTAGAAAAATTTGAAAATAGAGATAAACCAAAAGAAAGATTATCCAATCCCCAAATTTTTGGCCAGAAAAATTACTGATTAGTGTATCTCTTTCCAGTGCTTCACATAAATATATATATACATATATAAACTAAACATATATGCAATAAAATACATGTCTATAAAGACAGTTACACATTTAAAATATATGTGTACATTTTAAATTTATATACACATATTTGTATATATACAGTTATAAAGTAAAATAGAGACAATTTTATATATTCTGTTTATATATTGAATATTAACTTGTTATGGACATCTTTATACCAAACAAATATGCTTCTATACCATATTTTTGTGATATTGTTGGACAACTTCAATTTAGATTGTTATAAAAAATACTGTGATGTGGTAAAGGGAACTTGAGGAGATACGGAAAAAAAGAAAAAATTAAAAAGGAAAAATACTGTGATGAACATACTTGTAGTTATAACCTTGCCTAAATTCTCAATTATCTCCTTAAGGCAAATTTCCAGGAGTAAGTTTTGATGCACATTGACAAATTGTCCTTGAGGAAGTTATATTTCCATCAGCAGTAGATAAAAGCTCTTGTTTTCATACATATTAACATAGAATATTTTCAGTTAATTTGTTGGCATTTATTAAAATCCCTATGTGCTCGTAGTTCTGTTCTAAATGGTTGGCTGGTCCTGAGATACATACGGGCAATGGTGTGACAAGCAGACCAGTTGGGCTGTAAAGTTTAAACGAGATAATCCATGTACAGCATATGTCAGAGTGTCTCTATATGCAGTAAATATTAAGGATATGGTAGCTATTTATTATTGTTGTATTTTAGCTGGGAGACTTCATCTCCATCAAGAAAAGTATTTTTTTCAGCATCTAAATAGAATATAATCACCTTTTTAATGCCTTTCTGAATTTCTCAAAGGGATGGTTTAGATCCTTTTTCTCTGCACTCAGCACACTCTATATATACTTCTGTTGTATGTCATATCACATTGTAACATAATTATTCTTTTATCTCTTTGACTCTCACTACATTGTGAATGCCTGTGAATAAGGACCATGTCTTATCTCTGCCCACAGCACTAAGTACAGGTCCTGACAATTGATAGAAATGCAATAAATGTTTGTTACATGACTGAATGGATGAAAAAGCAAAAGAATAAAGTTTTTGCTGTTCAGATGGGTGACCCGAAACTTCCTCATGACTCCTTATCATAGAATGTAAAGTATGGAGAAAGTGGATAAGGACTATGGTCCCAGTTCTTGTGGAAGTTGGCAATAGAATTAAGAAATTATGAGGCAGCTGTGCTGAAAACTATGGTCAAGGGTATCATTGGAGGTATCATCACAATACTTCTGATGTACAGGTAAAAGCTCCTTCTTTTCTGCCTATGTAGTCAGAGTATGTCATTGAAGAGGAGAAGCTTGTCTAGTTCTCCGTGAAGGAGGGAAAGCTAGCAAGCAGATTTTCATGAGGCTATCTACCCAGACTACATTCTCGTTTCCTAATTCACATGGGCAGTCCATTTCAGTACTGTTATTCCACCACTCCCTGGCCATAATTGATTGAGTTAGGGTGGACACCTAATCCAGGAGGAACCAATCCATTCATTGTACTGAATCAATTAGATTGTATCTCTTAGAAATTAAGACCCAGAGCCTGGCCGGACTCCAGGTACTAAACGTTGGGAGATACTCTTAGATTAATTGCAAATTTTTCATTTTTACTTGTTATTTGAGCATGTTTGTTACTTCTAATTCAAGGAATTTTAACCAAGACAGTAGGATCATTGATTTTACATGTATAGCAGTGCTTTGGAAAATATTCTCTCTCATAGTAGTGCCAGGGTTCTGTCTCAAAAAACATGTCAGAAGATGTCCTGCTAGTAGGGTGCCTTAAAGGCACTTCAGCCAAGGGGTCAAGATGGGCCTCAAAAATATTCTGTCTTGACTGTGATTTGGATGGGTCTTGGGGTATACCCTGGCCCATGCTAACCCTGGTGCAGCCATGAGAATCTCAGGATTTCTGGACTAGCCTTGCATCTTAGCATATTAGGAGAGAGAAGGATTGAGATCTTTTGGATTGGAAGCAACCTGCTGATATAAGGACAAAAGTGGCACAACTTGCTAGGGGTACAAATTTAAAAATATACATGTAGGGTGACTTATTCAGAATTTTGGAGTGAAAGTGGCATTATTCACAGTTGTATGAGAACAACAGTTACAAAGTGAAATTGTCTTTGGCAAACAGGGCTATATTGTCACCATATCTCTGGGTGATTTGTAGCAATTTACATATATTTAATTAATAAGGATCATAAGAACTGGTACTTATTTGGGAATACTCATTTATTTTTCTTATTTTAAAATCAAATTTTTATTCATTGTACACAAAAATTGTAAAATGTAGATATATAGGAAGAAGGTAATAAACCTGTCATCCAGCTTTCAAGGATAATGACTGTTAATAGTTTGGTATATCTCTTTCCAGATTTTTCTACTTATTCATGTAATACATTTAAATAAAAAAATTAGACCATATTGTATGTATTATTGTATGAATTGCTTTTTAATGTCCTTTCCATGTCAACATTATTTTTAATGGTTATTTTCTAATTTGTTTATTATGTGCCATCATTTCTTTAACAATCCCTATTCTGGGCCATTCAGGCAGTCTCCTGTTTCACTAATTGTGCTTTAAAAGGCCACTCATTCTCCTGCAATATTTTTTCTTGTGAAATAAATGTGGGGAAGTAGGAGTGGTTTGTACACAGGATCATGCCCTCAGAGATCTCTCGCGTTAGAAACGCGCTGTGAACTGTATACATAAGCCTGTTAAAACATTTTAGTTGGTCACCAAATCAAATGTCAGGTTTTTTTTTCCCTCTTCTTTCCAAGAAGACAAAGGGAAACATTTGGAAGCAAGTCCTGTGCACCCCCTTGTGTCACCAGGGTGGAATGTGCTGCTAGCATTCACATTCCTTCCCCGCATAAGAACAGACAGGCCTTCCGAATGCTAGAGAGGAAGTGAGCTTTCCAAAGGACACTGTGATGGAAATCAAAATACAAGAAAAGACAATGTAATATGTCTTTATATCTGAAGGGATTTCCTGTACCATGAAGTGATCTTGACTTTTAAGTACATTATTCGATAATTTTGTTTTCTTTTGTAGCCTACCTTTGGTATAATGCCATTTTGTATAATTAAAAAAAAAATTTTAACAGTAACATTCTCATTGTAGAAAATATTGAAAAGTATATAAAATTATTATAACAAAAGACCTAACAATTATTAACATATTGATTTATTTTCTTCTAGTATTTTTTCTGCATATACACACATATACATATATCCATATATAAACCGTATAGTGGATAGTATGGTGTTATAAGTGCTTGCCTCCTGCTTACTTTAAGTTGATGTTAAATTATCATAGAAAAGTCAGATTCCATATCTATCTTGTTCAGTGCTGAATCTCCAGTGCCAGGCAGAATACATGGCATGTTGTAAACCTTTGATAAATGCTCATTTGATTACTGAATCTTACTGTATTTTGTAATTCACTTAACCATTTCCCTGTTGTACCTCATTTTCAGTTTGTTCACTATTATAAATCACACAGTGATTAATTTCTTTGTGCATAAAGCTTTTTCCACCTTCCTGATTTTTCCCTCAGGTTAAATTTCTTGAATGCAATGGTTAGATAAAGAAAATAAAAAATTAATGTTCCAATCACAGAATGCCAAGCTGCTTTCCAATTCACATAAACATAAGCGGGGCCTATGAGTAAATGGCAGAGCTAGAAATCCAACTAAGATCTCCACCCAAAGCCTGCCTCCTTGACACTATTCTATGCTGCCTCTCCATCTATCTGGTTAAATAACTGATTGGACAATGATAATCTGAAGGCTCTGATTAATAAATTCTTATTAAGCCAATAATTCTAGCACAAAAAGGGAAGTTTTAGTTTGGCAGGGCTTTAATTTAGTAAAGCCATTCTGATTCATGATAACAGTGCCACCATTAGTCCAAATGGCACCTTTGTGTAATTTGGAAAAAGATAACCCTTCTCCAAGATATTTTGATGCCCTCTGCAGGAAAATTGTCTTAATAAATACATAAATCTATGAATATAGAGGCATGAATATAGAGCTATAAGGCACAAAACTTGGACAATTCTATTTTCTAAGCTCTTGGGAATTCTGTTTAATCTAGACGAGAGTTTTGTGAGGCTATAATGTCAAGCAAAATAAATTATATTTTCTGGAAGTGCCTTTTTGAAAATTATGATAACTTGCATCTTTCTTTTAATCTCTTGGTTCCTCTCTAGGTCTCTTTGTTTTTATAATGTTTCCAGTGTTTCTGCAATCTCATCTACAAATTCTCTTGCATCATAAATCCTCACAGTTTAAAGTGTGATGGTGGAAAATGTTGTTTTATAATAAAATTATTTCTTTTTAAATGCTTACAAGCTATAATTTTAATATATTTAAAGCCAGTTTCATGTGTATATTTTTATTTGAAATAATCTTAAAAACATGGTTATTAGAGAAATATTAAAGTTTTATTTCTGTAATATATTCACCCAGAGAATTTCTGTTATCCCTTCGATTATTTATCCCTTATGTTTCCATCAATTTAAAAAGTGTATTTGATATTCAAACATGACACCTTAGCCTCCAAGTGTAAATCTGTTAATATAAGCAGTGAGTGAGTCTTTACAGAAATATTATCATAAAAAATTTCTGTAAATATCTTATTAGTGTCCTGACAAGTTGAACAATTATGAAGACATCTGTACATTGATTTTTAATAATTGAAATACTGTTAAAGTATTTCTATAATGAAAGAAAATTTTTAAGTGGTATATTTTGTTTCAAATAACATTGAGATTTTTTTTTTTACATAGTAGACAGGGAATCATCTCATTGAGAACAGATTTTTCTCCTCTATTTTGTTCTGCTGCTGCCATCTAGAGTAAAAGTGAAGCAAAGGAAGCAGACCTCCACCAAATGGTGCAGATTCTAGATTCAATCAGGAATAGGGGAGAGCTTAAACTATTTTTCTTAATTTTTAATTGAAAAATAATTATTGTATATATTTATGGGGTACAATGTGATGCTTTAATGCATCTATACATTGTGGAGTAAGCAAATTAGGCCAATTAGCATATCCATCACCTCACATACTTATCACTTTTTTGTGGTGAGAACATTTAAAATCCACTGTTTTAGAAATTTTTGAAATATACAATACGTTATTACTAACTAAAGTCACCCTGCTGTGCAAAACATCACCAGAACTTATTCCTCTTGTCTAACTGGAACTTCATACCCTCTCACCAACATGTCCCCTTTCCCTCTCCACCCTTTTCACCCCGCTCAACTTCCAGTAACTACCATTCTACTCTGTGATTTTTTTAGATATCAAATATAAGTGAGACTACATGATATTTGTCTTTCTGTGCCTGGCTTATTTCACTTAACACAATGTCCTCTAGATTCACTCATGTTGCAAATTTTTCTGCTTTTTTATGGCTGAGTAGTATTTCATTGTGTGTGTGTGTGTGTGTGTGTGTGTGTGTGTGTGTGTAAAACTTAAAAACATTCATTTGGCCAGGTGCAGTGGCTCACACCTGTAATCCCAGCACTGTGGGAGGCCAAGGCGGGTGGATCACAAGGTCAGAAGTTCGAGACCAGCCTGACCAACATGGTGAAACCCTGTCTCCACTAAAGATACACAAAAATTAACCAGGTGTGGTGGTGCGCACCTGTAAACCCAGCTACTTGGTAGGCGGAGGCAGAAGAATCGCTTGAACCCGGGAGGCAGAGGTTGTAGTGAGCCGAGATCACGCCATTGCACTCCAGTCGGGGTGACAGGGCAAGACTCTGTCTCAAAAAAAAAAATTATTCATCTGTTGCTGGGCACTTAAATTGGTTTCATATCTTGGCTATTGTAAATAGTGTGGCAATAAACATGAGGGTACAGGTATTTCATTTACATATTAATTTCACTTCCTTTAGATATATACCCAGTAGTAGTAATGCTGAATCATATAGTAATTCTATTTTGAGTTTTTGGAGGAACCTCCATACTGTTTCCAAAATGGCTCCACAAATTAACATTCCTACAAAATGTACAAGGGCTCCTTTTCATCCACATCTGCAGCAACACTTATCTATCATCTTTTTGATAATGTCCACTCTAACAGGTACAAGGTGATATCTCATTGTGATTTTGATTTGCATTTCCCTGGTGATTCGAGATGTTAAGCATTTTTTAAAATTTATTTTTTTTTATTTCAGTAGGTTTCTGGGGAACAGGTGGTGTTTGATTAATGAATAACTTCTTTAGTGGCAATTTCTGAGATTTTTGTGCACTCATCATCCGAGTAGTGTACACTGTACCCAGTGTGTAATCTTTTATCCCTTACCCCCTTCCTACCCTTTCCCCCAAGGCCCCAAACTCCATTGTATCACTCTTATGCCTCTGCATCCTCATAGCTTAGCGCCCACTTATGAGTGAGAACATACAATGTTTGGTTTTCCATTCCTGAGTCACTTCACTTAGAATAATGGTCTCCAATTATGTCCAGATTACTGTGAATGCCACTATTTTGTTCCTTTTATGGCTTGGCAGTATTCCATGGTACATATATATCACAATTTCTTTACCCAATTGTTGATTGATGGGCATTTGGGCTGGTTCCATATTTTTGCAATTGCGAATTGTGCCGCTATAAACGTGCGTGTGCAAGTATCTTTTTTGTATAATGAATTCTTTTCCTCTGGGTAAATATCCAAAATGGGATTGCTGAATCAAATGATAGTTCTACTTTTATTTCTTTAAGGAATCTTCACACTGTTTTCCATAGTGGTTGTACTAGTTTACATTCCCAGCAGCAGCGTAGAAGCGTTCCCTTTTTACCACATCCACGCCAACATCTATTATATTTTAATTTTTTGAGCATGGCCATTCTTGCAGGAGTAAGGTGATATTTCATTGTGGTTTTGATTTGCTTTTCCCTGATCTCTAGTGATGTTGAACATTTTTTCATATGTTTGTTGCCGATTTGTATATTTTCTTTTGAGAATTGTCTATTCGTGTCCTTAGCCCACTTTTTGATGGGATTGTCTGTTTTTTTTACCGCTGATTTGTTTGAGTTCCTTGTAGATTCCGGATATTAGTCCTTTGTCAGATGTATAGATTGTGAAGATTTTCTCCCACTCTGTGGGTTGTCTGTTTACTCTGCTGATTGTTTCTTTTGCTGTACAGAAGTTTTTAATTAAGTCCCATCTATTTAATTTTGTTTTTATTGCATTTGCTTTTGGGTTCTTGGTCATGAAATCTTTGCCTAAGCCAATGTCTAGAAGGGTTTTTCCAAAGTTATCTTCTAAAATTGTTATGGTTTCAGGTCTTAAATTTAAGTCTTTGATCCATCTTGAGTTGATTTTTGTATAAGGTGAGAGATGAGGATCCGGTTTCATTCTTATACATGTGGCTTGCCAATTATCCCAGCACCATTGGTTGAATAGCGTGTCCTTTCCCTACTTTACGTTTTTGTTTGTTTTGTTGAAGATCAGTTGGCTGTAAGTATTTGGCTTTATTTCTGGATTCTCTATTCTGTTCCGTTGGTCTATGTGCCTATTTTTATACCAGTATCATGCTGTTTTGGTGACCGTGGCCTTGTAGTATAAAGTCAGGTAATGTGATGCCTCCAGATTTGTTTTTTTTTGCTTCTTCTTGCTTTTGCTATGCGGGCTCTTTTTTGGTTCCAAATGAATTTTAGGATGTTTTTTCTAGTTCTGTGAAGAATGATCGTGGTATTTTGATGGGCATTGCGTTGACTTTGTAGATTGCTTTTGGCAGTGTGGTCATTTTCACAATATTGATTCTACCCATCCATGAGCATGGGATGTGTTTCTGTTTGTTTGTGTCATCTATGATTTCTTTCAGCAGTGTTTTGTAGTTTTACTTGTAGAGGTCTTTCACCTCCTCGGTTAGGTATTTAATATATTCCTAAAAATTTTAGTTTTTTTTTTTTTTTTTTTTTGCAGCTATTGTAAAAGGGATTGAGTTCTTGATTCTCAGCTTGGTCACTGTTGGTGTATAGCAGAGCTTCTGATTTGTGTGTATTGATTATGTATCCTGAAACTTTGCTGAATTCATTTATCAGTTCTAGGAGCTTTTTGCAGAAGTCTTTAGGATTTTCTAGGTATACAGTCATATCATCAGCAAACAGCGAGTTTGACTTCGTCTTTATCAATTTGGATGCCCTTTATTTCTTTCTCTTGTCTGTTTGCTCTGGCTAGGCGTTCCAGTACTAGGTTAAATAGAAGTGGTGAGAGTGGGTATCCTTGTCTTGCTCCAGTTCTTAGGGGGAATGCTTTGAACTTTTTTGGTTCCAAATGAATTTTAGGATTTTTTCTAGCTCTGTGAAGAGTGATGGTGGTATTTTGATGGGAACTGCATTGAATTTATAGATTGCTTTTGGCAGTATGGTCATTTTCACAATATTGGTTTTACTCATCCATGAGCATGTATGGATGAGTAGAATCAATATTCTGTATTGATTCAGGTGCAGAATCATTCAGTATTAAGTTGGCTGTGGGTTTGTCATAGATGGCTTTTATTACATTAAGGTATGTCCTTCTGTGCTGACTTTCCTGAGGCTTTTAATCCTAAAGAGATGCTAGATTTTGTCAAATGCTTTTTCTGTGTCTGTTGAGATGATCATGTAATGTTTGTTTTTAATTCTATTGATGTAGTTTATCATATTTATTGACTTGTGTATGTTAAACCATCCCTGCATCCCTGGTATGAAACCCACTTGATCATGGTGGATTATCTTTTTGATACGCTGTTTGATTCAGTTAATATTTTGTTAAGTATTTCTGCATCTATATTCATCAGGAATATTGGCCTGTAGTTTTAGGTGAGGTGGCATTAGGGTGAGACTGACTTCATAGAATCTCTATCTCTATCTTGTGGAATAGTGCCAATAAGATTGGTACTAATTCTTCTTTGAATATCCGATAGAATTCAGCTGTGAATCCATCTGGTCTCAAACTTTTTGTTGGTAATTTTAAAATTAATTTGAAAACCTTGTTTTTGAGCTCTGAAGTTCTTTGTTTGTTTGATTCTATTATGGAGACTTAATAGTGTATTTTGCATTTCTCTAAGTGTGTCTTTCATTTCCAGAAACTGATTGTTTTTTATTGATGCCATCTAATTTCACTGAAGGGCTTTCCCTTCATATCTTGTATCATTTTCTTTTTTTTTTATTTCATTAAGTTGGACTTCACCTTTCTCTGGTGCCTCCTTGATTAGCTTAATAATCGACCTTCTGAATTCTTTTTCTGGCAATTCAGGGATTTCTTCTCGGTTTGGATCCATTGCTCATGAGCTAGTGTGATCTTTCGGGTGTGGTAAAAAATCTTGTTTTGTCATATTACCAGAATTGTTTTTCTAGTTCCTTCTCATTTGGGCGGGCTATGTAAGAGGGAAGATCTGGGACTCAAGGGCTGCTCTTCAGATTCTTTTGTCCCACGGGTGCTTCCTTAATGTATTGCTCCTCCCCTTCCCCTAGAGATGTGGCTTCCTGAGAGCCAAACTGAGTGATTATTCACACAGCAGAGCTATCAAGCTCCAGGCTAGTACAGGGGAGTGTCTGCACAGAGTCCTGTGATGAAAGTCCCATCTTCGAATCTATGAAAAACAATGATAGCTATAGCAACCTGTTAAGAGATAGGTAATATAAAAATAATATAAATTGAGGCAAAATGTAGGGGGATAGAGTTAAAGTATAGAATTTTTTCTTTTTCAAAAATTTGTTTCTATACCTTTCTTTTGATCTAAGATAAGTTGTCATCTCTTTAAAATAACTTGTTATATACATAAGATGTTTTATGTAAGCCTCATGGTAACCAAAATATAAAAATCTGTAATAGATTCACTAAAAATAAAAAGCAACAAATTAAAACATACTACTAGAGAAAAAATCACTTAACCACAAAAGAAGACAGTTAAAATGGAAAAAAGGAGTTAAAAAGCGACCAAAAACTAAGCAACAAAATAGCAGTAGTAGGTCCTTACTTGTCAATAATAATATTAAATGTAAATGAATTCAGTTTTCTAATTAAAAGGCATACTGTGGTTGAAAAATAAACAAGTTTCAACTATATGCTGCCTACAAAAAACCTACTTCACCTATAAAGACATGAATAGTCTGAAAGCAAAAGGGTGGGAAAAGATATTCTATGCAACTGGAAACCAAAAAGCTGCAGAAGTAGATAGACTAAAAATCAAAGACTGTTAAAAGAAACAAGGTCACTATAAGATGATAACGGGGTAAACTCAGCAAAGGATATAACAATTACAAATATCTATCTATCTAACACTGGAGCTCCAAGTATATAAAGTGAACATTAATAGATAGAGAGATTGCAAAATGGTAATTGTAGATTTCAACATCCCACTTTCAGCAGTGGACAGATCATCCAGACAGAAAATCAGCAAAGAAACATCGGAGTGAAACCACACACTAGACCTAATAGGCCTAACTGACATATACAGAACATTTAACCCAACTGCTGTAGAATACACATTTTTCTCATCAGTTCATGGAACATTCTGAAGAATAGATCATATATTAGGCTACAAAACATTTCCCAAGGAACTCAAAAAAGTAGAACCCATATTAAGTATTTTTTCTCAACAATAATGGAATTAAACTAGAAATCAATAACAAGAGGAATGTTGGAAACTACACAAATTAGGAAAAATGCTCCTGAGCAACCAATGGGACAATGAAGAAATTAAGAAGGAAATTAAAAAATTTACTGAAACAAAAGAAACTGGAAACACAACATACCGAAACCTATGGGATATGACAAAAGCAATTCTAAGAGGGAAATTTATAACAATAAATGCTTAAATTTAAAAACTAGGAAGATTTCAAATAAATAACCTAACAATGTACCACAAGGAACTAGAAAAGCAAGAACCAGCCAAACCCAAAATTAGTAGAAGGAATGAAATAATAAAGATCAGAGCAGCAATAAATAAAATTGAGACTAAAAAAAAAAATACAGACGATCAACAAAATGAAAAGTTGGGCCTTTAAAAAAAAAAAAGATACACAAAATTAACAGACTTTTAGCTAAACTAGGAAAAAGAGAAGACCCAAACAAATAAAACAGAAAACAACTGAGACCACAGAAATACAAAGAATGGGGTGGGCATGGTCACTCATGCCTATGACAGTACTTTGGGAAGCCGAGGCAGGTGGATCACTTGAGGTCAGGAGTTCAAGACCAGCCTGCCCAATGTGGCGAAACCCAGTCTCTACTAAAAGTACAAAACTTAGCCAGGCATGGTGGCACGTGCCTGTAGTCCCAGCTACTTGGGAGGCTGAGGCACGACAATCACTTGAACCCGGGAGATGGAGGTTGCAATGAGCCAAGATTGTGCCACTGCACTCCAGCCTACACAACAGAGCTAGACACTGTCTCCTGTCTCAACAACAACAACAACAACACAACAACAACAAAAAAACAACAAAAACAAAGAATGATGAGAGACTATTATTGTATTAGTTTGTTTCCATGCTGCTGATAAAGGCATACCGAAGGCCCGGTGTGGTGGCTCACACCTGTAATCCCAGCACTTTGGGAGGCCAAGGTGGGCAGATCACCTGAGGTCAGGAGTTCGAGACCAACCTGGCTAACATGGTGAAACCCTGTCTGTCTCTACAAAAAAAAAAAAAAAAACAAAACTGGGCAATTTACAAAAGAAAGAGGTTTACTGGACTTACAGCTCCACGTGGCTTGGGAGGCCTCACAATCATTGGCAGAAGGTAAAAGGTACATCTCATATGGTGGCAGACAAGAGAGCTTGTGCAGGGAAACTCCCGTTTTTCAAAACCATCAGATCTCATGAGGCTTATTCACTCTCACAGGAACAGCACAGGAAATACCCACCACCATAATTCAATTACCTCCCACCAGGTTCCTCCCATGACACTGGGAATTGTGGATGTTACAATTCAAGATGATATTGGGTGGGGAAGCCAAACCAAATCAATTATGAACAACAATACACAAAAAATTGGAAAATCTAGAAGAAATGAATAACTCTTTGGACACATACAAACTATCACCATTGAACCATAAATAAATAGAAAACCTCAACAAACCAATAATGAATAATGAGATTGAAACTGTAACAAAAAGTCATCCACTAGTGAAAAGCCCATGATCTGATGGCTACACTGCTGAGTTTTATCAAACATTTAAAGAACTAATAACAATCCTTCTCAAAATCTTCCAAAAAATTGAAAAGAACACTTCCAAACTCATTCTATGAGGCCAGCATTATTCAGATTTCAAAACCCAGCACACAACAAAAGAAAACTATAGGACAGGACAACATCACTGATGCACACAGATGAAAAAATAATCAGCAAAACACTAACAAAGTGAATTCAACAATACATTAAAAAGATCATTCACCATGATAAAGTGGGATTCATCCCAGGGATGTGAGGATGCTTTAAAACATATGCAAATCAATAAGTGTGATACATCACATTAACAGAAACAAGAATAAAAAACCATATGATTATTTCAATAGATGACAGAAAAGCATTTAATAAAATTCAACATCCTGGTATGATACAAACCCTCAACAAACCGTGTATAGAAGGAACATACCTCAAAATAAGAAAGACCATATTTGATAAACTCATAGCTAACATCATACTAAATAGGGAAAAATTGAAGGCCTTTCCTTTAAGATCTGGAACAAGACAAGGATGCCTACTTTCATCACTTTTATTTGGCACAATACTGGAAGCCTTGCCTAGAGTAATTAAGGATGAGAAAGAAAAAAAAATGACATTCCAATTGAAAAGGTAGAGTCAAATTAGCCTTGTTCACAGATAACATGATCTTATACTTAGAAAAACCTAAAGACTCCACCAAAAAAATGGTTAAAATTTATAAATGAATTCAGTAAAGTTGTAGGATACAAAATCAACATAGAAAAATCAGTAGCATTTCTATATGCCAACAGCAAACAGTCTGAAAGAGAAAGCAATCTCATTTACAATATCTACAAAGAATATTAAAAAACTAGGATTCCATTTAACCAAAATGAAAGATCTATACAGGGAAAACTGTATTAGTCCATTCTCACATTACTATAATGAACTACCTAGACTGGGCACAGTGGCTTATGCCTGTAATCTCAGCACTTTGGGAGGCTGAGGCGGGCGGATGACGAGGTCAGGTGTTTGAGACCAGCCTGGTCAGTATGGTGAAACCCTGTCTCTACTAAAAATACAAAAAAAAATTAGCCAAGCATGGTGGTGCACGCCTGTAATACCAGCTACTTGGGAGGCTGAGGCAGGAGAATTGCTTAAACCTGGGAGGCAGCGGTTTCAGTGAGCCGAGATCGTGCCACTGCTCTCCAGGCTGGGTGACAGAGCAAGATTCCATCTCAAAACAAACAAACAAACAAACTACCCGAGACTGTGTAATTTATAAAGAAAAGAGGTTTAATTGACTCACAGTTCCACAGGCTGTACAGGAAGCGTGGCTAGAGAGGCTTCAGGAAATTTACAATCATGGTGGAAGGTGAAGAGGAAGGAGTCATGTCCTACATGGCTGGAGAAGGAGGAAGAGAGAATGGAAGGGAAAATGCTAAACACTCTTAAACAACCAGATCTCATGAGAACTCACTATCACAAGAACAGCAAAGGGGAAGTCCACCCCTATGATTAAATCACCTCCCACCAGGCCTCTCCTCCAACACTAGGAATAACAATTTGATGAGATTTAGGTGGGGCTACAGAGCCAAACCATATCAAAAACTATAAAACAATGATGGAAGAAATTGAAGAGGACATAAAAAATAGATATTCCATGCTCATGGATTGGAAGAATTAATATTGTTAAAATGACACTACTCAAATCAATTTATAGATTCAATGCAATCTCTATCAAACTACCAATGAAATTCTTCAAAGAAATAGAAAATAAATTCCAAAATTTATATGAAACTACAAGAGACCCTGGATTGCCAAAGCAATCCTGAGCAAAAAGAGCAAAGCTGGAGGCATTACACTACCTGACTTTAAAACCTACTACTATAGTAACCAAATCAGCATGGTACTGGCATTAAAACAGACATGTAGACTAGTGGACCAGATATAAATCCATGTATTTACAGCCAATTCATCTTTGACAGAGGTGCCAAAAACATACAATGGGAAAAGGACAGTGTCTCCAATAAACAGTATTTTATAATTTTCTTTCTTTTTTTTTATTTTTTTATTTTTATTTTTTTGAGACGGAGTCTCGCTCCGTCGCCCAGCCTGGAGTGCAGTGGCGCGATTTCGGCTCTCTGCAAGCTCCACCTCCCGGGTTCACGCCATTCTCCTGCCTCAGCCTCCCAAGTAGCTGGGACAACAGGCACCAGCCACCACGCCTGGCTAATTCTTTTGTATTTTTAGTAGAGACGGGGTTTCACTGTATCAGCCAGGATAGTCTCGGTCTCCTGACCTCGTGATCCGCCCGCTTGGCCTCCCAAAGTGCTGGGATTACAGGTGTGAGCCACTGCGCCCGGCCCCGGATTTTATAATTTTCAAATAGGCTATATATGTACACATATATAAATTTAGTCTGTATGCTGTCTGTCTGCTTTTCAAATGTTTTGAGATTTTCTAACTGGCCTATATGTGATCACGTATTTTCATTTTTGGCAGTGAAAAGTTTTATATGAAATTATTAGTGCAAACCACTAGTGATATAACCCAAATTTTTTAATATCTTTATTTTCCATCAACTTGATCTGTAGACGTCAAGAGAATCATATTTAATGCCTCCTTGCATCTCCTTTCTGTTTTTATTACTGAATCTTTCAAATATACACAATAGCACAGAGAAAAATATAACGGATACCTGAGTACCCATCATCCTTCCTTTTCATATCTTAACATTTGTCACACATACTCCTGAAAGTATTGTTTTAATTTTAGCTGTTTATTATGAGTTACACTTACCAAGAGAGTAGGGAGTATGAATGTACAGTTTAAATAGTATTAGCTATTAAATACATATGTAACTACCACTTTGTTGGAGAAATAGAAAATTACCAACATCTATGAAGCCTTTTGGGTATCCCTCCTCAACTGTGCCCTCTCTTTTTTCCCTGAGGTACAACTACCCTGGGTTTTGTCTTCATCGTTACCTAACTGTTTTTGAAGGTTTATTGCACATGTATGAATAATAAACATTATATTGTTAAGTTTTGCCTGTTTTTGCACTTTAAATAAATGGAGGGTACTTTTTGCACTCTTCTGACTTGGTTTTTTTTTTTTTTTTTTTTTTTTGAGACAGAGTCTCGCTCTGTCACCCAGGCTGGAATGCAGTGGTGCAATCTCGGCTCACTGCATTCTGGGTTCAAGCGATTCTCCTGCCTTTGCCTCCCGAGTAGCTGGGATTAAAGGTGTGTATCACCACACCCAGCTAATTTTTGTATTTTTAGTAGAGACAGGGTTTCACCATGTTGGCCAGGCTGGTATTGAACTCCTGACCTCAAGTGATCCACATGCCTCGGCTTCCCAAAGTGCTGGGATTACAGGCTTGAGCCACTGCACCTGGCCCTGACTTGCATTTTTCCTCATATGTTTCTGAGATTCTTCCACATCAATGTGTGTAGCTGTAATTAATTCATCTTCATTGCTGTAAAATGTTACAAATATTAACTTACCATGATTTATTTTCCACATAATTGTTGATAAACATTGGAGTTGTTTTCTGATTTTCTTCTTTCAATTGGAGAATTTAGTTCTTTTAGATTTATTGGAATTATCGATATATTTGATTTTTTTTAATGGACCAAAGCATGAGTTGGTAAGTACTGGCAGTTTGCACTCCAGAATTTCTCTGCCAATATACTTTCACCATCAGTGCATGCGAATCGTCATTTTCCCACATCTTTAACAACATTTGATCTTACCTGAATTTCTAATATTTGCCATTATTTTGGGTATAAAGTCATATGTTGTTTTAATTTGCATTTCTAAGATAACTGGGAAGGTTGAACACCAATATTGTACTTACTTTAAGAAATACAGCTGATGTTGTGTGGATGTGTATATGTAATTATTTTCTGAACTACTTGAGAGTAGGCGGCATATATCATACCTCTTTACCATCTTAAACTGTCTGTGTATTTACTGTGAATGACAATATCTATATGACAGCAGTATAGCTATCAAATTATGGGAATTTAACATTGACATAATACTTTAATCTACTGTCTATATTACAGTTTTGTCAATTGTCTCAATGTTGTCTTTGATAACTTTTTTTTCCAGGAAAGCATTCAGTCCGGGATTACATATTGCATTTGGTTGTCACATCTCCTTGAATCTGCAATAGTTCACCAGCCTTTCTTTGTCTTTGTTGACATTAATATTTTTGAAGAATATGGGCTATTTATAATAGAATGCCTCAATTTGAATTTGTGTGAGCCATCCCTTTTTAACTGAGTTTCCTCAGGAGAACTAAGCCCTGAAGCATACATTGTGTAGAATGAATTAACCTCTCTCCTACGCATCTAGGATGGAAAATTGAGAAAATAGTCACTCAAGTCATTTTCTGTAAGGCTTACATTTTTCATGAAACACTAGGTGAGAAAGTTTCATTGTTTCTTCATGATTTAGTTCAGATTATACATCACAGATCAGACTACTAAATAAGTGGCATTACATCCTTCTCAAAATATCACATCTGGGCCAGGCATGGTGGCTCATGCTTGTAATCCCAGCACTTTGGGAGGCTGAGGCAGGAGAATCGCTTGAGCCCAAGAGTTCGAGACAAGCCTGGGCAAGTGAGACCTCATCTCTATGAAAAAGTTAAAAAATAAAGTGGGACGATGATTGCTTGAGCCTGGGAGGTCAAGGCTGCAATGAGCTGTGGTTACTCCACTGCATTTCTGCCTGGGGGATGGGAGTGAGACCCTGTCTCAAAAAAATCACATCTGGTGGCACATAACGTCATTTATTCCTCATTGATGTTAATTTTGATCATGCAATCTAGATGTTTTCTAGTTTCGCCACAATATAGTTACTGCTTTCCCCTTTGCGACTAATACATAGCCTTGAGAGAAACTTTTTGAGATCATGCAATTAGCCAGTTTCCCCTCAAACTCTCCTCTTTTCTAGGTATTCATGAAGGATCCACATTCATTGATGATAATTGCCCAAACCAGTGATTACCGTGATGGTTGCAAAATGGCAAAATATGAAGAAATTACATGGAATACAGCACAGAAAGACAATGATGTAGAAAATAGAAAATATCTGGAAGGTAGCATGTGATCGATCATGTATCCAGTCAGAATTCCTGAAGGAGAGAATAGGGAGGAGGAAGGAAAAGTAATATTAGGAGAGATAATGGTTAAGAATATTTCTAAATGCATGAAAGACACTTGTCTCAGATATTGGAAGTCTAAGAATATCAAGCAAGACAAAGAGATATCCACACCGAGACAAATCATAGTTAAATTACAAACTTCAAACAAAAAGAGAGCATCTTAACAATAACCAGATAGGAAAGATATGTATCAGCACCAATTCCTGGCCTCTGGAGGCTCTAGAGGTAAACGCTATTCTGCTTTTTGAGATATTAAATTTTTTGCTTTAAAAAATTTATTTATAATTTTTTTACGTGCATTAGTTTCCCAGGAGTGCTTTAACAAATATCAGAAACAAAATAATTTTATTTTCTCATAGTTTTGGGTCTGAAATTTAGGTGTTGGCAGAACCATGCTGTATCTAAAGCATCTATGGAAGGACCCTTCTTTGCCTTTTCCACCTTCTGGTAGCCCCAGGCATTTCTTGACTTGTGGCAGCATAACTCCAATCCCTGCTTTCATCATAACCTGGTCGTCTTATGTGTTTTTCTTTCCTTTTCTAATAAAGACATCAGTCGTATTGGATTACAGTCCACCCTAATGATCTCATCTTAGCTTGATTACATCTGCAAATGCCCCATTTCCAAATAAGGTTGCATTCACAGATGCTGGGAGTGAGGACTTCAACAGATATGTTAGGGGAGCAAAATTCAACTCATAACATCATCCTAAGCACTATAGTCTGGTTTTGCCTATTTTTGAACTTTTGATTTCACATAAATAGAATCATATTTTGGACTTGTTTTATGTCAATATTAGGTTTTGTGATCTATTCACATGGTAGTGTGGGGTTTCAGTTATATTCATTTTCATTGTGTTGTAGTATTCAGTTGTAGCACTGTGCCACAAACTTATTTATTCATCAATATTTTATAAGATTTGGGTTGTTTTACAGTTTTTTACTCTTACAAACAATGTTGCTAAGAATATTCTGTACCACTATGTTGGTGCACGTATATAAGAATTTCTTTAAAA
The DNA here is from genome assembly GCF_000001405.40 of Homo sapiens. Classification (NCBI taxonomy): domain Eukaryota; kingdom Metazoa; phylum Chordata; class Mammalia; order Primates; family Hominidae; genus Homo; species Homo sapiens. The sequence continues at coordinate 180,789,545 of NC_000003.12, read as the reverse complement.
GATGTATGTAGAAGAAAAACTGCTAGGGCATAGAGTTTGCATATCTTTGACTTTACTAAAATGCTAAATTAATTTTCAAACTTTAGTAGACAATTCACAGACCATCAACGATGTATAGAATTTCCTTTGTTTCACATCCTTGCCAACGTTTGATATTGTCAGAAGTTTTATTTTTGTCAATTTGATGGGTACCCAAAGCTACTTCATACTGGTTTTAATTTGCATTTCCTTGATTACTGCTGACAGTTAATATTTTGTCATATGTTTATTGATAATTTGAAGTTTCCATTTTGTGAAGTTCTAGACTTTTTCCCATTTTAAAAATTTGTATTTCAGTTTTTTCTTACTAATTTTTAGGAGTTCCTTGTGTTTTCTGAATAGAAGTACTTTTTAGTTATATGTGTTGCAAATATCTTATCCTACTCTGCAGCTTGTATTTTCACTCTTTTATAGTGGCATATGATGAACTGAAGTTTTTAATTTTAATGTGGTCTCACTTCTTAATACTCAAAAAATACTTAGTTCTCTTTGTGTCTTGGTTATGAAACTTTTCCCCATTCCAAAATCATGAAGGCATTCTCCTCACTTCTTAGAGCTTCTTAGTTTGTCATTTATGATTGAGTCTTTATTACTCTTGCAGTTGGTGTTTGTGTTTGGTGCGAGATAGAGATACAATTTTACTTTTTTCCATGTGGCTACTCAGTGGGCTCACCACCAAATATCTGTAGTGTATCTTCAAATATCTGTAGAGTGTGTTTGGGCTCTATTCTGTTCATCAATCTACTTATCCGTTCCTACACCAATACTTAACGTAGCTTTAACTACAGTCATTTTGTAATAAATAAGTCCTGCTATTGGGTAAAGCAAATCTTTCCTCTTCTTTTATAAAGTGTTTGGCTATTCTTGATCCTATATATTTTTTCATTAATTTTAGAATTAGCTTGTCAAGATTCACAAAAAGTAAGTTGAGATCATATATATGTGTGTGTGTATATATATATACTTTTTTTTTTTTTGAGACAGAGTCTTACTCCGTTGCCCAGGCTGGAGTGCAGTGGCGTGATCTCGGCTCACTGCAACTCTGCCTCCCAGGTTCAAGCAATTCTCCTGCCTCAGCCTCCCGAGTAGCTGGGATTACAGGCATGTGCCACCATGCCTGGCTAATTTTTGTATTTTTAGTAGAGATGGGGTCTTGCCATGTTGGCCAGGCTGGTCTCGAACTCCTGACCTCAGGTGATCTGCCCACCTTGGCCTCCCAAAGTGCTGGGATTACAGGTGTGAGCCACTACGCCCAGCAGAGATCCTAAATATTTTTACATTAATCTTAAAATTAACTTGTCAAGATTCACAAAAACAAGTTGAGATTATTGGCTTTTAATTGAATCTAAATTAAATTAATTGGAGAACATTTACATATTTAAATATTGAGTGTTCTGCTTAATGAGATGATATATCTTTTCATTTATTTAGGACTTATAACCATTAGTAAAATAAATTATTTATAATAAATTATTATATCCATTAATAAAATTGTATAGTTTTCTCCATCAATGTCTCCAAAATTCTTCATAAGATTTGTTTTTAGGTATTCTGTGTGCTTAATGCTATTAAAAATAACTATTTGTTAAAGGCATATAGAAATATAGCAATTTATTTCTGTAAACTGATTTTATTTCCAGCAATTCTACTAAACTCTCCTACTTATTTTAAAATTATCTGTAGATAGTTTTAGAATTTTTACATCACACTTATTTCATGTGTAAGTATCAAGTTTAGTTTCTTCCTTCCAGAACATTAACACTTTTTTGTGCTTTATTATGCTAGCTAAAATCCTCATACAATGTGGAATTGTAGTGGTGACAGTAGGTATCTTAGTCCATTTGTGTTGCTATACAGGAATATCTGAAGCTGGATAATTTATAAATAAAAGAGGTTAATTTGGCTTATGGTTTTTCAGACTGTACAAGAAGCATGGTGTCAGCATTTGTTTCTGGTGAGGGTCTCAGGAAGCTTCCACTCGTGGAAGGCAAAGGGGAGTGGGGATCTCATGGTAAGAGAGGAATAAACAGAGAGGGAAGGGCGATGCTTGGCTCTTTTTAACAATCAGTTATGGTGGTAATGAATAGTGAGAACTTACCACTTCGAGAAGGACACCAAGCCATTAATAAGGAATCTGCTCCCAGAATCCAAATACCCCCCACCAGGCCTCACCTCTAACATTGGAGGTCAAATTTCAACATGAGATCTGATAAGATGTCAAACATCCAAACTACATTACTAGTCATATTTGTTTTGTTCTTGATTTCAAAGAGAAAGCTTTCAAGAGTTTTATAATGCATAATTTTACAGCAGCTTTTTGTTTATTTATTTGTAAACATCCATTACTACGTGTATTAGTCAGGGTTCTCTAGAGGGACAGGACTAAGAGGATAAGTTCATATATGAAAGGGAGTTTAGCCGGGCGCAGTGGCTCACGCCTGTAATCCCAGCACTTTGGGAGGCCGAGGCGGGTGGATCACGAGGTCAGAAGATTGAGACAATCCTGGCTAACACAGTGAAACCCCTTCTCTAACTAAAAATACAAAAAAATTAGCTGGACTTGGTGGCAGGCACCTGTAGTCCCAGTTACTCAGGAGGCTGAGGCAGGAGAATGGCGTGAACCCGGGAGGCAGAGCTTACAGTGAGCCGAGATCACGCCACTGCACTGCAGCCTGGGCGACAGAGCGAGACTCCGTCTCAAAAAAAAAAAAAAGAAAAAGAAAAAGAAAAAGAGAAAGAAAAGGAGTTTATTAAGGAGTATTGACTCACATGATCACAAGGTGAAGTACCACAATAGGCTCTCTGCAAGCTGAGGAGCAGTCTTGAGTCCAAAAAACTCAAAAGTAGGGAAGCTGACAGTGCAGCCTTCAGTCTGTGACCAAAGGCCTGAGGGCTCCTGGCAAATGACTGGTGTAGGTTCAAGAGTCCAAAAGCTGAAGAACTTGGAGTCCGATGTTTGAGGGCAGAAAGCATCCAGCATGGGAGAAAGACGGAGGCCAGAAGACTTAGCCAGTCTAATCCTTCCACTTCCTCTGCCTGCTTTTAGCCTAGCCTGCTGGCAACTGATTAAATCACGCCCACCCAGATTGAGGGTGGGTCTCCCTCTCCCAGTCCACTGATTCAAATGTTAATCTCCTTTGGCAACACCCTCACAGACACTCCCAGCAACCATACTTTGCATCCTTCAATCCAATCAAGTTGACACTCAGTATTAACCATCACACTAGCTTAAAGAGATTCTCTTCTATTCTTAGCCATGAATATTATCATGCCTGAATGTTAGATTTTCTGAAGAGCCTTTTTTCTTCACTTAGGTAGAAGATCAAATGCTATTTCTTTTTTAATCTGCTAATATGGTGAATTACATTAATTGATTTCTTAAGTTAAAACAACCTTGCATTTTTGGAATTAAACCCAACTTAGATATAATATATTTTTCATATATTAATGGATCTAGTTTGCTAATATTTAATTTATGGCTTTTATATCTATTTTGTGTTATATAAGATGCCATTATTTCATATGTCACTATGAAAGAACAAAAATACTATCAATGAAACGATGACACAATACTTTTTCACCTTGATTTTTAATTTTATGGAAATAATTTTTGGCTTATTTCAACATAGGTTTTATTATATATCACTCTTATACACAGAAAAATATGTAAGTAAGGAAAATTGGTTGAGATATTCCTAAAACATATTCACAGCACCCATCATAACTATATTACATTAAATTTAAAATTACACCTTAGTCAATGTCAACTACTGTATTTCAACAAATTGAAGCCTCCACCAATTGCCTTAGGTGAAGACATACTCCTCTAATGTGAATTTGCTGTAGCATCTGTCATTGTGAAGACTAGAACTGTTTTCTCAAATTCTTATTTTATTTTATTTTTTTGAGACAGAGCCTCGCCCTGTCTCCCAGGCTGGAGTGCAATGGCGCAATCTCGGCTCACTGCAACCTCCACCTCCCGAGTTCAAGCGATTCTCCTGCCTCAGCCTTCCGAGTAGCTGGGATTACAGGTGCGCACCACCATGCCCGGCTCATTTTTTGTATTTTTAGTAGAGAGGGGGTTTCACCATGTTGGCAAGGCTAGTCTCAAACTCCTGACCTCGTGATCTGCCTGCCTCAGGCTCCCAAAGTGCTGGGATTACAGGTGTAAGCCAATGTGCCTGGCCCTCAAATTCTTTTTTTTTTTTTTTTTTTTTTTGAGACGGAGTCTCGCTCTGTCGCCCAGGCTGGAGTGCAGTGGCGGGATCTCGGCTCACTGCAAGCTCCGCCTCCCGGGTTCACGCCATTCTCCTGCCTCAGCCTCCCAAGTAGCTGGGACTACAGGCGCCCGCCACTACGCCCGGCTAATTTTTTGTATTTTTAGTAGAGACGGGGTTTCACTGTTTTAGCCGGGATGGTCTCGATCTCCTGACCTCGTGATGCGCCCGCCTCGGCCTCCCAAAGTGCTGGGATTACAGGCGTGAGCCACCGCGCCCGGCCTCAAATTCTTAATGTACATATATTTTTAGAATCTTATTTTAGATTCTCTCTTGTTCTATGTATGAATGCTGTGTATTTCTTTTTCAAACTTTAACCTACAACTAACAATTGTTGGGGAGAGGTGGTATAGGCTGTAGAGTGAGTGAGATATTCTAGGTATGGGGTCTCTTCATACCTTCGGAGAGTTTCCATCTATTCTGGGCACTAACCTGCCTCTCAGGACTAAAGACACTCCACACTCATTGCTTTTGTTTGGGACCTGAGTCCTCTGCTGCTCAGCATTAGATAAACGGGCAGGATAGGAAAAGTGAGACCTAACTGTCTGCACTTTCCGTGGATTCCCCAAAATCACCTTGCTGTTTTCTACAGACCTCCTCCTGCTCCCCACGTATGCTACCTTTGACTTGAAGTACCTTTTAAGCTACTTCTGCACATCTATTAATTTGGAGCTCTGATTTCCTCCTTTGGTAACCTCCCTTGCCTCCTATATTTCAGAGATTTTTTTATATGCTTTTGAGACTGACACAACCATCCCCTATTGTTATTCTAGGCTGTTGTGGATTTATTAATAGTATTTTTCTATTTCTAGAAATCTGGGTGGAATATGGGGTTAGAATGTACGTTTGTATTGTAGTATTTCTAACAGCATTCAACAATGTTTATGTCAGGGTAATTTTAAATTTATCTTTGGTGTGTTTTTAAACTTTTCTATGACATATATACATTGATTAATTATATTTTTAACTATAAAAGTAAATAAAGTATTCTTGTATAAAATCAAAAGTGAACCTTTCTCTTTTCACCCCTACCTGCAATCCTACTTCTCAGAGTTAACCACTGTCTAGATGATAATTTCACAATCATGGTACTATTGACATGTAAGCCAGATGATTCTTTGTTATGGGGAACTGTCCTATCCATTGTGAGATCTTTAGCATCATTCCTGACCCCATACCAACTAGATATTATTAGCAACTGCCAAGTTGTGACAACCAAACATATCTTCAGACATCATCAAGTGTCCCTGGGGGGCAAGATGATCTGTGGTTGGAAACTACTGGTCTAGATTTATTTCCATGAATTTGTAAACAAACAAACATGTACATAGAATAACAGTTAAATGGGAAAATAACTCATACTGAAATAGTACATGATAAAACCTGCTGGCTTATGAGCCTTTAAAGTCAGCATTTCCAAAAGTATAGTCTTTGAACACTAGCTTGATGCTCAAGTGTTATATGAAAAAACAATGTGGTCAAGTAAACTTGGGTAACACCGAGTTAATAAAATTAAACTGTTTTCTTTCTTATATGACTACTCTGAAACTTTAAGTTTCTACCTTGCCTTGTGAATCTCCAGGAGGGAGGTATAGTTGTACTATTTCCCAAGTTTATATGGCTACAGAATCTTTATTTCATGGGGCATTTCATGGGACTAATGTTTGGTGGAAATCCGCTGGGAGACTTTAACACTGATCCTTTAAATGTAAGAAAGTCCATGGCAGTTTTTAATCAAATATAAAGTTGAAACAATAAACCACCACCAACAAAAACCAGAACTATGTACAGCAGGTTTTAAAACAAATATAAAGCTGAAACAATAAAAAACAACACAGAACGATTTTATGTTCCCAGTATTCTTCTATCTCCCTACTCTGTCCTAACCCATACTAAGGAAAATCAAACCATGTGGTTTAGCAAATGAATGAGACAGAAGCAAACAGACTGGCAGGCTCACTTGTCCTATAGAAGGTATATGACTCTTTCACTGGTGGGCCAGTTATTATTTAAGGAATGCTGCAGGCTGTTGCCAAAGGAATAAAGGATACTAATACCATTTTAGAAGAGGCTTATCTCAAGAGAGGCCATAGTAGTTCATATTTCCCCTTCCTCAAGATTCCAGGCCACTATCTTTTTTTCTGTCCTTCTTTGGAAGAGGTGGATAAAGTTACTATTAATATTTTCATCAAAATTATAATGGCGCAAATGGTAATTTTATAACCTTCATTGTCTTTCCAATAATTCAATGGAATTTTTTAAATATTAAAATAAGAATCTTTATTAGAGAAAGACAAATAAATAAAAATCTTTTATAATGTTTCCATCAGATTGGTAGTCACTGTTCATTTGTGGTAGCTCTGGGGCATTTGTTGTTGTTGCTAGATGAGACTCAGACTGGACTATAGGGAGTAGGGGAGAGGTGCATTGCAAATAGACGCTATGTATTCATATGAGGGTAGCCTGAGGTCAGTGGGTGTTCTGTAGTATGAAAGAAAGTAGGGATATAAATAAGCACATTTGTGTCCTCCTGTCCTTTCCTTTCCTCATGAAGGAAGTAAAAAGATGAAAATAGGCTGAAAAAAAAACACAAAAGCTGAAGATATAAGATGTACAGGGGAATATTCTTGGTATCACTGCATAATTTCCAAGCTGATTATTCAATGTTTAGAATTATGAGAAATAGAAACCAATGGAAAAGAGGAAAATATATAAATTCACATGTTTCATTCAGTGGAAAGAGGCCAGGAAGAGTGAAGTCAGTTTCATTCTTATCTAAATAATCTCAATTTCCATTTTCTAAAGAAAAGCAGCATTATGAGAAGAGGAGCCTGTGTTACACATATTTATTCTTATGTATACTGTCACCAGAGGGCACTAGTAAATGTTTATGAAAAGCTGAAACTCCAAAATTTACAGGAGATGGAGTGCAAAGCTGTAAGTGTAAATCCTAGTTGTCTATTAGTCACTCTATACTTTCTGTTTTTTATCTATAAATTGAAATATTTACAACTATCCCTAAATGGAGGTCTATAAACTGAAAATTTTGTAACTACTCTAAATGAAGGATTCCATTTTCTAATCAAAACTATGTTTTAAATTCAGAGTAATCAAAAAGAGGAGCCGACTAGACACAGCCAGGAAGAGCTTCTCCCACCGGAAGACCAGACCAGCAAGAAAGTTGGCACCCTCCAAGCAGGTTGTTGAAAGGAAGGCCTTGAATGTGGACAGAGGACGATGCAGATGGTAAGCTGAAGGGTGAAGAAGCTGGGAAACCTGCATTGGGTTACTGAGCACTAGATCTCGTTTCTGATCCCGAGTAGCTCCTGGGGAAAATGTGAGTTAAATAGGTATGGAGTGGCCCCTTCTCACCAAAGACCTCTAGAATCCTAGCTGCAGGAGACTTTATAGCCCCATGAACATTTGAGCTGGAAGGGAGAGCTGCTTGGAGAGTTGGCGGGAACAGGAATCCAGCCTGCATGGAGCTCATAGTTTGGCTCAGGAATAGCTGCAGTAGAACATGGACAGGGACACCCATTCCCCAAGGCTTCCCTTGCTCCTTCAGGTAGCTTTGGCCTTTGTTGACTGTTGGACCTGGACAGAACAGGTCTATCTTGCCACATGGGACAGGGCCAGTCTGATTTGAGTGTCTCTTGTCTGCTAGCCTCTCCCAGGGTTCATGTGTGGCTGCACCCACTTGCAACACAGCCTCAGATACCTAACTGGGGTGCTTCTCAGTGGCCACCACCATAGCTCTTTTGCTGGTAGACACTGCCTAACCATCAGAGAGCTTTTGCAGATGGACTCCAGCCAGTGTGCATCTGCTTGCAGCCTTCCCCCAGCACTTTGCTGGTGTATGCACATGCGTGTGTGAACTGCACTGCTGCTGTCCTACCACTAGCGCATGCATGTGCACAGTCCACCACCCCGCTGCTGCCATGCTGTTGTCTGCATGTGCTTTGACCCTATTGCCACCCCCTCAATGAAGTGCTTTTGCAGGCATCCCCTGCATCAGAGTGGTGTTGCCAGCAGGGACATCTCAGATCCTTTAGCACAGCAGGTACTTAACCTCAAGGAGGCAGAGAACAAAGCTGTGGGCCTGGTCTCAGCCCCCAGGGTTAGAGCACACAGCCCACGAATGCTGAGAGCCTTGGCCCACTGAAATTATTAAGAAATAAAGCCAGTGAACTAAACCCAACTTATACCACAGTCAAACCCTCAAGGGCATCAAAGAATACAAAAGCAAAAAGCCCTATTGGAAGAATGGCAACTTCAAAGATTAAGGAAACATCAGCTCACACAGATGAGAAGGAACCAGCACAAGATCTCTGGCAACTCAAAAAGCCAGTGTCTTCTTACCTCCAAATGACTGCATTAGCTTCCCAGCAGTGGTTCTTAACCAGAATTAAATGGCTGAAATGACAGACATAGAATTCAAAATCTGGATGGCAATGAAGATCATCGAAATTCAGGAGAAAGTTGAAACCCAATCTAAGGAATCTAAGAAATCCAGTAAAAGGATTCAAGAGCTGAAAGACAAAATAGCCATTTTAGAAAAGAATCAAATTGATTTGATAGAGTTGAAAAACTCACTAAAGAATTTCTTAATACAATTAGAAGTATTAGTTGGTGCAAAAGTAATTGCAGTTTTTGTCATTACTTTTAAATAGCAAAAACCACAATTACTGTTGCACCAACCTAATACTAACAGCACAATAGACTAAGCTGAGGAAAGAATCTCAGAGCCTGAATACCAATTCTTTGAATCAACTCAGTCATTTCAAAACACAGAAAAAAGAATTTTAAAAAATGAACAGAATCTCTGAGAAAGATGAGATTTTGTGAAGAGACCAAACCTATGACTTATTGGCATCCCTGAAGGAGAGAGAGCAAGCAATTTGGAAAACATACTTAAGAATATTAACCATGCAAATTTCACCAACCTTGCTAGACATATTCACATTCAAATTCAGGAAATTCAGAGAACCCATCAAGATACTATCCAGGATGACTATCCCCAAGGAAATGGTCATCAGATTCTACAAGGTCAAAGTTAAAGGAAAAATATTAAAGGCAGCTAGAAAGAGGGGGCAGGTCACCTTCAAAGAGAACCCCATCAGACTAACAGCAGACTTTTAGCAGAAACTCTATAAGCCAGAAGAGATTAGGGACCTGTATTTAGCATCCTTAAAGACAATCAATTCCAACCAAGAATTTCATATCCAGCCAAACTAAGCTTCATAAGTGAAGGAGAAATAAAATCATTTTCAGACAAGCAAATGCTAAGGGAATTCATCACCACTAAACTTGCCTTATAAGAAGTTCTTAAAGGAATGCTAAACATGGAAACAAAAAGACCATTACTGGCCAGCACAAAAACACACTTAAGTAAATAGACCATTGACACTATAAAGCAACTATAATCAAGTCTACACAGAAACCAAAAGCCAATATAATAGGATCAAATCCATAACATATCAATATTAACCTTAATTGTAAACAAGATAAATGTCCCACTTAAAAGGCACAGAGTGGCAAGTTGGATGAAGAAGCAAGGACCAACTGTATGCTGTCTTCAAGAGACCCATCTCATGTGCAATGACACCCATAAGCTCAAAGTAAAGAGATGGAAAAGATCTATCAAGAAAATGAAAACAGAAAAGATCAGGAGTTGCTATTTTTATTTCAGATGAAATAGACTTTAAACCAATAATAATCAAAAAGGACAAAGAAGGGCATTGCATAATGATAAAGGGTTCAACTCAACAAGAAGACTTCACTATCTTAAGTATATATGCACCCAACACTGGAGCATCCAGATTCATAAATCAAGTTCTTAGAGACCTACAAAGAGATTTAGATAACCACTCAATGGTAGTAGGAGACTTCAACACCCCAGTGACAGTATTAGATCAGTGAGGCAGAAAATTATTAAAGATATTTAAGATCTAAAACAGATATTTGGGACCTAAACTCATCTGTTGTAAACAGGGTTAAGAGGAAAGTTTATAGCACTAATCATCCACATCAAAAAAGGAAGATCTCAAGTTAACAACCTAGCATCACCTACAGGAACTAGAAAAACAAGAGCAAACCAATCCCAAAGCTAGTAGGAGAAAAGAAATAACCAAAATCAGAGCTGAACTGAATGAAATGGAGACATAAAAATCCATACAAAAGACCAATGAAGGCAACAGTTGGTTCTTGAAAGAATAAATAATATTGATAGACTACTAGCTAGATTAATGAAAAAAAGGGAAGACCCAAACAAATGCACTCAGAAATGACAAAGGGGACATTACCACTGACCCTATAGAAGTAAAAAACCCTTGGAAACTATTAGGAACACCTCTATGCACACAAACTAGAAAACCTAGAAGAAATGAATAAATTCCTGGAAATGTACAGCCTCCTAAGATTGAACCAAGAAGAAATTGAAACCCTGAACAGATCAATAAGGAATTATGAAATTGAATCAGTAATAAAAATCCTTCCAACCAGAAAAGATCCTAGACTAGATGGATTCACAGCTGAATTCTACTAGACATAGAAAGAAGAGCTGGTACCAATCCTACTGAAACTATTCCAAATAATTGAGGAGGAGGGTCTCCTCCCTAATGCATTCTATGAGGCCAGCATCATGCTGATACCAAAGCCTGGTAGAGACATGCAAAAAAAGAAAACTTTAGGCCAATATTCCTGATAAGCTTAGATGGAAACTTTCTCAACAAAATACTAGAAAACCAAGTCCAGCAGCATGTCAAAAAACTAGTCCACCATGATCAAGCAGGCTTTATTCCTGGAATTCAAGGATGGTTTAACATACACAAATCAATAAATGTGATTAATCAGATAACCAGAACTAAAACCAAAAACCATATGATCATCTTAGTAAATGCAGAAAAGGCTTTTGATAAAATCCAACATTCTTTCATGTTAAAAATCCTCAATAAACTAGGCATACCTCAAAATGAGCCATCTATGACCAACCCACAACTGACGTCACACTGAATGGGCAAAATCTAGAAGCATTCCCCTTGAGAACTGGAACAAGACAAAGATGCCCATTTTCACTACTCCTATTCAACATAGTACCAGATTCCTAGCCAGAGCAATCAGGCAAGAGAAAGAAATAAAAGGCATCCAAACAGGAAGAGAGAAAGCCAAACTATTTTTGTTTACAGATGATATGATTCTATACCTAGAAAATACCATAGCCTTTGCCCTAAGGCTCCTAGATCTGACAAACAACTTCAGTGAAGTTTCTAGATACAAAGTCATTGTACAAAAATCTGTAGCATTTCTATACACGAATAACATCCAAGCTGAGTGCCAAGTGAAGAACACAGTCCTATTCACAATAGCCACAAAAAGAATAAAATACTTAGAAATATAGCTAGCCAGAGAAGTGAAGTATCTTACAATGAGAATTACATAACACTGCTGAAAGAAATCAGAGACAACACAAACAAATAAAAAAAATTCCATGCTCATGTACAGGAAGATTCAATATTGTTAAAATGGTTATACTGCCTAATATAGTTTGACTGTGTCCCCACCCAAATCTCATCTTGAATTGTAGCTTGCTTAATTCCCATGTGTTGTGGGAGGAACGTGGTGGGAGATAATTAAATCATGGGGGCAGTTTCTCTCAGACTGTTCTCATGGTAGTGAATAAGTCTCACAAGATCTGATGGTTTTATAAGGGATTTCCCCTTTCACATGGCTCTCATTCACTCTTGCCTGCCACCATGTAAGATGTGCCTTTTGCCTTCCACTGTGATTATAACACCTCCCCAGCCACGTGGAACTGTCAGTCCATTGAAACTCTTTTTCTTTATAAATTACCCAGTCTCAGGTATGTCTTTATCAGCAGTGTGAAAATGAACTAATACAGTAAATTGGTACCAGGAGTGGGGCACTGCTGTAAAGAAACCTGAAAATGTGAGAGCATCTTTGGAACTGGGTAACAGGCACAGGTTGGAACAGTGTGGGGGGCTCAGAAGAAGACAGGAAAATGTGGGAAAGTTTGGAACTCCCTAGAGACTTGTTGAATGGCTTTGACTGAAATGCATATAATGACATGGACAATGAAATCCAGGCTGAGGTAGTCTCAGATGGTGATGAGGAACTTGTTGGGAACTGGAGTAAAGGTGACTCTTGCTATGTTTTAGCAAAAAGACTAGTGACATTTTGCACCTGCCCTAGAGATTTGTGAAACTTTGAACTTGAGGGAGATGATTTAGGGTATCTGGTGGAAGAAATTTCTAAGCAGCATAGCATTCAAGAGGTGATTTGAGTGCTGTTAAAAGCATTCAGTTTTAAAAGGGAAACAGATCATACAAGTTTGGAAAATTTGTAGCCTGATGATGTAGAGGAAAAGAAAAACCTATTTTCTGAGAAATTCAACCAGCTATAGAAATTTGCATAAGTAATGAGGAGCCAGATGTTAATCACCAAGACAATGGGGAAAATGTCGCCAGGGCATGTCATAGGGCATTCATGGTCTACCCTATCATCACAGGCCCAGAGGCCGAGGAGGATAAAATGGTTTCCTTTGCTTAGCCCAGGGCCCCCCAGGTGTGTGCAGCCTAGGGACTTTGTGCCCTGCATCCCAGCCACTCTGGCCATGGCTAACAGGGGCCAAGGTACAGCTCGGTCTGTGGCTTCAGAGGATGCAAGCCCCAAGTCTTGGCAGCTTCCATGTGGTGTTGAGCCTGCGGGTGCACAGAGGTCAAGAATTGAGATTTGGGAACTTCTATCTAGATTTCAGAGGATGTATAGAAATGCTTGGAAGTCCAGGCAGAAGTTTGCTGAAGGGGCAGGGCCCTCATGGAGAACCTCTGCTAGGGCAATGCAGAAGGCAAATGTGAGCTTGAAGCCCCCACACAGAGTCCCCACTGGGGCACTGGCTAGCAGAGCTGTGAGAAGAGGGCCATCATCCTTCAGACCCCAGAATGGTAGATCCACTGACAGCTTGCATCATGCACCTGGAAAAGCCACTGACTCTCAACGTCAGCTCGTGAAATCAGCTGGGTGGGAGGCTATACCCTGCAAAGCCACAGGGGTGGAGCTGCCCAAGACCATGGGAACCCACCTCTTGCATCAGCATGACCCAGATGTGAGACACGGAGTCAAAGGAGATCATTTTGGACTTTAAGATTTCATTGCCCCACTGGATTTCAGACTGCATGAGTCCTTTAGCCCCTTTGTTTTGGCCAATTTCTCCCATTTGGAATGAGTGTATTTATTCAATGCCTGTACCCCCATTGTATCTAGGGAGTAACTAAACTTGCTTTTGATTTTATAGGCTCATAGGCAGAAGAGACTTGCCTTGTCTCAGATAAGACTTTGGACTGTGGACTTTTGAGTTAATGCTGAAATGAGTTAAGGCTTTGGGGGACTGTTGGGAAGGCATGATTGGCTTTGAAATGTGAGGGCATGAGATTTAGGAGGGGCCAGCAGTGGAATGAGTTGGTGTAGCTGTGTCCCCACCCAAATCTCATCTTGAATTGTAGCTCCCATAATTCCCATGTGTTGTGGGAGGGACTCAGTTGTAGATAATTGAATCACAGGGGCAGTTTTCTCCATACTGTTCTCATGGTAGTGAATAAGTCTCACAAGATCTAATAGTTTTATAACTGTTTTCCCCTTTTGCTTGGCTCTCATTTTCTCTTGCTGCTGCCATGTAAGACTTGCCTTTTGCCTTCTTCCATAATTTTGAGGCCTCTCCAGCCACATAGAACTCTGAGTCCATTAAACCTCTTTTTCTTTATAAATTATCCAGTCTCAGATATGTCTTTATCAGCAGCATGGAAATGGACTAATACACTGCCCAAAGCAATGTACAGTTCAATGCTATTCCTATTAAACTACCAATGACATTTTTTACAGAATTAGAAAAAAACTATTTCAAAATACACATAGAACCAAAAAAGAGCCTGAATAGCCAAAGCAATCCTAAGCAAAAACAAACAAAAAAACAAACAAAAAAAAACCCACCCAAAACCAAAACCAAAGGCATCACACTACCTGATATCAAAGTATACTATAAAGCTACAGTAATCAAAACTCATGGTAATGGTACAAAAACAGATGCATAGACCAAAGAAACAAGTGCGAGAACCCAGAAATAAAGCTGTATACCTACAATGATCTGATCTTTGACAAAGATGACAACAATAATCAATGGGGAAAGGAATTCCTAGTCAATAAATGCTGGGATAACTGGCTAGCCATATGCAGAAGATTAAAACTGGACCCCTTCCTTATGTTATATATGAAAATTAACTCAAGATGGATTAAATACTTAAATGTAAAACATAAAGCTATAAAAACTCTAGAAGAAAACCTAGGAAATACCATTCTGGACATAGGCCCTTGCAAAAATTTCATGGTAAAGACTCCAAAAGCAATTGCAACAAAAACAAAAAAATGACAATGGGATCTAATTAAACTAAAGAGCTTCTTCACAGCAAAAGAAACTATCAATAAAATAAACAGACATCCTACAGCATGGGAGAAAATATTTGCAAACTATTCCTCTGACAAAGGTATAATATTCAGAATCCATAAGGAACTTAAATCAGCAAGCAAAAAAACAGTCTTATTAAAAAATGGGCAAAGGACATGGACAGACACTTCTCAAAAGAAGACATACATGTGGCCAACCATATGAAAAAATGCTCGACATCACTAATCATCAGAGAAATGAAAATCAAAACCACAATGAGATACCATCTCACACCAGTCAGAATGGCTATTACTAAAAAGTCAAAAATTAAAGATATTGGTGAGTTTTCAGTGAAATGGGAAAGTTTATACACTACTAGTGAGAATGTAAATTAGTTCCTAGCCACTTTGGAAAACAGTGTGGTGAATTTTCAAAGAGCTCAAAGCAGAATTACCATTTGACCCAACAATCCAATTTTTGGGTATATACCCAAAAGAATATAAACTGTTCTACCAAAAAGACACAGGCATGTGCTTATTGCAGCACTCTTCACAAAAGCACAGACATGGAATCCACCTAGATGCCCATCAGTGGGGGACTGGATAAAGAAAATGTGGTACATATGCACCATGGAATGCTACACAGCCATAAAAAAGAAAAAAATCATGTCATTTGCAAGATGCAGCTAGAGGCCATTATCTTAACAAAATAACACAAATGGTGGTGTTGTCCCTGCTCCTACTCCGGGCTTTGGGGTCAGTGCAGATATTCAGTCATGAAGTCAGGGTAGGGACTTCTCCTGCGATGTGGCCAGCAGGACTGGTTGTGTTCCAGGGGCTGGACTTCCAGGTGATTTTTCGAGATGCTGCTCTCCATAGGGATGCTTATGCTGTCAGCCACACAAGTCTACACCATCTTGGCTGTCCAGCTCTTTGCATTCTTAAACCTACTGCCTGTAGAAGCAGACATTTTAGCATATAACTTTGAAAATACATCTCAGTCCTTTGGTGACCTCCCTGCAAGATTTGGTTATAGACTTCCAGCTGAAGGTTTAAAGGGTTTTTTGATCAAAACCAGAGAATGCCTGTGAACGCAGAGTGCCTCCACCAGTAAAAAACAATTTGTCTGGCACTTTCATTGTGTTAATTAGAAGACTTGATTGTAATTTTGATATAAAGATTTTAAATGCACAGAGAGCAGAATACAAAGCAGCCATAGTTCACAATGTTGATTCTGATGACCTCATTAACATTGGATCCAATGACATTGAGGTACTAAAGAAAATTGACATTCTATCTGTCTCTATTGGTGAATCATCAGCTAATTCTCTGAAAGATGAATTCATGTATGAAAAAGGGGACCACCTTATCTTAGTTCCAGAATTTAGTCTTCCTTTGGAATGCTGCCTAATTCCCTTCCTTATCATAGTGAGTATCTGTCTCATCTTGATAGTCATTTTCATGTTTTTGGCTATTACAAATAAAGCTGATATGGACATTTGTTATATGGAAATATGCTTTCATTTCTATTGGATCACAAAATTTTTCCAGGATAGACATAGAGCTAGAAGAAACAGACTTTGTAAAGATCAACTTAAGAAACTCCCTGTACATAAATTCAAGAAAGGAGATGAGTATGATGTATGTGCCATTTGTTCAGATGAGTAGGAAGATGGAGACAAGCTCAGAATCCTTCCCTGTTCCCATGCTTATCACTGCAAGTGTGTAGACCCTTGGCTAACTAAAACCAAAAAAACCTGTCCTGTGTGCAAGCAAAAATTTCCTTCTCAAGGCAATCCAGACTCTGACACAGATGGTAGTCAAGAATAAAATGAAGTGACCCTTTACTTAGACCTTTAGCTTCTGTCATTGCCCAGTCATTTGGGGCTTTGTCAGAATCCCGCTCACATCAGAACATGACCGAATCTTCAGACTATGAGGAAGATGACAATGAAGATAACAACAGTAGTGATGAAGAAAATGAAACTAATGAACATAATGTTGCGGTCCAGTTGCAGCCTAATGGTGAATGAACATAGCTGTTGCAGGAAGTCAGGGACCCCGAACAGAGGGACCAGCTGGAGATGCAGCAGAGGAACATAAATTGTGAAGATTTCATTTTAATGTGGACATTTATCAGTTCCCAAATAATACTTTTATAATTTCTTACACATGTCTTTATTTTAATCTCTTAATCCTGTTATCTTCATAAGTTGAGGATGTACATCACCTCAGGACCACTGTGGTAATTGTGTTAACTGTACAAACTGATTGTAAAACGTGTGTTTGAACAATATGAAATCAGTGCACCTTGAAAAAAAACAGAAAAACAGTGATTTTTGGGGAACAAGGAAAGACAACAATAAGGTCTGATTGCCTGTGGGGTCGGGCAAAAAGAGCCATATATTTCTTCTTGCAGAGAGCCTATAAATGGATGTGCAAGTAGGGAAGATATCACTAAATTCTTTTCCTAGCAAGGAATGTTAATATTAATAACGTGGGAAAGGAATACATTCCTGGGGGGAGGTCTATAAATGGCCCCTCTGGGAATGTCTGTCTTATGCAGTTGAGATAAGGACTGAGATAAGCCCTGGTCTCCTGCAGTACCCTCAGGCTTACCAGGGTGGGGAAAAACTCTGCCCTGGTAAATTTGTGGTCAGACTGGTTCTCTGCTCTTGAACCCTGTTTTATGTTGTTTAAAATGTTTATCAAGACAATATGTGCACCGCTGAACATAGACCCTTATAAGTAGTTCTGCTTTTTGTCCTTTGAAGCATGTGATCTTTGTACCTACTCCCTGTGCTTACACCCCCTCCCCTTTTCAAACCCTTAATAAAAACTTGCTGGTTTTGAGGCTCAGATGGGCATCATGGTCCTACTGATATGTGATGTCACCCCAGGCGGCCCAGCTGTAAAATTCCTCTCTTTATACTGTCTCTCTTTATTTCTCAGCCGGTCAACACTTATGGGAAACAGAAAGAACCTATGCTGAAATATTGGGGGTGGGTTCCCCTGATACATAGCAAATACTGTTTGAATTTCAGAAGATGATTGGTTTATTTCCCTTTAAAATATTTAGGTATATACTGTAATATGATTTTTTTTTGCTCCCTTCAAAGATTTCTCTAGAAATAACTTATTTTTTAGTACTCTAAAATTTAATCAAATTACTGAAAAAGGACTTTTGATATGGTATTTATCTGCAAGAGTGTACTTCTTCACTAATAATAATAGACTGGTGCTATAACTCAAGCATCAATTCAGCTCTTCTTTTGGAATGAAAGTATAGCCAAAACAACAACAACAAAAAGTCCTCAGCATAGCTTGCAATTAAGATCTAGATCACAGTATTTAAGTGTTTTGCATTTTATACATGAGGTTAGTGCTACAGCCACCTAGCATGAAATAACCCAGCTTCCACCTCCACAAAGTTACCTAGAGTTGTTGAGTTGGAATATGTTCTGGCATTTACCCGACCTTCCATCATTGGTGAGAGGCAACAAGGTAATTCAGTGCCTTTCCTCCTATCAGCACAAAGAAACTCAAAGCTGTCTTTTCCCTTTCTGTTCCAAAGAGTCTTATCCTGACAGGAGCAGTCTATACTAGTGCAGATTTCAACACTTCTTTTTTTTTTTTTTAACGTTTTAATTATTATAGTGTTATGTAGAGATTTGACTCAACAGCTAAAGTAATGTCTCTGAACTTTACTTACTAAATTTCAGTATCCTTAAGAGTTTTGTGGTATTGTTATCAAAGCAAAAAGAAAATGCTGCATAAAAATACCAAACCTCAGCAACTGTTAATACTCAGATCATATACCTCTTAATAAATGGCATCTTATGCTAATTAGCCCTGCTAAACTGTGTACAGAGGAAATTATTCAAGTATTGGATTTGAAAGTAAGTGACTTATGTTTAACAGAACTAATGATGTCATCATTGTAACTATGTAGAAAATGTAGACTAATGTATAATCAAAATACTAAGAATTTTTATATGGCCTTGTATGAGGGGAGTTTGAATGTTAATAAACATGTTTTCCACTTTAAGATCCAGTTAAAAAAATTAACAACAGAAAACCAAATACTGCATGTTCGCACTTATTAGTGGGAGCTAAACATTGAGTGCACATGGACACAAAGAAAGGAAAAATAGACACCAGAACCTACCTGCGGGTGGAGGGTGGGAGGTAGATGAGAATTGAAAAGCTATCTATTTGGTACTATGCTCACTACCTGGGTGTCAAAGTAATTTGTACACCAGACCAGAGACATGCAACTTACTCATATAACAAACCAGCACATGTACCCTAGAACCTAAAAGCTGGAAAGAAAAAAAAGAAATCACATCATTTAGCAACAAGTACACTTAATAAAAATATAAAATAATTTGTTCGTGATGACTACAATACAATGGTCAAAGATTTTTCTATCACATGACCAATGGCCCCTGAAATTCAAGAAGGTACATTCAACAAAATGAACTAATAAAAATTCCATGCAAAAACTTTGCTTGAAAAAACTATAAGCCTCAGATTGTTTTTGGTGAAATGTGCTATCTCTTCAACTGCAAATTCCTAGTGTCAGCATTCTAAAGTAATTGAGTTATGAAATTAAATTGGATTAAGAAAGAAATAAGTAAAATAATAAATTCAGATGGCTTTTGATATAATTATTTATAACATGTTGTAATTGTTATGGAAATCTTAATTTAAAAAAGAAGTCTTATTTTTGAGGGTCAGTGGTGGTACCTGTGTTAATCTTACAGTGCCATGTTTTTGGAACCTCTCATTTATGTTTCTCATCTATCAGCCTTATGCTATATCCAGACTTCTTTGATGTATCCAAGGACAATGTGGCTATTTGGAAAGAAAAAGAGTGGGGTAAGGTTCAGAGGGTTGAGAATGTAAAGCAATATAATATCCTTTGGATGATAAATATCAAAAAAAAAGATTTTCTCCATCAAAATAAAAAAGAAAAAGGGTAGATATAATTGAAATTATATAACACATGTTTCAAAAGAATATATACCTGTGTGATTTGTAATATAGTAGATATATATTATCTAGTATGTATCTATTATATATATCTATTATATATATTATCTAGTATATATCTTTGTAATCATTTTTTACAAAACTAGAGTTAATAAAAATGTTTATTTTGAAATATTAAAAGTATAGTTTGCCTAAACAGTAATTGCAAATTTACTAAAGTTACTGATATGGTTTGGCTGTGTCCCCACCCAAATCTCATCTTGAATTCCCACGTGTCGTGGGGGGGACCTGGTGGGAGGTAATTGAATCATGAGGGCAGGCTTTTCCCATGCTGTTCTCATGAGAGTAAGTCTCTCAAGATCTGATGGTTATGATAAGGGGGAGTTTTCCTGCACAAGCTCTCTCTTTGCCTGCTGTCATCCATGTAAGATGTGACTTGCTTCTCCTTGCCTTCTGCCATGATTGTGAGGCTTCCCCAGCCATGGGGAACTGTAAGTCAAATTAAACCTCTTTCTTTTGTAAATTGCCCAGTCTCCGGTGTGTCTTTATCAGCAGCATGAAAATGGACTAATACAGTTACACATAACTTTATGTATTTATTTATGTTTACAAATGAAGCAAGAAGAAAACTTTAGCATTAAAGGTATTAACATTATTTTAATAAAACAGAAGAAAGTAATTCTGTGTTCAAAACTTGGTGTCAAGCAGATTTGGAGAGGACTTGCTTTCCAGAAATGAAGTGAATGTGAGGGGGAAAAAAGAAAATAACTAAAATTGAAAACAAAATCTGTCACGTGCAAACTTTGTCTCAACAGTCTTCGCTGTAGATAACACTCTTAGCAATTTCTCCTACCTCTAATTTTTCACTTTTATCATCACAATAGACATTGGAATACTATTAAGGCACTCCCTGAAATGAGTAAAATCTCTCTACTTTTATTTCTCTGATAAAATAAACCTGATATAAAAGAGGATAAAAGACTATAGCTTTTCAAAATGGTCATTCTCTTTAAAATTATGCATGCTAAAAATGCCAGGCCAATTCAGCAACCTTAGACTTGAAGAACTTTTTTATCTGAGACATTGAAACAAAAGCAGGATGTTGACTAACCATGTTCATGTGCATAAACTAACTCTGTTTTAGTCAGGAGCTAACCTTAATACATCCACAAGAAATCCAATAGAGCCAATGCCAATGAGACGTTTGCTTTTATTCCTGAAGATTTTTGGGACACAAAATAAAGTTTTACCCACAAAAACTCAGAATTTCTCCAGAAAAAGCCTTATGAGACATCTCTTCTCCCAGGAATCTCCTCTCAGCCTCCAGTCATCAGGTATCTCTTCTTTTCCATCTGACCTCCTGCCCTGATTAGTCTCTAAGAAACGCTTAATTTGTCTTTTTCTTTCCCCACCTCTGTTTTATTTTTCAAATTTATTCCAATATTACAAAGGTTATTCTAGCCTTTCTCTTTTTAAAAATTTTAACAGATTTTTATTGTTAAAAATTTCCTCATACCTCTTTGCACAATCCCCTCTCTTTACCCCCAGCTTCCATGGATCTGATTTCTCTCTATATGCTGTTGTCTTTCCAGAATGTCATATAATTGGCCATAAAGTATGTAGCCTTTTGTGTCTGGCTTCTTTCAGTTAACACAATGCTTTGAAATTCATACATGCTACATGTATTCGTGGTTTGTTCCTTTTTACTGGTGAGTAGTGTTGCATTGCATGGTTGTACTACAATTTGTTTCTCCATTTACCAGTATGTTTATATGTTGCTGTTTTTAGTTTTTGACTATTATGAATAAAGTCATAAACATTTCCACATAGGTCTTTGTGTGGTCACATATTGTTATTTATTTTGGATAGTTACAAATGAGATTGCTGGTTCATATAATATATTTAACTTTATAGGTACTGTTAAACTATTTTTCACATGAACTGTATTATTTTGCATTCTAACCAATAATGTTTGAGACATCCAGTTGCTCTACATCCCTGTCTTGACTTGATACTGTCATTCTTTTGAATTGTAGCAATTCTAGTAAATGTGTGGTAGGTCTTTGCATTTTAATTTACATTTTCTCAATGATTAATGATGTCTAACATCTTGTCATGTACTTATTTGCCCTCTGTATATCTTCTTTATTTTCTTTTTTAAATTTGCAAATTTAGCACCAAGCCTGGCCAATTTTTGTATTTTTTTGTAGAGACAGGGTTTTGCCATGTTGCCCAGATTGGTTTTGAACTTCTGGGCTCAAATGATTCGCCCGTGTTGGCCTCCCAAAATGCTGGGATTACAGGTGTGAGCTACTGTGCCTGGGCTATATATCTTCTTTAATGAAGTGTTATTCAAATGGCTTTTAAAATTAGGTTGTTTGTGTTTTTATTGTTGAGTCATAAGAATTCTTATATTCTAAATATTTTTCTAAAATTTTTAAAGTTTTTTTTTTGTTTCTTAGGAACATCTCTATTGCAGTAATGTTGCAAGTATTTTTTCCTAGTTTGTCAGTTGTCTTTTTTAAATTAAATTAAATTTTTTTTTTCTGGGAAGAGAAAGTCTCCAGTGTGGACAGAAGGTGCTCTTTCTTCCCCTAGTTTATTGTTTGTCTTTTGATGTTACTAATGGTATTTCTTGCAATAAAAAGGTATCTATCTATCTATCTATCTATCTATCTGTCTGTCTGTCTATCTATTTATTTAGAGACGGAGCCTTGCTCTGTCACCCAGGCTGGAGTGCAGTGACACAATCTCAGCTCACTGCAACCTCCACCTCCCAGGCTCAAGCAATTCTCCTGCCTCAGCCTCTGAGTATTTGGGATTACAGGTGCCCACCACCATGCCCAGCTAATTTTTGTATTTTTAGTAGAGAAGGGGTTTTACCATGTTGGACCAGGCTGGTCTCAAACTCCTGACCTCAAGTGATCTGGCTGCCTTTGCTGAGACCAGCTCAATCGATACCTAACCCAGCAGTGCTAGAGGAATTAAAGACACACACACAGAAATCCAGAGTGCAGAGTGGGAATCAGGGGGCTGACAGCCTTCAGAGCTGAGAGCCACGAACAGAGTTTTACCCACATATTTATTGACAGCAAGCCAGTGATAAGCAGTGTTTCTATAGATTATAGATTAACTAAAATGGGAAACAAAAGGATGGGGTCTGGCTAGTTATCTGCAGCAGGAATGTGTCCTTAAGGCACAGATCACTCATGCTATTGTTGTGGTCTGCCCTGGGTGGGCCAGGTGTTTCCTTGCCCTCATTCCAGTAAACCAACAACCTTCAGTGTGGGCATCATAGTCATTGTGAGCATGTCACAGTGCTGCAGAGATTCTGCTTATGGCCAGTTTTGGGGCCTGTTTATGGCCAGATTTGGGGGCCTGTCCCTAACATGCCTTGCCCTCCCAAAGTGCTGGGATTATAGGCATGAGCCACTGTGCCTGGCAAAAAATGTTTATTTTTAAAACTGTACTCACATTTCTCAATTTAAAAAATTGCCACCGGATTTTGAGTCATAGGAAGCCTCTCTTAACAATGAGGTTTAAAGAGGAATTCCCTCATGCTTTCTTCTAGTAAATTCCATTTCTTTTGTCTAATTACATTTTAAAATATTTATATTTTATAATTTGTGAATTTTATTCTTGTATTTGATGTGAAGTCTGCATCTAATTTTGTTTTTTTCCATATGATTCATCAATTGACCCAATGGGAGACAGGACTAGCTGGATTTCCTAGGCTGACTAAGAATTCCTAAGCCTAGCTGGGGAAGGTGACTGCAACCCACCTTTAAACACAGGGCTTGTAACTCAGCTCACACCTGACCAATCAGGTAGTAAAGAGGGCTCACTAAAATACAAATTAGGCTAAAAGCAGGAGGTAAAGAAGTAGTCAAATCATATATTGCCTGAGAGCACACAGGGAGGGGCAATGATTGGGATATAAACCCCAGGACTTTGAGCTGGGAGTGGGCAACCCCCTTTAGGTCCCCTCCCATTGTATGGGAGCTCTGTTTTCACTCTATTAAATCTTGCAACTGCACACTCTTCTGGTCCGTGTTTGTTCTGGCTTGAGCTGAACTTCTGCTCTCTGTCCACCACTGCTGATCGCCACCTTCACAGACCCACCATTGACTTTCACCCCTCCGGATCCGGCAGGGTGTCTGCTGCACTTCTGATCCAGCAAGGTGCCCATTGCCCCTCCCGTTTGGGCTAGAAGCTCGTCATTGTTCCTGTGCAGCTAAGTGCCCGGGTTTGTCCTAATCAAGCTGAACACTAGCCGCTGGGTTCCACGGTTCTCTTCCATGACCCATGGCTTCTAATAGAGCTATAACACTCACTGCATGGCCCAAGGTTCCATTCCTTGGAATCTGTGAGGCCAAGAACCCCAGGTCAGAGAACAAAAGGCTTGCTGCCATCTTGGGAGTGGCTGCCACTATCTTGGGAGCAGCCCATCACCATCTTGGGAGCTCTAAGACCAAAGACCCACCCATAACACCAGCACTATTTATTAAACCTTTGTTTCAGTGATTTGAGATGACATTTTTATCATATATTTAATTTCTACATATATTTATGTCTACTTCTGGGCTTTCTATTTAATTTCTGTTAGTCTATGCATCAGTATCACATTACTTTCACTATGTATGGTCTATAGTATGTTTTAATGTAGGATTAAATCTAGACAGGATTAGTATCCCTCATAGATTTGCTTTTAGTGTTTTCCTGACAATTTTTGCATATTTGTTTTTCATATGAACTTTTTAAAGATAAACTTTTTATTTTAGAATAGTTTTAGATATATAAAAAGTTGCAAAAATAGTGCAGAAAATTCCCGATATACTCCACACAGTTTTCCTTTATTATTAACATCTTAAAATAGTATAGTACGTTTGTCATGATAATTGAACCAATAACTACCAATAACAATAATACCTTGTTATTAACTGAAGTTCATACTTTATTCATATTTCTTTGGTTTTGACCTAATGTTTGTTTTCTGTCCTAGGATTCCATCCTGGATACCACATTATATTTATTTGTCATATCTTCCTAGGCTCCACTTGGCTGTGGTAGCTTTTCAGGGTTTCCTTGTTTTTTTGATGACCTTGACAGTTTTTAAGAATTCTTGGTCAGGCATTTTATAGAAGATCTCACAATTGGGATTTCTTTGATGTTTTCCTCATGATTATATTGGGTTTTGGGTTTGAGAGAGGAAAACCAAAGATGGAAAGTGACATACTTACCATATATTGTCAACGTGACATCACTGTTGATGTGAACCTTGAACACTTGGCAGAGAGAGTTTTTATCATGTTTCTCCACAGTGAAGTTACCCTTTTCATGCTACTCTTGATAAGGAAGTCACTATATATAGACCACACTTAAAGACTGGGGAGTTATGCTCCTCTTCCATGAGGATCGAGTATCTACATAAATTATTTGAAATTTCACCCTAAAGATTTATCTATTCTTCCCCATATATTTATTCAATTATTTATTTATATCAGGATAGACTCATGGATATTTATTCTATATTTTGGGGTATAATTTGATATTTCTTTATTTTGTTAATGAAATTGTTTCAAGTTTGGCCCCTGAGGACTCTTTCAGTTGGCTCCTGTGTCCAGTTGACATAACCCCATCATTATGATTTTGTTTGAGAATTTCCTTTTATTCCTATACTACATGTATTTTACACCTTTTTAAACTGTCCCACAGTTCTTGAATGTTCTGTTTTTCTACTTTTCCTTTCCTCTTTTCTCTTTGCATTTAAATTTGGGAAGTTTCTATTGACCTATCTGCAAGCTCACTGAGACTTTCCTTGGTTGTGTCCAGTCTCCTGATGAGCCCATCCAAGATGCCCTTCACTTCCGTTACAGTGCTTTTTACTTTTAATGTTTCCCTTTGAGTCTGAGAGTTTCCATCCCTCTGCTTAAACAACCCATCTTTTCTTGAATGTTGTCTCCCAAGAGTGCATAACATATTAATCATAATTATTTTAAATTCCCTGTCTGATAATTCCAACATCTGTGTCGTATCTGAGTCTGGTTCTTATGCTTGCTTTGTCTCTTCAGACTGATTATTTTCTTGCCTTTTGCCTTTCTTTGCCTTGTCATGCCTTAAAAGCTGGACATGTTGTATCAGATAATATGAACTGAGGTAAATTGGCCTTTAATGTGAGGATTTATGTTAACCTGCCTAGGAGTGGGGCTATGTTTAATGTTTCCTATAGCTATAGTTATCAGAGGCTTCAAATATGTCCCTTGTTTTTTTTCTCCATTCTTGATTTTGGCACTTCCTAAGTACATTTCAGAGTCTGTATCTTGCTGCTCCTTTAGCTATAAGCCAATGGTAATTATACTGTAATCTTGTTTGTGTGGTGGTATGGTGGTAAGGTGTGGAGGGATGGGAGCATTCTATAATATTCCAATTAAATCTCAGTGTTTTAGTGGTCCTCTCTTTTGGGGCTATGACCTTCACCTGTGTTTCTCTCCTTTCATCCCTGCTCCTTTCTTTAGCTATGACATTCCCAATTTATTGCCTCTAATTCCTGACACGTTTTAACATTATTTTAAACCCTTTTAGGTGAGTCAGAAAAGCTAGAGGCTACTGGAGTGGGAGGAATGATTTACTGATAGGAACCCCACAGGTTATTACAGATTATATCAAGAAAGATTTCATCATGACTCTGGCAATGTTTCTTCCCTTCAAGTAAACCTTTCTTACAAAGAAAGCTCTGTGCATATTTCTGTATTTCACAATGATTACTCTTCCTTCCGCCTGTCAGAGGCATGAGCGTGTCTTTCTCAGTCTTCTCTTTGAGAACCTGATAAAGTTCCTAAAAGGAAAGCTCACAGAATTATAGACCCCAAGGATACTGTCCCCAGGAGTTTCTCATTCCAATTCGAGTTCAAACTTACTGTCCTGCAGTTCATCAAAACTACCATTTGAAAGTTCCTACTAGTTTATGGACCCAGAGACTTCTGTTCCAAGTAAGCGGATCTCAGATGTGTCTCTCTAGATGAGCTTGCTTCTCCAGATTTGGGGGTAGCAATTTGCCTTATAATCTCAGTTTTCTAATGGGTTAAAGAAAAATAATTGATTTTTCAGTTTGTACAGCTTTTTCTTGTAAACACAGTGTGACAACCTCCAAGCTGTTTACAAGTCAGATTTGAAACTGAAAGTATCCCTATGAACCTTTTTGTCAACTTATCTAGCTTCATAAATAAGCTGTGACTATATTTAATGGGATTTCATCAAATTAATAAATTCACTTTGGGGAGAACTGACAGCTTTATTCTGCTGCATTGTAGTATCCAACAAGAGAAAATGCCTTTTTGTTCATTTACATCTATTTTTGTGACTTTCAGGATTGATTTAAAGCTTTCCTCACAAGTCTTGCACATTTCTTAAGTTTATTTCTAAATATTTAATTTTCTCCATTGGTGTCATTATTGGGAATTTGTCTACTATTATTTTCTCTAACTGGTTATTATTTGTGTAGATGAAGACTATTGATTATTGAATGTTAATTTTATGTCCTGACTTATTCATTCATTTATTATTGGGGCCAGTTTTACCTTCAAATTTCTGGGGGTTTTTATGTGCACTAGCATATCATCTACTTAATAGAGGTAGTTTTACTTGTCTTTAACAATTCTCATGCCTTCGGTTGATTCCTCTTATTTATGTGCATTGACTAATACCTCTACTACAAAGTTGAATAGTAATGGAGATATTTGGCCTTCTTGCCTGTTCCTGAATCTTAGTGAAAAATGCCTCAAGTGTTTCCTCATTAAGACTTTTTAAGGCTAAGGTGTATGTATTTTAGGTAGTTAAGAAAATATCCACCAATTTTTATTCTCTGAGTAACTTTCTTACCAGAAATGAGTGTTGAATTTGTCAAAGTTTTTCTTCAGCATTTATAAAAATAACACATTTTCCCCTCAGATCTATTAAGATAGTTTATTATATTAGTGGATTTAAATAATGTGGAATACACCTTGGATTTCTGGGGTAAATCTTACTTGATCATGGTGTGTTATTTTCTTCCTTAGGTTTGGACACTGCTGGCCAACATTTTACCTAGCACTTTTGCATGGATATTCACTGGTCTTTAGTTTTCATTTGTTTGTACTTTTAGATATAATTATCAATGTTCTACTTCCTTCTTTAAAAGAAGTAAGTCGGTTTGCTCATTTTCAATGCTCTGGAACGGTAGTCCCCAAATGTTTTGGCACCAGGGACCAATTTCGTGGAAGACAATTTTTCCACACAAGGGATTGGGGGTTGGGGGAGATGGTTTCCGGATGAACCTGTTCCACCTCAGATCATCAGGCATTAGATTCTCATGAGGAGAACAACCTAGTTCCCTCACATGTGGAGTTCACAATAGGGTTTGCACTCTTATGGGAAGTGAATGCTGCTGATGATCTGACAGAAGGCAAAGCTCAGTCGGTAATGCTCATTCACCTTCTGCTGTGTGGCCCAGTTCCTAACAGGTCATGGGTCAGCACTGGTCCATGGCCTGAAGGTTGGGGACCCCTACTCTGGAACAATATATGGAGCACTAGTAGTCTCTGTTCTTTAAAGGTTTGGTAAAAATTCCCTGTGAAACTGTCTTAGCCCAGTGCTTTTGGTGGGATAATTCCTTGATAACATTATTTTGTTTAAAGAAATCATTCTATTCAAGCTTTTACTCTCTAATGGGATCAGTTTTGGTTATATTGCTCTAGAAATTATCATTCCTTTCTAGGCTTTTAAATTTATTTGCATAGAGGGCCACAAATTAACATCTTACGAGTTAATTTTTTTTTATTTGAATGGTTATTTCCTCCTTGTAATTTTTTTTTTTTTTTTGAGATGGAGTCTCACTCTGTCACCTAGGCTGGAGTGCAGTGGCATGATCCCAGCTCACTGCAACCTCCACTTCCCAGGTTCAAGCAATTCTCCTGTCTCAGTCTCCTGAGTAGCTGGGATTACAGACACCCATCACCATGCTCGACTAATTTTTGTATTTTTAGTAGAGACAGGGTTTCACCATATTGGCCAGGCTGGTCTCGAACTCCTGACCTCAAGTGATCCACCTGCCTCAGCCTGCCAAAGTGCTGGGATTACAGGCATGAGCCACTGCGCCTGGACCCTCATTGTAATTTCTTATTCTGTATATTTATATATGATTTTTCTCTACCATGAGAACTAGCAATTTGTTCATTTTTTCCCAAGAGGCAGGATTTGGATATATTAATTAGTTCTACTGTTTTTCTATTCTCCACCTACAAATTTTTGCATATCTTCCTGATTTTCCTGTTTATAAATTCTTTTGGTTTATTTTGTTGCTTCTTCTACCTCATTTGTGAGTTGGAAATATAACTTACTTATTTCCATTCTTCTATTTTTATTGGTTAAGTGTTTAGTGGTATGATTTCCTCTGGTTACTACTGTAAATGTGTTCAAACAAATTATGCTATGAAGTGTTTTCATTTTTATTATTTTTTAAACATTCTGTAATTTTGGATTATATTTTCTCTTTTACCCAAGAGTTGCTAAATAGGTGTTTCTTTTTAAAGTTCTAGGTGGAAGGATCTTCCTTTTTTTACCTTATTAGTAATTTCTAATTTGATTTTGTGATCATAGATTATTGCTTTAATATCTCCACTTTATGGAAGCTACTGATGTTTTGTTTGCAGCTTAATATTTAATTAATTTTATAGTGTTTAGTAAGCACTTGAGAAAAAGTGCTATTCTCTCTAATCAGTGCACAAATTTTGATATATAGCCATCAGAACAAACTTACTGACTGTGTTGTTTAGGTCTTCTATATCCTTACTGATAGGACAGTACTTGATGTGACTTATGTTGATAATAGTGTGTTAGTCTTCTATTATTAGTGTTTTAATCTCTGTCTCATTGCATCTCTATAGCTTTTGCTTTATAAAGGTGATTGCTATATTATTTGGTTATAAGAAATACAAATTATAAGAAATTTATAATAAATATTCTTGTGAATTTTAGCTTTTAGCATGTAAACATTCTCTTCTTTGTTACGTATACTGCTTTCTCGGCTTGAGTTCTGATATCAGAGTTGCTACTATAGCTTTCTTACTGTTTCCATTTGCCTGGTACATTTATCCATCCTTTTATTAGTTCTGAATCACTTTGTCTTAATGTGACTTTTATATACAGCACATTGCTGGGTATTGCTTTGTGAGCCAAATTGAAAATATTTTTCTTTTAGTAGGGGAGTTCAGCCTATTTACATGTATTGATGTGACTGATATGTTTGCTCTCGATTTTGATATAATATATACATAATTATTTGTGTTGTATAATGTTTGCTTTGTTTCTCTATGAGGTGTGTGTTCTTTGCTCCTTTATATTTACTTTCAGTATTTACAAAGATATTTATTTTTGTTGTGGTGATTACCTTTGTACTTTGTACTATCTTTTATAATACCTATTCACCTCTATTTCCTCATGTAATCTTTTACTATCTGATTTATTAGGTTTTAATAGTCTCCTTTAACTCTTCTACCTATTACCTATACAACAGTGATTCTCAATTGGGGTGATTTTGCCCCATAGGAAGCATTTGGCAATGGAGACATTTTTGATAGTCACACTGAGGGGATATTACTGGCATCTAGTGGGTAGAGGTTGGAGATGCTCCTAAATATCTTATAATACACAGGACAGCTCTCAAAACAAAGAATTATCTGACACAAAATGTTAAAACTGCTGAGATCAAAAGACCCTGCTGCATAGAAATTTTTTCTCTTTCCCTCTCTTTTTCTCCCATTTGTATAATAATTATTTTCACAATATATAGTATTTGTACATTATTCCTCCTTTGTCCTCATTTTGTTTGTAATACTCCATAATTATACATATATATATATACACACACACACACACACATATACACTCATTTTTTTGCTGATATTTTCTCAGTTATCTCTTGGTTGGATGAAACTCATCCTTTAGTACTATGTTGTCTAGTAAGTTAGTCACTAGCTACATGTGACATTGAGAACTGGAAATATGGCTAGAAAAAATTAGATGTGGTATAAGTGTAAAATACACTGAATTCAAAAATTTAGTGCAAGGAAAAAATGTAAAATATCTCATTTTTTATATTGATCATATATCAAAATTGCAATATTTTTTATATATTGGGTTAAATGATAAATATTATTAAAATTAATTTTACCTCTTTTTACTTTTTAACAAATGGTTAAGACAAGACCTCAAGTATTTTTTGGAAACTGTCCTATTGTTTCATTGTGTGTTAAATACAGGAAAGACTATAGAAAGCTAGGGAAATATTTCTCCATTGTTGGACTCCTAAGACAAAAAGGGTGACATAGTTGGGTTTTTGAATCATTTTCAAGTTGCCTGTTTTATATAACATGTTGTGTGTCCTGATTATTAAGCGATTGTCATTCAGCTCCAAACCCTCCCTTCTTTGCTTTGTGATACTAGGCTGAAGACTCTGCAGTTACATTTCTGCTCAAATGCTTTCCTGTTAGGCTCTGCCAGTAGGCAGTGCTAGTGGGAGATAGGAAAACTGGAAGAGGAAGATGGGACTTGACCTTTCTTGGATTGCTTCCTGTTCTGCATTTGCTTCCTATTCCTGTCAGTTGGTTTCAGCAGCAAGTGAAAAAAAACTAAAAAAAAAAAAAAAAAGGCTGTTGGTTGTAGTTCCTTCCTTCCTTCCTTCCTTCCCTCTTTCCTTCCTTCCTTCCCTCTCTCTCTCTTTCTTTGTTTCTCTTCCTTTCCTTTCTTTCTTCTTTCTTTCCTTCCCCTTCCCCTTCTCTTTCTTTCTTTCCTTCCTTCCTTCCCTCTCTCTCTCTTTCTTTGTTTCTCTTCCTTTCCTTTCTTTCTTCTTTCTTTCCTTCCCCTTCCCCTTCTCTTTCTTTCTTTCCTTCCTTCCTTCCTTCCTTCCTCTTTCTTTCTTTCTTTTCTTTCTTCCTCTCACTCTGTCACCCAGGCTGGAGTGCAGTGGCACAATCTCGGCTTACTGTAACCTCCACCTCCCGGGTTCAAGCAATTCTCCTGCCTCAGCCTCCTGAGTAGCTGAGTTTACAGGTAGCCACCACCATACCCGGCTAATTTTTTGTGTTTTTGGAAGAGACGGGGTTTCACCATTTTGGCAAGGCTGGTCTCGAACTTCCTGAGCTCAAGTGATCCACCCGCCTTGGCCTCCCAAAGTGCTGGGATTGCAAGCGTGAGCCGCCGCACCAGCCCTAGTTTGCAGCTTTTCTGGAATCAGCACTAATGCAGACTCTCAGAGATAACAGCATCTATTGTCCTGTGCGTTCTCCTCACAGGTACAAGACCCAGTTCTCATGGTCCCTCCTCTAGGCTCTTAAGTTTTAGGAATTGCATCCAATTTTCCATTTACAGTTTTCTGAAAGAGATTCCAAACAGTATTCGTTCTTTTAGAGGGCAAATTACTGCACAATGCACTAAATAAGGTTACTTCTTTTTTTTAATTACTTTTTGTTTGTTTGTTTGAGATGGAGTCTTGCTCTGTCTCCCAGGCTGGAGTGCACTGGCGCAATCCCGGCTCACTGCAGGCTCCACCTCCCGGGTTCATGCCATTCTCCAGCCTCAGCATCCCGAGTAGCTGGGACTACAGGCGCCCGCCACCATGCCCGGCTAATTTTGTTTTGTATTTTTAGTAGAGACGGGTAGGTGGGATTATATGCCTGCGCCACCAAGCCTGGCTAATTTTTTTTTTTTTTTTTTTTTTTTTTTTTTTGTATTTTTAGTAGAGATGGGGTTTTGCCATATTGGCTAGGCTGGTCTTGAACTCCTGGCCTCAAGTGATCTGCCCACCTCAGCCTCCCAAAGTGCTAGGATTATAGGCGTGAGCCACCAAGCCTGGCCTAGATAAGGTTACTTCTCTGCTGAACACTTCCTGGTAATTTTTTAAAAATGAAATTTATTTTATGTTTATGATTTACGTTTATGATTTATGTTGTTTTCTATTTGTGAAAGGAATTTACTTTCATGTCAGATGTCTTCAGAAAGTGTTCTGCCAATTTCTAGTCCCATTTGTAATGTATAAGAGTGTCTATCTCAAACTGGTAGAATTTTAAAAGAATAATGCTCAGATTATGTTTATATGAGGAGTACACATTTATAAGAAAGAATTCGGTAAACACATAAGATTGAAGACAAATATTAAAATTATTCCAAATCTTATTCCTTACATGTAAGCACTATTAAGTTTTGGTGTATTTTTTTTTTATATTCTTAAGGCTGTTTTTAATCTCACTTTTAAAAAAATTGTCAAAATGATGCATGTTGTTTGTAACAAAAAATCCTAAGAGTTTAAAAGTTAAAAGTAAAAGGCAATTTGCCTCCTTTTCTCCTCTCCCTAATTCCTATACATGACCACTATCTTTGCTTTTAAAATTAGCATTACAATGTGTTTTTTGTGCTATTATAAATTTTAGTATAAATACCTAATACTACATTATATGAATATACACTAATTTATTTACACACTGTCAGAGGTTTAGGTTCCCTATTAAAAGTTTACAATTAACTTCTTTGTATGAAAAGTTTTTTTCTGAATTTAAGTGTTTTTTCCCAGAAGTAGAATCACTAAGTTAAAGCCATTTTATATTTTTTAGTCTCTTGACATCTAATGTAAAATAGCTTTTGAGAAAAGTTATTTCAATTTATACTTCCAAGAACAATGGAATTTCTGATA
Source organism: Homo sapiens (assembly GCF_000001405.40). Classification (NCBI taxonomy): domain Eukaryota; kingdom Metazoa; phylum Chordata; class Mammalia; order Primates; family Hominidae; genus Homo; species Homo sapiens. The sequence continues at coordinate 180,756,062 of NC_000003.12, read as the reverse complement.
TTGAAATTCTGACTGCCGTGACTGATGACAAGAGATTTTTCAACCAGAGGCCTTTCTGTGTTTCTGTAAAGTCACTTTGCAGAGCACCTTTTGTGTTACACTTACTTGTCTATATGTCCTCTACAGAATGATTCCTAGTAAAAGATATTTTTGTCTTTAAAAAATGTGTCCATTCTATCCCAGAAAACAGCACCCACCAATTTTACACCCTTGGGTTATCTATCCTATTGGATAACAGGCTGCCATGCTTCATATGCATAATAATCCCAGGGATGCGGAGAGTGTCACTATGCAGAATGGGTTCTTACTCCTCGGGCTGAGTGAGTGAGTCTGGGGTTGGGGTTCTGGAATTTGTATTGTTAACAGGGGATTCTGATGCAGTGAATGATCTCTCAGCAGTCAAAGAGAATCTCTACTCTGTAGATTAAATTACTGATTCTTGATGTTTGCTGGTTAACAGTGGTTGATTGCAAAAAAAAAAAAAAGCCATATAGTAAAAATGAATGTGGGAAATACTGACTTAAACATATTAAACAGGCTTAAATGTATTTCTCAGGATTTTTAATATGCTGATGCTCTCTAACTTTTCAATATGCTGTTGCTCTCTGTCTTTGCAAGGAGGGCTTATTTTTTTGCAGCCAAATTTATATAATGAATGGAATTCATTTTATTGTTTATTGTTTATTAATTAATTTATTTTTTTGAGACAGGGTCTCACTCTGTCACCCAGGCTTGAGTGCAGTGGCATGATCTCAGCTCATTGCCATCTCCGCCTCCTGGGTTCAGGTGATTCTCTTGCCTCAGCCTCCTGAGTAGCTAGGCTTACAGGTGCATGCCATCCTGGCTGGCCAATTTTTGTTATTTTCAGTAGAGACACGGTTTCGCCATGTTGGCTAGGCTGGTCTCGAACTCCTGACCTCAAGTGATCCGCCCACTTGGCCTTCCAAAGTGCTGGGATTATAGAAGTGAACTGCTGCACCTGGCCTGTTTATTTTTTTTAGTTTGTTTTGTTTGGGCGTGGGCCAACTGTTAACATCTGATGTTCCTAGGAACGAAGTTTGAAAATCCTGGATTAAGTGATCTTTCTATTACAGTATTTCCCATCATTCGCTTAGTACCTTAAAACATTTAATGAACTTCCCTAGGCACATGGCTTTTATTATATGGTTTAGGCAAAGTAAAAATTTCATATTTTGTAAATCTAAATTTTCAGGGCTAGATTGACTTCCTAGCAAACATGCTTAACTTTTTTTCTTTATATTCAAATGCCTTTTTTGTTCATTCCCTTAATAAAAAGTGTACCAAAGAAATCTGTTTTGAAGCCCTCCATTTCCTCTTAGTGCCTATTAACTAGAGTAAGATGTGATCTAGAAGAACTTCATGTAATAGAAATAAAGCCCACGTGACCAAAAATTTAACACTCATCCAACAACAACTGCTTTAGAAGTGGCAGGGTCTTTATTGTTTAGAATTTCTAATGTTGGGGTTTATTCAAAGGGTTATAAAAAGGTCTTTTGAAACATTCCTGTAGCAAATTATTTTGGCTGAATTACAAATCCTCAAAAGTGGGGCTTTATTATAATGGAAACAGAGTTAGAATAAACTCTAACAACATTTGTAGGCAGCACTGTGTAATGAGGGTTGAGTGCATTGCTATATTATGACTAGAGGCATATCTTTTCACTATCTCAGTAAAGCACTCCTAGCTTTTATACACAGTGTTACTGGTCAAGTGTTCTGTAAGCTTCCCTGTTTCTTTTTATCCAATTGTTTCACGCATCTTCTGCATATGAAGCACTGCAATCTCAGGTGACCCTGTCAGGTTTAAATTATTAGCCCTGGATCATTCTCCTGTTAGAAATGTTCTACATATTCATCTGTAGAAGTAAATAACAGCTTCAACTTAACATGTCAACAACTCTATAGAACATTCTAGCTAACTTTGATGAGCTTTAATCTTGTTAATAGCACCCTCTGAAGTTTGGTTGGTCAATAATTAGGAAGGAAAATAAAGGTTAACTCACTAATTTTTTACTGGTGTTTTGTAATTTGCAAAGCAGGTAATATACCTGAACAAATTAGAGAAACCTTGAAACGCTCCTGTGAGGCAGATATTGTTATAACCTCTTCCCCACAAAGGTAGGGAACCTGAGACTCAACTAAATTAAGTAACTCACCCAAAATTTCTTCCTCAGGAAATGATGCAGCTAGGACTCAGAGCCAGATAGTTTGATGTGTAAATCTGTATTTTTTTTCTATCACATAAGTTTCATTTCTCCAAGTCACCTTCCACTTAGACTATATAAACTCCAAGATAATTCGATTGTTTACATTCCAAGGAACCTACCAACTTTCCAGTTACACATATTTTCCATGTAACTTTGATGAAAGCAGTACAGTGTTGAGAACTGAGTGAATTACAAAGAATTGAGTTTGAGTAAATTCTGTGTTCACTTACTAGTCTTGTAATATTGAGAATGTTACCTCCTTGAGCTAGTTTCTATTTATGAAAATAAGGACTTACAATAGCATGTACTTTATGGGATTGTTATAAAATATTTATGGAATATGCCCAACACAATACTGAGGGTACCCAGTAACTGACTTTAACCTTATTTGCAAAATTTCACAATGTTTAATTTCACCTGAGCCAGAAAAACAGTAAAGGGTAAGAAATCCCCCCACTCTTTGTGTTCTGGAAAATGACTTAATAAGACTTACAGAGGCCAGGCATGGTGGCTCACGCCTGTAATCCCAGCACTTTGGGAGGCTGAGGTGGGTGGGTCATTTGAGGTCAGGAGTTCGAGACCAGCCTGGCCAACAGGATGAAACCCCGTCTCTACTAAAAATACAAAAGTGAGCTGGGCGTGGTGGTGTGTGCCTGTAATCCCAGCTACATGGGAGGCTGAGGCACGAGAATTGCTTGAACCAGGGAGGTGGAGGTTGCAGTAAGCTGAGATTGTGCCACGGCACTCCAGCCTGAGTGACAGAGCGAGACTCTGTTTAAAATAATAATAATAATAGGCTGGGCGCGATGGCTCATGCCTGTAATCCCAGCACTTTGAGAAGCCGAGGAGGGCGGATCATGAGGTCAGGAGATGGAGACCATCCTGGTTAACTCAGTGAAACCCCGTCTCTACTAAAAATAGAAAAAATTAGCCGGGCGTGGTGGCAGGTGCCTGTAGTCCCAGCTACTCCGGAGGCTGAGGCAGGAGAATGGCGTGAACCTGGGAAGTGGAGCTTGCAGTGAGCCAAGATCGCACCACTGCACTCCAGCCTGGGCAACGGAGCAAGACTCTGTCTCAAAAAAAAAATAAAATAAAATAAAAAAATAATAATAATATAGAAAGACTTACAGATGCCTCCTTTGTTTACCTATAACAAGGCCCGACATAGATCCTCAAAATTTCTTTTTTTAGCCTCATAAATGATTAGCTAAACTGCTTGTCCCATTGATCAATTGGAACAAAAGTCTTGGTATTCAAACTTTGGTTAAGCTTCTTTCCTTCCTCCAGGACCCTGAACTTTGGCCCACCCTCAGCCTGGGCTAGCATACAATGCCGGTTTAGAATAAGCTGGTCTCGAGGTCAGACATTCTCTCATATACTATCTGATCGCACCATCTTTTATTCTACTTTCTCACACCTGGCTCTTCCTAGCTTTATTTATTCCTCTCTGAAAAAGAAAAAAATCTTTTTCTTTTTCTTTTTTTTTTTTTTGCCTAACTTTTGAGATGCTTGCAGATCTCATGGTCAGAGCATTCTTCCTGTTACAATAGTCCTCCTCCCCCATTGCAATAGTTTCCTTACAATAATCTTCCCTTACAATAATCTTTTTGAATAAAATCTCTTCTTACTAAGTCCAGATTTGTTTTTATTTGACAAATATATAGAAGGATATTCTATGAAAGAGATCTGCAACCACTAGCATATTATCAAGAAGATTCATAGAGTGAATGATTTTCTTTTGGTGGCTGCTTATGACATGGTCCTATAGCTCATCACTGGTCACTTGGAGGGAGATCAGGGTAAGGTCTAGAAAAGTTGCAGGAGGGTGGGAAATAGAACTCTTGTGACCAGCAAAATAATAGTCTCTTCTTTCTATTTAAAATAAGCTATAATATATCCATCTGTCTTAGTCCATTTTGTGTTGCTATAACAGAATACCTGAGACTGAGTAATCCATAATGAACAGAAATTTAGTGGCTCATGGTTCTGGGAGGTCCATGATTGAAGGGCCTGCATTTAGCAAGGGCCTTCTTGCTGCATCATCCCATGGTGGAAGGGCGAAAAGAGGATGAGAAAGAGCAAGAGATTGAACCTGCAGCCTCAAGCTATTTTATAATTGACATTAATCCATTCATGAGTGTGGAGCTCTCATGACCTAAATAGTTTCCATTAGGCCTCACCTCTCAATGGTGTTGCACTTGGGGATTAAATTTCCAACACATACTGTTTTGGAGACACATTCAAGTCAAAGCACCATTCTATATGCTTCTCTGTATATAGAACATATAAAAATAATGTTAGACAAGAATATTAAAAGAATGGAAAGTTGTGATAATTTTTTTTTTCTTATAGCAAATGTTGAAATGGTATGAACTGTATGGTCTCATGGTGGTAAAAAATATATACATATGTTTGTATACACAGAGGAAAGACTAGAAGGTTCTGTACCTGTTAACAGTGGCTGATCCTAGAAGAGTGAAATTTAGGGTAAGATTTTTCATTTTTTTCCCAAAATGTCTACAATGCACAAGGATTGTTTTTAAAAAAATAGTTGTTCTTTATTTTTGTATTTCAAAGGAAATACATTGTCTTAGTCTGTTTGAGCTGTTTAACAAAATTCTGCAGACTGGGTGGCTTAAACAACAGAAATTTATTTTCTCTCAGGTCTGGAAGCTAGACAGTCCAAGATCAAGGTTCTGGCAAGGTTCAATTTCTGATGAGGGCTTTCTTCCTGACTTGTCAACAGCTGCCTCTTCTGTGTGTTTTCACAGAACACTTCCTTGGTATATGCACAAGGAGAGAGGGAGAGGGCGAGTTCTCTGGTCTCTCTTCTTATGAGGTCACTAATCCTATCAAATCCGGACCCCACACTTATGATGTCATTTAAACTTAATCATTTTCTTACTCCAAATATGACCACACTGGGGTTAGGGTCTCAACAAATGAATTTTATGGTGGGCACATACATTCAGTTCATAGCACATATACTTACTATAACAGAGACAACCACTGTTCTAGTCTTTTTTTCTATGACCACACAAACATATATGGGGAGAGGATAATACATGTACACATATACATGCATGCACATAGCCACATAGTTTCTTTTTGCTTTATTGGGATCATACACTCCATATTGTTCAGCATTTTGCTTTTTCCACTTCACTACATATCCTAGACAACTTTACAAGTCACTTCATACAGATCTGTTTTATTATTTTTAATAGCTACTTAGATTCCTTATGAGTACCATCATTTGTTGAAAGACATTTAGTTTTTCACTGTTTTTGCCTGTATTATCTTTAAAATTTTTAAAGCAAACACAAAAATCAGTTAATATAGTAAGAGCCTAATGGCAAACAAAGAAAACATTCACATTTTAAAAAGCTAGAAGGAAATAAATCAAAATGTAAAGAGTACTTATTTCTGAATGTGGGGATATAGATAATTTTGTGGGGTTTTTTTAACAAAATAATTTGCTTTATTTTCTACCTTACAGTTGGTGAGGTTGCTGAACATTACTTTTCCCCAGTCTCCATGCAGAGTCTGGCTTCAGTTCTGCTCTGTATCTCTGCCATAGAGGACAAAACTTCAGCTACTCTGGAAGTTACTCTGTTTAGCTATAAATAATAGCCAAAATTACATTTAATTGCATCATCATCATAATTTTCACTTTATTTACATAAAGCAGTAGCTTCCTTTTGGAGAAATTGTGTGTTGAGGAGAATGTGTATGGGATTTGTGTTTGACAGACTTTAGTTTTAAACTAGCTGAACTGTATGTGACTTGAAAAAGTTGCTTTTACTTTCTCTTAACAGCTCTCTTAGCTGCTAAACAGAGGCTTGTGAGAATTAGAGATCAAAGGATTGAAACAAAAATGCTGACACAACTATTTATTTCTCACTTATATATACCAATGACAAGTGGAATTTATAATCTGTGTAATGTCCTTTCAGCCCTCCTTTTAATGTGTGTGAAATATATAAGAAATATATTGGAGTTCTCTTCCTGCAACCAGTTCACACACTGTTTAAGCCAGTGCTATGTAATTTCTCCCTTAGCTGGTTTTTATTCTAGGCACACTTGCCTTCTTTCTGTTATGCAAGCATTTTAAAAGTTGTTTTGAAGACAGGGATATTGCTCACTCCAGGCTGTTTGTTAAGAGAAGGTCAGGGCAGCTTTTGGTGGGTTAGGTCAATTCCTCTAGCATCACTGAGTGTCCCTGCAGTGCCCTTTTTGTTCTGCACAGTGGAAGCAGTGGGGTCCCTGTTCCAGGCTCCAGCCAGGTCTGTCCCCAGATTCTAACTCTGGGTTAGGCCTACAGAAGCGGGGAAAGGGGTGGGGTATATAGGAGGAAGGGATTGCCTCCTGAGAGCTTTTCCCAGAGCGTAGGAAACTGAGCTAGTGGGGTACTTTTCACAAGTCTGCTGCTGCCAAGAGCTTGGTACACAGGATGCTCTCCGATTCTTCAGTGTGGTCTGAGAGACAAACCACCCTCCTTCTGCTCTTAAAGAAGAAAAAGTAAAGCATAGACATTGTAGGCTAATAATACAAGCCAAAATGTTAAAATAAAAACCCTAGGAAGTCTTCCATATTTGCTCCCCTCCCCACCACTAGGTCAATGTGCACAGCTAGATCTGTACTGTGTATCTATATTTATATCTATATCTTTAATCCTATATATAGGGTTTTACACATGCATACACACACAAACCTACACATATTTCTATATATAACTGTATATTATATACACACACACACATCCTTAACTCTATCTGCTTATATGTATACAGTTAATATTTTTGTGGTCCAAAGTGGTATCGTATTATACATGTATAAGATAGTGTAACTGATGCAAGGGTGGCTGAAGCACTTTTGGCTTCCATTCCTTTAACAGTAATTCCACACACTTAAACCTCCTTCCCTCTCCCTGCCCAGTAGGTACCCTAGCAGGTTGGTCTTGGAAAGCCACATTAATATCTTTTCCTTGAGACTTGCCAATAGTTTCATTGGTGACAAAGTTTTGCCTAGAGTATAGTTAGTACAGGAAAACTCTCGTACTTGCCTGGATATTATCTTTGTCATTTCCTTTCCTTACTTCCTCCACTCCTTGAGAGACTAGTAAATAAAAGGGAAATTAAAAAAATAAAAGAAATAATTTGTTCAGAAAGTTTTTCATCCTAGCCTGTTGGCTTTGTGTCTCATCAAACAATCTGGGGTTCAAGTTGAGAGATGCAGTCCTTGTCACAGTGTTTACTGAGTTCAACCCCTCCCCACAGTCCACTGTAGCCAGGCATCGTAATAATTACATTTTAAAAATATCTCTAAAACAAGTTACTTATGCCACAATTTAATGCTTATGTCCTTTTGTTCTCTGAGGATACACAGAGCAGTTATTTGTGTTCACAGTTTTTCTGATTAAGCTAATAACTGGAAAATAATCACATCCAAATGGGCTTCAGGGTCTTAAGTGGTACTTGTGCTTGGGAACTAACAGATATTTCTCCTTTGGAAGCAGGTAGTTGGAAAGAACACAGCACAGAAAACTTTAGGATGAATTTTCCTAGCAGCCATTCTGTATCGTCAAAGGTGAGTTGCAGAGGAGGACTGGCAGGGAGTGCTTCAGTCCCACAGCCTGGAACAAACAGAAACACAGAAGGGATTCTGGAACTCTGCCAAATTGTTTGACCTCAGGGAAACTTGCTGGGCCTTATAAAAAATACATAGTTCAGTTCTGACTTTTGCCTAGTTCCCATTTGACCCTTTACCCAGATCTGTCTTTCCCAACCAGCCTTCAATCCCTGAGGAGAGAGTTAATGGCACACAGGAGTGGGGTGATTTGGGCAATGAGTGCTTCTTCCTTTCAACCTGTTGCTGCCTAACACAAGGACAATTGGTCTTCCACCCTCTTCACAGTTCATTCAGTCATTGTCCCTGTCTCCCAGGTGAGTTGAGGTGAGCAGCAGTGATGAAAACAAAGCCACACTTTGTAATGATTTTTGCATCTAAATTGGACTTCTTCATAAAGAAGTGACAATGGGTGTGGCATGCTCAATAAGCCACGTAATGTTCCTCCGTATATTGTGTTTTAAAGGCCTCTTAATCCTTCTTTAAAACAATGTTAAAGTTATTATTGCTACTTGTTTCTATGTTTTATAGGCTCAATGAGGGAAGAACTTTGTTTTATTCACTGCTATATCCCCAGCACCTAGAACAGTTCCTGGCGCCCAGTAGACCCTCAATAAGTATTTGTAGAATGTTTGTAGAATGACAACAGTTATTGTTACTTCACAGCTTTCAAAGGCCTCAGTCATAAGAAAGAGACTTTAATATTATGTGTAGTAAGTGGTAGGTTCGTTTTGAGACAGAGTCTTGCTCTGTCACCAGGCTGGAGTGCAGTGGTATGATCTCTGCTCACTGCAACCTCTGCCTCCTAGGTTCAAGTGATTCTCCTGCCTCAGCCTCCCGAGTAGCTGGGACTACAGGCATGTGCCACCACACCCAGCTAATTTTTGTATTTTTAGTAGAGATGAGGTTTTGCCAAGTTGGCAGGATGGTCTCTATCTCTTGACCTTTTGATCTGCCCGCCTTGGCCTCCCAAAGTGCTGGGATTATAGGAGTGAGCCACAGCACTCAACCAGTAGATTCTTTTTAAAATCACCAACAAAGATCCTTAGTTCAGATTTTTTAAAAGTAAGAAACGTGTCTCTTGTGTTATTTATGCACTACCCTGAAGGGCCTGGAAAAGGAGCACTCCATAGGTCCAGTGAAGGCTGCTGACTACAAATGCCTTTCTAATGACACTTGGCTGAGAAACCATTCAAACTCAGAACCCTCTCCTGAGATGGCTAATAAGAGCAACAATGGCTCATGTGGAACCAGGGAACACAAACTTTGGTTTAATCATTTTCTTGTATTGTTATCAAATGAAATGATCTCTAGTTACCTGCAGTGCAGTCAAAGAACCACACGCATGAACAACCAGTATAGAAACATCCCATTGTGACTGCCTCTATTTGTTGCTCTGTACATCTCCTGCTTTGTACCAGAAAAGGCTTTGAATGCCTATCTGTGCCATTGTGGCACTTTTGACAAGATGCAGAAAATTAGGAACAGGGAACTGAAATAGGAAAAAAGATGCCAAACAGGAACTGGGATAGGAATTATTATCGTCTTAGGAAAAGTCATGTATAAAGTGTTGGTTGTGTGGAAACTGTAGCATGAAAAGTTTAAGAATGGAATTAAACTAATAAAATTCATCTAAAAATGGAATTAATGAAAAAGTACGTAAAGGGATAAATAAATGGTTAATCTAAAACCCATGTATTTGGTACAGTTTCTAGATCTCAGGAATCATGTTCCTGTTCTTATTTTGGTTTTGGCATCACATGTAAACCACTTGTTTTAAAATGCTGTATACTATGATTTTCTTCCTATATTAATATGCATCTTACAATATTACGGTAGGAAGAACAGCCCATGTTTCATAAATTTCACTGAAAAAGTACTAAAGAAAATGTGATTTGTAAAAATTGCTTTCCTCAGTCATTCATTTATTTATCTTTTGTGTTCAATCATTCATTTATCTTATTTCCATAAAGGATGTGAGGCTCTGGAAATACACTGAGGAAGAAAGTGCAATCTTTGAAGATGCAATGGAAAATTTTCCACAAAGAGTATTGTTAAAATAATGCCTTCATTATGAGAGATTTGGGAATTTTGTTTTGTTTTGTTTTAAGACATAGTCTTGCTCTGTCACCCAGGCTGGAGTGCAGTGGCACGATTTCAGGATTTGGGAATTCTGATGTCAAAGTCCAGTTAATTTCTTGAAAGGCAAAACTGTGTTGTCTACTTTACCAAGGTCACTAAAGCTGGTGTATTCAAATACCATGTCTCGGAAACCAAATGGATTCTTGTCCTTCTAAGATGTTTCTAATAAGGCAATATGTCCAAGAGCACCTAGTTCAGAGTAAATGCCTGTCTACTCCTCTCTTTCCTTCAATAACTTATCTAAATATGATCTGTAGTTTTCTTCAGAAATTACCATTTCCCACCATCAAAAACTGAAAACAGACTTCTGAGAGCAAATTTAATCTACTTTTGAGAAATATCAGAAGGATTCCTTAAAGAGTCTCAGATTTTGTTTCTTTTTCTTAATGCAATGCTTTTAATTTCTAATGTGTTTTTGTTGTTGTTGTTGTTGTTTGTTTGTTTTGAGACGGAACTCACTCTGTCACCAAGGCTGGAGTGGCAGTGGCTCCATCTTGGCTCACTATAACCTTTGCCGCCCTGGTTCAAGCAATTCTCTTGCCTCAGCCTCCCGAGTAGCTGAGATTACAGGCTCATGCCACCATGCCCGGGTAATTTTTGTATTTTTAGTAGAGATGGGGGTTTCACCATCTTGGCCAGGTTGGTCTGGAACTCCTGACCTTGTGATCCACCCCCTTCGGCCTCCCAAAGTGCTGGGATTATAGGTGTGAGCCACCATGCCCAGCCTAATGTGTGTTTTTAATAAAAAGAAAAGTCGAACCTAGAAGGGAATCCATCATAACATGCCTTAGTCATAGGAAAAGGTAAAAACATCCTGAAGATAAGAGGAAAAATTATATCACAAAGCAAGGAAAAAAAAAACCAACACCCAATGCACACTGAATTTAGAACACTTCAACACTCTGTTGCATGCAAATATCTTACTCTTATTCCACATTACTAAAAATACTTGTAGTTGCCCAACTGAGAAGGATTTGTTCAGCACAAATTTCTGGAGATGGCTAATTTCAATAACATTTAAAAATATACATTCTTACATATATACATTTATACATATTCATTTAAGATTACTCTTTTTCCTCTAGGAATGACTTATATTGTAAACTACATTGCCGAGTAGCTTGTGTTTCTATGTAATGAAGTACCACTGGAGAGAACAGTCACTTGTGGCAGGTAGCAAAGAAATTTCAATAAAGTAAACTCTTAGGATTATCAAAATTATACATTTGGGGCTGTTAGCATGGCCTAGAAAAAGATGAGGACAGGCTCATCTCATTAAAAGAGAAGAAATAGTGGAATTAGCTTGAATCTAATTACAAGCCACACTATCTAATGTAAAAACATGACTGTTTTTTCACTCCCATTCATTTTGACTAGTAATTAGTTTTGGCCTCTAAAATGCCACCCTTTAATCATCCAAACACAGATGTGATTTGCCGTGCAATTTAATCTTGCTTTAATGAAGAACTAATGGACGCATCGCAAATTACTTTCCCTGTTGGAGAAAAATTCTATTTCCTGCTTTTCAAAAGATCAAGAGTATCTTGTGATAATAGCCCAAGCGGCCCTGGCAGCCTCACCGCACAGAGCAAACAAGCTCTTTTACTCAACTCCCAATTCAATGGAGAAAAAGAGGCTACAATTAGCAACAAAGCAGGGGAAACGCAGCATTACAGCCGAATCACTTTCTGTAGCTCAACCCCCAGTAACCACTGGCTTGTTAGAGCCAGGTCTAAAGTGTCAGGCACGAACAATGCGCTGTGATAAATTACTCTCTTCAAACAGCTGCACTGCTAATTTTCAATTATACACACAAATGGCTCTCAGATTGGAAGAAAATGGAGTGCATGGGGAGAACAGTAGTAGATTTCTATGTTTGTTTGGTAGTGAGTGTGGAGGCGGGAGAATGACATCCTGAAAAGAAAGCCGTAGTGAGGAGTCAGTGTTTGAACTTCAGAAGATGAGCCATCCCGAATCTTTAGGAGACCTGTGGTTTCCTCGCTTAGCTCTGGGTTCTAAAAGGACTGAAATTACGAGTTACTTTCCGTCGTGGGTTTGCTTTTTTGGTTTGTTTGTTTTGACCTGTCACCCACTTTATACTGAAAATCCCCGGCTGATCTCACTGCTCTGTCTTGGTAAGCCCATTTGGATTCACGAAGGCTCCGTTCCCCTAGGTACCCTTGCCATCTGTGTACCAAATCCCTCCAACCCTTCCACCTCCTTCCTTCCTTAGTTCCTCACCAACCTAACTGTGCTTGAACTTTCTATTCTTTCACTCTCCTTCACCCCATCAACTGCTAGTCCTCATCGCCAGGGTTCAATGCTTTCTGTGTAGACTCTGAAGAGACACCTCCTCCAGCCAAATACAAAACATTCACCCTTATAGACTGAAAAATTTTAGAAATCTCAGTTGTTTTTTCTGAACTAGATTTTGCCTAAAGGGATATTAAAATTTGGTCAGTCTTTTCTCTCAAATAAGAACGGGTGTCATGAAATATTCCTTAATGCTTAATGCGGAGATAAACAATAAATCAACACACATTATTATTCTTGTTTCTTTACCTATGTGTTATCCATGTATCCTAAGTGGCAGCTTATATGGGGGTTGAATTTTAAATTAGAGTTTGGGGAGGTACATGCCGCTGGACCATCTCTGATTCTTTCAGGACGGATTCATGGTGGACCTGAGCTCAAACCCACTCCACCCCAGACTGTTAGCACCTTTGTGGAACATATGTTTCCCCACTCCCTTGTTTTTCAATTGTGGCTATTTCCCCCAAAACCAAAGGGAAGAGTTTGCTTTTTCATAAAAAGACATTTGCTAAAGATCTGAAGGGCGGCATGAGTTGATTTTCTTGTAGAAAACACGAAGGCAATTCTTGTTGAATCTATTTCTGTCCTATTCCAAGCAGGAGATTACAGCCACAAGTGTGTGACACAGAATTGTTCCTTTAGCTCACTCTCTTGGAAATCAGTTTGTGACAAGAGTAGCTGCTCTTTTGTCTCTCAGCAGGGATGGTGTTGATGTTACTGCATTTTTCATCTTCAAGACGCCACAAATCTTTTGCCTCCATCAGTGTTTGTTCATTGTGTTCACTGACAAGGAGGCACTCATCTTTTGGGGAGCAGTCTTGGTAGACGGTCCTTCCCCCCACCTTTTTTTTTTAACTGTGCTAATTCAAGCCAGGAGCCTTTTTTGACTTCAACAGCGGGGAAGAAGACAATAAGTGGGCCTCATCTGCTTAAGGGCCACACATTAAGTACGACACAATCATTTGGCCAGATGAGGATAATGGCCATTAAAATGTTCTGATTTCTAACCATTTTCTAGACGAGTGAATGTAATGTAAATTAATGTTCAAAAAAGGGGCTTCTAGAAGGGAATTTGTTTTAAAAAGAGCAATCATTTTAGAAGGATGGGGTGGGGAAACCTCTTTTAGAGCAGTTCTCCTCACCAAGGAAAAACTGTGAGCATTATATATTTGAATTAGAAATACTACCATTTAGAAAATACTACGTAGAAAATTTAAAATGCCAGTCCATTAAAAGTTACTTTTTTTCATGCAGTGGGGGAAGGCTACTGGGAGGTAGGGGATGGTTGTGATACCGAGACGAAATGCAGTACTTTTTTTTTTTTTTTTTTTTTGCTGAAGTGGGATTTTATTCCTTCTACTTTATAATCGTTACAGAAATTTAAACCTCAAACCATTTCAGCCCAAGCTTATACTAAGCTTGTTAGTGGTTTCTGATGCTGTGGACGATAATGCTGCAGCATTACCATAAATCAGCAGAATTAACTATGATCTTCAGAAGCATGCTTGAAAGTGGGTGACAGAAGTCTGCAATTTGGTGCTCTGAATATTATGATAACATTCTATATTAAATGTTCATAATCTACTTAAAGCTGAGCTTCAAGTACATTTTGTATTTGTGCTTTGCCCAATATTAAAAGCTAGTAACAATTATTACAACCCATGTGAGCTTTCATTATTTGCAAATGCAAAATATAAAAATATATGGTCATGCATGTACCAAGTGACCTTTTTATTAATTTTATAAAAAGTGTTCTTTTTTTATTTAAATATGGTTATTGCTTTGTTCACTTAAGAATTGGCTTTAAATTGTATTTTTATTACATTGTCATCTACAAAACAAATGATTGCAGATGATCTATAGATTCAAATGCAATTCCAATACTATATTGCAAACTTCTGAAATATGTATTATTCACTCTGCCTTTTCCATCTGATGTCGGTGTTCATATAATCTTATGACTCAAAAGACAAGGATCCTTATTGGACATTAAGTCCCAGAAAGTAATACTCTACTTTTAAATACACAATAATTAAGGCACATAGCATGTTTTTTGCACCTCACTCCCCAAAAGACATATTCTCTGACTCGGTCCCAGAATAACCTAATTATGAGCAAATCAAGGTTTATTTTTTTATTGCCCTTGTTATTCTATGCTAACTTGCATACGTACCAGAGCACATTGACCCATGCTCTAGAGGTACAAAGAAAATATCTAGGCAAGTCATTCTTAGCAAATAGATAGTAAATGAATTTTTTTTACAATGTTAAAAAAATACAGTTGTTCACTGCTTGAACTGAAAGCATCAGCTGGCCGTTTAGTCTTACTCCTAAGTGGCACCTACAAAAAAGTTTGCATATTGCAAGCAATTGGCTAATTTAGCAGGTAAGCAATTTAGACGCACTGAGGATTTTTTAATATATAACTTATTGGGCTAAAAGGAAGATCAAATAAATGGTGCAAAATGTAAATGCATCTTTATTTCCCACTGATTTTGTGCAAATGTAAGGGGGAAGATAGAATTTTGATAGTACTTTTCATTCACAATGGTTATATAGAAAAGCTCATCTAAACCAGATCCTAAATGGGATTAAATATGGTCTATTTTAAGTGGATAATCTTATAAAAACCTTATAAATTTCTAGCACTCAAATGCTCTCACAGAAGCTCTGCCTCTCGGATCTTGACTAGGGGTGCAGAAGGAAGCTGAGTCCTTGAGATTCCTCAGTGTACAGTGCTTTCTCAAGCTCACCCTCGCTTCCTTCAATAGCAATGAACAATTGCCAGCAGCCCTCCCTTTTAGTGTCCCTCTGCCCATATTTCACCTGTAAAAGGAACACGAAGAGAAAAGATCTATGAAAGCGCTTTGAAAAAACTGCTATATGCATGCAAGATATACAACAGAAAAACCTATTAGCAATAACAATCACAATTTATTAGGTACCTCCTAAGTGATGCAATATGTAAATGATTTGTACATAATATTTTTAATCCATACAAATGATTAAGTGGGCAATTTAAACCTTAGGTAGATGAGGAAATCAAGTCTCCAGAGAAGTTAAATACCACTATTTAGGATTTGAATTCAATTGTCTGATTCTAAAGCCCATAATTTAAATCACTGGACTACTCTGGCTCTAATTACTTAAATATGTCTATTATATATCATTATTTTTAAATAATGTTCCAAATTATATGGCCAGTGTGTTATATTATCTTGTATGAAAAATCAGGATTTTTAATCAGTTTTCTTCTTCTCCAAAGGAACAAGATTTGGGAAACATCTATCTCTTATCATATGATTGGGAAAAGGGGGAAAGATGTAGAGGACTGGAGTTCTCTGGATCACTCAATCAGGGATATAAATGACTTTACCATGATGATGTAATGCTTGAATTTGCTACTTTAGGTAGATTCAAAAGAGTCGTGTTTTTTTTTCTTTTTTCAGTTTTGGCATGATATGCATTAATGATGTTCTCATCAAAAGCAGCACAATTTTAAAAATGAATTTGGCAAAGCTCCAAAACTAAATGGGCATGTAGGATGTATATGGGCACCTTGGCATTATTACTTATAATAGCTAAGAAAATTTAGGAAGACAACATGTTTGGAGATTTGCCTTACCAGGAGCAAAGAATATTATGAAGATGTGCTAGTGAAGATATGCTAAAATGCAAAGGGGTATTCATGCAGGAATAAACAAAACAATCAATGGAGCAGAATACAAAGTCTAGAACAAGTTCAATATACAGATCGGAATGTATTTATGATAAAAACACATTTTAAATCAGTGTAATAGATGTACTATTGATTGCCCATTTGGGAAAAAAAAAAAAAGGCAATTACGTCTTTACTGTTCACAAGGAAGTCCAGAAGGATTAATGATTTAATGTAACAAATAAACAAATGAAAAAGAGTGCTACCAAGTTAACACCAGAAAAATCCTAGAAGAAAATACAAGAGAATTTTTTTTGTGATCTATAACTAGGGAAGACATTTCTAAGCAAAACATAAAACTGCCAAATCATAAATGAAAGAATTGACAAGTTTACATGCAAATAAAAATCTTTTCTATAAAGATCCATTTCTAAAAAGTTAAAATACAAAAAAGAGGCTGGAAGAACATATCTGCAATTCATACAATATTCAAAAGAGTAATAGCCACAATATGTAAGTTCTCCTATAAATCCAACAATAAAAAGAAAAAATATTTCAAGAGAAAATTGAGCAAAGGATATGGAGAGGAAGTTCATTCTTGGAAGATGAAATCAAACTAGGCAGTAAACATAAATGCATAATCTCACTAGCACTCAGGGAAATGCAAGTAAGAGCAAGTTACCATTTTCTATCCATCAAACTAGCAGAAATTTAAAAGCCTGCTCATATCTAGTATCCATGAAGATGTGGAGAAAAGGATACGCCCATACACTCTGGTGAAATATAGATTGATGTGATACCCATCAAAAATTTTTTTATAATACTATTATTTATTTATTTAATTTTTTAACCTTTATTTTAGGTTTGGGGGTACATGTGAGGGTTTGTTACATAGGTAAACATGTGTCATGGGGGTTTGTTTTACATTTTATTTAATCACCCAGGTATTAAACCCAGTACCCAATAGTTATCTTTTCTGCTTCTCTCCCTCCTCTCACTCTCCCCACTCAAGTAGACCCCAGTGTCTGTGTTTCCTTCTTTGTGCTCATAAGTTCTCACCATTTAGCTTCCATTCATAAGTAAGAACATGCAGTACTCATCAAAATTAAAAATGTACAAACCACCTGGCCCAGTAATTCATTTCTAAAAACAATTCTATAGAAATACTTTGCATGTGAACCCAAAGATACAGTCATGCATGACTTAAGGATGCAGATACATTCTGAGAAATGCATTGCTAGGTGATTTGGCATCACGCAAACATCACAGAATACACGTACACAAACCCAGATATATAGCCTACCGCATATCTAGGCCATATGTGGTAAATATGACTATTTCTCCTAGGCTACAAACTGATACAGCATGTTACCGTACTGAGTACTGTAGGCATTTCTAACACAATGGTATTTGTGTATCTAAACATGGAAAAGGCATGGTAAACATACAGTATTATACTCATAATTGCATATGTGTTCTGTTCACTGAAATGTTATGCAGTGCATGACTGTATACATATAATGGTGCTCATTATAACATTTCTTATAATAACAATTGGAAACATACTAAGAGTTCCTCAATATTAGGATGATAAATATGATACATCACACTATGCAGCCATTAATAAGAATGAGATAGATCTATAAATGGAAAGAGGGCCACTGATGAGTGAAAAACAGGCAAATCTCAGAATAATACATGTAGTGTAATTGTATTTGTGAAAGCCATGCTTTGTATGTATATGTGTAGTATGTGGAAAAGCAAAATTGAGATTAGCAGGTTGCAGTATGTGTGTGTGTGTGTGTGTGTGTGTGTGAGAGAGAGAGAGAGAGAGAGAGTTTTTTCTGTTTCTCCCAGATTAAGGTATAATTGACAAACTAAAATCATATATATTTACAATGTACAACAACATGCTTTGATATATGTAGTATACATTGTGAAATAAAACTAAGTAACATGTTCATCACCTCACATACTTATTTTTTTTTGTCATGAGAACATTTAAAATCTATTCTCTGAGAAATTTTCAAGTCTACAATAAGTTATTATTAACTGTAGTCACCATATTATATAATACATGCTCAAAGTTTATTCATCCTGTCTAACTGAAAATTTGTATCCTTTGACCAGCATGTTCCCATCTCCCTTCTCTCCTCCTCCCCTGCCCCTGGAAACCACCATTCTACTCTCTGCTTCTATGCATTCAATGAAGTTTTTACTCTTTATACTTTTGTATTGTTTAATTTTTTTTAACAGTTGTCTTGTTTTTTCTTCTGCAGTGAAAATAATGGTGACAAGAAGCCCACTGCCTGATTCACATAAGCAAGGCATGCTGCAGGGAAGACAGGGTTCTTATTAATATTTCCTTTCATGTGCTTACATATGAGTTACAGTTGCTAATCCTTTCCCACAGTTTAGCACCTAGTTAAAAGAAAGGGCTTCGGAATCAGGTAAGTGTAGATTAAAGTTATAACGGCAAATTGCTGAACCTTTGGAAGCCTCGGTTTTTCCACCTGGAAAATGGATTTTTATCTTACAGGACTGTCGTGAGGATTGATGAGCTAACATTCCTAAATCAGGGAGTTTGAAGTCTGGCCCAGGGTAAGAATTTGATGAATGATGGCTTTTATTTTGTAGCTTTACAAGAACTCTGCAGTGCAGTAAGACATATTTTAGCACTAATTTTTTTTATAGATGGAGAAGTTCAGGCTCAGAGAGGTTAAACGGCTTCTATGAGATCAGACAGGAATTGGACTAGAGTTTGGATCTAACCACCATTATTCTGACTTCTGGTTATTTTTCTTAGAAGCTGAAGAAATTGAAAGTCACGTAATTATTTCTTCAAACATTGCCAGTTTTTATCTACATTTTGGAGACTATGTACTTTCACCTGTGAAATGGGGGGAAAAAACACCTAATTTGCAGTGGAAATTGGCATTGAGGGAACAAATACAACAATAAAACCTCCATTAGTTCTACATAGCTTCCTATCAAGTGCCTGGCCTCTAATGTAGAAATGTCTGTCATTACCAGGATTCTAAGGCAATGAAAGAGACAGATTCCTACTCCATTCCGATTCAAAAGATCTCTCCTCCTGGCCTCCCTTCTCGCCCCAAGAAGCCTGCCTCATTCTGGAATCTCAGCTTTTCCTTTCAGTTAACATAATCCTCTGGCCTCCTGCTTGTTCCTCTGTCACCCTGGTACAGCTCCCTTTCCTCAGCACCTCTCTCATAGCTTTTCTGTCCTCATTCACCTTTGTTGCTTTTCCCATATTTGGGGCTCTCCTAATAACTCAGCCCCAAGAACAGATAACTTGTGGCAATTTATAAAATAAGAACAGGTAGAGCTTTGAAATACTGCTAGAGATATACAAAAAAAAAATTAAAATATGCCAGGTGTTATGGTGTGTGCCTGTAGTCCCAGCTACTCGGGAGGCTGAAGAGGGAGGATTTCTTGAGCCCAGGAGTTCTGAGCTGCAGTGTGCTATGCTGATCCTGTGCTATGCACTAAGTTAGGCATCAATATGGTGACCTACTGGGAGGCGGGACCATCAGGTTGCCTCAGGCGGGGTGAAATGGCTCAGGTCAGAAGGAGAGTGGGTCAAAACTTTCATACTGATCAGTAGTGGGATTGCACCTGTGAATAGCCACTGTACTTTAGTCTGGGAAATGTAGCAAGACCCCATCCCTAGAAAATAAATAAATAAATATTAAAATATAAAACTTAAGAAATCAATGCTAGGACTGGAGGTTGGTGGATAGCTTAGAGTTTGGCCAGGCAGGGCAGAGAGGATCTGGAAAGCCTATATGCCTTTGGAATGATTCAGGCACTTGGAAAAAGTCTAGCTGGACGGGCCACAATGTTCAGAGAGAATGGAGACTTAAACAGGTGATAGTCTGATTAGACAGCAACATCAGGTGGTACAGCAAGAGGTAGGTTCTCAAAGACGAACAGAGGTTTCCAGACTAGGAACTACATGGAGATTCAGGTGGGAGCATGAGGCAAAAGAGGAAGCAGGTGGCTGGCCCCGATCTCCAGGCTGACATTCAGGAACAAGCCTCCAGGGCCTCAGATAATTGGGGAGAACCAAGCAGGGTATGGAGTCAAGAATACAGTAGAACGCATGGAGTCAGGGCCCAGCTCAGGGGTTCTAAGTAGAGGCCTGGTTATAGAAACAAGATAGAAGGGCATTTGCTAGAAAGTGAGTCCAAGGTCAGAGCATTAAGTACTTAAGATAATGAACTAGTTCTTTCAAATTGCTCTTACCTAGACCAACCTTAGGATGAGTTCTAAAACAGGCTGAGCCCTGATTTTTGCCAGGAAGCATTTAAGGAATCCTATTTCTATAGTTGATAGCCAAGTGGGGCATTATATTGAGTGATAAGATCATATAGAAAACATTTTTTAAAGTAATTGAAAGACATCTAACTTACTAAAAGTGTTTGCTGTTTTTTCTCCCAAATTTGTTTATTAGGATTTTTGTTGGTGAAATTTAATTTAATTTTACATCGAGAACATTTAGAGAAGCAGTAACATTCCTTCTGTTTTTTGGTTTGCTTTGTTTTTCAGTAATTATTTTCCAACTATCCCTTTACTATGAAACTATTTTTTCTGCTAAGATTAGTTGCTTAAAAGTTATGCTTATGCAGATAGAGGGAAAAATTGCACATTGGTTAATAATAGTTACAAATTATCATTAGCACTATGCAGTTTTAATGAATCATTATCTATTTTAAGTTAATATTTCTGTGATGTGGATCTGACTATCCTATTTTTACAAAATAATCTGACTAATCAGGATGTTCTAATCAGGGCAGAAAGTAAAATGCAGAAACTTGGGGTCTTCAGGCCTTCCCTTGGCCATGGGACTAAAACTGTGTCTCTAATAAAAGCATTTTGAAAGACCCAGAGATGGCATAAGGTTTCTTTTGGCTGGCCACCAAAAGACCTCAAGGAAGACTTGCTTCCCTTATGGAGACAATTTTCTTCAAGACCGTGGTCCAGGGAGCCAGCAGGGCAACACACACATCTTACAAGGGCTTTTGATTTCCATTAAGTCTCCTGCACACTTCTGAGCAAAGGACAGGAGGGGGCATTTTCCATGAGGAGATCTGTTGAGTTTTTGTGCCAACTGAAGACTATGAATTAATATTTTTCTGATATTCCTAAAATTAAAACCCCATGAACTAACCATTTTAGGGTATTAAGCTTTGCTTCAAAATGCATTCTCCACAGATGAATCAAAGGGCCTAATGCATTTGCTATTTGGGAATAATAAAGCATGAAATGGGGTGTGGGACTTATATATTTACATAAGAAGAAAGAGCTGGAAAACTTAAGGAAAAACAACAGAGGAAGGTGCTACTATGAGACTTGCTCTGAAAATACAGACATGCCAACTGCTTCTCTTCACACCACTGCCCAGTCTATAGCAATTGACGAGCACATTTGAAAACCTCAATCCTTTTTTTCCCTTGGGTTTCCTAGATCGTCTAGATTTTGACGTTCTCCTTGTCTTTGCTGTGTACCCCTGGGAGAAACAAAGGGTGAGAAGAAACAAGGGAAAGGAGAAACATTTGTGTTTTCCAACTTTTCAGTGTTGATCAGGTATGACCATTGCTATGAGGAAATAGACATTGGGGATTACTATAGCATGAGGGAGCGGGGAAAGGGTTGAAAAACTAACTGTTGGGTACTATGATCACTACCTGCATAGGCGATCATTTGTACCCCAAACCTTAGCATCAAGCAATATACTCATGTAACAAACCTGCACATGTACTCCCTGAATCTAAAATAAAACTTGAATTTAAAAAATAAATAAAATGAAAAAGAAAAAGTCAGGATATAGAAACTTTAGAAATGACAGTCACCTAGTTTTAACTTAAAATTGAGCAATTTAGACTTTGCTCAATATGAGAAAAAGTTGCCTAAGTCACGTATAAATGTGCAGTTTGTTGCAATCTCCTGTACCACTTGTGGCCTTCATGTAATTTCACTGAAGAATCATGGACTCACACAGCTTTGTAGCTGTGAGTTGAACATCTTAAGATAACTAGGATTTAAAATATTTAAACAAAAGCATCCTTATTGATATAATCACTTTTATTTTATTTACATCAAAACAAATTCAGGATTAGAGTCATGCTGTCTGCAGTCCTCAAGTGAATAGAGGCTGTGTCAGCATAGGGTCGGCTGCATATGATGGCATGCCCAAGTTATAAAGACATAAGATTAAAAGTTTCTTTCTTTTTCAAGTAAAATTATTCTGGAGATAATGAGTCCAGGGTTGATCTGGTGGCTCCATGGTCACTGGGGACCCCAACTCCTTTGTTCTTTCTTCTTTGCCATTCTGAGCTTACCTCATTTCTGAAAATGGCGGTTCTAGCACCAGTCATGTTTGCATTCCAGCCAGCGGGAATAAAGAGAAGATGTGTAAGATGGAGGGCAAAAGAGATTCCCAGAAGCTGCTGCAGATCTCTTCCAGTTGCATTTCGAAAGCCATTACTTAAGTGTATATTCACACCTAGCTGCAAGAAAGGCTGGGATTGTATTCTGTATTCTGGGCAGTGATGTGTCCAGCTGAGCACTGGAGTTTTATTAATAAGGAAGAAGGTGAGAATGAATGTCAGAGTAGACAGTTATTAGTCTCTGTCTACATGTCAACTATTCTAATATCCCTTCTTTACCTTGGTGACTTATTTCTTCACTTTAAACCTTACTAATTTTCTCATAAATGCAAGTACAGAGCCCTGATATATCAGTTGCATTAGGTGAAGTCTATAACAATGATAATTAATTGGAAACACAAGATAAAAACAGAGGTGGTTTCTAAGGAACGAAAAACAAGGGGAAAGGGCCTTTCCATTTTCTCTCTCCCTCTTCTTCACTCTCTAATTCCCCACCACACACACACACTTTTATATACATTCTGGCTGTTTTTCACTATTTCTTGTCTAGGGAACCTCACTGTACAGCAGAAAATATTTCACACAATCTAGAGAAGGAAAGAAAGACAGTTACTTGGCTTTTTTGCTCTTTATGAGAGGCCATTTTACAGAAAGTACAACTGGTTTGTTTAGGGAATTAGTGAAGAGGAAGATAGTAACATATAGAAGGCATCAGCTGAAAGGAAGAAGCAAAATCTTTTTATCACTCTTAGAGGAGGAGAGTCAAAAGCCTTCTGAGCTTTTTTGATTAATTTCAAACCCTGCCTTTCATTGGATATTTTTTGCTCTCAATTTTTTGCCATCTGAGACATGAATTATTTTACTGAGATAACCTCTAGAAGTGGTGGGTTTCACCTGTAACACCAACAAAAACAATGCATAAGAAGATTCATTTGTTGTCTAATTCATTTTCAGGGTATAGTGAGTTGCCTTACTCAAGGGACTTATCTGGTAACATTTGAGGACAATGTAGGATGGAGACTTTATTTTGTTGGACTTGACAGTAGAGTAATATGAGTGAGGTACAATATTATAATATGTTAGTTTATTAATTAGTTGGATGATGTTAGTACAATGTGGTAAGAAATAACATACACCAAGAACTGTGGTTCTCTGAGTATGTAATAATCAATTGAGGAGCTTGTTAAGCACGTCTGTTCCTAATCCAATCCCTAAAACTCTGATATAGTACACCTAGGATAGATCCTAGGAATCTAAATTTTTGACAAGCATCCTAGGATGAGGCTTTGAGAGATACTGACCTAGAAATTCAGGTAGCATGAAGAGCTTGATATGAGACTTAATGCTGTAAGGGCTGGATTTGAGCCATCTTCACCACTTACTAACTGTGTGATCTTGGGCAAGCTATGTAACCTCTGAGCTCACTTTCCTCATTTTTAAAGTGGGTAAAAATATAACTAGGATTGTTTTTCAGATTAAGTGAAAGAACATATGTGAACACATATAGCACATTGCTTAACGCTTGATAAACATGTAAAAAATTCCTCCATCATGTTAGGATCTGAAGTGCTCTACAGAGACTACCCAAAAGTTCCATCGCAAGTAGGCACTTGAAATTTCTACTAAAGCAGCAGGACTTTTGGTTAAACTAGTGTCTTCAGAAAACACCTATTGCTACCCAAATAAGCCACTTTGAATTGCTAATCCTTACCTAGTGTTTTCTGTGGTGTGTTCTGTGGAACAGGGGTCCTGTATGACCTTAAGAGGTGATAGTTTAAAAAAAAGGTTCATGGTCAAATATTAAACAAAATCAACAAAGTTCCCTTAGTGCAAGACTTCTCTGAGCCTTTAATATGTTAATGCACATTTGAGGCTATAAGAGGGAGGTTTTGTATAAACTCTTACCAATTTTTTTTTGTTTGTTTTTTTGAGACAGAGTCTTGATCTGTCACCCAGGCAGTGTGTGCAGGTGGTGTGATCTCGGCTCACTGCAGCCTCTAGCTCCTGGGCTCATGCGATTCTCCTGCCTCAGCCTCCCAAGTAGCTGGGGTTACAGGCGTGCGCCACTGCACCCAGCTAATTTTTGTATTTTTAGTAGAGACAGGATTTCACCATGTTGTCCAGGCTGATCTCAAACTCATGGCCTTAAGTGATTCACTGCCTTGGCTTCCCAAAGTGCTGGGACTATAGGCGTGATCCAGTGTACCAGCCACATTTTCCAAATTTAATTGAGAAATATCTTTTCATGTAACATCTCAGGAGGTTTCGGTCTACAGAACACATTGGGAACACAATCACATATTTCTACACATGGAAGTTTTAGATTTGCTAGCAGACAGCAGTAAGCTAATGCAGAGAATAGAATGTGGGTTTGTAGGGAAGGAATAGAAAACTGTGTGGGATATTGGATTCAGCCTGGGGAGGAAAGTCCAGGTGAGAAACTCACATCCACCAAGGACATCAGAAGGGTACCAGGGATCCTCGAGGCTGAAGCCCTAAAATAGAGTAAAGAAGACTTGAAAGTCAGAATGCTTTAGTTATAATTTAGTATAGCAGTGCTTGTCTGGGAAAACAAGTTCTATGCTTCCTTTCTCTGTTCTTACATTTACCTTCACAGCTTCTGACCTGCCTAATTGAGGTTACCTAGGTACTTACAAGGAAAGTTCATTCTTCCCACCCCTTTTCCCCAAAAAATAAATTTAAATTGGGTATTTAACATATGTCACTCACTGGGCTTGGAGCTAAGAACTGAAAGACATGCATAAGATATTGTTTATATCCTGGAAGATCAACAGTGCAGTCAGAAGGGAATACAGGTGAAAAGATGCATATAGCCATATGGTAATATTAATTAAGTTATGCATACCACTTAATAGTGAATGAGGGATGGTGCTTCTAGGATTGGAGATGTCAGGAAGATTTCACATATAAAGTTATGGTTTGATATGGTTTGGCTGTGTTCCCACCCAAATCTCATCTTGAATTCCCACATGTTGTGGGGGGGACCTGGTGGGAGGTAATTGAATCACGAGGGCGGGTTTTTCCCATGCTGTTCTCGTGGTGGTGAATAAGTCTCACAAGATCTGATGTTTTAAAAATGGGAGTTTCCCTGAACAAGCTCTCTCTATGCCTGCTGCTATCCATGTAAGACATGACTTGCTCCTCCTCGCCTTCCACCATGATTGTGAGGCCTCCCCAGCCACGTGGAACTGTAAGTCCATTAAACCCTTTTTCCTGTACAAATTACCCAGTCTCGGGTATGTCTTTATCAGCAGTGTGAAAATGGACTAATACATGGTTTAACCAATCCTTGAGAAAGTAAGGCTTGACTGCAATGCAAAGATTTAGAAGCATGCAGGAGAATAGAGTCCTAGAGGACAGAACCTCAGCTAGCAGCAGGGAGCACATATATTATTTGATGGGAGCATGTTGTCATTTTATGAGGTGAAGCTCTAAGGGTAAATTCTCAAAACAATGACATTAAATTCTCCCTGTAATTGAGAAGCATTTTCCATCCATGACACAGTGACATAAACGAAGAAGTCAGCACTTAATATTGTATGCATAGGGGAATCTAATGTGCTTGTGGTCACCCTGATGGATTCTCTCTCAGGTAAGTCTTCTAGGGACCTCACATAGTCACTGCTGAGTCTTAAGTTCATTGCCTGTGCTGCTTGCTTAGGCTGGTTCTTGAATTGGAATGCCCATCTATTTTCATTTGAAACCAACCATCCTTCAAGGAGAAGTATGAATCTCACGGACACTCAGTGTGAAACTTTCCCTGTAGTCCAAAGTGTCATCTTGTCTCTGTTTATGGTCTAAAAACAACATAGACACACTATTCAACTCATTCACTAGAGTTGCATCTTATGTGGGAATTATCCCAGAACATATCTTAAATTGTTATTTAAATGGATATGGTCAGATCACTCTGAAGTTCAAAAACCAAGAACTAGTTACTTTGCTTTTCTACTTTTTTTTTTCTGTCTCTCTTTCCTGAAGCAGTGGAGATGAAGGTTTCAATTTAGCTATAGATTGACAAACAGAGAAAATGAGAATTAAATGAAATATGAGGCCAAGGGACCTGTCTAACCTCTCTGATTTCTTCTCTTATTCCTGGTTCATTGGTTAGTTTAGGGAGAGAAGAATCTACATCAGATTAGAAGTATGAATCGACTTTCCTAGACAAAAATGGCTACTCAGTGTGAAGGCAGCCAGATAGGCCATCTCTCTGCTTCAGAACAAGCGTCCCTGGTAAACAACTACTTCTTACCTGAAAGGCTCTATATATTAGAATATATTTAAAAAGAAAAAAGTAGAATTAGATGAAATAAAGCTAAAGCTATTTTCCCAAAAATTCAAGAAATAGGAGTTTTGAAGTGTGTGTAGATAAAACAGAGATGAGTCTCCAGGCCTATTAATTATATTAAGTTCTGACAGGAAAAAAAAAAAGCTATGCTGTTAGAGAAATAATGTTAGGAGCTACTAATGTGTATGCCTCCAGTGACAAAATATAAAAGAAACAAGCAGAGCACTTATTCCTTCCAACTGCTATGGCTTTAGGCAAAACTTTGGCCACAAGGTCTGCTGCCTTCTAACTGTTTCTCTTATTTCAACAATTGCACTAAATTCTGGGTAAATTAATTTTCCCTCAAAGTGAAAAGTTCTTTTAATAATTCCTTGAGTGTTCACATCGTTGTCATTAATGGGCTTTGTTCTGTTCACTGTAGGATAACTTCTTTATATACTTGTCTTTTCAAAAGCTTTCTTCCAATGAATAGACATCATAGTAAGTCACTTGAAAAATCTCCCGTAAATATGGATTTTTTTTTCAACATTATCAGCCATTGTCTCATAATTTCTTTAAAAAAAATTCTGACTTGGAATTACAGAAACCCTAGTCATGAATACCAGGTCAAATTCTATACTTGTAGCTTGCAAAAGCAGTTTGATAATAAATGCAAAGCTTATTATAGTTAAAAACAAGTAAAGCATTAATACAGGTTAGCATTTTAAAGAATTTATTTTTAAGCACATTTTATTCTCAATCTATACTTCGAAGTTTAAACTAATGATACAAAATAAAAATGTAAAGAGTTAAAATTTCAAGGAAATGGTACTTCTGGAGACCATATTCCTGAAAAGCCTTTTTTTTTTTTTTAATTATCAAGGAAAGGATTCAGAGAATAGTGTTTAAATGTGTGACTCCAGTGAGTTACACACGTGGAAGAGTCAATCTCTTTGTTCTTCCACTTACTAGATGTGTGACTTTGTTTTTCTCATCTATAAATTGGGAATAACAGCAGCTACTTAAAGGACTTTTATGAAAATAAAATGAGGTAGCCCATCTAAAGTGCCTAGAACAGTGTCTTAGACCTGTCAAGATGGCTACGTTATTATTGTTATTTTTCTGTTATTGTGGCATTATATGGAACTTAAAACCAGGAAACCTAATAATTCCAGGAATGAGAATTTGGAAATTTTCTTTTTTGTGGGGCCCAAAGAAACAATTTTCAGGGGTAATAGTTCTTATATTTGGGTGGACCAGATACGAACACAGCTTTTCCAGATGAGAGATGTGACTGGATATTATTTTATGTCTTCCAAGAGTCTGGCTAGCCATGCAGGGCAGGTCACCAAATCATCAAGTGGATTAAGAATAAATTGACAGATGGCCAGGCATGGGCATAGTGCCTCACACCTATAATCCCAGGACTTTGGGAGGCCAAGGTGGGCAGATCACTTGAGGTCAGAAGTTCAAGACCAGCCTGGCCAACATAACAAAACCCCATCTCTACTAAAAATATAAAAAGTAGCCAGGTGTGGTGGCACACACCTGTAATCCCAGTTACTTGGGAGGCTGAGGCACAAGAATCGCTTTAACCTGGGAGATGGAGGTTGCAGTGATCCAAGATCGCACCACTGCACTCCAGCCTGGGTGACAGAGTGAGACTCCGTTTCAGAAAAAACAAAAACAAAAACAAAAAAGAGGCTGGGCGTGGTGGCTCACACCTGTAATCCCAGCACTTTGGGAAGCCAAGGCAGGCAGATCATGAGGTCAGGAGATTGAGACCATCCTGGCTAACACCGTGAAACCCCATCTCTACTAAAAACACAAAAAAATTAGCCAAGCGTGGTGGCAGGTACCTGTAGTCCCAGCTACTTGGGAGGCTGAGGCAGTAGAATGGCGTGAACCTGGGAGGCAGAGCTTGCAGTGAGCTGAGATCACACCACTGCACTCCAGCCTGGGTGACAGAGTGAGATTCCGTCTCAAAAAAAAAAAAAAAGAATGAATTTTACAGTCTACTAATCAGGTGTGTCAAAACACTTTATTTTTCTACAGGCTGAATTAATATCTATCTCTAGTACTCATGCCACCAAGAGGCAGAAATTAAACTCCTAGTTAATTCAACTTTGCATCTAAATCCTGGATTTACTTGGCCCTCACCATGATTTTGGACTGAATGTATGTGTCCCTCCCGTACTCCTACATTCATAATCTGAACCCCTAAACGCTAGTATGGTTTTATTTGGAATAAGGAAGTAATTAAGGTTAAATGAAATCATAAGGGTGGGGTCTTGATCTGATAGTGTTTTTATTTTATTTTATATTATTATTTTTTTTGAGATGGAGTTTTGCTCTTGTTGCCCAGGCTGGAGTGCAATGGCACAATCTCAACTCACCACAACCTCTCTCTCCCAGGTTCAAGCAACTCTCCTGCCTGAGCCTCCCAAGTAGCTGGGATTACAGGCTCCTGCCACCATGCCCTGCTAAATTTTTTTTTTTTTCTGTATTTTTAGTAGAGACAGGGTTTTGCCCTGTTGGCCAGACTGGTCTCGAACTGCTGACCTCAGGTGATCCTCCCGCCTTGGCCTCCCAAAGTGCTGAGATTACAGGCATGAGCCACCACGTCCAGCCAGATAGTGTTATGTTCTTAGAAGAGGCAGCAGAGAGTTCATTCACTCTCTCTTCTCTGTATGAGGACATAGTGAAAACGCAGCCGTCTGCAAAGCAGGAAGAGAGAACTCACCAAAACCTGAATCAACCTGCACCTTGATCTTAGACTTCCCAGCCTCAAGAATTATGAGAAAATAAATTTCTGTTGCTTAAGCAGTCTAGTATTTTGTTAGGGCAGCCTAAGCAGACCAATATACTCACCAAGGATTTTGGGATCTTGGCATCAAGAGTTGGGGGGAGAACTCATTCTCCAATCCATTGTAAACATCTAGCATGATGCTTTCTTCCCCCGCCCTTTTACTTTCTCTAGTCTGGACAATCTCTCTTTAGCCTCTGGAATGACAATCTCTCTTTAGCCTTGGAATGAGACGGTATATCTCCTCTCCTCCCCTCTTTCCAACTTACTTACTTACTCATTTGTAGTAGTTTGTGTTTTTTTTCTTCTTCTTCTTTTTTTAGACAGGGTCTTGCTTATTGCCTTAGCTGGTCTCAAACTCCTGGCTCCTGGGCTCAAGTGATCCTCCTGCCTTGGCCTCTCAGATGCTAGGATTACAGGCATGAGCCACTGCACTGGCCTAATTACTTTTTAATGGGTAAAATCTATGTCCTGGATCCTTAAGATTAGATTTTTGAAATTCTTTAATCTCAGATTTTACAGATAAAAAGCTTTGTGTTTCATTATGAGGCCATTGGAGAAATGTGCCTCCCTACATATTTGATGATATTAAGGAATTGTTTAATGTTTAAGTGTGATAAGAATATTGTGATCATATTTAAAAGATGAACCTCTTCCGATTAATACATCGTGTACAACAAAAAGATTGATGTAGAAAGAGGGAGTCCAAAAACCCTTTGTCTTTTGGAGAAATATGCTGAATATTTGTGGGTGAAATGATATGATGTCTGGAATTTGCTTTTAAAACTTCACAACAGAAGGGGAGTGTTAGGTAGGTATAGATAAATCAGGATTGGCTTTCAGTTAATGGTTAAATGGGGTGCTACATATATAGGAACTAATTATATTAGTTTCTCTGCTTTTGTATTTGTTTGAGAATTTTCATTATAAATATGTTTTATAAAATGAGTTGTAAGAACCTGTTATGGCAATCAGAAAACAAGAACTAAATGTCTTTGTATTCTGCATTCTTTTAGGTATTTTCCTCCTTTCCTGAAATAATGTGTAGTTCTGACCAAGTGAGAAGAATCATAAGGTAAAATCAGATTCCTGAAAGGAAGATATCTTGTTACTATCTCAAATTTTCATCCTATTGCACAAACCAACTACCCAATCCAGCGTTTGCATTTGGATACATTTAATGAATAAAAATATGAATCACTGATACTTTCTTAACATCTTTTGGTTATTTATTCACCATGTTAGATGTGCTAGTGATGTGAAAAGTTTGGAACTGCTAAAATATTTTATAAGCTGGAGGAGGTTTTTTTTTTTTATCAGTTTATTTTAAGTCAACAGATTCGGGGGCAAGGGTGGATGTATTAATCTGTTCCTACACTGCTATAAAGAACTACCTGAGGCTGGGTAATTTATGAAGAAAAGAGGTTTAATTGACTTATAGTTCCATAGGCTATACAGGAAGCATGGCTGGGAGGCCTCAGGAAACTTATAATCATGGTGGAAGGGGAAGAGGAAGGAAGTACATGTTCACATGGTGACAGGAGAGAGAGAGAGAAAGGAGGGAAGTACTACACACTTTTAAACAATCAGGTCTCGTGAGAACTCACTCACTATCATGAGAACAGTGAGAGGGAAGTCCACCCCCATGATTCAATCACCTCCCATCAGGCCCCATGTTCAATGCATGAGGATTACAATTCAAGATGAGATTTGGGTGGGGACACAGAGTCAAACCATACTAGCGGGCTAAAGATTTCACTATATGAGGTATTCTGTACAGTTTAGCTAATGGAAAATGTTTACCAAATTATCACCTCTATTGCTAAGAGTTTGTGGTAGTTGATCTAACTATACTTTGGAAAATATAAGGAGACCCTGTAAGAGAATGAAGGTTGAGAGCGTGAAGCATAGGATCAAAATAAAGTAATAGCAATGTTCATGCCGATGTTGAAAATGACAAAGGCGGCTAATGTGCAGAATGTAGAAGATTCAGCAGTATGGCTGATTTCTGCCTGATTTGCCGTTCATGGGAGAAATTTTATTCATGAAACCTTTATTGAGTACCTATGCAGGGCAAGGCACTAAACATGATAAATCAAATGATACATAGACCCCAACTTGGAGCTCAGTATTGTAGGAAGCTGGGGGTACAGCTTGGACTACCTCAGATTTTTATTCTCTCCTACCCTCACTCTTCTAGCATATATTCATATCTATTAAGATCAGGGGTAAAAAAATCATGTAAAACTTTATTTATATTTAGCATGAACCAGTTAGATACACATAGATTTAGTTTCCTTAATGACAAAGAATAGTGATGATGAACCACTATGGGATAAAATAATTAAGTGCGTTACTTATCTTTGATAACTTTGAAATTCAGAGCTAGGTGTGGGGGAGAAGGTGTTTTCCTTCTTAATTCATTTATTCTGCCACTCATTTATTCTTTTCTTTACCCCTGTCTACCTGCTAGAATCACAGTGAGAATTATTTCAATTTCTAAAAGGCACTTCTGTGGGAGAGAAAAAATAGTTACAGTGGAAATAAATGTTGGAACAGGCAGAGTGCCCTCTCTGAAGGACACTGAAGTAGCTAATAGTTCCCCTAAGAGATTACCAGTGGAGTGGTCCTACATGAAAGAAAGGTGGCATGAAAGATCATTACTTCAGTTATTATTAATGGATTGCTATTCCCACAAAGATCATCTGGGGAATGGTTCTGATTGGTTGGCTGGTACCATCAAAGGTGGTTTGTTTAGCTGTGTGACTAATGACACTGTTTTCAAGGTCTGTTCATGGTACTTCAATTAGACGGAGGCTGTGGTAGTTAGAGAAGGCTTCTTGAACTCTGCTGAGTTTCAGGAAAGGAAAACTTTTCCATTAACTGTGAAGTTAAAAGAAAAATCCTATAATGTATTTCTTAACCAGATTAGAAACCAGAACCCTGGTAGGCTTTTGTTTAGCTATTTTGCTGAGAGTGTTCTGCTAAGGCCATGCAAAGAATGAATAATTCACATTGAAAACCTTAGCATTTTGCTTAAAAGCCTTATTTTCATTTTTGGAAAATGTGACAGCAAGAATTAGTACCGGCACTTCTGTTTCAATAATGGTGGTGATGTTTAAATGACAACAAATACATAATTGGACTTACACGCACATTTATGGACACAAAAATGTCATTACCTATTTTGGTGGAACATTTTACACTTACTCTACACACAAGAAAAATCAGCTTAAGTTGTTTTTATCTATAAGCAATGAATCAATGTGAGAAACCCTTGTGGCATTCATACTTTGAGAAAAATATACATTTTTTTCATTCCCTGATTTTGAAAGGATGAGATTATTTATTTTAAATAAGACCCTTAATGAGCCCTCCTAAAATAAATGGTAACCCATTTTCATAACATTCCCAAAGGTCTTTCGAAGATCAATATTTAGACTCCTCCCTAAATTAGAGGATAGAAACAAACTCTCGCATAATAATTCTTTGCTCAGTTTGAGCTGAAATTGTCTGAATATTACAGGATATGAGATTTAATATTTTATGATGAGAACAGGGAAAAGGAATTAGGAAATTTAATGTTGTAGGAAAAATGGGGGCACCCTCTGATGCTATCTTGGATACTAACTCTTTTACCCATGGAAAGCACAGGACAGATAAAAATAATATAAAACAATGAAGTGAAAAGAACTACTCTTCTCTCAACTACTGCATAGATTTCCATTTTTAAAGTAAGAATAAATTTAGATATAATAAGAAATATGGTTATGGGCTCAAAGACTTGCTATGAAATTCTGGTTTACTCAACTCTAATGATAGGACTGAGTCTTTCCATGCCACCTCTGACTTTCTGAGATGGATAAGAATTACAAATACTCCTATCACTTTTGATCTGCCAGTCTCCTGGTATTATTGTGTATATTCTATTTGCTAACTTGAATTAAGTTTCTTTTAAAAATATGGTGACTTAAAAGGATGTTTTCCCAGATGTTGGATAAAGATCATAGATACTGCTAACCGTAGAGGTTATACATGCATGATATTTCAGAGTGGCCATTAAACATTGCTGTTTCTCCTAGAGACAATTTTTGTTCATCTATTAGTTGGGACATATGATTAAACTCTGTAAGTTAAATATATAAAACAACTAGCAATAGAAATGTTAAGGTGAACTATCCTGTCTTTAGCGTCTGTATAGAATGAATCCGTTTTTTTCCCTCTTGCAGTGGCTCAGTAAGAATGTGGTGGCTGCTGCCATTTGTTACACATATTTCTCTATTTCTTTTTCAGCCTCAGGTTATTCTCCATTCTCATTTTTTGACCAGGTTGCTCAATAACTCACAAGCCCTCAGTGGTTCCCACAACTCACATTTCTCCAAAAGCTGGTTCAGTACAATTTGTGATAATCTTGGGTTTTGACCATGAATGCGAGCTGTCTCAAGTGCAGTCTACAGTAGACCACTGGCATTTTTTGTCTCTGATATTTTGGCTTACCACTCCTCTCCAAGTGTACCCCTATTTGGTCATTTAGTGCCCACCTGCACTAAATGTATTTCTTTTTTAAAAAATCAAATCTAACCACAAGAAAGAAAATGTTAAACTCACACTATTGTCTAAATCAAATATATTGTTTTAAGGGTTGTATCTCTCAGCCACATCTACATATACTAGCTGACATAAGTTTTAGATAAAATTATTCTTTTGGGTAGAATTTTAGGTCTCAAAAAGCATAGTGGAAAAGTTTCTCGGGTGAGGGGATGAAGGTGCAATGAGTCAAGGGGTCTTGTCTAGCATCTTGGAAAATACTCTCAGTCTCTTACTTTGCTTACTTACGAGATTAGTTCTGGTGAAGCCTAACTCCGCTTCTCCAAACCATCTCTCTCTCTCCACCTTTATAGTGAAGATCAGGGAAACCTCCACTAAGAAGCTTTTCTTGATTAGTCTCACTATGCTTGAGCCAGCCTGTTTAAATTCTGGCCCACTGTTATCAGGCTGTTGAAGACCTCCGAGGGCCTGGGCACTCACACTTTCACAGGCCCTATCCCACATCGTATCACATCAAAATGCACCAATATTCTGTATTAATTATATATAGATTTTTTACTGTAAAAATAATTTGAAAGGATTTTAATCCTTTTATATCCAAAATTATTTGGTTATGTATAACTTATTTTAAGATTGATTATAATTTCTTGGTAATTATTGTGCATCTCAGAAATTTTTCTGATGTGAAAATACACCTTACATTTTTAATGTAATTAATTTTTATGAATATTAAATTTCATAGGTAATAAGACATGAATGGAGCACTTTATGGAAATTTAATTAAATACATTCATTTTAAAAGTTTTTTTTTCTATTTTGTATTAATTTTTTTTCAGATCTCAAACATAAATTCATGGAAAAATGTAAATTCATGGAAAGCTCGTAGACATGTATTTTAGTGACTTCTATGTATCAGGCATTGTTCCGGCTGCTAGAATTAGAGTTGAAAAGACAAAGTGCCTGCCTTCAAAGAGTGCAAGACATGAGGATATTTGAGTAAATAATACCAAAGCAGTGTGATAAGTGTGCTAATAAAAAATAGAATTAGGAGCACACAGGTGTCTGTGACCAACGAAGTCCTCAGAAGAGATGACTTTTGAACACAGAGATGACTGACTTCAGTCACGGCTAGATTGAAGAGTCTTTAGATCATGATATTTCAAGGAGGATTGTCTCATGGATTATTTTCACATTCTATTTCTTAACTAACACAATTTTGGGTTCTTGAGTTCTTACTACAGAAATCTGAAACATTTACCACAATGAGTGGTAAATGGCCCATTAGGCCACCCTTTGTTTTCAGGTGCCTCCCCTTCCATTATGGTGATAGAATATGAACAGCAGAATGATTCAGTTGCATGAGATCTTCACAGAGAGCCTTCGAGGTCAGAGTTATCATAATCCCGTTTTATAGGGGAGGAAATAAAAACTAAAAGATGGTAAGTCGTTTGTCTAAAATTAGGCAATTAGTCAAATGGCAGAGCTGGGATTCAGTTGCCCATCTGTTTGGCTTCACAGGCTGTAAACCTCAGCACTCTATAGATTAGGACACTGAATAACACTTCCCAAAATGCATTTCTGTGGCTCTAGGTAACTGTATGTGTTCATTTTCTCATTAATTTTCTTTTCTGATGATGAAGTATAAAAGGAGGGGGAAAGGACCCAACCTGCTCTATGCCCAGGAAAAGGTAAAAACTTATATCAGGAAAAGATAACTCAGAAAAGGAAAAATATTGAGCATAAAATCATCTCCCCTATACTTCCAGCCTTTCCCTTAGCTTCTTTCATAAGGTGATAAGCATTTCCATCCCCACTTCACATTTTTGCCTACCTTAGCAAAAAAATTTTGCTTGATCCATAATTTTTGATAAGGGAAGATTCATCAGAATAAAAAGAACTATAATATTTAATATACTTGAATGAGTTTTAGGATGGTAGTTAAACGGAACAATAGAAGTATTCATATTATAGTAACCATTTCTAATGATCTAATTCTAAGATTTTGTTAGAAGTTGATAGTAGAACTCACACAAACATTGAGTGAAAGGTACTAATAGCAAAAATTCCTCAGAGCCATGAAGATTAGTCTTTGCTGTAAGTTAGGATAATATTCTGTTAGAAGAATTCTGACTTTAGTATTGTGTAAGCTGTTTTCTTAATACGTATCTACCCTCTGCCTAGGTGATATTCACGAAATAAGGCATAGATAATGCATTTAGTAACACTGAGCTGAATCATGCAAAACATAATTTGTGTGCAGTTTCAGGGAGCATAAAATAAAAGTTGTTTTAAATATCATAAAAAGCAACCATAAAAATAAAGCATTCTAATCAGAGGGAAGACATTCAAAAGCTCGCGTCAAAAAGGAAAACAATTTACTTGTGTCGGTACCCTTAATAAGTGCCCCAAAGCATTCCAGTGCTGTTACATTCTCTAATGATATTACAGTATGTGGCACATCTCATCTAATCTGTTAGTAAAATCCTAAAGTCACTTATGTCAGTCTCTAATGCAAGCCAAATGAGTCTTTCCAGTAATAAGAAGCTTCGCAGAATTAGTTTTCGTTTTGCAGAAAATTGCCATTGGGGCTGGCACTTTTATCTAAAAATTTCACTCGTGCATAAGCAAAAAACTCATATATTATTTGGTTACATTCCATCAGTATGAGAAATAACATTGTGAGAATTCTATGCATGCTAATGATATATAGAAATCCACCTGCTTTCAGATAAAATGAGTTTAATTTTCTGTTGCCCACTGCCTGGTTGGCCTTTCATAAATTACTTATGCACAGCTATTATTAAAATAGAGGGAAAGCAAATTAGAAAGTCCTCCTATCTCTCCACTGGATTTAGCCAAGGCAGGGCTGTGACAGCTAGAGTCAGCGTTTTTGAAAAAATTCTGCTCTCTTGAAAAATTTTGCATCTCTATACAATTCTATACCACTGTTGTAAACGTTCTGACCTGCCTTCTTACCAAATTAACCTAAATCCTTTCTATTTTTCAACATTAATGGAATCCTCTAGAGTCCTGCTGATATATATTAAAATATATTTATTGGTTAATTTGAATTCCAGCATTTTGTACCTCATTTCCAGCACTCCTGTTATATCTGAACAGCCTTGAGCTTTAGCATTTAAAACTTATAAATTAAGATACATACAGTACATCTTACAATTATCAGATCAAAACAACTTAACTTTTATTGGAGTATAGAATGGCAAATTTAACTTTCTGATAAAATAGAAAATGAACATTGTCTGCATGAAAGAGTTAACTGGATTTCAAAGGGTGTTTTCTAGCTGATGGTGAGGAGAGTCTTTATTGGTCAAAGAATACTTGATCTCTTGGTTTAACCACAGGTGAAAAGTTTTTATTTCCAGAGGGTTTTGGAAATCACTTAAGATTCTCAATTAAGTGGAATTCCCAATCACTTAAAATTAATTCCTGTTAATTATTTCACTTTGTTCAGCTATGATCAAAAGTTTCTTAGGATGTATCAGGTGACTGTGTCTTCAAAGGCTGAATAAATATTATTGAGGAAGCTCTACACTTTCAGTGCCATGGTGTTAAAAAAGCCATCAAAATACTATGTTGAAAATAAATCCTAATTATAGTTCTGACTGAAGAAGATAAGGACAGCTTCCAAAGCATTTCATAAAATTTCAGTATAAAGAGGTCACTTTTTAAGACAATTGCATCCTGTGCCAGGGAGGATACCTACAGTACTCAAAGAGCATTTTAAACTAATTCCAAAAAATAAACTAAGCTCATTTTCTGTTAAGGTTCTTCTTCATAGTGTTCTGATATAAGCTTTGTCCATAACTAAATGGCGTTTTAAAAAGACCATCTTGATAGTATAAGTTATTGATATGAATAAAAAAATTACAAATGAGTATTTGTGGTGTATGTGTGGAGTAAGAGTGGACGGGTCTTGGGAAAGCACAGTGGGATGGGGAAGGGAGATACATACCTCTTTTTCTCATCTCTGCTCTGAATCCAAACTAGCAATTTCCCTTCATTTTTGGGGAGAAATCTTTCAAACAAAGGTAACAAATGTGCTTACAGTGTTTTAAAACTGACACTCAAAAATAATATCAAGCAAATAAAACCTAGCAACACAACTCAAAAGGCACATAAATGATTCTGAAAATGATGCTTCTATAAGATAGAGTAAAATATCATTTTCAGATCTATCCATAGCAATTTTCAAATAGTGTCATCTCTCCTTCTGGTAAAGTTTAATGACAAAATGTTTATTCCTTAACAACACCGAATGAAAAATACTATTTATGTGTCTAGCATTATAAATTCTAAAATTTTCAGTGTGTAATTATATAGTCTTAGGATGCTTTTAAATCTCTTCTGAAATTTGCAAGTTGAAATTCACCAGCAATTGAGCTTTGTCAAATGTCCCCAAAAGACAGACTACAGAGTTTGAGATCAGTCAGCTGTTTGGACCATGATATGTTAATCCTCTGTTTATAAGATACTTAACTAACTGAAACTTCCTAGATGTCTTGTTTTGACTTTGGCAATGGTGATTTGAGCCATTAAGAAATCCCACAGAAGACAAATAATCAAAGTGTCATTATTCCCCAGAAGTCTGCATGTAGTCTAGCTCTTGCATAAAGAGTGAGACACCAATTCCTTGAGATAATTAAAGTATTAATGTGATTAACATTGTGTAGTCACAACTTCCTATAAGTTCTAAGCGTTCTGGAATAGGAAGAAAGAAATCTAAACTAAAACTAGAAAATAAATCAAATTATCAGGATACTTCAGACAAAATAAAGTTTTGCAAATAAATTAATTGCATGCTATTCCTCAAAAACTTTAGTTTGATTTTTTTTTTTTCCAGACGGTTTACTTTTTTTTTTTTTTTTTTATGGAGTCTTGCTCTGTCGCTCAGGCTGGAGTGCAATGGCGCCATCTCGGCTCACTGCAACCTCCGCCTCCTGGGTTCAAGCCATTCTCCTGCCTCAGCCTCCCGAGTAGCTGGGACTACAGGCACCCACCACCACGCCCGGCTGATTTTTTGTATTTTTAGTAGAGATGGGGTTTCACCATATTAGCCAGAATTGTCTCGATCTCCTGACCTCGTGATCTGCCCACCTCAGCCTCCCAAAGTGGTGGGATTATAGGCGTGAGCCACTGCTCCTGGCCTCAGACAGTTTACTTTTAATTAATTCCTCGTTTAATTGATCAGTTGTGTCTTTGTGAATTGCCTCAGAGGCAGCATGCATATAATTGTAGAAAGTTATAAACTCTTGAATCTAACAGACCTAGATTTGAAATTTGGCAATGGCATTACCTAGCTACTCTATGTTGGCTAGATATGTAACTTCACTTGAGCATCAATTTATTCATTTAGAAAGATGAGATGACAGTACTTTACTCATAGTTTGTTGGGAAGATTGAGTAAAACATGGATAAAAATAATTGACTTATTAATATATAGGTACTCAATAAACATTAGGTGCACTTAATCAACTGAAGGTATGTAAGACTACTTTTTTGTGTGTGCTTCAGATCTTACATATTTTTTGTAAAATTATTGCTATGATTTCCACATGTAACTGTTTAGTCAACTAGAGGTATGTAAAACCATTTTTTGTTGTTGTACTTTAGATCTTATGTGTTTTTTAGTATATTGGTATGATCTCCATACATAATTCTTCAATACGTACATCCATGAGTAATGTAGAGATGGGCTTGTTTCTCAAAAGAGAACTGGGACTTTGAACATATGACACATTTTAATACCTTCTAAACAAAAAAATTCTTGATATTTTCATTGTAGAATATTTAAGAAATATAGAGCAATATATATTAAAAATTTTAAATTTTTCTTTTCTTATTTCAAAGGCATTTAAATGTGCTGTTTTCTCAGCTTTTTTTTCTACTCAGATATTCAAAGTTGATGTCATATTGTATTTTCTAAGATTTGATATATATTTCACTATAATAGTGCTTTACCATGACTTAACTATTTTAAAATACTATTTATATTTTGTTGTATTTAAATTATTATACTGCTATTTTATATAATATTTTTATTATCAAAGCATAATTTTTAACGGCTGCAAAATAGCCAATTGAGTGACCTTAAACAGTAATTTATCAAACCATTTATTATTTTTAGATGCTTAGGTTGTTTTTAATTTAAGGCTACTATATAGATTAATTAATGAAAGTTTTTATCTGTATTTCTTGTTATCTTCTTAGATTAGATAGTGGTCAACAAATACAAACATTTTTAAAGGTATTTATGATACAATGACAAACTCTAGAAGAGTTGTAGCACTGTGTATGCTACAAGCAAACTGTGAGAATATTCTTCTCAAATCCTTCTTTTGTAAGTTGATCACATTATTTCTCAAAACTTTTGTAAATTTAATAATTGAACATTTTAATTTCTACCAAAAGTGCATGAGTACCAGTTTCATGTAAGCCTCATTAGCACTGAACACTATAAATGAAACAAGCTATCTCATTTGTTTTGACTAAATTTGTTTAAAAAGTGAAAGATATATTTGTTTTTACTAGGACTTTTTTTATTGCTAGTGAGTTTGGACTTTTTTCTTCTACCTTCATTGGAATTAAAATGTCTTTTTTGGTAAATCATCTTATCCTTTTTTCCTTTATCTATTGGTGTGTTTATCTTTTTGTTATTGGTTTATGAGGACTATTTACACATTAAAATACAAACCCTTTATTATTTTACACTTATTGTTGGCCTTTTGATATTATGATGTTTTAAACTTTTGGCATTTTTGTCTTTTTATTTTATTTATTTTTTAATGAATGAAGTTTTATTGGAACAAAGTCATACTTGCTTATTTACTTATTATCTATGGTTGCTTTTAAATAACAAGGGCAGAGCTGAATAGTCACAACAGAGAATATATGGCCTGCAAAGTCTGAAATATTTATTATCTGGTCCTTTATAGAAAAGTTTGCTCACTTTGGACTATGCCATTACTCAACAATTATGGTGTGATTGGCCTGACTTCTGTCCTCCTGCATCAGCACACACCCACTCAGAAAATTTTTATGTTTTTATAGTGAAAACACGTCCTTTTTTATTTTTAATGTTATAAATTTTAGCGCTTTTATAAATGTCACCTCCAAATATTTCACTCCTAGAGAGCAGAAAATTATTGCTTAAAATTAATTCTGGCCAGGTGCGGTGGCTCACGCCTTTAATCCCAGCACTTTGGGAGGCTGAGGTGGGTGGATCATGAGGTCTAGAGATCAAGACCATCCTGGCCAACATGGTGAAACCCCATCTCTACTAAAAATACAAAAAATTAGCTGGGTATGGTGGCGTGTGCCTGTAGTCCCAGCTACTTGGGAGGCTGAGGCAGGGGAATCGCTTGAACCCAGGAGGCAGAGATTGCAGTGAGCCGAGAGCTGAGATCGTGCCACTGCACTCCAGCCTGGCGACAGAGTGAGACTCCGTCAAAAAAAAAATTAATTCTAAATTTTATAGTTTCAATGTTTACATTTACACAAACCATTTGAAATTTATTTTTGAATTTAGGAAGAGGTAGGCTGTTAGTTTTATTTTTACATGTACATAGTTGGGCACTTTTTCCAACCCCTTGTATTAGATGTCTCATTGATTTATGATGCTTTCCGACTTAGATTTTGACAATTTTGATTTATTTTTCTGTAGGTATTATCCCCCTAATATCGTGCTCTTTTATATAATACAAATCTCAGTTATTTTATTAGTATTTTGGTAATAATAATAGTGAATAATAAACATGATGATGACAAGTATTTCATTCAAGTCAATGACTCATTTGCTAGGTAATCTTAGGTACATTATTCAGTTTGGGGTAAGTAAAATGGAAAGAATCTGTGAGATGGGGAGAATATTGTCTAGTGAACATTATCATTGAATTCTCTCTCAATAGTGGTTCCATCTTAACTCTTTAGTGGCAGATTATGATAGTCTTATCACACTTAACAGAAGTTGGTTTAGATAAGGTCCTGTCTAAACCAATTTAGGCCAATAAAACTTGAGAAGAGTCTTGCTTAGGCCCCCTGGGAAAGAAGCTTCCTGTGTCTAATAAGGTTGGTAGGAGTAGTATTTCTCTGTCTTTCTCTCTCTCTGACACACACATGCACACACACACACACACACTGTCCTCAAACATGAACAAGGAATTCTGTTGCCCTGGCTACTGTTGGCAACCATCTTGAGATAATGAGGCAAGTCAGCCCGGGGACCAAAGGCCAAAGCTGACTCAAAGAGAAGAGAGAAGCTAAGAAAATAACATGAAGTGGTGCCTAGTACTCTGATATCCATTGTCTGAAGCCCAAATTACCTCTGGCTGATTACTGTTACTTACAATTGAAAACATCGTGACTGATACATATTAAGTCTTCCAAGTCTAGTGTGGTAAACAAATAAAAGCATGATTCTAGAGTGCTATAGACCATCACCAGGAACATGGCAATTGTTATCAGTAAGATTTCTTTAGGTACAAAAGTGTCGCTGCCATTATGCATGAGTTAGTTGATCTCACATCTCAGTTAGTCAAAAGTGTTTGAGCATGCAGCTTCAATACATTTATTTATTAGAAGCATTACTCTACAAATATATACATATAAAATATAGTATATAATATATGTAATATACATTAAATATGTTATAAAGTTCACAAAATTACAAAGGAAATAAAGGATAAAAATGAAGTGATTATTTAAAAAATAATTTTGTTTTGTTTATTTACTTGTTACAGAAAACTCCTTTCCCCCCACTAACATCATCATTATCATCATTAAATTTATTTATTTAAAAAAATGTCTGCTGGGTAATACCCAATGCCAAATATTTATCATCTCAGTAAAAGTCAACAAATTTAGAACAGTTGTTTTAAAAAAAAAGCCACAACTCATCTTTAAGCTCAAATACTTTTCTAAGTACTTTTTGGAAAGACTACTAGCAAGCATCTGTAATATACTAGGATTTTTTTTTTTTTTTTTGGGATGGAGTCTTGTTCTGTTGCCCAGGCTGGAGTGCAATGGCGCAATCTTGGCTCACTGCAGCCTCCGCCTCCCCATATACCAGGATTTTTATGGTCACTTCCAATCTAACTCTAGATATTGTAAAGATTCTGTTCTTTAAAGTAATATGTGTATGCACATTTATCCACAGACATAGACTGCAATAGACCACAATATGCTAAAAGCTTGTAGATATATTAGAGCTTTCCTGTCAACCCTCTGCCTTGCTAAAATCATACACATGCTTCAGGCAAACTGATAAATGTTTTATGAAAGGCTGAACAATTTTGGATGCCAATGTCAACTATTTATTAAATATTAATATAATTTATTTTATTTCTAAGACAAAAATAAAAATAAATTCATAATTTTGTTCTCACCTGTCAATGAATTGTCTTATGCCCTCTTGGCTTGTGAGCACCCACATTGGAATCCATTAATTAGATATAAATTGTGAATTGCCACAAAAAAATTAACAAAGCCTATATACAAATCTATTTTTTAAATTTTTTTGCCATCATAAGATAATATGTCAAAACAGTTGAAAAATAAATTCTAAGCAATAAACTATTCCAGTTGATAAACTGTTATGAATACAGTGGGTCTCGTTATCTCAGCCACAGTATTGATTACAAACCTTGCAATAATAGTCACAAGCATGAAACAAGAATAGTCGGTGCTAGCATGGAAATTGAGGAAAAGCAATGTTAAACCAATGATCACTTCTGCTAGTTAGGAGACAGAAGTAGAAATTTATCACAGTGTAACAAAACCACATACAGTATTATCTTAAATAGTTGCCACATCAGCAGAGAGCCAATAATATTTATTTGCAGAGTTCAGCTGGTTTGAAAATTAAGGTAAAAATACAGTTAAATCTGGGTACTTTGAATTCTTGGCAAGTGGGTTATATTTTTAAAGGCAAACTTGCTTCCTAAGGACTAAGCTCTTGACAACCCTTTAATATGTATTTCAATAATTCTCACTGAAAAATTTTCCAGTATGAGTGTCAATCTTTTGTTTACTAACAACGCAGACATTTTCAAGAGTCTTCAGTAGGTAATTATAAAGGGCTTCTCTGAGATATATAAGACCATTTACCATATCCTTAAATGCCTCTACATACCTGCCTTTTTTGAGTTCTTGCTTTATTTTTTGTGGTATTTCTCTGTTTTCTTTTTCTTCTACATTGTCATTTCTTATTAAAATACCAAAGTCTGTTTGTAGGAAATATCCTTCTACAACCCTTCTCTCCTTTCCTAATCTGCTGCTTCTAATCATTTTTGACCTTGGAACAAATTAGAAATGTCCATTAGGAAGTAGATGGGTTTTGATTACTGATAAAAAGTCTCTCCTAGGAGAAAAGTGTGTAAATTTTACTGTCTGGATATTATAATATACATTTCAACTACTTAACTTTTCTTTTTGGCTTTGAGATTGGTGAGGAGGCTAGAGACCCAAGCTTCAGAATGGGCAAACTGTTATTCAGGCATGCAGTGCTTCCAGCTCTTACTTTTGACTTCTTGTCAGTGGATCCCTTCAAACCTGTCATGCCTATGTTGATTGTGAAGTCTTAACTCATGCAGGATAATTATAACACATTTCCTGTCTTC
Organism: Homo sapiens; assembly: GCF_000001405.40. NCBI lineage: Eukaryota > Metazoa > Chordata > Mammalia > Primates > Hominidae > Homo > Homo sapiens. The sequence goes on along the minus strand of NC_000003.12, from coordinate 180,711,407 downwards.
CCAGTTTCTCAATTTTTTTTCTTAGAATATGGGATTTTGAAAAACATGAAAACATCCTAAGAAATACCAGGAAGGAGTCCCACAGTGAAGCACAAATGGTACGTTATCAAATTTTTACAATTCCTTCAGTCTAAAACCAAATTTACAGAATACTGATTGACTAAGAATTATTTCTGTTTTACTTCCAGAAACTCAAGATGACTGCCTAAAATAAGGTAAGAGGTAAATGAATGAAATAAATCACATGTATTTATTGTTTGTACCAAAGTAACTTTCAAATTACTTGAATATTTACTAAAATTAGAGTTGACAGTGTTCACTTGATATTTAAAGCATCTTTTACAATAGATTTGTTTTCTTTTCTTTTTTGCAATTTAGAAATTACTAAGACTTTTTCTTTGGGTAGTTACAGAAATGTATTGATCTTACAGAATGAAGTCCAATACCACTACTACTTTTTGTCTGCTTAGTATTTCAGAATTTCCAGAGCATTTTCTCCATAACTTATTTAATTCTCAGAACAATGCCAAGAGGCAAATGGGGGAAGTTATAACTATTTTACAGGTAAGAAAACTGAGCCACCTTAAGACTGGTTAAGAGACTAACCAGGTCACATAGATGGCTTATGATTGGCAGGACTGGGTGGGAATGCAAAATCTAGCCCAGGGCTTTTTGCCCTTCAGCATGCTGCCTTGGGATACAGTTCATAGAACTCCTGATATGAAAATGGATGCTTAATAAAAAAAACTATTGATTGCTTGACTGATTGATAAAGGAGCAAATCTTCATGTATTAAGTAAGAAGAGATTGCAAAGGGTCTCACAATAGGCCTCGGGAGGACCTGGCTTGCACCTGTGTATTTTCATCCTCAGCCACTCTTAGGTCCCGTTTCTACTGTCCATGAAATGGGCCCAGGAATGGTCCTTTTTGGCAGTGGCAGTAGCAGTCACAGCTGTATGTAAATAAACTCTTCATTTAACTAAGATTGAGGAGGGACTATAAAAAGAGTGGCAAAGGGAATCATCTTCCTACTGAATAAGCTGAAAAAATGTTCAAGATTCAGGGCAGGCCTTTGGCTCCCTATCCATGTGGAAAAAGAACACTGGAATAGACAAGGAATTCTACCTTGCCACTTTGGATTTCAGGAGATGCCATTACAATGATATATCACATATCAGTACATATGACATTTAAAAATAACAAGTCCCTTGTCCCCAGAAGTGGATCCCCTTTTTTATTTAGCATGGAACATATTGTCGAAACTTAGTAAAGGGCATGCTACAATGTTAAGAACTCTGTAATTAATGTTGGCCAGGATTTGAATATAAATCCTTTACTTTTCAGGGTCTAATTAAAGTCAGACTTTATTGTGAGTGGAATAAGACATTTTCCTCACCAACCACATATTAATGGTTTCATGTCTAAGGGTTTTATGGTAAAAGTTTAAAATATATTTGAAATAATGTGTTTCCCTTTGAAGTCAGGAAGAGGGAAAAGTTATCTTGTCTTAACATAAAAGGAAATCACGTTTGATATAAATGGTCTTATTAGGGCAAATATTATTTTATTGCTTCACAATTCTGAGTAGCTCTAAAATACACTGCAAGATTGTAAATATAATTATAGACACTATGTAAAGATAACTGCTATAGTCTAAATTATTAATTCACTTAGATCACAGTTTTAGCTGTTAAATAGAATGCTTTGGGGAATGATGTTAATATCTGCAGATAGCTTAACAGCAAAACTGTTGATGTGAGATAATTGTGTACTTGAGTGCTTAATTTCAGGTTTTACTTGAACTGTGAAAGGTAGTTTAATATATATCACAGAAAATAAGCTATAATAAAATTAGCTGTTGATGTTTACTATGTACTCTAGAAAGAAAATACTGTTCATTTTCAGTCAATTATTTCTTCCAGAATTATAAATTATATGTGTTAATAGAATTAATACTTTAAATGCCTATAACATCTTTCACCCTAATAACTGAAGTGCTTTTACATCTAATACTTCATTGTCTCTTAACATCACTATATGTGCTCATCAATGCTGTATGTAGAAACTTGAAAAAAAATTTAAACAGAATAAAAGTGTACGTGCTCTATTATATTTCAAACCTACAAATAAATGCTCATTGAAAATGGCATTATAAAGCTGAACTGAAAAGAAAAATGCATAATGCCTGAAATCTATAAACTGCAAAAATTTTAAAAAAGCTAAACTCCAAAACTACTGTTTCATAAAAGAATAATCTTCAAATTTCATGAAGAGGAAAAACATTAGTTAGATTATTTAAAATCCAACTAGTATTGAATAAAATCATCAGGCATAAATAAAACAGCCAAAAATGCTTTAAAATGAGCTTTCAATTTTTGTGTAAAATAAAAGTGTGTTTTCATGCTCATACAAGCTTATAATCTTCTTCTGCCCCAGTTCTTCCCTGATCTTAGGAAGAAAGGATCAAGTTCTTTTGCTTTTTTTCTCTGTTTTGTCCAAATAGAAATCATGGATCTTAGGAGAAAGGGGGCAAGGAAGTAAATCAAAGGACAAAGCTGAAGACCAAGTGGACCGAAAAGAAGATGGAATACATTTTCCCAAACACTGGTGTTCTCTGGAGTTGGCTTATCAACATCTTGTGTAATAGTCATATAATTGTCCCTCATTTCTATCTCCTCCTAAAACTAGAGAAATGGCCTATTAATTTTAGAAGGTGTATAATTATCACAAAGCCCTCAGATTAAGGTCCAGGACACAGAATGGAATATATGAGCACGCAGAAATGTATACCTTTAGATTGAACTTGGATGATTTACCTTTTGACTGTCACCACCAGCAAATCCTGAAATTGGATCTCTTGAAACTTATGGTTTTCTTTCAGCAGCATAGGAGTTAAGTTTTCTTCTAACTTGCCCTAGGTTCTCTCAGGAACTGGGAAAGCAGTTCTCCCAAATCCCAAGTAAGGTATTCAAGACAACATAAGGCAGAGCTAAATTCTTCTGTTGAAGAATTTAACATGACTCAAACCATAAGGAAATCTAAAGAAGGCTGCCAAACTATTTCGCTGCTGCCCTCCCCCACCAAAAAAGAGATAAAAATGTTAGATTTACAAAGCAAACTACAGTGTATGGAATATATATATCTATATATAGAGAGATATATATACACACACACAATTTTTTTAACCTACCACTTTGTCTTATTTGCATGAGCACAAATCGCTTTCAACTTAATGCCAGAGAAAAAGGCAACATTCCCCGTGATGACTTGCTGAAAAGCTCACTGTATTTGTTTGATAATGGATTTTAGTTCATTGTCATGTACTTCACTCTTCATCAGCAGGAGCACTTCAGGGTAAAGAAACAGGCTTTTACCACACTGGAACAAAAGCTATATAAGGAAAAAAAAATCCTGAGCAGATGGAATATTATTTGCATTTGCACAAATAGTGCTTTTTAGCACAATTCATATTACTCCATTGTGAGCTAAAGTAAGCCACATGTGTCTACAGCATGCTGCAGACGCAGAATCGGCTTTTTGTTTGTCAGACTCAGAGGTCCCAACCTTATGATATCTTTGTACTTGTATATCCATTAGTTTTATTTCAGTTACTTATCAGAAGGGAAAAGAAAAAAATGGCACTATGCAGTTAAGAGGACCATTGCATGGAGGGCTAAATTAACTATTTTTTATTTTCATGAATGAGGATCAAATAGGTTTCAGATGTCTCGACATCTATCTGGAGATCTAGATGATGATATAAAATTAAAATGCAGAATGTAAGTGTAATAAAATTTGTTTCTCCATGATTACATTAAATAATCTTTGACATATATTTTTCTTAGGTATCTCTCATGCAGAGTAGATCAACATACGATTTGACACAGAATAGAATTTTAGGTCTAAAGAAATCTTAGACATTAGTTTAACTTTCTCGTTCTACAAATCAGGAAACTGAGGCTCAGGAACTAACGTGACTTGTGGTGGCATAGTCAAGAGTGGAGCCTGGGCTCCTGACCTTGAATCCAATCCTGTACCCATATATCAGTATTTTCTGTAATATTTTACTTGGGCTTGAAGATCAAACAGGTTTGATAATTCAGGCTTCAAAAAAATTTAACAAATTTTTCTCAGCCAGGAAATAATAAGCCACACAATCCAAATTTACTTTGCCTATACCTCCTTTTTCCACAATACATAAAAAAGGCCATTTGTTTTCTAGAATGTCCTTTTGAGGATAGCAGTGAATTACTATGCCTCCTGCAATGAAAAGACAATGAACAAAAATTAAGGAAATCAAAGGAAAAAAGAGAACATGGATGACTTCAAATTCTGGTATACAAAAAATAAGGGCACTCAGTTGAATTTAAAACAATGAGTGGTATTTTTAAAGATTGTTAGAAACTATTTTATTAACTAACGTTTATTTATTTATTTCATTTCTTTTCTTTTTTCTTCTTTTTTTTTTTTTTTTGAGATGGAGTTTTGCTCTTGTTACCCAGGCTGGAATGCAATGGCACGATCTCGGCTCACCGCAACCTCTGCCTCCCGGGTTCAAGTGATTCTCCTGCCTCAGCCTCCTGAGTAGCTGGGTTTACAGGCATGCACCACCACGCCTGGCTAATTTTGTATTTTTAGTAGAGATGGGGTTTCTCCATGTTGGTCAGGCTGGTCTCAAACTCCCGACCTCAGGTGATCCACCCTCCTCGACCTCTCAAAGTGCTGGGATTACAAGCGTGAGCCACTGCGCCCGGGCTTTTTTATTTCATTTCTTAAATAAGCCTCTGATTTATAGGTTATATAGTATGGTTTGTATAAACCAGTGTGCTTATCCTCCATATTGATAGTGAAATAGGGGCTGTGTCTATGTGTTAATGGTGGAACGGTGGCTGTTCTCTACTTGTGCTAACCCAGGGACTAGTCATTTGTATTTGTATTTGAGATGCCTCTTTCATTTGTCCATGCAATCATTCCATGATATGATCAAGCCTCTGCTAGAAATCAGGCAGTGCATTGGGCATTGAGAGACCAAAAAAAAAAAAAAAAAAAAAAACCCAAACAAATAAAATGTAAACAAATAACAAACATATCAAAAAAAAGTTATGATAAAATGCTATTACCATATATTCCACATCGTATATTATCACAGCATACTTTACGATATCATAATATGCCTGAGTGCCTATAATAGGATGCTGTGGGAGCAGGAAGTATTACACAGACTAGGCAGTCAAGGAAAGGTTCCTGGAGAAAAATATATCCACGCTAAGGCCTGTAGGACAACCAGATGTCAGCTATTGTTAGGCACAGAGGTAAGGGGAGAAAGAAAAAGCACTGTAGATGCGTTGTAGACATAGAAACTCCGCAAGAGGTGAGGGAGGACCTGGCATATTCTAGGGGTTCTGGTGCAAGAGTATCCATGTGTGAAAAGGAAGTAGAAGACATAAGGCTGAAAAAGTAAGCAGACCCCAGAAGGTGAGGCACTCATGAACCATGTTAAAGAGTTAACCACTGAACAGTGGAACGGGAAGCCTGTGAAGGTTTTGCTTTGTGAGATTTACACTTCAGGATGATAACCCTGCTTCCTACGTGAACCAAAGGGGCAGTGGCCAGGAAGGCTGAAAGCCTTTAGACAAATGCAGGAAAAAGGTGGCGGTGAACTGAGCTAGCGTAACAGTGGTGGCAGTGAAAAGAAGCAGACAGATTCAAAGATTTTCAAGAAGGGAACATGGACAGTTCTTAGAGTTGGATGACTTGTGTGGCCCAAGAAAAGAGAAGACTCTAAATGATACATGTGGTTGGGTCATTGTAGGTTACTTAACTACTTAGTTATCTTTTGTTCATGTTTTTCTCTAATCACTTGACAGCAAAGAAGGAAAAGTACCTTTAAATTTAGCAGTGCATTTAGTGTATTTTAATTTAGCAAGTGTGCATAATTTGCAAAAATAGAAGAAAATAAAAGTAATCTCCCATTCCTGCATTCAGAGACAGGTACTTTTTAACTCTTTTAATATACAGTTATTTCTAACTGTCCAAATTCTTATTATCTGAATTCAGAAACTGATATGAGTTTGGATAGCATGAAATATTTGTATTTCCTTCCAATCTTTTAATGTAGACATTTCACGAAATTGGCTACAAGTCAAATGTGTGATTGTGCTCTGATTTTCTATTTAACATTATATTTATACATTTCCCTATGTCATAATATAATCTTTAAAAACATGATTGTACTGACTGGATAATCATCCCCTGTACTATAATTTGTAAACCATTTCCCGATTGAAGAACATTTAGGTTTTGTGTTTTTTTTGCTATAATAAATACTGTAGCAATGAGCATGTTTTTACGCAGTATTAGCCTTTGTTTTCTTAGAATAAATTCCTATAAAAGGAATTGCTAAATCAAATTATTCACATCTGTAAGTCTCTTAATAGATGATGCCAAATTGACCTGATGTTTTATATGAATATTTCGAGTGTTCCCTGTGTTCCCAGAAAACTATGAGTGTTCCCAGAAAACAGAAACATTTCAAAAATGCCCTTAAATCAGGGATACATACCAGTTATTGAAAAAAGAGAAAATGTGACCATTTGTTTAGTGAGTCATTTCAAATAGAGCAGTAGGTGTGCCTGTCATAATAAACAATTGCCTAATATCTCTTCACACCAACTGAACATACAGCACCTATCACAGCCCAGTAGAGTGGGGATGGTGAAAGAGACCTAGTGAGGAGCTCATCAATTTGTGACACAGTCAGTGGAGAACAAATAAGACAATACATATCAAGCATTCTGACTTCATATTTACTCAGGTATTAATTCAGCACACATTTCCTGAGTGACTGTCAGGTGCCAGATACTTTGTTAGAGAACAGAGATACAAAGATGAATGGCACAGAACCTGCATTCAAGAAGTCTGGTAGGTAGAAACAGACTCATAAACCAATAATATCTACCATTACTCTAGTGTTTTCTATGTGCTACTCACTATATTAGTAAAAGATTCACAATTGTCTTCTTTATTTTCAAAACAATCTTGTGAAGGAGGTATTTTTCTCAACCTCACTTTCCGCAAGCAGAACCCCACATCCTTGCCTTTTTTTCTTTCTTTTTTTTTTTTTTTAATACATAGGAGAAAACCATGACTTGGGTAATTTGCCCAAGGCCACATGACCAGTGAATTGTGGAGTAGAAATCCAACTCAGATCTGTATAAAATCTGAAGTCTGTTTTCTTGTCCCAGTGCTATAGAATAAGAATATTACAAGAAGTATAAAAAGAATATTATTGTACAAAGCCCCAGGGGCATGGGACAAAGGTTTGAAGTCTACTAGATGATGAAAAACGGAAGATCCAACAAAACTCCATGGAGATTTTATGATTCTGTGGTATCATCTCAGATGAAGATACATTGCCAAGACCAGCCTGGTTGTGGAGACCCTAGGCCAGCAGCACTAGAGGAATTAAAGACACCCACACAGAAATATACGGTGTGGAGTGGGAAATCAGGGGTCTCACAGCCTTCAGAGCTGAGAGCCTCGAACAGAGATTTGCCCACATATTTATTGACAGCAAGCCAGTGATAAGCATTGTTTCTATAGATTATAGATTAAAAGTATTCCTTACGGGAAACATACGGATGGGCTCTGGCTAGTTATCTGCAGCAGGAACATGTCCTTAAGGCACAGATCGCTCATGCTATTATTTGTGGTTCAGGAACGCCTTTAAGCGGTTTTCTGCCCTGAGTGGGCCAGGTGTTCCTTGCCCTCATTCCGGTAAACCCACAACCTTCAGTATGGGCATCATGGGCATCACGAACATGTCACAGTGCTGCAGAGATTTTGTTTATGGCCAGTTTTGGGGCCAGTTTATGGCCAGATTTGGGGGCCTATCCCCAGCAATACATTCATAAGATAGATGAAGGAAAAAGACCACTCCAGGTTGAGGGATTATCATGAACAAAGGCCTACTCTTTAAATGCTGATGTTTTAGACTACAGAGAGTCCGTTTTCCACCATCTTTTACTTCTCACTCTATGGGCTGTCTGTGAACAATCTCATCCACTGTGGAGGCTGTAAACACTGGTATAGATATATTACTTTCAAGCCTATATATTTATTATGGCCCTCCTACAGATCAGCAGAACTGTATTCTTTTTTTATTTTTTAATTTTTTTTTTTAATCCCCCAGAGCATCCCTGCAAAATGAACTGTGTTCTTAACAACCCACTTCTCAGGTGTGTTGGCTTATTTCTGTAATCCCAGCTCTTTGGGATACTGAAGAGGGAGTTTGAGACCAGCTTTCGGGATACTTGAGGCCAGGTGTTTGAGACCAGCCTGGGCAACACAGTGAGACCCCATCTGTGCAAAGAAAAGCCCCAAGAATTAGCCAGGCATGATGCTGTGTGCCTGTAATCCCAGCTACTTGGTGGGCTGAGACAGGAGTATCACTTAAGCCCCCAAATTTGAGGCTGCTGTGAGCTATGATCGAGCCACTGCACTCCTGCCTGGGTGACCGAATGAGACCCTTTCTCTAAAAAAACAAACAAATAAACAAAAAACCCCAGCTGGATGGCTCCACTTGGATATTCAACAAGCACTTCAAATGAAACATGATTTGTTCCTTCCAGCCATGTTTCTTCCTATACTTACTTAAGTTAACCTGATTTCAGAATTTTCTTAGATTTCTAACTGTTCCTCAATATTTAAAATTCATTGATAAAATCAACAGGAATCTAGAATCACTAGATTTTCTTTCTTAAATATCTCTTGATTTTGTCTTTTCTTCTTGTCCTCACTGCCATACCTTAGTTCAGGCTTTTATTATTTCTCACCTGGAATATTGATTTCTAATGATACTGAAGCAATGTAGCATAGAGACAGTAAAGTGGAAAGAACATAAACTTTGGAGTTGAACAAAACTTTAGAATGTCATTTCCAACTTTTAACAACTAACTAAATTTTGGGGAGTTACTTATTTGACTCAAGGATTTTCCCTCTGTAAAATGGAAGATCATAATATCTACATTTCAAGGTTATTATAAAGATTTAGTATGATAATGGGCATAAAGTACCCAACACCATGCCTTGTATACAATAAGTGTTCAATAAATGGCAAGTGCCTTTTCTTTTAAGTCAGGACTTTTTTTAGTCACTGAATGAAAGAGATGGAGTTTGAATGAGCTTGAACAAAAGGAGGATAATATTGACACATGTAATTGAGAATTTCAAGACACTTTCAATCCAGGGCTGAAGCAATGTCAATAGAGTTCTGCCTCTTTTCTTCCTTTCATCTTGATTTTTCTCATGTGTTGGCTTCAATGTAATGGCAAGATGGCTACTGGAAACTTAGTCTACATTCTTGGAGAATGCTGTCTGAAAGGATTCAGGTATTAAACCTTAGAAGGGACACAGATTGGTCCTGCTTGAGTTATGTGCTTACCCATGAACTAATCACTGTGTCCCAGAAAATACAGCTCAACATTGGCCCTGCCTTGTGGTTATGTGGGACGCTGTGACAAAGCAGAGGAGAAGTTCTTCCCAAGAAATTAATGCTTTCAGACAAAATCAAACAAAACAACAAAAAAAATCCATGCCTGACATACCTTTCCTACTCAATTCCTGACTTTCAGCATTTCTGTCCAGTATATACTCCACAATATAATCACAGTTACCTTTATAAAACAGAAAGTATATTGTGTGACTCTCAAAACCTTAAAAACCTATACATTGCTCAGAGAACACCTGGCCAATTTCTTCATAGAGCTCAAATATGCACATCTATCTGACCCCAACCAACCCTCCATCCTTTCCTGCTGTGTTTAACCAATACCATCCGTTCCTTTAATAAACACTTTTCCCCTCTTCTTGTTTACTCAGACTCTTGTCCCCGCTTAGAGTGGCCTTTTTCTCCATGTCAGCTTAACAGTGGCCAGTCTGTCTTGTAGGGTGCAATGGAATTCATTCTTTTTGTTTATCCAGAACCCCTCTTTTGTTAAGAACCTGTTTTATTCTCACTGCAAAAATGTGTTTTTGGAAGGCTTGTCATCACAGCAGCGACTCAATTCTGGTGACATGACCCACACCAAGCAAGTCATCAGTTTTGCAGCCGCAATGATTGGTCCAAGGATAAGTAAGTAACCAAATGTGCCAAGTGGAGTCCTTCCTATATTGAAGTTAGGCGAGAGTTACTCTTTCCTTCTGAGTCATTAATTTGGAATTATGTTAGCCCAAAGCTGCCAGTAAACATGTTCTGCCAGCAAACAGAAGGAGAAAGCTCACATGCAGTAGGAGAAAATGAGGCCAACATGCTTCGTGACTAAGGAGAATCAGAGAGATAGGCTAAGGAGTCAGAGACTAAGAGAGTCTGGGTGTTCCAGGCCATGTTCCAACAGTGCCAACCCATAATCTCTGTTTTGTTTTTTTCTCTTAAACTACTTTGAATTGAGCCTCTGTCACTTGAAAGAAATTGTCTTCCAGGTCCTGCTTAAATATTTCTTTCACTAGGTTGCCTTTCTGGACTGTGTCGTTATAGACCTCTTTTATTACACTGATTACTGTCTGCTTTTTAGAAGGTATACATAAGTATTTAATCATTCTACTAGGTTCATTCATTCAGTAATGCTGGCCAAATGTTACTGTATTTCCGACTGTGCTAGGCTGAAAGCTTGACTCCTACCCTACTTAGCATAAAGCCTGGTAAAGAGTCGAGTTTTGAAAAATATTTATTGAGTTGAATTGTGAAAGGTCATTGAAAGACCTTTGTGTTTTCACATTGTGCCCAATGACATATATTTCTCTCTCCATTCTAAACTCTGCACTGATAACAGAATCACAAATGATTAAAATATTTCACTGAAAATGTAAATTTTGCAAAAAAACTATGTGAACTAGAGAACATGAGCTACATTCAAAGCGGAAAAAGGTTAGGTTTTCAAATAATAAACTCAAGCCATTTCTGTGTCTTACCTCTAAATAGCAGGTACAAATTGGTTTATTTGCATTTTCTTGGTTAATTACACATTTTGGAATGATCTTTCCATGTGGAAGTCATTGATAACAGGATCTAATTCCAGAGACCAAAGTGCCATTAGTTTCATTGAATTGAAGCATTTTCAGAGGTTGGAGTCAAAGCCTGGGAATTAGAAATCATGGGTCTTAATTACATCTTGGTCACAGATTGGTTGTTTTCTTGGAAGCACACAATCTCAAAAAATTCAAGTGCCTGTAAAATGAAGATGAGAATCTGTGCTGCCTTCAACTTCAGGCCTTTATAGACTTGAATAAAATATTACCTATAAACACCTTTGAAATCCTAGGATGGTATGCATTAATTACTTTCCTGAGCCTTTAAATCCAGGGGCTATTTCAGCAATTTGAACCAATAAGTAAATTGGACTGTGCTCTTACAGACCTTTTTTTATTATGCTGATTGCTCTCTGATCTGATTAAGATCTCTTGATACAGTGATACACAATCCAGTTGTTTGCAAAGAAGTCAAAGGAATAGGGAAGAGAAGGAAGCTGACCTAAATTGGGTACCTACATTACACTGGTTGGGTGTTGGGCTAGGCTCTTTACCTACCTTTAATCCTTAGCAAATTTTTATGGGATAGAGATAACATTTTACCCATAATGAAACTAAACCTTAGTTACCTCAAGTAATTTTCTTTAGGATCATGCAAGGAATAACTGGATGATGGTCTGTGTGCTGGTCTTTTGTAGAATTAATTATTATGTAAAAAGGGCTATGCTTTTGGTTCTGGCAGACTCAGCTGTTTACTTACAACGTTTAATAAAAACTAGGCACCCATTTTGGGTGTCTTATCAAAAGCAGTGCTATATGTTTTATTGTTAATTATTGCCAACTATAAAAGGAACTTTAGGCTTTAAGGGTGTTTTTGCTTTATCAGAGAGGCTCATAAACTTAGAAATTTAGCCCTTGAGTTTGTCTTTAGTTGGGACTAGGAATTCTATGGGAAGTCATTCTCAAGCTACAGATTTGGCATCATATTCACTTTGGAATCTTGTTGTAAAACCCAACCCTGAATCCATTTCATGTAGACTCTGAAGAGTGTGTGTGTGTGTGCGTGTGTGTGCATGTGTTTACAATCTCCTCTCTCAGATAGGGAATTATGACCCAAAATAATATATTTCTCTGGGAAAAGACTAAAGCCAGTTCTGTGGAGGCAGATAAGTGTAGGAAACCCAAGTCCTCTTTAATGTAACCTGGTTCCCTAAACTCACTTTACAGTGGCAGATGTTTCTAAATCAGCTTCAGAATTGACCTGTGATTCATAAAACCCGTTTGGCAGAGTCATCACCTGGACCCAACATGTCCTCATTTCTCATTCTGGAGCAAGTCAGAGCCAAAATAGTTAACAGAGGTGAAGAGGCAGGACTCTGGGCGAATATGTGAAGCAGCTAAAGTGAGAATCCTCTGGCAACAAGCCAAAAACCTTACCATGAAGGAGGCTGCACCCCATTCAACCAGCAGATAAGACAGGATAATACCTTCATGTTTCACTTGGCCAGTTCATAATGTACCACTCGAAAGGGAGCAAGTCTGTCAAGCTTGTGACTGCATTATCTGGTTTCCTTCACACTGCTCCTGCCATGCCTCCATTGTGTGGGAAGTGCATTACTTGTTGGAGCAGTGAGGCTCAACCAACGTGGAGAGCAGGCCTGGGAGGATTATGGTGAAGGGCAGTGAGGCTCAGCTAATGTGGAGCATGGGGAGAGGTAGAGAGATGTCTGACAACACAAGCCCTGCTTTGCCTCACACAACCAGACCCAGTTGAAAAGCCGGTTCAGATTTTGGTGGACAACTCTATTGGCAAAAGACAGCTAGAGTTTTTCCAGAGCTGTTTCTTTTGAGCTCAGAGGAGACAGTGTTAGGAGGTGAATACTACCCTCTTAATTTCGTTTATTGAAAAATAAGGTGTGTGTGTGTGCATTCATCATTCCTTATGTTGGCATATAAACATGGAAGTCTTTTTTGGAAGTAGCCATAGAATGCTATGGGATAAAGGTATTTCATTGATATTCTTCTTGCACATAAGACACATAATTTAACCTGATAATCCTTTCCCATGGAAACTGGTAGGCATCAAACAATATAGCATTAGTTTCTGATGATAATTAGGGTGTGTGAGGGTCCACATCTTGATTTGAGAGTTTATCTACATGTAAAAGCAAATAGTCTATAGCATAGTTAAAACAATCAGTGTATATTGACTATGAATTTGAAATAGTTTCATAAAAATTATTTTTTTAATTGAAATAGATAATGCTAATCACATTGATCATGAAAACTGGCCTTAGAAAACCACAGGGATCATTTAAAACATGCAGTTTAACAAATTTAAATAGATCCTCTCATAGATGATAGCCTGCTTTTCCTCATCTCTCTGCCAAAGAAAAATTTAAATTCTTCGGTTGAGAATATCACATAAAAAGTGCATAGTAGCTTTTACTAGAGAATCTCACACGCACAATTTTTTTAAGAGGCAAGGTCTCTCTCTGGAGTGCAATGGCACAATCATATTTCACTGTGGCCTCAAACTTCTGGACTCAAGGGATCCTCCCACCTCAGCCTCCCAAGAAGCTGGGTTGTGTGCCACTATGACAAGCTCAATTTCTTATTTTTGTTTATTTATTTTTTTTTGTAGAGACAGGGTCTAGCCATGTTGCTCAGGCTGGTCTTGAACTCCTGGCCTCAAACTATCCTCCCACCTCGGCCTCCCAAAGTGCTGGGATTACAGATGTGAGCTACTATGCTTCATATGCACTTTTAAAAATGAACATTGAACAATAACAAAGGCTATTAATAAAAATAGCTACCATCTATCTACTGAGTAACTACTAAGTGCCCTACATAGTAGTGTTTTACATATGTTATTTCAGTTAATTATCTCAAAACCCCTATATACTGATGAGGAAAATAAAGTCTATAGACTTCAAGGTCATATGGCTAAACTAAGTAGTGGATTTAGGAATGGAACCAAAGAGAACTGATGCCTGGAACTTGGCACTTAACCATTACTCGATCTTAAAGTCACTAATACCATCAACAGAATGCAGAGATGTAGCAAAAGGAGTTAAATGGCTTATCATATTGATAGATCTGGGGCAAGAGTTTCCAAATTCTCATTAGGAGTTACTCAGATCACATAAAATCGGCATTAAAACAAGCCAGGTAATCCTTCTTGTTTGCCAGCATGATATCAACAAAGGATTGACTAGGGAGATTAGATTCCAGTTAAAGTTAAAGCATGGCTGTTCCTATAAATATACAATGTAAGCACCACCCCACTGTCTAAAAGACCCCAGACATACTCCATTACAACCTCCTTAGATTACTTTTAAATTAAGATTTGCTATTTAGAAATATACTTTAATTATTTGAAAAAAGAAAAAATATATATTCAATAAAAAAACCACCTACCACCTCATCACCCAAAGACTACTGTTTACTTTTTGTTGTTCTTCTAGTTTGTTTGTATATTCTTCTAGTTTATTTCTGTGCCTATATATGCCTACTTTTAAAATAAAAACTAGATATGTCATAACATTATTTCATTTACTCTCTTTTGTTATCAATATATCATATGTGTGATGTTAATATAGTACTTGCTTCCTCTACAACAAAGTATTTATTTGTTATAGAGTGCCATATGAATTTACAACCATTTCTTTCCACTTTTTTATTATAGGAACAGAGCTATAATGATAATGTCTTGTGTATATACATAATTACTTCTCAAGACTTGATTTCTAAAATTAAAACTACTGGATAGTGCAGTGATTAAGGACACTTAGATTCTGTAGCTACAACTCAGCTTCACACCTGAAGAATTGTGAGATTTTGGGAAAATCACTTAGCTTCTAATTGCCTCAGTTTGGTTTTCTACAAAATGAAGATATTAGTACCTACCTCATGCTGTGGTCATTATTTTGTTTTTTAATATATGAAAAACACTTAGAGCAGTGACTGGCACACTGCAAATACAACATAGATATCTGTAACATAAAAAAAGGACTGGAGCAAAGGATATGCATCTTTTAAAAGACTTTGATAACATATTAACAAATTACCTTCCAGAAAGATTCTACCAATCTTTATTCCTTACAGCAGCGTGTAAGTGGAGTACTCATTTTCCTGCCCCCATGGAACAGTGGTTAAGAGTATGAGAGATCAGATCACCTTATCTCAAAGTCTGGCTCAACCACCCAGTATTTGTGTTATCTTGGGAAAGCTACTTGACCATGCTAAGCTTCAGTTTTCTTTTTTTGTAAAATGGTAATGACAATAAATATCTACCTCATAGAATTATTGTGAAGCCAAAATGAGACAATATAAAGTGCTTTAAAAAGTGCATAGTGTAGGCCAGGCTAGGTGGCTCACGCCTGTAATCCCAGCACTTTGGAGGCCAAGGCAGGTGGATCACCTGAGGTCAAGAGTTCGAGACCAGCCTGGCCAACATGGCGAAACCCCGTCTCTACTAAAAGTACAAAAATTAGTCGGGTGTGGTGGGGGGTGCCTGTAATCCCAGCTACTTGAGAGGCTGAGGCAGGAGAATCTCTTGAACCTGGGGGATGGAGGTTGCAGTGAGCAGAGATTACACCACTGCACTCCAGCCTGGGCAAAAGAGTGAAACTCTGTCTAAAAAAAAAAATAAAAATAAAAAAATAAAAAATAAAAATGCCTAGTATAGACTAAGGGATCAATAAATGCTGTTAGTCTATGTTTGCTGCCTCTTCATTTCAAAGATGAGGAAAAGTAGGACCAGAAAATATGGCATCTATGGCAGAAGCACTAAGGTAATAGGTCAAAATGACGCAAGAAATCAAGCGAGAAAAAAGAAATATTTGGTTCTGGATGATAAATATTTTCTGCTTGGCCGGCCAATATGGATATCTTTTTAAAAATGTCAGGATGCCTTCCTGTGTCTAGTGCTCAGCATATATTAATCAGAGACATGTACAGGGGAACTGAAAGGATGGTTACTAAACTTGTCACTGTGAGTTCAGAAAGGAGTGAATTTCATCTTGAAAGAAAGAATCAAGAAAATATGATTTTACAAGGAAAAAGAATAGTCTATGTATCAGAGTCCTGTGAATAAAATCAGTTTTCCAAGTACCAGATGTGGAACGAGTGATTGTGCTCAAACCAGTCAGCACAAACCAGTCAAAGTTGTATTAGCCATACTGTGCAAAACAGCAACTAAAACCATCTGACAATGAACATAATTCCACAGATAAAAACTTTACCAATGATACTTGAGTAGACAGACTGAAACTAGATGGTGTTCTGTCCTTTTTGGGTGCCACTGGCCAGCTTTCTATGAAAGTTAAGAGGCAAGACTGGATTCCCTAATTAGAGATGGTCTTGCAGAATATAAGACTCATCAGAGGAGACCTACAATACCAATGGTTTGAAAGATAAAGGATCTAGCATTGTTCACTTTGAGGAGTTTAAGACAGATAATTTTGTTATTTTTCTCAAGTTTGGCCAAGATTCTTAGAAAGGAAAGTGTACAATGGTTTATTTCTACTGAGAATGGAAGTGTAGGAAGCAAATTTCAAGCTGCAGCATGAAAGATTTAAGTTAGAATGATTGAAAAAAATTTATTTGCAATATGCCCTGAAAAACACTGCAAATGATTAACAAGGAAAGCTATGCAAGATCTTCAGAAGCATATAAAATAGGACTGTTTTTGTGTTGGTTTCACATTATTTTTGTGGGTCTTAACTAAAGGCAGGAGAATAGGCTAGGTAGATGCCCAAGTTTCCTTTCTATGATTTGATGATAAAAAAACTTGGTCCTATAAAGATTGCTCTGGTTTCTTTTCTATTGCAGCTACCCAAGGAATAGCTGTTGCCTTGACAACAAGAGACATTCTTAGGTTCCTCATATGCTAATAGGAAAATGGCCAATTTTCTTGTTCATAAAAGAAAACTGTTGGTTAATGTGTGCATCTCTCTCTCTTTCTTTCTCTTCCTCTTTCTCTGTCTCTCCCCTACCATTACTAGCTACCCTTCAATGAACCTTAGTGAGAGGCAGGGTTAAAAGAAAATAAGAAAGGGTAGAATAGTTTGTATCTTCAGAAATCCTCATTGAAACTTAAGACACTCACTCATAAAGGAGTTTGGAGTAAGATAATGATATGGGAATAATAAGAAATTGGCATTGAGTGTGGAGAGAAGAAAAAAATTTGATAGCATAAAATTCTCAGCCTATGGTAGGACATGGGCAGACACACTGACCGGATTCCAGGATGAAGGAGTCAACGTAACTTCACAAATGTGTCAACATGGGATAGTATTTGTAAGACAGTTTTTCAAATAACTGCTTCCAACTATCTAGGTACATGAATACAGGCAGTTCATCCGCTTTTGAATATACTGACTAGATTGTACTCAGAATGAGCTTTACATAGGATTTATGTGAATAAAACCACAGAATATAGCAGAAGAACAGCAATTACTTCCACATACAATTCACTAAAGTAACAAGCAACAATTAATTCCCCCAGGGCAAGAGCCATGGACTAATCCCTGCTTTCTCCTTTGCTACCTGAAATGTAGCCAAATGCAAGCTAAGAAACAGATTGACAGCTGATAAAAAGTGCTTTGAGTAAACTTACCCATATATTATGTGCAGAGCTATAGCTCATAGAATAAAAGCCAGCCACCTCTCTGCAGTGTCTCTTAAATTAAAGCCTTAGCTATAAGAAAGCCAAGTGTCTCAGCCCAGTGGAGGGGTGCTTTTTCCATATAGCAGCATGGAAGTTCAAGCTGAAGCCTCATACCAGCCTTGTTTTTGTGCTGTGCTCACATGGATGGTGTGTACAGTATCATGACAGACACACATTTCCTTATATCTTTACCCCGCATTTTTCTATACAGTGGTTACACGGTGGGTATGTTTTTTGTTTGCTGTTTTCACTACTCCTTGTTACACCAAGGATCTTTTTTTTTTGGCATATCGTTGTTAGAAAGTATTTTTCTTTTAATTATAAGAGTAGTTCATGCTCATTGTAAAGAACATGAAAAAAGTTCAAGAAAGAGCAAGGAAGGAAATGAAAGATAGTGTAATTTTGAAGAGCAACACTGAAAGCAAAGAAAGTCATTGCCAATATTTCTTTTACTAACAGCTAGTGCAGCATAAGACACGGGGCATAGAATTCCTGCCCCTTTTTTCTTTATTTCCTGTGCTGAGGCCTGGTCTTCCCGTGGACCCCGGATAATTAGCTGATGTTTACAAACATACAGGCACTCGTAGGTGTTAATATATACTCTGATGCCTTAAGGAGTGTGGTTGTTAGGAATGTTGGAGAATATATACGCATTTGAAAAGTTAGGCAAAAACATATTTACACTTTATAAGGTGATCTTAAAGAGGTTTTGAAAACTTTGCTACTTGTGGCACAATATTGCTGGTAGATTTGGGGGTTAGTTTTTTCACCCCAAATCCCCTGGTCCCTGATAGTTCTCACACAATGAGAAAAGCATCCTCTTGGTTGGCCCCCCTTTAAAATAGTCACAAGTCTTACTTTCTGCCTCTTTTCTCTTCCCCTATTTCATATTCTCCTTTCCTCTCATCTTGCCCATTTAAAATTATTCAATTTATGCTTATTGTCTACAAGAAAATATTTTTGTGATCTGGTATCTTTCAACTCGTCCTGCCTTATGTCATGTCATTCTCCCAGGCAAATGTTACTCCACAAAAGTCACCCTATGACCAGCAGTGTTAAACTACTGGTATTTCTCCACTAATTACAAGTAGTTCCTTGTACTCTCCCAGCCAAACTCAGGAGTTTCTACATTATTGTCTTTTTATTGTTATTCCCACCACGTGGAATGCACTTTCACCCAACTTTTTATGGGAACCTTTGTATCCCTATCTTAAAAGCTTCAGGTAAGAGGCTTTTCTTCCTGGGTGGCTCCTCTGCCCCTGCTGCCCTCCCACCTGGAGACATAGAAATGCTTGCCTTGATGAGTCCTGACAGCCTTGCTGTACTGTGTGCACTTGGTCTGCTCTTGTTAATTTAACAAAAGTTCTGGAAGGCAACATTCGAGTCTTCTTTGTTCACAGATACATGTCCCTATCACTCTCTACTGAGAGCATGTCACATATTTGGTGCTCAATGACTGTTAATACAATGAACGCATGAATGTCTACTGTGTACCTAGCGCTAGGGAGCCAGTGCTAAATAAGGCGGATGCTCTCTGACTTATGTTGCTTTTAGAATAATAGAAGACCAGGAGAAATAAAAAGTATAACAAACTCAAGGAGGCAGGACTGTGCCATGATAGCAAAAATATGGTGTTAGGGGGGCACATATAGGTTAGAGAAGGTTGGGATTAGCTGGGCAAATGTGAAAAGAGTACCCAGGCAGAGGGAACAGACATGTGAAAGACTGAAGTGAGAGAGAACTTGAGGGAAAAAAATTTAGTCGGGCTAGAAATTGTAGTGTTAAGGTGAAGGTGAGTGAAAGGTAAGGCTGGGGAAGAAGGAGGGGCCAGTTCAGGAAGGCCTTATATGCCATGTTAGAGGGGGTCATGGAGAGCCATGGAGGAGTGTTCATGGGGAAGGGGTGATGTACTCAGAGTTGAGGTTTGGAAAATCACTTTGGCAGAGGTATGGAGATGATATTAGAGAAATCAATTATGGAGGTCAGGAGTCCAGATAGCAGGCAGCTTCTGTGGTCAGTTCTCCACTTGATAGTAAACTCAAGGAAAGGATAATCATTTTTTTCATTGTTGTAAATTAAGGGCTTAGATCCTGTCTGAACGAATGCAATGTTTCTTTTATAAATGAAGAACTTTACTTATGACAATTATCATATCTCAAAAAAGTAAGAATTTAGAAGCTACTTCCCTTAGGAAGTTCTATCCCTTTACGGCTCATCTAGTCGTTCGGTCAATGTTATCACCTCTAGTTAGGCTAGTTATACAAAGGAGGTGTTAGCAGCACCCTACTCTGACCTCATCTACCAAGAGATATTTAAGTTGATTTATATTATCCACCTTGCCTATATTATAATTGATCATTTTTATTATATATATTTTTGGTCTTTTTCATTAAGTTGTCATTCTCTCGATAAAGATCATGTGCTTTTCTATTTTGTGTAACGTACCTAGGAGTAACCGATTCTATCCTGTTTCCTTGAGTTTGTTCAAAGATAGGTAAAAGAGTTAATGGAGATATGAATGAAGGAAAGCATAAATGATAAGTCATCTGAAAGGTTACTTCTGATTTTTCTATATTTGTATTAGAATTTAACCCTTAAAGGGGTATAGTTCATCAACTAAAGCCATTTTATTAAGCCTTGTGTCAGCAGATTATGAATACCTGTATTATCTATAGCACTGATTAGTGACCATAGCTCTCATCATCACTAAATCAAACTCAAAAGAGGCAAAAAATGGATAACTTCTGATTCAGATTATATGTCAAGTTTAGTTGTGTTTAGAGTAAATAGGAAACATAAATTAATTGTTTGTAGGTTGCAGGGTGATATGGGTTATTTGTGCTGACACTTAAAATATCATCCCTGCTTTTCTAAAGCTTTCTGTTTTTTATGATCCATAAAGAAACATTAATTTATGTGACTAGATTAATCACTGATTCAACAAAAACTTCATTTATAAATTTTTATATATCTAAGTTTATAACTTGAGTAACAAGCTGATTTATCCATTACGATCCTGAATTTGAACTTTCATTATTAATTATTATCATTATTTTGATTGCTTTAAAACAATAGCAACTAGCAGTGTTTAGAAGAATAAGAGGGATTATGATTTTGCATCTAGATGTTTTTCATGGATTGACAGAGAGTTCTGTGTGGGGTCAAAGATTTGTCATTTTAAAGTAAAAACGAACTGAGGGGAAAAATGTTAATAAATTGTTAGGTTGGTATCTGGTCCAAAATTATTTCTAGGGGGTTTTCTTCTTAAGTACATCTTTAAAGCTGCACCCAAAGATTTGGCTCAGATGTCAGGAATAATGATCTTCATTATAATAGTAGACGTTGATGAGAGTTCTGGGTCAAAAGAAAAAAGAAAAAAAGAAAGAAAGGAAAAAAAAAGAGAGAGAGAAAAAAGGCACTGTGATACTTTACATATACAGACATGTAGCACCATCTACTGGATCAGAGTAAATGAATAAAATCAGTAAAGTGTGTTTTTTTCACTAGTAAAAGTGTGGACCTCTGAATATCAAAGCTTCTTAAAGTATTGGTTTAGTGATTTCCTTTGATTTTTAGGACTATTTTACTTATATGTAAGAATACTTTGATATAAAGAGTCTTTTCTTCATTGTCTTGGGTTGTAGGAAATAGTCACAGAAAATTGTTAGCTTTTGTTTCAAGTCACTCATCTACAGAAATTAATTACACACACACACACACACACACACACACACCCCTGTACCCAGGTTAATTATATAATAATATACATACATATCTTTAAAAATATTAAGTAAATTACATAATTTTTTTTTACAAGGCAGTGGTTATCATGGGCAAAAACAAATTGTGAATGTGTATTTCCCAGAAAAGGATATTGAAAATCTGTAATTAGAGAGGTCTTTACTGTTCCTCTGCATTAGAAAATTTGTTTTAATGTAGTTATGTCTCTCTGTTATTAGGAGAAATAAATCCATAAGAATGATCCATTCATTAATTCATTAATTCAGTGAGTATTAATCAAGAGATTACTATGTGCCAGGAACAATGATGAAAACACTGAAAAAAGTAACAATGATTTCAGAAATATTGCATAATATTTGACTGTGAGGTTAATGTCCCTTTATAAAGACTTACATCCATCTCCTTAATTAACAGTGCTCAACAGAACAGCCAACAATCTGATACAGCCTTGTGAACTGTACACATTTAAAAATTTTTATACATACTGATCAAGATAATCATCACTAAAAAAGCATTTTGTGTAGATAAGGAAATTATGAAATAGGACAATTACAGAACTTCTCTGATATTTTCCCTATGTGACTTATTTCATTATCCAAGTCATTATCTATTTCATTATCTATTGTGGGAAAATGTATTTCCTTAGGAGGTAGTGAGTACCTAATCAGTGGAAGTGTAAAAGCACTGCATGTTGCTGATGTACATTTTGTAGTCGGGGCAATCTTGGAGGTTTCTTCTAATTCTGGGGTTATAGAAATGCTCTGAATCTGGTCATGTGCAAGTATATTAAGAATTAATTACATAAAAGAAGATCTGAACAAATGGAGACATTTAGATATTTCTGGGTAGGAAGACAATATGATAAAAGTTTCAGTTCTTAAATTATTCTGTATATTCAAGAAACTTTCAGTGAAAATGCCTAGGGCTCTTTAAAAAAAACTTGACGACTCAATTCCAAAGTTCATTTGGAGGTGAAAGTGTGTGATACTAGACAGAATAGTTGTGATGGTGGTGGTAGTATGTTTTGCCCTACCATACTAAAAAGCTATGCTACTCAAAACAGTGTGGCACTTTTGTAAAGATAAATAAATCAACGAAACACCAGACATCCAGAAGCATATCTTTCCATGTGTGAGAATTTATTATAAAAAGAATGCATTTCAAATCAAAAGAGAGAGATAAACTATTTAATGAATGGTCTATTGCTATTTGTTTTGAAAAAAGAGTTATGAATCTGCTTCCTCTCACACATGAACATACATTTCATGTGCCTTACAAATTTTGCTGTAGAATATGTAATTATATAAGTATGAGAAGAAATTATTGGAGACTTTTAAAATAATCTGGGAAAGGCGTTCCTCAGTGTAGCCAAAACATGAAAATCACCAAAGAAAGGACTGACAGATATAACTACATACAAATCTAAAACTCTTGTCATTGTCTTGTCATATCTATTCTTTCTATGGATTTTACTATTATGTTCCAGGCATTACTCTAGATTCTGAATATAGGGTGAACAAAATGCATATGCTTCTTGCCACTAAGCTTAAGCAAATTTTTTTTTAAATGCATATGGTTCCTGTTGTCATTCATGTTGTAGTCTAGTTGAAAGGATAGAAAATAAGCAAATAGAAACATAATTACTAATTGTGGTAAGTTGTTTGAAGGTAATTACTAAATGTGAAAAGTTTGCCATGAGAGAAAATAACTAGGAAAAACTGTATTGAATTAAATGGGCAGGGAAGTGTCTCTAAATTTATAGATAAACTGAAGAATATGGGGCCCTGGAGAATAATAAGGACCTAGCCATTAGGGAAGGAAAATGTTCTGGGAAGAGAGACCAGTGTATCTGAAGACACTCCTTTTTTTTGTTTGTTTGTTTTGAGACAGGGTCTCACTCTGTTGCCCAGGCTGGAGTGCAGTGGTGTAATCTCAACTCAGTGCAACCTCTGCCTCCCGGGCTCAAGCAATCCTCCCACTTCAACCTCCTGAGTAGCTGGAACTACAGGCACATGCCACCACGCCTGGCTAATTGTTTCATTTTTAGTAGAGACAGGGTTTTGCCATGTTGCCCAGGGTGGTCTTGAACTTCTGGCTTCAAGTGATCTGCCCACTCTGGCCTTCCAAAGTGTTGGGATTACACACATGAATCACCATGCCCGGTCAGTTTTTTGAGGCTCTGGAGAAACAATTTTGGAAAGTCAGTATGGCTGAAATGTAGTTAGTGAAGGAAAAGTTGGCAAGAGATGGGATGAGAGAAATAGGCAGAGGTCAGATCACACAGGACTTTGTAGACCAGTTAAGGAGTTTGGATTTAATTCTAACTAAACTAGGAGTCCATTGAAGAGTTTTAACTTGGGAAAAATTTGATTTAACAAAAGAAACCCTTAAAATGGCACAATTACTTTGGAAAAAGCTCTGGTGTGTTTTTATAAAACTAATCATGCATCTATCTTTTTTAGAACAATTTTATTTAAGAAACAGGGTCCTGGTATGTTGCCCAGCTGGTCTCGAACTCCTGAGCTGAAGCAATCCTCCTGCATCAGCCTCCTGAGTAGCTAGGATTATAGGTGTGTGCCACCATGCTGGCCAAACACCTATCTTACGGTCAGCAATTGCACTTCTTGGAATTTATTCAAGAGAAATAAAAACATATGTCCATGAAAACACTGGTACTGGAAGTACAGGTTAGTAATTCTGAAAGTACTTTAAATGTATACTGGGGCTGGAAAAAATAAGTAAATGAATAATCGATGGTAGGAGCAAGATTTCTCATGACTAGCAGGAAAGTTATAAATAGGTAAAAAGGGAAGGCTAGTACAAGCTTTATGGTACTGGGTGAGAGTCAGAGATAGCAATATGTGCTAGTGTTTAGCTTATGCATACAGAAGCAAAAACAATGATAGATATGTATGAATTCATGGGTTAATAATGTACATACGTATATTATTTAGCTCTGACTCTGAGAGGACCTGAAAGCAATGACACCACCACAAAAACAAACATACCCAGACTCCAGATCTTGGTTTCTAAACACCATTCTCCCATAAAAGGAACCAGGCCTCCTTGGAGAAATGGCTGATTCTCAAGCTGGGTTAGGAAAAATACAAGATGAACCTGAAAAGTCATGCAGTACCAGAAAGTAATGAGGTGCTCAAAAACAAACCAAATGAAACAAAAACAAAATGATGAAGGCATGTCAAAGACACACAGGGGCCAATGGCCAAGGATGGAACAAATTGAGCCACAAAATGACTAACATTGTTTGGATTATAACCCCAAATATAAAATACGCATTTGTCCATAGTGACATAAAAAGATTGAGCAAATAAAGAAGAAATAGTGTTATTTACAAAAAATTTTAAATATTGTATGTAGATATTATTCTTTTAGGCGATAGAGTTTAATCTCCCTCCTTTGAGACCAGGCTGAACTTAGTGAATTGCTTCCAAAGAATTGAGTATGGATGGGAAAAAATAGTAACTTTACAGTGAAGAAACCTGGCAAACATTACCTTAACAGAATGACTGAAGATAAAATCACAAGTGATGTCATGGAGACATAATATACCTCCGATATTATGTGATGAGAAGGACACTTAACCTCTGTGGTTTTCTTTCCAAAAACCCCTAACTCCAGCCTAAGCATGTGACAACCATCAGACAAAATCAAACTGAGGGATATTTTACACAATATTAGATGAGTCAGTGCTCCTGAATACTGTCAAGGTTATGAAAAACAAGAAAAAAATTGAGAACTTATCACAGACACAAGGGAGACTAATGAGATATAACAAGAAAATGCAATGTGATATGCTGGATTGGATTCTGGGACAGAAAATGAACATTAATGGAAGAACTAGAAGTCTGGGTTGGGTGCAGTGGCTCACGCCTGTAATCCCAGTACTTTGGGAGGCTGAGGCAGGCAGATCACGAGGTCAGGAGTTCGAGACCAGCCTGATCAACATGGTGAAACCTCATCTCTACTAAAAATACAAAAATTAGCCAGGTGTGGTGGCGGGCGCCTGTAATCCCAGCTACTCTGGATGCTGAGGCAGGAGAATCGCTTGAACCTGGGAGGTGGAGGTTGCAGTGAGCCGAGATCGTGCCACTTCACTCCAGCCTAGGCGACGAGTGAGACTCCATCTAAAACAAAACAAAACAAAAAAATCAAGTGTAGTGTATAGTAATGTAGCATGGTTGGCTTCTTCATTCTGATGAATGTACCATGACAATGTGAAATAATAACATTGGGGAAACTAAAACTTGGTGAGGGGTATCTGGAAACTCTCTTTACTATCTTTGTAAATTTTATGTAAATCCAAAACTATTCTAAAATAAAAAATGTGTTAAAAAGACTGGTACAAGGATGTTTATAATAGCTTTATTCATAATTATCCAAACCTGGAAACAACACAGTAATAAAAAGAAACAAACTATTGCTATGTACCACAATTATGGATAAATATCAAAAACATCATGCAGAGTGAAAAAAAGCATGTTATTTCTAAAAGTACAAACTGTCCTTGTATGAATCTGGGTCCAGTGAGGAGAAAGAAACCACATAGTAACTTAACAGGGAAAGTTTAATATAAAAATTCTTCATTATACAGAGGATAAGAGTCAACAATGGTTGACTGTTAAGATGTAAAGAGCTCTAAGGAATATAAAAATAGCAGCTATAAGGAGCAGCCAGTATCCCTAAAGCTGAAATACAGTACCCAAGGAAGAGACTCCTCCACCCCCACCACAGGGTTCAGTGAATGGCAGAGTTGTTTTGGTGCAGTGGAACTGGCTGAAAATCTATTCTTTATGATGCCAGGGAAATCTATTCATTGGGACATGTCTCACCAGAGGCACTCTGCTACAGAACTGCCCAAGTGAAGAGTTCAGAGTGGGGTGGGGCGCTAAGGAAAGCTTCTGGATGCTGCTGCCTGCTTCGCACTGCAGGAGCTGGGAACTGGAGAAGTCACAAGCACTGCAGGAGCCTAATGCTGGAGAAAATGCCTGTGATGCAGGGGCTGGACGCTGGAGAAGCTGTGTGCAACACAGGAGCCAGGGGCTGGAGAAGCTGTGTGTGCTACAGGAGCCTGCCAGGTGAGCTCATGGAAACCAGAAAGAAAAACAAAACAAAGCAAAAAAAAAAAAATCTATTTTCCTTCTGCAATGTCTCTCCTATGCCCTCTGTTGATAAAGCCTAATTTTATGCCAACAGCCAAAAGAGAACTCTTTAAAGAGCCCATACTGTTTTAACAGAACAGGAAAAATGGGTGAATTTGGAGCTGAGAGGCAATAAATTATTAACTGGTACAATATGGTACCTTTCTGTTTATTTGGAATTTTAAAAGAAAGAAAACTTACAATAGAAAAAAAAAACCTGGAAAAATAGTTGTCTCTGGGGATTTGGGGAGGTGAGAGGAGGGACTGACTGGAAAGAGGCATGAGGGAATGTTTTGTGGTAGTGGTAATATTCTATATCTTGAGAGTAGTTTAGGTTAACCAAGTCATGCACTTGTCAAAACGAAAGATTTGTGTTTTTCTTTGTATGTAAATTTCACTGTAGAGGAGAAATGTAAACAAAAGTAAACATAAGCATGGTATTTAAGAAGGAAGTGTATTGATTCTTAGAATTTATTTTGAAATACATGAAGAAATAATACGGATTGATGGATGAATAGAGAGATAAACATATGAAGAGGCAAATATTAATGGCAGGATCTAGGTACCAACTAGATCCAGAGGACTAAAACTATTTCAGCTTTTTTTATGTTGGAAACATTTTGGAATTTGATGTCAGAAAGAAAAGATTACCTTAATTGCTGAGGGGAGGATGGATTTTTAGGAGAACAAGAGCAGAGGTGGGCAGATTGATGGGGAGACAATTTTGGTAACGTAGTGACAGGTGATGAAAGCCTAAATTAGAGTAGTGGCAGTGGAGATGGAGAGCAGTAGGATCAGTACAGCTTTGGGGGCTGAAAGTGAGATGTAATAGTGATGTATTGAAGATGAGAGGTGAGGAAAAGGAAGGAATCAGTAATCACAGTCAGGATTTGATTTTATACAGTTCAGTAGATGGCGGTGTGCTGGCTGTGTAGAAAAGACAGGGAAACAGCTTTGAAATATGTGCAGTTGAAGTCAAGAATTCTATCTTAGACCTGTGAATCGGGTTTAAGATATCGATGAGACATCTTGACAGAATTTTCTAGTAAGCAGCTGGATGTATGTTTGGAGAACAGAAGAGAGATCTGGGCTAGAGAAATGTTAAGAATAAAATTAAGAAAATATCAGCTGTTTTGGACTGAGTTGGGCCCCTCCCCTGCCCAAATTCATAAGTTGAAGCCACTCCCAATTTGACTGTATTTGGAAACAGGGTCTTTACCGAGGGAACTAAGGTTAAACGAGGTCAGAAGTGCGGAACCCTAATCCAACAGGACTGGTGGTATCCTTATAAGAAGAGAAAGAGACACCAGCAATCCATGTGCACAGAGAAAAGACCATGTGAAGACACGGTGAGAAGGCAGCCATCTTGCAAGCCAAGGAGGGAGGCCTCATCAGAAACCATCCCTTGCTCTTGAATTGCTAGCCCCTAGAACTGTGAGAAAATAAATTTCTGTTAAGCCACCTAGTGTATGATATTATGGCAGTCCTAGCAAACTAATACACCTACCATAGCATTTAAAGACATGAAAATGGATATCATTACCTAGGAAGCAATTGTAAGAAGAGAAGAGTAGAGGGATCAGCTTTGGGTCTTGAGGAATACCATTGTTGAGTGGCCAAATGGGCCAAGATAAAGCAGCAAAGGAGATAAATAAAGTTAATGGGAAACTGACAGGAAAGAAAAACTCATAAAAGCCAAGAGAGGAAAATGTTTTAACAGGGAAAGAACAGGTGAGTTTAATGCTGCTGCTAGATTGGGTAAGTTGATGATGAAAGAGTCCGCTGAGTAGGAAGCATGCTGATGGCAACAAGGGTAGTTTCTGAGGTGTGTATGGCAAAATACACTAAAAACAAAGTTAAACAGAAAGCCTCCAAAAACAGACTGGGAGAAAAATACTTACACACACACACACACACACACACACACACACACACAGAGAGAGAGAGAGAGAGAGAGAGAGAGAGAATACTATCCATAACACAGAAAGCACTGCTATAATTCAATAAGATCACTGAGTAGGGAAAAACTGGGCAAAGAATATGATAAAGAAATTCTTAGAAGAAATGTGATGCTGAGTCTCCCTTATTAGGGAAATGTCCATTAACTATGAGATACTGTATTTTGTTCTCTATATTGTAAAATATTTAATATTTCATAATATCCAGGTATGCAAAGATACTCTCATATTTTTGGAGAATATGTAAAGCCTTTTTGAAGAATAATTTAGTGTTACCTATCAAAATAAAATTGCTTAAATCTGTTTTCCATTAATTTTACTTCTAAGAATTTTTCCTGTAGAGACATTTACATAGGTATGCAAGATTATATCATATTTCACCAAATCTAATTTCATTGATTAAAAGATGCATCTCGATTTCAGAGATATAAAAATGTGAAAAAAAGTATAACCAGAATTGATGAAATGCAGTATTATCAAGATGTGCATTGCAGCACTGTTTATAAAGTTATAATTGATAATACTGAATTTTAAGCTTCTGTAAAAAGACTAAGGTAGATCTAAATGTACTGACATGGAAACATGGCCACTATTGTTAAGTGAAAAGAATGGATTTGCAGAATAATATTTACTATATGATTATATTTATGTAGGACAAAATTGACATATGTAAATATTTATAGCTTCATTTAAAAATGCTGGTTAGGTAAACACTAAACAGTGGTACTCTCTTACAAGTAGGATTGGCATGGAGGTGAAATACATCTTTTTCTTTTACTTCATACATAGAAGTATTTTTTCTACATTATTTTTGCAGAACAAATAAACTTTATGTTTTAGCCTGCGCAACTTGATTTGGTGAATTTAAGGGAATAAGACAGTAAAAGGGTAACATCTTCTTTAGCATGTTGGAATTAAATTGAGCATTTCAACAACAAAGCTTATAAAACTATGGGTTTTGTTTCCAAAGCTAGATCTGGATGAATGCAAATAGAGTTATGGTCTAGAACTTGTAGAATTCGAGTGGGAACTAGGTGATACGAGATTCTGTAATGAGATACCATTTTAAGGCAGAATTGTAGAATTTGGAGAAAGCATGGGCATTTCATCTAGAAGTAAATATCATATAATTGTTATCCTCAAATTCAGGAAATGGAATCTTTGAGAAATGAGACATGGGATTCTCAGAGCTTCAGTTGCTAGACTTCTTATGCCCGTGCGGTATAAGGGCATGGAACTTACCTATGTAACTGTTTCTGTAGGACGTATTCCTAGAAGTAAAATTAATGGAAAGATGAAAAAGACTCCACAGTCATGCATTTGGCAGCTACAGCTGACACTGAGAGGGGTGCTTCAACTCATTGGCACAGGTCGAGGCAGCTCAGTATTCATATTAAAAACTGGGATGGTAAATTAGGTAATTTTAAGATACATGGGTGATAATACCAATTATTTTATTTTTACTTTTTGCTGTATTAAAAGGTAATTAAATGTGATTGGTTTCCTTAGCTCTTGTGAAGGTATTTTCGTAGGTGAATAGTTTTGTTCCAATTGATGTTTCTGTGAGGGCTGATTGCTGGAAGTCTTGTTCTGCCATTTTCCTCCCCACCTTTGACCCAACACCAATAATTTTAGAAAGCAGCATTGCCACAACATATCCCAAGTATAAATAACTATGTACCATCTTAACATAAGCTGAATACTAACATTTTCATTAGTTGGAATGACTAAACTATTATAAAATAAGTAATGATCATTTATAAAGGATTAAATGTCATTATATCTAAAATTCCACTATTACATGCAGGTCAAATTTCTTCTACAAGTTGAGCCTTTCTCCCCAGCCTTTAATCATTGTAGAAAGGGGGAATAAAATGCTTTGCTAATTCTAGTCTTTAAAGGCACTAAGTCCACAAGATTAAGTTTATGGAAAACAATGTAGGCACAAAGAGACAAAGCTCCTACAGGAGGATTTCAGAACTATAGTGACAAACAAATCGACTGTAAAAAGACATTTTTAGGACAGTCGAAATATGAATCTGAAATGGTTATTAGATGATATTGAAGAATAGTTGATTTTTATAGGTGTGATAATGATATTGTGCTTATGTTAGATAACATTAACCACTCTTCTACCAATACATGCTCATGTATTTAGGGCTGTAATGTCATGATGTCTATGATTATTTTTTCACTTGAGCAAAAGATACAGATGATGCTAACATGGCAAAATATGAATGCTAAATCAAGGTGATGCATATATAGCAGTTATTTATACTCTGCTTTCTATTCCCATATACATTTAAAATATTTATAATAAAAGTTTAACAATGTCTAGGTAAAATAAAATTCGAAAGAGCAAAAAAAATTACAGATGATTATTGGATACGTAAAATTAATTCATGCACAGCATCCCTTCTTTAATCACTTTGCCTCAAGGAGCCTCGGTTTAACTTACCGAGAAAATGAAAGGATTAGATTAGTTGATTGTTTTGTCCTTTCCAGTTCTGAGATACTATACAAGAGAGACTATAACTCAAATGCCTACCCGTGCCAAGCAGGTAATTCAAATTAGTGAACTGGTAAAGTGCTTTGTTGGTCTAAAGGGGGCGCCTCTCCAGCGGAACATTGCCTTTTGATAATGGGGATTGTGTCACCTACCCTTTTTCAAGCAGAGGAAATACAGACGTTTATGCGAAATTCCACACTTTAAATGTTAGCAAACAAAAATGCAAAGAAAAATGCAAGTATGGGAGTGGTGCCGGAGGGACCACCACACCGCGCCACAAGTGTGCGGCCTCCGCGCGGTCCGCGTCTGTGATCGACTGGGACATCCGCGATGGGGCCGGTGAGTGCGGTGAGGAAGGCTGGCCGACTGAAACAGGCGACGATCAGAACATCCCAGTGATGCCAGAGAGAGAGTTGTTTCCAAACACCAGTTCACTTCGGTCTACTTTCACCTACTGTAGTAGCTGAAATCTACACAACACAGCAAACACACCTTGAAAAGAAACTTAGTTTATAATCCCTGTTGGCTCCCGTCTTCCCCCAGGCAATCGGAGGATCGTGTGGTTTACTTCCAGCCAGCTGCCCCGTGGTCCTCCAGCCAGCTCCGGGGGCCACAGTTTTCACACGCTCCGGGAGCGATCCGAGAGCCGCCTTTTCGTGGAAAGTTACGCTGCCGCCTGGCAACCCCCGGGAACGTCGGGAGGGGCAAGTTGCTGCTCATCCCTCAGTGCTCAAGGTAAGAAAAAGATTCTTCGGCCTGCAGGCAGGGAGTTCTCAACCGGAAGTTTCGCCTTCGGGCTGGAGCGTTTCCTGTTTGGTAACTAAGGACGCGGGAAGGTTGCTAGGGCTCCCCCGGCAATTGCCGCGGCACTGTGCAGGTGCCTGGGCTTGACGCGGGTGCTGCTCACCCGCTGTACAAGAAGGCGGATCTTTGCTCTGTATCTTCTCTATCCGTTTGCAGTCATGAGTAGCGAATTCCTGGCTGAGCTGCACTGGGAGGATGGGTTCGCCATCCCGGTGGCGAACGAGGAGAACAAGCTACTGGAAGATCAGGTGAGATCAATTGAAGCAGGCGGGAGGAAGCAGAGAGAGCCTGTTGGGGGCGTTTTCTGGTTGGCAGTACTACCCCAGCCCTTTTATTTCTCTCCTTTCCTAATCCTGTGCTTCCTCTAACACTCCCCCGCACCATCGCCCTCCTCCCTTACCCTCTCTGCCTATTTCAGTAATTGTTAAGCATTTAAAAATGCTATTAAAACCATAATTGACATTTAGGGTTATAAAGCTCGAATTATTACTCCCTTCCTCATGCCCACTCCTCTTACTTATTTCGTTCCTCCTGGCGAGAGAGGAAAGGCTGGTTCCGGCGCCCGCTTTTTCCTTGCTCAAAAATTAAAGAGCTACTTGGAAAAGAATTTCTGAGGTTTGCATAGCAACGGTTATTTGCGCACGTTTATAAATTAAACTCCAGAAGGTTCATATTTCTTTGTGAGTTTTTGTCTGTAATGTTTAAAGCTGAAAGTGACTTGAGATGTTTTCAAGAGGAACAGCCCGGTAAGAATGAAATGTGCGGTTTACAGTTTTTCAAAGAGAAGATTGAGTTGTCACAGATTAACATAAGAAATTTTACGTTGCAAGGACGAACTTACACTAACTACAATTCATAGCAGTTGTTAAAAAAAAAAAAATTGCAGGCCGGGCGCAGTGGCTCACACCTGTAATCCCAGCACTTTGGGAGGCTGAGGCGGAGGAACCCTAAAAGCCAGGAGTAAAACAAGCTTGAACAACAAAGCGAGACCCCCCACAAACCCCTCCCACCGCGTCTCTACGAAAAAATAAAAAAATAAAAAATTGCAACCGGGTCAGCAAATTTTGAAAAACTTTGGTGGTGATATGTTGTGTAGAAGAAGGTCCAAGAATAACAGATGATGCTTACACAACTTTGTAAAACGGAACAGAAAGTTTTCTCAGCTCTAAAAAAGGAAAATGAAAATCCTGTTACTCTACCTTTTGAAAACAATGGAAATGCTTTTTAACACGTTCTGACCTATTTACTCATGTGTAATTTAGAAGACTGCAATTTTTCCCCAAAGGAGGGCAATATTAGGAAATGTAAGGGATCTAGCACTGAGTACCGAGGAATTAATACTAAGTATCCAGCCCTGGGTTCAGATCCTACTTACCAACCCTAATCCTGCTTCTTTTTTTGTAAAGCGGAGATGGAGATGAACAAACTAATTACTTCGCGGGCTCTAGGGACATAATATGGGTTAAGGTTCCATCCAAATTTTAGGTTTTAGTATTCTTGCCATAATATGTGTCACACAGGATTTTTATGTACATATTAAGTATATTAGCTCTTTTAAAAAAGTATAGAGCCATATAAAGAAGAAAAATGAGCACCACAATTGCATTAAATTAAATTGCTTTTTAAACTCTGACATTTAAAAAGCAACTCCTGTAAATTTAAGATATTCAAACAGAATAGAAGGGTATGAGATAAAAACATAAGGTATTTCCTCTCCAAAGTGTCCACTGTACTGTAGAAATGATTACCATGGCATTAAACACACATTTCAGACATCTTGGTATACAGATATACAGAAAGAAGAGAAAAATGAGTATTATAATGGAATTATATATATGCGGTATTTAACACAAAATATTTATTTTAGTATTTGAGAGAAGAAAAAGCAGTTGTTGAATTTCAGGTAAATATTACTTGATCACAAGAGGTGCTGATTGCTAAAAAAATTCCTCTAAGTTAAGAAAAAATTAAATGGTTAATGTTTCTAAGAACTCTATATTTCAAATATAGATTACTGAATGTCTCTGATTTTAAAGAATAAGTTAGCACTCTTACACATTTTCCCACCTCCTTTTCCCCTATTAAAAATAATGGTTTTATCATTTTTAATATTATCAAGTTTTATTTGCATTTGATTCAATGCCCTTAATTTATCACAAGTGTTTAGTGTTAGTTTTATACTTGATTTGCTTTAATGGTCCTTACCGCAGTCACTTTTATTCAGTTTATCTTTCTTGAACTTTTCATTTTGATTTGTCTTTTGGCTGGCTGGATTTTATCCTCAAATGATTGTTGCAAGAAGGGCCCATAGTACTGTGATTTTATATATATATATATATATATATATATATATATATATATATATATATAAAATTATTATTATTATTATTATTATAATACTTTAAGTTTTAGGGTACATGTGCACAACGTGCAGGTTTGTTACATATGTATACATGTGCCATGTTGGTGTGCTGCACCCATTAACTCATCATTTACATTAGGTATATCTCCTAATGCTATCCCTCCCCGCTGCCCACACCCCACAACAGGCCCCAGTGTGTGATGTTCCCCTTCCTGTATCCAAGTGTTCGCATTGTTCAATTCCCACCTATGAGTGAGAACATGCAGTGTTTGGTTTTGGTTTTTGTCCTTGCAATAGTTTGCTAAGAATGATAGTTTCCAGCTCCATCCATGTCCCTACAAAGGACATGAACTCATCATTTTTTATGGCTGCATAGTATTCCATGGTGTATATGTGCCACATTTTCTTAATCCAGTCTATCATTGTTGGACATTTGGGTTGGTTCCAAGTCTTTGCTGTTGTGAATAGTGCTGCAATAAACATACGTGTGCATGTGTCTATAGCAGCATGATTTATATTCCTTTGGGTATATACCCAGTAATGGGATGGCTGGGTCAAATGGTATTTCTAGTTCTAGATCCTTCAGGAATCGCCACACTGTCTTCCACAATGGTTGAACTAGTTTACAGTCCCACCAACAGTGTAAAAGTGTTCCTATTTCTCCACATCCTTTCCAGCACCTGTTGTTTCCTGACTTTTTAATGATCGCCATTCTAACTGGTGTGAGATGATATCTCATTGTGGTTTTGATTTGCATTTCTCTGATGGCCAGTGATGATGAGCATTTTTTCATGTCTGTTGGCTGCATAAATGTCTTCTTTTGAGAAGTGTCAGTTCATATCCTTTGCCCACTTTTTGATGGGGTTGTTTGTTTTTCTCTTGTAAATTTGTTTGAGTTCTTTGTAGATTCTGGATATTAGCCCTTTGTCAGATGAGTAGATTGCAAAAATTTTCTCCCATTCTGTAGTTTGCCTGTTCATTCTGATGGTAGTTTCTTTTGCTGTGCAGAAGCTCTTTAGTTTAATGAGATCCCATTTGTCAATTTTGGCTTTTGTTGCCATTGCTTTTGGTGTTTTAGACATGAAGTCCTTGCCCATGCCTATGTCCTGAATGGTATTGCCTAGGTTTTCTTCTAGGGTTTTTATGGTTTTAGGTCTAACATTTAAGTCTTTAATCCATATTGAATTAATTTTTGTATAAGGTGTAAGGAAGGAATCCAGTTTCAGCTTTCTACATATGGCTAGCAGGTTTTCCCAGCACATTTATTAAATAGGGAATCCCTTCCCCATTTCTTGTTTTTGTCAGGTTTGTCAAAGATCAGATGGTTGTAGATGTGTGGTATTATTTCTGAGGGCTCTATTCTGTTCCATTGGTCTATATCTCTGTTTTGGTACCAGTACCATGCTGTTTTGGTTACTGTAGCCTTGTAGTATAGTTTGAAGTCAGGTAGCGTGATGCCTCCAGCTTTGTTTTTTTGGCTTCAATGAGAACAAAGACACAACATACCAGAATCTCTGGGACACATTTAAAGCAGTGTGTAGAGGGAAATTTATAGCACTAAATGCCCACAAGAGAAAGCAGGAAAGATCTAAAATTGACACCCTAACATCACAATTAGAAGAACTAGAGAAGCAAGAGCAAACACAGTCAAAAGCTAGCAGAAGGCAAGAAATAATTAAGATCAGAGCAGAACTGAAGGAGATAGAGACACAAAAAACCCTTCAAAAAATCAATGAATCCAGGAGCTGGTTTTTTGAAACGATCAACAAAATTGATAGACCGCTAGCAAGACTAATAAAGAAGAAAAGAGAGAACAATCAAATAGATGTAATAAAAAATGATAAAGAGGATATCACCACCGATCCCATGGAAATATAAACTACCATCAGAAAATACCATAAACACCTCTATGCAAGTAAACTAGAAAATCTAGAAGAAATGGATACATTCCTGGACACATACACCCTCCCAAGACTAAACCAGGAAGAAGTTGAATCTCTGAATAGACCAATAACAGGCTCTGAAATTGAGGCAATAATTAATAGCTTACCAACCAAAAAAAGTCCAGGACCAGATGTATTCACAGCCAAATTTTACCAGAGGTACAAGGAGGAGCTGGTACCATTCCTTCTGAAACTATTCCAATCAATAGAAAAAGAGGGAATTCTCCCTAACTCATTCTATGAGGCCAGCATCATCCTGATACCAAAGCCTGGCAGAGATACAACAAAAAAAGAGAATTTTTAGTCCAATATCCCTGATGAACATCGATGCAAAAATCCTCCATAAAATACTGGCAAACCGAATCCAGCAGCATATCGAAAAGCTTATCCACGATGATCAAGTGGGCTTCATCCCTGGGATGCAAGGCTGGTTCAACATATGCAAATCAATAAACGTAATCCAGCATATAAACAGAACCAAAGACAAAAACCACATGATTATCTCAATAGATGCAGAAAAGGCCTTCAACAAAATTCAACAGCCATTCATGCTAAAAATTCTCAATAAATTAGGTATTGATGGGCCGTATCTCAAAATAATAAGAGCTATTTATGACAAACCCACAGCTAATATCATACTGAATGGGCAAAAACTGGAAGCATTCCCTTTGAAAACTGGCACAAGACAGGGATGCCCTCTCTCACCACTCCTATTCAACATAGTGTTGGAAGTTCTGGCCAAGGCAATCAGGCAGGATAAAGAAATAAAGGGTATTCAATTAGGAAAAGAGGAAGTCAAATTGTCCCTGTTTGCAGATGACATGATTGTATATCTAGAAAACCCCATCGTCTCAGCCCAAAATCTCCTTAAGCTGATAAGCAACTTCAGCAAAGTCTCAGGATACAAAATCAATGTGCAAAAATCACAGGCATTCTTATACACCAATAACAGACAAACAGAGAGCCAAATCATGAGTGAACTCCCATTCACAATTGCTTCAAAGAGAATAAAATATCTAGGAATCCAACTTACAAGGGATGTGAAAGACCTCTTCAAGGAGAACTACAAACCACTGCTCAACAAAATAAAAGAGGACACAAACAAATGGAAGAACATTCCATGCTCATGAATAGGAAGAATCAATATCGTGAAAATGGCCATACTGCACAAGGTAATTTACAGATTCAATGCCATCCCCATGAAGCTACCAATGACTTTCTTCACAGAACTGGAAAAAACTACTTTAAAATTTATATGGAACCAAGAAAGAGCCTGCATTGCCAAGTACTGTCATTTTAATTTCTTGCATCCTAGATTGCCAGTCTACTTCCTTGCATTGCCTGCTTTAAGTTTATACATCTTAAAGCATCAGCTCTTCAAGGTACTCTTCTATTCCTTCTGCCCCCTACTTCCCACCCACTTCCTTCTGGAGTGCTGTATTTTCCAATATGTACAGATTTTCCCACAGGCCTGTTTTACAACTGTTACCTTGGAAATTCTCTTTATTCCTCTGCTGAGCTGAGGCTGTATTTCCTAGATCACATACCTTCGTTTTTCTTGTGTAGGCTTACCTTCAAGATATTGTGAGTTCAGTTCCAGACCACTGCAACAAAATGAACGTTGCAATAAAGCAAGTCACACAGTGCATGTAAAAGTTATGTTTACTTTTACTTCAGTCTATTAGGTGTTCAATAAAAAATTCAAAACGTGTGCATACCTTAATTGAAAATACTTTATTGTTAAAAAAAATACTAACAAGCATCTGAGCCTTCAGTGAGTTGTAACCATTTTGCTGGTGGAGAGTCTTGTTTTGATGTTGATGTTTGCTGACTGATCAAGGTGGTGGCTGAAGGTTCAAGTGGCTGTGCCAATTTTTAAAAATAAGAGAACAATGAACTTTGCCGCATCAACAGATTCTTCCTTTCATGAAAGATTTTTCTGTAGCATGCAATAATGTTTGATAACATTGTATGCACAGTAGAACTTTCAAAGGTGGAGTCAATTCTCCAATACCCTGCTGCTGCTTTATCAAATAAGCTTATGTAATATTCTAAATTCCTTGTAATTTCAACAATGTTCACAGCATCTTCACTAGGAGTAGATACTATCTCAAGGAACTGCTTTCTTTGCTCATCTGTAAGAGACAACTCCTCATCTGTTCAAGTTTGTTAATAAAATTGCAGCAATTCAGTCACATCTTCAGGCTCCCCTTTTGATTCTAGTTCTCTAGCTATTTCTACCTTATCTGCAGTTACTTCCTCCACTGAAGTCTTGAACCTCTCAAACTCATCCATAAGGGCTGGAATATTCTTCTTCTAAACTCCTATTAATACCAATATTTGGTCTTCTCTTATGAATCATGAATGTTCTTAATGGCATCAATAATGATAAATCCTTTCCAGAAGGTTTTCAATTTACCTTGCTCAGATCCATCGTAGGAATCACTATCTATGGCAGATATAGCCTAACAAAATGTATTTCTGAAGTAAGTCTTGAAAGTCAAAATTTTTTGTTGATCCATGGGCTGCAGAATGTTCTGTTAACAGGCATGAAAACATTAATCTCTTTGTACGTCTCCATCATAGCTCTTGGGTGACCGGGTGCATTGTCAGTTAGCATTAATTTTTTGTTTGTTTGAGATGGAGCCTTATTCTGTCATCATCCAGGATGAGGTGCACTGGTGTGATCTTGGCTCACTGCAACCTCTAACTCCTGGGTTCAAGCGATTCTCCTTCCTCAGCCTTCTGAGTAGCTGGAATTACAGGCATGTGCCACCATGACTGGTTAATTTTTGTATTTTTAGTAGAGATGGAGTTTCACCATGTTGGCCAGGCTGCTCTTGAACTCCTGACCTCAAGTGATCTGCCTGCCTTGGCCTCCCAAAGTGCTGGGATTACAGGTGTGAGCCACCACACCTGGCCCAATGAGCAGTAATATTCCTTTTTTTCTGAGCAGCTGGAATCAAGAGTGGGCTTAAAATTTTCAGTAAACCATGTTGTAAACAGACATGTCATCCAGGCTTTTTTTTCCTATCTATAGAGCACTTGCAGAGTAGATTTAGCACAATTCTTAAGGGCCTTAGGATTTTCAGAATAGTAAATGAGTGTTGGCTTCAACTTAAAGTCACCGGCTGCATTAGCCCCTAAGAGTCAACCTGTCCTTTGTAGCTATGAACCCAGGCATTGACTTCTCCTATTGAGCTATAAAAGTCATAGATGGCATCTTCTTTTAATATATGGCTGTTTCATCTATGTTGAAAATCTGTTGTTTGGTGTAGCCACCTTTATCAATGATCTTAGTTAGATCTTCTAGATAACTTGCTGCAGCCTCTACATCAGAACTTGCTATCTCACTTTGTACTTTTGTGTTGTGGAGATGGTTTCTTTCCTTAAACATCATGAACCCAGCTCTGCTAGTTTTAAACTTTTCTTCTGCAGCTTCTTCACCCTTCTCAGCCTTCATAGAATTGAAGAAAGTTAAGGGCCCTTCTCTGGATTAGGCTTTGGCTTACAGGAATGGTGGTGCATGCCTGTAATCCCAGCTACTCAGGAGGCTGAGGAAGGACAATCGCTTGAACACAGGAGATAGAGGTTGCAGTGAGCCGAGATCACACCACTGCACCTGTAAGCTGATTGTGGCTGATTTAATCCTCTATCTGGACCACTAAATCTTTTGATGCAGGGAAGGCAAACTCCAGAATTGGGGCTTAGCCCTGGAGGGTTCTTGGCTCCACACAGGAAATAATTCAAGGGTGAGCCAGTGGTGTTAGACAGCAACTTTTATTGAAGTGGAAGTATGCAGCAGCAGAGGTACTGCTCCTTGTGGAGCAGGGATACTTGAAAACAGGTGCCCAGAGTAGCAGCTCAGAGGCAGTTTTGCAGTCATATTTATACCCACTTTTAATTATACATATACTTAGGGTCAGATTATGCAGCAGTTTCTAAAACAAGGGTGGTAACTTCCAGGTGATTGGGTTGTTGCTATAGAAAGGAGTGATAACTTTTTTTTTTTTTTTTTTTTTTGACACAGAGTCTTGCTCTGTCACCCAGGCTGGAGTGCAGTGACACCATCTTGGCTCACTGCAACCTCTGCCTCCCAGGCTCAAGCATTCTTGTGCCTCAGCCCTGCAAGTAGGTGGGATTACAGGTGCATACCACCACACCTAGCTAGTTTTTGTATTTTTAGTAGACACAGGGTTTTGCCATGTGGGACAGGCTGGTCTTGAACTCCTGGCCTCAAGTGATCTGCCAGCCTTGGCCTCCCAATATGTTGGGATTACAGGTGTGAGCCACCGCATCCAGCCCAAAGGGGTGATCACTTCTGGGTGTTGCCATGGCAATGGTAAACTGACATGGGACGCTGGCAAGCATGTCTTATGGAAAGCTGCTTCCCCTTCATCCCTGCTTTAGCTAGTTCTCAATTTGGTTGAAGCCCTGCCTTTGAGTCTAGACCCACCTCATATTTCACTTTCTCCATATCAGTGATAAGGCTATTTTGCTTTGTTATCATTTGTATGTTCAAGGGAGTAGCACTTTTGATTTATTTCAAGAAATTAAATGAAAAAAAGTAAAGAAAGCAAAAAAAAAAAAAAAAGAGAAAAAAAAGGCACTGTGGTACTTTACATATACAGACATGAAGCACCATCTGTGGAATTAGAGTAAATGAATAAAATCAGTAAAGTGTGTTTTTCCACTAGTAAAAGTGTGGACCTCTGAATATCAAAGCTTCTTAAAGTATTGGTTTAACCAAATCTTTTGATTTTTAGGACCATTTTACTTGTAGGTGAGAATACTTTGATATAAAGACCTTTCTTTTCTTCTTTGCCTTGGATTCTAGGAAATAGTCATAGAAAATTGTCAGCTTTTGTTTAATGTCACTCATCTTCAGGAATTAATTACACACACACACACACACACACACCCCTTCCATACACACCACTGTACCCAACTTAATTACATGATAATACTTGTACACATCCTTAAAAATATTAAGTATATTACATAATTTTTTTTTTACAAGGCAGTGGTTGTCATGGGCAAAAACAAATTATGAATGTGTATTTCCCAGAAAAGGATATTGAAAGTCTGTAATTAGAGAGGTCTTTACTGTTCCTCTGCATTAGAACATGTTTTTAATGTAGTTATGTCCCCGTTATGAGGAGAAAAAATCCATAAGAACGATCGATTCGTTAATTCAGTGAGTATTAATCAAGAGATTACTATGTGCCAGGAACAATGATGAAAACACTGAAAAAAAGTAACAATGATTTCAGAAATATTGCATAATATTTGGCTGTGAAGTCAGTGCCCCTTTATAAAGACTTTATTTACATCCATCTCTTTCATTAACAGTGCTCAACAGAGCAGTCAACGATCTGATGCAGCCTTGTGACGTGTACATTTTTAAAAATTTTTATAGATACTGGTCAAGATAATCATCACTAAAAAAGCATTTTGTGTAGATAAGGAAATTGTGAAACAGGACAATTACAGGACCCCTCTGACATTTTCCCTATGAGACTTATTTCATTATCCAAGTCATTATCTATTTCATTATCTATTGTGGGAAAATGTATTTCCTTAGGAGGTAGTGAGTACCTAATCAGTGGAAGTGTAAAAGCACTGCATGTTGCTGATGTACATTTTGTAGTCAGGGCAATCTTGGAGGTTTCTTCTAATTCTGGGGTTATAGAAATGCTCTGAATCTGGTCATGTGCAAGTATATTAAGAATTAATTACATAAAAGAAGATCTGAACAAATGGAGACATTTAGATATTTCTGGGTAGGAAGACAATATGATAAAAGTTTCAGTTCTTAAATTATTCTGTATATTCAAGAAAGTTTCAGTGAAAATGCCTAGGGCTCTTTAAAAAACACTTGACAACTCAATTCCAAAGTTCATTTGGAGGTGAAAGTGTGTGATACTAGACAGAATAGTTGTGATGGTGGTGGTAGTATGTTTTGCCCTACCATACTAAAAAGCTATGCTACTCAAAACAGTGTGGCACTTTTGTAAAGATAAATAAATCAGCCAAACACCAGACATCCAGAAGCATATCTTTCCATGTGTGAGAATTTAATATAAAAAGAATGCATTTCAAATCAAAGGAGAGAGATAAACTATTTAATGAATGGTCTATTGCTATTTGTTTTGAAAAAAGAGTTATGAATCTGCTTCCTCTCACATACGAACATGCATTTCATGTGCATTACAAATTTTGCTGTAGAATATGTAATTATATAAGTATGAGAAGAAATTATTGGAGACTTTTAAAATAATCTGGGAAAGGCATTCCTCAGTGTAGCACAAAACATAAAAATCACCAAAGAAAGGACTGACAGATATAACTCCATACAAATCTAAAACTCTTGTAATTCCTATATCTGTTCTCTCTGTGGATTTTTATTGAGTGCTATTATGTTCTAGGCATTACTCTAGATTGTGAATGTCTGGTGAACAAAATGCATATGCTTCTTGCTATTAAGCTTAAGCAAAAAATTTTTAAGAATGCATATGGTTCCTGTTGTCATTCATCTTATAATCTAGTAGCAAAGATAGAAAATAAATAAACAACAAATAGAAACATAGTTACTAATTGTGGTAAGTTGTTTGAAGGTAATTACTAAATGTGAAAAGGTTGCCATGAGAGAAAATAACTGGGAAAAACTGTATTGAATTAAGTGGGCAGGGACGGCCTCTCTAATTTTATATACAAACTGAATAATATGAGGCCCTGAATAATAATATACAACTAGCCATTAGGGAAGAAAAATGTTCTAGGAAGAGACACCAGCATATCTGAAGACCCCAAGTCTGGAAGAGTCCTTGGTTTTTTCATTTGTTTTGTTTTTTTGAGACAGGGTCTCATTTTTTTGCGCAGGCTAGAGTGCAGTGGCATGATCTGAGCCGACTGCAACCTCTGTCTCCCAGGCTCAAGTGATCCCCCTACTTTAGCTTCCTAAGTAGCTGGGACTACCATTGTGTGCCACCATACCCGGCTAATTTTTTTTTATTTTTAGTAGAGATGGGTTTTGCCATGTTTGCAAGACTGGTCTTGAACTCCCGGTCTCA
The DNA here is from genome assembly GCF_000001405.40 of Homo sapiens. Lineage (NCBI taxonomy): Eukaryota > Metazoa > Chordata > Mammalia > Primates > Hominidae > Homo > Homo sapiens. The sequence continues at coordinate 180,668,160 of NC_000003.12, read as the reverse complement.
AGTGATCTGTCCGCCTTGGCCTCCCAACATATTGGGATTACAGGCATGAGCCATTGTGCCTGGTTCAAAGGGGTAATAACTTCTGGGTGTTGCCATGGCAAAGGTGAACTGACATGGCACACTGGTGAGCATGTCTTATAGAAACCTGCCTTCGCCTGAACCTGTTTTAGCTAGTCCTCAATTTGGTCTGGTGTCTGAGTCCTGCCTCTGGAGTCTAGACCCATCCCTACCTCACTTTTTCCATTTCAGCAATAAGGCTATTTTGCTTTCTTATCATTTGTGTGTTCAAGGGAGCAGCACTTTTAATTTTCTTCAAGAACATTTCCTTTGTATTCACAACTTAGTTAATTGTTTGGTGCAAGAGGCTGAGTTTTTGGCCAATGTCAACTTTGGGCCTTCATCATTTCTAGCTTTTGATTTTTATACATAGAGGCCATCGCAAGGTTATTAATTGGCCTAATTTCAATATTGTGTTTCAAGGAATAGAGAGGCCCCAAAAGAGGGAGAGAGATGAGGGAGGCCTGATCAGTGGTGCAGTCAGAACAGATACAACATTTTTTGATTAAGTTCATTGTCTTAGAGAGGCACGGTTTGTGGCACCCCAAAACAATCACAATAGTAACATCGACGCTCACTGATCACTGATAACCATAACAGATATAATAATAATGAAAAAATTTTAAATATTGCAAGAGGTACCAGAATGTGACATAGAGACACAAAATAAGCACATGCTATTGGAAAAATGATGCTAATAGACTTGCTAGACACAGGGTTGCCACAAACCTTCACTTTGTTAAAAATGTGCCATTGGAGAAGTACAATAAAGTGCAATGAAATGGAGTGTGTCTGTATTATTCCCTTATTTTGATAGAATAGTTTCTTGTGTCTCCATAAGAAGACTGTTTGAGATGTAAACACTCTGAATCTTTGAATCTCTGAAAATATCTTTATTTACACTCACATCTGATGGTAGTTTGACTGGGTAGAAGACTCTAAGTTGAAAATAATTTTACTTCAGAATTTGGAATGTATCAATTATCTTCCAGCTGTGTTTCAGTTAGTAATCTGATATTAGTCTGATTTCTGTTTCTTTGTAGTTTACCTTTTTTAAAAAAAAACTCTGAAAGTATTTAGGGTTTTATCTTTCCATTGCATGTTTTATTTCGGCAACTATATTGATGAACTATATTTTCAAGTTCTTTGTTGCTTTTTTGTAGCACCATGGTCTTGTTTTAGGGGTAAAATATCTTCTCCAATCTGATTGTGTGTGTGTGTGTGCGTATGTGTAATGTGTATGTATTTAGTTCTTGTCTTTTTTGTCCTGAATTATCTGTTTCTTCTGGGATCTTCTTTGCTTATTTTGGCATCCTGCACATGATGTAAGTTTTCAATAAATATCTGGTGATTGTTACATGTCCCTTTATATTTAAGAAAGAAGCTATAAAATGTTGTTTGGAAACTCTTTGGGGAAGGGCTTTTCAACTTATGGAGAGTTAATTATGCTTTCATTTAAAAGTCAGAAGTTTGCTCTGGGGACATTATGCAATTATAAATGGCATAATTGATGAAGCAAATAAAAGTCATAAAGCTGTATGTACAAAACACAAAAGCTAATTACTTAAAAGCAAGACCTATTATAAATGCAAGTAGACTTTGACAAAAGTACAGTTACAGTGAGCTATTTCATTAATGAGCACCTCAGAATTAGACAACTCTACTAGACAAAAATAAGGATATATGGGATATAATACAATAAAAGTAAAAACATAGAGACACCTGTCTCTTGAATAGATAACATACACCTTAAAACATACCCATAAAACATTTACAAGAGTGGATCATGTACTATACCAAAACAAAATCTTAATGCATTAAAAGTCAATGACGAAACTTGAAAGCATTATGCTAAGTGAATAACCCAGAAACAAAAGGCCAAATATTGCATGATTGCATTTATATGAGGTACCTAGAGTAGTCAAATTCATAGAGATGGAAAGTGGAATGGTGGATGTCAGGGGCTGAGAGGAGCAGGGAATGGGGAGTCAGTGTTTATCTGTATAGAGGTTCAGGGAAGATGAAAAAGTTCTGTAGATGGATTGGTGGTAATGGTTGTATAACAGGGTGAATGTACTTATTGCCACTGAACTGTACACATAGCAATGGTTAAAATGGAATATTTTATGTTGTATATTTTGCCAAAATTAAAAAATTATAATCCCTAAAATGCTGTACAAACAAACATTTTGTAGGTCACATTATTTGATGATAAGCCAATAGAATTTATAATAGATTATTTTTAAATTATTTTTAAAAATTATTAAATAATTAAAAATGATCCTCCGTATTAAATACTTAGGCATGTTTCTGAGAAATATTCTTGGGTGGCCCTTATATGAAAAAGAAATTGAAAAGGAAAAATCACCTTTTAGAAAACAATAAAGAGACTGCTTTATGCCCAGATCCATGGGAAACGGCAAAAATTTTATTTAAAGAAAACATATAGCCTTAAATGCCTTTTTAATTCAATCATTAAGACAAAAAGTAAAGAAACTAAGAACTCATTTTAATAACTTTTTAAAAAAAGAACAGGAAACGAGAGGGAATTAAAAGTTTAATGACACAAAAAGCAAAAAAAAATTTAATATTAGTATAGGACATACAAATGAGTAAATTAGTATTTTTTTCTTAAATTGAAATTCTAATATTTCCTTTCACACTTCCGTGGATTGTGTTGTGTACCCTCAGGAGATATCCCTGACTTTGGGGACTGTAGCTCCAGACCTCAAGAAAGCATATTTTTATTTTGTTGAGCTTATATGCTGCTTTGAGGGACAGTATATTCTAATAATCCTGAGAATCTGTCTTATAATTTCCCAAGGATTTATTTTGTTTAACATTTACACAGTTTTGTTTCCAGTCAGAGTTATAATTCAAAGGTAAACAAAATACATTAAGCAACAGTTTCTAGGTACATAAGAGTCAGTTGTTCTGTTCTCTTAAACTTAGCCCAGTTCAATGGGGTTTGAAAAGGAGTTCTTGGAGAAGAAATCATGCTTGATGCCTTGCGACTATTCACATTTATGGTTCCTGCTCTGTTTTTGTTACATCTTGTTAGTATGCTCTTGTTCGCTTAAGATATCTTGTGGTTTAGGCCAGGTGTGGTGGCTCATGCCTGTAATCCCAGCACATTGGGAGGCTGAGGTGGGCAGATCACCTAAGGTCAGGAGTTCGAGACCAGCCTGGCCAACATGGTGAAACACCTTCTCTACTAAAAATACCAAAAAAAAAAAAAAATTAGCCAGGTGTAGTGGTGGGCACCTGTAATCCCAGCTACTCAGGAGGCTGAGACAGCAGAATCTCGTTGAACTCGGGAGGCAGAGGTTACAGTGAGCCGAGATCGCGCCACTGCACTCCAGCCTGGGTGACAAGAGCAAGACTCCATCTCAAAAAAAAAAAAAAGATCTCTTGTGGTTTAATAATGGAGTAGAATCTCATTTTTGCCCTATAAAAATATAGTATTGCTGTATGAAAAATGCATTTTTGAGTAGATCTGCTACCGCTGCAAATCTAAGAGAGATTTCCATTCCGTGTAATATGGTGCTAATTTTCCCACAGCAATCTCCAAATCACAACACTATTTTATAACATTTAAAGAATTAGTAGATTTTAGAAGTTCATGTGGACATTTAAAGAAACAAAATGCTATGTTTTTAATGTTTGTGTCCTCCCAAAATTCATATGGTGGTCTCAATCCTCAATGTGATGGTATTTCGAGGTGAAGCCTTTGAGAAGTAAACAGGTCATAGAGGTAGAGCCCTCATGAATGGTGTTGGTGCTCTTTTAAGAAAAGACAAGAGGGAGATGATCTCTTTCTCTGTCATGTGAAGATACAGCAAGAAGGCATCTGTCTGCAAATAAGAAAGAGGGCCCTCACCAGGAATCATATTAGTTGGCACCTTGATCCTGGACTTCCTAGCCTTCAGAACTGTGAGGAATTTCTCATGAATCAAATTAAATTTTGTTTAAGCTACCTAGTCTATGATATTTTTGTTATAGCAGTCCAAATTGACTAAGACAATGTAAATGAAAATTTAATTTTCTTTGATTTTAGGTCCTTCATATGGTAAAACTTAATAGGACTTTGGTTAATCATAGTATTTATTATTTACAGTTGTCAAAGCTGAAGGATGAAAGAGCAAGCTTGCAAGATGAGTTACGTGAGTATGAAGAGCGAATTAATTCTATGACTTCTCACTTCAAAAATGTTAAGCAAGAGCTCTCAATTACACAGGTACAGTAACTGAAATTTATGTTGATTATATCGTGTAGTCATGGAACATCTCATAGTATATTTACATCTGCGATTTTTACAGCTATAATAGGAAACCTTAGCATAATTAAACTATTGTGAACATAACCTTGAACATGAAAGTAGATAGAAAAAGGCTTAGAGGAACTAACTACTGGTCCAATTTTTTTTTTTTTTTTGAGATGAAGTCTCGCTCTGTTTCCTAGGCTGGAGTACAGTGGCGTGATCTCAGCTCACTGCAACCTCTGCCTCCTGGGTTCAAAAGATTCTCATGCCTCAGCCTCCCGAGTAGCTGGGATTATAGGCACCCACCACCCCCAGCTAATTTTTGTATTTTTGGTAAAGATGGGATTTCACCATGTTGGTCAGGCTGGTCTCGAACTCCTGACCTCAGGTGATCCTCCCGCCTCAGCCTCCCAAAGTGCTGCGACTGCTCCAATTTTAACCAAAAAATTAATCCATATGAAAGGAGAAATCATTATTCAAACAATCTGTATTAGACAGCAGGTTATTTGAGAAAGGTACAATGATGGTGGTGAGAAATGATGGCTATAAGCAGAAACAGAACTAATATAATACATAATAAAATTTCTGTCTCCTTTTTAATTTTTCAGCACAACTCACTGGGGCCATTTTGAGTGGAGGCCAGTAGTCTACACATCTTAGCATTGTTCAAGAATTGAAATTCATAATAATAATCCTGAGATTAAAAAGTTAGATTATACTTAAGAGACTTTATTTAAGATAACTGGGGAAGACATTAGGCATCTTAGAAATGTTAACATAAATATAATAAAAATTAAAACTTGTGGTTATTAAGTAAGCTTCATAATCTGTTCAAGTGTAGAAACTCACTCCCTAATGATGCCCAGCAAACCAGGCAGCTCAGCAAACAGCATTGGAGAGTTTTCTAACTTCTGTCTCAAACTAGTTTTTTTAAAGTGCATCTACTGTCTGAGAAATAGTATGTAGTTTCAAAAAAATGAACAGTGCCATATTTTAAAAAGCAATTTATAATCAATATAGATAAGTATTTCATGACTTACAAGTCTTATTAGAAAGTTACAAATTTAATAAACTTAAAAACAAACTCAGAATTCTTGAATCTCAATGTGATTGAGTAATTGATAAACTATTTGGAACAACACTTTTCCTTAAGTTGTTAAACTACTGAGCTGGGGATTGGAGAGGCAGAGACTCTGTAGTTGTATCTTATTATCATCAAACCTCAAATGAATAGAGTAATAGAGACAAAAGAATAATAAACCTCCAACAATGGTAGCTTTAGTACTGTAAAATTAATACTAAGTGATAACTTTGAAGCACTGTAAAATTAGTTAACACATACTCTTTTATTACATAAAACTGAACATAAAGATGTGATTATATGCTAATATATTCTAGAGAATATTCACAACCATTGGTGTTTAAATAATTATTTAAAAATAATGTCTGTTAATTAGAATATGTGATCAATTCATATAAAACATGTCATTTCTCAACTGTTTTTTAATGGATATTTCTTATTTGTAGATAATAAGTTTTAAGTCTAACTGAAACTTTGGTTTTCTTTAGTTTTCCTAGACCAGCGTAGTATCTGAAAACTATTGACAGTATTTTCTCCTAGCACAGTTCATTGACTTTCTTACAACTAGTGAGCAACACCAACTATATTGTAATCACAGTCTAATGTAATGTAGATTTTAGAGTAGTGGAATTAGTAGTACTTAATGTAAGCAATTTATGGGAACTTTGTTTTAATCTAATGGATTATTATAAATATTTGTATTCAAAATTTCTAAAATTTTAAAAGCCTTTTTATCTTGTGTGTTATTCTGTAGTCTCTTTGCAAAGCAAGGGAGCGTGAGACTGAAAGTGAAGAACATTTTAAGGCCATTGCTCAAAGAGAATTGGGACGAGTGAAAGATGAAATTCAACGGCTGGAAAATGAGATGGCTTCAATACTGGAAAAGAAAAGTGATAAAGAAGTATATGTTGAAATATTACTTAAAATTCTGTGCTACTGCTCATTCTTCCATCACCAAATGAGCATTGACTTTTTTTTTTCTTGTATGGGAAAGGCATACATTAGTTTCCTAGTGTTTACTTACGTATTTTTTGGACAGTGAAAGGCACATGGAGCTGTGATTTGAATGAAACAATAATAGAATAGTACATTTTCCCATTATTCATTCATCAGCTACTTACTGAGGCTTACTATATGCAAAGTACCATGCTTGCTGCCTGTTATAAAATACTAGGCGTGGTTTATATGTAAGTGTTAGATTTTTAACAGCCACATTTTAAAAAATACTTTTAGTTTTGAATTTCATTTAAAATATTGACCTTTCATATTGATTTATCAGTTTTGTGACTCTAACATTAAACTACTTTAACCTATTTCTGTCTTTTCTTTAGTTTATAGTTACTTGATTTGGGAGCTCTTTCCAAATTCTGATTCTTCTCTTTACATGTGCATATACATATGGAAATACACTTACATATTTTATAATGTAATCTTTGTGTATAATTACATACTTATTAATTTGTATTTGTTTATATAGTTGTCTCTGTTTTTTTATGAGTCTAGATTTGTTAAGTGACTAAATATACATAAATGTTTTTATCTCTTTTACTATATTTACTTCAGTTAGAAATGTTTCCAAAATTTCTCTATAAGAGACTTCTTAGGGCAAACAATATGATTGGAAATGGGGCTGAAGGATACTTGTCTTGGATTTGAGTTAGCATACCAAACATATTATTTTAATTATGATTGCATATATATTTGGGGTGGCTTTGGTGGAATGATTAATGCAGTTGCTGTGAGGGAGCTACCTTAAAGCCTAAAGGCTTTTAAAGCAAGCTTTGGCTCAACTACTGTTCTTGACTTTGTATAGTCATCTCTCCTCTATTTTACAATGAAAGAATTAAGATACAAGCTATATAATTATAGTTTATATTATTAAAATATGGCATATTATAAACATCTGGAAGGCAGGGACAGGATTTCCTCATTTTTAATTTTGCTCCATAGTATATAAAGGTATGTTTTATTTTAGTCTGTATAGTAAGTAATGTTTTGTAATCTCCCCTTTTCTCTCTCTCTTTGGAAATTAGAATGGCATATTTAAAGCCACTCAAAAATTGGATGGTTTGAAATGTCAAATGAACTGGGACCAGCAAGCATTGGAGGCCTGGTTAGAAGAATCAGCTCATAAAGATAGTGATGCTCTCACTCTCCAGAAGTATGCACAACAAGATGATAATAAAATCAGGGTGAGAAATTACAAATTGTAACTGTTAGGTTTTCTCTAACTCTGTAGTATGTCAACCTATTTACCTAAAGTTATACTTAGGATTTTTAAGGCAGCAATTCTTAAACTTCTGAGTCAGAGGCTTCTTGGAGAAGCTAATAAAGCCAAATGTCTTCTCTGTAGAAAAAATGACTATATTCAAATACCCATAAAATATTGCTGACTGTTTCATAGATTCTCTGATTCCCTTTGATTATTTGAGGATTCATGGATCGCAGGTTAAGAATATCCTGATTTATAAGGATGCTCAAAAGCATTTCAGAAGAGAAAGTTTTCCACTAGAACTATTTTAATATATTTTAGCTATTTTGCCTAAAATGTAGTTTGAATATTACATGTAGTTTTTGCTGATTTGAGACTGTAGTGCTATTGATTATGTTATAAAAATCACTTAAAATCTACTTATATCTGGTGATACTAATAAAGCTAGTATTATAAAACATGCTATTTTCTAGTAGATTTAATACCAATGCATTATTTTAAAACTTTCAAATAGGAAATTATAACTTAATCTTTTTTCTAATTTACTTTAAAAATATTAAAAGTCATTTTAGAAACAATTGAGTTTTTATGCAGCTATATGCAAACACATTAGATTAGCTTTTTGGGGTTAAAAGATAAGAAAGATATTTATTATTTCACAGTTTTAGATATAAAATAAATGTAAATGTATAGTGTAATACTATTTAATGTTAGATACACTAATAACATTTAAATTAATAGAATGAGAATTATAAGTATCTGTATATAATTACATCATAGGCACTGACTCTGCAATTAGAAAGACTAACTTTGGAATGTAATCAGAAAAGAAAGATACTTGACAACGAACTTACAGAGACTATAAGCGCACAGGTTAGTTTAAGGAAGATTTTTATTTCTTAATTTTCAAGGTGATGTTTGCAAAACCACTTAAATTCACAGAAATGTTCTTTGCTCTCTGTTTGACAGTTAGAATTGGATAAAGCAGCACAAGATTTTCGTAAGATTCATAATGAAAGACAAGAACTCATTAAACAATGGGAGAACACAATAGAACAGATGCAGAAGAGGGATGGAGACATAGATAACTGTGCTTTGGTAAAGTAGTTGTTTGGTCCTTGTAATGTTCAGCTGCATTTGTCTCTTTTGTATTTAACTCATTATTCCAAATGTAAATCACATTGTTATTTGAAAGTCACTTTTGTAGCAATATTCAGTAGTTTTGGTAAATATTTTTGAAAGCTGACTCTATATCCATTTGGAAATGTGATGAAGATTATTTGAGTGTAGTATTATAACTCCAAACACTGGATCCTGTCATCTCAGAATTGCGGAACAAGAAAGAGTCAGTAGATACTGTTCTGGCAATAAAACCAATGCCCTGACTTACACATGGCTGTCCAAGGTCCCTTGGATTTAATGTGTATGCTATTTGGCAATAAGTTACAGTAGGGAAATGGAACCTCCATGAACAGCCAAGGGACAAGGAGTCAGAAAAGAAACCTAGACTGCAGTAAAGTTTCACTTTTGAAGCTGAGACACCAATAATGACAAAGAGGCTTGGAAGCGGGGAATACTGCACTGATAACACAGACCAAGTGTTATCTCTTGTTATTTTCAGAGGTAATTTAGGAGAATGTTTTTGGAAAATCATTAAGGAATGAAATAATGGGGAATAAAAGTGGGAAGATTTGAGAAAGAGAAGGAATTCAGAGTCAGGTGAGAAGATGGGTTAAATTCTATCTACTCCATGGAAAGGCATTTGGCAAGCAGCTCAGGCTACTGGGAGTTTAAATTCTGGTATCTGGGTGTGGTTTACTTTTGGTTGTTATATTTTCAATTTCTGTAAGTAACCAACATTTTATCAACAAAACTGGTTATACCTCCCTAGGAGGGACAAAGGAGAACCAATCTTAACTATGAGGTTCTCTTAATTCTCTCTTTTTTTTTTTTGAGACGGAGTCTTGCTCTGTCACCAAGGCTGGAGTGCAGTGACCTGATCTCTGCTCACTGCAAGCTCCACCTCCCGGGTTCACGCCATTCTCCTGCCTCAGCCTCCGAGTAGCTGGGACTACAGGTGCCCGCCACCATGCCTGGCTAATTTTTTTGGATTTTTAGTAGAGACGGGGTTTCACCGTGTGTTAGCCAGGATGGTCTCGATCTCCTGACCTCGTGATCCACCTGCCTCAGCCTCCCAAAGTGCTGGGATTACAGACATGAGCCACCGCGCCTGGCAGAGGTTCTCTTAATTCTTTTTTTTTTTTTTTAAGGAGGTTCTTTTAATTAATGCTGATACTACCTTTTTTTTTTGAAACTGAGTTTCACTCTTATCGCCCAGGCTGGAGTGCAATGCCGTGATCTCAGCTCACTGCAATCTCTGCCTCCCGGATTCAAGCAATTCTCCTGCCTCATCCTCCCAAGTAGCTGGGATTACAGGCTCCCGCCACCACGCCCAGCTAATTTTTGTAGTTTTTTTTTAGTAGAGACAGGGTTTCATCATGTTGGCCAGGCTGGTCTCGAACTCCTGACCGCAGGCAATCCACCCGCCTCCCAAAGTGCTGGGATTACAGGCGTGAGCCACCGCACCTGGCCTGCTATTAATATTTCTTAACTTCTCATTGCTTTCAAACATTAAGCTGTTGACTTACAAGGAAGAAGCTGAAGCAAAATTAATGGAAGCAGAGTTTCTTTTGGCCAAGCTTGAGGATTGATTCCTGGGAACCTGGGAGTATAGATTCAAGTTGCCCTGAATATACACTCCAATTAGCAGCAGTTACAAGTTGATTTTTAAAGAGGGAAAAAAGAGCGAGTTCCTGAGTTGTTTATCAAGAATTTACATTGAAATAACATCAGCTATTGATTGGCTATACATTGTTGAGCTGCAGGGTGTGGGTTATAGTATCTGCTGAGGCATTATTAGGTTAATTTATAGCTGCTTGTGGCAATAGCAAGCTGTATCAAGACATGAGTACACAGCTCATAAAAGGGGTGCAGTGGGATGTTATTTCTGTCTGATTTTAATGCCTTTCTGGGCTTGATAATGTAAAATTCTCAGATAAAAATTCTTTTCTCAAGTCATGACTGCTTCCTCTCTGTCAGTCATGTGCGAGATCCAAGATTACGGATCCACAATCAGTTTTCTCATACAACCCCATGGCTAAAGTAACTCGGTCAGCTGATTTGGCAGAATACACAACTAGTAGCTCCCTGGTCACATTCATAGTGGTTCCTTACTTACATGTTGACATCTCCTGATTGTGCTGTCAGAGACTAAGGAGGGTGCTAAGAGGTGGTTCCGTTAGGCAGCAGGATGCTTCTAAGTGTTTGACAACTGCTATATGAGAATAAAACAAAACAACACATTTTGAAAAAACCCCTGATCTATAGGATTTCTGATTTCTATGGTTTTATTATTTTCATACTGTTACCAGAAAGGGGTCCTGATCCAGACCCTGAAAGAGTGTTCTTGGATCTCATGCAAGAAAGAATCTGAGGCAAATCCACAGAGTAAAAGTGAAAGCAGCTTTATTAAGAAAGCAAAGGAATAAAGGAATGGCTATTCCATAGGCAAAGCAGCCCTGAGGGCTGGTGGTTGCCCATTTTTATGGTTATTTCTTGATTATATGCTAAACAAGGGGTAGATTATTCATGCCTCCCCCTTTTAGACCATATAGGGTAACTCCCTGACATTGCTAGGGCATTTGAAAACTGCCATGGTGCTGGTGGGAGTGTCTTTTAGCAGACTAATGCATCATAATTAGCATATAATAAGCAGTGAAAATGACCAGAGGTCACTCTCTTTTCCATCTTGGTCAGGGGGGGTTTTAGCTGGTTTCTTTACTGCAAACTTTTTAATCAGCAAGTTCTTTATGACCTGTATCTTGAGCCAACCTCCTGTCTCATCCTGTGACTTAGATTGCCTGTCTGGGAATGCAGCCCCGTAGGTCGCAGCCTTATGTTAACGCTGCTCCTCTTCAAGATGGAGTTGCTATGGTTCAAATGCCTCTGACGGTAGCATATTGGAGGGTGGAATATTTTATCTCCTAACTGATATTATACTCTTTTGTTCCTCTTCCTGCAAAACAGTTCATTCCTGCCTTCTCAGCATTTTCTTTTCAGGGGTCTGGTCATAAAATCCTGAAATTGTATTCTTAAAAGAAACAACGTGTAGAAGTGGAAAAATATTTTTCTACTATGCTTTTATTACAGTGTAGAAGTTTTAAAATATTACTTAGTATTACCTATATGAAAATTTTATGATGCATAGCACTATTAAGTATGATGTTGAAGTAGAATTAAAGCATCTGATTAAGTGGTAGAAAAAATCATAAGGCAAGAAACTCTGGATTCATATTCTGAAATATTTAAACTTAGGAAGTTTTGACGTGTCTTTTGAGTGAATGAACACAGTAAATATTTAGAACAACTTAAAAATTGGATTAAACAACTTGAAAACTAAACAACTTTAAAATTTCCTTTTTAAAATATATCTCAGATGTGTAGCCATTTAATATGCTAATATGTATACATGCAGCATTTCTAAAACCTGTTGATTTCAGAACACATACCTCCTCCCCCAATCTCCTGTGATTAGTTGTTTGGAAGGACCTCATTTTGGAATACATGCAAGTAATACACATTAGGGTAATTTTTTTTCTAATTCATCCAACTTATTGCCATCAGCATCACTTGTAAAAACAACATCTAATCTTTTTATTTCCCAGCTTTGAAATCTTTTTGCTTCACATTGCTTAAAAGTTGATCTTTAACATGACATTTGAATTTTTTCACAATTTGGCCCTAAACCCTACCTTTCCAGCTTTATCTCTTTCATCTGGACCCCAACCCTTCTTAATATATTCCTTTTGCACCCCTGCCTTCCCACCCTACACTTTAACTACATTAGAGTATTTATGCAACCCCATTCATGTTTGTAAGCCTGACTCAAATGTTGCCTCTTGGGCACGTCTTTTTTCTTCTTCTACTTTTTCTTTTTCTTTTTTTTTTTCTTCCCTATCCTGGAAAGCCAGGAAAGTATAATGTCGACTAATGACTCCTCTTGGAAAGAATTCATCATCTCTTTGTTCCCATGGTACTTTGTCCACATTTCAGTTACAGTGTTTTGTGTATTCTATTTATTATTGTCTCTACGACCAGTGAAAGGCCTGAGTGAAGACATTCCTATTGAAACCAATAACTAAAATGCTATTTTCAAAACACTAAAAAAAAACCGGTCTGTAAAATATTTGGAAAACTTCATTGAAACCCCGCTTTCCATGTGAAAAATATTCAACACTGTTACATTTGTAGGTTTTTACCTTTCATATATAAAAGCATAACCATTTTTCTCATCTCTTTAGCAAAATTCCAGATATATGAAAGAAAACAGAGACATTTAACAATATGAATTTATAGACATTAATATGTAGCATACTAATATTTTGTTTTTATTAATATAAAAGTATTTAAAAATGTCTTCTAAGAAGTTTTGGTAAAATAAGTACTAAATGTAATAATAGAAAAATAGAAACTAAATTCCTTTTAGTTTTCTCAGTTTAAACATATATTTAAGTAAACATATTTGTTTTAATCCTAGGAATTAGCAAGGATAAAGCAGGAAACGAGAGAAAAAGAAAATTTGGTTAAAGAAAAGATCAAGTTTTTGGAAAGTGAGATTGGGAATAACACAGAGTTTGAGAAAAGAATTTCTGTGGCTGATCGTAAACTTTTAAAATGTAGAACGGCATATCAGGACCATGAAACTAGTAGAATTCAGCTGAAGGGTGAGGTATGTCAACTCAAAAAAGACTGGCTTGTATGTTCACGACAAATCACTATAAAATATAAAATAAGCATAAAGCTTTTCCTGTGATAAAGAAACTACTTCTAGTTTTTTTTTTTTTTCCTTTTTCTTTTTTTTTTTTTAATGTCTCTTTGTTTGTGGAACTTTTGGGATACTCTGATTAAACCCCTGATTAAGCACCACGGGGCGCCATTCACATCACAGGTAAATGGTTTGCAAATATTTTCTTCCATTCTGTAGGTTACCTTTTCATTTTGTTGGTGGTTCCTTTTCCTTAAAGAAAGTTTTTAGTTTGATGTAGTCCTGCTTGTTTATTTTTGCTTTTGTTGCCTGTAATTTTGGTGTCAAATTCAAAAAATCATTACAGATACCAATGTCAAGGAGCTTTTCTCCTGTGTTTTCTTTGAGAAGTTTTACAGTGTCAGGTCTTATATTTAAGTCTTTAATTCATTTTGAATTAATTTTTGTATATGGTACCAGAGAAAAGCCCAATTTCTTTCTCTCTTTTTTTTTTTTTTTTTTTTTGCGTGTGGCTATCCAGTTTTCTTAACATCATTGATTGAAGAGACTATCCTTTCCCCATTGTGTATTCTTGACACATTTACTGAAAATTAGTTGATCATATATGCATGGGTTTATTTCCGGGTTCTCTATTCTGTTCCATTTTTCTGTGTGTCTGGTTTTTTTTTTTTTGCCAGTACAGTCAGCCTTCCTTATCCATGGATTCTGCATGTGTAGATTCAACCAACAATTGATAAAAAATATTCAGAAAAGAAACCCAATAAAAATAATACAACAATAAAAAGGGAAACAAATTTTAAAAATATGAAAATTATTTACATAGCATTTACATTGTATTAGGTGTTAAAAATAATCAAGAGATTATTTAAAGTATACAGGAGGCTGTACATAGGTTATATGCAAATACATGTCATTTTATATAAGGGACCTACACATCCGTAGATTTTGGTATCTGCGAGGGATCCTGGAACCAATCCCCTGTGGATGCCAATGGATGACTGCACTATTTTGTTTTGATTAGTTTAGCTTTGTGATACAATTTTAAATAAAAAAGTATGTTGCCTCCAGCTTTGTTCTTTCTGCTTAAGATTACTTGAGCTATTTGGGATCTTTTATAGTTCCATATGAATTTTAGAATTGTTTTTCTGTTTCAGTGAAGAATGACATTGGAATTTTGATATTGTATTGAATCTGTCAACCTAAATAACAGAGAGAGGCCCTCTAAAAATATTGAGCTTAATTAGGAATGAGCAGGGAATTTGAAAATCCAGTATATACAGGCTATGACAGATTATAGGCATATCTAGGGAGATAAAGGAAGGCAAAAGTTTTTAAAGGTAAAATGAGTAACTTTACCTAAGTTGTATTAAAATAATAATCCTTGGCTATAGGAATCAATTAGGGTAGTGTCAGTCCAAGGTTGATCAGTCAGTTGCTGGGCAGATGTCTTTGTAGAAGGGTTTTGTACAAGGTTGCAGTGGTCTTTATGCAAGGCTGTGGTTCTGGCAGAGTCTCTTGGGATAGTTCTTGTTATTGGGCAAATATGTATGAGAACTCTCTCTTCATGGCCTTCCCCAGCTCAGTTTTGTCAGGGTTTGACACAAGTGACTCCATTTTGATTTTGACAACTTTCACAAATCTGTAGATCGCTTTGAATAGTATGACCATGTTAACAGTATTAATTCTTCCAATCCATGAACACAGGATATCTTTATGTCCTCTACAATTTCTCTCATCAATGTTTTGTAGTTTTTAGTGTACAGATCTTTTTCTTCCTTGGTTAAATTTATTCCTAAGTATTTTATTCTTTTTGATGCCATTGTAAATGGGATTGTTTTCTTGATTTCTTTTTTGGATTGCTTGTTGTAAGTGTATAGAATGTAACTGGTTTTGTATATTGATATTGTATCCAGAAACCTTACTGAATTTGTTCTGAGAGTATTTGGTGGAGAGTTTAGGGTTTTTGCAAAGGTCCTTAATAAAAAAGAAAATTTGTATCTTAGATTTTCTGTTTAAATAATTTTGATTAATAGTAAAATATAGTTTACTATTGATTAACAGTAAAATGTAGTTATTAGAAGTCTGATATATTAGAATCTTTTGAGATTTTTCAAATCCAGTTAAACTTATGATTCTTATGAGCACATATATATTAGCTTATCTGGACTTTGGGGATGTGCTCTTTCTGAGCAGGTCTAGTGATATTAGACATTTCTGTATTTACTTTCAACACATATGTGTTCTCTATAATTTGCTAGGATTATACAACAAAGCCAATTAAAATTTGATAGCAGATCAATATGGAAATCTGTTTATATATTAAATATAAAAAAATGGCTACTACTTTTGTGGGTGTGATGTAGGTTAGAACTTAAAGTGGGCAGAATAAAACTCAGAAATGAAATAAGTTATAAGATACAGAGTAAATATATAATTTCTGTCTGTTAACTAATAAATAGCTGGATTCTTTAAAAGCCACTGTGAATAGAACTTCCAGTGATTTAGAAGCTCTGAGGAAAAATATTTCCAAGATAAAGAAGGACATTCATGAAGAAACAGCAAGGTAAGAAAAAAACTATCTAAATATGTTTATGATTATTTTTTACTATATCTAGAAAATTATTAAATACTTAAGACTATTTGTTGTTTAAATAATTGCAATATTTTAGCTACTACTTTTTTTTTTTTTGAGAGGGAGTCTTGCTTTGTTGCCCAGGCTGGAGTGCAGTGGCGTGATCTCAGCTCACTGCAAGCTCCGCCTCCTGGGTTCACACCATTTTCCTGCCTCAGTCTCCTGAGTAGCTGGGACTACAGGTGCCCGCCAGCAGGCCCAGCTAATTTTTTGTATTTTTATTAGAGACGGGGTTTCACCGTGTTAGCCAGGATGGTCTTGATCTCCTGACCTCGTGATCTGCCCGCCTTGGCCTCCCAAAGTGCTGGGATTACAGGCGTGAGCCACCGCGCCTGGCCAGCTACTACGTTATTAAACTTAAAAAAATTTTACTCATATTTTCATCACAAAGACTCAGAAGCCATATTTTTATGGTCTATTAAATATGTAGTGGTAATAAAAAGGTTTACGCAAAAAACCCCTTCAAGTTATACAAATAAATATTAGGATAAACTATTATTTGTTTGTATGAAATGCTTTTTAGGCACGTTTTCTATCTTTTTGTGATAAACCCTCTTCAGGTTACAAAAAACTAAAAATCATAATGAGATAATACAAACAAAATTAAAGGAGATAACTGAGAAAACCATGTCTGTAGAAGAGAAAGCTACTAATTTGGAAGATATGCTAAAGGAGGAGGAAAAAGATGTGAAGGTAAAGTTTAGTTTTAATTTTTCTTTAAATCACAGAAAATTTAGCAACAGTGAATTAATTAGACTCCTAGGATCAGAGGACGAGGAGGTCTTGTAAGAAGCTCTGCTTTTTGGTATGATCACATTTATAATCTGGTTTTGGACCTCTTCTCATGCATTGCTTCTGAAGTTATTCTCAGTCTCCTCTCTCTTTTTTCTTTTTTTTTGTGATGAAGTCTGGCTCTTGTTGCCCAGGCTAAAGTGCAATGGCGAGATCTTGGCTCACTGCAACCTCCGCCTCCCAAGTTCAAGCGATTCTCCTGCCTCAGCCTCCCGAGTAGTTGGGATTACAGGTGCCTGCAACCACGCCTGGCTAATTTTTGTATTTTTAGTAGAGATGGGGTTTCGCCATGTTGGCCAGGCTGGTCTCGATCTGCTTGCCTCAGCCTCCCAAAGTGCTGGGATTACAGGTGTGAGCCACTGTGCCGGCCAGCCTCCTCTCTTTTTAAGCTACTAATTTTGATGTCTTTGTATTTATTTTTTATTTTATTTTATTTTATTTTTTTGAGACTAAGTCTCGCTCTATCCCCTAGGCTGGAGTGCAGTGACATGATCTCAGCTCACTACAACCTCCACCTCACAGGTTCAAGTGATTCTCCTGCCTCAGCCTTCTGAGTAGCTGGGATTACAGGCGCGTGCCACCACACCTGGCTAATTTTTGTATTTTTAGTAGAGATGGGGTTTCACCATGTTGGCCAGGCTGGCCTCAAACTCCTGACCTCAAGTGATCTACCCTCCTCCGCTTCCCAAAGTGTTGGGATTACAGGTGTGAGCCACCATGCCTGGCTACTTTTTAAAAAAGTAGCTCCCCCACTGTGCCCTGGATTCCATTCCTTCCCAAAGCCTACTGTACCTATGTCCCTGCCATCATCCATATATCTATTTGTATATTGCATACAAATAGTTCAAAAAGTGGCTTTGTTTTACAACTGATTTCTACATGATTATCACTGTTTTTTTGTAATCAAATTCCCATCATCATCTACATTCCTGATTTGTACTTCTTTATCATCTACTATCTCTTTAACCCCTTATACTCTGGCAAAATTTTTTGGTAAATGGGCTTTGAAATGCTATAACTTTGCTAATTCTACTGGCACCTTCTTCTACCTCAGTCTTTTTTGGCATGTTGATGGCATTAAAGCCAATTTTTGAGGAACTGGAAAAGGCTGGTGCACCACTTCGTCTTTGAAAACTTCAAAGTGAACTATAAGTGTGAACTATAAGTGTGACCTGACTCTACTTCTTGCTTTTACTCGTTTGGGGGGGTTGAAAAAGGGGTAGTTGAAGATGGTGGCAAAATCTCCCAATATAAGGCTTATATCTCATCTGGCTCCATTTGTATTTGGATGGGATCCAGCTTCCTCAGTGTGCTGTAAAATTTCTAAGTCATAAAATCATGCTGCAATCTTGACATGAATGATATTCAAATTACACATTATGTTTTAAAAGTTTTGGTGTTTTCTTCCTAAGAGCATAATTCCCTGTAACAGATGATATTAGTACTTATCAGAAACCTGTAAACACTGTGAAATTTATATGAAATAGACCTTTTCATCACAGAGAATTAAAAACTTCAGACATTTTTGAAGAACTGGCTAAATTAGAAAAATTAATAATATTAGCAGCAGGGTGTACCGATTGTTTTTTTAGCAGGGCTGTGTTCATAGTCTTGGGGGTTTTTTCATTGCTGTTGGTTTTTGTTTGTTTGAAAAAATCCCAACCCTATCTTTTTTGGAGATGTACTGTGTTATTCACCACGAAGCATTGGCTTTAAAACTCTGCCAGGCAATCTTTGAGAAGATCTTAAACCTATAGAAAATTGTTTATGTAAAATAATGCACTGAATATCAGATTATATTTCTTGTTTATGCAAAGATTTCAATGTGCCAGTCACAGACTTGTTTTGTGTCATATTCAGGTTTGTTGGTTGCTAAAGGAAAATATACTTATTTGGGTATAAGATCACATAGGCAAATTATTTCAGCATTTAAAAATGATAATTTTCAACTGATCATGGCATGGTAGATCAATTTAAAGCCTAGAACACATTGGTTGTGAGGCTTCCGGGTCAAGACAGGTTTGCTTCCTGAGAGAGTATCTGTGGGAATGGGAGACTCATTTCTATTTCCTAGAGCTGCACGTGGTGGAGGCCAACTGGAGGCAAAGAGTGAGTGACAGGTAGTTCCTGTAGTGTGCTGGTAGTGCTCCTACCAGCTTACAAGAGCCAATAGTTAAATTTTTAGAAATTTTCCTAAATACAGCTATGATTAAAAATGAGATTATATAAACTCATAGTTAAATAAATAGCGTTTACAAAAAAAGTAATACATACTCAGCACTCATTACTTCCAAATATTTTATTATTTTGTACTCTTAAGGTTACCTATGTCTGTTTTATCTGTATGTTGGAAACACCACAAAATGGTCTGTTTCTGTGAATTTCTTCCCAACTCTGCCTTTAGTGGAATCATGTTAGTAGCAGGAAATTGGCCATAATGGGAGTATTTATACCGTGGAAATCAGATTCTCCCCCTAGCCTCTCATCTCCTAGAGAGATGATGGTTAAACATTTAACATTTACCTGCTCACCACTGTATAGTGCTTGAAAGGTGGGAGATTGGGTGGTGTGATTTCTTCCCCATAGCACCCTCAAGACTTTAGGAAACTCTGTGCATGTACAGGCTGCATATTTCCAGTGGACTTTATTTTTTGAGGAAATCAGTAGAATGACCAACTGCTAGGCTAGGGTAGCATGGGATGAAATTAAGACGACAGGTCAAGGTGTATGACACGGGCGTAAAAGCTACCCTAGTCTACTAGAATAGAATAAACCATAAGAAATGCTGGGGACTTGTTAAAATTGTGGGAAGAGCTTTATCTTCTAAAGGGCTAAAATAGTGGAGGGTTCAAATTTATTTGAGTTTCTAAATTATTATGTTCATATAAATACAACATTTCAATATATTTAATTCCATTAATCACTATAATTCTCATTATCAGGAAGTAGATGTTCAACTGAACCTCATAAAAGGTGTGCTGTTTAAGAAAGCTCAGGAGTTACAGACTGAGACAATGAAAGAAAAAGCTGTTTTATCAGAAATTGAAGGAACTCGTTCCTCTCTGAAACATCTCAACCATCAGTTACAAAAACTGGATTTTGAAACCTTGAAGCAGCAAGAAATTATGTACAGCCAGGTAGATGTTACTTTTATGAATATCTTCCATATTGATTTATTACAGTTGTGATGGTCAAGATACGCCATGTTCTAAGAAAACAAAGAATTATAAGCCCTTTTGTGGAGGACAGACAGATGCTGAAGGTGAGACATCATGTTAGATCAGTAGTAGGGTGAGGGAGCCTTAAAAACTATTTTTTCCCCTCAATCTGAAATAAACAGGCAAGAGGAGAGAGAACTCTAGTGAGGGAGAACCGTGTTTTAAAGGAACCTGAGACATTTGCATCCAGAGTAAAACAGAAGAAGGCACGAGATATCTGAAACCGAGAAAAACTGTATGTTGATTCTTAGTTAGGCACCCCCACCCTCACCCCCATGCTAATAGAGTAAAAGCATTTTTTTCAGTTTTTCCTTATTTTGTTCTATTTATATATTTGTGTTAATCTCTTAATATTCTCCATCTCTACATCTTAATTTTCTCATCTAATATATATTCTTAGTTTTTAAAAATTACAGATGTTAAAGTATAATATTAAGAATAATTAATTAGATGTTCATATTTGAACCTTTCATGGCTAACAATTAGTGACTACCTGTTTTGTATCCCTTAGATAATGTGCCCTCAGAAATCCAAATTCATGTAAATCCAGTGAATTTACTGAGATTCCATCATGGTAGTATGATAAACATCCCCCAACTTTGTCATATTTTCAGAAGATTATTTCTGTGTCTATCATGTACCTTGATTGTTGAGATATAGTTTATTTTTGTTCCTCTTAGAGTGAAAAGGATTTTATCCTGAATTACTGAAAGACTAAAGTGACTTTATTACATGATAATGCCTAGTCCAAAGTCATAAGAAAGTATTCACTTTGTTTTTACACTTGTAGAAATGCTTTTTTTTTCTTTGTAATACCTTTTTTTTTTTAAACTGTAACAGGATTTTCACATTCAACAAGTGGAACGGAGAATGTCACGGTTAAAGGGAGAAATTAATTCAGAAGAAAAACAAGCGCTTGAAGCAAAAATTGTTGAACTTAGGAAGTCTTTGGAAGAGAAAAAATCTACATGTGGCCTTTTGGAAACACAGATCAAGAAGCTTCATGTAACTTAGCCAAAATACATTTTATATTTCAAATATCCTAGTCATTCTGTTTTAGGACAACATGTTCTTAAGACTACTTTGGATAGGGTGACTGCCACTCTACACACATATATAACAAATGTATGAACAATGTTCTTATTTTTGTACTATTAGTGTGTAATGTTACCATTGATGATGCATTTAGTATATGCTAAATATTGTATGACATGCCTCTAGTATTTTATTTCATATAATCCTTACAGATGTCTTGTGAGGAAGATACTATTATCTGTTTTATAGAGTAAGTAATTTGTCCAGGTTATACTGCTAGTACACAGAGAGCTAGGATTTGACCCCTCCTGCATTTGACTTCTAAATACTCTTCAAGAGTACACTGTTTAGAACATTGATAAGTTCTAGTTTTCTATTTTATTAACTGCCATAACAAATAACTTGATGGCCCTTTGTCTTTAAAACACCATGTAAAAAGAAACTGCTCTTTATGAGTCAGCAGTTGTTATTCAAATCTTTACTTAGTTATAATATTTGAAATGATTGGATTCTGTTAATAAGGTTAGAACGTCTTCATCTTTAGGCATTTTATTATGTTTCTTGTAATATAAAACCTATGTTAAAGTTTGACTAGAGAGT
This sequence comes from Homo sapiens, assembly GCF_000001405.40. NCBI lineage: Eukaryota > Metazoa > Chordata > Mammalia > Primates > Hominidae > Homo > Homo sapiens. The sequence continues at coordinate 180,646,448 of NC_000003.12, read as the reverse complement.
AAAAGTGAGATAGTGAGTGTGGACATGAATGGGGTGAGAACTTAGTAGGGTCTAATTGTTATTTACCACTGGAAAGACTATTGATGTGTCCTCTGGTGGTTATAAAAAGAATTGCCCTAAATTCCTTGAGGGCTGCAAAAGGTGGAGAGTTATTACTTTTTTTTTTTCTTCTTAAGAAGACAAAATTTTGGTTTGGAGTAGTTTGTAGTCTGATGAAATATTTTAAAATGGTTATCTTTGTTTAGTGGAAAAAAATACTTGTTTTTGGATCAGATAAAACTAGTTTTAAATTTCAAGGCTATACCACTACTGCTGTTTTAAATTTTCTGAGCTCTAGTTTACTCGTCTATTAAATGGGGGAAAAATTAATATTATTTTAGGACATTTGGGAGAACTAGAAGCAATTTATATCTTAGCACAATTGTAGGTACTCAATATGTGGTATTGTTTTGATTATTTAGAATATGAGAATGGTATAGAATGTTAGAGGTATGACTTTGTTTCTTGCCCCTGGCCTGGATTGTGTCTGTTTTGCTGTGTGGGGATGGTTATAATTCTTCCCCCTTTGAACTACTCTGACTGCTCCCTCCATCATACCATTGTCAAGTGCTTATGCCATTCCAACTCTGGTTTTAACAGAGAGATACATAAATTAATAGAAATGTAAGTGAATTAACAAATTATATTAAAGCTAGTTAGCCTTTGGTCATTATGAAGAGCTGCTCTTTTCAATAGTAGCAACAGATTGTAAAGTCATCCTGTATGCCCTCTCACATGCCACTCCATCTCATTTTACATACAGAAAATAGTTTCTTCAGGTTGAAAATCACATTGTTTTAGCTCTTTTTATCAAATTTAATTTTATAAAATCACATTTTTATGCAAAAAATTCCTCTTCTTACTATCTTGCTGAAATCTTAGGTCCCAATACTTCAGAGAAATGCAGGCAATTAGAAACAGAGGAGAGGAGGAACGGATAGAGGGAGGAAGAGAGGGAAAGAGATCTTGGAACTGGAAAGTTTAGATTTAGGAAACAAGAAGGGAATAAGAGCACAAACCTTATTCTGGGTTCTGGGTGGGAAGAGGGATCTAAACAGGTATAAAACTGGAAAACTGGTATCTGCAAATGTATGATCTATTTATGCATATGATGGAATTAGTTCTAATCAAACATTTTTCTCTTTAGCAATATGTGATTATGTATGTAATTAATAATAGCTGACATTTACATGGCACTTCTATGTGTCAAGCACTGTTATACACATGCTTTGACAATAACATCTTTAATCTTCACAATAACCCATGAAGGTAGAAACTGTCCTCATCTCCATTTAGAGATGAGGAAACTGAGGAAGAGTCCATCATACTAGGGTCAGATGGTTAGTAGGTAATTAAAGCCATCTGATTCTAAGAGCTTGTACTCTTAACCAGCACCCTATGGTTTCTCAGATTGTTGATATCCTTACTATCTGGGACTTGCGTAGAATCAAACAATGAACTCCAATATGGGAGTGGTAAACCATGTGATGAACTGGTGTATGCTCCCATCTCCTCATAAATGGCTGTCTCCTAGCACAGTCGCCCTCTGTATCCACAAGCTCCACATCTGCAGATTCATCCAACTGAGGATTGAAAATACTCAGAAAAATGGGTGATTGCATCTGTATTGAAAATGTACAGACTTTTTTCTTGTCATTATTCCCTAAATGATATAGTGTAACAACTATTTATATAACATTTACATTTTATTACATAAGTAATGTAAAGATAATTAAAGGTATACAGGAAGATGTGTGTAGATTATATGCAAATACTATGCCATTTTATATAAGGGACTTGAACATCCATACCTTTTGGTGGTGGTAGTGCAGTTGTCCTGCAACCAATCCCCAGACAATACTGAGGGATGACTGTGATTCATTAGGTTGAACTGGAAGTTATGTATTGCCTAGAATTACTGAACTCATACTACATCCAAAACATCAATTGATGATAAAAATGAAAATGTTTCTATGTGACTATCCATGTGTATTATATTACAGACATAGCAGAAAGAGAGATAATAAAACATAGGATTATTTTAAATATCTGAGTATATAATTTAATGTAAGATATATATAATACAGCATGTATTTAATATTTTTGTCAATATTTAAAACATACATTTATATACCTTTTTTCTTTTTTGCAGAATGATCTTTATTTTATCAAGAAGGCACATAGTAAAAACAGTGATGAAAAACAGTCCCTTATGACCAAAATAAATGAACTAAACCTTTTCATCGACAGATCAGAGAAAGAACTTGATAAAGCCAAAGGTTTTAAGCAGGTGCAGTAAAATTGTATGCATATGTAGTATTGAAAACCATGTTTCCATGTTAATTGTAGACAAATGAAAAAATATAGCAAATTATGAAAAAGAAAATGTCACTATAATCACTATACCCAATATAAACAGTGTTAAAGTCTATAATTTCCCTCCAGTCTTGTAAAGAAATTTGGCTTTTTATGTTGTATTAAAAAATTTCTATATATCATATGCTTCCTAAAACATTAACTATTCTTTCAAAAACATTTTTGAAGGCTTTCTATAAGTCCATTGCATGAAATTACCATAGTTTATTTAACCATCCCCTATTTTTTAGATTTTTGTTTCTTTCTAATGCTTGGCTATTGTAAATAGTACTACATGTACAGTGCAGTTGTTCAATTAGTTGTTCATTGTGCAGTTATTCAGTTAGTTCCTTTGGATAAATTCCTAGCTATATAATTATGATTCAGAAAGAAATGAATATTTTTAGCGTCTTGAAACAATTTTTAAGCCCAATTCTCTTCTAGAGGGTACCATTAATACTCCTATCAGTAGTATGTAAGCATTCTATTTTATTCACTACCACTGAGGCTGGATATCCTAATTTAAAAAATTGTTGCCAATTTGATAAACATGGTATCTCATTGTTTTAGTCTGCATTTTTAAAATTGGTGGTTTAAAAATATTTTGTTTAATGATACATTTTCAAACATTTATGTTTAAATAAAAATGTTTAAAACACTTTTCTCTGTTATGTCATGTTCCATATTTTTTTTCTTTGGAGCTCTAGTTTGTATTCTTGGCCCATTTTTTTTCCGCTGGGAAGTTTACATATATAAATTATAAAAGATTTTCATATGTAAAAATATTGTCTCTGTCGGCCGGGCACGGTGGCTCACACCTGTAATCCCAGCACTTTGGGAGGCCGAGGCGGGTGGATCATGAGGTCAGGAGATCGAGACCATCCTGGCTAACATGGTGAAACCCCATCTCTACTAAAAATACAAAAAATTAGCCGGGCGTGGTGGCGGGCGCCTATAGTCCCAGCTACTCCGGAGGCTGAGGCAGGAGAATGGCGTGAACCCAGGAGGTGGGGCTTGCAGTAAGCGGAGATCGCACCACTGCGCTCCAGCCTGGGCGACAGAGTAAGACTCCGTCTCAAAAAAAAAAAAAAATTATCTCTGTCATAAATATTGTAAATATTTTCCCCATTTACCTTTACATTTTTATTCAGTGTTTGTGACACAAAACTTTTTTTAAAACATCAAATCTCTTAGTTTTTTTTTCTTTTTAATTTTTATGCTTAGAAACTTCTTGGTTACACTAAAAATCAGACAAATGTTTACTATTTCTAGTAGTTACGTTGATTTCATCTCTTAAGATTTTTCATTCATCTAGAATATATTTTTGGTGCACGTGAGATGTAAGTATCTAATCTCTCCAAATGAAAAGCCACGTTTATGAAACAATAAAATCTTATATCCTGGAGTGTTTTTTTCTGGGGTTTCTATTCTGAAAATTGATTGATATGTGTACTCTTATGTCAGTACTCTATTCACGACTGAATTGTTTTAAAATAAAAATATATTTCCACATTATTTTGTGAGATTCAGAGTATAAAAATGGCCATTCATAGGGCTTTATGTTTTTTGGATAGCGTAAGTTTAACTTCAGGAATAACTTCTTCCCTTTGTTTTTTATAATAGCAAAGCTTGACTTTAAAATTGAATTATGAAAAAGATTTGGAATAACTATAAACCCTTTTCTTAAAAGAAAAAAAAAAACTATGATCAATTTTAGGCCTAGCTAATATCTTAGTCAATGGTTAAATTGGAAAAAGGTATATTTTCAAGTTTTACTTATATAGCAATAAAAAAAATTTTGGTTTTGCAATTAAAAATAATTTCAATATTTGACCATTTTGTTACGTTGATAGGATTTGATGATAGAGGACAATCTTTTAAAACTTGAAGTTAAGCGTACTCGAGAAATGCTTCACAGTAAGGCAGAAGAAGTTCTTTCCCTAGAAAAAAGAAAACAGCAATTATACACAGCAATGGAAGAGCGAACTGAAGAAATCAAGGTTCATAAAACAATGCTTGCGTCACAAATAAGATATGTTGATCAAGAACGGGAAAACATAAGGTAATTTTCAGTTTTAAAACTGCTGAGGAATTAAAAAAACAGGATGATGTCAGGAGAACTAGCTGCCCCCTCTAACATCCCGGATGTGCATCGTTTTTACTCATTCGAAATGGCTTTTCATATAAGAAAGACATAGGGCATGTTATAGCCATAAATCTAGGCTCTTCTTTTGGTTAATTCTTCATTCTTTAGATTGTCCCTTTTACATTAAGATCACTAATCTACTTGGAATTGCTTTTTATGTATGGTTTGTGGTAAAGTCCAATAACACGTCTTTTTAAAAATAGATATTCAATAGCTGCATCTATTGAAGTGATTTTGCACATCTTTTATAAGATTATTTCTGGCTACATGTTTTTTCTTTAATGTTACTGTCAATTTCATTTTTGGTTTGCTGCTGGTATGTAGAAATGCAGTTAATTTCTGTATATTAAGTATTCAGCAACCCTGCTTAACAATCTTGTTCTAACAATCAGTACATTCTAATTTTCTATATACTGTATTTCATTTATATTATTTTCAAATAATAACAGTTTTATTTCTTGCTTTCCAATCTTTATAACTTTTCTTTTTTCCCCAGTTCAATACTGAAGAGCAGTGTTGATTACAGGTATCCTTGTCTTATTATCTGATCTCAAAGGGAAAGCTTTCATTGTTTTTGCATTAAATATAAGGTTTACTGTAGTTTATTTCTATTTTTTAGATACCTTTTACCACATTGAGCTCCTATCTATTTTTATCCTTTACTAAGAAGTTATTTTGTTTAATCAAGAATGGATGTTGACTTTTATTATATGCTTTCTCAGCACTTATTGACAAGATGTATCTTCTTCAATCTGTTGTGTTTAATCATATTGATCAATTTTTCAAAGTCAAACCAACCTTACATTCTAGAATAAACCCAACTTGTCTGTTACATATTATCTTTTGCATACATCTAGATTTTGTTAGGGAATATTTTAATACAATTTTTGCATCTATGTTCATGTGTATAAATGACCCATAATTCTCCTTGCTCTACTGTCCTTGTCAGGGTATCAGGCTATTAAGGTTATGTCTGACTTCATAAAATGACTTGTGTGTATTTCTTATTTTTCTATACATTGAATATGTTTCTAAAAGAGTGGAATTATATCTTTTTTGTTTTTCAAAGACCCCACTGGAAAAAAAAGCCATTGGGAGCCTGAAGTTTTCTATGGGGGAACATTTTCAACTATTGGTTTATATACTGTTTATAGGACAATGCAGATTTTGTATTTATTATTGATTCTGTTTTGGTAAATTCTATTTTTCTCTAGGAAAAATTTTCTATATTTATCCAAATTTCAAATTTATTGCCATACAGTTGTTTATAATTTTATTAGTTAATAGTTGTAGTATTTTTAGAGATGATTCCTTTTATATTCCTGACATTGGTTATTTGTGCATTCTTTTGGGGTAGGATAATTCTCACCACAAGTTAATCAGTATTAACATTATTTGGAAAGGATCTGCTCTTATTGCTATCTTCTATTGTCCATTCATTATTTCATTAGTTTCTGATCTTGCCTTTACTATTTTTTCCTTCTTTTATACAGGGTTTTTAAATGTTATTTTCCTAAATTCTTCAGATGCTTAGCTCATTAATTTTCAGTTTTGAAGTAAAAAAAACCCTCTAAGTATTATATTAGCTGCATCCCACAAGAAATTAATATTGCCATTTTTTCTTTTTTACCTTTCCTGTCTTTCAATTGTCATAGACTTTACTTTTTAAACTTTATTGAGGTATATTTGAGATACATAAGTTGCACATATTTAAAGTGTACATTTGATAGGTTTTGACATACGTAATGTACCGGAGAGACCATCACCACCATCAAGATAATGTATCCATCACCCCCACAAGTTTCTTTGTACCCCATTGTAATTCCTCCCTTCGGTCCTTCCCCCATGTTTCTCTCTCCGGACAACTGATCTCCTTTTCATCCATATAGTTCGGATTGCATTTTCAAGAGTTTAACATAAATGGAATCCAATAGTAGGTCTGCCTTTTGTCTGGCTTTTTTCATTCAGCATAATTATTTTGAAATTCATCCATGTTGTGTATATCAATATACATTCCTTTTTGTCAGGGGTTGACACACTTTTTCTCTAAGAGCTAGATAACTAACTTACAGTTCCTTGCAGGCCATATTGTCTTTGTTTTATTTTTCAATTTTTTTCTAAAATTTTATTTCAATAATTTTTGAGAAACAGGTGGTTTTTAGCTACACAGATAAGTTCTTTAGCAGTAATTTCTGAGATTTTGGTGTATCTGAACCCAAGCAGTGTACACTGTACTCAAAGTATAGTCCTTTATCCCTCAGGTCCCTCTCACACTCCACCCCCCACAAGTCCCCAAAGTCCATTATATCATTTTTATTCTCTTCCATCCTCATAGCTTAGCTCCTGCTTATAAGCGAGAACATAACAATATTTGGTTTTCCATTCCTGAGGTACTTCACTTAGAATAATGGTCTCCAACTCCATCCAAGTTGCTGCAAATGCCATGATTTTGTTCCTTTTTGTGGCTGAGTAGTATTCCATGGTGTATATATACCACATTTTCTTTATCCACTTGTTGGTTGATTGGCATTTAGGCTGCTTCCAGTCATAGTTTGAATAACTCAACTCACTCAACTCTGTCATTGTAGACTGAAAGCAGCCACAGACACTGTCAAAGATGAGCATGGCTATTTTCCATTAAAACTTTATGAATACTGAAGTTTTAAATTTTCATGAAATATAATTCTTTTATTTTTCTAATCACTTAAAAATTTAAAAGTCATTCTTAGCTTGTGGGCTATCTAAAAACAGGTGGCAGGCAGGATGGTTTACTGACCCTGGCTTTCTCTTGTTAAATAGCAGTATTCCATTGCATGTGTTTACTCCAGTTGATTTATACATTTACCTGCTGATGGACATTTGAGTTGTTTCCAGTTCTTAGCTATTATAAACAAAGGTACTATGAACATATGTGTTCTTGGTATGGACATATGCTTTCTTTTCTCTTGGATAAATACTTAGGAGTAAAATTGCTGGATCATGTGGTAGGTATATATTTAACTTTTCAGGAAACATTAAGAAATTGCCATGTATTCATTATTTCTGTCTTTCCTGCTTTTCATTGTTTTTACTGAATTTTGTTTAGCCTTTTCTTTATTTGGAAGGTATACATTCTAATTTTAATTATTTTGTTGGTTATTCTTAGATTTAAAAGAAACTTTAATCATTTCTCTATGAATATTGAAAATTAGTTTCTATTATTTTCCCCTTCCTAAAGAGTAAGACTTTTAGCATCTCTTACCTCTTCTTTTCCTTTTCCCATCTTTCACATATTGTTGAAATACTGATTATAGTCTCTTGCTATTGTTTTTAATATTATGTCTTTACTTTTTTAAAAACTTCTTCATGTGCATTAAGCTGTGGATCCAAATGTCAGCAATAATTTAAAATTACGTATGTGTTTTGTTTCTTGATTTAATGGTTTTTTCATGTATCCCTTGTCATCATTCTATTTTCTTGGATTTCATTTCATTTTTTGGAGTATGATTTTGAATTTGTTTTGTCGAACTGATGTTTTCTGAAACTTTGCAGTCCTTGCATGTTTAATACATATATTTATTCTCCCTTAAACTTGAATGACAGAACATTGTAAAACATTGTTTCATATTCTGCTAGATTACAGTGTTGTTTATGAGAAGTCTGATTACAGATTAATGAAATTTATTTTGTAGGGAAACTGGGCTTTGTTTGTTTTCTTTCTGGAAGCTTTGGGACACTCTCTTTATCCTTGGTGTTTTATAATTTTCTTGTATGTGTCTGGGCATTTTGTCATTTTAAAGTTTCTCTTGCTTGACCCTTCCTGGAGCTCTTTCAGTTTTAAAAATTTTTTTATCTTTGGTTCAGGGGTACATGTGCAGGTTTGTTATACAGGTAAACTTGTGTCATGGGGGTTTGTTATACAGATTATTTCATTACCCAGCTACTAATCCTAGTACCCAATAGTTATTTTTTCTGTTTTTATCCCTCCTTTCACCCTCCACCCACCAACAGGTCCCAATGTCCATTGTTTTCCTCTTTGTGTCCATGAGTTATCATTTAGCTCCCACTTATAAGTGAGAACATGCAGTGTTTGGTTTTCTGTTCCTGCATTAGTTTGCTAAGGATAATGGCCTCCAGCTCCATCCACGTTCCCATGAAACACAAGATCTTATTCTTTTTTATGGCTGCATTGTATTCCATGGTGTATATATGGCACATTTTTTAAATCTAATCTGTCATTGATGGGTGTTTAGGTTGATTCCATGTCTTTGCTACTGTGAATAGTGCTACAATGAACATTTGTGCACATGTGTCTTTATGGTAGAGTGACTTATATTCCTTTGGGTATATACCCGGTAATGGGATTTCTGGGTTGAATGATACTTCTGTTTTTACTTTCTTGAGGAATCACCACATAGCTTTCCACAATGGCTGAACTAATTTACATTCCCACCAATATTGTATAAGAATTCCTTTTTCTCTGCAACCTCACCAGCATCTGTTATTTTATTTTATTTTATTTGACTTTAATGGCAGCCATTCTGACTGGTGTGAGATGGTATCTCGTTGTGGTTTTGATTTGCATTTTTCTAAAGATCTATTGAGCTTTTTTTCATATGCTTTTTGGCACATGCATGTCTCCTTTTGAAAAGTTTTCATGTCCTTTGCTCACTTTTTAATATGGTTGTATTTTTTCTTATAAATTTGTTTAAGTTCCTTATAGATGTTGGATATTAGACCTTTATCAGATGCAGAGTTTGCAAAAATTTTCTCCCATTTTGTAGGTTGTCTGTTTTCTCTGTTGATAGTTTACTTTGCCGTGCAGAAGCTCTTCAGTTTTAATTAGATCCCATTTATCACTTTTTGTTTTTGCTGTGATTGCTTTTGGCATCTTCATCATGAAATCTTTGCCCTTTCCTCTGTCCAGAATAATATTGCCTAGGTTGTCTTCTGGGTTTTTATAGTTTTGAGTATTACATTTAAATATTTAATCCATCTTGAGTTGATTTTTATATGTGGTATAAGAAAGGGGTCCAGTTTCAATCTTCTGCATATGGCTAGCAAGTTATCCCAGCACCATGTATTGAATAGCGAGTCCATTCCCCACTGATAGTTTTTCTCAGTTTTGTTAAAGATGAGATGGTGGTAGGGATGCAGCCTGATTTCTGGGCTCTCCTGTTGCATTGGTCTGTATGTCTGTTTTTGTACCAGTACCATGTTGTTTTGATTACTGTAGCCCTGTAGTGTACTTCGAAGTTGGGTAACGTGATGCCTCAAGCTTTGTTATTTTTGTTTAGGACTGCCTTGGCTATTCAGACTCTTTTTTGGTTCCATATGAATTTTAAAATAGTTTTTTTCTAGTTCTATAAAAATGTCATTGGTAGTTTGACAGAAATAACATTGAATCTGTAAATTGCTTTGGGCAGTATGGCCATTTTAACATTGATTCTTCCTATCCATGAGAAATCAGTTTTCTGCTGATTTCCTTGAACAGTGTTTTGTAATTCTCATTGTAGAGATCTTTCACCTCCCTGGTTAGCTGTATTCCTAGGTATTTTATTCTTTTTGTGTTAATTGTGTAATGGGATTGCGTTCCTGATTTGGCTATTGGCTTGGCTGTTATTGGTGTATAGGAATGCTAGTAATTTTTATACGTTGATTTTGTATCCTGAAACTTTGCTGAAGTTGTCTATCAGCTGAAGCAGCTTTTGGGCTGAGACTATGGGGTTTTCTAGATATAGAATCATATCATCTGCAAACAAGGATAGTTTGACTTCCTCTCTTCCTATTTAGATGCTCTTTATTTCATTCTCTTGCCTACTGCTCTGTCCAGGACTTCCAATACTATGTTGACTAAGAGTGACGAGAGAGGGCATCCTTGTCTTATGCTGGTTTTCAAGAGGAATGCTTCCAGCTTTTCCCCATTTACTATCATGTTGGCTGTGGGTTTGTCATAGATGGCTTTTATTATTTTGAGGTATGTTCCTTCAACGCCTAATTTACTGAGAATTTTTAACATGAAGAGGAGTTGACTTTTATCAAAAGCCTTTTATAGATCTATTAAGATAATCATGTTATTTTTGTCTTTAGTTCTGTTTATGTGATGAATCAGATTTATTGATTTGTGTATGTTGAGCCACGACAGCTTGCACCATGCACCTTGAAAAGCCGCAGGTACTCAATATCAGCCTGTGAAGGCAGCCACAGGGGCTATACCCTAAAAAGCCACAGGGGCAGAGCTACCCAAAGCCTTGGGAGCCCACCCCATGTATCAGTGTGCCCTGGATGTGAGACATGGAGTAAAAGGAGATTATTCTGGAGCTTTAAGGAGTGCCCTGCCAGGTTTTGGACTTGCATAGAGCCTGTGGCCCCTCTGTTTTGGCCAACTTCTCCAATTTGGAACAGGAACATTTACCCAATGCCTGTACCCCCATTGTATCTTGGAAGCAACTCGTTTTTTATTTTACAGGCTCATAGGCGGAAGGGACTTGCTTTGTCTCAGATGAGACTTTGGACTTGGACTTTTGAGTTAATGCTGGAGTGAGCTAAGACTTTGGGGGGATTATTGGGAAAGTATGATTGGTTTTGAAATGTGAGGACATGAGATTTGGGAGGCACTAGGGGCAGAATATGGTTTGGCTCTGTGTCCCCACCCAAGTCTCATCTACAATTGTAATCTCATGTCGAGGGAGGGACCTGGTGGGAAGTAATGGATGTTGGTGGTGGTTTCCCCAATGCTGTTCTTGTGAGTGAGTGAGTTCTCATGAGATCTGATGGTTTAAAAATGTCTCTTGCTTTCTCCTGCTGCCTTGTAAAGATGCTGCTTCCCCCTTGCCTTCCATCATGATTCATGATTATATGTTTCCAGAGGCCTCCCCAGACATGTGGAACTGTGAGTCAATTAAATCTCTTTTATTGCAAATTATCCAGTCTCAGGTAGTATCTTTATAGCAGTTTGAAAATGGACTAATTAAATGGTTATTCCTTTAACTGTGGTGTAGACTGAGTACAGTCAACAGATTTCTTTTCTGGATGTTTTCATAGGGCCAAGGCTTTGTGTGGGGTCTTTATTTGTAGCTGACTTCTTATCTTTGGTTTCACAGGGGTATATGTTAGGAAGTTATTTTTGGTGTTGAAGCTTTGGGGTGTGATCCAGTAGGTGGTGCTTAGGTGTAGTGGTCAGTAGGTAGGCTCTTGCTTGGCTGTGTGGCTGCTCTATATTTCCTCACAGTCATGCTCTCTCTCAGTGCTCTGTAAGTGGGGGCTGCTCTCTCACCTGAGTGCTGGCTGTAGATCACGGCTTGGTGCTACTGGGCTGCCCACCACAGCTCTGGGGTGATCTCAGGGTTTATGTTTCTTTCCCAACTTGGAGGCAGCTGAATAAGGTACCTTAGTAGTGGTTGTGGCTGAGGGTCTTTTGTCTCCTGATGGCTTCATCCCAGAGAGGTGCAGGTCAGCAATCACTGAATGCAATAAACCCAGGATGAGGTAGTCTGTGCTATGGGCCCAATCTGGGGACACCCTACCTGGTGATGAGCAGTGGGTGTTTATGTGATCCATGGGAGATGGACTGGCTTCCTCTCCTTGGGTGGATTGCAGCTTGTTGCAAATACGGATGAGGCACTTAGGGTCTCTGCTCCTTGGTTAATCTGAGGATAGCTGGGGTAGTACCACTGCAGAGCCAGTGGCAGAAGCTTTTGGTTGCCTCTGACGGCTCTACCTCTGAGAAACATTTAGCTGCTGTTACTGGTAGTGTTCAGCTGGTGGGGTGGGGTGGGGTGGGGTGGCTGTACTGCTGGTGTGAGCTTGTGGCTTGCTGGGGAGCAAGGAGTTAAGGGAGTCAGGAGAAGAGAGTGGTTGTCTTCTCTGCATGGTGACTGTAGTGTGCTGTAAGCTCAGGCATAGTCCTCAGGCTGTTTTTTCCCCAAATCAAGGGCAGCAGGGATAGAACTGCTGCTGTGGTCGTGGCAGAGGGGCTATCATGTGCCTCTGGGAGCCTCTGCAGGACACTCCAGGCCACTACCAGTGGGTATGCTCAGCCATGGGTGGAGCAACTGTTCTGTGGTCACGGGCTGGGGCCCCTGCCTGGTGAAGAGTCAGGGGATAGGGGTTCCCAGGGAAGAGGGGCTGAACTCCTTTCTGTATGGTCTATTTTAGTTATTTCATTCAAGTCTTCCTTTGGGTCAGGAGAATATTTTTCTATTTAATTTTTTTCTTACCATCATACTCTCCTGTTTTCTCCATTTGTTGCTCATTTTTACTAGATGTTGGCCCTTTTAGGTCTGTCCTCCAGGTTTCTTTTTTCTACTTGTATTTTACTTTCTCAGATATTCTTTATCTCTCTCTCCCTATTCCCCTCTCCTCTGCCTAATCTCCCCCCTTGTCTCTCTCTCCAGATTGCTCATTAAATCTTTATTCTTCACTGCTCTTACATTGAAGAAGAAAACTTATTTGCAAGCACTGTTATTCTTTCATTAGTCCTTTATTTTCATAGCAGCCCATCTTGTTTTATGGGTGTTTTTGGAATCAATATCCTCTTCTCTTTTAGATGGTACTAATTAGAAGACTGAACATTGTCTTCTATGCATTATGTGTCAGGTCTGTTCTTTGTTCATTTTTGCCATTTGCTTTCCATAAATGTTTAATGGTCCTTTGTTAATATTTATTAATGAATGCTTATTAATCGGTGGATATTGGTAGCTAACTGGTAAGGGTTTCCTCTGCAATTAAGTGGATCTCTGGTTTTCTCCAACAGATCGCTCCTCTAAATGGGAGGGCTGATTGTAGGCTCGTGCTAGTTTGTCCTGTAAAGAGCGTAATAGCTATTAAGCAGGGTTAGGATTTCATGGTTACAAAAAGTTAGGAGGTGTTTATTTTGAGTGATGAAGACTTTATCTCATTCCTAAGTAGAACTGCCTTTCTTTTTCATTTACTTCCACTGTCATGTTTTTACCTCTTTCTCTAGCTTCAACATACATGCTAGGAACTGTGGTAATTTTTTGGTTATCATTGGAGCAGAAAGCATTCCTGACATTTCTGTATGTTTTGAGGGGTTGAGGGGAATGGCCCAGAGTTGTTGATTATAGCCTCACAGATCACTCTTGTTCTTTTTCTTGTTTCTGAGTTTGGATTTTTTTCAGACTTCTTTGGTGGAAAATGGCTCCTGCTTCTGCAGTGGTCTTCCGTGTGTGTCTATTTTTTTTCCGTTAATCTTACCCCATCTGTTTTCCATGAATTCATGAAAAATTATTGTACCTTTCTGATTCTCAGAACTGCTATGTTGCTGTTTTTTTTAATCTTTTTTTATTTTAGAAAGGAAGAGTAATATACTGTGCTTGGTCCACAATCTTGAAGTCCAGCAAGTTTTTATGATCACATAAAGGATGAGTAAATATTTTCTGAGGAAATGAGTGATAATTAAAAATAAGAAAAACTGTAACTTATGACACTAAATATATCTTACCATGAGTTTTCTCTAGCAGTAGAAAAACTGGTAGGTTGAGGATTTCTTTTTCACCATGGTTAGAGAGCTTACTTGCATGAGTTTGTAGCAGGCAGTTGAGGCACTCTCCATATTGCCAGGCATATATTAAGATTACTAGTATTAAGTTCTAAAAAATAGCTCATAAAATATAAATTTACTGAAATAAAAGGAGAAAGTAACCAACAGATTTAAGAATCTGAATTCTGGAAGACAATTCTCAACCGCCCTGTTTGGACTATCTTTTTAAAGACGTTTGAATAGCAAACAGCCTCAGAAACTAGAGGTAGTATCTCCTTCTGGAGCAAAAGTTAGGCATGTTTGCTTATTTCCCACTATAAAATATTTGGGTTACCTAGGCTTGAGATTCCTCAGCTGTGATGCAAATCTACTGTTTGCAGCATCCACTTGAGCCCCTTCTTGCTCCCATGGGATGTAGGGAGCAAGGGGAGCCAGTCAAACAGGAATCTTATGCTTCTTGCTGTGTCATGAGAAATAAAGTCCGTTGTCTCTGAAACAGGGATTGTGTCTTCTGCCAGCAAAAGACACAATGAAACTGTGGCAGGCTAACTTGTCAGCTTTCAAGTAGGGTAAATATCAGATCCTTCACACTGAATTATTAAATTAAAACGTGAGAACAAATTTAATCTGTTTGAGTTTAGTAGTTACACAAATCCAAATGTCTTCAATAAGAACACCTGATAGTCTTTTTATTAAATTAAAACGTGAGAACAAATTTAACCTGTTTGAGTTTAGTAGTAACACAAATCCAAATGTCTTCAATAAGAACACTTGATAGTCCTTTAAAAATTGTAAAGTATGTTATTCATTTCTCAGTGTTTCTTTTTCTTATTAGCACTGAGTTTCGCGAGCGGCTAAGTAAAATTGAGAAGCTGAAGAATAGATATGAAATTCTGACTGTTGTTATGCTGCCTCCTGAAGGAGAAGAGGAGAAAACACAGGCCTATTATGTAATAAAGGTAATTTTAATTGATTCACAGTTGTGATGGTATGAAATTTTCTTTGTTAACTCATTCATCATAATCCTCTGAATTTAAATAAAAAAACAACAATATTGCAACTTTCCCTCCATGAAATCTAGCAACTATTTCACTTAATTAGGGCCACTATTACACTTAACAAAGGCCAAAACATTCATTCCTAAATGGAGATACTGAAAGCAGTATTCATTCTATATACCTCTAGTCCGTGAGGTCAAGCACTGCCCTCTGATTCCCAAAACTTACTGTGAACTTGCTCCAGAAGTCTTCCTCTTTTGAGTTCAGGTCATTCTACTTGACCATTCTTTGACACTTTTTTCTTTTTGCTATTATTTGCAGAATGTCATTTCTCCTAGGCAAGATTCGTAATCTTTTTAAGACCTATTATCACTCTAAGTGTCTTTGGTATGCATGTGACAACCTGTTCAACAATTGAGGCTTAAAGCTTTCCTTTACTTCACTATAGCCACCCACTCTTATGCCACACCCTGGCTGGACCTTAGCATTTCTTGGAGCTACACCACCTCTGAATTTTAAACTCCAGTTTACCATTAGAGTCCTGGTATGGCAGCTGTTCAGAGAGGAAGAGGGCTGCTTCCCTGCCCATATATCCCTATAATATGATATTATAGGGAGACAGACCAGGTGAATCTGTTTTTTTCTGATGTTTGACAGTTGTCTGTCATCCCATGGTTATCTTTAACCCAAAGGGGAAATTCATTAAGTGATGTGGAATTGAATGCTATTCTCTAAGCACTGCTATATTCATCTTTCCCATGTAGAAAATACCCTGAACAGGAGTAATTTCCTTTACAGAAAGGTCTAGGAAATTACTCAAAATGCTACAAACAAGGGATGGAACTTGTAACTTTGACTCACTTCCCTGTACCATACATGAATAGGGGTGAGATCATCTTCCAGTTCACACCTTCAGAGAATGGCTCTTGTGGATGCTCTCTCCCTTTGATTTCTACCAACTTAATTGGCCAAATTTTCTCCTGTAGCTCTTCTTCAAATCTGCCCCTAACAAATGCAGCAAGTATGGTATGCCTGTCACTTTGCTTGAAATTCTGCCTTCCCTATGAGAAATCAGTCCCAGCTCTCAAAACTTTCTTATAACTTGTCAGTCTGTAATACCTCAGGCTTCTGCCCAAACAGGACTTTTCTCCTCTCAGGTTTTAAAAGTTCCTGAAGGATAAAGGGTAGGCTCTAATTTTTTAGGTATTGGGAAATCGGAAGATGTTGCAATTCCAATTAAGTTTCTCTAACAAGTGGTGTGATGGGTTACCTAAAAGTACTGGTGTTAAGTGTGCCTTCATCCATATCCTACCACTGCTTCGGTAGGTGACCAGGAATAAGTTACTTAACCATGTGAGGCCTAAGTTTCCTCACTTGGAAAATGAAGAGGGTAATATTGTTACTTTTGTTGGGAGAAAAGAGAAAATACATGTAAAGCCCTTGGGACGGTGGCTGGCACAAAATGAGTCCTCAATAAATGTTAGTTATTATTATTACTGTGATGATGCTGATTAACCTAACTCACAGGAACACAGACAAGTTTTATATGAAGAAAGAATATTCCTTCTGTTTACAGTGAAAGTGCTGGATAAATATCAGAATAATGATTATGCTAAATGAACTGAGGCTATCAGTTACTTTCTCAATGTCCTGATGCCATATTTCTTATCTTCCATCTTCTCTGGGATCCACAGCTTGCCACGCAGTTATTCCCATTTTTTGTTGTTGTTGTTGTATAGCATGTTTACACTTTTTACTGGTAACACTTCACAAGTCTCAGATGTGTAAAAATGAAACTTAAATAATAACTAAACTCAGTCTAGCTTATATCAGGAAAAATTATGGCCTGAAAAATAGAGAAAAGCAAACCATGGGTGCAATGATGCCAGTGCATGGTGATACCAAGGTGTTGGCATTTTCTAGTGGGCCCTCCAGGTATTATCTGATTCTATAGGAGTGCAGACCTTCGACTCTCTATTGACTAGTTTATTTTACAACTCTGTAGGTATAGATGATAACTAACTTGCAGACAACTGATAGTAACGTAAGTGATATCTTGCTGCTAACAATGTAAATGAATTTTGGCCAGTAGAAATACAACTCTGCTCTGTAGAAAAGATAACCCAAGCACTGAAGTTTATTACACTAAAATATATTAATATGTTTTGCATCTACCAGCAAATTCATGTCAGCATTTCTGATTCAACATGTCTATAATATAAAATCTGTTTTCATATTCTTCTTTGAAATAAGTCTAAATATCTTACTGGCTCTTCATTAACAAGTTGAGTAAAACCTTTAATAAAAGTTCATTTCATATTTGTATAAGAATTTTTAACTATTTGAAAATAGTACCTTGGCATTTTCACTGCTGGGACAAACCTTGCCAATTAGAAGTTAAGTTTTGTTTTTTCAATGTAAGTCTGTTTTCCAACGTAGTGGATTCTGTTTGTTGATGTAGTAGATTTAGGATTTAAATTTAGTCAGTTCAAAATTTTTTCCCTTCCCTTATTCTTCTTATGTTATCTACAAAGGGATCTCTCCTGATGGATACATATATTATGTTTATGGCTGTGGGTAATAGGAATTTGATTACAATGCTAACCACTGTTGTGTTTTCTGAATGTTGTGGATGAGGCCTCAGCAAACTATGCACTCCAGCCAAATGCTGCCCACCACTTGTTTTGTAAGTAAGTACTGGAAGACAAAATACATACACTTATTCATTTATATATTGTTTATGGCTGCTTACATGCTACAATGACAGAATGAAGTAGTTTCGACAGACTGAATGGCCCATAAAGTCTAATTACTATTTGGCCCTTTACAGACAAAGCTTGTTGACCCTTTTTATTAGTTTCTAGGGCTGCTGTAACAAAATACAATAAACTAGATGGTTTAAACAACAGAAATATATGTCTCAGGCCAGGTGCAGTAGCTCACGCCTGTAATCCCAGAATTTTGGGAGGCCGAGGTGGGTGGATCACGAGGTCAGGAGATCGAGACCATCCTGGCTAACATGGTGAAACCCCATCTCTACTAAAAATACAAAAAATTAGCCGGGTGTGGTGGTGGGCACCTGTAGTCCCAGCTCCTCGGGAGGCTGAGGCAGAATGGCATGAACCCAGGAGGCGGAGCTTGCAGTGAGCCAAGATTGCACCACTGCACTCTAGCCTGGGCGACAGAGTGAGACTCCGTCTCAAAAAAAAGGAAATATATATCTGATACATCTGGAGTCTAGAAGTCCAAGATGAAGGTGTTGATAGGGTTGGTTTCCTCTGAAGGCTATGAAGAATAACCTGTTCTATGCCTCTCTCCTAGCTTCTGGTGGTCTGCTGACAATCTTTGGTGTTCCTTAGTTTGTAAATGCATCACCCTGAAATCTGCCTTCATCTTTACATGGTGTTCCTTCCTGTGTCTCTTCACACAGTTTTCCCTCTGTCCAAATTTCCCATTTTAATAAGGATACCAGTTATATCAGATTAGGACCAACCTAATGACCTCCATTTAACTTGACTATATCTGCAAAGACCCTATTTCCAAATAAGGTCACCTTCTGGGGTACCACAGGTTGGGATATCAACATATCTTCTTATAAGGGACACAGCTCAATTCATAGCTCCTGTCTTTGGTCTTGTAGTAAGCTCCTGTCTTTGGTCTTTGTTCTATGGGGCATACATGGCTTTTTCATCAACTCTAGTATCTTATAATATCTAACCCTTAAAGGCCAAACTGAAAAATATAATTAGTAACCAGTGAAGGACTAGTATTTTTCAAATCTCATTTCCAAGTTCCTCTTAGTCTTTATAAGGAAACAGTATAGTTCTGACTGCAATTTAATGACACTGTCCAATTAAGTTACTTGAAAATATTGGACAGACTTTTGAGAGATATATCATCTCTGATTTAGAAGCGAATGGAATCAGAATTTTAGAACTTCAAGCTATACATGGAATTATATCAGGAATTTGCATAAAATGAACAAATTCAACTCCTTCATTTGAAAAATGAAGAAACTGACCCAGTAGTCCACAACTAAAATTTGTTTGGCTCATTCCAGCTCATTTTCCCACTATTCTTTTATATTTCAGATGAAATGGGGTTACCAATTTGAGACTCAAAGGAATTAGATATAATTTCTATAATTTTTTTGCTAAACTTTTTAAAATTATGTAATACTTATCACAAAATATGTGTAACTAATGTTCTGAAGCACGATAAAATAAATGCCAGTGAAAATGTTAAGAATGGAAATATTACTAATAAAACTTATCTTTACAATTCCCCCTGCCCTGCTGCAGGCTGCTGTGAAAGTGACACATAAGCAGACTGTACTCCCCACAGCTTCCTACCCATGTAAATCACCTGAGAGGAACCACAACCTCTCTGGCCATGGGCCCATAGCATTTTCACTGCTGGGAAAAACCTTGCCACTTAGAAGTTAATTTTTGTTTTTTCAATGTAAGTCTGTTTTTCAATGTAGTGGATTCTGTTTCTTGATGTAGTAGATTTAGGATTTTGCCATTTTGAGAATTTAACGCTGGGCTGTGCCTTGAAACACTACTGCAACTACCACCTGTCCAAGGTGGGAGAGGGGTGACCAAGCACTCCAGTGCACCCCTAAGACAATTCCCACGACCTTGCTACTGGCTGTTGTGAGACGGAGGTGTGAGAAGACTGCACTCCTCACAACTTGTTACCCACCTGAGCACCTCACCTGAGAGGAACCCTGCATTCTGGTTGCAAGGCCACAGCCAGGAGCATTTGGAGAGTTTAATGCTACACCGTGCCCCACATTTGGGCCAAGTGCAGGTTGACATTGCTGCAGCTGTCTCCGATCCAAGGAGGGAGAAAAGAGACCAGGCACTCCCATGTACTCTGGTGACGATTCCTGCTGTCCCACTATGGCTGCTGTGGGACTTCCTACAGCTTCTTACCCATGCTGTTCCACCTGAGAAAGGTTGCACCCTCCCTGGTGGCAGGCCTACAGCACAGCCACCACAGCCCATATCTGAGTATTCTGCCAGTGTCCTGGGAACCACCCCACCTTTGACTGTCACAGCCAGAACCTCCTTAAAGGTATTACCAAGGGGCCTGGGACTAGTCTGCTGGCCCAAACCCATCCCCCAAGTACTCAAGTATGCCATCCAGGGGCCCAGATATTTACTAACCCAGTGCATCACTGTTGGCACATGATCAGTCCTGCTAGAGTCTGAAGTTGGGGCAATTCAACCTACAAATACCACCACAGCTGACACCCACTCCCATGCACTACCAACAGGCCAGAGGACCAGCATGTCCAACCCATTGCAGCTACCAGCAACACCAGTATGGACCTTCTGGGTTCCAGTGAGTTGCTTTACCACCGCTACTGCCATTACCTGCATCACACCAGCTGCCCAGGGGCCTGAAAACCCGCCTGCATGTCGGGCCCACCATTCCCACTACCAACATCTGAGCAAGCTACCCAGAGGCCCAAGAATCAGCCTTCCAGGATCCACTAACACCAGTGACAGTATAAGCTACTCTCTGGCCTGAGAATAGATACACTCAGCCCACCACTGCCACCAATGGGGCCCAAAGACAGGCTTACCTGGCATCCTAGACCCCAGCAAAACTTCACCAAAGCTCAACTAATAACCATACCTTAAGTCACTGAGGAAATCACAGATACCACTGAACCTGTGTACTGCCTAAGAAATCATACAAAGACCACACTACCACAGGCACCCCACATCAAAACACCAACTACATATGTACTTCTTCAGGAGAAAATCCTCTCCTAGGAAAGCAATTTCAAAAAATTAGCAGAAGCAACTGTTACATGAGATATGCATCTATCAATGGAAGGACACAGGAACCATGAAAAAGCAAGGAAATGTGACCCACCATATAACAACTGTTCAGCAATAGATCCCACTCAAAAAGAAATCCTTGAAATGCCAGATGAAAAATTCAAAATATTGATAGAAGCTCAATTAGATGCAAGAGAAATCTGAAAACCAATATAAAGAAATCAGAAATCAATTCAGGGTATGAGCAAAAAATTCACCAAGGAGATATCTTAAAAAAAAAAAAAAAGAAAAATAGACTACACAAGCAAAAGAAAGAGTCAATAACAGACTAGACAAGCAACAGAGAGAATCTCAGACCTTGAAGACAGGTCTTTTAAAATAATCCAGTCAGACAAATTAAAAAAAAAAGAATAAAAAAGAGTGAACAAGGCCTTCAAGATGTTTGGAACTAGTAAAGTGACTGAACTTACAAATTATCAGTTATGCCTGAGGGGTAAGAGAGAGAAATAAGTTTAGAAAGCCCATTTAAGGAAATAATTGATGAAAACATCTCAAGTCTAGTAAGAGAGTTAGACGCCGAGACACAAGAGGCCCAGCAATCCCCAGGAAAATACATTTCAAAACAATACCTCATCATGGTGTATTGTAATCAGAATGTCTAAAGTCAAAGTGAAACTGCAAGAGAAAAGTTAAAATTAGCAAGAGAAAAGCATCTAGTCACCTATAAAGGAAACCCCATCAGAATAACAGCAGACTTCTCAGCAGAAATCTTATAGGACAGAAAAGAATGGGACAGAATTTTCAAAGCACTAAAAGGAAAACAAAAACAAAAACAGAACAAAATAAAACCAAAAAACACCTGTCAGCCCCCAATTTTATATCCAGCAAGAATAAGCTTCATAAAGGAAGAAGAAATACCCAGCAAAGCAAACACTAAGGGAATTCTTCACCACTAGACTGGTCCTCTAAGAAATGCTCAAAGGAGTTTTAAAATGGAAACAAAATGTCAGTATTCACCATCGTGAAAACACACAAAAGTACAGGACTCAAAGGTCTTATAAAACAAACACACAAAAGAGGAAGAGAAAGGCATCACTGGCAACATAACAGAATTCTACCAAAACACAGACGACCACACAGAGAAAAAAAAGAAATAATTTATAAACCAACTAGGTAACAGTTGAAAATATGACAGGAACAAAATCATACATATCAATATAAGTTTGAATGTAAATGGATCAAACGACCCAATTAAAACATATAGATGGTGGAATGGATAAAAAATGTGATCCAACAATATGCTGCTTATATGAAACTCACCTTATTGGAAAAGACATATATACTGAAAGTAAAGGGGTGGAAAAAGACATTCCATGGAAACCAAAAGCAAGTAGGAGTAGCTTTACTTATATTAGATAAAAGAGATATTAAATCAAAACAGTAAAAGAAGACAAAGAAGGTTATTATATAATGATAAAGGGATTACTTCTGCAAGAGGATATAACAATCCTAATTATATATGCACAACACTGCAGCACCTAGATTCATAAAACAAGCATTACCAGATTGAAATAAAGAAAGAGCAAGACAATAATGGTGGGTCAACACCCCACTGACAGCACTAGGCAGATTATCAAGACAGAAAATCAACAAAGAAACACTGGACTTAAATCGGGCTTTAGACCAAATGGACGTTAACAGACATCTACAGAACATTCTACCCAACGACTGCATAATATACCTTCTTTTCATAAGCACATGGAACATCTCCAAGACAAGCCAGAAAACAAGTCTCAAAAAAAATAAAAAAAAAAATCTTCTCAGACCACAGTGGAGTGAAAAACCGGCAATCAATGCTCAGAAAACTTTGGGCACTTTACAGATATATGGAAATTAAACAATATGCTCCTAAATGATCACTGGGTTAACAAAGAAATCAGGATGGAAATTTAAAAAAATTTTTGAAATGAATGAAAATGGATACACAACATACCAAAACCTGTGGGATAGAGCAAAAGGAATGCTAAGGGGGATGTTTATAGCATTAAATGCCTATATCAAAAATGTAGAAAGATCATCAATTAACAACCTAACACTGCACCTCAAGGAATTAGCAAAACAAGAAAAAAAACAAAACCAAACCAAAGTTAGCAGAACAAAAGCAATAACAGATCAGAAGCAAAACTAAATGAAATAGAGACAAAAAAATTTACAAATGATCAAGGAAATTAAAACTTTGTTCCTCAAATGACAAACAAAATTGATAAACTGCTAGCTAATCAAGAACAGAGATCCAAGCAAACAAAATCGGAAAACAAAAAGGAGACATTACAACTGAACTACAGAAATATGAAAGATCATCAGGGACTATACTAACTTATAAATTAGAAAACCTAGAGTAAATGGATTCCTGGAAACAGATAAATTTCTGGAAACATATAATACACCCTCCCAAGGTTGAACCAGGAAGAAACAAAAATCCCGAATAAACCGATAATATAAATAGCAAGAATGAATCCATAATAATAATAATAATAATAATAATAATAATAATAAAAATCTCCAAACAACAACAAAAAAGCCCAGGGTAAGATGTAGTAACAGCTAAATTCTACCAAGCATACAAAGAAGAACTAATACAAATCCTCCTGAAACTGTTCCAAAATATTGAGGAGGAGGGAATGCTCCCTAACTCATTCTATAAGGCCAGTATCACACTGATACCAAAACCAGACAAGGACACAACACAAAAAAGAAAACGATAAATCAATATTCCTGATGAACATAGACCACAGACACAAAAATCTCCAGCAAAATACTAGCAAATTGAGTCCAACAGCACATCAGGAAGATAATACACCATGATGAAGGGGGTTTTATGCCAGGGATGAAAGGATGGTTTAGTATATGCAACTTAATAAACATGATACATCACATAAACACAATTAAAGACAAAAATCATATAATCATCTCAATAGATGCAGATAAAGCAATGTGATAAAATTCAGCATTCCTTCATGACAAAACCCTCCATAAACCAGGCATAGAGGGAACATACCTCAAAATAATAGATGCCATCTATGACAAACCCACAGCCAACATCGTATCGAATGGGGAAAGAGCTGAAGGCATTTCCCGTAAGAATTAGAACAAGACAAGGATGCCCACTTTCACCACTCCTATTAAACATAGTACTGGAAGTCCTAACCACAGCAATCAGGCAAGAGAAATAAATGAAAGTCTTTCAAATAGGAAAAGAGGAAGTTAAATTATCTGTGTTCACATGATATGATCTTACATCTAGAAAGCCCTAAGAACTCCACCAAAAAAAATCTTAGATTGGATAAATGAATTCAGCAGTTTCGGGATACAAAATCAAGGTACAAAAATCCATAGCATTTCTAAACACTAATAATGATATAGCTGAGAACCAAATGAAGAAGGCAATTCCATTTATAACAGATACAAAAACAGTACCTAGAAATGTATTTAACCAAGGAGGTAAAAGAGCTCCATAAGGAAAACTACAAAACACTGATGAAAGAAATTATAGATGACACAAAGGTAAAAACATTACATGCTCATGGATTGGAAGAATTAATATTGGTAAAATGACCATGGTGCCCAAAGGAATCTACAGATTCAATGCAACCCCTATCAAAATACCAATTTCATTTTTCACAGAATTAGAACAATCCTAAAATTCACATGCAACACAAAAATCCAAATAACCAAAGTAATCCTAAGCAAAAAGAACAAAGCTGGAGGGATTACATCATCTGACTTCAAATTATATCACAAGGCTATAGTAACCAAAACATCAATGGTACTGGTATAAAATGAGACACAAAGATCAATGGTACAGAAAAGAGAACCCAGAAATAGACCCACATACAGCTAACTGATCTTGGACAAAACTGACAAGAACATACACTGGGGAAAGTATGCTTATTACCTGTGTGACAAAAAAATCTGTACACCAAACCTCCATGACACACAATTTACCCATGTAACAATCCTGCACATGTAGCCCTTGAACCTAAAAGTTGGAAGAAAAAAAAGTGGGCTAAGGACATGAGTAGGCATTTTTCAAAAGAAGACAAACAAATGGCCAAGAAGAATATGAAAAAATGCTCATCATCATTAATCATTAGAGAAATGTAAATTAAAGCCAACAATCAGAATGGCCATTAGAAAGACAGAAAACAAGAGATGTTGGTGTGGATATGGAGAAAAATGAATGGTTATACACTGTTGGTGGGAATGTAAATTAACACAACCTCTATGGAAAACAGAATGGTTTCTCAGGTAACTAAAAATAGAACTACCTTTTGATCCAGCAGTCCTACTACCTGGTATCTACACAAAAGAATAGAAATCATTAAATCAAAAAGATACCTCCACTCCTATGTTTATTGCAGCACTGTTTACAATAGCAAAGATGTGGATTCAACCGAAGTGTCCATTGATGGATGACTGGATCAAGAAAATGTGGTATATATGCACAATGAAATACTATCCAGACAGAAAAAAGAATGAAATCCTGTCTTTTACAGCAACAAGATATAACTGGAGGCCCTTATCTTAAGAGAAACAACTCAGGCACAGAAAAACAAATACCATATGTTCTCACTTATATGTGGGAGCTAAATAACGCGTACACATGGAGGTAGAGCGTGGAGTGATAGACACGGAAGACTCAGAAGCATGGTGGAGGTATCAGAGGGACATGGATAATGAGAAATTACTTAATGGGTACAATGTACAGTATTCCAATGATAGGTAGTACACTAGTCACCACTACACAATATACCCATGTAACAAAATATACTTGTACTCCATAAATTTTTACAAATAAAAATAATCAGAAAAAAATTTATATTTCTAATTGACTACATTCAGGTTTAAATACATACATCTAAGAACTGAATAAATTTAAATGAAATTATTAGTGATTTTGACTAAAAATTTTCTTGCATATATATACACATATATATGTATATATATGCATACTATCTATGTCAGCCTTTAGGACGTTCTTTGGAATTGTTTAGGTACAGCTCTAGAGAACCGCTTAGCCCAGTGACAGCATTACCCTGGTAGAAAGTCACTGAGTATGTCCACTCTTAGAGGAAATAATTTTGGCCTTTAGCAATTCATAGACTTCATCTTTTTCAGCCACACTTATTACAATGATCTTTTTTTAAAAAAATTATTTTTAAAATTGTGGCAAAATACATGCCATTTTACCTCTTTTACTCCTAAATTTTGAAATAAAGTGTTCCTGAACCTCTTTCAGGCCAGAAACATTCTTCTGATTTAATATCTAGTATCAAACCTCCCTCCCTTTCTTCCCAGTAATATTTATACTTGATTAACTCTTTGGCAATTTTTGCTGGAAATTTTTATATAAGCTTTGGTTAGTTACTACATTTCCATCACGGTTTTGAATTCTGTATCCTATGTGCCATATTTTGAAGGCCTGATAATTTGGGCTTTCACTGTAAATCAAGCACAACAAATAAATGCTTGGTGCCATATGTAGGCCATGAGATAAACTGTTATTGTCACAAGTCAACTATTTTCTGCTCCAAAGACAGCCATTAGGCATTTCTTCCCATAGTAAATGCTTTTATTCAACCAGTTCTATTCTGTACTTCATAGGCTGCTCAAGAAAAAGAAGAACTTCAAAGGGAAGGTGACTGTTTGGATGCCAAGATCAACAAAGCTGAAAAAGAAATCTACGCTCTAGAAAATACCCTTCAAGTGCTGAACAGCTGTAACAACAATTATAAGCAATCTTTTAAAAAAGTGACTCCATCTAGTATGTAGGAGTTAACTTTTTTTTATACATATATACAGTGACGAGTGTATAGTTAAAAGGAACACTGTGAGACATGAGGAAGAACAAAAGCAAACTATGTTAGATTGGGTCAGAAAAACTAATCCCTTTTCTTTCCTCCCCCCACGACATTTTTTTTTCTAAGTGGTTTTCTAGGGTGTTACTTCCATTATTAGTTCAGGATCTGTATGGCATATCACCTCTCTAGGGTAATTAATTCAAAGACTGAAAAAAAATGGCAGCATATTGCTGCTCTATGTTGACAAAACAAGAAATGGCTACTACATGCCCATAGTGTTTTTCTACAAGTGGATATAAAAAATTTAAACTTTCATAACAAAAATATTGGTGCAATTTACATAATACTTTAAAATTGATTTCTACTTAGTATGTTGAAATTTTAAACTAAAAATGTTCTACATTTCAGGTGATGAGTATGAGCTAAAAATTCAACTAGAAGAACAAAAAAGAGCTGTTGATGAAAAATACAGATACAAACAAAGACAAATCAGAGAACTTCAAGAAGACATCCAGGTAAATTCTACAGGCATTTTTAGTAATATGCCTTCAATAAAAGTCAACTATCATTACTGCTACTTCTATTCTCTTGCTCTTCCACCAAGAAGACAGTTATTTAGAATCTCTTTTAGGGAAGTAGATAGTAAGAGATAACAGTCTCATTTAAAGGAGACAAAAACAAGTGCTCAGAGTCTTAGGTAAATTAGTTAAAATCCTAGTGGTAAGCCCTGATGATTACTTGTTATTAGTTGGTAGGTCATAGTTATTATGATCTACCCATTAATCCTTTAATGAACTTTAATTTCTTAAAGATCACATTAAGATTGCTCCTTAAAACAAAATAGTTTGAAAGAAAAAATAATAATCTAGTAGAAAGTACTTACTAAGGCAAATCACTGAAAGATAAAAGAATGTGCATTGTCTATTCACAATAGCAAAGACTTGGAACCAACCCAAATGTCCAACAATGATAGACTGGATTAAGAAAATGTGGCACATATACACCATGGAATACTATGCAGCCATAAAAAAGGATGAGTTCATATCCTTTGTAGGGACATGGATGAAGCTGGAAACCATCATTCTCAGCAAACTAATGCAAGGACAAAAAACCAAACACCTCATATTCTCACTCGTAGGTGGGAATTGAACAGTGAGAACACGTGGACCCAGGAAGGGGATCATCACACACTGGGGCCTGTTGTGGGGTGGGGAGAGGGGGAAGGGATAGCATTAGGAGATATACCTAATGTTAAATGACAAGTTAATGGGTGCAGCACACCAACATGGCACATGTATACATATGCAACAAAGCTGCATGTTGTGCACATGTACCCTAAAACTTAAAGTATAATTAAAAAAAAAAGTGCCTTGTAAGCAGGCGCTAAACATTGATTTTACTAATAAAGCAGAAGAGATACTGTGAATCTTTGCAGATTCCATGATTTCAATTGTCATTGTTTTATTTTTTCCAAAATAACATAAAAATACTTTCCAGTTGAATTACATAAAAAATTTAATCCATAAAACCATTATACAGTCATGCATTGGATAACAATGGGAATGTGTTCTGATGAATGCATCCTTGGGCGATTTTGTCACTGTGTGAACATCATAAGAGTGTACTTACACAAACCTAGATGGTATAGCCTATTGTTCCTAGGCTATAAGCTTGTAAAGTGTGTTACTGTACTGAGTACTATAGGCAACTGTAACACAGTGGTACTTGTGTATCTAAACAAATCTAAACATAGAAAAGGTACAATAAAAATATGGTATAATGGATTAAAAAAATGGTACACCTGTACAGGGCACTTACCATAAATGGAGCTTGCGGGACTGGAAGCTGCTCTGGGTGAGTGACTGAGTGAGTGAGTGGTGAGAGAATGTGAAGGCCTAATTGCTGAACACTACTGTAGACATGATAAATAATGTACACCTAGGCTACAGTAAATTCATAAAAATAATTTTATTTCTCCAATAATAAATTGACCTTAGCTTCCTAGAGCTTTTTAACTTTAAACATTTTTAATTTTGTAAAATTTTTTTACTCTTTTGTGATGACATTTAGCTTAAGCACTCATTGTTCAACTGCACAAAAATATTCTTTATATCCTTATTCTCTAAGCATTTTTCTATTTTTAGTTTTTTTACTTTTTAATTTTTTTGTTAAAAACTAAGACACATACACACACATAAACCTAAGCCTACCCGTGGTCAGGATCATCAATACCACTGTCTTCCACCTCCATATCTTGTCCCACTTGAAGGTCTTCAGGGTCAGTAACATGAATGGAGCTGTCATCTATGATAACAATGCCCTCTTCTGGAATATCTCCTGAAGGACCTGCCTGAGGCTGTTTTATAGTTAACTTTTTAAATAAATAGGAGTACACTGTAAAATAATAAAAGTATATTGTATAGTAAATACATAAATCAGTAATATCTTTTATTATCACTATCAAGTATTATGCACTGTACATAATTGTATGTGCTAGACTTTTATATGACTGGCAATGCAGGTTTGTTTACACCAGCCATCACCACAAACTCATGACTAATGTATTGTGCCACATTACAATGTCGCTAGGTAACAGGAATTTTTCAGCTCCATTATAATCCTATGGGACCACCATCATATATACAGTCCATCATTGACCGAGATGTCATTAAGAGGTACATCAACAGAAATAATGTATATTATGTACAAAAATAAATGAATTAAAATTAAATGAATACTTGATAAATGACAAGTTATAAAAGTCAATTTCTGATTCTAAAAAATACATGTTAATATTTTTTCTACAGAGCATGGAAAATACATTAGATGTTATAGAACATTTGGCAAATAATGTTAAAGAAAAGTTATCAGAGAAGCAGGCTTATTCATTTCAACTAAGTAAAGAAACGGAGGAGCAGAAGCCAAAATTAGAAAGAGTGACCAAACAGGTATCGATATCTTTTAAAAACTGACCTTTCATATTTACATTTTTGAAGTCCCAAATCCTCCTTCATCTATTAAAAATATTAAATTCTGGTAAACACGTTTATAGAATAATTGACTATTATTTACCAACAGTGTGCAAAACTCACAAAGGAAATCCGTCTTTTGAAAGACACAAAAGATGAAACAATGGAAGAACAAGACATCAAACTTCGTGAAATGAAACAGTTTCACAAAGTTATTGATGAAATGTTAGTTGATATCATAGAAGAAAATACTGAGATCCGTATTATCCTTCAAACATACTTTCAACAGGTAATACAGCACCTTCTATTAAATATTTCTTAAAAACTTCATGAAAATAAAAACTTTCATGACATTCATCATGAAGTGAAAGCTAATTAAAAATATTTATCTTCTAAAAAACAGTAGGTAGTACTAATGATTGCTATTGAATATTCCTCCAGAGTGGGTTAGAACTACCTACAGCTAGCACAAAAGGCAGTCGTCAGAGCTCTAGATCTCCTTCACATACTTCACTATCAGCAAGGTAAGCGGAGGGTTAAAAAAAAATCTGCTTAACTCTCACAGCTGTACACTAAGTGATTCCAGCCACTTCTACATCACCGCAGCTGTTAGGCAGGCCCATGCACTCACTGCCAGTGTTCTTTTCACTGTCAGACATCTCACTAGTCAGCATCATATAGATTAGATGCAGAAACAGCCAGCAGAACAAGAATTTCCTTCTGACTTCTGCTGGTGTCACTATTTCCAGTATAGCCCAAGTGCTCTGTGACTATGAGCTATTTCAGTAGGATAAAACAGAAATAAATTTGGGGGCTACATCTAGCATTTGGGGGTGAACCCCCAAGTTGGGGGAATTTTTTTAAAAACATGTAAGGGCAGCTTAGATGTACAGACATATAGAATATGATTTTTGTGATTCAAACCACACTGTGGTATTTTACATAATCAGGATTTGACTTTATGAAGCTTTATTTTGCTAAAAAGGAAACCCCTTTTTTTTTCTTCTGCAGTTGTTACCCAGAATTCTATCACCAGATGCTTAAGCAAACATTCTTGTGCTTTGCTGACAAAAATTTATTAATAATGATCCTGATTTTAGAATTCACAATCTCCTGCATTCAGCAGCTACTTATTAAATTACTATTCCTTAGTCCAGGTAAAAATTTCATGAAGAGGCCCCTAAAAAAAGTGTTTCATTTAAGTATAAAAAACTGTTTCTATATAACTGAACATCCCTGTACTTTCATAAAATATATATTTAAAACTTTTTTCAGAATTATATAGCTAGCTGTTTTTCAAATGACCCCACCACTTTATCCATCAATATGCTTCTCTCTTCTCTTCAGCTTAAATTACAAAAGGTATCATTTTAATTATTTTTGCCAGCACCAAATCCTCTTGGCCCTATTTCCTCTGTTTTGGAAACTTTCAATGCTTAATGATTCCAACTCTAAAAAACTGATTATAGTTCAAAGCATTTTTACCATGTAGGAACATACTTATTAAACTACTTTTCTACTGGTTTGAAACTCATCTATGTTCATCTTTCCTTTCCTGTTTAAATTGTTTGATATCTATTGATGGTCATTTAAAAACTTAACACTATTAATATGTACTTTTTTGATGTCTTTACTTATGGAATTATGGTACCTTTTGCCAATAATGAGAGGGTCTATACTAAAATATAAACTTTGCATTGAATTTATAATTCTGGTTTTTCTTCTAGGTCATCTAGGAGTACAAGTACATCTACTTCTCAGTCTTCAATTAAAGTACTGGAGCTTAAATTCCCGGCCTCCTCTTCACTAGTAGGCAGCCCTTCTAGGCCATCTAGTGCTAGTAGTAGCTCTAGTAATGTTAAGAGCAAAAAGAGCAGCAAATAAACATTTTAATCTCTTCTGAAAAAGTTGTAAACACAAAAACAAAAATATACTTTAAAATACAAAACGACCCAACACATTTTATCTAGTGGAAAGTGTAAAAACTTAGTGGTAAGTGTAAAAACTGATAGTTTTAAAAAAAAAGGAACGTTCTCATTTTCTCTACTGTTTTCTTCATACTGAAGAAATTAATAGCAGATTCTTGACAAGGCTACATGTTATACAAGCATAGGAAAAATGCTGTATTTCACTGTAATTCTGATGTTCGTAGTGTTAGAAAATAGTTTGCTTCATTATTTCACGAAACTACACTCACTTCTAATGTAACAATCTTTCAAGAAGAAATTTCTAAAGATTTACTGTACTATTATGAGCGTATTGCAATGTGAAAATCTCATTTACCCTACAAGACACCAAAATTAGGTTTTCTTTATTCAAAGTAACTATTTCTCAGACTTTTGGGGAGAAAAATTGTTAAAGGCAGTTTCTTCTTTTGCTATAATTTTTAACCAAAAAATAGCATCAACCCCTACCCACCCCACCCCCCCAAAAAAAAACCGGTAAGAGAAACACTGTATATCAATTTTAAAATGCAGCATAAATTTAGAAAAATCACTTCTGACCTTGAAATAAATCACTTCTGACCTTGAAATAAACGCATTAAAGATTTGCTTTCAGATACAGCCAACCAAGTATAAACAATTTTGAAATTTTCTTGATTTAATAAACGATTTAATGAAAGCTAGGTATGACTTGATTTGCAATAGAAATTTCATTTACAGTTGGAGGTAGACTGCCAAATGTAGTAGTTTTTCCAGTTAACACTTCATTATAACATGTGCCCAACACTTTGTACTCTTGGAATAGAGTGTGGAATATTATAAAACTGGATTTTAAATAAATGTATTAGAATTCACGAATGTACATGTGTCTCCTTCAAACCTTGGGAAAAAATGCTCATTACAACTGTCATTATTTTAGAACTGTTGTTTGTACTTCTTTCTGAAAAGCAGTAGTGGTAGTGAATAGTTCTCCTGATTATTTTTTGTTTTGTTTTAGAAATAGGAAAAAGGCATAGCAAAGTCAAGAATAAGGTGGGCGAAAAAAAAGGTAGGTAATAAAATTTTTGGCTAAAGTACTGCTCTAATGCATGAGATTTATAAGACCTAAAAACTAATTAAAGTCACTTTGCTCATCAAAGTTCTTATTCTCAGCCCTGTGCTAGTTTGGGAATTACTTAAAACTTGAAGTAATATTAAACACTCTTCTATGAAGGTAGAGGTTGTATCTTACTAGCTCTGTAACCTTGGATAGTTACTTCCCTGTTTTCCTCATTTGTACTATAGACACAGAAAGTTACCTACAAGTTTACCGAATTTGATAATATAAAAAAGATGCACAGGGCTTGACACACAGAAATTGCACTATATAACTTCTACTTACTGAGTTGCCACCTGGAGCTTAGCACAGAATTTGTGGAATGGTTTGGTTCTTGGGCCAGCATACGAATCTACATTTAATCCTTAAATAACAGTTCTAACAACTTCAGTGTAGTAATGACAAATGGTGCGACAGGGGATCAACCTATCTCCAAATCTGGACACTTATCCTCATATCCAAAAGTCATGCTTCATCTGCTTATGGAGACCAAGATATGGCAATATATGATCTTGAGAAAAATTACTGAAGATGTCGCTATTCTTGACAATGTAAATCCCCAATAATTTTTGCTGTGATGAACTTCCTTAGAAATTGGTTTGTATACTCTGCTTAATATGGCATAAACTGCAATTACTTTTGCGCCTACCTAATAAATTCAGGCAGCCTACAGGATAAGGTACTATTCTCTTACATTGAATGGGGTGTAATAGCCATTCTGACTGATGAGAGATATCTCATTTGGTTTTAATTTGCATTTCTCTAATTAGTGATGTTGAGTATTATTTCATACGCTTCTTGGCCATTTTTATCTCTTCTTTTGAAAAATACCTATTCATGTTTTCTGCTCACTTTTGGATAGGGTGATTTGGTTTGCTGAATTCCTTGTAAATTCTGGATGAGTCCCCTGCCTGATGCATAGTTTGCACATTTTGTCCCATTCTGCAGGTTGTCTGTTCACTGTGTTATTTCTTTTGCTGTGCAAGAACTTCGTAGCTTACTTAAGTCCCATTTTGTTTTTGTTGTGTTTAAGACACCAGTCTGGCTGTCACCCAAGTTGGAGTGCAGTGGCACAATCAGAGCTCACTGCAGCCTCGAACTCCTGGGCTCAAGCGATCCTCCCGCATAGCTGGGACTATAGGCATGCACCACCACACCCAACTTATTTGGATGGAGTCATGCTGCGTTGCCCAGGCCAGTCTCAAATTTCTAGCCTCAAGCAATCCTCCTCCCTCAGCCTCAAGTGCTGGGATTACAGGCATGAGTGACTGTACTCAGCCCCTCTTGCTTCCACTTTTGAGGTCTGAATCATGAATTCTGCCTACGCCAATGCTGGTAGGTTGGCAGGGGGGTAAGGGATGATAAATTATGAAATGGGTACAATGTACATCATTTGGGTGATGGTTACACTAGAAGCCCAGACTTCACCACTACACGATAGATCCATGTAACAAAAATGCATGTGTACCCCTTAAATTTATATGAATTAATTAAGGAAAAAAAAATTTTTTAAATGTTGTGTTTAAAATTTTAAGCTGAACTAGGGATTCCAAAAGGTCAAAGGCTATGTATGCCAAGAAGTAGTTTTCACTCTTTCTTTATAAACACGACTTTGTAAAGATGATACTGGAGCTATTAATACATAGAATTATTAAGGACTCTTTTTAAGATGAATTTCTTAAAGAAGCTTCTTCTTGGTGCAAAGACTAATGCTTTGAGTGACTAGCCGATTTCTATCACCATTATCTATTGCTCTTGACCAGGGTTTCTTTTCACTGTTCCATTTGCAAAAGAAATTTCAGATTTTTCACTAGGCTCTCATTACTGGAGTTTGATAGACACAGATAATACACACCCAGTACTTAAGGCCTGGACATTTTACTGTTGGCAAGAACTGCAAGACAGAACAAGGAATAAGTCTCTTCTTCCTCTATTATTCTCCCTCACTTAGACCTCTGTAGATCCTCAGCTACCCACCCACTTATCTAGTGTCATTGTGTGTGACAGTATCTAAAGTCCATTGTAATTTACAGCTTTGAGAATCTTAAACTGCAAACTCTAATGACATCATAAACCCAGTACCTATGACTCCTATCTCTATCTGTCTCCCAAAGAATATACCACACTATTTTCAGCAATTTGGGGAGGATCTTTATAATCCAAGTCTCTTTGTTCTTCAGCTCTAGCTGCTGGAATTTATTATTCTTAGTAAAACCAGGCTCTAGTTGGTCTAGTTATTTATTCAGACTCTGAGAAAGGGGTCATCAGAGAAGCATCAAGGCACAGGAGGTGGTAAGAAGAAATGCAGGTCAGATTTAACGACATGCCTAGTGCCTTCTGGACTGAACATCTGCTACACTAGGAGAGTCTCCCAATTTTCTTTCCCTAAAGAAAAGCCAGATTTACAATGTGCTTCTCTGCTACTGCTATGTTTTTGCTAAAAGGATTTTTTTCTTTTCTGATTTACCCTTGCGTGGAATACAGGCCCTAAGGGCCTTGTAAATATTTAAAGTTAAAAAGCTTTTTATGGCTATGCTAGCAATGAGGTAAAAAATAATGGAGAAATAAGCAAAATGGGCTCCTATTCAACTTTTATGATCTTATTCCTAAGGCACTTATGCTGGGTGGAAGCCAATGACTGTTCACAAACCACTTTTAATCAAATTGGGCTTTAGAGGAAAATTAAGACATATAATCTACCATTTAAAAATTTTAAAAAAAATTGGGCAAAAAATGTAATATTTAAACTGATAAATATAAAAGTGTTCAAGAAACATTCGAACATATAATCTTTCAAAAGCTGACGATTTTTAATTTAACAGAAAAGAAAATGAAATTAATTTTTATAAAAATGATCCAAGTGTTCAATGCACAAATTTTTCTCTCAAACAGCAGAATAAGATGCACCCAGGAATTCTCATATACCGCAATAGAATGAAGAAACAGTACTTTCAGAGAATTATCTTTAGGTGAAGAAATTCAAACTGTCAAGAGTAATATACTGTACATAAACATATACATAAAAAGTCTAAAAACCAAGCTGTGACAAGGGACCTAGAACTGAAACAAAATTTGAGAAAAACTTACTTAAAAGCATTTGTTTCCTGTAATCTCTACAAATAATTTTAGAAGCAGAGATTTCTGCACTCAACTGTTATGACTAATACAACCAAAAACTTCACTTAATGGCATTTTGTGTAATGGTGCCGATATCCTTGGTGTATTAATTTTTTGACTTATTTCCTTTTTCTTTTTCAAATTCAGCTATCTGATTAAATATATTCAGTAAATTCTGAGGTAAATTTTTCTTAACACTGCTTTCTGAGTGTTCTTTGCTACTTAGTGCATCTTCTTCTGGAACCTCTGTTTTGATATCCTCCCCATAATTGTCCTCTCTTTCATATTCTCCTTGATTTGTATTTAAACGGTATCTTTGCTCATGTCTACTGAAATCACGTGATCCAGAGTGAGCGTATTTTTTGTATTTCTCAACTGACTTCCAAGAGTATTCTGAGCTTGCTGGTGAGGTAGAATGCCTCACAGAACCTGGTTCCCACCTTCTATAGTGCTCTTTTCTTCCCTCTATATCCTTTTCAAATCTCCTATAACCATAAATCTTGTCCTCTGAATTCCTACAGAAGGAATCTGAGGAATTTCTTCTACTGGAAAAATGTCTTTCTGATTTATATGGCTTTTCTGTTTTGCTACTACCTGCTTGGGTTTTATAGCTGTTATAAAAATCTCTTGGATCTTCAGACCTACCTCCAAAATCATCCGGTATTTCAAGTGAAGATGAAGAGAGAGGGCATCTATCTTTCTCTTTTATCTGTGTCTTTTCATACTGTAACCTATCCTGCTTCCCCAGTAGTTTCTCCACTTCTTGTTTATGGTTAAGAAAAGATGCTGAAGTATTAGCTGGAACTGGGTAGCACTCATCTTTCCTATTCTGATCTATCTGATTTGAGGATGCCCTAGATGAATGCCTTCTGGAACTGCGAGAAGACTCTGAACGGTTCCTCTTATGTTTCTTATGCCTTTTGTGACCAGAAGAGGAAGAGGATGATGATGAAGACACTGATTCATCAGCAGAAGAAACACTTGAAGAAGAAGTTGATTTTCTTCTTTTCTTCTTTAGCCTAAAAAAAACAGTTCATTTGTCATATATATACAAAAATGTTTCTAAATTATTCATAAAGATGTGGGCCCTATTTGTTTCCTTTAAAGATTTTATAAAAGCTGTGGTTCAGATAAATGATACAATAATCTCGGCTACTACAAGATCTAATTTTACTATTAAGCACTTTTGGGGGAAAAAATGCTTGCAGACAGGTATCATTGTAAGCAAATCCATCATCTCTGAAAGACAGACTTTTTTCAACACTACCTTAAAAACTTAAGACTACTGAACACATAAAGGAGAACTCAACTTTTTTATTTGGCTACCTCTAGTTCATGGTTTCTTCACCTGATTATTGGTATTTTCAGCCAAATAATTCTTGGTAGGGGGTGGGGGTGCGGGTGGGAGCTGACCTGTGCATTACAGAATGTTTAAGAGCATCCCTGACCATTATACACTAGATGCAGTAGCACCCTATCAGTTATGGCAATCAAAAATGTCTCCACATCTTGTCAAATGTCCCCGGGTGAATAAATCCACCCCTAGTTGAGAACCACTGCTCTAGTTCTAAAATATTTCTTCCTAAAACATAATTAAAGTAACTTATTCTATATTTTAATTCTAAGATACTCTTTTTTTGTAGAATTCTAGCCTTAAATTCCACTTCATCTCTTTAATAAGAAAATACATGGAACACATATTTGCTAAAGATTCTTAACAGTCACTGATTGGCACTTGAAATACTTTCATATTTTTATTTACTTTACCTCCAGTATGGCACTTTGGGTTCAATTCAGTAGTTGCCTTAAGTTTAAAAATACTGAATATTATAGTTTACCTCTTCTCTTCTTTTAAGAGCTTACGCAACTTTTCTGCACTTGTTTCTATTTTCTTTGTTTTCTGCTTTTCTTCCTTTTCAGCTTGTTTTTCTCTTAATTCCAAAGATTTCTTTTAGAACCCAGATATCGAAAAAAACCACACGTTAAAAATAGCAGAATATATAAAACCCAGTATTCAAAAGACCACCCCCAACGAGAAACCCAATTTAGTAAAACCAAATCACCATAGAGCCAGCATTAAACAGTATTTTTTTAACATAAAAAAATTAGTCATACAGATGTTTGGCATTAGTCATTGAAATGGCCAGAACAGCATTGAGGACCATATTGCAGTTGGTATCCCATAAAAAAAGGGGAAGCCATTGCAGTGGTACCCATGACCCAGAGTGCAAGAAAGGTTAAAAAAAAAAAAAAAGTACATAAAAATTATTTTTAAAGATTGAAAAATTTAAACAGGACACATTTTACAAATAAAATTCAAATAAAGACATTCCGTTAAGGTGAAGTGAAGGAGGAATCACCATGTTCAAATACAAACCATTTAAAAAAATAGCACAGCCCAGTTGGATGCATGATTACATAGGAAATCATTTTCCAGTTTGTGGATGGGGATGAGCAGCACCAGATGTCACAGACACAGCAGCAATGGTCCAATTCAGAAGAAAATGCATGAGAAAACATCATCATCAGTATTACAGGAAAAGACAATTTAAAATATGTCTCAAAAAGGTTTTTATAATTAGCTCAATTATAGTAGCAACAATAATTTAAAAACCACCAGGTGAGCTCCCTATAAGGACATTTCTCAAAACAACATACCAAATTTAGGTAATAGTTTTCTCACAGCTATCTTTACTTTCGATTATGGACAAAAACAGAGGCACTATGAAGCAATGTCAAACCCAATTAGGAAAAACTATACCTAAAAAGAAACTTTTCATAATGCCTTACTTAAGTAATGTAGAATAGTTTTCCTCAGGAGAAAATTAAGTTTGGGCATTATTTCAAATATCACTAAATTTCTAAGAGGAAATAAGGAATCACCTGCATATATTTATGAAGTTTCTGCAAAGCATCCTCTGCATCTTTAAAAGTCTCATCCAAAGCCAAAGCTTTCTTATAGTAACTTTCAGCATTTAAAAACTTTTCTTCTTCTTCTAACCTAAATTTGAAAGAAAGATTTAGCTTTTTTGTAAAAACAACAAAACTATCCAAATATGCATACAGGTCAAAGGCTTATATGAGAGAGCTTATTAGGGAAAAGCCAAGTAAATTATTTTCCAAAATAAAATACCAAAATAATATGCTTTTTACTGTAATTTATTTCATAGACCACATAAACAGAAATCTTACTAGTAACTAAAGGTATATGTCCAATATTGGCACATTTTTGCAGTAATACACAAAAACCCATGATAAATGGGTGTCCACAAATTTAGTATGATCTTGAATTTTAGCACAGAATTATACCAGCAGGCTTTTTTCCCTAGTAGTTTATGAAAAATTATCTACAGAAAATTTTGGAAATCTTTGGAAATACCAACATACACATATATCACAATGAGCCTGTAAATAGCATAATCATTAGATGAATTTCACAAGTCTGGGTTGTGAAACACCAGAATGAGAAAGTTTGGACATAAAGCAGTCAAAAGATGTTGCAAAGTGCTTTGGGTTCTTAGAAGGAAAAAGAAATTACTATAAAACAAATACAATGGGATCACTTTTGTGTCAGTAGACTGGATATGGGAAACAAAGGACAAGTCAAAGATGAACAGTATCTCTGGCTTAGGTAACTACAGGGTATTGCTATTCACTCAGCTCAAAGACATCAATACAAGGCTATAAGACAACCACATATAAGTAGTTACTAGTTATCCACCTAGTAAGTATGTAAAAAGCTGCTCCAATCATTAAATAGAAGTTCCTATAAATTATAAACGAATATTGCAAAATTTAATCAACTTGGAATTTGTGATCACAAACAGGAATGACTACACAAATAGTATAGTCATTAAACCAAAAACTTTTGAGTATATTATCTAGGAAAAGAGTATTTGCCTAATCTCTTGTACTTTCCCATTTATTTATTGAAACCAAGAGTGTTATAAATTAAGTGCTTAAGAAACTATTTCCTTAAGTTCAAAATTTTTTAGTGGTTGGTTGAACATTAGACCTCCACTATTAAACAAAATCTGATACTTACTGTCCTCCTCTCTCTACAAGTGTCTGGCAGAGGTATTTTCTTGCATTTCTGTGAGTTGGACAGTTTTCTAATGCAAGCTCAAAATCTTCTATTGCTTTGTTCAAACTTCCTTTTGTCGCATATCTAGAGACATGAAACAAAGATAGAGGGCTGTATCTCACAAGCTCTTCATAAATCTTGTTCGCATTTACCTGGTAAACATTCCTTAAAATCCATGTATGATTCACTTACAATGCTCCACGAGCTACCAAAGCTTCCACGTTTTGTTTGTCTATTTCCAAAGCTTTATTGTATTCATTCATAGCATCCACATGGCGTCCAACTTTAAAATAGTCAACTCCGATCTTCACACTAAAAAAGACATTTGTAAAGCATCACAAACACTTCAAACAATATCTAAATAAAATGTTAGTGTGAATAAGTTTTAAAAGCAAATGTCATCAAACTTGGCAAAATATTTAGTTTTCAGAGTACTCACAATATACCTAAGGAACGTTCTTCTGCCTTTGGACATTTTCACAACAAATATTGGTGAAACCTAGATATCAATATACTAATTCCTTTTGAGAAAACTGAAATGCTGAGTAAAACTTATCTGTTAAGTGTAAAATGTAAGACTACTTACATCTATAAAAGAAAAGCTCATGTCAAAAAGGCATCACTTTAATGCATCTCAAATTTGTCTTATTGATGATATAAGCATGCTTGCCTTGCCCTAAGCTTTTAGACTAGATATAATGCAATTGTTGAAAGACAGTCTTCATACCATTTTAAAGCCCAAGATGCGGATTGTTTTTTTCTCAATGCAGAAGCAAAATCATCTTCAGAGAAATTTTTGCTATTAAAGAAAATAAAAATTAAAAAGTTAAACCACAAATATTTTTTAAGTAACTATACTTAACTCTGCTTGACAGGCACTCGACAGTGAAAGTATGAATCCCAAGCAAGAAATCTGCATTCTATTTACATACCAAAATCTTTGAACTTTCGAAATGATTATTATTGTTAAACAGTATTTTTCTTGGCCAGGTGCGGTGGCTCACGCCTGTAATCCCAACACTTTGGGAGGTCGAGGCGGGTGGATCACGAGGTCAGGAGATTGAGACCATCCTGGCTAACACGGTGAAACCCCAACTCTACTAAAAATCAAAGAAAAAAAAATTAGCCAGGCGTGGTGGCGGGCACCTGTAGTCCCAGCTACTTGGGAGGCTGAGGCAGGAGAATGGCGTGAACCCAGGGGCAGAGCTTGCAGTGAGCTGAGATAGCGCCACTGCACTCCAGCCTGGGTGACACAGTGAGACTCCGACTCAAAAAACAAAAACAAAAAACAAAAAAACCCAGTATTTTTCTTTAGCATACACACAAAATTCTTATAAAAAGTTTCTGCATCCTTCTCTACTTGGTTACATGGTACACATATTAATCACTGATAAGACAGTCCAGTCCAGAAGATGGGATCACCTGGTTCATTCAACCTTTGGCATATGCCTGCTACTAGGTGGCTTAGGATGGTAAAATACGTCCTTCAGCTAAACGCAGCTTCTGAGCTTACTGCCACTCCCCTCACCATCTAAGAGTAATACTGATGTACTATACCTTTGTAGGCCTCTCATTAAAGATGGTGGATTAGATTCATCTATTCCTAGTTTTTCTAGAAGGAATTCAACTACTCCTGGATTAACAAATCCCAAGGAACTCTGCATGACATTTTCATAGGACTCCAAAGAATTGCTATTTAGCTCAACACTTCTCCTTAAAAAAATACAAACACAAAAATTGTAAAATGACTAATTTGACATTCCATTTCTAGTAAAGAAATAATATCATTTGAGGTTTAAATACTAATTCCATTTTTTGCATAAGATGGTGTGGCAATATTATGATATGGTTTCCTTTTACCAAGTCTGAAGTAATTTAACCGTTATAAAAATGTGGTATTCCTCAATCCAAGAGACTTTTGTAATGAACTGTTGTTGAAATAATACGGATAAATTACCTGTAGTATAAAGGAAGCTCTTCAGAGCTAATTACACCTAATTTAATACCAGATAGGTGTGGTGGAAGAGAAGAGCTATACAGAGATACTGCTAGCTTTTCATGGTATCTGTCAATATCCTTGATTCCAGCTTAAGAAAAAAAAAAAGAGAACTAAGCTGATTAGTAAGAAAATGTAAACTAACATAAAAAATATAAACTTTCCCAAACACTACCCTCTTAGACTGTATTTTTTTAAATTAATAAAAACAAAAATTCAACAATCATTACTTTTTTATTAGTATGATGAAACTAATCACCTCGAATGATGTCACCAGTTTGGTAATATGATAAAGGATCCCCATGGTTACTGTGAGAAGGCACATCTCTTAAGGGACAAAGAGCCTGTAATGAGAAGTATTTTAAAACACCAGACATTTCAAGCTTTGATAAGAAC
Source organism: Homo sapiens (assembly GCF_000001405.40). Classification (NCBI taxonomy): domain Eukaryota; kingdom Metazoa; phylum Chordata; class Mammalia; order Primates; family Hominidae; genus Homo; species Homo sapiens. Next base: position 180,604,172 of record NC_000003.12, on the reverse strand, counting down.
AGTGTCTTCTTTTATCTTAGTTGTTTGGTATGAAACAGCTAGTAGTTGAACAACCTAAAGTAAAAATTTAAATAAGGATTTAGTTAAAAGTAATTTCCGTGTCCAAACACAGTAAAATATGTTTGCTGGTTCAGTTAAAAAACTAAAATCTCATGAAACTTTCCATTAGTTTAGGAACCAAATATGATGGCTTATGACAGTATACAACATGCATCAAAAACAAACTAAAATTTGTCTAAAAGGTATAAGGATTCCAGTGAAAATGAAATGCCAATTCTCCAAAGTATTTTGTCTGTTATCCAATCTGTAATACCTTCTGCTTTTCTTCCTTTTTATCTGCCTGGATAGATGGCAAATACCCAATCTTTTATCGTGACACATTAGTTTAAATTCAGGACTATCCATCTTGGGCAAAGTATCTTAATATAATGTACAAACCACTTACATTTAATTATTGTAAATATATAAATGAAACTTCTCTCCAAATTATCCACATGAAAATATACAATGCCAAATATTAACTAATTAAGAATACATATGTTCAACTACAAGAAATAAGTCTGAATATCAATCAACCTCACCACGTCCACTGATACCTCTTTGAGCATTTAGAAAAGAACACTGTGCCTGCCAACCAGTTTAAATTTAAAAAATCCCAAAAACCAGAAATGGAGGGAGAAACTGGGTAACTTACACTAATTTTTTTAAACTATTTTTCTCCAATTAACATTTAATTTCCAAAAGCATCTTGGCAGGTATACTTGAGCACAACTGCATGCAAAGATATAGTTCTTGCATTGAGATGCGTTAACAAAAACAGAAGCAATCCAAGTAACAAAAATAACTTACTGTGATTTCTAAGTGGGCTATATCTCTCATGATACCACTTCCTAAACAGATCAACACCATGAAAAAACCGAATTCCCGAATAGAACTAATTCTTCCAATCACTATATCACCACGCTCAATATCTCGGAAAAACAGCTCTCTCCGATCCATACTAGGTATCTCCATGAATTGCTCTAAAGGTGGCATGATTGCATAATGATCTAAAAAAAAAAAATTAACAAAATCACTAACGATAGTTTTGAGTTCCGTTTCACCTGAAGTACTGTTAAACCGAACCGCAATCTTAAAGATTTTAAGGCTAAACTGACCTTCACTGTCTTCATTAATTTCAGAAGTTGCAGGTGCATCTGATTTCCAGGAAAGTGCAAAAAGCAGATCCGCTTTTTTGGAGATGAATTTCTGTATCTCGATGTTGTCAACTCTCTTCTCTTTTCTTAAAAAGAAAAAAATATATATGAAAATTGGGTTATCTGCAAAGCCTCTTTACTTCTAACCTTCTGCTTATGGCTTTCATCGCCCATTCCGCTCCATCCTAAGCTGCAGACAATACAACCTCAGACAAAAAGTTTTAACTAGGCATTCCCTCATTAACCAACCTGGAGGTGGAGAGCGGGGAAACTTAAAAAGTGACGCCTCCAACTCAGATAGGAAAGCTCAAGGGATTTTTAGCTAAGGAATCTGCGCCTCTACCAAGCAGTGCCAGAGAAAAAGTTCAGCCCGCATCCCGCATTGCACAACCCAGGAGCGCCCCCCGTCCACCCAGCCCAAGACACCAGCGCGCGATCGTCCTGTGCTCACGGCCGCGGCTCCACTTCCTCTAGACGCAAACCCGGGGCTGCGGTAGTGGCTGCCAGAGCTGCGTCCCCTCTTCCGTGGCGCAGTGGCACCAACGTCTCATTACCTGCCCTGCAACGGGTGCTGGGGCGGCGGGCCCCGGGCTGGCTCGGCGGCCGACCCCAGGAGGCTACGGAAGTGTGGATTGTCCTGCTGTTCGCTCCGAAGTAGAGAGAGCAAAGACGACCCGTGGCAATTTAGCGACTGCCGCAAAAGGTCCCGGTCCATGGCTAGAGAATGCAGGGCCCGGAGGCCGACGGGCTGATAGTTCCCTGTTCCGTGTCCGCTACTTGAGCCGGGTGGTACAGGAAGCGGAAGAAACTGTCTGGAGGCTGCCGGAAGTACACAGACAGCACAACCAGTTACACCCGGAAGTGTTCTGGGGTCGCCCCCACGGCGGCGCGGCGGAGCTCAGCCTCGATCTCGCGAAACCGAGCGAGACTACGGAAGGCCGAAGGATTGGGCTCAGCATTGCTTGGGCTAAAGGCTGACTAGGGCTTCCAGGAAGTGATGTATGTGAGAAGTTTGCTTTTTAAAGTGTACGTGGGATCGTTATTACGTCGAAATAGCTCGAGCTGTAACCTAGGGTAAATAATAATTCCTTTTCGTATTCATCAAGGTGCTTCTAAGTGCCAGTGCCAGGGTAAGAACCCTATACGAGTCTCCAAGCTTCTTCCCTCGACGTACTCTCTGCGTAAATCAATACCTGTGTCTCTGGCGTAACCCCATTCAACCGGCTGCTCCGGGAAGGTTTCCAGGTGGTTTTAAGGGCAGAAGAAAGGAAGGACACGGACATTTGTTAAGCACCTGGAGTGGTGTTCTCCATCCATACCCCATTTACTGTTAGTGATTGTGAATTCTAAAACCAGGATGGCTTTAATGTCTCCACACGTGCATATGCCATTCAAGTTTTACAATAACTAATGAACACATGCATTTCTTATTTAGTTTATCTCAATGGTTGCTCAAAATTTAGTGTCTGTGGGACTTACTGTATAGTGGTATGTACGCAAAAGTCAATATACTGTTCTTATGGACAATTCAAGTGATTTTCAAAGGGAATTTCAACTTAGGTCCCCCATCCCCTTACTTACTGACTTGAGAACCTAACCACTATGGTAGCTATTGTACTTTTTCATTTTAGAAAACGAGGAAACATGCTCAGAGAGTCCCAGTAAATTGCTCAATGGCACACAGCTAGTAAGAGGCTAGAGTTAGGATTCCAAACGAAGTATTAATTGGTCTTCTCAGGCAGAGTTGCTGGATTGAGTATTTTATCATATGGAAGGTCTAACTAACCCTAATTTTGAGATCATGTAGCTTCGTTTTATTCCAGTATAAAATTTGTACCATTTAAATATGTTCAGTGTAAATAGTTCAGTATAGTCCTCTTGAACAGAAATAAACGGTGACAGTTAGTCTCTCCACTTCCCACCATGTGTCTTTGAGGAAATCAACTTGCCTTTCACTGTGTTACCACTTTTGTATAGGAGATCTAGCCCAGAACATAATCGATACTGCCACACTGTTTTGTGGAAAACCCAGGCAAATAGGTAAACAGTTTGAGACTTGAGAAAATGCAACAAACAAGAATGCAACTGTAAAAGATAAATTTGGGTTAGGCACGGTGGCTCACACCTGTAATCCCAGTACTTTGGGAGGCCGAGGGTGGATCACTTGAGGTCAGGAGTTCAGAGACCAGCTTGGCCACCATGGCCTAACCCCGTCTCTACTAAAAATACAAAAATTAGCCGAGCGTGGTGGCTCATGCCTGTAGTCCCAGCTACTCGGGAGGCTGAGGCACGAGAATCTCTTGAACTCCGGAGGCGGGGGTTGTAATGAACTGAGATCGCGCCACGGCAGTCCAGCTTGGGCGCCGGAGGGAGACTCCGTCTCAATAAATAAATAAATAAATAAATTTCAAGCTTCTATAGGCATATCAACTTTAATAAATGGTACAGACTGACTTGTTTTAAGCCATAACTCTAGAGAATGGTTGTTTTTAGGAAAGAGTGCTGTCACTGAAAAGGAAAGCTGACCACTAAAAATTATTATAGACATCTTGATAAGTATGTGATTTGTGTTAGAGTCAATCTGTGATCAAGGACCTCATTTTTTGGAGGGACTAAGAAACCGGTGTCTGAGAACCAGACACCAAATAGTGTTACTTAGCCTGGGAATGTCACCTTCTGAGGCCATTCTTCAGTAGCACATGGTTTTATCACTATGGGATCTGTCTATACTTCTTCCTAATTCCAACACTAGGATAACCCTCCCCCACCTCATACCTTGAACATCTGAAATGGCCGTGAACATAGAAAGCAGCTCCTTTTAGGGGGTAAACAGCATTTATCAAGAGTGATATTTTTCGTATAGTAGTGACAGAAGAAATGCACTTTAAGCAAATGTACTCAAAACTCAGCGTGGGATTTTCTGTCTTTGGTTAGTTCCTTATGTGAAAGTAGCCACATTAGTTGGGTGCCGAAGGCAGTCTTATTCTTTACTTCCGGAATACTACTCCCATTGCAGAGGATAAAGCCTTTTACAATTACAGGTGTATTTGAGTTCATTTTCTTTTGAGACAGACACCCCTTTGACTTTGAAGGGGACAGGGCACTGGATCTTTGACATGGGATTGGAGGGAGTGAGGAAAGGAAATGGGACTAGGTTTGCTTCTCATTTTAGAAAAACTAGTCCCACATGTGGGGCCTCTCAAGTGGGCGACGAAGAAAATACTGTTTTTCTTTTTTACTTCTTGCCTTACCTTAAAAAAATCTTTTTCGAGAAACTTTTCCAGATTAAGCAACATAAATAACTAAATGAATATGTTGAGGAGAGGGACAGGGGAAAGTGTGGGATGGGGTTGGGGGAAGAAGGCAGGACATCTAAAGCAGTCAGATCTTTGATGTCTGGTTCCTGTGCCTATTTTTATTGTAAATGTTAAATTCAATTTCTAAATAAACACATATGTACATTATTTAATAAACACTCTAGACCCTAGAGATATAAAGGTGAAGAAAATAACTCTGGTTCTTGAGTGGCTCACAGTGCAACACAGGATTAGACATAAGAAGAAACAAATATGGCACAGTGGTAAGTGCTATTGTGGACACCTACTAGGGTGTCTGCATAGATTCCTCTTCTCTGTGAAGTGAGGTAGTGGGAGTTGCTGGGGGTAAGAGGAGAGAGGGGGAGGCAACTATGTGCAGTCCAGGCACAGAGGGCAATATGATTAAAGAAGTAGAGGTGTGAAAAAGCAAGATACATTCTGGAGACAGCAAGTGTGAAATGGAGGTAGGTAGGGATATTTTAATTATAGACATTTGGTTATGTAAGCGTGTCATTTCAGGTAGGCTATAGATTGGTGGGAAGAAACCCCTGGTGCCTCTCTGTGGGTACAACACACATACATACACCCACACACACAGAGTAAATTCCTGATTTCTTTAGCAAAGAACACAGAAACTTAGGTGAAACAAGGTAGCCACATAAAGAAGTGGGAGAAGCAGCATATCTCATTGTAGCTTTTCTTGGATCTCCCAAGTTTCCACAAATAACTTCTGCAGCTAGTGACATAATCTGCAAAAGATAAAGTCTTTTTTTTACATCTCGGAAACGTTTATAACCAATTGTTAAGAATCTACAAATAATCCATGACTTTATGAGAAATATTTATAGATAGATTGTTTCTGGTTCTTGATCCTGATGCCAACAGTTTCAACAAGGCCTCACCTTTAGCTGGGGTTAAGGTTGGAGTGTGTGTGTCAGGGATGGTGGGTACCAAATAAGGTCCTAGAAATCTATTATGATACTTCTAACTTTAATTTTTCAGTATCTTTTAAAGGCTCTCTTCTTTTTAGAAAAAATGGACTTTATTTTTTAGAGCAATTCTGGGTTAAAAGCAAAAGTGAGGAGAAAGTAAAAAGTTTCCCATGTATCCCCTGCCCCCACATATGCATAGCCTCCCTCATTATCAATATCCCCCACCTGAGTGGTACATTTGTTAAATTGATGAACCTACACTGACACCTCTCTATCATCCAACGTCCATAGTTTATCTTAGGTTTCATTCTTGGTGTCATATATTCTGTGGGCTTGGACAAATGTGTAATGACATATTCACCATTATAGTGTATTACAAAGTAGTTTCACCACCCTAAAAATCCTCTGTGCTCTGTCTATTCTTTTTCTCCTTGGAACCCCTGACAACCACTGATTTTTTTACTGTGTCCGTATTTTTGCCTTTTCCAGAATGTTATGTATCTGAGATCATATAGTATATAGCATTTTCAGACTGGCTTCTTAGTAATATGCATTTTGGTTTCCTCCATGTCTTTTCATGGCTTGATAGCTTGTTTATCTTTAGTGCTGAATAGTATTCAATTTGCTGGATTTATAAAACAATTTATCCATTATCCTATTGAAGGATATACTGGTTTCTTCCAAGTTTTGGCAATTATGAACAAAGCTGCTATAAACATACATGTGCATATTGTTGGTGGACATAAGTTTTCAACTCTTTTGCATAGGAGTGCAAATGCTGGGTTGTGTGGTAAGAGTATGTTTAGTTTTGTGAAAAAGCACCAAACTGTCTTTCAAAGTGGCTGTACCATTTTACATTCCCATCAGCAATTAATGAGAGTTCCTGTTGCTCCACATCATCACTGGTGTTTGATGTCAGGGTGCTGAAATTTGGCCATTCTAATAGATGTGCAGTGGTATCTCATTGTTATTTCCATTTGCATTCTCTTGATGATATATGATGTGGAGCATCTTTTTATATGCTTATTTGCCATCTGTATATCTTCTTTGGTGTGGTGTCTGTTAAGGTCTTTGGCCCATTTTTTAATTTATATATTTATTAAAATATTTTAATATATTTGCAAATATTTTGTCTTGGCCTGTGGATTATATTCTCCCAGTGGTATCTTTTGCAGAGTAGAAATTTTTAATTTTAATGAAATCCAGCTTATCAGTTTTTTTTTTCTTTTATGGATTATGACTTTGGTATTGTATCTAAAAAGTCATCACCAAACCCAAAGTCATCTAGATTTTCTTCTATGTTATTTTCTAAGAGTTTTATAGTTTTGCATTTTACATGTAGATCTATAATCCATTTTGAGTTAATTTTGTGAAGGATGTAAGACCTGTGTATAGATTCATTTTTTTGCATATGGATGTCCAGTTGTTCCAGCACTACTGGCTGAAAAGAGTATCTTTTTTCTCCATTGTAGTGCCTTTTTACTTTTGTTAAAGATCAGTTGACGGTACTTATGTATTATGTTGGTCTATTTCTGGGCTCTTTATTCTGTTCCATTGATCTACTTGTCTATTCTTTTGCCAATACCATACTGTCTTAATTACTATAGCTTTATAGTAAGTCTTGAAGTCAGGTAGTTCCAGTTCTCCAACTTCGTTCTTCTCCAATTACTGTCTTTATTTTCCTGAAAATAGTCCCTTTTTGTTGCTTAAGCCAGATGGAGGAAATCTGTAGTTTGGAACCAAAGGTTTTGACTAATACACTAAGAAGCCACCAACTAGTAGCCTCTGCTTTTTCTACTCTGCCATTTTAAAAACGAAGAAACAAATATGGAGAGGTTAATACATGCTTTTGTTTTTCAAAAACTAACTTTAGAATACATGTCGTCTAACTGTGTATCTAGTACTCTTTCTACCATTACCATGCCATTTAGAGGGTCAGTGAAACCATGCTCTTTAAGGATGTAGCTTTAAAATATATGTATGGAATTTATTTTATTAAAAAAAATTATGACATAGGTCAGGTATCCCTTATCTGAACTGGTTGGGACCAGAGTGTTTTGAATTTGAGATTTTAGAATAATTGCATATATATAATGAGATACCTTGGGGACTCAAGTCTAAACAAAAAATTCATTTATGTTTTGTATGCACCTTATACCCACAACTTGAAGGTAATTTTATTTTACCCTTGGGACGCTGAGTAAACATGGTGCCACGTTCCTACATTTTGACTGGGTTCTACCACATGAGGTCAGGTGTGAAATTTTCCATTTGTGGCTTCATGTGAGTGCTCAAAAAGTTTCCAACTTTGGAGAATTTTGGATTTTGGATTTTTGGAGTAGGGATGCTCAACCTGTAGTTAATTTTATGTGTCATCTTCACTGGATCAGGGGATGTCCAGATAGTTGGTTAAAGACTATTTTTGGGTGTGTCTGTGAGAGTGTTTCCAGATGACATTAGCATTTGAATTGGTGGGCTCAGTAAAGTAGATTGCCATCCGCAATGTAGTTGGTCATCATCAAATCCACTGAGGGGCCAGGATCTGTGGCTCATGCCTGTAATCCTAGCACTTCGGGAGGGCCGGGAGGGCGGATTGCTTGAGCCCAGGAGTTTGAGACCAGCACTGGCAACATGGCAAAACCCTGTCTCCACCAAAAATACAAAAATTAGCCAGGTGTGGTGTCACATGCCTGTAGTTCCAGCTACCCAGGAGGCTGAGGTGGGAGGATCGTCTGAGCCTGGGAGGTTGAGGCTGCAGTGAGCCTTTCCCAGCCTGGGCGACAGAGTGAGACCCTGTCTCAAAAAATATATATATATCAATTCAGGGCCTGAATAGAATAAAAGGCAAAAGTAGGGAAAATGTGCCCCTTTTTGGCCCCACTGTTTGAGCTGGGACATCTCATTTCATCTTCTTTTGCCCTCAGAGTAGGATTTATATCATTGGCTCTCCTTGGCCTTTGGACTCAGACTACATTATGCCAGCAGCCTTCCTGGGTCTCCAGCTTGCAGATGGCTGATCCCAAGACTTCTCAGCCTCCATAATCCTCTATAACTGTATGAGCTAAGTCTTCATCGTGTGTGTGTGTGTGTGTGTATGTATGTATGTATGTATGTGTATGTGTATCTCCTGTTATCTGTTTCTCTGGTGAACTCTGACTAATACAAATGTCCGTTATTATGTTATTATCTAAAGATCGCCTTGAACTCTTTTTTTTCCCATAATGGGGCCCCTTGATTTCATTCCTAAGCACATGGTGTAAAAGGTTTAGATTACAAATTTGCTACCATATAAGGTAGCCATCTGTGTTTAACACTCTATTCAAAGCTGTCCTGAAGTGACTCAAGGAAGAGTGAGGAATACTAAATGGAAAATATGGCAAACTCAGCCAAATGTCTATCCCTGTTGTTAGAGGAATAATTCAAACTGCAAGCCCTTCTGATAAGAGTTGGCACATCTTCATTCATTCCCATGGTTTTTGTTTGAAAAGATTCTCCCAGCTTCTATTTCTTTTTCATATCACAGACCAACACCTTTCTTCAAGAAAAAAAACATTGTCAGTCTAATCCACTTGAGGGTGCTGTAAGATCATCATGGTATCCAGTTTTATGTCCTTCACCAGAAAACCTGCTAACTAAACAAGGATTTAGGGATGGGGAACTGTGACCCTATTATATACAGTCATTTTGGGATAATTTTATGTCTAACACTGTCTCCACCTTTTAGTGACTGATAAATGTTTTGAGGATATTATTTTAATTTAAATCAGTTCATATCTCATTAGAATTGATTAACTTAGTAATCTTGAGTTATTTTTTTCTAAGAAGAAAGATTACTGATTTCAGTTTCAATTCAGCATGGTTCTAAACAGACCCAGAGGTGAATATTGCACAACTCCAGGACAAGAGGCCAGAGTAGTGATACACTATAATCCATCTTCAGGGTATGTGGTATTCCTGGAGATGTGCAACTTTTGATCAGTTGTAGTGACCATCTGCAGTGCTAGTCTCAGCTAGCATTTCTTTCATGTTTGTCTTTGTTTACAAAAAGGATGAGGAAATAGAATGAAGATATTTCAGATTAAATCTATCATGATTGTTAGAAAAAAAGTCAAAAGATGTGTGTAATACTGATATGGAATAGGTTAAGGTGTTTGTCATCAGGTTCTTGGTCATGACTGCTCATAAAGACACACACACATACACACACACACACCTCTTAGATTCTCAGATTCTTGTTTTGCAGCAATTTCTCAGAATGCTATATGGGAGAACATGTCAGGATTATCATCAAAAGAATTGAAAGTTTAATGCTCAATAAATAGTATTTGTCAGTACATTCTGGATTGCTTCGATTTTTTAAATGCAATTTAGACATTCCTTTAAAATGAAAGCAATTGGTCATCTTCTAATTTTTAAACACATTCTTTTTTGTTTTATTGACAGCAGCACTAAAGGAGAATTTTGGGGAGTAGAAATATATTAGTGGCTTAGTATATTGCCCTTCTTAATGGAATTCATTGGAAGATCCAGTATGTCAGGGAAATGATTTAACCTTGATCTGGACCACATTAGACATAGCCTTTGATTATCTGTAGACATAATGGTCAAGTTGCCAAATGCATTAATTTATTCATTTAATAAATATTTGAGGCTTAGGCTGTATTTTAGGTGTTAGGAATATAATAGTGAAAAAAATACACCAACCTCCCTGCCTCTATGGAGTTTATATTCTGGAGGGAGACATATGATGAGTAACAAATATAATAAATAAGTAAATGATATAGTGCATGTATTAGAAGGTGATAGATCCTATACAGAAAGAAGTAAGTCAGGGTAAGGGGCATTGGAAGTACAGGGGGGTGGGTGTGGTAGTTTTTTTAATTATTTATTTATTTATTTATTTATTTATTTATTTAATTTTTTTTTTTGAGACGGAGTCTTTCTCCAGGCTGGAGTGCAGTGGGTCAATCTCGGCTCACTGCAAGCTCCGCCTCCTGGGTTCGCGCCATTCTCCTGCCTCAGCCTCCCAAGTAGCTAGGACTACAGGCACCCCGCCACCATGCCCAGCTAATTTTTTGTATTTTTAGTAGAGACGGGTTTCACCGTGTTAGCCAGGATGGTCTCAATCTCTTGATCTCATGATCCGCCCTCCTTGGCCTCCCAAAGTGCTGGGATTACAGGCGTGAGCCGCCGCGCCTGGCCTGGGTGTGGTAGTTTTAAATAGTTACAGCAGATCTCATTAAGAGGGTGACATTTGAGCAAAGATTTGAAGTAGATGAGGAGTTAGTCATTCAACCTGTTTGAGGGAAAAGAGTTCCAGGCAGAGGGAACAACCAATGCAAGGGTCCTGAGACAGGAAGGTATTTGATGTATTTGAGAAATAGCAAGGAAGGCGGTGTGGCAGGAACAGAGTGAGCATGGAGGATGGACGTATGGGGCTTTGTAGGCCATTGCAAGAACTTGGCTTTTACTGTTAGTGGTTGGGAGTAGCTTCAGGGTTTTAAGGAGGAGGGCACATTATGACTTTCATTATAAAAGTATCACTTTGGCTGTTATCTAGGTAGGAATTGATTAAATACCTATTGCTCACAATAAAAGGGAGAAAGTTTTGTAGGATGTCTTCTTATTTCTTAGCAAACATAATTTCATTTTAAAATTTACCTATCATTGCATAGAATAAGAATATGAAGTTTCAATAGCTGCAAGAAGATTAAGAGTGTAGGGCCGGGCGCTGTGGCTCACGCCTGTAATCCCAGCACTTTGGGAGGCCGAAGCAGGCGGATCACCTGAGGTCAGGAGTTTGAGACCAGACTGACCAACATGAAGAAACCCCATCTCTACTAAAAATATAAAATTAGCCAGGCGTGGTGGCGCATGTCTGTAATCCCAGCCACTTGGGAGGCTGAGGCAGGAGAATCGCTTGAACCCAGGAGGCAGAGATTGCGATGAGTTGAGATCGCGCCGTTGCACTCCAGCCTGGGCAACCAGAGCGAGACTCTGTCTCAAAAAAAAAAAAAAAAAAAAAAAAAAAAAAGAATGTGCGCAATTATGAAATAGGGAGTTATCATAGTGGAAAGAGCTTAGCCCAGAAGTCCCAGCTGTATTTTGAGTAAATAATCTAATCTTCCATGCCTCTCTTGCCACCTTTAAAACTAAGGGATTGGATGAGATGAACTTTGAGATCTAACCCTTAACATTCATTGTTCTATGATGAACAGTTCAGGTGCTAAAACTGCATGTCTCTCTTTAAGTCAGTGTGCTTCTTTTTCTATGAAATCTGTATGAAGTTATTTTCCTATTGTATTGCAGTACTGGTAAGTGTGGCTTCCTACTGTGGCTGGTCTCTTTAAATGAATGAGATTCTTTACAGTTCCTTTAGTTGTAGTTAGAAAAGGGACCAGCCACAGAAGTCACAGGGGGAGATTGGCTGATCACTGTTTGGAAGTCTCAGTGTGGCAGTTCCATCAGGTAGATTGAGTTCTGGACACTGATCCTTAGTTTTTCAAGTGCAGAAATTCAAGTAAGGCTCGACATACTGATACACACTAACCAAATTAAACACTGATTTAGAAATCAAGTTGACAATGTATTAAGGGTGAACTGTAAGCTTGACATACTGATACACACTAACCAAATTAAACACTGATTTAGAAATCACGTTGACAATGTATTAAGGGTGAACTGTAAGCTCGACATACTGATACACACTAACCAACTTAAACACTGATTTAGAAATCACGTTGACAGTGTATTAAGGGTGAAGTGTAAGCTCGACATACTGATACACACCAACCAAATTAAACACTGATTTAGAAATCACGTTGACAATGTATTAAGGGTGAACTGTAAGCTCGACATACTGATACACACTAACCAAATTAAACACTGATTTAGAAATCACGTTGACAATGTATTAAGGGTGAACTGTAAGCTCGACATACTGATACACACTAACCAAATTAAACACTGATTTAGAAATCACGCTGACAATGTATTAAGGGTGAACTGTAAGCTCGACATACTGATACACACTAACCAAATTAAACACTGATTTAGAAATCACGTTGACAATGTATTAAGGATGAACTGTAAATGTTATGTGAATCAGAAACTCGTAGAAGTATCAATATATTCTCCGGTGGAAAGCCAACTTCAGTCAGAAGCTTGTTTGTGAGCCCAAAATAAGAACAAAAACAGCCTGTTGGGTATTTTTTAATGACTAATTTCATCAAACTATGTAATCTTATGCATTCATTTCCTCTGCATGTGTATTTCTTCTAAGACATAAAAAACTCTGCTTACCTGTCATCCTTTTCTTTCTCCCTTTAATCTCTCTTTCTTTATACACACACACACACACACACACACACACACACACACATACACACGTATATAATATATAAAATATACATGTATGCATATGTAAATATGTAACTGAATAATAGCAAATATATTGAGAATATGACTGCTGCTATGTGTGTATATGTTTGAAAACTGCTTTCAATTTTGTTTTAACTTTCTTAAGATGGAAGCCCAATATATAAAATAGACAGGAAGATACTGAGAACTCAACCAAGTAATATATTTTCCTTTTTGTTTCCAGCCCCCTCTCCCTCATACACAGCAAATGATGGCTGGAGAGGTTACCTTTAAGTCAGCAATCCCTAACCTTTTTGGCACCAGGGACCGATTTTATGGAAGACAATTTTTCCATGGACTGGGGCAGTGGGGATGGTTTTGGGATGATTCAAGTGCATTACATTTATTGTGCTCTTTTTTCTATTACTATTACATTGTAATATACAGTGAAATAATTATACAACTCACCATAATGTGGAATCAGTAGGAGCCCTGAGCTTATTTTCCTGCAGCTAGATGGTCCCCTCTGGGGATGATGGGAGACAGTGACAGATTATCAGGCATTAGATTCTCATAAGGAGCATGCAACCTAGATCCCTTGCCTGTGCAGTTCACAGTAGGGTATTCACTCCTATAAGAATCTGATGCCGGCTGGCTTGGTAAGCGGGGGTACCCGCGGGCCTCCCCAGACCACTGCGTCCTCCGTAGCCCACGTAGCCTTGGCACCGCGTGCTGTGGGGGTCCTAGGCCCTCCGCTGCAGGGCCGGGGCACCGGTGAGGCCGAGGGGCAGGAAGTCACCGCCCAGCCTGGCAGTGTGAACGTGCAAGTCGATCCCCTAACCCAGAAAGCCCCAGGTGTGGTCTGTACGGGCGGCCCTGCTCCTGTTTTATTTTTTCGGGACAGGGTCTCGCTCTGCCACCCGGGCTGGAGTGCAGTGGTGTAATCACAGCTCACTGCAGCCTCGACCTCCCGGGCTGAAGTGATCCTCCCCCCTCAGCCTCCTGAGTAACTGGGACCACAGGTGCACCTGGCTGATTTTTAATTTTTTTTGTATTTTTTTTGGTAGAGATGGGGGGTGTCTTGCTATGTTGGCCAGGCTGGTCTCAAACTCCCGGCCTCAAGCGATTGTCCTGTATCAGCCTCCTGAAGTGCTGGGATGACAGGCATGAGCCACTGCGCCTGGCCTCTTTTGAATGGGCCTCCTTGCGTTTCTGTTTCAATGCCTGGTGCTACTTTTTTGGGAGCCCCAAGGCTGTACTGTTTGACTCCTTTTTTCCCCCTTTCTTTTTAACCTAAATTAAAGCTGCCACTGAAGAGCCCCACCATGGAAGACACGCCGTTGGTGATATCAAAACAGAAGACAGAGGTGGTGTGTGGGGTCCCCACCCAGGTGGTGTGCACGGCCTTCAGCAGTCACATCCTGGTGGTGGTGACCCAGTGGGGAAAATTGGTATCTGTGACTAGGAATAGTCTCTCTGTGGTAGTCCATGCTTATGGGACAAATATCTGCATACTTCTTGTATTATGGTTCTTCAGGGAAACAGAACCAATACGATGGGTATATGTATATTTAGAAGGAAATTTATTTTAAGGAATTGGCTCGTGATTTAGGAGGCTGACAAATCAAAACATACAGAGTAGGTTGGCAAGCTGGAGACCAAGGAAAAGCTAATGCTGCAGTTTAAGTCTGAAGGCTATCTGCTGGTAGATGGCCCTCTTTCTTGGTGGAGGTCAATCTTTTGTTCTATTCAGGTCTTCAGCTAGCTGGATGAGGCCTTACCCAGATGATGGAGGGCAATGTGCTTTACTCAAAGTTCATCAATTTAATTGTTAATCTCACCCCCTAAACACCCTCACAGAACATTTAGAATAATGTGTGACTACATATCTGGGCACCGTGGCCCAGCCAAGTTGACATATAATTAACCATTGCAATTATGTCCTACTTCAATGCCATATTTTAAGACAATGAAGCCTATTTAAAGCATTACAACCCCATGATGGTGAAGCAGCTGGAAATCACATGATTTGAGGAACAGCTGAAGTAACTAGGAATGTATAGAAATACTGCCTTGTTTAATCTACTGGGTTTCACACTTAATACACAGCCAATATCTGAGTTGCATCATCATTTCTTACATCAGAGTTATAATATGAATGGTAGAGATTTCATAGTCTTTTGGTGTAAAATTGCTTTAAGTTCATTTAAAGGCCTTTATCAACAAAATTTCTAAGCTTATAATGCTTTTTTATTTTTCCACTTTCAAGTTCTAGAACTTAAAGATATTCCTTATCCTCCATGGTGGTTTCTGAAAAATAATTTATGTGTTGAGCACTGAGTAAAAAATTTGGGGTCATGCGATGACTGATTTTGCATGGGTCATTGACTCCAGGTGACTTCCTTTTCTGAGCTATCGAAGATCATTCCTAATTGTGGCAGCCTAGATTTTTGCTGTTACCCATTTCATGTCTATTTCTGTGGCCACATTTCACTTCTAACAAACAAAAGAAACACCGTTATGTTAGGAAAGTTGTTTGGCTATGTTTTTATTATTTTTTTCCTGAGACTTTTTATTAGCCAATAATCCAGAATTTATTGTATCCATTTTCATTGGAATCGTAGTGACAAGCATCAATATGAGAATTGTAACTCAGAAATTCACCTAACGTTTATTTGACTATCTCCTTGTTCCAAATAGCTGTAGGTGCTGGGAATTCAGTAATGAACAAATCATAGAAAAATCCCAGTTGAAAAAAGATAGTGTGAGTGGTTATTGCTGATGTTTTGCTTTCATCCTGAGAAATGTTCCTTAATTCTAAACCTATGGACTTGGATATGAAAGGAAAAGTATTCTGTTTTTTATAGCTTCCATCAGCTCCACAGAATAAAATATCTAGTACCCTTTTATGATTTAAAGATGTAGGGAAGAAAAAAATTCACAATAAAATAGTATAATTTCACAATAATAAATATCATCACCTTGACTATATCTGTATAATTAAAATATTTCTAAGCCATTGCCATTACCTTTTATTTCAGGCTGAATTAAAGATAACTCATTTTCTAAATTGCATAACAAAGTAGTCTCTGTAGGACCCTTGGAGCTAGTGTTGTGCAAACTGTATCAGTGAAATTTCTGTACCATTTACTAGGATATTTGTTTTACGGAATAGTCTTGGTTTACATAAACTCTTTTCCCAGCGTTCATGGAAGCAAGAGAGTTGAACTGGGATACAGATTTTCTTATGATAGATTATATTAAAAATGATTAAACAAAAATATGTTTTATATAGATAATACTAAGTGGATTGACAGCATATTGCTGCTGAGATTTTTCTTGGAAGTCTGTCTTTTACAAAACTGTTTGTCTTTTTCAAACATTGATGCCTTATCTGTTCTGAGAACTCATATGTGATATTTTTGGCATACTTGTCCATTTAGGTTGTATGCAGCTTTCAGTTTTCCTAAAACTCTATCATAGGTGTTCATTTCAGTTTCTCTAAGATCCATGCAAGACTCATGTTCACTTGGGGCATATGACATGCTTCCTCTCTAAGGCTAGCCCTACCATGTCACATCTTAGGTCTTGGAGGGAGGGATGAAAATTCTTTTAGATCTTCCTCACTTTAGCATCCATTTACTCTTTTCCACACACTATGTTTTATTTTCCCAGAGACCATGAAGTGATCAAATACCAGCTCCCTAAGGAACTCTTTTCAGTTTAATTAGAAAAGAACAGTATTTAGTTCCTTTTTTTTTCTTCTGGAAGTCATTTCTAGCTCCTGTACCCATCTTCTTCCTCTGTTCCAGTAAGTTATCTTTTGTCCTGTATTGCCAATCAGTCTTCCAGCCCTATCTTACCACGTCACATACCTGGATTAAAGTCATTGCAGTAGTAATAAAATTTGACAAATCTGGTTTGCAGACGCATGGCAACTGGGGATAAGGTATGGTGGCATGACTTAGGAATTATTGATTTTTTTTCCTGGTCTGCGTGATTAAATGGTGATCCTTTTCTCAGTTGGGCACTTACCATAGAAGGGTAACTATTGTTTTAGGGACTGTCAATAATAGTATACATGAAGAAAATCAAAAGCCTTGACTCCTGATTGCAACTATGACTGAGTAACTGGTACAAGACTAACCCTTCCGCCATTAACAAATCCCCTGCCACAGAAAGGAAACAAAATTATATGAAACAACTGCTTTCAGATATCGGACAACAGGTCATGAAGGGTTTCACTGTCTGAGCGAAAAAAAAAATAAACTAGATAACTGTTATTATTGTCGAGTTTTCTGGTTAGAGGCACTTATTGGGCAAAGGTGCAGAGAGGTGAAACCCAGACAGAGCATAGCAGCCTTGCTGAGATGATGAGACAGATATTAGAGTTTGGAGAGGCACAAACAGCTGAAATTTATGGGTAGAAGACCAAAGAGGAGAGAACCAAGCAGGGAAAGAACTCCAGAAATCTGCATAGGTTCCTTTTGAGTATTTGCTTACTAATCTGCACAAATATAGGGTGAGACTCCACAAGACCAAAGAACAATGACCAGGGAAAGAGCAACTACTGGGAAGCTATAAGCTGAACAAGTATCAGAATTTCACAGGGCTGAACAAGTAGGGTGGAAAGACCCTGTGGAACACTCAGGCAATTCATTAGAGATCCCCAAAAGGCCATACCCCTTTTTGGTTTTAGTCCTAAGAAGAAGGGCTAAAACTAGCCTTATAGTAAAATCTCTTCTAGACCCTTCTTAACAAAGTTGAAAAGGAAGTTTCAAAATAGACAATGCAATTCAACATATCCAATATATATATAGATATCAAAAGTTACTAGACATGCAAAAAAACCCATGAAAATGTGATCCCTAACCAGGTTTAAAAAATCCATTAATAGAAACAGTTCTACAAACAGGCAAAATTAATGGACTTGGACTTTTAAAGAGCTATTATAATATGTATAAAAATTAAGGCTGGGTGCGGTGGCTCACGCTTGTAATTCCAGCACTTTGGGAGTTCGAGGTTGGCGGATCTTGAAGTCAAGAGATTGAGACCATCCTGGCCAACATGGTGAAACCCCATCTCTACTAAAAATACAAAAATTTAGCTGGGTGTGGTGGCGTGCGCCTGTAGTCCCAGCTACTCAGGAGGCTGAGGCAGGAGAATCGCTTGAACCTAGGAGGAGGAGGGTGCAGTGAGCCGAGATCACGCCACTGCACTCCAGCCTGGCAACAGAGCAAGAATCTGTCTTAAAAAAAAAAAAAAAAAGTAGGAATGGAGATGGAAGAAAGGAAAAATAACTTAGGCATTGTTTTTTTCTCTCGGTTTCTGCCTTGGAATAAATTCTGGTGCAAGTACAAGGAAGGAAGACAGTAGAGGTAAATTTCTTCTCCCCGTCTTCCTCTGATGGGTCTAGTCTCTGTGTCTTACACCTTCTCTCTGGAGCTCTAGTAGGCTTGCCGAGGTTTACCATGCTGTGGCGACTTGAAAGAAATGAATCAGAAAATGCATAAGGGATGCTTTAGAACAATGAATACCTGCTGACAACCCTGGGATACTGTGGAGTCCAAGAGGTATGGAAAAAAGCAGTGAATGTTTCTCTGTGTCCACAAGAAAGAAAGGGCACAGAATATAGGTGAGAAAGGGGAACTCAACAGACTTGGAGGAGACCTATTCGTTTCCTCAGCCAGGATGAGGAAACCCCTAGGGAAGACGTGGGAAGATCAGAAGAAAATGCTGCCACATCTCAGTAGATTATCAAAACAGTGGGGAGACATGATCTCCAAAGATACCAGCTCCTAAGAACGAGACCAGTTAAAATTCAAAGTACACAACCTCTATCAGGATGGCATGGTGGCATTTAGTTAAGGCTCCCATCCCAGCAACAACTAGGGAAGAGAAAGAGGGCAAAAAGAAGGCAATCTTAAATAGTGCTAAGTGCACTATTTATTTTGGTACATCTCAGTTTGTTTCATTTTGGTACATCTCAGTTTGTTTCTTGTTAAACAGGCTGAAATAAAATGATATCCTGCTCCCCAATTGCTTTTCTAAACATGTAGCTTTAGATTCATTAGTGAATAAGTTTAGAAATGTACTTATTTCTGTAGAGAAGTATGAAACCAGCCAACGAATTCGTGTGAAGCTAATGCACTTTGTGTAGGAAAGCAATTTACAAAGTAATATGTAGCTATCTTATTGAAAGGAAAGGTAAAAAAAGCATCATAGACAGCTAAAAAGAAATGATCTTCTGTATCATTTTAAAGATGTGATGATTAAATACTTGCATACTTCACTTTGTCTTATCTGCACATACACAGCTGCAATAAAAATCTCCATCTACCCTATCAGTGTGATCTGAGAGAACGGAATACTATGTCTACTTGGTTAAAGCTTTTCTTCTCTAAACATCAGGACGATTTAAGGAAAATACACATCTAAGCTCAGTTCTAATAGTTCCTTGCCACTCACTTGGAAAAATTCACTGTGGGTTGCAAGTTCATGTAGTAGTATACCTGGTTAAAATACAGCAGCTCTACCATTGTTACCTCATCATACTATAATTTCTTTGGGACGTGAACTTAAATTTATACAAGATTTTATTATAAAATGCTATCTAATTTAGGGATACTTAAATTTTTTTGGTTTTTTTGTTGTTGTTGGTTTTTGTTTTTGTTTTTTTTTTTTTTGACAGAGTCTTGCTCTGTTGCCCAGGCTTGAGTGCAGTGGCACGATCTTGGCTCACTGCAACCTCCACCTCCCGAGTTCAAGCGATTCTCCTGCCTCACCCTCCTGAGTAGCTGGGACTACAGGCCTGCGCCACCACACCTGGCTAACTTCTGAATATCAAGCTGAAATTACTATCAGATATCTTGCCACCACATAGAGGCTTTGAGTGAAGTCTGCATGGAGGAGAACAGAGCTGAGAGATGGAAAGATACTGAATCCCAGTGACGTCCTTTGAGATGTCGGATCAAGCTGAGCTGGGCATGAAGATAGAGCTACTCCTATACTTTTAAGATACGTAAGTTAATGAATTCCCTTGTTTGCTTGGATTAGCTTGATTATATTTTCTGTTACCTGCAGCAAGAGTCCTACTACCTTGAGTATTTCACACTTGCTCTCCAGATTCACTCTCTATTTTTTTTTCCAACCTTCTCTGTGCCTGGGGACTTACCTGTAAGGATTGTATCAAACAACACATTTGCCCTCTGGCTTCTGATTGTGTTCAGCCAGTGGCAATCTCCCTAGAGAGGGAGGTCAGAACATATATACTCTAGGGGCTCTCCCTGCTAGATCACAAAAGGTTGAATGGTTCTTCTTTTAAAGGCTATTGATCCTGTCAAGTTCCCTTTCCTCTCCAGGTTTGAGTAGCCATCTTCTCCCTGTACACATCAGATCCAGGGGTGTTATACCTTCTCACAATTGCAAGCTCTGGAATAAAACATTATCCCTAACAGGTTTCCCTTAGCCCTTCCCATATTTCTGTAAATAGCGCCTCTATTAAATTCTTCTCAATTATACAGTTTGAGTGAGCCGTCTCTTTCTGCCAGGAGCCAGAGTGATACATACTCCTTTCATTTTGGTATTCAAAATAAGTGGAAAATGCAGTAATTTTAAAAGACAAAATCAGATTAGCCATTTGAACAATTTGTTGCTTGATAGTGAATGCCCAATTTAGTATCATGATAAGATTTTAGAATTTTTGCAATACATGGAATTTTAGGAAGTCGGTGGTGAAGGGAACTGAAGGCTGTTGGCATCTACATGAGTGGGGACTTACTCTAAGATTTTGGATTATTTTCTAGTCTACCACTCACAGAAACTACCTTTTAGTGCAACCACGGTGGAACCCTGCCATAGTATCTCTAGGTAAGCATCACTATGCTCTTATAAATTTATATTTTCACTTCTCCAGGTCTTAAAAAGAGGACTGCTTGAATTTTTTGTGAATAAATGAATAAAGGAAATAATTTTAAGATGCACACTGAAATCTACACTCAGTGAATTTACATCTCATGATTTATAAGAACGAACTTTCCTTAGGTCTTTATATAGTTCAGAAGGACACAGCAACAAGTATGCTAATTTCAAATTTTTTCACTGAAGCAAGTTCTGAAGAAGTCAACTAGGTATCATGTAATTACTCTGTATATTTTAGGTGTTAAGATTAATTTAAGATGATTTATCACTCTAACTTTTTACCATGTTAGGCTTTTCTTCAATTAGTCTGAATTCATGAGCCCTGATGAGCTTTTTTAGTGATACAATATTTAAAAGATTAACTACATTGAACATATGTAATGGATTAATAGCAGTGTCTATTCAATATTAGCTTGAGGCTGTGGAGTATATTAAATCGTCAACATGAAGCAAAATGTTATTTCTGCTTTGAATGGAGAATACTAAATTAGTCAAGACACTTTCTCATCTCATCTGCCTTTCCCTGGCTCTTCACTTATAGTAGCAGTATTTTATATTGGACAACAGTTCAAACTAGTAATAAATATATGATTGCCATATTCTTCTGAACCACAATATCTACTAATGTTGCTAATCAAACAAAATATTTGGATTGCCCCAACCTAAGAAAAAAAAATTTAAGCCATAAAGTTGATAGGCGTATCCTGTCATATGTGTAGCATACTTCCTTTCAATCCATTTCAACAGCAAGCTTAAAAAATACGTGCCAGTCTTCAGGGAAATATAATAGATAAAATAGATAAGAATATTAATGTTATAATTAACATTACATAAGAGTTCTGTAATAGGAATTAGGGATTCAGTTTATGAAAGTCAAAAGGTGGTGATAAGTAGCATATTTTCACCTTCCAAATAAAGGAAAAGCTCAAACTTGACAAATACAAACATGGTAGGGTTTTTTTTTCTTCTCAGTCATAAGTCAGTGAATAGATAGATAGATAGATAATTCCTATAGTGTAGAATTCTGCCAGGCACCTTTGTTGATTCAAAAGTACAAAGAAATATGATTCCTGCTCTTAAGGACAGTGTAATCTAATCTAAGAGAAATGAACTATTAACACAAGCCCTCTAGTAATCCAGCCCTCTGAAATGTTATGGCTTCTTATACTGCCTTGTGTTAATAGTTCACCTCTCTTAAATTAGATTACACTTGATGAACCAATATTGACACATTATTATTAGCAAAAGTCTGTGGCTTGCATTAGGATTCACTTTTACAAAGTCTTGAGTTTTGAGAAATGTATATCATGTGTTCACCATTACAGTATCATACAAAATAGTTTTATCACCCCCCAAATCTCCTATGTTCCACCATCCCTCCATTCCTCCCCTAAGCCTGGAAACCACTAATCTTTTTCCTGTCCTCATAGTTTTACCTTTCCCAGGATGTCATATAGTTGGAATCAAATAGTATGTAGCTTTTTTAGACTGCCTTTCACTTAGCAATATACAGTTAAGTTTCCCCCATGTCTTTTGTGGCTTGATATCTTATTTATCTTTTTAAAAATCACTGAATAATAGTATATTGTATGATGTACCACAGTATGTTTATCCATTCACTTATTGAAGGATATCTTGGTTGCATCCAGAAACCACAGTGCTGAGTGATTAATGCTGTAAGAAAGATATGCAGGGTGTTAAAATGAAGAATGAGTTTGGCATTTAGAGGAGGCTTCATGGAGGAGGTGACACAAGCTGAGTCTTGAGGGATTAGTAGGAATAGAAAGGTATACTGGGGCAGGGGTCAGGGGAACAGGGAACTACAGGTAGAGGAGAAAGAAGACAGAGATGTGAGACAGCATGGCACATGTAAGGCACTGCAGAATCCCAATATGGCTGTGTCATCATGCAGGCTGGGGCTGGGCTAGAGGAAGCATAAGAGACTATCCTAGAAGGACTTTGTATACTAAAGAGTTTAGATTTATTCTGGATAAATGGAGAGCTGTGGAAGGATTTTAAAGGGAAGAGTGATTTAAAAAGACAATAACGTGGCTAATAGAAAATTTTAAATTACATATGTGTTCACGTTATATTTCTATTGGCCAGTTTCTATTTGGATATCCTGTCATCAGTCTGAAAATTCCATGTCTAAAATGAAATGTATTATTTTGCTCTCAAAACCAGTTCTTCTCTTTTCTATTTCTGCTGGTGGTGTCATAACCCATCTTCCCATTCCCTCATTACCCTAAAATCTGGCTCTACTAAAACATACCAATAGCCTCCTAATGAATATGGAACACTTCATGAATTTGCATGTCGTCCTTGCACAGAGACCATGCTAATCTCCTCTGTATCATTCAAATTTAAGTGTATGTGCTGATGAAGCAAGCACCTAATGTTTTTGTGATCCTCATTTTCATTGGTCTTTTTTTCCTACTGCTTCATGCAACTGAATCTCTACTTTCTTGATTATCTTCCTCCTTTGACTTCTGTAACTCTGAGCTACTACAGTTCCTATCCAATTTCTCTGATTACCTTATCCCTCCCTCTTTCTTTCACTGGCTTCTCTTCTTCTTCATACCTTAAAGATCTAGCCACATGCTCTGCTTTGTCTCCCTTCCCTCCTCTTCAGCTATTTCATCTATTGTAATGACATAACCATTACATAAATGAAAATGATCACATTACCATCTCCAGCCTCAACCCTTCTTTTTAGCTGCAGTATTGCATCTGCAGTTTTCTGCCAGATGTTTCTATTCGGACATCCTGTCATCAGTTTGAAAATTCTATATCTAAAATGAAATGCATCATCTTGCTCTCAAAACCAGTTTTTTTCTTTTCTGTCTCTGCTGGTGGTATCATGATTCTCTTTATCACCCAGCTTGAAATCTCTGATTTAAGTTGAACTCTTTCCTTTCTCCCTAGCCTCTCCCATTCCTCCAGTCATGAAAACCTAAAGACTCTTCCCTCCCAATGTCCCTGTATCCATTCCCTTTCTCTGGTCCCATGGATAGGTGTCCTCACATGCTACACAGTCAGCTGCTGCTTTCTGAACCCAGAGTATCTGGGAGTATGACATGGATATGAAACACAAGGTATGGGGTGGGGAGTGAGAATGGCAGTTCCTTAGATAAATGCTCCAAAGTGATTTATTCACAGTACATTTTGAAGTTGCTGACAGAACACAAATGAAACTAGTGATTAAAAAAAGAGCTGTTCTTATATAGTCATGGTCAGAGATGAAATTCTTTATTTGGAGGTAAAGAGTTAAATGTAGACATATAGGCAGGAAAAAAAAAACCAGCATGAAAGCACACTATGTACATTAGAAGAGTTGAAGAGAAATGAGCCTTATCATGCAAACCACATTGACTTTGAAACATATTGCAGTCATACTGTTCTGAAATTCTTATTGTAGGATACATATTGAGATTGTCAGAAAGGCTGTGTGAACACTGGGGCTTTTGCAGCACTGACAATATTTTTACCTATTTTGTTGCTTTGGCTTTTGAGCTCTCTTCCCTCCTTTCTTCCTTCCTTCCTTCCTTCCTTTCTTTCTTTCTCTCTCTTTCTGTCTTTCTCTCTCTTATTTTTTTTTAATGGAAAAGTGGTTCCTGAAGAGACAAAAGCCACTCCATGCGTTCTTTAATTGTTTGACACCTTTCATATGATATGGCCACAAGACACTCTATAATTCTCAAAGATATGAGACAGAAAACTGCAAAGAAGCAAAGTGTAAGGGTCTTTGGGTAGCCCTAGGTAGAAGTTACTTAGGCAATTCAAATGAAATAAAAACACTATATAATACAAAGTTCTATTTGAGTTTGGGCAGGCTGGTCAGAGATGACAATGCGAAGAGACTGTGTGCCTTTTTTTGTTCCTACTATGACACACTAGAGACGCATGACACAGTACGCGGGTCCTTCAAGTTCTCCAAAAACACTTAAGATAGATTGTTACTTTTAGTGTATCTCCCAATAAAAACTTTTGCTTCTTTGTTGTGTAAGTCTGTGACATCATTCTGATGTAATTTATCTTAGTTAAAGAATCAGTGAGTACAAAGCTGGGCTTGAGCAAGGATGTGTTATTTTTATTTTGATGTACCCAGTGTCATGTTTCTGCCCTTCAATCAGACTCCCATTACTCTTATGGTTTTTCATCTTTTCATGCATTTTTAAAGAGAAATATTCCTTATACTTGTATCATTCACTTATGTTTTAGTTTACTGACTCTCAAACTTTAGTGTGCATAAGTGTAACTGGAGGAGCTAATTTAAAATGCAGGTTACAAGTCCCTAGTTCTACAGATGCCAATTAAGTAGGCCTGGGATAGGATTTTTACTAGATTCTCTGTAGTTATTGTGATGCAGTATGCTGCAAGATCATACTGTGAACAACACAGGTATAGTGAATTTGAGAAAATTTCTTCTCATTCCTAAGTTATTGTGTGCATATTATTTCCTGTTTTTCATTTTGGAACACAAGTTTTATGTCCCTGCACATGGAATTTCAGATGACAAATGGTGTGGGAAATATTTAGGAACAAAGTAGAAGCCTACTTGGTATGTGAAGGTGATGCCAATTTGTCGAGACCAGCTCGATCAGGGAGACCCTAACCCAGTGGCACTAGAGGAATTAAAGACACACACACAGAAATATAGAGGTGTGAAGTGGGAAATCAGGGGTCTCACAGCCTTCAGAGCTGAGAGCCCCCAACAGAGATTTACCCATGTATTTATTAACAGCAAGCCAGTCATTAGCATTGTTTCTTTTTTTTTTTTATTATACTTTAAGTTTGAGGGTACATGTGCACAATGTGCAGGTTAGTTACATATGTATACATGTGCCATGCTGGTCAAAGAAATTTACAAGCATTGTTTCTATAGATATTCTGCTAACTAAAAGTATCCCTTATGGGAAATGGGATTAACTAGAAGTATCCCTTATGGGAAACAAAGAGATAGGCCGAAATAAAGGAATAGGTTGGGCTAGTTAACTGCAGCAGGAGCATGTTCTTAAGGCACAGATCGCTCATGCTATTGTTTGTGGCTCAAGAATGCCTTTAAGTGGTTTTCGGCCCTGGGCAGGCCAGGTGTTCCTTGCCGTCATTCCAGTAAACCCACAACCTTCCAGCGTGGGCGTTATGGCCATCAAGAACATGTCACAGTGCTGCACAGATTTTATGGCCAGTTTTGGGGCCAGTTTATGGCCAGATTTTGGGGGCTTGTTCCCAACACCAATTTAAAGAAAAGTTTAAAGTATTAAAATGGTGTTGAAATCCATTTCCTAGATGGCTTACTTATTGTTTTTATTAAATACCTGAAGTAGAAATTATTTATATAACCAATCAGTGAAACAGCGAGGCTAGGATGAGCCAAGTGAAGAGATGGGCAGGATCCCACGTTTACTTGCTCATTCATTTTTCCATTATTTTTGAGGAAAAAAAGTATTACTGACATTGATCAAGAAAGGCCCCCTTTTTATTGTGTTAAAATGTGCATAACAAAATTTACCATTTTAACCATTTTAAGTGTACAGTTTACGGCCTTAAGTATATTGACATGGCTGTGCAACCATCATTTGCAGAACTTTTTCATCTCCTCCAACTGAAACCCTAGACCCATTAAACACTAACTCCCCATTCCTCCCTTTTCCCAGCCCCTGGCAACCACCAGTCTACTTTCTGTCTCAATGAATTTGACAACGTTAGGTACCTCATATAAATGAAATCATACAGTATTTGTCCTTTTGTTGCTGACTTATTTTCACTTCACAAAATATCTTCAAGGTTCATCTAGGTTGTGTGTGTTGGAATTTCCTTCTTTTTTAAGGCTAATAATATATCGTATGTATGCACAATATTTTGTTTATCCATCTATTGATGGACACTTGGGTTGCATCCATCTTTCACTATTGTGAATAATGCTGCTGTGAACATTGATGTGTACTATTCGAGTGAGAAAGCCCCTTTTCTAATTTAGAAAAAAAAAAACCCTAAAAGGTCATTTCTATGCTTTTTAGATACACAAAATTTCTACATCCTCAGCCACCTACTCATAAAGTAGGTATAATGCTACCGCTTGCTTGCAGAACACACAAACCCCTAGGTGGTAGGTCTGCTGTGTTATTATTTATTTATCTGTTCTGACACAAATAACATACTTGCTCAACAGATGGTGAAGTCTGCAAGTAAAATACCATTTGAAAATTGGAGTTTAGGTTTGCCAACCAGTGACCTGGAACCAATCCATATGCAATAGTACCACAGCATATATAATATAGACATATAAGAGAAAAATAAAAATACAGCAGAGATCATTAAACCTACAGCAGACTTGTTTTTAGCTCAGTTCTTTCTGCTCTTGCAAGAAAGAAAGGAAGGAAGTTTCATCAATGATGCAAAAGCAAAATGATTGAGTATTAGGGGAATCTGCTTTCAAAAAAAGAGGTAAGTATAGGCAGAAAGAAGACAAAAAGAGCCAGAGCCTTTGCTAGAACGTTGGGTTGAACAGAGAGGCCTAGCTAGGTATGAGAGAATGTCGCTTTGGGGTGTCTCCCATGGAGGTTTTCCTGACTCCCCCATTTCTGTTAGTGTACTTACAAGACCCTATGAATAGCTCCTATAACACTTCTCTCCTTAGTTTGAAAGGAAATGAAGCACTGTCCTAGTCTTCCTGGAGTTTATACTCTTGATTATGGGGAGGTGGAGAAGTGGAGAAGTGAAACAGCTCAGTAAAAGCAAACAACCAAGAAATAAGATATATGAGAGACAGAGACAATGTTGCTTTAGAGAAAAGGGGAATTGATATAGACTGATACATTTGGAAGGCAACTCAGGAAGAAGTTGGATGGGGGAGGGCTTGATCTGGAATTGAAAAAACAGATAGGCTCTGGATCAGTGGAGAGGCGGAAAGCTTCTCTGAGAGATGTTATGTTGTAGAAGCTAGGCTAAAGACAGAAGGCAAGACTTGAGCAGGCTTTTTTTGTGTGTGTGTGGGGGGTGGGTGTGTGGGGGATGGAAGGGACATACTAGAATGTTCTTCCTCTAAAATAAGGAAAATACAAAAACAGTTTTAATTCAAGCAGCACTTCCTTTTCCAAACACTTGCACACTTATAACACACACACACACACACACACACACACACACAAGCTTCCTTTCCTTAAGTTTTTTCTTGCGATAACTAGACATCACAGCTTGACAAGATTATCTCTTTTCGAAGAGTTGTTACAGACTCAGGAACAATTTTAGCCACCTCTTTGAACTTTGCAAATTGGGCCAACCTATGCAAAACTTGCAGATTAAATTCTGAATACATATCAGAGTAGCAGATTGGGGTTTGGCAGAACTGGGTCATTAGATTCATTGATAACTTGGTGCAGAAGTTGCTAAAAGCCTAAAGAACATAAAGGGTTTCAGGAATCTTTATGCCTGGTGAACTTGTTGGTAGTTTTGCAGTTTTCCTCTTATCTCCAAATCAGCAATTCTAAAGAGCAGCTTGCCTAATGTGCACAATAAGTAGTCACTAAAGAGCAATTACAACAAATAACCATTGAACATTCAATGAACAGGGAGGTTAATACATTTCCCTGAAGTAATTAACATTCCCTTTCCTTGTTTTGTTTAAATTTTGTTTTTACCTAAATTACCTTAATGCTGCCCTTAGTGAAACAGTTTAAAATTAGAGTTGCTGGAATTGGATCTTTCTTGATTAAGTGATAGAAATACTGAGGTTAATTAGATCAAATCTGTATCTGGAGCTGTTGAGTACAGATCAGTGGTCCTGACGTTTTCCACGGAAGCCTTTCTCCTATCTCACAGTAGGCCCAGATTTTAAGACACGAAGATCTGCACCATTACCCCTGCAGCTCCTGTTTGTACATGCATGTCTGTAAAAACAAAACACACAGAGACCTAATGATTTGGAAGTATTATCTTGGGACTCCTGTCTTCTCACATTTTGCTTTGGAAACAGCTAGCACAAGTTCTATCACCTTAAGTGGAGCTGAGGTGAGGCTTAGCAGAAGTGTTCCAAATGTGTAGCCTTGTGGTAAAGAAGAAACAATTTATAAAAACCAAACGTCCATGGACCCCTGAATCAAAGGGTTTCAACTAAGTGAGATATGCCTCTGTCATTAACATTTCTTGCAAATACAATGCTGTCAAACTTTTGCCTATTTTCCAGTGGAATAAGAAGTTGGAGGTAACAATAAAGATCTCTGTTAACTGCTACTACTCCTCCCACATCCCAGGAGTAAATTTTATATGGCTGTTTTAACAATGGAAATATGAATAACTCAGAAACACATTTCGTACTTTTCTTAAAGACCAGTGCAGAATTATAGACCCCAAATACTACTGGTACAAACATTCATCATTATAAACAATAGGGTAATCAAGTAATCACCAATAAACTGGATTGATCATGTTGAACCTAAGTGAAAACTTTTTTTTTATTTTTAAATTATTTTTGTTTGTTTTTGAGAGAGAGTCTTGCTCTGTGCCCCAGGCTGGAGTGCAGTGGTGTGATCTTGGCTCACTGCAACCTCCACCTCTCGGGCTCAAGTGATTCTCCTGCCTCAGCCTCCCAAGTAGCTGAGACTAGAGGCGCCTGCCACCACGCCCGGCTAATTTTGTATTTTTAGTAGAGCCAGGGTTTCACCATGTTGGCCAGGCCATTCTTGAACTCCTGACCTCAAATGATCCACCCACCTCGGCCTCCCAAAGTGCTGGGATTACCGGCGTGAGCCACAGTGCCTGGCCGTGAAAACTTCTATATAATAACTTCTATATAATTAAAAAGTAAGAATTGCAGCAGTTAACACCAGAAGCAATTCATTCACTCATTCTTTTTGCCCACAAGTATGGACATGTATATGTATATATATGCACATAGACATATATATATATATTTGCATAATGTACAAGACATACTATGGGCTGGGTTCATGTTGGTGAAAAAAAAGACATGGTTACTGACCTTATGAAGTGTAGAGTCTACTGAGAGCAACAGACTTTAAACAATTTAATTAATTACAACTATGGTAAGTGATGTGGAATAAAAGTATAGTATGTTATGGTTATGATGGTATATAATGTCTGTGAAGTAAT
Organism: Homo sapiens; assembly: GCF_000001405.40. NCBI lineage: Eukaryota > Metazoa > Chordata > Mammalia > Primates > Hominidae > Homo > Homo sapiens. Next base: position 180,574,337 of record NC_000003.12, on the reverse strand, counting down.
TTAGGGAATATAACATGTAATCTTTGTATTGTTAAAGCTAAACAGGTTCAGAGGTGGAGAAAAATTCTAGCATTAAGTTGGTTTTAGTTTTTATAGCCAAATTTAAGTAATGCTTAATAAACCATTTAGTTTTATTAAGCATTATTAGATTACTAATAAGTAGTTTATAGTACATAAAAATAAGTATATAGCACTTGTCTCATTTATTCAATCCTTCACCACCAAAGAAAGAACTCACAATTTTGAATCAGATCCTACCACAGGGAACCTTGCAGCTCTCAGGAAGCCAAAGATTATAGTTTAAGAGTTGTCACCTTAGACCAGGGAGAGCAAGTTGTGGCCCGTGGACTGTTATTTTATGGCTTGTGAGATAAGAATAATTCTTACGTTTTAAAACTTCAAAAAATAAATAAAAAGAAAGCTTTTTTGTGACATGTGAAACTTATATGAAATTCAAATTTCAGTGTCCATAAGTAAAAGTTTATTGTAACCCAGCCATACCCATTTGTGCTACAATAGCAGAGCTTTGTAGTTGCTACAAAGATCTTATGATGTGCAGAGCCTTAAATATTTACTATCTGGCCCTTTACAGAAAAAGTTGACTGACCCCTGGCCTGGATTATAACACTTTAAAAGACTCCCTTTTTGCAACACTACCAGTCCCCAACTTTAAAAGCTTTCTGTATTAGAGTTTTCCAGAGAAACAGAACCAATAGGGTGTGTGTGTGTGTGTGTGTGTGTGTGTGTGTGTGTGTGTGTGTGTGTGTATAGAGAGAGGTTTATTTTAAGGAATTGGCTCACATGATTGTGGGGGCTGGCAAGTCCAAAGTCTGCAGGGCAGATTGGCAAGATGGAGACACCCAGGGAAGAGGTGATGTTTCAACTCAACTCCAAAGGCAATAGGGAGGCCGAGTTCCCTCTTCCTTGTGAGATATGAGTCTTCTTTTCCTCTTGAGGCCTTTAAATGATTGGATGAGGTACACTCACATTATGGAGGGTAATCTGCTTGACTCATTTAAATGTTAATCTTGTCTAAAAAAATACCTTCGCAGCAACATCTAGAGTGGTGTTTCACCAAATCTGGGTACCATGGCCTAAGCAAGTTAACAGATAAAATTAACCGTCACATTTTCTTAACAGATCTTAGACATATGATCCCCATAGTATTAAGCAAAACTCTTATTTATAAGTGTCTAATGATTGGGATGGATGAAGACGGTGAACCCAATAATAATCAATTGGTGTGGGGCACAATTAATTAAGGGTTTTTTTTTAGACATGGTATGCTAATTCCTAAAAGGGAAAACTTAACTGCATATACAATTAATCAGTTGCAGCAAACAATATGGTTCTGAACCAAGCAGAGATTTTAGCAGAGGCGTTAACTCAGTGATCTGAATTTCCTTAGAGTTTTTTCCTGGGCAATTAGAAGACAAGAAGAAAATGAACTTTCCTCCTGGCTTCAGGAGGTGTAACCTCAGACTTTGTCCATCTAGCAGAAGTAGGGACTTGCTGCCTTCCTGTAGATGCTCCCAGACCTCTGGTTACCGGCCATATGAGCCTGGGGGTTTGGTGTGGGGAGGAAATCTACTTGAGCTCCCATACTTTCTCTGAGGGTTGACCTCTAAGGGGAGCTTCCATCCTTTCTGACTAGAGGCCTCTTAGAGAATTCCTTTGGTTTTACCACGCAATGGGCCATTGTCTCAGTTAATCCGCTTTCTCCTGTGAGCCTTAATTATAACACTACAATTTGTCACTTGAAGTTTTATACCACAGAAGAAGCAGTAGTCAAACTAGCCTCAGAGCCCATCCTCTACGATTCCCTTTTCAGCTTTTCTCTTGGCAGCCCCACTTCTCTCTCTACTGTTCATCTCCTCTGAGCCGTTTTCCAAGGGAGTGCTGCAAAGTGAGATTGCCTTTATGTCTGTGGATATCTCGACCCAAGAATAGATGCCAGCTCTTTCTATTCCTCTTTCGGTTTCAAGCCTGTGCCGCTCATAGGCCCAGTCCTACACTCAAAACCTCCAGATTTAACATTTATTTTATTCTGTTTCATCAGACCATCAACACACATTTCTACAAGATCAAATTTTGGTGTAGTTTAGACATTTAGCTAGCATTTATTAAGTGCCTAGGATTTTTCAGGCACTTATGTGTATTTGAATCTTGTGGCAACCAGCAGGTTAAACATTACTAAATTATTTTACCAATAAAGAAACTTAAGTTCTGTGAGGTTAAAAATATTTTTCAAAATTACCTAGCATGTAAATGGGAGGCCCAAGATAGTGAGCTCAGGCTTGTTTAATTCCAATGTCTGTGTTCTTTCTATTGTTATACGGTATCTGAGAGATCAACTTCAGCTTTTGAGTTCCTGGTTAGATAATGCCTTGTAGGACTAGCTAGCACAACTTATTGATATGCAAAGCCATTATCTATGCAACTTTGTCAGCTGTATGTTTTTTTGGTACTTAGAGTGGAATATGGCAGATGTCAGGAAGCAACAGGCATCTGCTGTAGCCAGAAATCGGCACCCACATAAACATCAGTTGCCTAAACGTTTTCTTTAATATATCCTGATATTTCCTCAGAAGTATACCATCTGCTCATGGAATAGATAACCTGAAAAAGTCTGACGCAGTTTTTCTTAAGTTATCTCTTTTCTTATAATGCATTACTTTGGTTCTTATGCATACCTAATCCAATCCTGTACAGAAGCACAAAATATCTGCCAGCTTACCCACATAAAATGGATTAAACATGAGAAGAAAAATAGGTAGAGATTAAGAGTTCAGCCTCTGCTGTTTGACAGACAGTATTTGAAACACTTAGCACAGTGATTAACCTATAGGAAAACTCAATAAATGCTAGATATTTTTATTATTATCTTTTTTTTACTTGCAGAACTTTCTCCCTTACTGTGAGTGGACTAATAATAACGAAGTCAGTTTAATTGATCTTTTATTTTGCCTTATGTAGCATGTAAATTTAAAAAACCAAACTAAGCTTTCCATTCATTCGTTTATTAAGAATTCTTGTTGTGCATCACATATTTTTTTTTCTTTCTTTCTTTCTTTTTTTTTTTGAGACGGAGTCTTGCTCTGTCACCCAGGCTGGAGTGCAGTGGCATGATCTTGGCTCGCTGCAACCTCTGCCTCCTGGGTTCAAGTGATTCTCCTGCCTCAGCCTCCTGAATAGCTGGGATTACAGGTGCATGCCACCACACCCAGCTAATTTCTTTTTGTATTTTTAATAGAGACGGGGTTTCACTATGTTGGTCAGGCTGGTCTTGAACTCCTGTCCTCGTGATCCGCCCACCTCAACCTCCCAAAGTGCTGGCATCGAATATTTTTCTAGTTGCTAGGAAGAAAATGTTGAGCAAAAAGAGAAGGTCCCTGTGCTCAGGGCCTTAGAGTCTAGTGTGAAAAAGAGAGAGTAAGCAAATGACCACACACATACATGTATACTTACAGAGAGAGGGGAATGAGAAGTAGGGCAGAGGTTTCTGTTGGTAGTGAGGAATTTGACTTCATATATGACATGTGAATTGAGATCCATAAGATGAGTAGGATCTCACTAAGGGAAGAGAAGTGAAAGGTAAATTATTCTAGAGGAAACGATATGTTCATTGCTCCTCCTTTCTCTTCCTTTCCTCCTTCCTCAGTTCCTCAAAGCTCATGACGGCACCAGGGGTAATGCACTGTATGGTTCTTCCAAGTGTTAAAAATACTGAAAATCTTTCATTACGTTGGTAAAGAGTTTCTGCAGCAAAATCTCTGAGTGGGTCCTCCCTAGTCTTCCCTCTGCCTTGGCTGCCCTAGACCCTTTCCCAGAACCCACCAGAGCCCCCCATAATCAGCAACTAAATGGTTGATGCCTGCTGCAAAAGAGGCACTCGGGGACCTACTTCCTCATTCGGGCTGGAGTCTGCTGTATTAGATTGGTGCTGGTGCCATGTTCGTTGTAAAATATTTTGAATGTCACTCATTGATACAATATCCACAGTTTCTCTAGTTAATCTCCTGGGAGAGATATAAAGAAGTGATAAATTACCTACCTAAATCAGTCTCAAGAGTTATTTGCTTTTCTTTTAATTCTTTAAATTTGCTTATAGTTTTTAATTTATTACCTACAACCTTTGAAGCTAACAGCAGAGAAACTATCTTGCCCTTTGCATGAATTACTATGTATCTCACTTTAATTCCTTGGCTCATTGTGATCATATTTTACCTTTGTGTTACTTATTTTAATGACAGAGTCACAGAAATTTTACTCTATCCTCCAAATACAGTTTAAAATATATAGATCTAATCACAGTAGAAGGTAAGCAAGAGAGCACAACTTCAAATCTATTTCTAGAGGATTAAATTCACAGTTCTGGTTAGCAAATAAAAAGACTATTGCTTTTCATACTGTTTTGGAAATTGAGAGCTAACTGTTGTGGTTGAACTGAGATATCAGCCAGTGTAGAAAATTTTAGTTTTATTATTGCCTGTACATATGGATGTCAAATCCTAGATGTTGCAGTGGGATATTTAATAAAAAGAAAAATGGGTTACATCCAGTATATTGTCCTTTAACTCACTAAATTTTCCTTATTTCTGTAGATGTCTAAGTGAGGAATGGATGCTTTTAGCATGTGAACGGAATCTTCTAAGGCCCTTTCCTGAATGATCACTGGAAATAAGGGCTTCTTTTTCAACTTCTCTCTGTTAGCTGTGTTTAATCTATTTGATTTTTCTTTATGAAGAAGTCGGGTTTGTGGAAGCAGCAGCCTTACCTTTCCATACATTATGTATGCACGCCACCTAATTTAGCACAGGTTTTAACAATACACGATATCAGTAATTATTCCAAAGTTTCCATCTGAGCTAACAAACTTCAGTCCTAGCCAGCAACTTCTCACTTTTAATGATGAATAGAGAATAAAAGACTGCTGCACAGGTTGTGTTTGTTACTTAACAAAAATTCTCAGGGAAGCCTAGAAAAGTTTCCAGAGGTTGTGATGAGCAGAGGAAGCAGGGGGCAGCTTTCATTTCTACATCTCCACATGGCAGGAGATTTTAATGCAGTAATTATCTTAGTGTTTAATGCTAATGAGTTAACTCTCATCTAACAGATATATAGCAGTTATATTTTGGTAGGAAAGAATACAGAACATCACCACAGAAGTTCAAAGACTTCAGGAAGCTTTATTTAGATAGCAAAATATATTCCATGACAAAAACAAACTGAATAATGAGAAATGAAAAAATGTGTCTACCTCAAAGGAAAGAGAAAACAGCAAAGCCTCCTCACGCCATACCAGGAAAAGAGAAAACGAGAGAGGAGTGCTACTGCAGGTGGAGCATTTACCTCCTTAAGAAAGGTGCTGTTATGGGCCACCAATTCCAAGTAGTCTGCCCTAAGATAGATGAGTGGTGAAGTCTATTCAGAATCTGACAGGGTCAGGTCCTGTGAATATCATGGTATCAAAAAATGATGGAGCTCGGAGGAATTAATTCACTTGGTTAATTGAGCATTTACTATTATAGCTGCCACTGTCCAAGCACTGAAGGTAAAGCAGTTAAAAAGGTACCCTAGGCCTGTATCCTCAAGGTTATTATCAAATACATTTTGAATGTAATTTCAGGTAACTGCAAATGCTATGAAGAGAAATGAAGTCTGAGGTGTGGGGATTGTGACTGAAGGGCTGAGTTGTTTTAGAGAGGGTAGTCAGGAATTGCTCTTTGTGGAAGAGACATTTAGTCAGGGGTCTGAATGATGTGAAGGTGTCAAATGTATAAATGTCCTTGGGAAGAACATTCTAGGCAAATAGAAATGCCAGTTCACGGGACCTGAGGTGGGGGTGAGTTCACATATTTGAAGAACAGCCAGAAAGCTAGTGGAGTAAGTTAGGGAGAGTGGGTAAGGATGAGATGAGAGAGGTAGTCAGGCTAGATCATGTAGTATTTTATTCAAAATTTGATGGGAAGTCACTGAAGATTTTGAGTAGGGGGAGGGGTGATGTGATCTACCCCATGTTTTAAAAATGATTACTCATATGCTATAAGGAGATGAGACTATAGAAGGGTAAGTAGAAAAGCAGGAAAGCCAATAGGGAGGCAATTGCAATATTCCTGGTGATGATGAAGATGGACATGCACTAAGTGGTAGTAGTAGAGTGGTGAGAAATGGTTGGATTCTGGATTTATTTTGATGGCAAACCTAATAAGACCTGCTAATGGGCTATGGGGTGAAAGAAAGGCAAACATCAATAATGATTCTTTGATTTTTAGCTTAAGCACCTGGGTGAATATTGGCAACTTACTACTATAAACTGAGAAACCAGCCTTAGGAAAGATGCTGTTGTCAGAACTTATTATCCACTTTACCTCAAAAGACCATCAGGGTCTCTTAATCTCTGCCATGACCAGCTACCTAAATCTGTCAGGTTACCCATCACCAGAGGGGCATGGCTCTGGAGTGAGACTGGGTTCAAATCCTAGCTCTGCTATTTACTATATGTGTAACATTAACAAGTTACTAACCTGTCTGTGACTCAGTATACTCATCTGGAAAGTGGGGATGAAAACAATGGTGCTTACCTCATTTAGTTTGGGTGGCAGTTATTGTATGAGTTTACATATAGCTCTTCAACAATGTGGCATATGGTTATTGTTCTTTTTTTTTTTTTTTTTTTTGAGACGGAGTTTCGCTCTGTCGCCCAGGCTGGAGTGCAGTGGCGCGATCTCGACTCACTGCAAGCTCCGCCTCCCGGGTTCATGCCATTCTCCTGCCTCAGCCTCCCGTGTAGCTGGGACTACAGGCGCGCGCCACCATGCCTGGCTAATTTTTGTATTTTTAGTAGAGACGGGGTTTCACCGTGTTAGCCAGGATGGTCTCGATCTCCTGACCTCGTGATCCGCCCGTCTCGGCCTCCCAAAGTGCTGGGATTACAGGCGTGAGCCACCGCGCCCGGCCGGTTATTGTTCTTTAAGTTAGCTGTTATCACACAGACTTTTCTGTCCATAAGCCATGCTTATATCTTAGACCTTATTATTGCTAATAATTGGAGTACAGTCTATATGGAGCTCTGGAGGCTTCATTTATTCAGGAATTTTTTAGGCTATTCAATTCAACAATTTCAACTTGTTAAAAAATTGTTTTTGACAGGTATGTAATCTAGGCCATAGAGAAGTTAAGTGAGTTGACAGAGGTCGCAGAATTAATTAGTGGCTGAGCTGGAATGCCTACTTGGATCATTTTCACTGCATTTTTACATCTCTGCCTTTCATTTAATTTGAATTTCTTGAGTTTTCTGTATCCTATCAAATTTCATATCCCTTATTGATAAGGTCACTTAAAGATTTTTGAAATGTCATTGGTCATTAATAGTGTCAATCACACATAAATCATATTTGGCAATTTTTGAGTCATATAGGCTTATAAATGTATAAATCCATTGGACATTACATTTGTGTTTTGTTTTGTTTTTAGCAATAACAAGCAAGATTCAGAAGTCCAACAAGTAAGACATTGATTTCATTAAGAGAGAACTAGTAAGCAAGCTATTTGGGAAGTACACTCTCATAAGAATATTGTTTCATGAAGTCTTGAGCAACAAAGGAAATAGTAAGTAAGGAGAGCAAAATGGGGGAATCACTGTGCAGGGAAACAGAAAGTACGTACTAGGCATGAGTTCCTGACATAGATTCTAGTTCAAATGTTAACCAGTTGTGCTATGTCAAAGAAGTCATTCAACCTCCCAGTTCCTTAGTGTTTTGCATGTAAAATGAGGGGAGGGAGCCAGGTGATCTTGGGATCTGTGCCATCACTAGACTGCTAAGGTAAGGCTTAAGTGATCTTGTCACCATTTTACATTTTGTTCATTGATTCTTATTCAAAGGAGTCATATGTAGAACCATTTGAAAATATTGGCTATAGATAGCTTAGGAGTTGAAGGAAAGTGTTAAAAATAGAATTAAATAAATGGATTTTCTCTGAGCAAAAGGCTGTCACAGACTCTGAGGACTAGTATAAGGAGTGAACAGCAGGGTGATTTTAAGAGCTCTTCTTGGGAAATTTCGTGACTATCAGACTCAACATTAGTCTATCCTTGCTGTGTCCTGCCCTGACCTTGTGTGCTATTTGTAGTTATGCCTCTAAAGTCTGGCATTTTCCTCCCAAGCCCAGACTAAGACTTTATTTGCTTGCACAGGTCCATGAAGTGCACTGCTGTCAGACTCCCTCTAAGAATACTTCAACTGCTCATGAAGCGGGGGGCCTTAACTATTTACTTCTTTTGGAAGCCTCCATCTGGCCCATCTATCTTTATTCTCCCAGGATCACAGGTACATTGTGATTATTGTACTTTCTTTTGCTGACCAAAGTCAGTTTTATCTCTCAGTCTGCTCATTAGATGGAGCCATCTAGTCCCTGGACTCTGTCATCCCTGCTGGAACTTCTGAACCCATTCTGAAGCAGGGTCCCAGAGTTTTTTTTAATCTTCTCCATAGTTCCTGGGTCTGCAGGGGTTGGACCATTCACCAACACTTCCCAGCATTGTCTCTAAAAGCCTACTTCTTCATCATGGGCTATCTGGTGAAAGGCCTGGTTTATTTGTTCATTCTATTTTCAGAAATGAGCTGAAAGTCACTGGGGCTATACTAACGAACATCAGGTACTATCCGTTAACACTCTTACCATCCATTCAGTTCCACTGACTCTCATGGAAGCAGTCAGTTACTATGGCTTGTTTAAATAGACAGATGGTGGGGTTGGCATATTGTCAGTAGTAGAATCAGAACCTCTGATCCACAGAATACTGTTCTTTTATTAAAGGTGTCCTATAAAAGTTTGAAATGATATAAAGCTCATTTATCCAACAGATTTATTATTATTCTTTTAACACAAACTATACGAAGCATGCACATGGGACTAGGGTTAAACATAGTGAAAAAGGCATTTAACCCTCTTTAGTAATGTCTGAGGTATCCAGAGGACCTGGGAATAGTTACAGATACTCTTCACATGTCTTCCTTAGAGCATATGTGAACTGAGTCATAGAAATGGCCCTAAACATGCTATAGTTGCCCAAGGTAAATATGCAAACTACTATTGGTTATATTTTCTTTGGTTATATATGACTATATTTAAAGAAATGAACAAAATACCCTGTCATGTCGATTACATGAATAAGTACTCAGTACGAGTTTATTGTATAAGTAAATCAATAATCAAATGTTTTTATGAAATGATCACAGTTAAGTTCACTACCACAGAAGTTAAAATAGAACTGAGTAGCTGCAACTCCTAGCTATTGTTTGTCAAACACAGGAAAAATCCCAGTTTGGGGTATTTTACAGACTTTAGGCCTTTTAGACTTGAGAGGTAACTTCACTGTCAAAGGCTGCAACTGAAGAGCCAGCAGGAAAATTTCCACACTGACCAAAACAATGATAGTTTTCCTGTTACCCCCTGTAAAATTTATCATGACGTTGGCTGTTGGCAGGGGCTACCGATGAGACTGGGAAACATTACTGTCAACAGCAAAAGTACTTTAATATTTATGCTTTTGACCTCAAATGAAATTTAGATGGCTAACTAAAAAATGATTTATATTTACCTTAACAAAGTATTGATTTATGCTTTGTTTGGCACTCTCAATATCTGTATTCCTTCAATCTTGAAATGTTTTTAGGTGGGTCTTGTGGTATAATAGAAAAAAATAAATCCCAGCACTGCCACATATGACAAGTTATTTAACCTCTTTAGCTTCCTATTTTTCTTCTGTAAGATGGGGATAATAATAATAATAATACCTATAATTATTATTCATAATATCTTTGATATAATGTGTGTAAAATATATAGTGTAGTGCTTCACACACAGTAAACGCTCAATAAATATTAGTTACTTATATTAGGTTGGTGCAAAAGTAATTGTGGGATTTGCCTTTAAAAGTACTAGCAAATGCCATTAAATGCCAATTAAAAGTAATGGCAAGACCCGCAATGGCATTAAAAGTAATGGCAAAACCCACAATTACTTTTGCACCAATGTAATATTAATGCCAATTAAGATATTGCCAATATTAAACACCTATTAAAAGTAATGGCAAATGCCATTAAATGCCAATTAAAAGTAATGGCAAAACCCACAATTACTTTTGAACCAACGTAATATTAATACAGTACCTTATATATAATAGATTATTATGAATTATTATTAAATGAAAGAAAAGTGAATAACTTTAGTATCACAGGATCTCAGGAATATTTTACCATTTATTATAATTTTACCCAGCTCTTTTTCATAGATCCGGCATATCACATTTTTCTTTTGTGAATATGTATGCTCTTTCTTAATCTCAGCCCTTTGCGTCATGCCAAGGAAGCCTTGGAATATTTTGTTTCTGAGGCCAAGTTTCATTGGCCTGTCAAGGGATAATCCTTCATCTGGGAAAAGAAATGGACATGGAGCTACTGCACACAAGGTTTGGGGTGTTTTTCTCTTAAGAAATATAAACATTAAACACGGGAAGTAACGAGAACATGAAGCGTTCTTCAGATTCTGCACATCTTGCCCCACATCATAAGATTTTCTGCTTGCTGCTGAATCATTTCTATTGGAGGAAAGTGTAATGCACATTTCACTGCCCCAAATAAAACCGGAAAAGTAGCATTTGTATATTGTCACTAACAATCACGTTCTGTGCGAAAGAGTGAGGAAGATCATCTCAGCTCCAGTGAAGCACTAACTGTGAACAAGCCCTTCTTTGTCCATCTCTCCTGTAATTAGATGTGGGTCAGGGGTTGCCACTGTTGGGAAATTTGAAACAATAAAAGAAAAGGACTCTCACAAGAAAGGGCCATGCAAACAGTGTGAGTGATATTTGATTATGTGTCAATATTGTTTTGAATAGAAAACAAAAATTATTGAAAAACCATTCTGACTGATGTCTGTTTATACAAGCTGTAAATCTTTCCTTCACTGCCTTATACAAATATTGATTGGTTAATTTCTGACCTATCAAGAAAAGAGTCTCTCTGATCAATGGCTAAGTAGTTTCCCAAGCAATGTCTCACTTTTATTGTCTAATTTCATATTTCTTCTGCATTTTTAAATGTGTTTATCTTGGACTAAGATATGTTCAATAGTTGCTTTTTTTGCCACATGTTCTTTTTCTTGTTTTAAGAATAAACCTTAATTCTTTTTTTTTTTTTATACTTTAAGTTTTAGGGTACATGTGCACAATGTGCAGGTGTCTCTGTCTCCTTCAGTTCTGCTCTGATCTTAGTTATTTCTTGCCTTCTGCTAGCTTTTGAATGTGTTTGCTCTTGCTCCTCTAGTTCTTTTAATTTTGATGTTAGGGTGTCGATTTTAGATGTTTTCTTGTGGGCATTGAGTGCTATAAATTTCCCTCTACCCAGTGCTTTAATTGTGTCCCAGAGATTCTGGTATGTTGTGTCTTTGTTCTCATTGGTTTCAAAGAACATCTTTATTTCTGCCTTCATTTCACTATTTACCCAGTAGTCATTCAGGAGCAGGTTGTTCAGCTTCCATGTAGTTGTGTGGTTTTGAGTGAGTTTCTTAATCCTGACTTCTAATTTGATTGCACTGTGGTCTGAGAGACTGTTAAGATTTCTGTTCTTTTACATTTGCCGAGGAGTCCTTTACTTCCAACTATGTGGTCAGTTTTGGAATAAATACTATGTGGTGCTGAGAAGAATGTATATTCTCTTGATTTGGGGTGGAGAGTTCTGTAGATGTCTATGAGGTCTGCTTGGTGCAGAGCTGAGTTCAAGTCCTGGATATCCTTGTTAACTTTCTGTCTCGTTGATCTGTGTAATGTTGACAGTGGGGTGTTAAAGTCTCCCATTATTATTATATGGGGTCTAAGTCTCTTTGTAGGTCTCTAAGGACTTGCTTTTGAATCTGGGTGCTCCCGTATTGGGTGCATATGTAGAATAGTTAGCTCTTCTTGTTGAATTGATCCCTTTACCATTATGTAATGGCCTTCTTCGTCTCTTTTGATCTTTGTTGGTTTAACGTCTGTTTTATCTGAGACTGGGATTGCAACCCCTGCTTATTTTTTGTTTTCCATTTGCTTGGTAGATCTTCCTCCGTCGCTTTATTTTGAGCCTATGTGTGTCTCTGCATGTGAGATGGGTCTCCTGAATACAGCACACTGATGGGTCTTGACTCTTTATACAATTTGCCAGTCTGTGTCTTTTAATTGGGGCATTTAGCCCATTTACATTTAAAGTTAATATTGTTATGTGTGAATTTCATCCTGTCATGATGATGTTTGCTGGTTATTTTGCTTGTTAGTTGATGCATTTTCTTCCTAGCATTGATGGTCTTTACAATTTGGCATGTTTTTGCAGTGGCTGGTACCGGTTGTTCCTTTACGTGTTTAGTGCTTCCTTCAGAAGCTCTTGTAAGGCAGGCCTCATGGTTACAAAATCTCTCAGCATTTGCTTGTCTGTAAAGGATTTTATTTCTCCTTCACTTATGAAGCTTAGTTTGGCTGGATATGAAATTTTGGGTTGAAAATTCTTTTCTTTAAGAATGTTGAGTATTGGCCCTCACTCCTTCTGGCTTGTAGAGTTTCTGCTGAGAGATCAGCTGTTAGTCTGATGGGCTTCCCTTTGTGGGTAACCCGACCTTTCTCTCTGGCTGCCCTTAACATTTTTTCCTTCATTTCAACCTTGGTGAGTCTGACAATTGTGTCTTGAGGTTGCTCTTCACAAGGATTATCTTTGTGGCGTTCTCTGTATTTCCTGAATTTGAATGTTGGCCTACCTTGCTAGGTTGGGGAAGTTCTCCTGGATAATATCCTGAAGAGTGTTTTCCAACTTGGTTCCATTCTCCTTGTCACTTTCAGGTACACCAATCAAACATAGATTTGGTCTTTTCACATATTCCCATATTTCTTGGAGGCTTTGTTTGTTTCTTTTCACTCTTTTTTCTCTAATCTTCTTCTCTCGCTTCATTTCATTCATTTGATCTTCAATCACTGATGCCCTTCTTTCCACTTGATCGAATTGGCTACTGAAGCTTCTGCATGTGTCACGTAGTTCTCGTACCATGGTTTTCAGCTCCATCAAATCATTTAAGGTCTTCTCTATGCTGTTTATTCTAGTTAGCCATTCCTCTAATCTTTTTTCAAGGTTTTTAGCTTCCTTGCAATGGGTGTGAACATCCTCCTTTAGCTCAGAGATGTTTGTTATTACCAATCTTCTGAAGCCTACTTCTGTCAACTTCTCAAAGTCATTTTCCATCCCGCTTTGTTCCATGGCTGGCGAGGAGCTGCGATCCTTTGGAAGAGAAGAGGCACTCTGGTTTTTAGAATTTTCAGCTTTTCTGCTCTGGTTTCTCCCCATCTTTGTGGTTTTATCTACCTTTGATCTTTGATGATGGTGACCTACATATGGGGTTTTGGTGTGGGTGTCCTTTTTGTTGATGTTGATGGTATTCCTTTCTGTTTGTTAGTTTTCCTTCTAACAGACAGGACCCTCAGTTGCAGGTCTGTTTGAGTTTGCTGGAGGTCCACTCCAGACCCTGTTTCCCTGGGTGTCACCAGTGGAGGCTGCAGAACAGCAAATATTGCAAAACAGCAAATGTTGCTGCCTGATCCTTCCTCTGGAAGCTTCGTCTCAGAGGGGCACCTGGCTGTATGAGGTGTCAGTTGGCCCCTACTGGGAGGTGTCTCCCAGTTAGGCTACTTGGGGGTCAGAGACCCACTTGAGGAGGCAGTCTGTCAGATCTGAGGCAGTTCTCAGATCTCAAACTCCATGCTAGGAGAACCACTGCTCTCTTCAAAGCTCTCAGACAGGGATGTTTAAGTCTGCAGAAGTTTCTGCTGCCTTTTGTTCAGCTATGCCCTGACCCCAGAGGTGGAGTCTACAGAGGCAGGCAGGCCTCCTTGAGCTGCAGTGAGCTCCACCCAGTTCGAGCTTCCTGGCGCTTTGTTTACCTAGTCAAGCTTTAGCAATGGTGGATGCCTTTCCCCTAGCCTTGCTGCTGCCTTGCAGTTCAATCTCGGACTGCTGTGCTGGTAGTGAGCAGGGCTCAGTGGGCATGGGACCCACTGAGCCATGTGCGGGATATAATCTCCTGGTGTGCCATTTGCTAAGACCATTGGAAAAACGTGGTATTAGGGCAAGAGTGTCCCGATTTTCCAAGTACCGTCTGTCATGGCTTCCCTTGGCTAGGAAAGGGAATTCCCTGACCTCTTGCACTTCCTGGGTGAGGCGACGCCTAGCTCTGCTTTGGCTCACACTCCATGGGCTGCACTCACTGTCCAACCAGTCCCAGTGAGATGAACCAGGTACCTCAGTTGGAAATGCAGAAATCACCTGTCTTCTGTGTCGCTCACACTGGGAGCTGTAGACTGGAGCTGTTCCTGTTCGGCCATCTTCAATGTTAATTCCTCTTTTCTTCTTTATTAGTCTGGCTAGGGTTCTATCTATTTTGTTGATCTTTTCAAAAACCAACTCTTGGATTTGTTGATTTTTTCAAGAGTTTTTTGTATCTCTAGCTCCTTCAGTTCTGCTTTGATCTTAGTGATTTCTTGTCTTCTGCTAGCTTTTGAATTTGCTTGCTCTTGTATCTCTAGTTCTTTTAATTGTGATGTTAGAGTGTCAATTTTAGATCTTTCCTGCTTTCTCTTGTGGGCATTTAGTGCTATAAATTTCCCTCTACACACTGCTTTAAATGTGTCCCAGAGTTTCTGGTACATTGTGTCTTTGTTCTTATTGGTTTCAAAGAACATTTTAATTTCTGCCTTCATTTCATCATTTACCCAGTAGTCATTCAGGAGCAGTTTGTTCAGTTTCTATGTAGTTGCGCGATTTTGAGAGTTTCTTAATCTTGAGTTGTAATTTGATTGCACTGTGGTCTGAGAGACAGTTTGTTATGATTTCTGTTCTTTTAAATTTGTTGAGGAGTGCTTTACTTCCAATTATGTGGTCAATTTTAGAATAAGTGTGATGTGGTGCTGAGAAGAATGTATATTCTGTTGATTTGGGGTGGCAGGTTCTGTAGATGTCTATTAGGTCTGCTTGGTCCAGAGCTGTGTTCGAGTCCTGAATATCCTTGTTAATTTTCTGTCCCATTGATCTGTCTAATATTGACAGTAGGGTGTTAAAGTCTCCCGCTATTATTGTGTGGGAGTCTGAGTCTCTTTGTAGGTCTCTAAGAAATCTCTAAGAACTTGCTTTATAAATCTGGGTGCTCCTGTATTGAGTGCATATATATTTAGGATAGTTAGCTCTTCTTGTTGCATTGACCCCTTTACCATTATGTAATGGCCTTTGTCTCTTGCGATCTTTGTTGGTTTAAACTGCGTTTTATCAGAGACTAGGATTGTAATTCCTGCTTTTTTTTTGCTTTCCGTTTGCTTGGTAATTCTTCCTCCATCCCTTTATTTTGAGCCTATGTATGTCTTTGCATGTGAGATGGGTCTCCTGAATACAGCACATCAGTGGGTCTTGACTCTAGCCAATTTGCCAGTCTGTGTCTTTTAATTGGGCCATTTAGTTCATTTACATTTAAGGTATATATATATATATTTATTTATTTATTTATTTTTGAGAAGGAGTCTCACTCTGTTGCCCAGGCTGGAGTGCAGTGGCATGATCTCGGCTCACTGCATACTCTGCCTCCCGGGTTCACGCCATTCTCCTGCCTCAGCCTCCCGAGTAGCTGGGACTACAGGTGCCCGCCACTGTGCCCGGCTAATTTATTGTATTTTTAGTCGAGATGGGGTTTCACCATGTTAGCAAGGCTGGTCTCGATCTCCTGACCTCGTGATCCGCCCACCTTGGCCTCCCAAAGTGCTGGGATTACAAGCGTGAGCCACCGCACCCAGCCTATGGTTAATATTGTTATATATGAATTTGATTCTGTCATTATGATGCTAGCTGGTTATTTTGCCAGTAAGTTGATGCAGATTCTTCATGGCATTGGTGGTCTTTGCAATTTGGTATGTTTTTGCAGTGGCTGGTACCAGTTTTCCTTTCCATGTTTAGTGCTTCCTTCAGGAGCTCTTGTAAGGCAGGCCTGGTGGTGACAAAATCTCTCAGCATTTGCTTGTCTGTAAAGGATTTTATTTCTCCTTTGCTTATGAAGCTTAGTTTGGCTGGATATGAAATTCTGGGTTGAAATTTTTTTTTTTAAGAATGTTGAATATTGGCCCCCATTCTGTTCTGGCTTGTAGGGTTTCTGCTGAGAGATCTGCTATTAGTCTGATGGGCTTCCCTTTGTGGGTAGCCCAACCTTTTTCCCTGGCTGCCCTTAACACGTTTTCCTTCATTTCAACCTTGGTGAATCTGATGATTATGTGTCTCAGGGTTGCTCTTCTCGAGGAGTATCTTTGTGGTGTTGTCTGTATTTCCTGAATTTGAATGTTGGCCTACCTTGCTAGATTGGGGAAGTTCTTCTGGATAATATCCTGAAGAGTGTTTTCCAACTTGGTTCTGTTCTCCCCATCACTTTCAGGTACACCAATCAAACATAGATTTGGTCTTTTCACATAGTCCTATATTTCTTGGAGGCTTTGTTGGTTTCTTTTCACTACTTTTTTCTCTAATCTTGTCTTCTCACTTTATTTCATTGAGTTGATCTTCAATCTCTGATATCCTTTCTTCCACTTGATTGATTCAGCTATTGATACTTGTGTATCATACTTGTGTATGCTTCACGAAGTTCTTGTGCTGTGTTGTTCAGCTCCATCTACATTTATGTTCTTCTCTAAACTGGTTATTCTAGTTAGCAATTCATCTTACCTTTTTTTTTCAAGGTTCTTGTCTTTCTTGCATTGGGTTAGAACATGCTCCTTTAGCTCAGAGAAGTTTGTTTTTACCCACCTTCTGAAGCCTACTTCTGTCAATTCGTCAAACTCATTCTCCCTCCAGTTTTGTTCCCTTGCTGATGAGGAGTTGTGATCCTTCAGAGGAGAAGAGGCATTCTGGTTTTTGGAATTTTGACCTTTTTGCGCTGGTTTCTCCCCATCTTTGTGGATTTGTTTACCTTTGGTCTTTGATGTTGGTGACCTTCGGATGGGGTCTCTGAGTGGACATCCTTTCTGTTGATATTGATGGTATTCCTTTCTGTTTGTTAGTTTTCCTTCTAACAGTCAGGCCCCTCTGCTGCAGGTCTGTTGTAGTTTGCTGGAGGTCCACTTCAGACCCTGTTTGCCTGAGTATCAGCAGCTGAGGCTGCAGAACAGCAAAGATTGCTGCCTGTTCCTTCCTCTGGAAAGTTCGTTGCAGAGGGGCACCTGCCAGATGCCAGCCAGAGCTCTCCTCAGCTCTTCTCTATGAGGTGTCTGTCAGCCTCTACTGGGAGGTGTTTCCCAGTCAGGATACATGGGGGTCAGGGACCTACTTGAGGAGGCAGTCTGTCCCTTATCAGAGTTTGAATGCTGTGCTGGGAGATCTGCTGCTCTATTCAGAGCTTCATGCAGGGATGCTTAAGTCTGCTAAAGCTGCACCCACGGCCACCCCTTCCCCCAGGTGCTCTGTCCCAGGGAGATTGGGGTTTTATCTATAAGTCTCTGACTGGGGCTGCTGCCGTTTTTTCAGAGATGCCTTGCCCAGAGGGGAGGAATTTAGAGAGGCAGTCTGGCCACAGCGGCCTTGCTGAGCTGCGGTGGGCTCTACCCAGTTTCAACTTCCCAGCGGCTTTGTTTACACTGTGAGGGTAAAACCATCTACTCAAGCCTCAGCAATGGCGGATGCCCCTACCCCCACCAAACTCAGGCATCCTAGGTCGACCTCAGACTGCTGTGCTAGCAACAAGAATTTCACGCCAGTGGATCTTTGCTTTCTGGGCTCCATGGGGGTGGGACCTGCTGAGCCAGACCACTTGGCTCTTTGGCTTCAGCCCCCTTTCCAAGGGAGTGAATGGTTTTCTCTCACTGGCATTGCAGGTGCCACTGGAATATGAAAAAAACTCCTGCAGCTAGCTCAGTGTCTGCCTTAATGGCCACCCAGTTTTGTGGTTGAAACCTAGAGCCCTGGTCGCATAGGCACCAGAGGGAATCTCCTGGTCTGTGGGTTGCAAAGACCATGGGAAAAGTGCAATATCTGGGCCAGAGTGCACCGTTCCTCCCGGTACAGTCTCTCACGGCTTCTCTTGGCTGGGGGAGGGAAATCCCCTGACCCCTTGTACTTCCTGGGTGAGACAATGCCCTACCCTGCTTCAGGTTACCCTCCGTGGGCTGCACTCACTGTCCAACCAGTCCCAGTGAGATGAATGGGTACCTCAGTTAGAAATGCAGAAATCACCCGCCTTTTGCGTCAATCTCACTGGGAGCTGCAGACCAGAGCTATTCTTATTTGGCCATCTTGCTAGCCTCAGGCTCGAGTTAATACTTTTAAGAGGTGTTGATTGGTTCTCTGTGAGGTTGTTCAGAATTCACTCATCCTACACAAACTTTTTGGAGATCAACTACTGATGAGATTAAAGAATTTAAAGATGATTTTAGGAAGCAAAATTCTAAAATGTAACTGATATAAAATTAATTAACTTGGAATTTTTTAACTTGTATGTTCTGAATGTTGGTGTTCCTCCACAATTCATATGTTGGAACCTAATAGTCATGTGATAGTATTAAAAGGTGGGGCCATTTGAAAAATGATTAAATCATGATGGTTCTGCCTTCATGAATGGGATTGCCATTATAACAGAATACCCAAGACTGGGTAATTTATAAAGAGTACTGGGTAATTTATAAAGAGTAATTTATAAAGAGTACTGGGTAATTTATAAAGAGTATTGGATAATTTATAAAGAGTACAGATTTATGTATCATGGTTCTTGAGGCTGGGAAGTCCAAGATCGAGGGGCTAGCATCTTGTTTAGGGACTTCTTGCTGCATCATAAGGTATCACATGAGCAAGAAACAGAAAAGGTAGCTGAATTCCCCCTTTTAAAATGAGCCCACTTCCATGATAACTAACATGATAACAGCATTAATTCATTCATGAGAACAGAGCCCTCATAGCTGAATCACCTCTCATTAAGCCCCACCTCCTAACACTGTTGCACTGGGGTTCCAGTTTGAAACATGTGAACTTTGGAGGACACATTCAAGCCATAGCAGTGCCTTTATAAAAAAGGTTGAAGGATGTGCTCCTGGCCTTTCATCATGTGGGAATGCAGCAAGAGGTACCATCAATAAAGCAGAGAGTGAGCCTTCACCAGACACTGAATCTGCTGGTGTCTTGATCTTGGACTTTCCAGCTTCCACAACTATGAGAAATAAATTTCTATTATTTATAAATTAGTCTAAGACATTTTGTTATAGCAGCCCAAATGAAGACAGAACTATAGCATTGTATTGTAATAGTTAACCTTTAGTGACTGAAATACAGAAGACAGAGGACATTCAGAGAGAAAGAAATCATGTTTCTTTATAACTTATTTATTATTAGTCAACAAACATTAATTGAGCATTTTGCTCTTGAACTAGATACTGGAAATACAAACAACTCAGTGGCTTTGCATATGTAATTTTTTCCTTCAAGAATGCCGCTACTAGTTCTCCATCTAGAAACCTACTCATTCTTCCAGATTTAGTTCAAGGGATATTCCCTGAACAAAGATAATTAGTTGATCAAGACTCTGTTCTTTGGTGTATTATTTGCATATTGTATATTATCTGCACATTACTAAATAGATAAAAGTAATGTGTCTACCAACTCATATCTACAAACTTAAGTGTAAACTCTTCACAGAGAGATATCACTGTTAACCTTGTATCTTTCCTTCTTGCTTTTTAATGTTCACTGTTTTATAAAATTGTGATATTTTTGCCTCATTCTCTACACATTACATGGGAAGCATTTATTTATGTGGCTAAATAGTCTTCAAATTAATGATTTTTTACTGGTACCATATCACATGTGTATCATATTTGATTTAGCTCTTACTCTGTTCTTGGACAGTTAGGTTATTTCCAATTTCCTAATATTATAAATAATGCTGAAATTCTTCAAGAAACTTTTTATTTTGAATTTTAACGTTTCTAGAAGTGATATTACTATGTCAAATGATATGAGCACTGTTAAGGTCAAATTACTTTCTAAAAAGTCTGTTCCATGAGTAATAAATGAGCATGACTATTTTACCACACCTGCTCTTGCCAACACTAGACATTATCATTTCAAAAACTTTGCCAGTTTGATACACAAGAAATATCTCATTTTATTTCTTGAATAATTATTATTGTTTTTATTCTGCTTTTGTCCTTTGGACAGTTGTGTTTTCAACCATGATTATTTTCTGCACTCTGTTGTTTAGCAAAAGAGGAATTAAGACATTAAATAAAAAGCAACTTCAAATATGCTTTAAAAAAGAATAAGAATGTTAATGTACATCTTGAGTCAATTTTTAATTATTGATAAGTACAGATATCAAAGTATTTTACCATTGTGGTGATAGTAACTGTAATGAGAAAAACCAAGACTCGTATTTAAAAAACCATCCCCCAAACTGGAAGGGAACTAAGAGACCAAAAAATGACTCAGGCAAGTCCAACATGGCGAGTACGTAAGTTTATTAGGACTTGCATATGAGGCACTCCTGGATGGCAGCAGGGCATCTTTAGAGATCTGTCCTGCCTCCCATCTCTAAGCTGCTTTTAAGCTAATTTTCTGGCTCTTTGCCGTGTGTGTGTGTGTGTGTGTGTGTGTGTGTGTGTGTGTTTGTGTGTGATGGGACTGTTTTCCTTGTTAGCTTCTCATATACTCTCTCCGAGATATTTGGGTTCTTAGGGACACCTGCTCCTTGGCTAGGCATCATGGCCTTGGCTCGCAGCCTGGCCTCCAGGGTTCAGGCAGCAGACATACACCCTTAAGTAACATGGTGAGGGACCTGTCACACTGCAATCCATCAGCCCTTACATTCTTTCCATAAATCTTGTGTAAGAGTCCCTGAGTGGGGTATGAGGGGAAGAACTCTACAAATGTGTAACATATAGACATGGCTTGTGTGTACAAGTCACATCCACAGTATACATAACAACATAAAAAACAGAAGCTAACCATAATTATAACGTCTATTAGCAAGCATAACTCCAATGAGTAGGTAAGGTGTGTAACCATTTTGAGCATGAGTCAAAGAAACCTAATTGGGCTGTATCATGGAACTAAGTTGACAAATTATTCAACGCATCTGTGACATTATCCTTTTTATCAGGGGTATAGGTACAACAACAGGTATTGTGTATAAGAGCACATGTTGTTGGTTCTCCATCAAATTGGCCATTAGGCTTCCAGGTGGAGACAATCCCCGGTGAACCTGGGTTGCACTATTGGTGCTGATGTACCTGGCACTCCAGTTCTGTAGGGAGAAAGGCAGACTGTTGTGAGGCATACTGTTATAATTTGATAGGGGGAGGTATCCATATACCCAATAATTGGACTGGTTGCTGACTGCTACTGTAGTTACATTCCAGTGCAGCTTCCATGGGTAGCAGGAACAACAGCCTACTGGCATAAACACAGGTGTTTAGCAGGAACCCTCATGGGTGTATCCACTCCTTGTAACATTATTACTGCTATATTATCTCCCATTGGCCCCATTAGGGAGGCCACCATGTACTTCATGTCTAGCTTATAGTACCATACATGGTTTCCTTCCCTAAGAGTGGGCACAGTAGCCAACTGGTAAGTTTCCAGCCTTGCCCACACTATCAGCACTATGCCTACTCCTGTAGGTATTGGTGCTGCCGTGTGTTGATATTGTAAAGCTCTCAGACCTCTATAAAGGAGCATAGCTTGGATCGCCTCTCCTCCATCAGTCTTCATAGTGCCCCCCAGTGCCATAAAACTGACCCAGTATGGGAGCAATTTCCAGCTCAACTTCAGGTCCACGTAGCCATTGCCACTTGGCAGATCCACTGCTGTTCTCAGGAGCACAGTCTGCCCATCTGTTTCAGGAGCATGGCTTGGAGTCTCAGGTAATCCTGAGAATTTGTGACACCTGTTTTACAGGCCTGCCCAACCATTCACAGGGAGTGATGCCATGTGTGGTAGTGGGTGACTTATTTAAAATTTGTATAGCTTCAGGGAGATCCTTAGTCTAGTACCCTTAAGAACTGTCCTGAGACAATGCACATAATTGAGTTTTTAACAGGCCATTTTTTTTTTCTATGAGGCCTACCCTGTTGGGTTATATGGCCAGTGGAATCTTTAGTCTATATTTTGTTCCAATGCCCCATGTTGGATATCGTGACCTGTGAAATGGGGGCCTTGATCACTATCCTTTTTGGCATGTCATACATGACACCAAGAGCAGTGAGACTCTTGGTCTCCAGTTGAGTGGCATGTCTTACTGGGAAGGCCCCTGTAGTAGCCCCATTGTTGTGTCTGTACAAGTTAAGGCATACCTTCTCCTTCTCCCTCTACCTGGGGACAGGAGGCCAATATAACTGACTTGCCAGTCTTGCACAGTTGTATGGCTCGATGTATGTGAGTTGGTGTGGAGGGAACTTTTCCAGGTCGCAGTTATGAGCAGATCTCACGGTTCTGAACAGCTGCCAAAGCATCTCCAGATTGGATTGGGATGCCTGCCGCCTTTCGTATGGCCCACCTGTCGCTGCCCCTTGGTGACTGCTCCTGTGATGTACCCATATGGCAGCCTCCTCCAATGGGCTCTGGCAAAGTGCCCAAACATGAGTAAGGGCATCTGCCTCCTGAGTTCTCAGAAGCAACCTGGGGCTGTGTGTATCCACATGGTACACCTGAGTTGGGCATCCTTCTCTTATAACTTGATGTGAATGTTCTGCCACATGGACATTCCCCAAAGGGGCTTGCCCCAAACCTGCCAACTGTCTGTGGCCCATTGATTGATTCACATGGTAAGTCCTGTTTGTGTAGCCCAACTATCTGTGTAGATAGATGATTAGCAGCCAAGCCTCATAGGTGATGGGTATCCAAACTGCCTGTAACCTAGCCCATTGACTGCTTTGTCCTAATCCCCGTTCTCTCCGTATGGTGTCAGTATCCCTTTGCACCACAAACTGCTGACCGTTGGTGTTAGGTAACTTTGCTAGACCCATCAGTGTATCAAGCCTAGTGAGTATCACCTGGGACTCCTCATATATGTGGTTGACCTGATAGGTGGCTCCATTGCCATGTCTGCTACCTCCACTTGTTCAAAGTGGATGGATCTTAATGCCTCCTATAGTGCCTGACTTAAAGGACTAGTGGACAAGCCACCCCTAAGTTGTAGACAGGGATGCCACTTATGCCGTGTGATTGTGCCACTCTAGGGGTGGGCTTGGCTAGGAGACCTTTCATTCACCCTTTTATGAGTAGGCAGTTTTTTTCTGTGGTGGTCTGCTTTCTGGTGATAGCCTCCACTTGTTGCAATGTCCTATACAGGGCTGAGAGTTATTGCCCCAGGACTGTATAGTAGGATTCTGACCCCCTCTACAATTGAGATAAAAGCCCAACAGGTAACAATTCCTGTTGGTTGCTTTTGCCACAAACTCCAGCTCATCCCTGTGGCATCTCTAGTGGCTTCTAATACAAAAGGATGCTGTGGCAGTGGGGCACCTAATGCTTTGGCTTGTTTTACAGTATTTTTGATTTGTCAAATGCCTCTTGCTCTATATGTGTACAGTCTCATTTTTAATTTTCCTTTATTGAAGGAAAGGTGAAGGGTTTGTACCAAACGAATAAATAGCTCAGTAAACCTAGGACAACCTGGAGTTAGCTTACTATCTGGGGAACAGGCTACTGTGATACCTTATTGATGACAGTTTTAGGTATGTTTTACATCTTCTCCAACCAGGTGACTCTCAGGAATTTGATGGCTATACTGGGCCCCTGTTTCTTCTTGGGGTTGACTTCTCATTCCCTGTCCTTTGAGCCATCCAAGATAGTTTGTAGGGCAGTCTTCAAATCTGTAAAAGGCTCTGAGGTTTGCATGTCATCATTAATATGGTAAAACAGGAAGACCAAGGCAGGCAGAAAGAGTCTAGACAGGTCCTTTGCAACCATACTGTGACATATGATGTGGCTGTGCAGGTACCCTTGTGGTAGCACCTAAAAAGTCTATCATTGGCCCTACTAAGTGAAGGCAAACTGGTCTTGTGAATCTTCCACTAAAGGAATACTAGGAAAGGTGTTAGACAGGTCAGTCACAGCATGGACATTTCCCAGTGTACAAACCACTTGCTGTAGCAGTTGAGCACTATTGGGTACAGCTGCACGTGCGGGGACACCACTTTGTTCAGCTCACGGTAGTCTACAGTCATTCTCCAGGTGCTATCTGGTGTCTTCACAGGACACATAGGGCTGCTACAGGGGTTGTGGGCCATACTGACTATTTGTACTTTATGTAATTCCTGAACTGTTTGGGTGATTTCAGAGTGTCCCCCTGGCAGACAGTATTGTTTCATATATATTGCCTGTTTGGGCCGGGGCAAGTGTACAGACACCCATTTGGCCCATCATCCCTTTTTTGTTCCTTAATTACTTTTTGGACATGGTCTTTGTTTTTATCCAGCTCACTGAAGTCCACCAATGCTTCCCCCATATTACAACCTTTTTTAAACTGGAAGTGATCAAGACATTCAGTGAGTGCCTAAAATAACTTTAAGAGTTTAAACTACATGAAAGTTTTACCCACAAGCATTGATCTCATTTACATTTACTCAATCTATTCACTTTTAGCAGTTTATCTGGGTTACTAGTGAGAACCAAGACATTCTGTAAAGCTACATATCATTGCAAACTATTTTTCTGTTAACTATTTTCATAGCTTGTGAATATCAGGTATTCAGCTAAGCAAGAACCTTCAAGTTAAACATGGGCATTTTTGCTGATAACTCAGAAAAATTCAGCTGTTTCCATTAAACCAACCATATCAAATTAATCTTGCTTATTAAAAAAATCACACAAACAAAGATCATTTTGTTTTTGGCTGGGTTTACAGTCTTATAACCTTCATGTCAAACTCTGACACCATAAAGTATCTAGCAGAAGCAAATATAAAATGTATCTATTAGCAAACTCAGACAAAAATGTATGCTGACACTTTTGAAGATACACTTTTATTTTACCAGTAATTTTAAAGCCAGTTTATTTACCAAAGATTATTGAATTTATATAAACTTGGAAAGCATTTGAACTTATTTATGAGTACTCATTTATTTATAAGTTAATGTGGTAGAATGCTAGATATAACACATAACATAATACATGTACATACACATAAACACATTTAAACATGTATGCACACATACAAAGATCCAATGGCTTTCACCTTGGAATTCTAGCCATGAGACAGCATCATAAACTCATTATATTACAAAAGACAGCTGGATTCAAATTATTTTTTATAAAATTGGGACCTGTTCACATGGCTAAACTTTATTTGCCCTGATAGATAATCCAAGGAAAGTTGTGGATCAAAATTTTGGGTAAAGCAGTTTCCATGGCAGTTTGATTTTTAAAAACCTGTTTTGTCCTTTTTTTTTCTTCAGTTTCAAATGAATTTCATTGTTTACATTTTAGCTAGAACTGGCTGAACTGTACAAGAAAAACAAAATCCCCAAATAACCTTGAATTAGTGTTACCATAAACAGTGAGTTTTATTTCAA
Source organism: Homo sapiens (assembly GCF_000001405.40). NCBI lineage: Eukaryota > Metazoa > Chordata > Mammalia > Primates > Hominidae > Homo > Homo sapiens. Next base: position 180,548,734 of record NC_000003.12, on the reverse strand, counting down.
CACTAGCAACTTAAAAATAGCAGATTCAAAGCAGGCAGAAAAAGAGAGAGAGAAATAGAAAGTGTTAGAAGATTCTGCTTAACTTTATAGTTGTGGGTTAACCATTTGAGCTCTGATTTTTTTTTTTTTTTTTTTTGTAATTTGCCTGTCAGTTTTCAAATGTGCACAAGAAGGGACCATGATATGTAACAAGCTGGAGTCCTAGAAAACCTGATATGCCTTTGACCCTCTGCAGGAGTTTTTACTCTTTCTCCCTTTCCTGCTCTAATGATTTCTTAGTAGCTAGCCTTATTGCAACAACAGTGCATTTACTATCTTTATTGTACTTTAATATCTTAGCTTCTTGCAATAGGTGCTCAGTCTCTACCAGTGTTTTCCAAGTGTCCCCATACTTATGTGGTGGCCCACAAAGTTTGAACAATTGGGCTAGTCCACCTCACATGCACGTTGCCAACTCTGAGATTTCCTCCATAGATACTCCTCCCTGACTCACCATTTGGTCTCTCAGATCCTGTTCACAATGCCAATTTTAATGAGAAAAACCTGGAATCATATTTTAAAAACCATCCCCCAAACTGAGAGGGAGCCAAGGGACCAAAAAGGAGATAGCAGTGAAGTGGAATAGAATTGAATACAGAATCTGAGCTCTGGCCCTACTGTGTGAATACCTGAAAAATACTCATCTCTCTAAAATGAGATTTTCTTATTTGTAACAAGGAAAAGTTTGGTTAATAGAGATCCACAATAATAAATTTATAAGAGAAAACCAGAATTAAACATAGTCTCTTATCAGAAAAAAATGGCCAGCCATACTATTTATCTATAGTAACTGATTTTAAACATATTTAGGCTTCTTTCTTAAAATCTAACCCTCTGCCATTTCTTAAAATATTAAATGATTTGTGAAAATTTATTCTTCCCCTTCAACCTTACTTATATGAAATCTAAAACCTAGGTTGACCTTGGAGATTATCTATTGGATCTGATCCAATTCAATGGAGTGCCAAATTTAATTTATGATTTCTGTTGGAGAGTATACATAAAATGAATTTGGGAGTGTAATTCTAAATGTTTAGGTCTATCAAACAGCTCTTTTTTAAAAGAGAAGCATTGGTAAAAATCATTTTATCTTTCTAGATTCTAAAAATATACTATTGAATACATAAGGCATGCAATATACCTGTTTCTTTTAAAGTTACTAGATGCTTGATTTGTTTGAACAAAGTGACAGGTAGTAATCTATCATAGTCTCTTCATTTACAAAAAAAAAATTATCAGATGTTATCCAGTGACTTAAATCTGCCAGGTGAACATCTTTCTTTGGTCTCAGGTGAAGCTGTAAATCTTCATTCATGAGTTTTTTTCTTCTTTAAACACATGTATAGCTGTTTAGTTGAATTACAGAAGGTGAGAACTGAAAGAGATCTTATGAATGACTTCACTGTAACCCCTCATTGTAGCATGTGCCTCATCCTACAATTAATTAGGTTATACCACTCATTGGTATAATTTATACACACATCAGGTTTGGAAGACCTGAAGCTTGAACTAATATTTTCACTCCTAGTAGATCACTTTTCTTTCACATCGTCTGATGCATAGAAGATACTCTAATAATATCTAGTGGCTAAATGAATGGGTCATTGTGGCAAAATACTTTAACATCACAGGCTATTTTTACATGGTAATGGATGTAAAGGTAAGATAAGCAAACTGAGAATAAGGAGGTTTCAGTTTGAACTCAAGCCTAGGGACTTTTGAAATCATTTCAACTCTATGTGTCTTCATTTCTTTATCTCTAAGATGAAGTACCATAGGAATTTTAGAATAGTTTTTTCCTGTTTCTCTGGAAAATGACTTTGGCAGTTTGATAGGAATAGTGTTGAATCTGTAAATTTTGGGGGACAGTATGGCCATTTTAACGATATTGATTCTTCCAATTCATGAGCATGGAATGTTTTTCCATTTATTTGTGTTGTCTCTGATGTCTTTCAGCAGTGTTTTGTAGTTCTTCTTGTAGATATCTTTCACCTCCTTGGTTAAATATGTTAGGTATTTCAGTTTTTTTGTGTGCCTACTGTAAATGGGATTTTGTTCTCGATTTGACTCTCAACTTGAATGTTATTGATATATAGAAATGCTACTGATTTTTATACATTGATTTTGTATCCTGAAACTTTGCTAAAGGCATTTATCAGTTATAGGAGCCTTTTGTGGAGTCTTTAGGGATTTCTAGGTATAGAATCATATCAATCATATCATCAGTGAAAAGAGATAGTTTGACTTCTTCCTTTCCTATTTGGATTCATTTTATTTCTTTCTCTTGCCTGATTGCACTGGCTAGAACTTCCAGTACTATACTGAATAGGAGTGGTGGGAGAGGGCATCTTTTTCTTGTTCCAATTATCAAGGGGAATGGTTCCAGCTTTTGCTTGTTCAGTATGATGCTGGCTGTGGGTTTTTCATTGATGGCTCCTATTATTTTGAGGTATGTTCCTTTTATGCCTAGTCTGTTGAGGGTTTTTATTATCAAGGGATTTTGGATTTTATTGTATGCTTTTGCTGCATCTATTGAGATAATCATATGGATTTTTCTTTTAATTCTGTTTATGTGGTAAATTACATTTATTGATTGCATATGTTGAACCAGCTGTACATCCCAGGAATAAAGCCTACTTGATCAGGGTGTGTTAACTTTTTGGTGTGCTCCCGGATTTGGTTTGCTAGTATTTTGTTGGGGAATTTTGCATCTATGTTCATCAGGAATATTAGCCTGAAGCTTTCTTATTTCATTATGCCTGTGCCAGTTTTTGCTATCAGGCTGATGCTGGCTTCATAAAATGAGTTAGAGAGGAGCCCCTCCTCCTCAATTTTTTTTGGAATAGTTTCAGTAGGATTGATAACAGTTCTTTGTATATCTGATAGAATTTGTCTGTGACTCCATCGGGTCCAGGATGTTAACAAAGCTGGAGGCTTTACACTACCTGACTTCAAATTATGCTAAAAGGCTACAGTAAGCAAAACATTATGGTACTGGCGCAAAAAAAGACACCTAGACCAATGGAACAGAATAAAAAACCCAGAAATAAAGCTGAACACCTGCAGCCATCTGATCTTTGACAAAGCCAACACAAATAAGCAATGGGGGAAGGACTCCCTATTCAATAAGTGGTGCTGGGATAGCTGGCTAGCCATATGCAGAAAAATGAAACTAGATGCCTACCTTTCACCATATACAAAAATTAACGCAAGATGGGTTAAATATTTAAAAATAAGACCTCAAGCTATAAAAATCCTAGAAGAAAACCTAGGAAATACCCTTCTCTATATCAGCCTTGGCAAATAATTTTTGGCAAAGCCCCCAAAAGCAATTGCAACAAAACCAAAAATTGACAAGTAGAACCTAATGAAAGTAAATAGCTTCTGCACAGCAAAAGAACTATCGACAGAGTAAACAAACAACCTACTGAATGGAAGAAAATATTTGCAAACTGTGCCTCTAATAAAAGCCTAATATTTAGAATCTATAGGAACTTAAATCAACAATCAAAAACAACCCTATTAAAAATGGGCAAAGGACATGAACACACTTCTCAAAAGAAGACACACAATGCCAATAAGCATATGAAAAAATGTTTAACATCACTAATCACTAGAGAAATGAAAATCAAAACCGCAATGAGATACCATCTCACACCAGTCAGAATGGCTATCATTAAACAGTCAAAAAACAACAGATGCTGGTGAGGCTGCAGAGGAAAGGGAACACTTACACGCTGTTAGTGGGAATGTAAATTAGTTCAGCCACTGTGGAAAGCAGTTTGGAGATTTCTCAAAGAACTCAAAACTGAACCACCATTCAACTCAGCAATCCCCTTCCAGGTTATATACCCAAAAGAAAATAAGTTATTTTACCAAAGAGGCACATGCATGCATATGTTCATTGCAGCACCATTCATAGTAGCAAAGACATGGAATCAACCTACGCGCCCATCACCAGTGGATAAAGAAAATATGGCACATACGTACCATGGAATAGTATGTAGCTGTAAAAAAGAATGAAATCTCATCCTTTGCAGCAACATGAATGCAGCTGAAGGCCATTATCCTAAGCAAATTAACACAGGAACAGAAAACCAAATATTGCATGTTCTCACTCGTAAGTTAGAGCTAAACATTGGGCACTCAGGGACATAAAGATGGTACCAATAGACACTCTGGACTACTTGAAGGGCGAGGGAGATGGGTTGAAAAACTACCTATTAGGTACTGTTCTCAGTATTTGGGTGATGGGATCAATCATACCCCAAATCTCAGAATCATGCAATATGACCAGGTAACAAACCTACACATGTACCCCCATTTCTAAAAGAAAAGTTGAAATCATTAAAAAATAAAATAAAATGAAGTTATTGGCCTTTATATTTACCAAGATTCTTTTATTTGAAACATGTATATTATTGAAAGTTAAAGACTGTGAACGCATTTTTATTTCATATGTTGGTTTGCAAGTAGAATTAATGGTAGGTGTGAATTTTGTAATCTGATTATTGGGCTCATATCCTACCTTCACATTTTTAGCAAGTAACATTGAGATTGATCCGAGACTTGAAACAAGTGCTCTCAATATTTGAGAAAATATTTTCATGTAAAATGCTGACTAGGACCATTTTAATATGAAGTTATGTCTCTAATAATTCAAAATATGCTATTAATTAGTTTTAAAATTTCAGACTAGCAAAGTCAGGACTGAACATATCAAGGTATCAAATACTTTACTGTCAGTCTACCTCATGCTTCTAACTCCACCTCTGGCTTTGTCTGACATCAGGGTCAGACTCTTACTGACATTTGTGAAGGACAGAAAGTGGCTTCATTAGAATCTTCAAAGGAAACCAGAGTAAAATAAGAGACAAAGGGGTTCCTTAGAGAAAAGAATTACTACAACAAATGAAAGAGTCTGTCACAATGGGAAGAGAGAATTGATGTAGGGTACAAATGTGAGGCTGCTTTTAAATTTACACAGCTCAGACTTCTGTGGTCACTTATGACCCTGGAAAAGAGATAGTTATGTGCCGAAGTTAAAAGCAGTTTATTACTATGAGCCCAAACATTTCTGCTGTCAGATTCCTTCTCCCTTCTCATGGAAGGGTTGAAAATGTGGACATCATTTCTCTACCAGTCAGAGAGAGGTGAGGACTGGAGGTCAAGGTTGGGTTAACACCAAGGTATTGGTGACCCGAATAAAGTATCAGGTGGTGTTTATGACAGGAACTTGGAGGCAGGTAGGATGTCATCCCAAGCATCAGAATTTGAGAAGATAGACACTCCAAAGGATGTCAAAGGCCATTGACACCATGTGGGCTCTATGCTAAGCAGAATTAGCTAAGAGGAATGTAAAGCGCCAGAGCATAAGGATAGCAGAGACACAGGAAGCTGTGGAAATTCTATGTGAGATAGTCCCCATCCACTTTGGAGTATCTAAGAGACATCAGAAAGGATGGAAGCCTTGCCATTTGGTAGGTGAGAACTATTAATCTAGTGGCATTGGCAAAAAGGATTGAAGTAGCTATACTTAAGATCCACAAGCAGGTTGTAACTAGAGAGTCACTTGAGTTAAACTATATTTTATAAAATGAATTTTAAAAATCCCCCTAATTTGGTTGATAAGATCATCATTTATATAGAAAAAAACCTATCATTAACCAAAATTGGAAGAGCAGTTTCTTTCATATTACAGACATAATTGACTATTTCACAGTTTATAGCTTTGGTCCATATCTCAAAACCTGGGGTCCCAGGTTAATCAAAGGGTCATCAGGTGCTCCTTGTGGCTATTGATCACCCACATCCCATATTTTAGCCATAAACCTCTAATATATATTTTTTTCGGGAAGAATAAGATAGGAATAATCAGGATATTGTAAGTCATGATTACACAGAGACTTTAATCATGTATCATGTGAACTCCAATTATCATGTTCTAATCTGCCCTTCAAAAGGAGAAACAGATAAGGATTATTCCACCTGACCATAACTCCAAGATATCGTTATGGTATCTTTGTTACATTTATTCCTGCTCTTTGTCTTGATTTTCTTTATTTAGTTTGGCAAGCTTCTGCTCTTTGGCTATCTTGCTGCCATCTCCCTGTGAACAGATCAAGGGTTTTACACAGACATTGGATACGTGCTATGGATAAGTTTGCTTTGTGTTCTTGTCTTCTTATTTAACCATTTAACAGAAGGGCCTCTTCAGGGCTATATGTGCAGCTTTGAAAGAGTTTAATTTACTTACATTCATTTTGAAGTTCTGAAAAATTACTATAGTGCTCATTTGATTTTTTTCTCTTTAGGGTTCTCCCCTTCTTTTGTGTTTAGAGGAAAGATAAATTGAAGGAATATAGAGGGAAGGGGAAGAAACCATTTCTTTTTATTTTTTTATTTTATTTTTATTTTTATTATTTTATTTTACTATTATTATACTTTAAGTTTGAGGGCACATGTGCATAACGTGCAGGTTTGTTACATATGTATACATGTGCCATGTTGGTGTGCTGCACCCATTAACTCGTCATTTAGCATTAGGTATATCTCCTAATGCTATCCCTCCCCCGTCCCCCCACCCCACAACAGTCCCTGGTGTGTGATGTTCCCCTTCCTGTGTCCATGTGTTCTCATTGTTCAATTCCCACCTATGAGTGAGAACATGCGGTGTTTCGTTTTTTGTCCTTGCGATAGTTTGCTGAGAATGATGGTTTCCAGCTTCATCCATGACCCTACAAAGGACATGAACTCTTCATTTTTTATGGCTGCATAGTATTCCATGGTGTATATGTGCCACATTTTCTTTATCCAGTCTATCATTGTTGGACATTTGAGTTGGTTCCAAGTCTTTGCTATTGTGAATAGTGTGGCAATAAACATATGTGTGCATGTGTCTTTATAGCAGCATGATTTATAATCCTTTGGGTATATACCCAGTAATGGGATGGCTGGGTCAAATGGTATTTCTATTTCTAGATCCCTGAGGAATCACCACAGCGACTTCCACAGTGGTTGAACTAGTTTACAGTCTCACCAACAGTGTAAAAGTGTTCCTATTCCTCCACATCCTCTCCAGCACTTGTTGTTTCCTGACTTTTTAATGATCGCCATTCTAACTGGTGTGAGATGGTATCTCATTGTGGTTTTGATTTGCATTTCTCTGATGGCCAGTGATGATGAGGACTTTTTCATGTGTTTTTTGGCTGCATAAATGCCTTCTTTTGAGAAGTGTCTGTTCATATCCTTTGCCCACTTTTTGATGGGGTTGTTTGTTTTTTTCTTGTAAATTTGTTTGAGTTCACTGTAGATTCTGGATATTAGCCCTTTGTCAGATGAGTAGGTTGCGAAAATTTTCTCCCATTCTGTAGGTTGCCTGTTCACTCTGATGGTAGTTTCTTTTGCTGTGCAGAAGCTCTTTAGTTTAATTAGATCCCATTTGTCAATTTTGGCCTTTGTTGCCATTGCTTTTGGTGTTTTAGACATGAAGTCCTTGCCCATGCCTATGTCCTGAATGGTATTGCCTAGGTTTTCTTCTAGGGTTTTTATGGTTTTAGGTCTAACATTTAAGTCTTTAATCCATCTTGAATTAATTTTTGTATAAGGTGTAAGGAAGGGATCCAGTTTCAGCTTTCTACATATGGCTAGCCAGTTTTCCCAGCACCATTTATTAAATAGGGAATCCTTTCCCCCTTGCTTGTTTTTGTCAGATTTGTGGAAGATCAGATAGTTGTAGATATGCAGCATTATTCCTGAGGGCTCTGTTCTGTTCCATTGGTCTATATCTCTGTTTTGGTACCAGTACCATGCTGTTTTGGTTACTGTAGCCTTGTAGTATAGTTTGAGGTCAGGTAGCGTGATGCCTCCAGCTTTGTTCTTTTGGCTTAGAATTGACTTGGCAATGTGGGCTCTCTTTTGGTTCCATATGAACTTTAAAGTAGTTTTTTCCAATTCTGTGAAGAAAGTCATTGGTAGCTTGATGGGGATGGCATTGAATCTATAAATTACCTTGGGCAGTATGGCCATTTTCACGATATTGATTCTTCTACCCATGAGCATGGAATGTTCTTCCGTTTGTTTGTATCCTCTTTTATTTCATTGAGCTGTGGTTTGTAGTTCTCCTTGAAGAGGTCCTTCACATAGACATTGATGGGACGTATCTCAAAATAATAAGAGCTATCTATGACAAACCCACAGCCAATATCATACTGAATGGACAAAAACTGGAAGCATTCCCTTTGAAAACTGGCTCAAGACAGGGATGCCCTCTCTCACCACTCCTATTCAACATGGTGTTGGAAGTTCTGGCCAGGGCAATCAGGCAGGAGAAGGAAATAAAGGGCATTCAATTAGGAAAAGAGGAAGTCAAATTGTCCCTGTTTGCAGATGACATGATTGTATATCTAGAAAACCCCATCGTCTCAGCCCAAAATCTCCTTAAGCTGATAAGCAACTTCAGCAAAGTCTCAGGATACAAAATCAATGTGCAAAAATCACAAGCATTCTTATACACCAGTAACAGACAAACAGAGAGCCAAATTATGAGTGAACTCCCATTCACAATTGCTTCAAAGAGAACAAAATACCTAGGAAACCATTTCTTTTTAATTCTCCATTTGAGAATTTAAGAAGAAGCAGCAAAGAAACTAATTCTACATTTTAATAAAAATGAACAGATTCAGCTCATGGTGAAAAAATGATACGTAAAAATACATTTGAATTTTAACTTCAAAGTAGAAGTTAAAGGGGTTACTAAATGGTTCCAACTTTTTTTTGTAGCTAGATTTGACAAATATTTTAGGGGTTTTTAATAGGGGGTTACTAAATGGTTCCAACTTTTTTGGTAGCTAGATTTGACAAATTTTATTGAGGGATTACTCTGGCCTTCAGATGCAATAAAATAAAATCACAGAACATCCCTGGGGGTTATTATTTAGTCTCACTTTTAAGATGAAGAAACTAAGGTGAAATTTAGTAAGGTTAGTAAGTGGCAGAATCAGGATTAGAGCTCAGGCTTACACATTACTCTTCCGTTGTGCCCCAAACCAGTGCTTCTCTGTTTTGTGTTGCTACAACATACTACTACACACTAAATAATTTATAGGCAGAAATGTATTAGCTTAGGGTTCTGGAGGCTGGGAAGTCCAAGATCATCTGGGAAGGGAATTATTGCTGTATCATCCCATGACAGAAGCACAAATAGAGGGCACATGAGAGAAAAGGGGGCCAAAATTATCCTTTTGTAAGGAAACCATTCCTGTGATAACTCACCCACCACTCATCCATTCATGAGGGTAAAGCCCTCATGGTCTAACCACCACTAATCATTAGGCCTTATCTTCCAACAATGTTATAATGAGGATTAAGCTTCCAGCACATGAGTTTTGGGGGACATACTCAAACCTTAGCTTCTCCAATTATGATCTACACATAAATCACCAGGGGGTCTGGTTAAACTGTAGAGTTTTTAAAAAATTATTTTTAAATTTTGTGGATACATAGTACATGAATATATTTATGGGGTACATGAGATATTTTGATACAAGCATACAATGCAGAATAATCACATCAGGGCAAGAACTGATAAATAAATTCAGTAAGGTTTCAGAATACAAAATTAATGTACACAAATGAGTAGTCCTGCTATATACCAACAGTGACCAAGCTGAGAATCAAATCAAGAATTCAACCCATTCTACAATAGCTGCAAAAAATCAAAATACTTAGGAATAGACCTAACCAAGGAGGTGAAAGACCTCTGCAAGGAAAACTACAAAACACTGCTGAAAGAAATCAGATGACACAAACAAATGGAACAAATGACAAACAAATCCTATGCTCATGGATGGATAGAATCAATATTGTGAAAATGACCATACTGCCAAAAGCAATCTATAAATTAATGCAGTTCCCATCCAAATACCACCATCATTCTTCACAGAACTAGAAAAACAATTCTAAAATTTTTATGGTATCAAAAAAGAGCCTGCATAGCCAAAGCATGACTAAGCAAAAAGAACAAATCTGAAAGCATTACATTACCTGACTTCAAAATATACTATAAGGCTAGAGTCACCAAAACAGCATGGTACTGGTGTAAAAATAGGCACATAGGCCAATGAAGCAGAATAAATAACCCAGAAATAAGGCCACATACTTACAGCCAACTGACCTTCAATAAAGCAAACAAAAACATAAAGTGGGGAAAGAACACCTTATTTAACAAATGGTGCTGGGATAATTGGCAAGCCACATGTAGAGAATGAAACTAGATCCTCATCTCTCACCTTATACAAAAATCAACTCAGGATGGATCAAAGACTTAAATCTAAGACCTGAAACCATAAAAATTCTATAAGATAACATTGGAAAACCCCTTCTAGACATTGGCTTAGGTAAAGACTTTATGACCAAGAACCCAAAGACAAATGCAACAAAAACCAAGATAAATAAATGGGACATAATTAAACTAAAAAGCTTCTGCACAGCAGAAGAAATCTTTAGCAGAGTAAATAGACAACCCACAGAATGGGAGAAAATCTTCACAAACTATGCATCCAACAAAGAGTTAATATGGAGAATCTACAAGGAACTCAAATCAGCAAGAAAAAATAATCTCATCAAAAAGTGGGCTAAGGACATGAATAGACAATTCTCAAAAGAAACCATACAAATGGCCAACAAACATATAAAAATACTCAACATCACTAATTATCAAGGAAATGCAAATCAAAACCACAGTGTGATACCACCTCACTGCTGCAAGAATGTCCATAATAAAAAAAAATAGATGTTGGCATGGATGTGGTGAAAAGGGAACACTTTTACACTGCTGGTGGGACTGTAAACTGGTACCACCATTAGTAGTTTCCTTTTCACTGTGAAGATTCCTTAAATAACCAAAAGTAGATCTACCGTTTGATCCAGCAGTCCCACTCCTGGGTATCTACCCAAAAGAAAAGAGGTCATTATACAAAAAAGATATGTGCACACACATGTTTATAGCAGCACAATTTGCAATCGCAAAAATATGGAACCAGCTCAAATGCCCATCAATCAATGAATGGATAAAGAAAATGTGAGACACACACACACACACACACACACACACACACACCCCATGGAATACTACTCAGCCATGAAAAGGAATAAAATAACGGCATTTGCAACAACCTAGATGGAATTGGAGACCATTACTCTAAGTGAAGTAACTCAGGAATAGAAAACCAAATATCTTACATTCTCACTTATAAGTGGGGGCTAAGCTATGAGGATGCAAAGAATGATACAATGGACTTTGGGGACTCAGGAGAAGGGCAGGAGGGGGTGAGGGATAAAAGACTACACATCAGGTACAGTTACTCTACACCTGCTCAGGTGATGGGTGCACCAAAATCTCAGAAATAATCATTAAAGAACTTACCCATATAACCAAACACCACCTGTTACCCCAAAACCAATTGAAATAAAAAAGAAAAATTAAAAAAAATCACATTAGGGCAAATACGGTATCCATCACCTCAAGCATTTATCATTTCTTTGTGTTACAGACATCCCATTTATATACTCCTGTAGTTATTTAAAAATGTATAACAACTTTTGTTGACTGTAATCACCCTGTTGTGCTATCAAATACTAGATCTTATTAATTCTTTCTAACTATATTTTTGTACTTATTAACCATACCAGGGTCCGTCCCTGCCCTGCATTATTCTTAGCAGCCTCTGGTAATCATCATTCTACTCTCTATCTCCATGAATTTAATTGTTTTAATTTTTACCTCCCACAAATGAATGAGAACATGTGAAGTCTATCTTTCTGTGCCCGGCTTATTTCACTTAACATAATGTCCTCCAGTGCCATGCATGTTGCATATGACAGAATCTCCTACTTTTTAATGGTTGAATAGTACTCTGTTGTGTATATGTACCACATTTTCTTTTTCCATTCATCTGTCGATGGACATTTAGGTTGCTTCCAAATCTTGGCTATTGTGAATAAGCATGGCAGTGCAATAAACACATGGCAGTGCTTATTATAAAATAAAAGTATATCTCTTTGATTTACTGATTTTATTTCTTTTGAGCGTATACCTAGCAGTGGGATTGCTGGATCATATAGTAGTTATATTTTTAGTTATCTGAGAAACTTACATATTGTTCTCCATAGTGGCTGTACTAATTTACATTCCCACCAACAGTGTATGAGGGTTCCTTTTTCTTTACATTCTCACCAGCATTTGTTACTGCCTGTCTTTTGGATACAGTCAATTTTAACTGGGGTGAGATAATAATATCTCATTTGATTTGTATTTCTCTGATGATTGGTGATGTTGAGCACCTTTCCATATATGTGTTTGCCATTTGTATGTCTTTTTTTGAGAAATGTCTAAATCTTTTGCCCATTTTTAAATTGGATTATTAGATTTTTTTCCTATTGAGTTGTTCAAGCTCCTTATATATTCCTTTTATTAATCCCTTGTCAGATAGATAGTTTGCAAATTTTTTTCCCCATTCTGTGGGTTGTTTCTTCATTTTGTTGATTGTTTCCTTTGCTGTGCAGAAGTTCTTTAACTTGAGATGTTCCCATTTGTCCATTTTTGCTTGGGTTGCCTGTGCTTTGGAGTATTACTCAATAAATCTTTGCCCAGTCCAATGTCCTGGAGAGTTTCCCTAATGTTTTCTTTTAGTAGTTTCGTAGTTTGAGGTCTAATATTTGTCTGTAATCCATTGTGATTTCAATACTATCTTTCCTTTTCTCATCTTATATGATGTTAGAACCAGGTACTGTGAATTTTGTTCTTAGGAAGGTGCTTTCTTGTGTGTATAGTTGTTCAATTTGGTGTTCCTACCATGGCGGGCAGGAGAGAATTATCACTGGGATTCTTCTTGGCCATCATCTACTCTCACTCTAAACTGTGAGTTTTAATGCAGCAGGTCTGGGGTAGAGTCTGAGATTCTGCTTGCCTAACAATCTCCCAGGGAAAGCTGATGTAGCTGGTTCACACACCACACTGTGAGTGACAAGACCTTAAACTTTTCTGACTTGGAGAAATAAAAAGGAACTTCTGTAATGACAAGCTTAAGAGGCACAATTAATACACCTACCAGTTTGCCTTTTAAATATTTTGTTTTTTGGAAAAATCTTACCGTGTATTCTTTATGATCCCGGAATAATTTGATTGTGTTCACAATTGTTCTGGTATGATCCAGTGAATATATAACATGCCTTTGAGAACATGATAGTAGGAGATACTAGTAAAAAAAAGTACTCAGTGACTTTTTTGAAATAATAACTTGAAAACAAATCCAAATTAGACAATGCAGAGTAATTATGGCAAAGAAAGTTTGGGTGACTACTGAGAAAATTACTTCCTCAATCAGTTGCGTGGAAGATTTAATTGAAGAAAATGAATACACTCCCATCTTTCTCTTTTCTTTAATATTTATTTGGGCTTTAAATAGGCAACATCAGCTATAATCTAGTTGAGATCAACAGCCCCCAAGTTATAAACAGAAGCTGTTCAGTCAAAATTTTCCAAATCAAGTCTGACATCAGATAAGCCGTTCTGAGGGCTTTAAGATTGAAGTATATTTCTTTTTAGTGCTCCTAAATTTGCGAATTCTTTTCTTGTGACTAAAAGCTAATAAAACTATTTTTAAATTTAATGATAGTCATAAGAAGATTTCACTGATAGTAGAAGTTACAGCAGGCAGTCTACTTCTAACAAGAGAGTATTCTAAATTTTAGAATAAGTAGTAGAGTCTGAAGAATTCAGAGGTGAGGATATCAACTACCCTAAGACCCCTTCCTCCAATGTCATATGAAGACATTGAGTCCAAAAGAGATGTATTAACTTGTTTGAGGTCAATCAGCTTGTTGGTGGCACAATTTTTGTTAGAAGTTTGGTCAATGGTCACAGAGTCAACTGTTAGAAAGGCCAAGTATATAAAATATAACATAAAAGGAGATCATGGGAAATGTGGTAAATAGCATAGGGGGAAGGTCACTGACAAACAGTTCAAACTGATTATTTATATGTGAAAATGAGGGCTCAGTATAGACAGATCATCTGCCTTTTATTTTTAAATTTTAAAAGTTTTTTATTTTTTTTTGAGACAGGGTCTCACTCAGGCTGGAATGCAGTGGTGCGATATTGGCTCACTGCAACCTCTGCTTCCTGGGCTCAAGTGATCCTCCCACCTCAGCCCCCCAAGTAGCTGGGACTAAGGCATACATGCCACCACACCTGCTAATTTTTGTATATTTGTAGAGACGGGGTTTTGCCATGTTGCCCAGGCTGGTCTCAAACTCCTGAGCTCAAGCAATCCACCCTCCTTGGCCTCTCAAAGTTCTAGGATTACAGGTGTAAGCCACCATGCCTGGCCTCATCTGCTTTTTAAATAAAAGTTGGGAATTCAGAATTATATGAAAATATTTTAATTGAAAAATACAATGAACAAAAACAAAAGCAAAAACAGTGTGAGTCAAACAAAACACACATGTAGAGAAGACTGGACTTATGGGGCTGTGTTTGTATGATGTCTGACCCAGGCTTCTGTTCTCCCAGTCTAATGTGCTTTTATTTAAAAAAATTTTTAAGTTTTACAGTTTTTAAAATATGTGTGGGTACATAGTAGGTGTATATATTCATGGGATACTTGAGATGTTTGATACAGGCATGCAATGTGAAATAAGCATATCATAGAAAATGGGAGTATCCATTCCCTCAAGCATTTATCCTTTGAATTACAAACAAACCAATTATACTTTATAAGTTATTTTAAAATGTACAATTAAGTTATTATTGATTATAATCACCCTATTGTGCTATCAAATCATATGTCTTATTTATTTTTTCTATTTTTTTTGTACCCATTAACCATCCTTACCTTCCTCGAGCCCTCCAATACCCTTTCCAGCCTCTGGTAACCCATCCTTGTACTTTCTATGTCCATGATTTCAATTGTTTAGATTTTCAGATCCCGCAAGTAAGTAAGAACATGCAATGCTTCTCTTTCTTTGCCTACCTTACTTTTCTTAACATAATGATCTCCAGTTCCATCCATGTTGTTGCAAATGACTGGATCTCATTCTTGTTTATTGTTGAACAGTACTTCATTGTGTATATGTACCATGTTTTCTTTATCTATTCGTCTGTTGATGGACACTTAGGTTGCTTCCAAATCTTAGCTATTGTAAACAGTGCTGCAACAAACAGAGGAGTGCAGATATCTCTTTGATATACTGATTTTCTTTCTTTTGGGTACATACGCATCAGTGGAATTGCTGGATCATACGGTAGCTAAATTTTAGTTTTCTGAGGAGCCTCAAAACTGTTCTCCGTAGTGGGTTGTACTAATTTACATTCAACAGTGTACAAGGGTTCCTTTTTCTCTACATCCCTGCCAGCATTTGTTATTGCCCGTCTTTTGGATATAAGCCATTTTAACTGGGGTGAGGTGATATCTTATTATAGTTTTACATTCAATGTTATTATTGATAAGTAAGGACTAACTCCTGCCATTTTGTTATTTGTTTTCTGGTTACTTTGTGGTCTTCCTTCTTTGTTTCATTCTCATCTTCCTCTAGTGAAAGTGATTTTCTCTGGTAATATAATTTAGTTTCTTGCTTTTTATTTTTTGTGTATCCATTGTATGTTTTTGGCTTGAGGTTACCATGAGGCTTGTAAATCTATCTTATAACCTTTTATTTTAACCAGACAAAAACTTAGCACTATTTGCCTAAACAAACAAGGAAAAAGAAAACTATTAAAAACTCTATGCCTTAGTTTCATCCCCTCAATTTTTAACTTTTGTTGTTTCTGTTATATTTCATTGTACTGATTATGTCTTGGAATGTTGTTGTAGTTATTATTTTAGATTGGTTCATTGTTTAGTCTTTCTACTTAGGATAAGAGTTTCAGTGTTATAATATTCTGTGTTTTCCTGTGTACTTACTTTTACAGTGAGTTTTGTACCCTGAGATTGTTATTAGATCTTTAGGGTGTCGATTTGCTGGCTGGAAACCTCTGTGGCTGCAGCATTTTTGCCCAAGTTCTTGTCCTGCATTGTCCAGGAAGAATGAGGTATGCAGACAAGTGAAGAGTGAACAAGATGAAGATAAGCTTTATTGAGTATTACAACAACTCATAGGAGACCTGCAGTGGGTAGCTCCTCTCTGTGGGCAGATTACTGTCAAGTGTTCAGTTCTCAGCAGAGAGGAGGCCCTGGAGATGGTAGCTTCTCTCTGCTACTGGTCATCCTGATGTCTGTAGCTCTCAGCAGATATGAGGCCCTGGAGAGGGTGGCTCCTCTCTGCTGGCAGGTCACCTCTGCAGCTCTCAGCAGAGAGGGTAGCTCCTCTCTACAGCTGGTTGTCCTGTCATCTGCAGCTCTCAGCAGAGAGTGTAGCTTCTCTCTGCAGCTGGTTTTCCCATTGTCTGTCTGCCCTCTTTATCCTCTGGTCATCCTCGGCCCTGCTCTGGCTGAGCCAGGGATTTTATGGACCTCAGAAAGGAGGAAGTGTGTTCCAGTTAGTCCATGGGTGGCCATGGGCGCCTGGAAGAGGCACCAGGAGACCCCACTTAGGTCTGCAGGTCTGGCACTCCAGCCCCCAGCCCCCAGCCTTCAGGCCCTCCATGGCCTAAAGATGGGGCCTTACTGGGGACCTGTGTTCTACCCAGGAATCAATCTGCCTCCAGCTGCCATTCATGGCCCTTGGGGGTTGCCTCCAATCCCCTGCTCAGAGATCAGAACAGGTTCCAGGAGTGGAGAGAGGTCAGGCAGCAGGAGAAGACACCCCAGAGCCTGCAGGGATGGGGGGGGGGTCCTTCCTGGGGCCCCCGAGGGTGCAGACTGCAGAGATGCCCAGGTTCCTGTGCCTGGGTGGCAGGCTGCAGCTGCACCTGGGAGCTCTCGCTCTGCCAACTCGGAAGGGGTGGGGCTCCTACTTGTCCGCGGCTCCCACCAAATCCATGGAACCAGAGGCCCAAGTCTGCAGTCGAGGGTCCTGCAGCTGCAGCTGCACCTTGGAGGTCAGATCCTGCCTGTTCCCAGCCCCTCTCCCAGAGGACAGGGAGGCTCAGATCCACAGTGGCAGTTTGGGTGGCTGTGGGTCCTGCCTGCTCCATAGAGCAGGAGGCCTGGGTCTGTAGCTGCCTTTCGGTGGCTGCAGTGGCACCCAGGGAGCTCCTGCCCCAACTCAGAAGGGGTGGGGCTCCCACCAGCTCCATGGAGTGGGCAGCCCCAGCCACCCTTCCCTGCTGCAGCCGGCATGATGGCAGGAGCCACTGCCATCAAGATGATTATTTATTGCTCATTAATGTCCTTTTTTTTTTCATTTAGCATTTTTTGTAGGACAGGTCTGGTATGAATGTAATCTTTCAGCTTTTGTTTGTCTGTGAAGTCTTTATTTCTCCTTCATGTTTCAAAGCATATGCTATTGTAGGGTAAAAGTTTTTGTCCTTCGGCACTTTAAATATGTCATGCCACTCTCTCCTGAACTGTAAGGTTTCCACTGAGAAGCCTGCTGTCAGACCTATTGGAGCTCCATTTTATGTTGTTTCTTTTCTCTTGCTGCTTTTAGGACCCTTTCTTTATCCTTGACCTTTGGGAGTTTCATTATTAAATGCCTTGAGGTAATCTTCTTTGGGTTAAATCTGCTTGGTGTTCAATAACCATCTTGTACTTGGATACCGATATCTTTCTCTAGGTTTGAGAAGTTCTCTGTTATTCTGCCATTGAATAAGCTTTTTACCCCATCTCTTTCTCTACCTCCTCTTTAGGGCTGATAACTTTTAAATTTGTCCTTTTGAGGCTATTTTCTTGATCCTGTAGGTGTACTTTATGTTTTTTACTTTTTTCTTTTGTCTCATCTGACCTGTATTTTCAATTTAGCCTGTCTTTAAGCTCACCAATTCTTTCCCGTGCTTGATCCATTCTGTTATTAAAGGACTGTGATGCATTCTTCAGTATGCCAGTTGCATTTTTCAACTCTAGAATTTCTGCTTGATTCTTTTAATTATTTGAATCTCTTTGCTTGTCTGCTATCAAATTTATCTGATATCATTCTGAATTCCTTCTTTGTGTTATCTTTAATTTCTTTTTGTTTCCTCAACCCAGATATTTTGAATTCTCTGCCTGAAAGGTCACATATCTCTGTTTCTCTAGGATTGCTCCCTGGTGCCTTATTTAGTTCATTGGGTGAGGTCATGTTTTCCTGGATGATGTTGATGCTAGCAGATGTTCTTCAGTGTCTGGGATTGAAGAGTTAGGTATTTATTGTAATCTTCACTGTCTTGAATTATTTTTAGCTGTCCTTTTTGGAAAGGCTTTTCAGATATCTAAAAGGACTTGGGTGTTGTGATCTAAGCTGTATTTACTTTAGGGGGCCCCAGTAATGCTGTGGCACTTGCAGACTCGTAGAGGTACTGTCTTGATGGTCTTGGACAAGATCTGGGAGAATTCTCTGGATTACCGGGCAGACAGTCTTGTTTCTTCCCTTGCTTTCCTTTCTCCCAAACAAAGAGTCTGTCTTTGTTCTGACCCACCTAAAGCTAGGGGTGGAGTGACACAGCACCCGTGTGGTGACCACCACAGTGACTGTGCTGGATCAGACCAGAAGCCAGCACAGCACTGGGTCTCGCCCAAGGTCTGCCGTAGCCACCTTCTGGCTAGTATCCATGTCCACTCAAAACGCTGGGGCTCTACAATCAGCAAGTGGCAAAGCAAGCCAGGCCTTTATCTTCTCCTTCAGGGAGGCAAGGTCTCCCAGGCCCTGGGTGAGTCCAGAGGAGCTGTCTGGGAGTCAGGGACTAGAGTAAAAAACCTTAGAAGTCTACCAGGTATTCTATTGTATTGCAGCTGAGCTTGCACTAAAACCACAGGATGCCGTCCTCCCACTCTTCCCTTCTCTTTTTAAAGGCAGAAGAGCCTCACCTTGTAGCCACCACCACCCCAGGCCACAAGGAGGATGGCCAGACTACCAACCAATGTTCCCTTAAGTCCCAAAGGCTATTAAGTCAGCTTGTGATGCATGTTGCCTGACCTTGGACTTACCCTTCAGGGCAATGGGCTCCACTCTGGACCAGGGCAGGTCCAGAAGTGCCATCTAATATGGTTCGGCTCTGTGTCCCACCCAAATCTCATGTTGAATTGTAATTCCCAGTGTTGGAGAGGGACCTAGTGGAGGTGATTGGATCATGGGATGGATTTCCCCCTTGCTGTTCTCATGATAGTGGGTTCTCATGAGATCTGATGATTTAAAAGTGTGTGGCACTTCCCCCTTTGCACTCTCTTTCTCCTGCGCCACCATGTAAAAATTGTGCCTGCTTCCCCTTTGCCTTCAGCTATGATTTTAAGTTTCCTGAGGCCTCTCCAGCCATGCCTTCTGTACAGCCTGCAGAACCATGAGTCAATTAAACATCTTTCCTCCATAAATTACCCAGTCTCAGGTATGTCTTTATAGCAGTATGAAAACAGACTAATACACCATCCAGGAATCAAGTCCTGGAGTTGGAAACCCCAAGATCCCAGTTGGTGCTCTGCCTCGCTGTGGCTGTGCTGGTACCTCAGGTGCAAGACAAAGTCCCCTTTATGTTTCCCTCTGCTTTTTTCTCAAGCAGAAGGAAAGCCCTGTAGCTACCACAGCTGGGAGGTTATCAGTGTTATTAGCCTTGGCATTCATTCTTGGTCTCAACCATTTGTGAGACCTACTGATAGGTCAATGTCATATAATAAATGGCCATTTTCCTAACACATAAATTTAAGCTGCAACATTTGATTGCTGTGAATAAGAGAGATATTTATTTGGTGGGAGAGCTTAAACTACATTTCAGCATTTGCAAGTATTAAAAAAGTTAATACAAGTAAAGTATATCAAGCATATAGAAAATCAATGTTAGCTGATATTATTATTTATTATTTCTTGTGGCTTTTTGTTTTCTATTTTCTGCTATGCTTATAATAATTCTTGTAAAACTATTCTTTAATGCGATTTGTGGGGAAAATTATTTGCTGCTATTGTAGTCCAGAATTGGGAATTACCCAAGAAACCAAGACTTATCCCTTGCAGATGTCAAGGGTTTCTTCTGTTCAGCCCTGGGATCTCGAGGAAACTTGCCAAATTTAGCCTAGTACATAAACATACCAACTTGGGTAATAATTAAGGTGCCATGCCTTACCCTGTTTTTGAGAGGTAGGATACTAAAATTGAAGTTAAATTTATCAGCATATTTTGAGAATAGGTATGACGGAGATGGATTCCAGTATTTCTGGATGGAAACAACTACTTGCTAGCCCCAAAGGAAAAGGCTGCTAGAGCTGCTTCTGCAAAATACTTCTGGGTAACTGGAAACTTTGGGAGTCCTTTGAGACTCATACCATTTGACTAGGTCACTCTTTGTCCTTCCTTATCATTATCATCTGTAGATTTTAAGGATTATATTATTTCTGACCAATAATAATTTAATTCTAATTTTCTACTGATGTGTGTGTGTGTGTGTGTGTGTGTGTGTGTATGTGTGTGTGTGTGTGTGTGTGACAGAGTCTCACTCCATCACCCAGGCTGGACTGCAGTGGTGTGATCTTGGTTCACTGCAACCTGTGTCTCCTGGATTCAAGTGATTCTTGTGCCTCAGCCTCTTGAGTCAGCAGCTGGAATTACAGGGGCGCACTTGATTTTTGTATTTTTAGTAGAGATGGGGTTTTACTATATTGGCCAGGCTGGTCTTGAACTCCTGACTTCAATTCAGGTTAGGTATGGGCTCCCACACCTAACCTTATTGATTTTTTTCCATTAAAAAGTTTATTTTCATGTATCACATTTTGAGTTAGTTATATTATGCACAAATTATGTTATAGAAAAGGCATGCTTAGTTTTTGGTCTGATGAATGTGGATAAGAGAAAAATTTATCGTGGCTGTGAGCAGTCCAAAATATGGTCTAGAATAAGGAATGTAGGAAATGAAGACTATTGTAGGGCTTATTAAATTATAACATTTCATAATTAAATGAAAACTAATAAATGAAATATAAACATCAGACTTGATTTTTTCCCCTAAAGATACAGTTTTAAAAATTAAATGGAAAAATGCTCATAGAAAATTATCTTTAGAATTTATCTTTTTCTGACTAGTTATTTACCTTTTGTATTTTTTAGTAATAAAATTTACTTGGTGGAGTATTTTCCTTCCTTAACCATACTTTAATAT
Organism: Homo sapiens; assembly: GCF_000001405.40. Lineage (NCBI taxonomy): Eukaryota > Metazoa > Chordata > Mammalia > Primates > Hominidae > Homo > Homo sapiens. The sequence goes on along the minus strand of NC_000003.12, from coordinate 180,527,481 downwards.
TTTTGACTATCTTACCTCTCTCAACCTGAAGGCAGACAGTGAGCAGCAAGGGATTTGGAGACAAACTTTGGGGAATTTGAGTGTTTTTAAAAGTCACCTCCATAAAATTTTTATTTTTTTCACAAAACCCTTAGACATAAAGTTCTCTATGTGCTGCTCCAAATGAAGTTTCCTTTTAGACAGAGCTGTGGTGTTTCAAAATTAAGTCTCCTTATGGCCTGCCTTTCTCCCTAGGCAGAACACCTGAGCCACAGTATCAGAACTAGGGTTGGAAGCCTGCTTTTCCTGGAATGAAACCCCTCACTCTTCAAGTGTCCAGGAGACAAGAGGTAACAGTCCCTGGTCTCCATATTCATGTGTGAAATCTCTGCCCTATGAGCAAGCTGAGATGAGGGTGATTTGGGACCCAGTACTGTGGCTGGAGTAGGCTTCCATTCTCTGAGCCAGGGCAGAGATGGGGAGACCTGCTACTCTCTACAATCTGGAATAGAGTTTCTGCAGCACAGGGCATGGCTGGGGCAGGATGGCAGCCTACTCCTGCTGTGGGGGAACTGTAGCCCCAAACCAGGTGTGGGGAAGGAATAGAACTCCTGTCTTTTTGGTTGCAACTGCCTGGAGTAAAGGACTTGGGGTACAGCTTCTATAATACAGAGTTGGCATTGGGGGAAAGGGAGCAAGTCGTGACCCAAAGGCCACAGACTTGCTTTTCTTACTGAGATTTACTAGATTTTCTCAAATAAATGTTTCACCATTTGCTGTATGTTTTTAAGACACTTGCCAGATGACTGTTGTGTGTATTTTAAAAGTAGTTTTTACCAGTTTTATTTCCTTTTTCTGGGGAGACAGTCACTGAGCTTATTATTCCCGCGTTCTGGAGGTACAACTTTGAGCTTTTTCTAGAGGTGCAAGTCACATAAATTCCTAGTGCTTCATGTTTCTCATTTATAAAATAAAGCTTGTCATGAGTATTTACTCAAATGATGTCTGAAATTTACCTAGTTCATAGAGGTAATAGAATGGATATTAGATCTCTTTTCTGCTTACCCTTTTGCTGATTATAGTTTCAATGTTTTTTACTCTATTTCATCAAGAGCCTTCAGCTCAAATTTACAGTATATATATTCTGTCTGTAAAGACTTCAGATCACTCAGCTATTTGTCAGAAAAATAAGATGCTTAATCAATCAGTGAAAATCTTATGTTTATTTCATATTAATTCAACAACTATTTATTGATTTCCTATTCTTGCTAGTCATTGTGCAAGCCTATCTCTAGAGAGGCTAACAGACTCTTTCTGGCTTTGAAAGAAACAAGCTGCCATATTGAAACAAGCTGCCATATTATGTGTGAGCTGCCCTAAGGAAAGACACACATGGTAAGGAAGAGAGGATGACCTCTGGCTGATAGGCAGCAAGAAACTAAGGACCTCAGTCTGAGAACCTGCAAGGAGCTGAATTCTTCCAATTACCATGTGAGCTTGGAAGCAGCTCCTTCCCCAGTCAAGCCTCAGATGAGACCCCAGCCCTGGCCAACACCTTGATTGCAGCCTCTTATGAAGATTGTAGTCCCTAAGCAGAAAATCCAGATAACCTGTGCCCAGATTGCTGAGCCACAGAAATTCACTGAGATAATAAACGTGTGTTTCAAGCTGCTGAATTTGTGGTAATTTGTTGAAAACTAATAGGTAACTAACAGATAATGTATGCCCTGTTCTTTAAACATATTCATTTATTTCTCCCTTTCTTTTCTCTAGCTCAGTGTTTCTCAACCTTGATACTGCTAACATTTTGGCCCAGGTCATTTATTATGGGGAGCTGTCCTGTGCATTGTAGGATGTTTGCAGCACTTCTGTCCTTTACCCACTACATGCCAATAGCACCTTCCCAATTTTGACAATAAAAAATACCTTCAGATATTGTCAAATGCTCCCTGGAGGGAGGACCCTCCCTACTGAGAACCATTGTGTTCCCTTTGTTTATAATACACTTACCCATCATTTTTGCTTGATAATCTGTTATAACAGAGTTCAAATGTCTTGTCCTCTGATGCTTTGACTGATAAAGAGGGTATAGGCGGATTATTTTTAGGAACGTCTCCAAATTCTTTCTGTCTCTACCCTGATAAGGTGGGTTGTACATGGTATAAAATTTTAGGATGATCTAATTATTGATATTATTATTTTTATTATGTGCAGGATTGTGTAGGGTTATAGGAAGATTTTCTGTTCCCCAAGGTTTACAGAATATTGATTTAAAATCATTATGTGTGCCCTCAAACAATCAAATATTTGAGATCCTAGCCCTGGCCAACACCAGTCATAGATTTAAGTAGTCAAATTATAGTAGGAGGTGGGAAAACAAATAACTGCCATTGGATAAAAGTTTTCATAAATGTGATAAATTTAAAAATATAATCATTGTCAAAAATAATCAAGCTTGTCTTCTTTTTGTTTACTAACAACTTTCTTCATGTGGACTGTGTGAGACATTTTGGTTTTGACATTAAAGCAGTAGCATAACTCAGTTCCATACATAATTTATTTTGTTTTTGAAGTGTGAATTCAGAAACTCATTTTAATGCATAATTAAGCTAAATTTTGTGTGGTTTATTTCATTTCACTTTTAGAGATTATCTACTTGTGTTTGACATGCATTTATGAATGCTTTAGTAACTCAATAATGAGACATTGGAGTCATTTTCTTAAAACCAAAGAAAAAAAATAATGTCCCATGGAGGTAGGGGTATGGTATTCTTGACTCTGAGAAATATTTGCTTTTCTAATCACCTGAGAGATATATTGAGGGTACACTCATGATCTCCTATCTAATCTGCATGATTTTATTCTGAGATTTTGCTGCCATTTTGAATTACAGGATAGCATGTTGACAGTCAACTTCAAGGATTTCTCATAGGCATATTTGGTGCAAACTAAACTTTATTAGTCACTGTGTGAATTAAGATAAGAAAAAAATTAAAGTTACTCCCATTTCCTTTAACTTGGCAAATGAGACAGATAAAAACTTCCTCTAGTTCTATTTCACAGTTTAAAAATTACCATAATTTGAGAGGAGTGTGCTGTTTTCACTTGGCCATTTGTATACTTTAGTGGACTTGAAGGTTAGACTTTGTTACGGTTTGGCTCTGTGTCCTCACCCAAATCTCATCTCGAATTGTAATCCCCGCATGTCAAGGGAGGGACCTGTAATCCCCATGTGTCAAGGGAAGGATGCGATTGGATCATGGGGCAAGTTTCCCCATGTTGTTCTTGCGATAGTGAGTGAGTTCTCACAAGATTTAATGGTTTTATATGCCTGGCATTTCCCCTGCTTGCATTTCTGTCTCCTGTCTCCATGTGAGGAAGGTCCTTGCTTTCCCTTTGCCTTCTGCCATGATTGTAAGATTCCTGAGGCCTCCCTATCTGTGTGGAACTGTGAATCAATTAAACCTCTTTCCTTTATTAATTACCCAGTCTTGGATAGTATCTTTATAGCAGTGTGAGAACTGACTAATACAGATTCGATTGCTTTATATACTGAAGTTCCATGTTAGTATTTTGGTGTTTTGATTTTTTATAAAATCTGAAACAATTCATTGTATATAGAGCTTCAAGTTCATGGATAGCTTAGAGACAGTGGATCCTCTATACATTATATAATGATATATTGTATCATTTAGGACTCTAGATTGCGAGCTCCAGAAAATGAAACTCAAACTGGCATAAGAAAAATGAAGAATTTAATACCTCATGTAACTAAAAAGTCCAGAAGGTATGTCTGGCTTTCAGGTGTAGGTGCAGACCTTGAGGCCCAAGCTCTCAAATGGTTTCATTAGGACTCTGTTTCTCTCCACTCATTAGCTCTGTCTTCCATTTTTTCTACTGTAACTACAGCCTGAATTTTTAAGAACATGGCAGGTGCTATGAGAATTACATAGCTGGAGTAAAGTGAAGAGCAGTTCCCTGAAGAAGAAGGAGGGGAGTTTGGGGAATGTGGAGTTCTGGTCAGAAGAAAAGATGAATATGGGGCAGACTGAAAATTGGTATCTACTCCAGAACCCAAATTTTAAGCATGTGGAATAGTAAAGAGCAATGTAATCAAAGAAAAAGGAGTTTTAATTCGACGTTTATTTCATCAGATTTTCATAGCTTGATTTATGCATCTCAATAGTAAGAATATACATGCCAGGAAGACCAGATGTTCATTTTCACTGGGCAACCTTCACCTTGGGTAATGCTTGAATGGCCTCCAACTGTGTTTACTTCTGCACCACTTCCTTATTCCTGCTCTAGTACTAATAAGTCTGAGTGAATACACTGCTTAGATTTGTAAATATAGTTAGTGTTCTGTTTCTTTAAAATTATGTAGGTATGGGGTTTCCATTTGAGGTAATGAAAATGTCCTGGAATTAGATAGTGCTTATGGTCGCACATATTGTGAATATGGTATACTAAAAAACACAGAATTGTACAGTTTACAATGGTAATTTTATGGTATGTGAATTATATCTCAAGAAACAAAGGAAAAAGTACATAGAACTAGTTTAGATATGCATTATCCCCATGAATATCATTGTCAACAATCCAACATAGATTAAATAAATTAAAAAACAAGAACCAGGCCCTTTTTTTTTTTACAATAAACTTTCGCTATTTTTATACATGTTGGTCACACAAAGCTTATAGGTTTTCAATATGGGGAATTAGTGCTCCCTTCATAATCCTTTGTTTAGTTATGATTGCACAATGACATACATTTGTTGTAAAAATGATTATTTTAATTGCCATATATACACTTTCAATAAGTGTATACCGTTGTGTAATTCTTTTTTTCTCCTTATTAACCGTTAAGTTCAGGAGTATATGTGCAAATTTGTTATATAGGTAAACTTGTGTCATGGGGTTTTTTGTTTTGTATAGATTATTTCATTACCCAGGTATTAAGCCTAGTATTCATTAGTTATTTTTCCTGATCCTCTCCTTCCTCCCGCCCTCCCCATTCTCTGGTTGGTCCCCCATGTCTATTGTTTCTCTCTATGTGTCCATGTGTTATCATTATTTAGCTCCTACTTTAAGTGAGAACCTGTATTTGGTTTTCTAGTCCTGTGTTAATTTGCCAAAGATAATGGACTCCATCTCCATTCATGTTCCTGTAAGGGAGATGATATCATTCTTTTTTATGGCTGCAGAGTATTCCATGGTGAATACGTACCATATTTGCTTTATCCAGTCTACCATTGATAGGCATTTAGGTTGACTCCATGTCTTTGCTATTGTGAATAGTGCTGCAGTAAACACACATGTGCATGTGTCTTTATGATAGAACAATTTATATTCCTTTTGGTATATAGGCAGTAAGGGATGGCTGGGTTGAATGGTAGTTCTGTCTTTAGGTCTTTGAGGAATTGTCACACAGTTTTCCACAATGGTTGAACTAATTTACATTCCCTGTAACAGTGTGTAAGCATTCCTTTTTCTCAGCAACCTCGCAAACATTAGTTATTTTTTGACTGCTGTGATATGGTATTTCATTGTGGTTTTATTTTCATTTCTTTAATAATCAGTGATGTTGAGCTTTTTTTTTCATATGCTTGTTGGCCGCATGTATGTCTTCTTTTGAAAAGTGTCTATGTTTTTTGTCCACTTTTTTATGGGATTGCTTGTTTTTTTCTTGTAGATGTGTTTAAGTTCCTTATAGAGACTGGATTTTGTCAGATGCATAGTTTGAAAAATTTTTCTCCCATTCTGTAGGTCGTTTACTCTGTTGATGGTTTCTTTTGCTGTGCAGAAGCTCTTCAGTTTAATTAGATCCCATTTGTCAATTTTTGCTTTTGTTGCAATTCCTTTTTCATCTTTGTCATAAAATCTTGGCCATTCCTATGTCTAGAATGGTATTGTCTTGGTTGTCTTCCAGAGTTGTTACAGTTTTGGGTTTTACATTTAAGTCTTTAATCCATCTTGGGCTGATCTTTGCATATGGTATAAGGAAGGGGTTTAGTGTCAATCTTCTGCATATGGCCAGCCAGTTATCCCAGCACCATGTATTGAATGTAGAGTCCTTTCCCCATTGCTTGTTTTTGTCAGCTTTGTTGAAGATCAGATGGTTGTAGGTGCGTGGCCTTATTTCTAGGCTCTCTATTCTGTCCCATTGGTCTATGTGTCTGTTTTTGTACCAGTACCATGCTGTTTCGGTTACTGTAGCCCTGTAGCATAAAGTCAGGTAGCATGATGCCTCAAGCTTTGTTCTTTTTGCTTAGGATTGCCTTAGCTATCCGGGTTCTTATTTGGTTCCATATGAATTTCTAAGTAGTTCCTTCTAGTTCTGTGAAGAATGTCATTGGTAGTTTGATAGAAAGAACATTGTATCTCTAAATAGCTTTGGCCATTATTGAATCTCCAAATAGTATTATGGCCATTTTAATGATACTGATTCTTGCTATCCATGAGCAAGAGATGTTTCTCCATTGTTTGTATCATCTCTATGATATTGATTCTTGCTATCCATGAGCAAAAGATGTTTCTCCATTGTTTGTATCATCTCTGATTTCTTTGAGAAGTGTTGTAGAGCTCTTTTACCTCCCTAGTTCGCTGTATTCCTAGGTATTTGTGTGTTTATGTGTGTGTGTGTGTGTATGTGTGTGGCAATTTTGAATGGAATTATGTTTCTGATTTGGCTCTTGGCTTGATGGTTGTTGGTGTATAGAAATGCTAGTGATTTTTATACATTGATTTTGTATCCTGATACTTCACTAAAGTTATTTTATCAGCTTAAGGAGCTTTTGGGCCAGAACTATGGGGTTTTCTAGATATAGAATCATGTCATCTGCAAACAGGGATCGTTTGATTTCCTCTCGTCCTGTTTGGATGCCCTTTATTTCTTTCTTTTGCCTGAATGCTCTGTCCAGGACTTCCAATACTACATTGACTAGGAGTGTTTAGGGAAGACATTCTTGTCTTGTGCTGGTCTTCAAGGGAATGCTTACAAGTTTTCCCCATTCACTATGATGTTGGCTGTGGGTTTGTCATAGATGGCTCTTATTATTTTGAGGTATGCTCCTTCATTATCTAGTTTATTGAGAGTTTTTTTAACATGAAGTGGTGTTAAATTTTATCAACAGCCTTTTTCTGCATCTATAGAGATGATCATTTTTTTTGTCTTTAGTTATGTTTATGTGATGAATTACATTAATTGATTTGTGTGTATTGAACCAACCTTACTTCCCAGGGCTAAAGCCTACTTGATTGTGGTAGATAAGCTTTTTGATGTGCTGCTGGATTTAGTTTGCCAGTGTTTTCTTCAGGATTTTTGCATCAATGTTCATTATTGGCCTGAAGTTTTATTTTTTCACTGTGTCTCTGACAGGTTTTGGTATCTGGATGATGCTGGACACATAGAATAATTTAGAGAGGAGCCTCTCCTCTTCAATTTTTTTGGAATAGTTTTAGTAGGAATGGTACCAGCACTTCTTTGTACATCTGGTGGAATCTGGCTGTGAATCAGTCTGGTCCAGGGCTGTGGTAGGCTATTTACTACTAATTCAATTTCAGAGCTTGTTATTGATCTGTTCAGGGATTTAATTTCTTACTGGTTCAGTCTTGGAAGGGTGTATGTGTCCAGGAATTTATCAATTTCTTCTGGATTTTTTAGTTTGTGTGCATAGATGTGTTCATAATATTCTCTGATAGTTATTTGTATTTCTGTAGGGTCAGTGGTAATATCGTTGTGTCACTTCTAATTGTGTTTATTTGGATCTTCTCTCTTGTCTTCTTTATTAGTCTAGCTAATGGTCTATCTGTTCTATTAACTTTTCAAAAAAAAAAACAAACTCGTGGATTCACTGATCTTTTGAATGTTTTTTTGTGTCTCTGTCTCCTTCAGTTCAGCTCTGATTTTGGGTATTTCTTGTCTTCTGCTAGCTTTGAGGTTTTTTTGCTCTTGGTCTCTAGTTCTTTTAGTTTTGATGTTAGGTTATTAAATTGAGATCTTTCTAACTTTATGATGTGGGCTTTTAGTGCTGTAAATGTCCCTCTTAATACTGCCTTAACTGTGTCCCAGGGATTCTGGTATGATGTGTCTTTGTTCACATTAGTTTTAGAGAACTTCTTTATTTCTGCCTTAATTTAATTATTTACCCAGAAGTCATTCAGGAGCAGATTGTTCAATTTTTACGTAATTGTATGGTTTTGAGTAAAATCTTGATTTCTAATTTGATTGTGCTGTGATCTGAGAGAATGGTTGTTAGGATTTCAGTTCTTTTCCATTTTTCTGAGGAGTGTTTTATGTTTAATAATGTTGATTTTAGAGTATGTGCCATGTGGTGATGAGAAGAATTTATATTGTTATTTTGGGGTGTAGAGTTATTTAGATGTTTATCAGGTCCATTTGATCCAGTGCTGAGTTTTGGTCCCGATTATCTTTGTTAGTTTTCTCCCTTGATAATCTATTACTGTCAGTGGGCTGTTGAAGTTTCCCGTCATTATTTTGTGGGATTCTAAGTCCCTTTGTAAGTATCTAAGAACTTGCTTTATGAATCTGGATGTTCCTATGTTGGGTACATATACATTTAGAATAGTTGGGTCCTCTTGTTGAATTGAACCCTTTGCCATTTTGTAATGCCTTTCTTTGTCTTTTCTGATCTTTGTTGTTTTAAAGTCTTTTTTGTCTGAAGTTAGGACTGCAACCCCCACTTTTTTTGATTTTCATTTACTTGGCAGATTTTCTTCCATCCCTTTATTTTGAGCCTATGTGTGTCATCATTGCATGTGAGATGGTCTCTTGAAGACAGCATATCATTACATCTTGGGTCTTTATCTAGCTTGCCACTGTGCCTTTTAATTAGGGCATTTAGTCTATTTACATTCAAGATTAATATTGATAAGTGTGAATTTGATCCTGTCATCATGATGTTAGCTGGTTATTATGCAGACTTATTTGTGTGGTTGCTTTATAGTGTTGCTGGTCTGTGTACTTAAGTGTGTTTTTGTAGTGGCTGGTAACAGTCTTTCCATATTTAATGCTTCCTTCAGGAGCTGTTATAAGGCAGGTGTGGTGGTAAAAATTTTCTCAGCATTTGCTTGTCTGAAAAGGATCTTATTTCTCTTTCACTTATAAAGCTTAGTTTGGCTGGATATGAAATTCTGGGTTGGAATTTTTTTGCTTTAAAAATGTTGAATATTGGCCCCCAATTTCTTCTGGCTTACACGGTTTCTGAGAGATTTGCTGTTTATCTGATGAGATTTCCTTTGTAGGTGACCAGGCCTTTCTCTCTAGCTGCCTTTAACATTCTTTCTTTCATTTCAACCTTGGAGAATCTTGTTATTATGTGTGTTGGGGATGATCTTCTTGTGAAGTATCTTACTGGGTTTCTCTGCATTTCCTGAATTTGAATGTTGGCCTCTCTAGCTTGGTTGAGGAAATTCTCATGGATGATATCCTGAAATATGTTCTCCAAGTTGTTTCCATTCTTTTCATCTCTTTCAGGGACATCAGTAAGTCATAGATTTAGTCTCTATGTAATCCTATATTTCTCAGAGGTTTTGTTTGTCCCTTTTCATTTCTTTTTCTTTATTCTTGTCTGACTGTCTTGTTTCAGAAAGCCAGTCTTCAGGCTCTGAGATTCTTTCCTGAGGTTGGTCTATCCTGCTGCTAGTACTTGTGACTGCATTATGAAACTCTCATAGTGTGTTCATTCAGCTTTATCAGGTCTGTTGTGTTCATTTCTATACTGGCTATTTTGTCTGTCAGCTCCTATATCATTTTATTGTGATTGTTAGCTTCCTTGGATTGGGTTTCAACATTGGATACTCCTGTATCTTAATAATCTTCCTTCCTATTCATATGCTGAATACTATTTTTGTCATTTCAGCCACCTCAACCTGGTTCAGAAGCCTTGCTGGAAAGGTAGTGCAGTCATTTGGAGGAAAGAAGGCACTCTGGCTTTTTGAGTTGTGAGAGTTCTTGAACTGGTTCTGTCTCATCTTTGTGAGTTGGTGTTCCTTCAATCTTTAAAGTTTCTGTCCTTTAGATGAGTTTTTTTTTTTAATCCCATTTGATGACCTTGAGGGTTTGATTGTGGTATAAGGTGGGTTTTGTCACCTAGCTTTGTTTCTGGAAGATTTTAGGGGGCCAAATCTCAGCTCCCAACTCCTGGACTGCATGTTGTAACTGGGGGACTTATATTGGGCCCCAATTTTGTTCTCTAGCTCCTCTAGGTTTGGAGCTCACTGTGCTGGGGAGTTCAAAGTGCTCTTGAGCTGCTACTCATTACACTCCAATGGGTGGTGTCAGCCAAAGCCTTTCATAGGATGATAGCATTGGGATCCATCCTTGTTTGCATGTGCCAGCATCAGCGGCAATGCAGTGGGGTGCACATTTGTTGGCTGTGGCAGGATGCTACTGGATTCCAGAGTGCCTGCCTCCATGTGGGAATTCATAGCAGTGGAGGAGGCAGTGAGGCTGGGGACACAAGGGGCCCCCCTTGGTGACTGTGCAGGTGGTCATTCTGGTGGTGGTGTTAGCATGGGGGCAGGGTGCTGGCAGGCCCAGGTCTGTGTGTGTCCTCTGTGGCCATTCAGGGCAGGGGAGAGTCTGCTGTTCTCTTTGCCTAGTTTCATTCTGGTGGCAGGGTCGGGCAGGGGCAGGTCACTGGTGTGGGAAGGGCTGGCAGGCTTTGTGCCCACCAAGGCTCTGACTGCAATGGCGGGACCGTGGGGGCAGAGTGTACTCTTGTTGGCAGCAGAGGCAGGGCAGCACACACATGCTGGCAGGGCAGGGAAGGCAAAATCTACCCACACATACACGTACAGGCAAAACCACATGGAGGGTGGCTGTGGGCCTGAGGGGAAGCTGCAGTGAGGGGAAGGAGCGGTCAGGCTACTGTGTTGCTGCAGGGGCACCCTGGTGGAGCTTGCTGCTAGTCAGGTACCACCAGCACAGGAGCTATGATGCAGGCCTCCAGGACACCCAGGGCTGCACAGCAAGCAGGCACAGCCAGGCTGGGGCCTCAGGAGAAGCCAGCAGACCAAGGGGTACTATGGTCAGACTGGCCTCCTCTGATGGGCAAGACCACCCCACAGAGATCAAGTCCAACAGTTCCCCAAGGCCAGAGTCTCCTATGGGAGCAAGTTGAGTGTAGAGGGATGGCTGTCCCTGGCCATGCTCTATTACAGATGCTCCTACACTAAAACCTTTGGGCTCCGCATTGGCTGGCTTGCTGCCTCACCACTTCTCTAAGGAGTTCTCCCTGCCAACTGAAGTGTCCATGGTAGTCGAGAGATCTCCTGCCAGGATTCCAGGGGCCCTTGATGAGAGCGGGTTGCTCCTTGCCAGTTCAACTCATTCATTCCCCTGGAGTCTTTTAGAACTGGGAACGAGTCCTCATGTTTCTCCTTCTTCAGCCCAGCTTCTGTGTCTTCCCTCCATCTACTCTCAGTGCCCTCCCTCTGAAGATCTGTTAGAAGTGTGCCAGTCATCCTGGTCCCTCATTGGGAGCTGTTCCCCCTGGCTGCATCTAGTCAGCCGTCTTGTCTGAATCCTGTAAATTGTTTTCTATTTTAAGTTTGTTCTGATGACATTGATTGAAATGTAATATTTGGCCTCTTGCATCTGATAATAAAACTTTTGAGTTTGAAACAATTATGCATGTTTCTGATATGTTTTATTATGTGTTGTTTTTATTAATTATAGAGGAAAATGTTGTTTTCCAGTTCTGGGCAGGAAGCTAACTGTTGCCTTACTTATCACCGAATTTATTTATAATTATGGAGTGTTTTGTACATTTTTTTGAGGTGGCAAAGATAACTTTAGCACAGTAATTTCTTTTGCAAATACATTTTTTAAGGACCAAAATTACCCTAAAATTTTTCTTTTGTTATTAGGAAACCCGTTTTGTTCTGCACAAAGCTTGGTTTGGCCATGGATAAGGAACTTCAGAAGATTAGGGAGAAATCTATGAAATTGTTTCACCATCTGTTAGTGATGTAGAAACATGTCATCATAGCTGCTGAGGTATTCTTCACTTTTCTCCCCCTTTTCACCTTATTCCTTCTTTCTCATCATGCTTTTCCTTTTTAACTAAGGTTTATAATATGGGACTAACATGCTCTCATTTATCTACACCCCAAACCTGAAGTCACTACAAAGGACTCTGTCTCCCTCAATCCACATCAATTTGTCACTACATCCTACTGATTCTGCTTCCTATAATCTCCTTTTCTGTCTGCTCCTTTTTACCCCACTGCTATAGGTCTTCACAATTTTTTCATGTATCTTCTATCACTCTCCAAAATGGTCATTCCCCATTCTCACCTTCTCAATTCTGCAATCTTAGTCCTATAGACAAGGTTATTTTTCTAACATGCCAATTTGATTGTATAACTTGACTTGTTTCAGATGAGTTCCTGTAGCCTTCAGGATATGGTTCAGATGCTATGGCTTGACACATCAAATCCTTTGTGTTCTGGTGTCTGAACATTTATTCAGATCAATTTTCTGCATTGTTAGCACCTGCATTCTTTGCTCCAAACCAAATGCACCTGAGGCTTTTATTCATAAAGATCACTTTCTCATTTGCCTTTTCCCCACTTCTTTGTTCTGCCTAGCTCAGTTAACTCTTACTCATTCTTCTAATTTTTGTCCAATCATTACCTTTATTCTAATGGTATTCACAACTACTGTGGCTCAATTTGATGCCCTTTATCTGACCCCCTTAGCACCTTGGCATAGCACCAAGATTCTGGTAGGTGCTCAATAAATATTTGCTGACTGAACATGTGATAGTTAATTTTATTTAAGAACTTGGCTAGGCTATGTGCACAGTTTTTTGGTCAAACATTAGTCTAGATGTTGATGTGAAGGTATTTTGTAGATGTCATTAACATTTATAATCAGTTGACCTTAAGTAAAGCAGGTTATGCTCCGTAATGTGAATGGGGCTCATCCAATCAGTTGAAGGTCTTAAGATAAAAAAATGACATTTCCTGGAGAAGAAGGAATTCTTCTTGAGTTTGCTGCCTGAAGGAGTCTTGCTTAAGTTTGCTGCCTACTGGCCTGCCCTACAGATTTCAGATTCAAGACTACAACATCAATTCTTGTTTTTCTCCAGCTGGCCAGACTGCCCTTTGGATTTTAGACTTCCATCCCCCATAATTATGTGAGCCAGTTCTTTAAAAATAAATTTATCTTCTATCTATCATCTATCTATCTATCTATCTATCTATCTATCTATCTATCTATCTATCCTATCTATCTATCTATCTATCTATCTATCTATCTATCTATCTATCATCTATCTGTCATCTCTCCTACACCAAGAGGTTATATATAACAATCCTATATGTAATATGTGTGTCTTCTTGGTTCTTGGTTCTGTTTCTCTGGAGAACTCTGATTAATACATAATGTATTAATAAAGTTGAGGATGCTCTGAACATACATTATTCCAATCATTTGAATAATGCTATACATATTATAGTTTGTTATTTGAGGATATAAAAGAATACAATTTAATTACATTTTAAGTTTAATTAAGCTTTTACAGGAAACTTTTTTTTTTTTTGAGGCAGGGTCTTGTCCTTTTGCTCAGGCTGGAGTGCAGTGGCACAATCATGGCTCACTGCAGCATCAACCACCCAGGCTCCTGCCCCAGCCTCCCATGTAGCTGGGACTGCAGGTGTGTGCCACATGTTCTGATGATTTTTAAATTTTTTTTGTAGAGACAATTATCTCACTATGTTGCTTAGGCTCGTCTCAAACTCCTGGGCTCAAGCAGTCCTCCTGCCTCAGCCTCTGAAAGTGCTAGGATTACAGGTGTGAGACACTGCCCCCAGCCAGGAAACCTCTTATTAAAGTTTTACTTGTTAATAAGTTTATGTGCAAAATTTTCAGTGGATTAAGTCTGTCACATTTAAATATTGTATTTTCGTAGCAATACATGAAGTGAAAAGAGGGCCTTTCCATGGAGCGTTAAGGAAGCCCAGCTTTAAAATGACTATTGGGATTATTACTGGCAATCTTGATTCTAATCCTTGCTTTTTGTTCACTAGTATTTTGGTGATAGAGTTCTGGTCAGTTTTGCAAAAATAACCTGAAATTCAAAGTATGGCTTACTCTCCTAGTTACAAGTTTTTATTAAATGCTAAAATATGTGATAAATTGGTGGAGCCCTTTTGAGCTAATTTCTGTTTATTTCCCTCAAATGTTCCATGAAGAAATGGAGTGCAACAATGGAATTTTATAGCTCTACAGGCATTGACTTGTCCTTTATCTAAGGCATTATTCACCTCAGTGGACAGATTAATTTTCTTTCATCTTGATATAAGAAAAAATAGGTTTTCAATATGAAGCAAAAATGAGCCAAAGAAAATAAATGTGCCCACATGAACCAACATTTTCTCTAAACCAAATAATAAGTGTAATTTTGAAATTTAAACAATTGCCAAAAGCTTATAAGATAAATTTAAAAATAAAACAAATATTATGGAAAGATAAGAGTTACAATAGCTACAAGTTCAGCAGTCTTCTAATAGGTCTTACTTTTGTTATTATCAGGCAGTTTTGACTTGATCCAACATGGTGCCAGTTGAGCTAAAATTTAATTCAACAATTATACTCCTACTGATAGTAAAGCACTATACTAGTCAAACGCAAAAATATATTTAATTTGAAACAGTTTGATATAAGAACAATAATAGAGGTACGCAAAATATTTCAGAGGGACGATAGCTATAGAGTGAGAATAATGTTAAGTGGTAATAGTTGGATATGGTTCATAGAATTGGAATTGGAGTTGGGCCATGAAAAATGATCCAGTACTTTGACTAACAGTTTTGGGAGTGAGGAAGAGGTTTTCAAGCATCAGAGCCATTTGAGCATCATAAGGAAGACTCTAACGGCAGGAAAACACAAAGCTATTTGGAGTAGGGTTTCAATTCCAGATAATTGTCTGGAAAGGGAAATCCTGGCACCCAGGAGACCAGTTTAAAGGCCATTTTAGTGATCCAGAGGAGCACGATGAGAATCTGAGCTCAGGCAGTGGCAGGAGGAGAGATAAGGGGGTGAATGTGAAAGACAGTATAAAGCTATATTTGATATTTTAAGGTCTTAGATAAACTTTTTAAAAATGAAACTTTCTTCATAAACAGACTTCATCTAATAATCTAAATTAAATTTGAAGGGAAAATTCAAATCTTGTGTGAATTTAAATATTTAACATGAGTATTGTTACCTCTCCTAATCAAAAGGTGGGTCCTCAGCATGGAAAACACAGTCAACTCTAGATTACTGCGAAAAGATAGGTAAGAGAGTGCTGGGCTGTTTTAAATTCAGATGCTGAGTCTTAATTAAACTTAATCCCAGGGTACTGACAGGGCTTGTGGTTATGGTCACAGGCCAGTTATTTGTGATCTTTGAAGGACCGTGCAGAACAAGGATGAACAGTATACAGAGATAGATAATACTTGTTTCAATTATCAAAAGGTGGTGTGTGTGTGTATTAAACGTGGAGGGTAGGGAAATATATTTTCTAGGAATAGAATTATGAATTTAACAAATATTCCTAGAAGAATTCTGGAAAAGATATATTGAAGAGTAGCTTTGTGTCCATAGAAAAAAGATGTCTTATATATTAGGAAACATAAAGTGTTCAAAGAACGAGTTATGCCAAACTTAGTTTCTTTTTATTTAAATTTTTATCATATTAGTTGCATATGTTCATTAAAGACAATTTGAATCACCCAGAAAAGTATAACAAAACAAATAATCTAAATATAATTTTTACTGACATTTGTGTGTATTTCTTGCCCTTATGTTTTGGGTCTTCTATGTAATGTATTTAGAGTTCATTTTTAAATGTAATATTGATTAGATAAAAAAATACAAATATCATTTCAAAAAGATTTTGGCAAATAGTTCTGCAACGTTTGTAATGAAAATTAGCAGTCACTTACCCTATCCCTTTGGATCCCAGAAGTAACTCTTATTGTTTAAGCTGTTTCTTTTGAAATTTACTTTTGTATTAATAATAACAGATTTATTTTTACTATGATTACCTGACTTTTCAGATCTATTGATTTGCTATAATGGAAGATGAGAATTTGCTCTTGTCCACCCATCCCCCCAACCACTTGAAAACATACCCACACTCACTTTGTTTTCTTTGATATTATGTAATAATTTTTGTTAAATATTTAATGTCTATATTATTATGATTATTATATAAATATAATTTCCAGCCCAGCTCTTCAGTGTACTCTGATCATATTTCCTTTCTTGTAAAACATTTTTACTCGCCTAGTTTTTTTTTATTTGCTTAGTTTTTAATGTACTTTTTATTAAGTAAAGTGCTTGTCATTCATTCATGTAAGCCAATCCCTCAGTTTCATCTTTTCCTTGGTGATGTATCTGGACGACATCTTTGGAGCCATCTGACCTCAGTCTCCAGAATGGATAAGTTTCTCTCTGAACCTGCTTCTCAGCTGGCTTCTTGGGATTTACTTTTCTTCATAGGTATCCTAGGGATTATCTTTACTTTTTTCCAGTATTGGATCCCCTTTTTTTCTGGATTTCACGTTTTCCCATTTCTAGATTTATTCTCTTCTTTTGGTGCGACACATCCTTATGTAGCTTTTTGAGAAATAATTCACTGAAGTAAAATTTTGAGACTTTATATATCTGAAAATGTCCTCATTTTACCTTTACTTTTATTAATAGTTTTCAGGAATAGAAGTCTAGGTAGGGACTATTTCTCCTTCAGAATTTTGAAGGCATTTTTATGTTTTGGTTTATCCTTTCATCTTTTAAAATAAAAGACAATGAAAGTAAATATGTGTGTATGTATACATACATATGGATAGATTCCAACTAGTCCTTCTGTTTTCAGTCTCACCGGTACCCCTACCTTTATTATTACATCCAGGTTCTGAGCCTCTCTGGGATTATACATTTTAAATCAGCTAACATTTTGGCTTTCCCGGGCACATTTTTTTGTTGTTGTTCTGTTAAATTGATTATTTTTCAAATTCAAAATTTTATTTTTATCATCCCTTGTCTGCTGTCTTATTTTGCATATTCTTTGTCCTTTTAGTTTTATGACTCTAAAAATTACTTTACTGGTTTTGTAGTGGAACTAGTCTGTTTCTGCAGAGTTTTTTTTCCCCAATTTATATTCTACTCTGTGAAAGCCTATATCTTACATACTCTTGTGTAAACATTGGTTAAATAGAAATAACTGTTATAGGAAAGGGGTCCTGATCCAGACAGACCCCAAGAGAGGGTTCTTGGATCTTATGCAAGAAAGAATTTAGGGTGAGTCCACAGTGCAAAGCAAAAGCAAGTTTATTAAGAAAGTAGGGGAATAAAAGAATGGTTATTCCATAGACAGGGCAGCCCTGAGGGCTGCTTGTTGCCCATTTTTGTGGGTATTTTTTGATCATATGCTAAACAAGGGGTGGAGTATTCATGCCTCCCTTTTTAGACCATATAGGGTAACTTCCTGACATTGCCATGGCATTTGCAAACTGTCATGGCACTGGTGGGAGTGTAGCAGTGAGGACGACCAGAGGTCACTCTCATCACTTTCTTGGTTTTGGTGGGTTTTAGCTGGCTTGTTTACTGCAAATTGTTTTATTAGCAAGGTGTTCATGACCTGTATCTTGTGCTGACCTCCTGTCTCATCCTGTAACTTAGAATGCATTAACTGTCTGGGAATGCAGCCCAGTAGGTTTCAGACTCATTTTACCCAGCTCCTATTCAAGATGGAGTTGCTCTGGTTCACATGCCTCTGACATAACTGCATAATACTACATAAAATTAATGTACCATCTTTCTTTTATTATATTTACATATCTATATATTTAAGGTATACAACATAATATTTTGACATAAATGATTACTACAGTCAAACAAATGAACATATCCATCACCTCACTGTTACTCTTTTGTGTGTGCATGTACCATCTTCCTTAACCTTTCTTTTACTATTATGTATTTCCATTTTTTTAACAATGAATGTGTTTTTGCATAAAATTTTTTCAGGATGTGGAAAATGATGTCAACTATGAATGAATTTACTAATGGTAGGCTGCAGGATCCTGTACTTAGCTTTGTCCTATTAGCTTTGTTTTTTAGTGACTTTAATGAAGTAATCTTTCAAAAGCTTCTTTGCCTGTAAGATCAGGTTTAGGACAGATTGAATTTACTTTGCATGATTCCAGAAGGCATAATGTGGATAAAAGTTTTAAGGAGGCAGATTTTAGTTTAAGAGAAGAATTCTAATATAGTATTTAGAGTCATTCAAAAAAGAAACAAAGCTGCTTAGTAAGAAAGTAGGCCCCTCTTTGCTAAACAGTGAGCTCTAGGAGGGCCAGGACCATCTGGTTCTCTAAAGTCCAACCAACCCCTAGCACAGGGCTTTATAGAGTGGGCATTTAATAAACAGGTATTGAATGTTGAAAGTATTTACTCTAATTAACCATGTGATAGAATTGTTATAGCACAAAAGATGCCTATTCCTAATGAAAAATTTACCTCTAAAACCCTTCAGAGGCATTCTGCATCTGAAAGGACATCCTAAAAGCCAACAGCTGATAACATGGGGAAAAAATAAATTCAATATCTAAAAGTCTTCCTTTAGACATCTGCATAGAACCATTGGTGATATCACTTTTTTTGATAGATAGCTCACTTAGATATGTTGTTTATTTCAATAGTCAGAGGATTAATGACCTAATTTGCTTTAGTAGTGCTTCACATGGCTCCATTTTTTTTCTGCCGTGTAATCACAGGCCATCGTTCTCTACTTAAAGCTGATTACCAAGAGAGTTGTTTTTCCCCTCTTGGTGTCCTCTTAATTTAGCAGAGTCATTTCATTTTGATCATCTTTTTGCCAAAATAATGAAAAACCAAATTACCTAACAAATATAAAACTTATACATTTTTGTATTTAATAATTTTTTACACGATAACAACTTCTTTGCATGTATATTTGCCTTTTTTCTTAGTATGTACATTTTGCTTAAACAGCCATCATTATTTTGCCTTATTTACATGCTTTACATGCCCTAGGAATTGCAGGAAATTTATATATGGCAAAACTTTAGTTCTTTATAAGCTATCTGCTATTACTCTGAGTATGAAGTTCAAGTTAAAACAATTTGTAAAGTCCTTAAAAGAGACATGACCTTTAGTACTCCTTGTATTGCTAAATAGTTTATGTGGTTTCATTTACAATCAGCCATTTCAAAATTGAACATGAAATTAGCAATTCTTTACATCATTTTCCTATTCCTATTTATATGGAGTTCATGTAAGTCTAAACTCTGATAACATTTTATCTTTCTTATACACCATTTACCCTTTTGACCATTTGTTTGTACTGGCTAAAAAGAGCCAGATTTCTCCAGGGCAGTACCCATGATTGAGTTGTCTGAATTTCCTGAAAACTTCTACCAAGAACTTGATAAATATTTGTGAAACAGATTAAATTAAGTATATAACTGAATCCAATTTTTTTGGTGAAACTCATTATATAAATGTAACAGAAAAAATAATATTTTACTGACTGACATCAGAGTTCCTACTATGAAGAGTATGGTCTTGCTTAAAAAAATACGTGATAAACTGCTTTGCTAGGTGGAAGGTGATGCCTCAAGGGAAACCATTCTGTGTAAGAAATGAATACATATTTCTAGGTGTGGGTGAGCAAAAATAAGAGGAAAAGGAAGGACATGGATAAAGGTTTGTGTGTTTGGAAGGAGAGGCTTCCGAACTACATGGCAGGAAGCTTGCAGCCTCTGAAGAAAGTGGGAAATTCCAGCTTTGGGGTGGTCAATAATACCTATTCAATAATACATAAGACTAACATTCCAGTTGAAATTGTTTGTGTTGCTGTATGAAAACCCCCAGGGAATATGGTTCACCGAGGATAAACTGTGGAGAAATTAATAAGTTGCCTAAACTCTTAAAGCCATTAAATAGTGGGGCCAGGATTTGAATCTAGGTGTTCTAGTTCCAGAGGCAATATTCTTGATAACTATACATGTTATGTACTACTGTACTGTTTGGCGTAGTAAAAAAATCTAAGACACAAAAAAAGGTGAAACGATCTTAAAGTATCAAGTGAAAAAAAAAAAAGGTAGATCAGCAACCGAGAACAGCCGTTGTCTCAAGTTTCAGCACTGTTGTTTCTTACCTATGGTAGAAAGATTTTTGAGTTATCTAGTGCTTTGTTTCTTAATTTCTTCAAGTTTAAATGAGAACCATGCCTAACTTGAAGCCTTTCATGGGAAAGTTTTGAGAAGGAATTAATACATAATTGAAACATTTAAGTGATGTAGAGAAAGATCTAATAGAAATTACAAGGTCATGTATGAATACTAAAGATAATTTGAACCATCAGCTAATCGTCCAATGGAACTGGATAGTGTTTCAGCTACTAGTTGAGTTGAAAAATGGAAAAGACAAGTAATTCAAGCTTCGAAAGATATTTCCTATATCTTGAATATTTTCTTAGTGGTGAAATATGCTTTGAGGAAAAACAGATGCTGGATTGGGTGACCCCTTGACCTTAGCCAGACTTAATTTTTTTTTGAATTTCTTATTTTCAGTTTATTGTTTTAACATGTTATATGCACAGTAAATTCATCGTATAAAGAGGGTTTAGGATGCTTCCCTTTGTTATTAATCCCCAGTGTGGACAAATGTACAGTCAGAGAGGAACTGGAAAGCAAATTAAAGTCCTTTGGATCAAAGTCTATAGGAAACTAAATGGTAGCAGCCCATTGATCACCCACACAGTCTGCCAATGTCAGAGCAATTATACTGGGCCAAAGACACTAAGTAGAAAGTATTACACAAACAAATTTAAAATGGGTGGGATGGAGGCCTATAGCACTTTGCTGGGATCAAAACAGTTCCGGTGAAGAGACAGAGTCTCAGTGTATGTTCAGTTCCCAAGAAACAGTAATTTGAGAGGAAGCTCCATAATGCAATTTAGTAATATTATTTTCCACTTATAGTTCAAAATAGAGTGATTGCTTCCCATGAGGTCAGTGATCTTTGTAAAGTGAAATATTATTGTGATAAAGGCAAGGAAAGACAAGCTAATAAATAAAGAAAAAAACCCCAAAATCATCAAAAAAGAAAAGTTCAATTTGTAAAAACAAACAAAAAAAATACTTGGATTATGTTGTATTATTGGTTTAAAAAATTATAATGAGGACTTAGGAAAAAAATGAGGAAGAGGAAGGGAGGAATAACATGGAAAAAACCACAGTCCTTCAGGAGTACTTCAGGAGAACGAATCCAGCCTGAGATAGGTCTGGGTGACTGGTAATTGACACTGAGACCCAGAAGATTTCATCCAATTTCACATAACAAGGTCGATAAGTTTTTAGGATTCTCCTGGTGATTTTTTTCTCATTTTCTTTTTAGTGATTAATGAAGTGTGATTTGCAAAGTGAGGGCTTGTACATTTCTTCATTAGCCCTTCATGTGTAATTTCTGTGGAAAGAGCCTGGTGCTAGAACCACGAGGCTGTGAAAACAAGACTTTGACTCTGCCCTCAGGGAACTTACAGTTTTATAGGGGAGACCCATATCTAAAATAATATTAAAAAGGTAGAAAATGGTAAATCTAAAAGTGTAGTTCAGATATAGTCCCATGAAGACTTAGAGGTAGGAAAGATTACTTACGTCACTGGAGATGTGAGAAGGATTTATGGGGAATTCAGGTCATATGTCCCAAGGAGAGTGAATAATTATATTTGGTTAGAACCTAGGATATGATGTAACATTTCTGGTGGTTGACATTTAGGGTTACAAAAACGGCCCCTTCTCTGTGAGTGTCTAAAGTTTGGGGTATGGACTGCAGCATGATTTAGTAGCAAATGGGCCTAATCTAATCCTTTCACATACTCTAAGTCACAGCCACGACTACTCACCTTTCTATTTTTTCTAGGGGAACTTGACCCAGGTTCGTTCCATGGCGCTGTGTCAGAACTCAAAAAAAGGATTCTTTCCCATGTTGAATTCCATTCATATCATTCTGTGGGCACTATTTATTTAAATATTTTCTTTTACTTAGAGATTTAGTTCTAAGAGATTTGCTTTTATAAAGGCCCTTGGGTGACACATACTATAAGAAATTCAGTTTATTTTCAATATATTTGTATTAATTCTATTGAATAGATTATTGGTTAAAGGAAAATCTATTAGTATTTAATGACACTTGCTTTTTATGACATTGCATGCTCATATATAATCACAGTGAAGAATCAGAGGGTACCCTATATTATATAACATGAAATATTTTGAAGAAATTTGATCTTGAATTTTACTTCAGATTTTCACCTTTTAGGTTGTGCTTAACTAATAATTAAGTGTGTAACAGGCACTAAAACTGGGTGTATATATATATTCATATATATTTGTATCTATATATATTTGAAATTTTTCTAGCAATTTATGAAGTTAGGAAGAAGAAAGTCAGTCAACCCTAGAGCTCCTAAGAATTTAGTGATTTGTTACTTAACATCTCTTTCAGCCTTGATCAACTCTCAGTTTGCAGTTATTACAAAAGGTATCGACTTTTCACCTCTTACTGGGAAAATAATCATTAAGGCCTCCTTGACATCTCTCCTATTCATTGCCTTCTTCCTCTAACAAGTGCCAGATCTATTTCAGATCCTCATTATCTCTTCTCTCGACTATGTCAAGGGCCTCCTAATTGGTCTCACTGTCTTCTGTTTCTGTCTCGGGGAAACTAACCCAACTCCTAAGAAACTAATCATGCTAAAATATGGCATGGATTATGCCATCTTCTTACACAAAATTATTCAGTAATTCCCTATTGCAATCTGATCTAAGCTCAGATAGCTTGCCTTGATTTGCAAGGCCATCACAATCGATTTCCTTCATATAACATATGTTCGAGTCAAAGTTGATAACTGCTGGCCAGGCATGGTACCTCATGCCTGTAATCCCAGCACTTTGGGAGGTCAAGGCAGGCATACTGCTTCAGCCCAGGAGTTCAGGACCAGCCTGGCCAACATCGTGAAACCACGTCTCTGCAACAAATAATAAAAAAATTAGCCAGGCATGGTGGCATGTGCCTGTAGTCCTAGCTACTAGGGAGGCTGAGGTGGGAGGATCGCTTGAGCTTGGGAGGTCAAGGCCTCAGTGAGCCATGATCATGCCACTGCACTCCAGCCTGGGTGAAAGAGTGAAGCCCTGTCTCAAAACAAGCAAACAAACAAGCAGAAAAACAACCCACCAAACTTGATAACTTCCCTGTAAATTGGATAAAAGTTGATAACTGCCATGTGTCACTGGAGATGTGAGGATTTAGGGGGAAATCAGGAGGCATGTTCCAAGCAGACCTCTACACTTAAACACATAATATCTGGAAAGTCCTTATTATTTCTAGTTGTAAGAATCCTCATCATCATGCAAAGTAACAAGCACTTTCAGCCTAATTCTGTCATGCCTCAGCCCCTCCCAATCCAGCCAGAAGTAGGGGGTTATCCTTTCTCTGAACATCCGAACTCTTTCTTTGAGCTACCTTTATGATAATTACCACAATCTGCCCTACATTATCAGTTTTTGTGCACTCACTTAAGCCTTTCCTATACTGTAAAATCCTTAAAGACCACAGTCACGTCTTACTATCCTCACATCTCCCATAGCACCTATCCCGGTGGTCTGCATATTGTTGTTACTTAATCGATTCTGTTCCTTGGAAGATGTATTTAATGTAATTTTGACCTGCCCAAAGGTTATGATTGTTATCCATCTTATTGGTGGAAATTGGGGGCTTCCAATAACTACTTTGAGTTAGTTATCCTAAAACATCTGACATATTTTAGGTCATTTTTTAATGTAAAATATTTTAATTAAAGTTGATATAACTGGACATAATATGAGAAGAGTGACAGAAAAGAAAATGCTACAGATTGTACTTAAGAATTTGTTGAGCTCAGAATAAGGAAGCAGCATCAGTTCCAGAAATATCTGCTAGTTAAGACCCAAGAAGTCAAACATACCTAACCATCGTGCATATCACATTCTCTCAACAGGAGGTGCCAAGAAGAAAAGGAGCAATCTACCATCTGCTAGGCCATCTGTTTCATAAGACCTATTCCTTATTTAGAGCCATTGGGGTTTTCATTTATTTTAAAAAATGATCAGCATCATCAAAGACCCCAAGTAAGAGCATATGATAATATTATCTAATAGGCATCTAGGTTAGCAGCAGGTTCTATTTTTCTCCAAGTTGTTTCCCTGTTGAATCATATCCTTCACAATGTATGTAATATGGAAAGAGCACAATCTGTGAATCAGAAGCCCTAAGTCTGAATCCTAACTCTGCTTCCTACTAACTTATCTAGGGCAATTGCCTACATACCCGACCTTAAAATTCTTCCCATGTAAAATGGAAATAATAACGTACCTCACAGGATGTGAGTCAAAATGTAAGCTCCATAAAGGCAAGCATCTTCATGTGTTTCGTTCACTGATGTATCCTAAGGACTCATAACATTGTTTGGCATATAGAAGATGCTCATTCGATACTTGTTGAATGTGATAATGCTGAAATAAGATTGATACCTATAAAAATGCTATAAAGACTGTTATTCAAATAATAGAATTCCAGGATAAGGAGCTTAAGGATTTATCTAATTCAGTCTCCTTGATTTATAGATGAATAAACTGAAGACTGGAAATATTGAGCAGCACAAGATGTTATAGCCACATTCCTTTTTAAAATTGTGTAATCAACCGGGTGCAGTGGCTCACGCCTATAATCCCAGCACTTTTGGAGGCTGAGGTGGGTGATCACTTGAGGTCAGAAGTTTGAGACCAGCCTCACCAACATGGTGAAATCCCAACTCTACTAAAAATACAAAAATTAGCTGTGTGTGTTGGTGTGTGCCTGTAGCCCCAGCTACTTGGGAGGCTGAGATATGAGAATTGCTTGAACCTGGGAGGCAGAGGTTGCAGTGAGCCAAGATCACACTACTGCAGTCCAGCTTGGGCAACAAAGTAGACTCCATCTCAATAAATAAATAAAATAAATAAAAGTAAAATTATAATTTTACTTTTATAATTAAAATTATAAAAGTAAAAGTATAATTAATCCATCACCTTAGTACAATGCTTTACAAACTTCAGTCTTCTGTATAAAACTTTCTCTATTTTTGCTATATTCATATACTTTAATATTTACTTACTACTCTTCTTTAGGTTGAGTTAAATCATTGAAATTCAATACTTACTTTAGCCTTGTCTTAAGCAAGAATGTTTGTGCAATAACATTTTGTTGTTCAAGCAATAGTTTTTCAATACACATTAAGATAAAAAGTGTACACTTAGGTATGACCTAAAATTGTTTTTCCAATTTCCAGTCATGTGTATTCCATGCCCTTAGAAAAATACTACCTAAAACCATCTGGGATGTATTATGACTCTGTGTGAACATTCTTCATGGAATAAAGTAGCAAAGAAATTTCTAATATGGTCAATTCACAAGTTTTTATATGAGAATAGAGGAGCATATTACCACAGGATCTGCCTTGCAAGAGCTCCTGAGGGAAGCACTAAATATGGAAAGTAAAAATGGTTACCATCCACTACAAAAACATACTGAAGTACAAGGACCAGTGACACTATGGAGCAATCACATAAACAAGTTTGCAAAATAATCAGCTAGCATCATGATGACAGGATCAAATCTACACATAACGATACTACCCTTAAATGTAAATGAGCCAATTAAAAGACACAGAATGCCAAGCTGGATAAAGAACCAAGACCCATCAGTATGCTGTCTTCAAGAGACCCATCTCACATGCATAGACACACATAGGCTCAAAATAAAGGGATGGAGGAAATTTACCAAGCAAATGGAAAAATAGAGAAAAGCAGGGGTTATACTGACAAAACAGACTTTAAATCAACAAAGATAAGAAAAAGAGGGGCATTACATAATGGCAAAGGGTTCAATTCAACAAGAAGAGCTATCTACACTAAATATATATGCACTCAATACAGGAACACCCTGATTTATAAAAGAAGTGCTTAGA
Source organism: Homo sapiens (assembly GCF_000001405.40). NCBI lineage: Eukaryota > Metazoa > Chordata > Mammalia > Primates > Hominidae > Homo > Homo sapiens. The sequence goes on along the minus strand of NC_000003.12, from coordinate 180,501,412 downwards.
GACATACAATGAGACTTAGACTCCCACACCATAATAGTGGGAGACTTTAACACTCCACTGACAATATTAGACAGATCATCAAGACATAAAATTAACAAGGATATTCAGGACTTGAACTCAGCTCTGGATCAAGTGGACCTGATAGACATCTACAGAACTCTCCACCCAAATTCAACAGAATATACATTCTTCTCATGGCCACATGGCACTTACTGTAAAATTGATCACATAATTAGGAGTAAAACACTCCTCAGCAAGTACAGAAGAACTAAAATGGTAACAAACAGTCTTTCAGACCTCAGCACAATCAAATTAAAACTCAAGACTAAGAACTTCTCTAAAAACCACACAACTACATGGAAATTGAATAACCTGCTCCCCAATGACTCTTGAAAAAACAATGAAATTAAGGAAGGTATCAAGAAATTCTTTGAAACTAATGAGAACAAAGGGATAATGTGCCAGAATCTCTTGGATGCATCTAAAGCAGTGTTAAGAGGGAAATTTATAGCACTAAATGCCCATATCAAAAAGCTAGAAAGATCTCAAGTTAACAATCTAACATCTCAACTAAAAGAATTAGAGAACCAAGAATAAACCCCAAAGCTAGCAGAAGACAAGAAATAACCAAGATTGGAGCTGAACTGAAGGAGATAGGGACATAAAAAATCCTTCTAAAAAAATCAACAAATCCAGGAGCTGGTTTTCTGGAAAAATAAATAAATAAATAAATAAAATAGGTAGACTGCTAGCTAGACTAATAGAGAAGAAAAGAGAGAATAATCAAATAAACACAATCAGAAATGATAAGAGGGATATCACCACTGACCCCAGAGAAATACAAACAACCATCAGAGAATACCATAAACACCTCTATGTACATAAACTAGAAAATTGAGAAGAAATGGATAAATACCTGGACACATACACCCTCCCAAGACTGAACCAGGAAGAAATGGAATCCCTGAATAGACCAATAATGAGTTCTAAAATTGAGGCAGTAATAAATAGCCTACCAACCAAAAAAAGCCCAGGACCAGATGGAGTCACAGCTGAATTCTATCAGAGGTACTAAGAAGAGCTGGTACCATTTCTACTGAAACTATTCCAAAAAATTAAAAAGGAGGGACTCCTCCCTAACTCATTCTGTGAGGCCGGCATCATTCTGATACCAAAACCTGGAAGAGATATAAGAAAGCAAGAAAACTTCATGCCAATATCCTTGATGAACACTGATGCAAAAATCCTCAGTAAAATACTGGCAAACCAAATTCAGCAGCACATCAAAAATGTGTATCCACCACAAACAAGTTCGCTTCATCCTGGGATGCAAGGTTGGCTTAACATATGCAAATAAGTATGATTCATCACATAAACAGAACCAAAGACAAAACCATGTGATTATCTCAATTCATGCAGAAAAGACCTTCAATAAAATTCAACATCCCTTCATGTGAAAAACTCTCAATAAACGAGGTTTTAAAGGAACATACCTCAAAATAACAAGAGCCATATATGACAAACCCACAGCCAATAACATACTGAATGGGTAATAGCTGGAAGCATTCCCCTTGAAAACGGGCACAGACAAGGATGCCCTCTCTCACCACTCCTATTTAACATACTGTTGGAAGTTCTGGTCAGGGAAATTGGGCAAGAGAAAGAAATAAATTGTATTCAAATAGGAAGAGAGGAAGTCAAATTATCTTTATTTGCAGATGACATGATCCTATATCTAGAAAACCCCTTAGTCTCAGCCAAAAGCTTCTTAAGCTGATAAGCAACTTCAGCAAAGTCTCAAGATATAAAATCCATGTGAAAAAATCACTAGCATTCCTCTATACACCAAGAGGCAAGCAGCAGAATCAAATAATAAATAAGCTCTCATTCACAATTGGTGTAAAAAGAATAAAATACCTAAGAATACAGCTAACAGGGAAGTGAAGGACCTCCTCAAGGAGAACAGCAAGACACTGTTCAAAGAAATCAGAGAAGATACAAATGGAAAAACACTCCGTGCTCATGGATAGGAAGAATCAATATCATGAAAATGGCCACACTGCTCAAAGTAATTTATAGATTCAATGCTATTCCCATTAAACTACCATTGGCATTCTTCACAGAATTAGAAAAAAACTATTTTAAAATTCAATGGAACCAAAAAAGAGCCCCAAATAGCCAAGACAATCCTAAGCAAAAAGGACAAATCTGGAGGCATCATGCTACCTGACTTCAAACTATAGTACAAGGCTATAGCAACCAAAACAGCATGGTACTGGTAGAAGAACAGACACACAGACCAATGGAACAGAATATAGAACTCAGAAATAAGACTTCACACCTATAACCTTCTGATCTTCAACAAACCTGACAAAAACGAGCAATGGGGAAAGGATTCCCTATTTAATAAATGGTGCTGGGACAACTGGCTAGCCATATGCACAAAATTGAGACTGGACATCTTCCTTACATCATATACAAAAATCAACTCAAGATGGATTAAAGACTTAATGTAAAAAATGCAAAACCAAAAACCATAAAAACTCTAGAAGAAAATCTGGGCAATACCATTCAGGACATAGGCATGGACAAAGATTTAATGACAAAGATACAAAAAGCAGCTGGAACAAAAGCAAAAATTGACAAGTGGGATCTAATTAAACTAAAGAGCTTCTGTAAAGCAAAAGAAACAATCATCAGAGTGAACAGACAACCTACAGAATTGGAGGAAAGTTTTGCAATCTATCTATCTGACAAAGGTCTAATATCCAACATCTACAAGGAACTTAAACAAGTTTGCAAGAAAAAAAAACCAACCCCATTAAAAAGTAGGCAAAGGACATGAACAGACATTTATCAAAAGAAGACATATATGTAGCCAAGAAACATATGAAAAAATGCTCAACATCACTGATCATTAGAGAAATGCAAATCAAAACCACAATGAGATACCATCTCACACCAGTCAGAATGGCTATTATTAAAAAGTCAACAAACAACAGATGCTGGCAATGTTGTGGAGAAAAAGGAATGCTTTTACACTGTTGGTGGGAGTGTAAATTAGTTCAACCCTTGTGGAAGACAGTGTGGTGATTCCTGAAAGGCCCAGAGGCAGAAATACCACTTGACCCAGCAATCCCATTATTGGGTATATACCCAAAAGAATATAAATTATTCCAGTATAAAGATATATGCACACATATGTTCATTCCAGCACTATTCACAATAACAAAGACATGGAACTGACTTAAATGTCCATCAATGATAGACTGGATAAAGAAAATATGATACATATACACTATGGAATACTATTCAGCCATAAAAAGGAGTGAGATCACGTCCTTTATAGGAACATAAATAGAGCTGGAAGCCGTTATCCTCAGCAAAATAATGCAGAAACTGAAAACCAAATACTGGATGTTCTCACTTAAGAGCTAAATGATGAGAACACATGGACCCTTGGGGGAAACAGCACACACTGGGGCCTGTAGGAGGGTGGGAGGGTGTGAGGAGGGAGAGCATCAGGAAGAATAGCTAATGGATGCTGGGCTTAATACCTAGGTGACGGGATACTCTGTGTAGCCAACAACCATGGGACACATTAACCTATGTAACAAACTTTCACATCCTGCACATTTAGCCTTGAACTTAACATAAAAGTTGGGGAAAAAGAGGAGTATAGATAACTGAAAATATCAAATAATTGGAAAATCAGCGTAAGTTTTTCTCTTCTTTTTCTGTTTCAGTGGAGATGAAGAGTCAGATCATCATGCTATTGTAGTGGGTACAAATTTCAAAGTTATAAAGTTGGCTGTGCAAATATGACAGTTTCTTTCTTTATAATTGCACTTAGGTCTTGTGACTCCATTTCTGCCATTGTTGGAGAATGTAATCTAGTTACTTAGAGGTCGATGTAGGTATTAGTGAATTTTGTCTCATCTTTTTTTAAAAGTAAATACTTTATCAATTAAGGTTCTTCTTTCCCCGCCTTTTTTTTCCTTGTCCCAGGAGGAAATAAAGTTCAGCCCCGGCAGAATGGGTGAGATAGGGGGTGCTCTCATATGTCATGCTGACATTGGTCTTTAGGTGCTTTGCAGTCACCTGCTCTTTTTCCTGCACAGATAGTTTTCTCCATCCCCCTACATCTGCTGTCCAGCGTCTGCCATAATCTCTAGTTTGTATGGCCTTCATCACATTCCCTGACAGTATCTCCTCATCAAAACCATGTGATTCAGTCAGGCTCACTGATTCTCCCCAGGCCTCTTGTGCCACCCATTTCTAGGTGTATGAATTACTCTCTCACACCAGATCTGGCCTGTGAGGTGTCCTCAGATCATTTGACCCTCTCGCTTGGTGTTCCACTCTATCCTAGGCTGCTTGTGTGACTTCTCTAAAAGTTTTGCAGTCTCCTCTGGCTATACTCTGGGAATTAAGATACTGGTTCTTTTGCTTTATAATTCCCCAAGCTTGTTAGAGGTTTCTATTTTCCTCTCACCCACATTCCTGGGGCTTCATATCCGAGTCCAGATTCTCTACTTCTCTCTCTCTTTGCAGATTCCTTTCTTTCTAGTTCAGTGTTGTTTAAAAAAAATCTTTTCGTGTGTTGGGGGAAAAACTGTTTCTATATCCGCATTCCTTATTTCACACTGTGTAGTTTATGGTGTGAACTTTATATGCTGAGACTGCCAGGCTATTAGTCTTTTGAAGCTCATAAACCACTCTTCTTTACTCTATGAGCCCACCTATTACAACTAAAAACCTTGCCTTTCAAGCCTATTTGATTTTTGGAGGTAAAAACCTGATTCCTGAAAGTTTTGAATCCTAAACCATTCTCATGGTAGTGTGTCTCTGAATTAATGCAGAAGGATTAAATACAGGGAAGTTGGAGGAAAGGGGAGGCATACAGTTGACACTTAAAACTTTGATACATTATGCAAAAAAAAATTCATAACACATTATGCATACGGATTCTTCATCTGTGTATGCACCTTAAACTGTTATTTTATTATCTTTGTTTTTCAGACAAAACAAGAATTCTAACCCTTAATTTGTGTGTTTTTTTCTTTTAGTTCTCATTTTTAAAGTCCTTAAATTTGCTGGCTCTGTATGATCCTCATATTTTGGGGTACCATAGTTATAAAGGCGAATAAACATCTATACTTGCGTAGCATTTTAAATTTTAATTAGAAAAGCTTCTCTTATAAATACCTCTAATTGTGTGGCTCCAGTGGCTCAATCGGTTAGCGTGCGGTACTTATAAATACCTCTAATTTTTCCCATGATTCTATTACGGAGACATTACTCACAAAGACAAGGAAACTGAGGCTCAGAGAAGTGTAACTATGAAGCAGTAAGATTAACTTTTTAAATGACTAATTTTGAAATAAAAATCATAACTATATAAAGTGTTTTTGTAGCATAAAATTACATATTTATATGTAGTATTAATATGCTTATGTAAATATATCTTAAAGTTTGGTAATGGAAATATATGCAGTATATGTATAGTCAAAAGTGTTATCTTAATAATATCAATTGCACAATACTTTGTTTTATTATTTTGAAATTACTTTTTCTTTATCCAAGTGATACATGCACATAGTTTAAAAATTAAGTTAAGCTAAAAGGGTATCTGACCCAGTCTAGTTCTCCACTTCAGAAGGAAGCATTTCAAGTCTTAGAGGGGTTTTATCTGACATTAACCTTCATATTTCTAAAAAGATACACTTACATTGTTATTTTTTGGTCTAGCAATTTTAGACATTATCTACTGACTTCCTCTTAAAATAGTTGAGGATTTATTGTCATTCCAACAGTGCTATATTAGAAAAATGTTGATATAACTAAACTTATAAATGAAGTCAGGCAAGCTTAGAATCACTTTTATCATGATTAGATATTAGCAAAATTATTCTTTTCTCTGCAGTTCCTATTTTATTTTAGCCATTTGAGTATTGTTGAGTTGTAGTGCCTCATTTGAATTTGTTCATTTTGTTCCTGAAATAATTTTTTATAACTTTTAATTTGAAGAGAAAACACTCTACCATATGTATGCTCATGTGCACGTGTGCACACACACACACAGTGACAGGAAATGTTAAAAAATAATGAAAAACATACTTCAGAAAAGCTTGCATTTATTTCTTAATATTTAAAAAATAAAGAGTTGCCTCAGATTTGCAGATAGTTTGAAATGTTTTTCAATTTTTTTCTGATAACTTTACTTACATTAGTAATTACGCTAGTAAAAATTCAATCCTAATAGGTTTGTTGAAAATTTCCTTTGAACTTTCTGCATATTTTCACTATGACATTTTCATTTGAAATAATTGGGTCGGATTAAAAATGTCAATAAATTCTTTTCAGTTCATGAAATCTCGCATCTAGCTGGAGAGTTATATAAAATTAATTACCCGATGAAAATAGTAAATTATAATCTAGTCACATAAAAACTGCTGAAGAGCAAGAGCTATTTTATTGATGCTTAGAATATTGACTGGCTTAAACAGAAATAAAAATATTTGAAATATTATTATATCTTGGTGAAATTTTTGGTCAGCAGTATTTTTGATGCAGAAAACATTTAAAAATCAATTTTCACGTGATTGTAGAGACAATAACATTGTCCATTATATATCAAATCATGATTCCAATGAAGATTAGTGTTCTTTTGTTTAAAAGGCTGTCAAATGTCAAGTAACTTTTAATTGCTGAAGCAATTGTCTTTGACCCTGCTAACAAAGGATTCTGAATTCTTTTGTCTAAAAATAGCCAGAAGTTTTCGTCATTGGGGTTTAAGTATGCTTGTCATACTGGCAAAATCCGTATACAGTACTCTTCTTGCACCTTAAAATAATCAAGGTATGCTAAACCCTATTCCAATTGCATGGAGGAATATGTTCGCAGAATACATTTAACAAGTACAGTCATCTACTGCGATATTGTTTTCATGGTCATGTTTATATTTCCTTTGTTATAATATAACTTGGGCATACCCGCCATCAGGAGTTATGAGAGCTGTAGCATAACTGTTAGAATAATTTGATTATGCACAGGTAATAGAATATTGATACACTTAAGTCTGTGAGATTTCACCTTATGGAGACTCGGTACTAAAGTAAATCATATGTGCTATAGATTGTAATAGCAAAAACAAAAAACAAAAAAAAGGCTAAATTTTCATTCACAAAATGCTGTTAAAGTAAATTATGGGGTGCCCATTTGGAAAAAAATTTCTCAAAACACAGTGATAAATGATAAAGAACAAATTTTAGGGCTCATATATATAAATTTGTTTAAAATTTATTATGCACATGTCTAAGCTTGTATCTGCATGGGAAATTTCTGGAAAGAGATCTCCAAAGTGGAGAAGTGGTTAGGGGAAGGAAAGGAGACTTTATTTTTTATTACTTTCTGTATGGCTTGAATTTTTTTTTTCTAAAGCCATGAGCAGCATTTCTATTACAGCTCTAAAATTAATTGATTAAAAACAGGCTCTTGCAAATATATGAATAGACATTTTAAAAATATATATAAATTACCAATAAACCTACAGAAAAATGTATGCCAGTAGTATCCTAATACTGTAGCCAGATTTTCTTAAAGTCTTGCCAAAGATGCACTTTATTTCAAGAACAATTTTTTTATTGATAAAGATGTCATACTGATTTTGAATAATAGCCTAGTGATAGTCATAGCCAAAGGCAATATTATTAAACTTTTAACTCTCATGAGCTCCAGTACACAATAAATTAGCTAGGTACCTAAATTTCACTACTGATTCTGGGACTAAAAACTATAGGGTAAATATCTTAGGGTTATAAAACCAAGGGACACCATATTATTACCTGTGGAAACATATCTTACCTCTACTTTGTTCAAAGGCCTGCAGTACTGGATCTAATTTACATTTATTGTGCAGGGCCTCCTACCAAAACCTGTAGTAGTCCACATTTTTACAGAAATAAATTTTTTATGATTGGACTGAAACATGAAGCATTTATGTGTAGCTTGCTCCAAGTACTGAATATAATTACTCTTGGCTTCCCAGCAGTCCTTGTTAAATCCAGCCACCATGTTCAAGACCTGTGGTTTTATGGGACAGTCAGAGTACATTTTAGTCTGTACAGTTTACAGATAATTTCTCCAGAAGGCAGTGAGGGAATGAGGTTCTACCCTTTCTTTCAGCATCTCCACTGCTTGATCCAACTGTTTGAACAATTATATGCAGGGTTACACAACACAAGGAAGGGGAAATGATAATTTCCAACTATAAGATCTATATCTAAACTGTTAACTGATAATGAAGAAAATTTAAATTAATAAATGATTAACAGAGCTGGATTCTTTTTTTTTCTTTTTTTCTTTGATGGAATCTTGCTCTGTCACCCAGGCTGGAGTGCAGTGGTGCAATCTCAGCTCACTGCAACCTCTGTCTTCCAGGTTCAAGCAATTCTTGTCCCTCAGCCTCCTGAATAGCTGGGACTACAGGCGTGTGCCACTACGCCCAGCTGATTTTTGTAGTTTTAGTAGAGATGGGGTTTCACCATGTTGGCCAGGCTGGTGTCGAACTCCTGACCTCAAGTGACCCACCTGCCTCGGCCTCCCAAAGTGCTGTGATTACAGGTGTGAGCCACCATGCCTGGCCAAGAGTTAGATTCTAGAAATATGATCAGCTATTACAAACTAGTGGTCTTGTATGTATTTGGCTGGCACAGCTTTTCTAAAACTTTAAACTTGAATGGCTTTTTAGGCCAATAATGTACTCTCTAGCTCACCACAAGCAGCACTACTTCCTAAATTTTTATTCCTACCTTTTCCCACATTTACATCCATACACTTGTCTTCTGAAGGGATTTGAGAATCTATTTGCTTTGACATTCCCTAACTTCTTGCCATTTAAGAGTATTAAGTTATAATTTTAAAGTAATAGGGTGAGAGGTGTAGAGATCATAGGGAAGTAATCTTCCTAGTTCTAATAGGGTAGGAATGGTGATTCTGTGGAATCTTTCTATTTCCGGCCTTACCTACTGTGATTTCTGAGCTTCCAAAGGGTTCATTAATCATGTAGGTATCAAGCAACTATGGACTTAAAACCTTGGAGAATGCACATGATAAGAAATTCTAGGTATGTCTTACCACAAAGCTGGATCAAGATCAGAAATAATGAATTCTTGTTTTAGATACCAGGATATTCAGAATTCTGGCATTAGCCAACATGCCTGTGCCTGCCCACCTGTACTTCCACCAAAGTTAAATTGTCAAGATTTCTGACAAAAGAGGCTTTTAGGCTTTGAGAGTGAGGTAACTTATCCTCTAAAATCCATGCTGTTACAAGCAATCTTGATAAATCTGGAGGGAGGGTTATCAAATCAGAGGCTCTGCATTTCATTTTCCTACTTGCTACATTTCAATTGAGAATTTTCAGCAATTGTGCTGTATAGTCTACAATTTTTTGAGGATAAAAGAAAATTCAGACATTTGTCTGTTTAAGCTTCGATAGCTATTGACTTACTAATGTTGACAGGGATCCACTGATCTAATTCTTCCAGGATGAAGTACAGCTTGGCTGACCCAGTTCTTGGGATGGGAGGATTAATGAACTCTCTAAACCAAACTTTTGGAGGAAAAGAACTTCAGAGGAGTTGGTAAGCATCCTACTTATGCGATTACTATTAATGACTGAATTCTTTGTTTCTGATTTTGTTAACAAAGTGAGAGAGCTGGTCACATTATTTTATTGACTGCTTAAACATTCAATTACTTGGAGACAAGATGCAAGAAGCTAGGATTGGTAGTGGCTAAGTAGGTGGGGGTTCTGGAGTTAGAGGGCCAGGGATTGAGGTCTGGCTCCTTCACATTTTGATTTGGGCATTGTCAAACTGTTTGATTTGGGCTTTCTCAGAGATTATCAGTTGCTTCTAGGGAGGGGATAAGTATGGGGGATAAGAGTTGGGGATAAGTATGTGGGATTTGTCATTAGCCTTCCTGTTTAAATCTTGCCCTGGTACTTCCAAATTGTGTGATCAGGAACATGATAAATGCTGAAAAATTTTTATCCTCTTCCCCCTTCTCTTCCTGCTCTTTTTTCCCTTCTACTTTTCTTCCACTTTAGTAGTAGTAGTGACAGTAGTAGTCGGCATAGTTGTAAAGGTTAATGGCATAATTTCTATGGTAACAGTAGAATTAGATGTTGGGGAAGATTACCATGGCAGACTCCTATATCACCAGAAACAAAATTTGTGTTCAGGGAACATACTCGAGGAGGGGAAGGGAGGGAAGCAAAGAAGATTGGGGCTAGTTAATGTTGGGAATATTATTTGGCAAGATCAACAGCATCTCTGGTGGTAGGCACTAATACAAAGTTTGAACATTAGCTGATGATAGTAGGAGAATTGGAAATCAGAGTCTCATTTTCTGGCTACTTTTCTCTGCAGTCTCTAGCCTGTTGAAAGTGGAATCTGAAAGTTTGTCAAAAAATGCTTTCTTGTTATAAAGAGTTCTTGTGTGAAAACCTGGAACTGAATACTAAGTATTCTTGGTCCATGCTCTTTACGTACCAACATAGAACAGCAAAGCATTTTTTTTTTTATACTTTAAGTTCTAGGGTACATGTGCACAACGTGCAGGTTTGTTACATATGTATACATGTGCCATGTTGGTGTGCTGCACCCATTACATTAGGTATATCTCCTAATGCTATCCCTCCCCCACCCCCCACCCCATGACAGGCCCTGGTGTGTGATGTTCCCCATCTTGTGTCCAAGTGTTCTCATTGTTCAGTTCCCTCCTGTGAGTGAGAACATGTGGTGTTTGGTTTTCTGTCCTTGTGATAGTTTGCTCAGAATGATGGTTTCCAGCTTCATCCATGTCCCTACAAAGGACATGAACTCATCCTTTTTTATAGCTGCATAGTATTCCACGGTGTATATGTGCCACATTTTCTTAATCCAGTCTATCATTGTTGGACATTTGGGTTGGTTCCAAGTCTTTGCTATTGTGAATAGTGCCGCAATAAACATACATTTGCATGTGTCTTTATAGCAGCATGGTTTACAATCCTTTGGGTATATACCCAGTAATGGGATGGCTGGGTCAAATGGTATTTCTAGTTCTAGATCCCTAAGGAATCGCCACACTGTCTTCCACAATGGTTGAACTAGCTTACAGTCCCACCAACAGTGTAAAAGTGTTCCTATTTCTCCACATCCTCTCCACCACCTTTGTTTCCTGATTTTATAATGACCACCATTCTAACTGGTGTGAGATGGTATCTCATTGTGGTTTTGATTTGCATTTCTCTGATGGCCAGTGATGATGAGCATTTTTTATGTGTCTGTTGGCTGCGTAAATGTCTTCTTTTGAGAAGTGTCTGTTCATATCCTTTGCCCACTTTTTGATGGGGTTGTTTGATTTTTTTTTGTAAATTTGTTTGAGTTCAGTGTAGATTCTGGATATTAGCCCTTTGTCAGATGGGTAGATTGTAAAAATTTTCTCCCATTCTGTAGGTTGCCTGTTCACTCTGATAGTAGTTTCTTTTGCTGTGCAGAAGCTCTTTAGTTTAATTAGATCCCATTTGTCAATTTTGGCCTTTGTTGCCATTGCTTTTGGTGTTTTAGACATGAAGTCCTTGCCCATGCCTATGTCCTGAATGGTATTGCCTAGGTTTTCTTCTAGGGTTTTTATGGTTTTAGGTCTAACATTTAAGTCTTTAATCCATCTTGAATTAATTTTTATATAAGGTGAATGGAATGGACCCAGTTTCAGCTTTCTACTTATGGCTAGCTGGTTTTCCCAGCACCGTTTATTAAATAGGGAATCGTTTCCCCATTTCTTGTTTTTGTGAGGTTTGTCAAAGATCAGATGGTTGTAGATGTGTGGTATTATTCCTGAGGGTTCTGTTCTGTTCCATTGATCTATATTTCTGTTTTGGTACCAGTACCATGCTGTTTTGGTTACTGTAGCCTTGTTGTATAGTTTGAAGTCAGGTAGCATGATGCCTCCAGCTTTGTTCTTTTTGCTTAGGATTGTCTTGGCAATGCAGGCTCTTTTTTGGTTCCATATGAACTTTAAAGTAGTTTTTTCCAATTCCGTGAAGAAAGTCATTGGTAGCTTGATGGGGATGGCATTGAATCTATAAGTTACCTTGGGCAGTATGGCCATTTTCACGATATTGATTCTTCCTATCTATGAGCATGGAATGTTCTTCCATTTGTTTGTGTCCTCTTTTATTTTGTTGAGCAGTGGTTTGTAGTTCTCCTTGAAGAGTTCCGTCACATCCCTTGTAAGTTGGATTCCGAGGTATTTTATTCTCTTTGAAGCAATTGTGAATGGTGGGAGTTCACTCATGATTTGGCTCTCTGTTTGTCTGTTATTGGTGTATAGGAATGCTTGTGGTTTTTGCACATTGATTTTGTATCCTGAGACTTTGCTGTATTTGCTTATTAGGTTAAGGAGATTTGGGGCTGAGACGATGGGGTTTTCTAAATATACAATCATGTCATCTGCAAACAGGGACAATTTGACTTCCTCTTTTCCTAATTGAATACCCTTTATTTCTTTCTCCTGCCTGATTGCCCTGGCCAGAACTTCCAACACTATGTTGAATAGGAGTGGTGAGAGAGGGCATCCCTGTCATGTGCCAGTTTTCAAAGGGAATGCTTCCAGCTTTTGCCCATTCAGTATCATATTGGCTGTGGATTTATCATAAATAGCTCTTATTATTTTGAGATACATCCCATCAATACCTAGTTTATTAGGAGTTTTTAGCATGAAGGGCTGCTGAATTTTGTCGAAGGCCTTTTCTACAGCTGTTGAGATAATCATGTGGTTTTTGTCTTTGGTTCTGTTTATATGATGGATTACAATTATTGATTTGCATGTGTTGAACCAGCCTTGCATCCCAGGGATGAAGCCTACTTGATCATGGTGGATTAGCTTTTTGATGCACTGCTGGATTCAGTTTGCCAGTATTTTGTGGAGGATTTTTGCATTGATGTTCATCAGGGATATTGGTCTAAAATTCTCTTTTTTTGTTGTGTCTCTGCCAGGCTTTGGTATCAGGATGAGGCTGTCCTCATAAAATGAGTTAGGGAGGATTCCCTCTTTTTCTATTGATTGGAATAGTTTCAGAAGGAGTGGTACCAGCTCCTTTTTGTACCTCTGGGAGAATTCGGCTGTGAATCCGTCTGGTCCTGGACTTTTTTTGGTTGGTAGGCTATTAAATATTGCCTCAATTTCAGAGCCTGTTATTGGTCTATTCAGGGATTCAACTTCTTCCTGGTTTAGTCTTGGGAGGGTGTATGTGTTGAGGAATTTATCCATTTATTCTAGATTTTCTAGTGTATTTGTGTAGAGGTGTTTATAGTATTCTCTGATGGTAGTTTATATTTCCATGGGATTGGTGGTGATATCCCCTTTATCATTTTTTTATTGTGTCTATTTGATTCTTATCTCTTTTCTTCTTTATTAGTCTTGTTAGTGGTCTATCAATTTTGTTGATCTTATCAAAAAGCCAGCTCCTGGATTCACTGATTTTTTTGAAGGGTTTTTTGTGTCTCTGTCTCCTTCAGTTCTGCTCTGATCTTAGTTATTTCTTGCCTTCTGCTAACTTTTGAATGTGTTTGCTCTTGCTCCTTTAGTTCTTTTACTTGTGATGTTAGGTTGTTGATTTTAGGTCTTTCCTGCTTTCTCTTGTGGGCATTGAGTGCTGTAAATTTCCCTCTACACAGTGCTTTAAATGTGTCCCAGAGATTCTGGTATGTTGTGTCTTTGTTCTCTTTGGTTTCAAAGAACATCTTTATTTCTGCCTTAATTTCGTTATGTACCCAGTAGTCATTCAGGAGCAGGTTGTTCAGTTTCCATGTAGTTGTGCCATTTTGAGTGAGTTTCTTAATCCTGAGTTCTAATTTGATTGCACTGTGGTCTGAGGACAGTTTGTTATAATTTCCGTTCTTTTACATTTGCTGAGGTGTGCTTTACTTCCAACTATGTGGTCAATTTTGGAATAAGTGTGATGTGGTGCTGAGAAGAATGTATATTCTGTTGATTTGGGGTGGAGAGTTCTGTAGATGTCTATTAGGTCTGCTTGGTGGAGAGCTGAGTTCAAGTCCTGGATATCCTTGTTAACTTTCTGTCTCGTTGATCTGTCTAATGTTGACAGTGGGGTGTTAAAATCTCCCATTATTATTATATGGGAGTCTAAGTCTCTTTGTAGGTCTCTAAGGACTTGCTTTATGAATCTGGGTGTTCCTGTATTGGTTGCATATATATTAAGGATAGTTAGCTCGTCTTGTTGTGTTGATCCCTTTACCATAATGTAATGCCCTTCTTTGTCTCTTTGGTCTTTGTTGGTTTAAGGTCAGTTTTTTTTTTTTTTTCTGGAGACGGAATCTCGCTCTGTCGCCCAGGCTAGAGTGCAGTGGCATGATCTCGGCTCACTGCAAACTCCATCTCCCGGGTTCATGCCATTCTCCTGCCTCAGCCTCCTGAGTAGCTGGGACTACAGGCACCTGCCACCATGCCTGGCTAATTTTTTGTATTTTTAGTAGAGACAGGGTTTCACTGTGTTAGCCAGGATGGTCTTGATCACCTGACCTCGTGATCCGCCTGCCTCAGCCTCCCAAAGTGCTGGGATTACAGGTTTAAGCCACTGCGCCCAGCCTAAAGTCTGTTTTATCAGAGACTAGCATTGCAACCCCTGCTTTTGTTTGTTTTCCACTTGCTTGGTAGATCTTCCTCCATCCCTTTATTTTGAGCCTATGTGTATCTCTGCATGTGAGATGGGTCTCCTGAATACAGCACACTGATGGGTCTTGACTCTTTATCCAATTTGCCAGTCTGTGTCTTTTAGTTGGGGCATTTAGCCCATTTACATTTAAGGTTAATATTATGTGTGAATTTGATTCTGTCATTATTATGTTAGCTGGTTATTTTGCTTGTTAGTTGATGCAGTTTCTTCCTAGCATCGATGGTCTTTACAATTTGGCATGTTTTTGCAGTGGCTGGTACTGGTTATTCCTTACCATGTTTAGTGCTTCCTTCAGGAGCTCTTGTAAGGCAGGCCTGGTGGTGACAAAATCTCTCAGCATTTGCTTGTCTGTAAAGGATTTTATTTCTCCTTCACTTATGAAGCTTAGTTTGGCTGGATATGAAATTCTGGGTTGAAAATTCTTTTCTTTAAGAATGTTGAATATGGGTTTCCACTCTCTACTAGCTTGTAGAGTTTCTGCTGAGCGATCTGCTATTAGTCTGATGGGCTTCCCTTTGTGGGTAACCCAGCCTTTCTCTCTGGCTGCCCTTAACATTTTTTCCTTCATTTCAACCTTGGTGAATCTGACAATTATGTGTCTTGGGGATCCTCTTCTCGAGGAGTATCTTTGTGGCGTTCTCTGTATTTCCTGAATTTGAATGTTGGCCTGCCTTGCTAGGTTGGGGAGGTTCTCCTGTATAATATCCTGAAGAGTGTTTTCCAACTTGGTTCCATTCTCCTTGTCACTTTCAGGTACACCAATCAAACACAGATTTGGTCTTTTCACATAGTCCCATATTTCTTTTTTTTTTCTTTATTATTATTATACTTTACGTTTTAGGGTACATGTGCACAATGTGCAGGTTAGTTACATATGTATACATGTGCCATGCTGGTGCGCTGCACCCACTAACTCGTCATCTAGCATTAGGTATATCTCCCAATGCTATCCCTCCCCCCTCCCCCCACCCCACAACAGTCCCCAGAGTGTGATGTTCCCCTTCCTGTGTCCATGTGTTCTCATTGTTCAATTCCCACCTATGAGTGAGAATATGCGGTATTTGGTTTTTTGTTCTTGCGACAGTTTACTGAGAATGATGATTTCCAATTTCATCCATGTCCCTACAAAGGACATGAACTCATCATTTTTTATGGCTGCATAGTATTCCATGGTGTATATGTGCCACATTTTCTTAATCCAGTCTGTCATTGTTGGACATTTGGGTTGGTTCCAAGTCTTTGCTATTGTGAATAATGCCGCAATAAACATACGTGTGCATGTGTCTTTATAGCAGCATGATTTATAGTCCTTTGGGTATATACCCAGTAATGGGATGGCTGGGTCAAATGGTATTTCTAGTTCTAGATCCCTGAGGAATCGCCACACTGACTTCCACAATGGTTGAACTAGTTTACAGTCCCACCAACAGTGTAAAAGTGCTCCTATTTCTCCACATCCTCTCCAGCACCTGTTGTTTCCTGACTTTTTAATGATTGCCATTTAACGCCACATATCTACAAGTATCTGATCTTTGACAAACCTGAGAAAAACAAGCAATGGGGAAAGGATTCCCTATTTAATAAATGGTGCTGGGAAAACTGGCTAGCCATATGTAGAAAGCTGAAACTGGATCCCTTCCTTACACCTTATACAAAAATCAATTCAAGATGGATTAAAGACTTAAACGTTAGAACTAAAACCATAAAAACCCTAGAAGAAAACCTAGGCATTACCATTCAGGACATAGGCATGGGCAAGTACTTCATGTCTAAAACACCAAAAGCAACGGCAACAAAAGCCAAAATTGACAAATGGGATCTAATTAAACTAAAGAGCTTCTGCACAGCAAAAGAAACTACCATCAGAGTGAACAGGCAACCTACAAAATGGGAGAAAATTTTCGCAACCTACTCATCTGACAAAGGGCTAATATCCAGAATCTACAATGAACTCCAACAAATTTACAAGAAAAAAACAAACAAACCCATCAAAAAGTGGGCGAAGGACATGAACAGACACTTCTCAAAAGAAGACATTTATGCAGCCAAAAAACACATGAAAAAAATGCTCACCATCACTGGCCATCAGAGAAATGCAAATCAAAACCACAATGAGATACCACATAGTCCCGTATTTCTTGGAGGTTTTGTTCATTTCTTTTTACTCTTTTTTCTCTCAACTTCTCTTCTTGCTTCATTTCATGCATTTGATCTTCAATCACTGATACCCTTTCTTCCACTTGATTGAATCAGCTACTGAAGCTTGTGCATGCGTCATGTAGTTCTCATGCCATGGTTTTCAGCTCCATCAGGTCATTTAAGGTCTTCTCTCTGCTGTTTATTCTAGTTAGCCATTCATCTAATCTTTTTGCAAGGTTTTTAGCTTCTTTGCACTGGGTTCGAACATCCTCCTTTAGCTTGGAGAGGTTTGTTATGACTGATCTTCTGAAGCCTCTTTCTGTCAGCTCGTCAAAGTCATTCTCTGTCCAGCTT
Organism: Homo sapiens; assembly: GCF_000001405.40. NCBI lineage: Eukaryota > Metazoa > Chordata > Mammalia > Primates > Hominidae > Homo > Homo sapiens. The sequence goes on along the minus strand of NC_000003.12, from coordinate 180,484,170 downwards.
TGTTCCATTGCTGGCGAGGAGCTGCGATCCTTGGAGGAGAAGAGGCGCTCTGATTTTTAGAATTTTCAGCTTTTCTGCTCTGGTTTCTCCCTATCTTTGTGATTTTATCTACCTTTGGTCTTTGATGATGGTGACCTGTAAATGGGGTTTTGGTGTGTATGTCCTTTTTATTGGTGTTGATGTTATTCCTTTCTGTTTGTTAGTTTTCCTTCTAACAGTCAGGACCCTCAGCTGCAGGTCTGTTTGAGTTTGCTGGAGGTCTACTCCAGACCCTGTTTGCTTGGGTGTCACCAGCGGAGACTTCAGAACAGCAAATACTGCAGAACAGCAAATGTTGCTGCCTGATCCTTCCTCTGGAAGCTTCGTCTCAGAGGTGTCAGTCGGCCCCTCCTGGGAGGTGTCTCTCAGTTAGGCTACTCAGAGGTCAGGGACCCACTTGAGGAGGCAGTCTGTCCGTTCTCAGGTCTCAAACTCCATGCTGGGAAAACCACTGCTCTTTTCAAAGCTCAGTTGGAAATGCAGAAATCATCTGTCTTCTGTGTTGCCCATGCTAGGAGCTGTAGACTGGAGTTTTTCCTATTTGGCCATCTTGAAATACCAATTACATTGTTTTTTTTTCATAAACTGATTCTCTACCATCCCAATCCTCCAGACTTCCCATTAGCATTCTCCAAGTTATTATGAGTTCATGAGGGACCTGGCCCTGGAAGATGTTCAGTAATATCTTTTGAACTGAATCCCTTCCAACATTGACATGCTTCTTCTTCTTTTCTGTTTTGCAAGAGCTTTACTTTCACTTTATTCTAAAGTTTCCAACTAGTCTAAAACAATGTCAGACACAAACATTTTTCTTGAATTCACACAATCACACAAGATATCAATCTCTCAATCTCTCTTTGGTTCTATTTTTTACTGTAAAACAATTTGGTGGTATGGTTTATCTAGCCCGTCAACAGAATTATGACCCATACTTGTCAACCTCTGGTAAATTCTACCATGATAATTTTCTTTTTTTGAGATGGAGTTTCGCTCTGTTGCCCAGGCTGGAGTGCAGTGGTGCAATCTCGGCTCACTGCAAGCTCTGCCTCCCAGGTTCACGCCATTCTCCTGCCTCAGCCTCCCAAGTAGCTGGGACTACAGGTGCCCGCCACCACGCTCGGCTAATTTTTTGTATTTTTTAGTAGAGACAGGGTTTCACCATGTTAGCCAGGATGGTCTTGATCTCCTGACCTCGTGATACGTCCACCTTGGCCTCCCAGAGTGCTGGGATTATAGGAATGAGCCACCGTGCCTGGCCCTACCATGATAAATTTTTTACCTTTGAGTGTAGTAACAAATGAAGATATATGTAAAATATATGTATTTAGTTGGTATTGTCTAAGAGTAATTTAATAAAGGAAACACAGAAAACCACTCACTGGAAGGGATAAGTATTTCCAAAAATAACTGGAAGTTTCTGAAATTGTCTATTTTTTCACTAAAGCCAATGCATTTTGACAAGAAATAAAAAATTTCCCTTAAACTGAGATTCTGGAATATTGGTTTCTTTGGTAATTTCTCTCCCTTTCAGCAAAATCATTGTCCTGTAAATGACATTTCTCATCTATATTTTAGATCACAAACTTGACAACTTATTTGTCTATTCCTTTAAATCTACCTCTCAGATGAACATATTTCCTCTGTATGAACTGCTGAAAGTAATCACTTTTTCCCGTAACACCTTTGTTTTAAGTAGAACAATAATTATTTGACATTTCATTAATTCATTAATTATTGACATGATCTAAAACTGTACCATAACGCCCTTCAATATTTTATGGTCTTCCACTGTATTCTTCTGCTCATCCTTAAAAGTTTTAACCATTTTAAATTTTGTAACTATGTACCTACCTGTTGTTTTGGTCTTTCTACTATGTGTTCATTCTTGGAGGCAAGAGGCAGTGGATGTGCAATGTAGAAGCACCAGAACATAGCACAATTTCAAAAAAGTCAGTGAGTTACAGCTTAAGTCGGGCAGCAGTGGAGAAAAAGAGTGCTCTCATGTTACAGGTTGTAGGAAATAATTCCACAACATATTGGGTATTTACTACGTGTTGTACACGATCCTAAGCACTTTACAATCATTCTCTCATGTAATCCTAACAAGACTTTGGGGAGTAATTATTTTTTCACGTTATAAATGAGAAAACAAATGCTCCACAGGTAAGTTGCCTAAGGATACACAGCTAACAAATACAGGAATTACAATTTCAATCCAGTTTAATGGCTATGACACTATGTTAATGGCTATGTTATATCATCTTTCTCCAAGGACATCAAAACTTCACGATTCCCACTCTTGCATCATTTACCACCTAACTGCTGGAAGTATCAGCCTACTCATCGTTATTGGCATCACCTGGAAGCTAGCTAGAACTGGAGACTCTTATGTCTTACCCCAGACCTACTCAATCAGAAATCTTCTTTTTAACAAGGTCTCCAGGTGCTTTGCACATTAAAGCTTGCACACCCAAGGCCATGTGCAACTTATATTCATCTTGCTGTTGCAGGCTTAGCTTCTGACAGGTAAAGCTGAACTGGTGTCACCCATTCCATGTTCCTGCCTCTGTGTCTTTGAGCCTTCCTGCCTCCCAGAATGTACTCTCCCTGATATAGTTTGCCTCTGTGTCTCCACCCAAGTCTCCACTCAAATTGTAGTCCTCATGAGTGGAGGGAGGGACCTAATGGGAGGTGATTGGATTATGAAGGCACTTTCCCCCATGCTGTTCTCGTGGTAGTGAGAGTTTTCACGAGATCTCATGGTTTTAAAAGTGGCTGTTTCCCCTGCATGCTCGCTCTCTCTCCTACCACCGGACAAAGTGCCTGCTTCCCATTTCACCTTCCACCATGATTCTAAGTCTCCTGAGGCCTCCCCAGCCATGCAGAACTGTGAGTCAATTGAATCTGTTTTGTTTATAAATTACCCAGTCTCGGGTAGTATCTTCGTAGCAGTGTGAAAATGGACTAATACACTCTCCTCAATTTCTCTCCCTAACCAAAGCCAGCACATTCCCAAATAACTTATTTACTCAATTGCCACTTTATTATTCTTTTGTATTCTGATCAATTGGAATTAATAATTTTTTTCTTTTGGACTCCCACAGTCCTTAGCATATATTTCTATGAAGCCTCTGATTGCTTCACGTTGGGAGAAGGATCCTGTCCTTCTCATAGCTCTTGTTTTCACAGCCCAAGTTCTGGAAAAGTGCCTTCTTTGACATTGCAGATGTTCAGTAAATGTTCATTGTCTAAATAAATAAATGGTTTGAAGGGTTTGTTTTTTTCCATGCTTTCTAGAAACTTTGTCTTGATTTATTCTTTGTTCTGAAGGTTATTTAGAATCATGATTCTTAATTTCCAAGTAGTTAAAGTTTTATCCTGGTCAACTTTTAATTATGTATTTCCATTTTTGTTTGGTGATGAATATAGACTCTATTTTTAGAAACTTGTAGCTAAGCACATAATAGAGTTTTATAAATGAACATAAACAAAGAAAAAGTAGTTGAGAGGTGAAAAATTCTATATACAATTATAAAATTTAGTTTAATTTTATATTGAGTTCACCAGTGTTATTACAAAATCTAATTCTGAAAGAGGTATGATAATATTGTATATGTGCTATAATATATGAATAATCAAATATAAATTTCTCAGTCTTCAAATACATTCCTTAAATATGTTATACTTTAAAAAATGCTTTTTTAAAAAAAATTCTCACTCTAACCTAAAATTTAAAATTTTAGAATAACGTGCACTATGATATCTGTGTTTGGGTTGTATGATAGTTTTCCATACACTTTCCTTAGCAGCATTTACATAATTAAGGCATACTTCATTTGCACAGACAATCTGATTTCCCCTACCCTTCACTCACAACCCTTAAAACCCCCAATTTTCCTTAAGACAGATGTAATGTTATTGGCAGTGATATAATCTATCTTTGTTAGAAAATAGTAGCAATTCTGCATTTCCAGATGGTAGAGTGTGCAGGAAGCTGTATCCTAAGTTTATAAGCAGCAAAGGAATAACAACTCTGGCTATAGAATTAGCATTCAAAAATGCTTTTAAGTCTCTCCCTGTGTGCCCTTCTGTTCAGCTGCTACCTCCACTGTCCCTGAGCTCCGTGTTTTGAGTAGGTCTTGTGGCATAGCATCTGTTTGTGCATAATACAAGTAGGGCAGGAGAGTTTGGGCCATTCCAGAGCATGCAATGGTCTGGGGTCTCTCTGTTCTTGGGCTCTCTGGGAAGTGGCAGCAGATGGGAAGACAAATTGAATAAAGGGAGGGGGTGTCCAGAACACAACTGTGAGATGTGACCTTACATAATAATTGAAGAGAAATGTTAGCTCCTGCTGCCTAGGAGTAGGGTTTGGTTCATTCTAAAATTCTGTTTACATTAATTAGGTTCACTGCTGAATGGGAAGCTTGCTGAGCTTGAAAATCTCCTGTCTTTCAAAATAATGAAAGAAGGTTGGCTTCCTTGGTGGGTTCTTTGCCACTCTTTTACTCTATGCCCCATCCCCCAATTATTTTAGACATTAGTAGAATGCTTTCCTGAAATGATTGAGGTTAAACGAACCTTGCCATTAGGCACTTACTTATTTTGGACTCAGCTCAAATAGGTGTAAACATTGTTTAACTGGCCCCTGGAAAAAAAAAAACAAAACAGAACAGGATGGGAGTAAGAGCATCCACTGGAAACCTTTTCATTTCTCACTCAGCAAAGGAACAGCTGGCCTTTTAAGCGTGTAACTCACTAATCTTCCTTTTTTCATAATTACTCTCATGTTTTCTAATTCTAATCCTTTACCTCTTCTTAGTAAGGATCCTGGCAAGAAATAGATGGCACATACAAATTGAGTAATTTCAGAGTTTAATAAAGCAATAATTTATAAGGGTGTAGGGGCTGAATGTAGGGAAAATTCAAGGGATAATGCAGTAATCTGGGTGTGATAACAATGGCCTGTTGGTAACAGGAGCTGTGGCTTTTAGTTGAGGGTCACAGTCTAGGCCATAAAAACCCTGCAGTGGGGAGCCAAAGGAATAAATACCCCAATTTTCCTTTCTCCTTTCTCTTAACTTTTGGTGGCGTATTCCTTTTTACTATACCCAACTGGAAGCAATAGGACAAGAGAGCTTGTAAATGTCTATAGAGGTGCATATACGCATACCTTTCCCCACCAGAGAGCAGGTGGAGAGTGGATTTGGAGGGGCAAAGGGAAGATCATTAGCATCTCTGAGCTCTGCTTCTCTGAATCCTTTGAGTTCTATTTCTTCCTCCTCCCCACCGTGTGTAGGTATCACTTTTCGCCATTTGCTCCTCTCATTCAAACTGCTCTTTCTTGCAGATCGTACTCTTTCTCATTCTCTCATAACTGCAAAGTCTCTGTCAGTACTTTCTAAAATGTCAGCTCTCCCTCTAACTGGGTTAATTTTTAGATTTTCTTGAAAAACTAGGCCTGTCTTCCTCCAGAGCCACCATAGCTCACTGTTTATCATGATTGTACTTTGCAGTATAAGGACTGTGGCTGTCTGCATACTATTCATTGAGAAAATTATAGTTAAGTAAGGAAGTAATATTTCTCTTCTTAAAACAACTGAGGAGGATCAGACCATATCCATTCTTCAACTCAGTGCTGCTATGTTGACTTGATTTGGACAGAAACTATTGGTGCAATTAGGTAGATTTACTGCCTCTCCAGGGCATGCAGTGGTTGAAATTAAAAATAATTACTAAAATACAATGTGCCATTGAGACCATAGCAATGGCAACCACATACCAGATAAATGTCCCGTAATACCGTTCCAATTCATTGGCCTAAGCATTCTGACTCTAGAGCATATACTTTTAGTACTTCGCCATCGTGGACATGGGAGTTGGACAGAAAGGGAGGCACCAAATGTGATGCCAAAATTTTGATTTCAAGTGATGGGGAGAGTGATGAGAAGTCACAAAGGCACCAAGTTTTGAGGGGAAGACAAAGAGTTCCATTTCAATTTGTGCTATCTAAGAGGAAGCGTCCGTTAAGCAACTGGATATGAGGAAGAAGGGAGTTTAGAGAGTGTGGGTTTTAGGAACGTAACTGTAGCTACAGAGATTCAGGAGTCATAAGCATAGAAGTGGTAGTTAAACTGACAGTAGATATGCTTGTCCCTTTCAAGTATGTGGAATCAGAAGGAAAAAGGGCTTAATTTTCCTCCCCTTTGCTGCACCATCAAATTCAAGACATCATTTTTTTCTTTATCTTCTGCATAGTCTCCTTACTGGTCCTTATTTTGACTCCTTGTCAATTCATTCTCCTACACAGCCTGCAGCCACGGTGATCTTTTAAAATGTGGACCAGTAAAGTTTAAAACCTTCAGTTTTCTCATACTGGGAGTAAAATCCAAACAATTTATTTGAAAAGTCTACAAGACCCTGGATGTCTATAAGGCACATGCTCTACCTTACATCTAACTGTATTTTACACTATTTTCCACTTTTCACTCTAAGCTCCAGTCGTACTAGCGTTCCTTAAATTTCTGGCAAACACCAAATTCTTTTCCATACCGTGGTCTCCAATTCTTCATCTGCTGTTATCTTCTTATCCTTCAATCATCAGCTTAAATATCACTTGCTCAGAGAACTTCCCCCTAATGCCCAAATGTAGAGTTCTCCATTGTTACATCTTATTATTTTGCTTCATAGTACTTATCTCTATTTAGGATTATATAATAATAGATTTCTCACAATGAAATGGGGGAGGCAGATATTTTATATTATATATAAAATTTGATAGTGACAGATCTACTCAACACTCAGTGCCTACCATGTAGTAAATACTCAACAAGAACTTGTTGAAACAATGAGTCTATAATCATTCAAATTATCTATAGTCTACACTATAGTCAATATTCTCTATCATTTATGCTCTACTTATTTATTTCTCTATCATTTATTTATATGATTCTTCATGCATCAGGCACTAAGTAATTGGAACTCTAAAGCCCCATTTTTAGTCTCCCCACAGGTTTAAAGAGATCCTTGTTATACCTTATGCAAGCAGCTGTGGATGAATTTCTGTCAAGATCAAATAAAGACAGCAGCATTCAGCTGGAAGACAGGAATGACCTTATTTCTCTACGTCCTGTTTAGAAAAAAACCCTTATTTCCATAATTGGCTATGGTGTTGTCTATAAATATTATGCAAACTACCCTGAGTCCTTATAATAACCTTATAGGTTATAATGAGAGATGAGTAGCAATGGCCCTGATGACAAGAAATCCTCTGGGTATGAATGTTTCCAGCATGCTTATGGAGCAGGATGGCAAGGTTAGGGTTCATGAAGTAAAGACAGGTGAAGCAGAACGTGTACTTTTACTAGATCATCTCTTTTTTATTTTTTTTTTTTTTACTCCTTTCCTACTTTATCTGTTTCCTCCAGGGTAGATGGTGAAATAAGGGAGAATATAGAAAAAAGGTAAGAAATCTTACATGTAATCTGGTTGTAAAGGCTGTCTAATAAAGAAGGGGCTATAAGAGGCCCCTAATAAAGAAGGCACTGCACAGCCAGTGTCTCCAGAGATGACTTCCTGTGACCCAACTCAGCCCCTGCTCCTAGAGGGGCACCTTCTCTCTGTTTCTCTTGGATTTCTCTATTCCAGACAGTAATGTAGGTTATATAGGGTAGCTCTAGGCTGGTTACTTTCTGTAGTCTCGCATTGGCCTGTAGAAATTCATATTGTTACTTCAGCTCTGGGGAAACTAGAGTGTTCTCCCTTGCCTCCTCCTCTGTTTGCTACCACCATGGGCGGCTCCAGCCACCTTCATAATCTTCAGGTGAAAGGCAAGCATCCATTTTCCTGTTCTCAGATGCCTTCAATTTCCAGGGTAACATATCAGGTGTTTCCATGAACTCACTCTCTGTGTTCCAACCTTGGTGGTCGTGCTGAGGTGGACCTCTGCTTCTGTGGTTCCACCTTGAGAAGTGAGATGTTTCTCTCCCCTTCTCTGAGGTTACTCCCAGTCTTCAAGAGTGGCTCTCCAGGAGTTCTATCCAATGGGAGGAAAGAAGAAAGCCAATATGCTTTTCTTTGGATCCCCTTACCAAATGTTCTCCATGCCTCTGTCCTTTCCCGCACTAAAGTCCCTTTTCAAAATAGCAACCAGAGTAATGTTTGTAAAAAGTCAAGTTACATGTTATCACTTCTTTGTTGAGAATTTTCCAGGGGTTTCTCATTTCACTCAGAATAAAAACAAATTCAAAGTTCTTATAAATAAATACAATTTAATAAAATAATAAATAACATTCAAAGTTCTTATCATGGTCCATAATCTCCCTTGATCTGCCCCGTCACTATTTCTCTGGCCACGTTATCTTCTATTTCTTTACTTTAGCTCACTCTGCTCCTTGCTTTTTTTTGAACACACCAGGCATGCTCCTTCCCATATGCTTAGAATGCTCTTCCTCTGAATATCATTTGGCTACCTTCTTAATGTACTTCAACTTGGATGTCACCTCAGAGAGAACTTTGCTGACTACCTTATCTGAAACGGCCCTCCCATTCTTCTGGTATCTGAGCAGCACTGACAGTGTACATCCTGAGCTTTAAAAATCCACAGCCATTATGTCTTTCCTTGAGTCTAATACAAATATGCAATTTTTTCTTTATTGATTTTGAAAAATATATCCATTCATTTAGCTCTTGTGTTCCTGGGAAGGAAGGATTATTATGCTCTTTATTAGTTCTGCAGCAAATAGTTACTTGATAAATGCTTTTTGAAGCCTGGAGGAAAATCCAGACAGACAAAATAGTTTCTGTAGCTCTCTAAAGCTCATTACAGGACATGACATTTACTGATTTATATAGTTTGGATATTGAAAGTTATAATGAATATTTTTGCAGACTTCCTACACTCTAGTTTCTACTCTAGCCCTTTCTGTATAACACTGTCATACCACATTTTAAAAAGAACTGCTGTTATCACCTTCCTTCTATACTTGCAGCCTTCAAAATAACGTATATGTAGTTGTATGTGTGCATAATGCATGCTTGTGTGTATCATATTCAGCCAAAGCTTGCTTGCTTTTTCCTTCCTTCTTTGTGATAAAGGAAGCCTCCTTTATCACTATTATTTAGTAAACATTGTTACATACTGGTCTGTTTTAGGTATTTTACCTACAAGATTTCCCTTAAGACTTTGGGGGACTGTTGGGAAGACATGATTGGTTTTGAAATGTGAGGACATGAGATTTGGGAGGGGCCAGGGCAGAATGATATGGTTTGGCTGTGTCTCCACCCAAATCTCATCTTGAATTGTAGCTCCCATAATTCCCAGATGTCACAGGAGGGACCCAGTGGGAGTTAATTGAATCATGGGGGTGGGATTTTCCCATGCTGTTCTTGTGATACTGAGTAAGTCTTATGAGATCTGATGGTTTTATATAGGGGAGTTCCCCTGCATAAGCTCCCTCTTGCCTGCTGCCAGGTAAGACATCCCTTTGCTCTTCCTTCATCTTCCACCATGGTTGTGAGGCCACCCCAACCGTGTGGAACTGTGAGTCCATTAAACCTCTCTTTCCTTTATAAATTACCCTCTCCTAGGTATGTCTTTATTAGCAGCATTAGAACAGACCAGACTAATACAAACATTTTGCAAGGATCCATTATTATCCTCATTTTACAGGTGGAGAAAATGGGGCTTGTACTGGTTAAGTAGACTGCCCCAGGTTACCTAGCTAATAAGTGGTAGAATTGCAACTGGGAGCTAAGTCTGCCTCTTCCAAAGCTGCTATACCAATGTTTCCTCAAACTCAAAAAACACTACTTTTATTTTCTTGTTTGGATATTATTTTTTTACCTTTTCATGAAGGTATAATGTAGATACAATAAAGTACACAAATATTAAGTGTTCAGTATAATGGATTTGTAAACATATGCTCATCCAGGTAACTACCATTCATATCAAAATATAGAACATCTCCAGCATCTCAGATAGATCACATTTTAGGGATCAGAAAATTTCTAAAGATGGCTAGTGCTAATTTATTTTTATCAAATTAACATAGGCCAACAGAAAACTGTATACAAACTCCTTATATTTATAGTGCTTGTATAGTACTATGTAAATTTATAATTTATGTGTAACTGTATAATTTTAATATGATGAAACTAAAAACTCAATACAATTTCAATTAGGATAAATTTAATGAAACATAATGTATTACTAAAATAAAATCTGCACACCATGTGAATATACTATTGATTTTATATCTAGATTCTTTGCATTTGTTATGTTGATGTCAATATGTGATATCTTTTTCCCATTTGAATTGTATCAGAATCTTTATTCGTACATTGCTCTATGATGTCATTTAGACTTTGTTGGATGTGAATACATAATTTATGTTTATTATTTCTGAGTGACAAATAGTTATATACATTTATAGGATACAATGTGATGTTTTAATATACACAATGTATGATTAAATCAAGCAAATTAATGTATTCATTACCTCTTTTACCTATCATTTATTATAATGAGACATATGAAATTTACTCTTATTTTGAAATATACAATATGTTATAATAGACTATGGTCACCCAATGCCTGTACCCCGTTGTATCTGGGAAGTAACTAACTTGCTTTTGATTTTATAGGCTTATAGGCAGAAGGGACTTGCCTTGTCTCAGATGAGACTTTAGACTCTGGACTTTTGAGTTAATGCTGAAATAAATGAGTTAAGACTTTGGGTCTTAACTACTGTGCAGTAGATCTCAAAACATATTCCTCTGTCTGTCTGAAACTTTGTGCCCTTTGATCAACAATTCATTTCTCCCCTCCTCACCTCCTCAGTCGTTGTTAACCATCATTCTACTCTCTACTTCTATGAGTTCAACTTTTTTAGATTCCACATATGGGTGAGATTGTGCAGTATTTGTCTTTCTGTGCCTGGCTTATTAATATTACTTAGCATAATGTCCTCCAGATTCATCCTTGTTGTCACAAATGACAGAATTTACACAGTTTTTAAAGTTAAATAGCATTCCATTGTGTATATATACCACATTTTATCTATTATCTGTTTATTGATACTTAGGTTGCTTCTATAATCTTTTCTATTGTAAATAATGCTGCATGAACATGGGAGTGTAGATACCCCTTTGACATGTTAATTTCACTTCCTTTGGATATATAACCAGTGTGGGATTACTGGATCACATGATACTACTATTCTTAGTATTTTGAGGAACCTTTATACTATTTTCCATAATGGTTGTATTAATTTACATTTCCACCAACAATACACAAGGTGTGTCTTTATTAGCAGCGTGAGAACAGGCCAGACTGTTTTATCTGAATCCTCGCCAACACTTTGTCTTTCATCTTTTGATAAAAGACATTCTAATACATATGAGATGATACCTTATTGTGGTTTTAATTGCATTTTCTAATGATTAAAGATGTTGAACTTTTTTTAATGTACGTGTTGGCCATTTGTCTGTCTTCTTTTGAGAAATGTCTGTTCCTTTACCCATTTTAAAATCAGATTATGTTTTCTTGCTATTGAATTCCTTATATATTTTGGATATTAATCCTTTATCAGATGTATGGTTTGTAAGTATTTTATCGTATTCTGTGGGTTGTCTCTTCACTTTATTAATTGTTTTCTTTTCTGTGCAGAAGCTTTTTAGTTTTCTGCCATCCCATTTATCTATTTTTGCCTTTGTTGCCTGTACTTTTGGGGTCATATTAAAAAAATTATTACCCAAACCACTTTAATGAAGATTTTCCACATGCTTTCTTCTGGTATTTTTATAGTTTTGGGTCTTACAATTAAATCTTTAATTCATTTTCAGTTTATTTTTGTTTATAATGTGAGACAAAGTTCCAATTTCATTTTTCTGCATATGGATATCCAGTTTTCTCAACACAATTTATTGAAAAAACTGTCATTTCTCTATTATGTGTTCTTGGCACATTTGTCAAAAATCAATTGACCATTAATTTGTGGGTTTATTTCTTGACTCTGCATTCTGTTCCATTGCTTGATGTGTCTGTTTTTATGCCAGTACCATGCTGTTTTGATAACAATTCTCTTATAGTATGTTTTGAAATCAAGGAGTTTGATGCCTCCAACTTTATTCCTTTTGGCTCAAAATTGTTTTGGCTACTGGGGGGCTTTTGTAGTTCTAGACAAATTTAAGAATTGTATTTTCCATTTCTGTGAAAAGTGACATTGGAATTTTGGTACAGATTGCATTAAATCTGTAGATCACCTTGGTAGTATGGACATTTTCACAATGCTGACTCTTCTAATCCATGAATACAGGATATCTTTCAATTTATTTGTGTTTTCTTCAATTTCTTTCATCAGTGTTTTATAGTTAAATATACGGGTCTTTTACACCTAAGTATAAAGATCTTTTACACCTAACTATTGTTAAACTTACCCGTAAGTATTTAATTTTTTTTGTTGCTATTGTAATGGGATTGCTTTCTTAATATTCTTTTCAGATAGTTTACTAGCACATAGAAACATTATTGATTTTTGTATATTGATTTTCTATCCTGCAAATTTACTAAATTTATCAGTTCTAACAGTTTTGTGGTGGAGTCTTTTTTTTTTGTTTTCTTTTTTGAGATGGGGGTCTCACTATATTGCTCAGGCTGGTCTCTAACTCCTGAGCTCAATTGATCCTCGTACCTCAGCCTCCCAAATTGCTAGGATTACAGGTGTGAGCCACTGCACCTGTCCTTGTGGTGAGGTCTTTAGAGTTTTATATATATACGATTATTTTGTCAGGAAATAGAGACAATTTCGTTCTTCCTTTACTATTAGAATGCCTTTTTATTTCCCTCTTGCCTAACTGCACTGGCTAGAACTTCCAGTACTATGTTGAGAAGAAGTGATAAGAGTGGGCATCCTTGTTTTGTCCCTGATCTTAGTGGAAAAGCTTTTAACTTTTCACTATTGAGAATGATAATAGCTATGGGTTTTCATATATTCATTGTGTTGAAATACATTCCCTTTAATCTGTTGAGTTTATATCATGAAAAGGTATTGAATTTTGTGAAATACTTTTTCCACGTCTATTGAGATGATCGCATAATTGTTATTCTTCATTTTGTTAATGTGGTGTATTACATTTATTGATTTCTATATTTTGAAACATCCTTGCATCCCAGGGATAAATCCCTGGGATTTAATGTGTCATTGAATTTGTTTTACGATATTTTGTTGAGGATTTTTCGCATCTATGTTCAGCAGAGATATTGACCTATAATTTTCTTCTCTGCTATTGGTCATTGTCTGGCTTTGGTATCAGGGTGATGCTCATCTTGTCAAAAGAGTTTAGAAATTATTTTTTCCACTTCACTTTTTGGAAGAGTTTGAAAATAATTGGCATTAATTCTTCTTTAATGTTTGGTAGAATTATGCAGTGAAGCCATCTCGTCCTGGGCTTTTCTTTGATGGTGGGTATTTTTATTACTTATTCAATCTCCTTACTCATTATTGGTCTGTTCAGATTTTCTATTTCTTCGTGATTCAATCTTGGTAGATTTGATGTGTATGTAGGAATTTATTCACTTATTCTAGATTATTCCATTTGTTGGTGTATATTTATAGTAGTTTCTTATAATGTATTTCTGTGGATTACTTTTCTTGGTGGTCTCCACTTTCATTTCTGATCTCTTCATTTGTCTTCTTTTTCTCCTTTGTCTCGCTAGAGGCTTGTCAACATTGTTTAGCTTTTCAAAAAATAAACTGTCAGTTGTTTTTATTTTATTCTGTTTTTTTTTCTCTAATATCTATTTCTGCTCTGTTCTTTGTTATTTGCTTCCTTCTGCTTATCGGCTTTGCTTATTCTTATTTTTCTAGTTCCCTGTGGTATAATATTAGATTATTTATTTGAGATCTTTCTTCCTTTTTGAAATAGGTATTTGTTACTACAAACTTCACCCATAGGACTGTTCTCACTGCATTTCATAAATTTTAATATGTTATGTTTCCATTTTCATTTGTGTCGGTATTTTGATTTCCTTTTTGATTTCTTCTGTGACCCATTGATTGTTCAGGAGCATGTTGTTTAATTTCCACATATTTTTGTATTTTCCAGGATTTCCCTTGTTATTGATTTCTAATTTCATGCCACTGTGATCTGAAAAGATACTTGTTGATTTCAATCTTCTTACATTTGTAAGTTTATTTTCTTGGAGTTCCCTGAACTTCTTTAAGATGATTATTCTGAACTTTTTGTCAGTCATTCCATAGATCACCATTTCTTCTGGGTCCATTATTGGAGCTTTATTAGTTTCTTTTGGTGCCATCTTTCCCCAGTTTTTCAAAACCCTTGTGTCTTTACACTTATACCTGTGTACTTAAGGAGACCACCACCTCTTCTGGCCTTTATAGTTGTTCTTTGGTGGTGACAGATCTTTACTATTTAGTCTGTCCTGAAGTTCTGGATGCACCAGCTGGCAGCAACCCTCAACAGGCATGTCTTGGTGTTGGTCTTTCTTCTTGTGCTGGGTCACTTCCTGTCCTCTGAGGTTGAATGGTACTGCTGGCTGTGCTCCATGGTCTGGTGAGACTACTGACCAGACTCTACCATTAGGCAGAGTTGTTGTTGGGCTCTGATAGTTTCTGATCAGGCAAGGTTGTTAGGAGATACTTTTGTCTAGAATCTGTCGTTAGGCAGGGCTGTGTGCTTGGCTCTGAGGTTAGGTGATGTCTCTGGGGTTGCTGCTCAGCCACATGGAGTGGGTAGGGCTAGAGACTATCTCTAAAGATATGTATGGATTTGGGCTTGCCTCCTGGCCTAGGGTAGGTTTAAGCAGAGCACTGAGGCTTAGTGGAGTTGCTACTCAGCAGCTGGGTTTGGGTGGGGCAAATGCTCCCTCAGAGGGTACTCACTAGCCTGTAGTTGCCTCCTGGCCTGGGGAAGACTTAGGAGAGCACAGGTGCTTAGTTGGATTACCTCTTGGCCACTGGGGTTGGGTGAGGCTAGATGCTCCCTTCAAGGGTAATCACCAACCTGCAGTTACCTCCTGGCCTGGGAAAGCCTTAAGGAGAGCACTGGGGACATGTGGAAATACTAGCTAGGTACGTGAGTCTGATAGACTTGTAGACATGCTTCCTGCAACATGATGCTATTCGCTAGTATCTCTGGTGTGGTGCCTTTATTGGTCAGAATTCGGAGCAATGGCCAAGGTCTGCACACTGGTCACTGTGAGCCCCACCCCCATTCTTTGTTTCTAACTGACCCAGGTGGTGTAGCCCTGCTGGTACTACCAGTGTTTTCTGTGGGATGAGACAGAAGCGAGCCTCTTGCAAAGGGTCCTAAAATGGTGGAGAAGCTGAATGTCTGCCTCCAACTCATTTTTTCTCAACATAGAAACCATCAGTCTAGGGGGGAGTTTTCTGTGTGTGGTGCTGTGCTGGCTTGAGAAGGGAACATAATCAGGTAGAACCATTCCTCTTGGCCTTCAAGTGTAGCTTTTCTAAGTTCTGTGACGCAGGTGGGTGTCTCAGCCTTACTCCCAAGTTATGGGATATTCATGAAGGTATTCTTGTCTGTTAATAGTTGCTGGTTGAACTTCTGTTGGGGGAAGTGAAGGTGGAGAACTCTAATTTCACCATCTTGCTGAAGTCACTCTCCACAATCATTTATGTTTTGAGTCAGTCTCTATTTTGTTCTCAGGAGCCCTCAATAATTAAAGTAGTTTGTGCCTATATAATAATGTACATATTGAAATGTGGGTACTGAAATCTCTGGTCAGTACATTGTATTAATGTGGCCATTAGGATAAATCTATCAAACTATATATATTTGCTTAAATAAATAAAAACACAAAATTTAAAAATTCTTATAGAAAACTTGTGGATGACTTGGGCTATCTCCATGAAGTTTTAGTTTGGGAAACACTGTGTTCTGCCATGCTTACTCTAATGTCTGAGCCCCAAGGTCTGCCATGTCATGAGTCTTCTCTACTTAGAAACTACTACTGGTAACAATACATACCTTCGACTGTTGTTAGCTTGGTGTCCTCAATGTCTTGGGAAGGTGTTATGGATATATCTCATACATTCCTTAACTTTCCCAAAAAACTCTCCTCTAAGCTATTGCCTATCTAATGCTGACTATTCTTAAAATCCCAGTTTAAGTTCTACCTTCTTCATAAAATCATTCCCAATGTATTAAATCTATATGAATCTCCTTTTCCTGTAGTATTGTATCCATATTTTACTACTTATAATGTTTTTTTGCAACTTAGCGTAATATATTATAGTCTTTTATTGTTTATTCTATGTCTGTTACTCTTGACCCCCAACTAGATTTTAAGAATTTGGGTTCAGGAAATTTAAGTTCTGTGATAGTGTGGTGTCCATTAATTATGGCTCCATTACATATTAACTCTGTGAATGGTAGCCTTTGAAATTGTTTTCACGTTTAAAAATTGACATTGTGAATTCAGAGGAATTAACACATTTAAGAAATCCTATAATATCTTAGGAAAAAGGAACTTCATGGTGGATGTTTTTTCTATACTGAAGAAAAGTATCGATGTAACTGCATGAAGACTTACTAAGAAGATAGCCTGAAAGACATTGAAATTACCGATTATTACTTATAATTGGTGTTAAAATAAACCATCAAAAGAAGCATAAAATAGTTTACAAGTGACTTTGGAGTCCTATAGAGCTTGAATGATGAAAACAAGTAGCTATCAGAAGTGAGTAGTTGACTGAGTATGTAGTATCATGACATAGGCATGAGTTTCCTGTACTATTTGGGCACATGGGGAAAGTTGGAACATACCTGGAAAAACCCAGAAGGCAACCTGAAATTTGAAAGCAGTTTAGAGATAATATTTTGTAGACACATTAAAACCAAATAAGATACAGGAAAGCAAACCTGGCACTGACAGATCAATAGTGGAAATGATGCATTCTCACTGGAGAAAATAAGGAAGAGGAACATTAATAATATTTTTGGCCGGAAATATCTTCACACCAGTGCAGAATATAAATAATGAAGAAAGTGAATTTGGTATGCAAAGACAGTATGTAATTATTATCTTGGGATCATGGTGGGATGGCATTTACAACTAAAATAAGTAATGGAAAAGTCTAAAGACAAACCTTGTTCAAAGAAGACACCAAAAAAAATGGTAGTATACTTGTGAATGTGCTTTTTTTTTCCTCCAAAAAGTTAAAGCAGTGAAGTAAACTTCTAGTCCAAGCCTAATCTGATAAATAAGAGAGAACTGCTTTGAGATGTAAAAATGTAAAAGAGCATAGATAGCAGTGACCTCATTCTGGAGTTTGTAAAACCAATGAAAGGAAATGAGGCATTGTAAGGCCCACTAACTCATGCTAAGTAATGACAGCTCTTATTTATTGAGCAGTTACAATATAAAGGGCATTGTACTAAGAATTTTATATTGATTGCCTCATTTAATTCTATTATCCCAGTTTATTTATAATAGAATATATATGAGTAATATATATTCATATATATGAATAATATATAATAATGAATAATATATATGAACAATATATAACATATATACATAATTATAAAATATATTCTCTTATATAATAAACCTGTGTTTATTTGGTTCTCTCTTTTTCACCTTCATTGTAAGAATTGGGTGATATGGAGGAATGATGCCAGTGATGTTTTCTTTATTCTTCTGTTTGAATTTTATGTTGTTTTTTTGAAACAGAGTCTCAATCTTGTCACCCAGGCTGGATTGCATTGGCATGATCCCGGCTCACCATGACCTCCGCCTTCCGGGTTCAGGCCACTCTCCTCTCTCAGCCTCCCAAGTAGTTGGGATTACAGGCACCTGCCACCACACCTGGCTAATTTTTATATTTTTAGTAGAGACAGAGTTTCACCATGTTGGCCAGGCTGGTCTCGAACTCCTGACCTCAAATGATCCGCCCGCCTCAGCCTCCCAAAGTGCTGAGATTACAGGCATGAGCCACTGCACCCGGCCTGAATTTTACGATCTTTCAAAAGTAGGAGAAAGATATTAACATTTAAAAGGGGATATCATATCAGGATTAGGCTTCGTTGCTAAGAACTTAAAGTTGCAGAAGTTTTAACAGGACAGAAATAATTTCTCCTTCTTGTTAAAGTCTGAAGTTGAATAGTTTATGACTGGTACATATCTGTGCTCCACAACGTTCTTGTGGACTCGGCCTTCTTTCTGTCTTTGCTGCATATAGGCATCATTCTCGAGGTCACCTCATGATCTACTATGGTATGTCTGCTCTAGTTCCAGCCATCACTTCTGTAATGCAACCATCAGTAAGAAGGAAGTGAAGAAAAGCATAGCTCTATGCCATAAAGATACATGCTAGTTCCTCTCACTTCCCTTGGACAAATTTAGTCAGATGGCCACACTTAGCTACAATGAAGGGTGGGAAATGCAAACTTTATTGTAGATATTTGTGTTTCTACCTATTTGGAAGTTCTATTAGTAAATAAAAATGAAACAGACACAGATTGGGAGACATCTAGCAAATATTGACAGATACTGGTAACCAAATTCAAATAGGAAAGGTAAGCGAAACCTGTAATAATTGTGTCAGGAAGGATAAAAGCCTAGTATAATCTGAAGCTTATAGAAGATACTAACAGAACACTGGCTTTTGCTTGTTTAAATTTAAAAAAAATTAGCATAAGCAGTAAACCAAGACAGTGACAGTTCTTTAGGAAAATTCTAATGTTGACAGGTGATGGAGAAATAGTAAATTTAATACTCTTTTGTTTTCACCTCCTCTATCAAAATAATTACTAAAATTTATTATTTTGAGAGAGTCTTGCTTTGTCATATGGGCTGGAGTGCAATGGTGCAATCTTGATCTCCTGGGTTCAAGCGATTTTCGTGCTTCAGCCTCCCAAGTAGCTGGGATTACAGGCATGTGCCGCCATGCCTGGCTTATGTTTGTATTTTTTAGTAGAGACAGGATTATGCCACGTTGGCCAGGCTGGTCTCAAGCTCCTGGCCTTAAGTGATCTACCCACCTCAGCCTCCCAAAGTGTTGGGGTTACAGGCATGAGCCACCGTGCCTGGCTAAAAATAATTAAGCTGGAAGGAGAAGAGCATGTTGATGAGGAATTAAAGCCAAAAATATGATAGCACCTTGATTCTGGCTCTCATTATTGTTTGCTTGCATTATCTCAGCAGCCTTTTTAAAAATTCTTCCTGCTGCTTGAGATGCATTTCCTCTCCTCAACCTCCAATCCAGTAAAGAAAATAACTTCTTTACTCTCACAAATTATTTCTCTGAAAATAAATCTTGTCATTCCACTGCTTAAGCATTATTTTTGTTCTCTATAATTTCTAAGTTCAGACTTCTTACCATGGCACACAAGGCCCTTCATGGTATGTTTTTATGCTTTTGGAGTTCTAGGTTTGCCAAACTTCTCAATGATCATTGACCTTACTAATCCATTGGTATAAATATCATAAATATCTTTCTTTGCCTGCAGAATTCATGGACAGTCTTTAAGACCCAGCTTACATATCTCCACCTTTTTAAAATCACGCAAAGGTGGATAGTTCCTATTCTGTATTCATATGATGTTCTGTATGTATTCCTATTACAGCACTTGTCATGTTGTAAATAAATATGCATTTATTTACACATCTGTCTCGTCTCCCCTGCTAAACTCTAAGTTCCCCAGGGGAAACAATTTTAAACATATTGCTTAGCATCTAGTAAATGTTCAAAATGTTTATTAACTGATTGATGAGCACATGCAGATAGTCTAAATTAGTTCAAGTCCTTAGGGTCAAATGAAATACATGCTAAAAGAGCAAAACAAAAAAATCCATCTATGACTTAGGAGTTATTGCCAGTTATCTTGAAGCAATTTTGGATAGTTGAAGCGTTAAACGACTGGAGATAGGAAATGTCCCAATTTTCATAATGGAGGTAAGAGTATAATCATAGACTCACAAGCTTGAGGCCACACATAATGGTGAAGCAGATTATTAAACAGATGGCTTGTTAGCACCTTAGGAAAAAAATCGAAGTATACATGTCTATTGCTATATTTGAACCCTTCCTACTTCTATAAAGGAGATATTGATTACTAGTAACTGGTAAGTTTTGCTTAGGATAAGTAAATTTATTTCAAACTCTTACCTTTCTTGAAACTTACTGATTAAGAATAGGGCCTGTGTATTTTGTAAGGCATTTGATAATGTCTCTCATGTGCTCCCTATTTTAGTTTTATGTGGGTTAGATAATGTATTTGTGCATTGAAAACTGAAACTGTAAAACTTTATACCAGGCACTCCCTAATTTCAATGATTTTTAACACTATTTTTGCCATATTAATACACTGTCTATTTACTTAGATTTTAAAAATAAACTCATTGTTTTTACTTAAACTTAGCCTCACCCTAAGTAAAAATATCTGTTAAGCCATACCTGTGATATATTTAATAATATACATAACTATTTATAGATTACATAGCTATGAACCAAAAAAATGCTAGTCCATCTATCTTTTTTTATACAACCAATATATAAACTTAATCACTTTCCATGATGTAACCCTAGTGTAAAATAGTTTAGGCTAATTCAAAATACCAATGAGTAGATTTTTATCTATTGCAGCATTTCATGGCACAAAGGCAGTTGATTAATGGATTGATACCAAGTTGGAGGGGTGTTTTGAATGACAAGCTGCAGGGCTGTGACCTTAGGCCTGACCTGCTTGACATTTTTGTTGGTGACTTGAAGACATAGGTGGTGAATGTGTTCAATTTGGAGTGACATAACCCAGAAGGAATAGCTGATATACTGAATGATAGAGCTGATTCAAGAAATGTTTGAGATTTAGATTATAGATGAAAAATAGAAACATGATAGGAATTAATGTAGAAGATACAAAATAAATTAACAAAGATGTTCAAATATAGAAAAGAGAAGATATTGCAAAAATATTTAAGCGTTTTGATTGGCCACAGACTCATTAGGAGCCAAAAATCTTAGCTGACAACTAGATACAGATGTTCTAGAAAGTAAATGCAAAGTTAGGTTCCAGGTGATATGCTCAAGAAAATGCTTTAAAACTGAAGCATCTATTCTAAAACACTAAAAATAGAAGTACCTTTTGAGAAGTGTCTGTTCGTGTCCTTCGCCCACTTTTTGATGGAGTTGTTTGTTTTTTTCTTGTAAATTTGTTGGAGTTCATTGTAGATTCTGGATATTAGCCCTTTGTCAGATGAGTAGGTTGCGAAAATTTTCTCCCATTCTGTAGGTTGCCTGTTCACTCTGATGGTAGTTTCTTTCGCTGTGCAGAAGCTCTTTAGTTTAATGAGATCCCATTTGTCAATTTTGACTTTTGTTGCCATTGCTTTTGGTGTTTTAGACATGAAGTCCTTGCCCATGCCTATGTCCTGAATGGTAATGCCTAGGTTTTCTTCTAGGGTTTTTATGGTTTTAGGTCTAATGTTTAAGTCTTTAATCCATCTTGAATTAATTTTTGTATAAGGTGTAAGGAAGGGATCCAGTTTCAGCTTTCTACATATCGCTAACCAGTTTTCCAGTACCATTTATTAAATAGGGAATCCTTTCCCCATTGCTTGTTTTTCTCAGGTTTGTCAAAGATCAGATAGTTGTAGATATGCGGCGTTATTTCTGAGGGCTCTGTTCTGTTCCATTGATCTATATCTCTGTTTTGGTACTAGGACCATGCTGTTTTGGTTACTGTAGCCTTG
This sequence comes from Homo sapiens, assembly GCF_000001405.40. NCBI lineage: Eukaryota > Metazoa > Chordata > Mammalia > Primates > Hominidae > Homo > Homo sapiens. Next base: position 180,462,395 of record NC_000003.12, on the reverse strand, counting down.
TAGTATAGTTTGAAGTCAGGTAGTGTGATGCCTCCAGCTTTGTTCTTTTGGCTTAGGATTGACTTGGCGATGTAGGCTCTTTTTTGGTTCCATATGAACTTTCAAGTAGTTTTTTCCAATTCTGTGAAGAAAGTCATTGGTAGCTTGATGGGGATGGCACTGAATCTGTAAATTACCTTGGGCAGTATGGCCATTTTCACGATATTGATTCTTCCTACCCATGAGCATGGAATGTTCTTCCATTTGTTTGTATCCTCTTTTATTTCATTGAGCAGTGGTTTGTAGTTCTCCTTGAAGAGGTCCTTCATGTCCCTGGTAAGTTGGATTCCTAGGTATTTTATTCTCTTGAAGAAGACATTTATGCAGCCAAAAGACACATGAAAAAATGCTCACCATCACTGGCCATCAGAGAAATGAAAATCAAAACCACAACGAGATACCATCTCACACCAGTTAGAATGGCAATCATTAAAAAGTCAGGAAACAACAGGTGCTGGAGAGCATGTGGAGAAATAGGAACACTTTTACACTGTTGGTGGGACTGTAAACTAGTTCAACCATTGTGGAAGTCAGTGTGGCGATTCCTCAGGGATCTAGAACTAGAAATACCATTTGACCCAGCCATCCCATTACTGGGTATATACCCAAAGGACCATAAATCATGCTGCTATAAAGACACATGCACACGTATGTTTATTGCGGCACTATTCACAATAGCAAAGACTTGGAACCAACCCAAATGTCCAACACTGATAGACTGGATTAAGAAAATGTGGCATATATACACCATGGAATACTATGCAGCCATAAAAAATGATGAGTTCATGTCCTTTGTAGGGACATGGATGAAATTGGAAATCATCATTCTCAGTAAACTATCACAAGAACAAAAAACCAAACACCGCATATTCTCACTCATAGGTGGGAATTGAACAATGAGAACACATGGACACAGGAAGGGGAACATCACACTGTGGGGACTGTTGTGGGGTGGGGGAAGGGGGGAGGGATAGCTTTAGGAGATATACCTAATGTTAAATGATGAGTTAATGGGTGCAGCACACCAACATGGCACATGTATACATATGTAACTAACCTGCACATTGTGCACATGTACCCTAAAACTTTATAATAATAAAAAATAAAAAAGTATGTTCACAAAAAACCCAGCACATTGCTCTTTACAACTTTATATAACTGACAAACAAGATGTCCTTCAGTAGGTGAATGGATAAGTAAATGGTGGTATATCAGTACTAAATAAAATGAACTATCAAGCCATAAAATGATAAAATGAACTATCAAGCCATGAAAAGACATAAAGAAAACTTGAATGCATATTACTAAGTAAAAGAAGCCAATCTGAAAAAGCTAAATATGGAATGATTCCAATTATATGACATTATGGAAAAGGAAAACTATAGAGACAGAAAAAATGAGTGGTTGCCAGAGGTTAGCGGGGAGAGAGAGGGATGAATAGGCAGAGCACTGTGGGGTTTTAGAGCAGTGAAATTATTCTGTATGATACTACAGTGATGGATATGTGTCATTATACCCTTGTCCATCCCGCAGAATGTACAACACCAAGTGTGAACCCTAATATAAATATGGAATTTGGGTTACCAGGTTGTGTCAGTGTAGGTTCATTGGAACAATGTACCACTGTGGTGCAAGATGTTGGTTGTGGGGAAGGTTGTGAGTGTGTAGGGATACATGGGGAATATGGGAACTCTCTGTACTTTCTGCTCAATTTTGCTGTGAACTGAAAACTTCTCTAAAAAATAAAGTTTATTAATTAAAAAAAAATAGAAGTACCATTCAACCAAGCAATCCCACTACTGGGTATCTACCCAAAGGAAAAGAAATCATTATATAAAATGATACCTGCACTCATGTTTGTCACAGCACTATTCCCAATAGCAAAGTCATGGAATCAACCTAAGTATCCATTAATAGATGATCAGAAAAAGAAAATGTGGCATATATACACCATGGAATACCATGCAGACATAAAAAAGAATGAAATCATGTCTTTTGCAGCAATATGGATGCAGCTAGACGCCATTGTCCTAACTGAGATAACTCCAAAGCAGAAAATAATGTACCACAAGTTCTCGCTTACAAGTGGCAGCTAAACAAGGGTCATAAAGATGGACATAATAGACATTGGAGACTCCAAAAGCAGGGGACAGTAGGGAGGATGAGGGTTGAAAAATTACCTATTGAGTATAATGTTCACTATTTGGGTGATGGGTACACTGGAATCCCAAACCTCAACATTACACAATATATCAAAGTAATAAACCTGCACATGTACCTCCTGGATCTAAAATAACAATAATAAAACTGAAGTATCCAAATTAAGACAGTTGATTAGGCTGATCAATCCACAGCTGGAATTTTGTGTTCAATTCTACCATATCATCCAGGAAAAAGGTAGATTTATAGATCCTGTCATACAAGAGACAGTTGAAGGAACTGAAGTAAGTATAAAGGAAAACATTCTAAGGTAAGTGTGATGGTTAATTTTATGTGTCGACTGGGCTAAGGGATGCTTGGATCGCTGGTAAAACACCATTTCAGGGGTGTTTCTGGAAAAGATTGGCATTTGAATCAGTAGGCTGAGTAAAGATCTCCTTCACCAGTATAGGCTGGCATCATCCAGTCCATTGAGGGCCCAAATAGAACAAAATGGCAGAGGGAAGGCAGAGGATTTGTTCTCTGTTTGAGCTGGAACATCCATCTTCTTTTGGCTTAAAAAAAATTTAATTTTTAATTTTTTTGTGGGTACATATTAGGTATATATATTTACGGGGTACATGAGATGACATTTTGCCTTTGGCACTATTGGGTCTCATGACTTCAGCGTCAGACTGAATTAACACCATCAGCTTTCCTGGGTCTCCAGCTTGCAGAGGGCAGATCATAGGATTTCTTGGCCTCCATAATCCAATTTTCATAATAAAAATCTCTCTCCATATACATATATATATATATCTGTTCTATCTCTCTCCATATATATGTATATATATGTACATGCATATATGTATACATATACGCATGTACATGTATATATGTATACATATACGCATGTACATGTATATATGTATACATATATGCATGTACATGTGTATATGTATACATGTATGCATGTACATGCGTATATGTATACATATATGCATGTATATGTATATGTATACATGTATACATATATGCATGTATATGTATACATATATACAGACATATATTCTGTTTAGTTGCAAAAATAGATTAAATGATCAAATCATTTCACAGCCCTGTTAATTGAGTTTTCATAATAATTAAATTACATAGTTGTTTAATGATCCAATTAACTGTTCTGCAAATTGACCTTCAGATAACTTTGTAGTTCTGGCCTAAGTCAAGTAAACACGCTTGAAACTTTGGACTGGGTTAATAAAATGATGCTGCCAGATTTAACTAATTTGGGGGGAATCAAAGGGAGACTTCAGACAACCACATCATTATTCAACCCAGGCAAAAAAAACATATGTCTTGGCAATACATTAGACATCACTTTTTGCCTTTACTTTTAGATGTTACCTTCGAGAAGTTAATATCATTTTCCAAAAAGATTATTTGGCTAGCTAGATATGCTGCCACTGGGTGATAATAGCCGCTACTGCCAATACTTCCAAAAAAGAGAGGCTTAAGTTCCAGAACGATTTTCTAGGATTTCTAAGTCATAGTACTTTTTGTGCCTTCATGACTTAATCACCATTTTTCTGTATATTTTCATTTTATAGAAAATAAAAGTCTTGGCTGGGCATGGTGGCTCACGCCTGTAATCCCAGCACTTTGGGAGCCTGAGGCAGGCAGATCACAAGGTCAGGAGTTCGATACCAGCCTGGCCAATATGGTGAAACCCCATCTCTGCAAAAAGTACAAAAATTAGTCGGGCATGGTGGTGGGTGCCTGTAGTCCCAGCTACTTGGGAGGCTGAGGCAGGAGAATTGCTTGAACCTTGGAGGCAGATGTTGCAGTGAGCTGAGATTGCACTACTGCACTGCAGCCTGGGTGACAGTGAGACTCCTTCTCAAAAAAAAAAAAAAAAGAAAAAAGTCTTATATCAGGTGATTTTAAGTCTAATGATAATTTAGAAAAAAGAATATAGAGATGGATGAATGTTTATGGCGTAATTCATTACCATTATCACTAACCCTTCACTGCTCCCATGAATCAATAAAAATCTTAGCTTGAAATCAAGGCACTTCCTAGCTACCATGTTCCCTCTTTGGAATACCTTCATCTCAGTGCTTGGCTTGTTTCTCTCAGTAGCCAATGAAGCACTGCCTCAGGAATGAGAAGCTTATTGGTCTTTTTTTCCTCCCTTCCCCAGACTATTCACACTAATCATAGAAAAGCTTTAGTTTGCCTTTATAGTCTTACTACTTTGAAATTCCCTTTTTATTTTTCTTTGATGTGTGCTAATAGCAAACCATAAAACATATTCCTTTCTAAAAAATAAGCAATTGAGTTAAAACACTTTGAAATTATACTAGCCTTTTCTGTAGATTTTTGATATAAATCTTAATCTTCATTTTCTTCGCAATTTTCAGAAAGTGTATTTGCATTACCAAAGATGGATTATAGTAATTACCACTACTTTCTGTAATGAAATAGATATAGTTTTGGGGGGAATTCTGACTTTAATTCCTTTAATTCACTTGCTGGCATCAATAATCTTCACACTGATGAGGCTAGAGGCAAGGGAGAGAAAGAGGATGAAGTAAGAGAGATTGTGGTGATGCAAGGACTGCATTTTCTTCTTCAGTTACTAAAGCTAATGGACACAAAAAGTTTTAGGATGTGAACTCTGCAGATGTATTTTTAAGGTATTCACAAAAACTGGTTATGCAAGTTGCCTGTACTTTCTCTGTTGCTCAGGCACCTAAATGACCTCAATCCACTCAGGGCTCTCCACTATGTCATGCTATTTTTGAGCAGGAAGACATTGCTTAAGGCTAGCCTTTGCAAAAATGGAGAAGAAATTTTGTGTAGGAGGAAAAAGTCCCTCTGTGTTTAACTGACCACTTTACCAGTTACAAGAAAGATTTCTTCTTGCTCAATAGCTTTAGTTGTCAATGAGAAAAATAAGAAGTGCAGAGTAAGCCTTAGAAAAGGTTAAAGATAAGAAAAATACATCTTATACATAGTACATTTATATATAAAATAGATAGTGCTTTCACACTGTGTACATGGTTGTAAGAGATATTTAGGAGAGGCAAAAGATCATTCAGATTAGCAAATCTTTCTTCCAGAGGTCAACAGGAAAAACTCTTTAAATAACATTGCATGCAGCTTTTATATTCTTAAACTTTCTTCTAATGGTCAGTGGAGTTAAAAGTGATCTCCAAACCATTTCTTTAGTATATGGTGAGAATACCTTTTGATTCCATATTAAATAAGGGATTACTAGTTTTCTTTTAATCAAAAATGTCTAAGTTGGCAAAAAAGGTATGACATCAGTGTGACATGATGCAAGGAACAGGGAATGTGAAAACCTAGATTGTAGTCCAGGTTCTTCACTTTAATATTATAGCTATGTGGCCTTAGGAAACTTTAATTCATCAGCTACAATTTGTTCACTGGCAATGGAAGGAGTGATAATGGCTGCCCTGCCTTCCTTATAGGGTTCTGATGGACATCACTTGGGAATGTTGAGAAATGATCTACCATAATAGCCACCATCAAACCCAGTTGTTTCAAAAAATGGCCAGCCTAGAAAGTCCTCAGCTCCACACATCAAACACTCCACATCCTCATTTTGAAACATCCCCAAACTGCTGCTTGCCTTTCTACAGTCAACCAAGAACTGCCAAATTATCTGAAGACCAATTAGAAAGTTTTTGCTACTTCTAAAAATCCCATCTTAATAGAACACTTGACAATCGGATTGTTTCAGTATTTCCTCTATCAAACTTAGTCTCCTTTCTAAAACTTCTGAACCCCTGCTGAAACAAAAGATAAGTTTCTTTGCTCCAATTTTATGAACAAACACCCTTTCTTAATTTTGTCTTGAACTTAGGTTTGCCTTTGACAATATGTTTATGTCAGTACTTATAATAAATGTGTTCCATAAATGTAAACACTGCTGCAGAGTTTTACATTTGTTACAGGAGATGGCAAAATTAAAAATAAGCTTTAAGGGATCAAACTTAAGTTCATTTTGGAAAAGCAGACTGTAAATAGATACCTGTTTTCATGCTTCAGAATCTAGGCTAATCATGTTCGATACCAACCATCATTTATAAGTGCTTTATTGGTACCATTTTGGAGTTAGCAGAGTGTGTCTCTGGAAGCTGACTGCCTAGCTTTGATCCCTGGTTCTAGCACTTACTAGCTGTATGAACGGGATAAGTTATTCAATAAATGCTAACATTTATAGAGCACTTACTGTAATTTAGGCACTGTGATAAATATGTGAATTATTTCATTGACTCTTCAGTGAGATAGGTATTATTATCATGCTCATTTTAGAGAGACTGAGAAAGGCAAATAATTTGCCCAAGATCACACCCAGCAGTTTCCATGTCAATAAATCAAGAAATAGTGTATAGATCAAAGTATTGTTGAAATAATTACATGAGACAAGGCATGTACACTGTTAGTCTAGTGAACTATCTGATATATAGGGATTATTCAGGAAATGTTTATTATAATTATTCTTACAGCTTTTGTTTTTCTTTTTTTGAGACAGTCTTGTTCTGTTGCCCAGGCTGGAGGGCAGTGGCATGATCTTGGCCTGCTGCAACATCTGCCTCCGGGTTTAAGTGATTCTCATGCCTTAGCCTCTCAAGGAGCTGGGATTACAGGCATGCATCACCACACTCAGCTGATTTTTTGTATTTTTAAAAGAGATGGGGTTTTGCTATATTGGTCAGGCTGGTCCAAAAATCCGGGCCTCAAATGATCTGCCCGCCATGGCTTCCCAAAGTACTGGGATTATAGGCGTGAGCCACCATGCCTGGCTTATTCTTATAACTATTGTAAGGTGAAAATAAAGTGTCTAATTATTAAGGTCAAGAGACTTCAGCTGACCTTAAAAAACAAAGCATAAGGTGAGGAAGGATAAATGACATACAGTAGTCCTCTCTTATCCATTATGGGCATGTTCTAAGACCTCCAGTGGATGCCTGAAACACATATAGTACCAAATCCTATACATACTATGTTTTTTCTTATATGCACATATCTATGATAAAATGTAGTTTATAAATTAAACACAATAGGAGATCAACAATAATAATAAAACAATTATTACAGTTATACTGTAATAAAAATTATGTGAATGTGTGCTTTCTTTCTCATTCTCTGTCTCTCAGAATCTCTTAATATTTTTGGACTGGGGAAATTGAAACTGGAGAGTGAACTGTGAATAAGCAGGGACAGCTGTATTAGTATTGTAAAATAGAGACTGTTAGGTTAGTCAGAGAAGAATTTGTAAGAACAAATGCTCTTTAATTGAAACCTTGCCATTGACACAGGAAAATGTCAAGAAGAAAAAGATACTGATATATTGATAGCGTCTGGTGGAAGACAGCTAGGGGCAGTTGTAAAACAAAGAAAATAACTGTAAGAATTATAATGATACACAGCAGGGGCTGAGTTTGGAGAAAGAGCACACCTACCTAGGAGTCATTGCTGCTCTAGAATTACTCCATTCAAAGGATCAATATTTAAAGCTATGAGATGTGGGGAACATTATATCTCGTCCTACTCATGCCTTAATATTTGAAATGCCAAGACATTATAGGTAAGTCAGTATTTTGAAGGACTGGGGAAAATGGTAGTGGCCTGTAGATCATAGTTCACCATAGTAGGACTTGGTTGTGTAGATGAATAGGACATGATTTTAAGTTTGGTTAGTCAATCAGTGTAGAAAGATCCGGGTCACTGCAGGAAATTAAAAACTCCAGTAGGAGTGGTGCTAGGAGAAGACTTCAGAAAATAAAGAGACCTCTAAGGTAGCAAAAGAAAAAAGCAAGAAGATGAGAAACAGGTGGAAAGGAATATCAAGGACAAATTGTGCTTAATTTATTATTTTTCTTCACTCCAGTCCCAATTTTAACAATGTCCATAAAAGAACAACGATTCTACTTACCTAATCTCTATTGATTAATTGATAAAAACTCTTTAAGTGTGAGACATTGTGAGACTAATGGGAATTTAAGACCAGTTGGGAGAACACCAGGGTCATTGCAGGCCAATGAATGAGCTACTTTGAGGTTTGCAAAGCCATTTATATTGCTCTCTATAATATTTGCCTAGTCATTTAACCTCTGGGCTTCAGTTACTTCATCTGTAAAATGATGATGTGGAACTATATGATCTCTGGGAACTTTGCAGCATTAAAATGTTAAGAATCTCTTTGGCTTACTTTTAAGGAAGTGACATAATTCCTTTTGGTTAATAAAATATCAAGAGAAGTTCACATCTCACAAGTGTCGATGCAAATGGATTTATGCATACTCGCTCACATGTACGCATATGTAGTGTTATAATCATGAAAATACATAACTGGAGTGAGTGTCATAAAATTGAAGAGAAATCCAGCTGACAAAATATTTTGTGTTTGCAACATGAAAGAACATGAACGCTTTTACACGGAGAATCTTCTGGCCAAAGGTGAGGGGATGTAGCAATTTATGTAAGTAAATTCAAACGATATTTACTCACAAAGTGAGATCATCCGTCCTTCGCTCTGTATCCCTGTGTCTTTAAGAGGATAACAATTCCTTTTCTAGTTTCTTGCCCATAACTTGAAAATACCTTTGTCCCAAGGATTTTTCATTTTGTTTTTAAATTTATTTATTTATTTATTTTTTATTTTATTATTATTATACTTTAAGTTTTAGGGTACATGTGCACAATGTGCAGGTTAGTTACATATGTATACATGTGCCATGCTGGTGTGCTGCACCCATTAACTCGTCATTTAGCATTAGGTATATCTCCTAATGCTATCCCACCCCCCTCCCCCCACCCCACAACAGTCCCCACAGTGTGATGTTCCCCTTCCTGTGACCATGTGTTCTAATTGTTCAATTCCCACCTATGAGTGAGAATATTACAGTCCCACCAACAGTGTAAAAGTGTTCCTATTTCTCCACATCCTCTCCAGCACCTGTTGTTTCCTGACTTTTTAATGATTGCCATTCTAACTGGTGTGAGATGTTATCTCATTGTGGTTTGGATTTGCATTTCTCTGATGGCCAGTGAGGGTGAGCATTTTTTCATGTGTTTTTTGGCTGTATAAATGTCTTCTTTTGAGAAGTGTCTGTTCATGTCCTTTGCCCACTTTTTGATGGGGTTCTTTGTTTTTTTCTTGTAAATTTGTTTGAGTTCATTGTAGATTCTGGATATTAGCCCTTTCTCAGATGAGTAGGTTGCGAAAGGTTGCCTGTTCACTCTGATGGTAGTTTCTTTTGCTGTGCAGAAGCTCTTTAGTCTTGTAAGTTGGATTCCTAGGTATTTTATTCTCTTTGAAGCAATTGTGAATGGGAGTTCACTCATGATTTGGCTCTCTGTTTGTCTGTTATTGCTGTATAAGAATTCTTGTGATTTTTGTACATTGATTTTGTATCCTGAGACTTTGCTGAAGTTGCTTATCAGCTTAAGGAGATTTTGGGCTGAGACGATGGGGTTTTCTAGATATACGATCATGTCATCTGCAAACAGGGACAATTTAACTTCCTCTTTTCCTAATTGAATACCCTTTATTTCCTTCTCCTGCCTGATTGCCCTGGCCAGAACTTCCAACACTATGTTGAATACGAGTGGTGAGAGAGGGCATCCCTGTCTTGTGCCAGTTTTCAAAGGGAATGCTTCCAGTTTTTGCCCATTCAGTATGATATTGGCTGTGGGTTTGTCATAGATAGCTCTTATTATTTTGAGATACGTCCCATCAATACCTAATTTATTAAGAGTTTTTAGCATGAAGGGTTGTTGAATTTTGTCAAAGGCCTTTTCTGCATTTATTGAGATAATCATGTGGTTTTTGTCTTTGGTTCTGTTTATATGCTGGATTACGTTTATTGATTTGCATATATTGAACCAGCCTTGCATCTCAGGGATGAAGCCCACTTGATCATGGTGGATAAGCTTTTTGATGTGCTGCTGGATTCGGTTTGCCAGTATTTTATTGAGGATTTTTGCATCAATGTTCATCAAGCATATTGGTCTAAAATTCTCTTTTTTGGTTGTGTCTCTGCCCGGCTTTGGTATCAGGATGATGCTGGCCTCATAAAATGAGTTAGGGAGGATTCCTTCTTTTTCTATTGATTGGAATAGTTTCAGAAGGAATGGTACCAGTTCCTCCTTGTACCTCTGGTAGAATTCGGCTGTGAATCCATCTGCTCCTGGACTCTTTTTGGTTGGTAAGCTATTGATTATTGCCACAATTTCAGAGCCTGTTATGTCTATTCAGAGATTCAACTTCTTCCTGGTTTAGTCTTGGGAGAGTGTATGTGTCGAGGAATTTATCCATTTCTTCTAGATTTTCTGGTTTATTTGTGTAGAGGTGTTCGTAGTATTCTCTGATGGTAGTTTGTATTTCTGTGGGATCAGTGGTGATATCCCCTTTATCATTTTTTATTGTGTCTATTTGATTCTTCTCTCTTTTCTTCTTTATTAGTCTTGCTAGCGGTCTATCAATTTTGTTGATCCTTCAAAAAACTAGCTCCTGGATTCACTAATTTTTTGAAGGGTTTTTTGTGTCTCTATTTCCTTCAGTTCTGCTCTGATTTTAGTTATTTCTTGCCTTCTGCTAGCTTTTGAATGTGTTTGCTCTTGCTTTTCTAGTTCTTTTAATTGTGATGTTAGGGTGTCAATTTTGGATCTTTCATGCTTTCTCTTGTGGGCATTTAGTGCTATAAATTTCCCTCTACACGCTGCTTTGAATGTGTCCCAGAGATTCTGGTATGTTGTGTCTTTGTTCTCGTTGTTTTCAAAGAACATCTTTATTTCTGCCTTCATTTCGTTATGTACCCAGTAGTCATTCAGGAGCAGGTTGTTCAGTTTCCGTGTAGTTGAGCGGTTTTGGGTCAGTTTCTTAATCCTGAGTTCTAGTTTGATTGCACTGTGGTCTGAGAGACAGTTTGTTATAATTTCTATTCTTTTACATTTGCTGAGGAGAGCTTTACTTCCAAGTATGTGGTCAATTTTGGAATAGGTGTGGTGTGGTGCTGAAAAAAATGTATATTCTGTTGATTTGGGGTGGAGAGTTCTGTAGATGTCTATTAGGTCCGCTTGGTGCAGAGCTGAGTTCAATTCCTGGGTATCCTTGTTAACTTTCTGTCTCATTGATCTGTCTAATGTTGACAGTGGGGTGTTAAAGTCTCCCATTATTATTGTGTGGGAGTCTAAGTCTCTTTGTAGGTCACTCAGAACTTGCTTTATGAATCTGGGTGCTCCTGTATTGGGTGCATATATATTTAGGATAGTTAGCTGTTCTTGTTGAATTGATCCCTTTACCATTATGTAATGGCCTTCTTTGTCTCTTTTGATCTTTGTTGGTTTAAAATCTGTTTTATCAGAGACTAGGATTGCAACCCCTGCCTTTTTTGTTTTCCATTTTTTTGGTAGATCTTCCTCCATCCTTTAATTTTGAGCCTATGTGTGTCTCTGCACGTGAGATGGGTTTCCTGAATACAACACACTGATGGGTCTTGACTCTTTATCCAATTTGCCAGTCTGTGTCTTTTAATTGGAGCATTTAGTCCATTTACGTTTAACGTTAATATTGTTATGTGTGAATCTGATCCTGTCATTATGATGTTAGCTGGTTATTTTGCTCGTTAGTTGATGCAGTTTCTTCCTAACCTTGATGGTCTTTACAATTTGGCATGATTTTGCAGCGGCTGGTACCGGTTGTTCCTTTCCATGTTTAGTGCTTCCTTCAGGAGCTCTTTTAGGGCAGGCCTGGTGGTGACACAATCTCTCAACATTTGCTTGTCCGTAAAGGATTTTATTTCTCCTTCACTTATGAAGCTTAGTTTGGCTGGATATGAAATTCTAGGTTGAAAATTCTTTTCTTTAAGAATGTTGAATATTGTCCCCCACTCTCTTCTGGCTTGTAGAGTTTCTGCTGAGAGATCAGCTGTTAGTCTGATGGGCTTCCCTTTGTGGGTAACCCGACCTTTCTCTCTGGCTGCCCTTAACATTTTTTCCTTCGTTTCTACTTTGGTGAATCTGACAATTATGTGTCTTTGAGTTGCTCTTCTCGAGGAGTATTTTTGTGGTGTTCTCTGTATTTCCTGAATCTGAATGTTGGCCTGCCTTGCTAGATTGGGGAAGTTCTTCTGGATAATATCCTGCAGAGTGTTTTCCAACTTGGTTCCATTCTCCCCGTCACTTTCAGGTACACCAATCAGACGTAGATTTGTTCTTTTCACATAGTCCCATATTTCTTGGAGGCTTTGTTCGTTTCTTTTTATTCTTTTTTCTCTAAACTTCCCTTCTCGCTTCATTTCATTGATTTCATCTTCCATCACTGATACCCTTTCTTCCAGTTGATCGCATTGGCTCCTGAGGCTTCTGCATTCTTCACGTAGTTCTCGAGCCTTGGCTTTCAGCTCCATCAGCTCCTTTAAGCACTTCTCTGTATTGGTTATTCTAGTTATACATTCTTCTAAATTTTTTTCAAAGTTTTTAACTTCTTTGCCTTTGGTTTGAATTTCCTCCTCTAGCTTGGAGTAGTTTGATCGTCTGAAGGCTTCTTCTCTCAACTCGTCAAAGTCATTCTCCGTCCAGCTTTGTTCCATTGCTGTTGAGGAACTGCATTCCTTTGGAGGAGGAGAGGCGCTCTGCTTTTTAGAGTTTCCAGTTTTTCTGTTCTGTTTTTTCCCCATCTTTGTGGTTTTATCTACTTTTGGTCTTTGATGATGGTGATGTACAGATGAGTTTTTGGTGTGGATGTCCTTTGTTTGTTAGTTTTCCTTCTAACAGACAGGACCCTCAGCTGCAGGTCTGTTGGAGTTTGCTAGAGGTCCACTCCAGACCCTCTTTGCCTGGGTATCAGCATCAGTGGCTGCAGAACAGTGGATTTTCGTGAACCGCGAATGCTGCTGTCTGATCGTTCCTTTGGAAGTTTTGTCTCAGAAGAGTACTGGGCCGTGTGAGGTGTCAGTCTGCCCCTACTGGGGGGTGCCTCCCAGTTAGGCTGCTCAGGGGTCAGGCGTCAGGGACCCACTTGAGGAGGCAGTCTGCCCGTTCTCAGATCTCCAGCTGCGTGCTGGGAGAACCACTGCTCTCTTCAAAGCTGTCAGACAGGGACATTTAAATCTGCAGAGGTTACTGCTGTCTTTTTGTTTGTCTGTGCCCTGCCCCCAGAGGTGGAGCCTACAGAGACAGGCAGGCCTCCTTGAGCTGTGGTGGGCTCCACCCAGTTCGAGCTTCCTGGCTGCTTTGTTTACCTAAGCAAGCCTGGGCAATGGTGGGTGCCCCTCCCCCAGCCTCACTGCTGCCTTCCAGTTTGATCTCAGACTGCTGTGCTAGCAATCAGCGAGACTCCGTGGGCGTAGGACCCTCCGAGCCATGTGCGGGATATAATCTCCTGGTGTGCCGTTTTTTAAGCCCGTCGGAAAAGCGCAGTATTTGGGTGGGAGTGACCTGATTTTCCAGGTGCCGTCTGTCACCCCTTTCTTTGACTTGGAAAGGGAACTCCCTGACCCCTTGCGCTTCCCGAGTGAGGCAATGCCTCGCCCTGCTTCAGCTTGCGCACGGTGCCCTGCACCCGCTGTCCTGCGTCCACTGTCTGGCACTCCCTAGTGAGATGAACCCAGTACCTCAGATGGAAATGCAGAAATCACCCGTCTTCTTCGTCGCTCACTCTGGGAGCTGTAGACCAGAGCTGTTCCTATTCGGCCATCTTGGTTGCCTCCCCACGATTTTTCATTTTGATAAGCATTTCTCTCAAAGATTAAAGCCAAGATTGACTAAACTCACCCTTAGGAAGTATTTTAATTTAATTTTTCAAATTATTCAACCATTGCCAAGGTTCTATTGACAACTTCTTATGCAAAAAGCTTTATGAACTTAAAGCTTTAGATATGGCCAGCGGACCTGTACCTCATGAGGTTGGGATTTAAGGCAGGGTGAGGCCATCCTTTCTTACTACTGGAAGTGATGAGGCTTAATGGAAATGGGAACAATGGGGTTAAGCACTGAATAAAGAAAGAGAAAAAAAGAAAAGTAAGGCTGGGACTCTCTCAACCTAAACCAACTTAAAACACTCATGAAATCCTACAGAGAGAGGGCTACAGCTGATGTTTCTGAGTAATACAATGTTATATAAGAGAAACTGCTGATGAACATAAAAAGCTACTAACAAAGATAGAAAAGAGAAGAAAGACGAGTAGATAAAGAAATAAGGTCTTTTGTGCAAATGGAAGGCCTCAGTGCTTTTCCATATGATGTGTACAAGTTGCTTATATTAGTGGCATAAACAAGAGATACATTTCCAAAGGACAGTTTGAAATTGTTGGTTTTTTCTGCAGAGCCAGCAATAAAGACAATGAAGACTAACCAAAAGTTTAAGATTATTTCCTATGCTTATGTCATGTTTTCACTTATTCATTATTTTTATGAAAATAAGCACATAATTTACCTATTTTTTTATTTTCTAATCACTGGATAAAATATATGAAAAAAACATGCCCTTGCCCTTAAGGAGTTTAAAATCTATTTGGAAATAAAATATAATGTTTTATTTTTATTAATTCCCCATATGGCTCTGATACAGTAACTCATAAGAGACCTGAAAAATCAGGTAAAAATTTTTCCTCTGAAATTCTTAAGAGGGGTTGATAATAGTGTTTCCTTTATGTAAAAATCGGCTAAAAGATAACTTAGTATGTTTTATTAGGCTGTTAGAGCCAAATTTATTTTCATCTTCAATATGCTGTAATTTTATTCAGAACCTATTTTTATTCTGCTAGATATTTCAATCCATAAATCCACATGGCCCAAGGGAAAAATGTCCTGGGAATGAATCATCTGTTCTGCTCAGTAGTTAGACTGCTGAGGTTGCAACAACTGGAACGAACGCCTGCTTTGCATGATCTCCCTTTATCTCCATAGAGCCCTTTAAACTTGTTCACACTCCCTCACTCTCCTTGGGGGAAAACTTCTAGCATCTGGTAGCTGGGACTAAATGTAAGTTAGAAATAGATGCTTTACTCTGTTTGTTATTTGGAGCCAGCCTTCTAGTTTTCTAGTTTGCTCTGGGCATGTAAAGCATGGTGGTGGAGGTGATAGTAGAGGTGTATATGTTTTTCAGGAAAATAGGAGTGATGATAAAAGTGAATGAGGTGGTATGAAATAGAAACCATGTAATATTAGGAACCTTTGGTAAAGATGCTGAAGTTACTTCTACTGGAGAGGAAAGAAATTTAAGGGAAACATAATAGTTGTCTTCAAATATCTGAAAGGTTGACATGTGAGGACTAAAAAAGATGATGGTGACTTTTAAGGTTCTAATAACTTCTAAGGAGTGGGAGATAGTGAGGCTCAGCATTTGGCTCAACCTAAGGAAGAACACAGACGTTCCCTATTCTTATTGAAGCAGAAGCTAGTAGACTGTTCTGGTCTTGTAGAGGTGGAGTAGAGGAAATTAGACAAGGCAGTGATACTGGGATGGGACTTGGGACAGGGAAAGCAAATGCATTGAATTCCTGTGCCAAGTGTGGTCAAGTTGTAAGGACTGCCTGGAGCACTGCGGGCCTCTGACACTATCCAAGCTTACGAGGAAGAAATGCTATGATTGATTAGACTAGATGTGCATGTTGTGCATTTTCTCTCCCTGGACATTCCTTCAATATCCTCTCCACTCCTTAGATTTGATGATGCCAAGGTGGTACTACTTGGTGCTACTACTAGCCCAACATACCTACCCTGCCCTATAGATTCAAAAGGCAACTTGGATCCATATTACTTGCTTTGTCTACCACTCCTTATAGTCTGTTACTCGAGTGGATAAGTGAGTAGTTGGATTGGCCTGATTTGATTGAAAGCTTATGAGAATTTTACTCCCTGCTGAGGTATGGGATTAATAAAATTCCAAGGAAGCATAGTGATATACTGGAACATAATTTGGCTTCTACCCCACCACTCCACTGAGGTTGCCTCCACCAATGATGCCATGAAGACTGTTTTACCAAAACCAAAGTGCACTTGACAACTTTTGAAGCACTTTATCTCTAGGCTCATATGATGCTGCTTCCCTCTGCTTTTTTTCTACCTTACTAACTGCTCCTTCTTGGTTTCTTTTACCCAAATCCACACACCAGAGTCAGATTCTTTTTAAGAAATGATAAAAATATATCTACCCTTTTATCTACTATTCCTGTAGATTTAATTGCTAGTCTTATATTGATAATTCTAACATTTCTAAATATAGTCAAGATCTTCAATCTGACCATTCTGTCTGACAACTTGCTTGAAATTACTTCTTGGATGGCTCACAGGTATCTGAAATTTACCATTCAGTATGGACTGTTGATCCACCCCTTATCTCTTTCCTCTCCTCTTAACCATCCCATTGCACAACCGGCCACTCAGTTTATCATCTAGGAAATCTGAAGCTTATTCTTGATTCTTTTCCTTCTTCTACATCCTGACTCCTCATCCAATCTATCATCATAAATATCTACAAACTACATTTGGAGTGTTCCACTTCTTTCCATTATGCTGCTACCACTCTAGACCAGACTACCAGTGTCTCTCATCTAGATGATTGCAATAGCCTTCTAAATATTTGCCCACTGAAATCTAGTATTCACAGAGTAGTAAGAGTACTCTTTTATTCATTCAATGTTAATTTAACAAACATTTGATTGAGTACATGAAGGGCTTACCACGGATCAGGCTGTTTAAAGCTCCTGGAAGTCATCAGGGAACAAAACAAAGATCCCTGCCTTTGAAGAGCTTATATGTTCTTCCATCTTCTATGGTAGATGGACAATAAGTAATCAACATAATAAATAAGTAAATATATAATGGGCTAGTTGATAGTAAATGCTGTGGAAAAATTAAAAGTAAAGCATGATAAAGGGGTTAGAGAGTGCGGGGTAGTGATGATCCAATATTAAATAGGTCAGGATAGGTCTCAGTGAGAAGGGGATCCTTTCATGAGTTATCCAGTGGACCTCTGAGAGAAGAATGTTCCAGACAAAAAGAATAGTAATTATCTTTAAAATGAGAATATATCTGATGTGTTTGAGAGACATCAAGAAAGCCTGAGTGAGGGAGGAGGAGTGTAGAAGAGGAGGAGATCAGTGTTAGCACGAGTGAGAATGGAGAGCCTTGTGGGACATTGTAAGAACTTTGGCTTTTGCTCTAAATGGAAGGAAGAACTATTGGATAGTTTTGGTGACAGACTCACATAATAATAGCCACATTTTAAAAGAAATATTTTGGCTGATATTTTGAGAAGAAACACTAGGGGATAAGATTACAGTGGGAAGATCAGTTAGTAAGCTATTTCAGTAATCTAGCTGAGAGATAATGGGGCTTAGACGAGAATGGTAATGGGAGAGGTAAAGTAATTAGATTCTGGACCTATTTTGCAGATAGACCCAACAGATTTCCTGATAGATTTGATGTGGGATGTGAAAGAGAGATATTAAAGATGATTGCAAGGTTTTTGGACCAAGCAACCAGAAAAGATGGGACTGTCATAACATGAGATAGAAAAGATTAAGGAATACATTTAGTGGGAAGATCAGGAGTTTTAGTCTTGATCATGTTAAGTTTTATATACTTATATTAGACATCAGAGTGGAGGTGTTGAGTAGTCAGTGGGCTATGCAAGTCTGAAATTCTGGAAGAGCACTCAGCTGGAATCTGTCAGCATGTAAATGGTATTTAAAGCCAGGAGACTGGAAGAGATCTTCAAGGGAGTGAATGTAAGAAAGAGAAGAGGACCAAGGATTGAGTGCTGTGGTATTCTAAAATTAAGAGGCCAGAGAGAAGAGAACTCAGACAAAAGAAAAAAGATGAAGAAGGTGAGAACAGTGAAGCTGGAAAACAAGCAAAAGGTGTGGGGTTAAAAAAAAAAAGTGAAAAAAGGGCATTGACCAGAAGCAAGTCATTAGTTGATAAATCGAATAAGATGAAGATTGGGTTCAGCAATAGAGTTGGGGCCATTGACAGGAGCAGTTTTGTTGGATGACTGAGAGGAAAGACTGTTCTGCGTAGGTTTTGAGAGAAAGAAATACAACCCATGAAGTGTTTAACAACAACAAAAAGAGAATAACCTAAATCAGATTTGGGTCTACTTAATCATTTTTAGAAAATGCGTGTAAGAGAGAAACAACATGGAATACAATCAGCAAATTCCAGATTGTGGAAAATTAGAACAAAGGGATTGATTTTTTTCAACAAATACATTGCATGGGGGTGGGGATGGAGAAAGAGGAGAAACCAGAGAGGAAGGGAAATCACATGGATTAAAATAGATTTAGGAATAAGGTGACCATGTCTTTCAGCTGGCATAAATCAGCTTATCCTGATTTATGCTTATTTCTGACACAATTATTAATAGTGCTCCTTTTTACTCTTAGTCAGGTCCCAGTTTGGACAATAAATTATGAAGTCACCCCATTTAAGATACATGGCAAATGCAAGTATAAACTTCATTGTAATCAAACAACAGACTGTTAAAGAAATATTTATGACATAAATGGGAAAATTGAACACTGATTATCTGTTTGATAATGTTAAGGAATTATGGTCAATGTTTTGAGGTGAAATTATGTTGTGATTGTATTTTAAAAAGCTTTATTTTTAGATATTTGTAGATGAAATGACAGGATTCCATGGATTGACTTAAAAATAATCCTGTATGTGGTGGGGGAGTGGATAACAATATAGATAAAACAAGAATTATAAATCACGAAGTTTATAGTTGTTAAAACTGGTGATGAGTACATGGGAGTTCATTACGCTATTCTCCTTTCTTTTGAAAATTTCCATAATAAAAAGTTTAAGAACAAGATTTAGAGAGAATAGGAGAAGAGGAATTAGAAATTGTAATTAGATGTATGTTTTGAGGAGCATTGCTGCAAAAGCGAACGATGAAATGATTCAGTAGCTGGCAGCCGAAGTAAGATCAAGAGAAGGGTTTTTGTTGTTGTTTTCTTAGTTTGTTTGTACACATTTTAAAATGGGAGAAAGAACACTGATGGGAACAACCCAGTAGAAGACGAAAACATGAAACAAATGATCTCACTACTCAAATTAAAACTCATCAGTCAATATCCCTCTGCTGCACTTAGAACAAAATTTAAGTGCTGCATTATCTTGTCTGTATCTTTCTGTCTCTCTGCTTCTGTCTCGGTTTCTTATTTCTCAGGCTGTTGCTACAATGACCTTTTCTTCTTTAAGTATGCCAAACTCTTTCTTAGCTAAGGCCCTTTATACATGCTGTTCTCTTTGCCTGGAATGCTTGTCCCTTAGCTCTTTGTATGACTGGCTCTTTCCCATAATTTATCTCAGCATGAATATTATTATATCTTCAGTGAGGCATGGGTTAAAGGTTACTATTTTTTAATTTTTGCATATGGATATCCACTTGTGCTATCACTATTTGTTGAAAATATTATCCTTTCTTCCTTGAATTGCCTTTGACCTTTGATGATCAACTGTCAACTGTCAGTATATAACTGGATCTGTTTCTGTAGTGCTTTCTATTCTGTTCCACATATTTGATATAAATTTATAATAAATCTTGGAATTGAGTAACGTTAGTTTTCTAAATTTGTTCTCTTTTTCTTTGAAATTTTTGCCTGTTGGTATTTTGATTGAAATTGCATTGAAGCTATGGGTCAATTTATGGAAAAAATGACATGTTAACAATATCTTATCTTCTGATTCATAAACATAGTGTAGTTCTCCTTTTTCAGACTTTCCTTAGATTTTCTTGACAATGTTTTGTAGTTTTCAGTATAAAAGTTTTGTGCATATTCTGTCAGGTTTGTCCTTAAATATGTATTTTATGCTATCAAAAATGATATTGATTTTTAATTTCATTGCTAGTACACAGAATTGCAATTGATTACTGTATATCAATCTTATATTCTAGAATTTTGCTAGGCTCATTAATTCTATTAGATGTTTTTGGTAGATTGTATGGAATTTTCTACATAGGCAATTAATTCCATTTCTTTATTTCCAACATGTTGTCTTTTATTCATTTTTTTGTGCCTTGTTGCACTGGTTAGAACCTCCAGTAAAACGTCCAAAAGAAGTGGTGAGAGTAAACACCTTTCCCTTGCTCCATTCTTAAGTGGAAAACATTCAGGCTTTCGCCATTAAGAATGATATTATCTGAAGTTGCACACAGTTACCCTTTATCAGGCTAAGAAAGTTCCTTTTTATTTCTACTTTGCTGAGAGTTCATCTCTTTTGTATCTATTGATATTATCAAATATTATTTTATATATGATATAATAAATGTATAATATCATTTTTCATTTTCAGTCTCTTAATATAGTAAATAATGCGAATTGATTTTTGAATGTTAAACCAACCTTGTGTTATTGAGACAAACACAAATTGGATATTCTATAATTGTCTTTTGTATACTTTTTTATGTTGTGGAATTTGTTTTTTAAAGTTTTGTTAAGAATGTTTGTATCTATGTTCAGTGTGGGTATTGGTTTATGGTTTTCTTTTCTTACTATGTCTTTGGTTGTGGTATCAGGATAATGTTGGCCTCATAAAATAAGTTGTAAAGTAAAATTTTCTGTTCAAATTCTGGGAGAGTTTGTGTAGAATTGTTATAATTTATCCTTTAAATGTTTCATTGAATGTAACAGTGAGGTAATTTAGGCATGAAGTGTTTTAAACTACACATCCAATTTCTTTTTTTTTTTTTAAGATGTTGCCCAGGAGGGAGTGCAATGGTGCAATCTCGGCTCACTGCAACCTCCACCTCCTGGGTTCAAGCGATTCTCCTGCCTCAGCCTCCCGAGTAGCTGGGATTCCAGGCATGTGCCACCATGCTTGGCTAATTTTGTATTTTCAGTAGAGATGAGGTTTCTCCTTGTTGGTCAGGCTGTTCTAACTCCGGACCTCAGGTGATCCGCCCGCCTTGGCTTCCCAAAGTGCTGGGATTACAGGCGTGAGCCACCATGCCTGGCAAAATCCAATTTCTTTAACCAATATATGGCTACTTAGATTATCTATTTCTTCTTGAGTGAGCTTTGGTATTTTGTGTCTTTCAAGAGATGCGTTCATTTTATCTAATTGTTAAAATAATTGGTTAATGTTGTTTAAAATATTCCCCTATTTCCCTTCTTAATACCTGTAGAATCTACACTAATATCTCTTTTTCAATTTCTGATATTAATAGTTGTTTCTGTATTTTCTTCCATGGTTAATGAAACTAGAGGTTTATCAATTTTATTGATCTCAAATAACCTGCTTTTGGTTTTACTGATGTTTCTATTATCTTTCTGGTTGTCTATTTCATTGACTTTTCCCCCCTCTACTCTGTAGTATTTTTTTTTCTGCTTTTTTTTTTGCACTTCATTTTCTCACTTTAATGAGACTCTTAATGTAAAAGCTGAGATAATTAATTTGAAACTTTTCTTCTTTTCCCATATAAGTACAGTTTTCATGCTGTAAGTTTTCCTCTAATTACTGCTTCATCTGCATTCTATAATTTTGCTATGTTTTAATTTTCATTCATTTCTGCTATCTTGGTAAATGTTCCTGTGTACTTAAAGAATGTGTAGTCTTCTGTCATTGGATAGAATTTTCTATAAACATCAATTAGGTGAAGTTGATAGGCAGCATTATTCAACTCCTCAATGTTATTGATGTTCTGCCTATTTGTTCTATCTATTATTGAAAGAGGGGGTTGAAATCTCTTGCTATAACTGAATTTTCTTTCTTTCCTTGAAGTACTATTAGGTTCTACTCTATGTATATTTTGGTTCATAACTGTTTTTATCTTGATTTATTCATGTGTTTATTATTATGAAATGATGCTTTTTATCCCTGTTAATATTCTTTGACCTGAAACCTACTTTGTCTGATATTAATATTACCATTACTGTTTTCTTTTGATATATCTTTTTTTCCATTCTTTTGCTATTATCTATTCATATTTTTATCTTTAAAGTGTGTTTACTATGGGCATTATACAGCTATATCTTGCTTTTTTATCTAATCTGACAGCCTGTGACTTTTATTTGGGCTGTTTAGACCATTTACATTTAATGTGATTGTCAATATGGTTGGGCTTATTTGTTCCATCTATTCTTTGTTCTTCTTTTCCTCTTTTTCTGCCATCTTTTAGATTATTTTTTGTCTCCACTTTATCTTCTTTGTTGAGCTTATTTTCTATAACTCTTTATTGTCTAATTTTAGTGGTTTAAAATATACGACTTTAACTTATCACAGTCTACCTTCAAGTAATATTATACCATTTCATGTGTAGTATAAGAATTTTATGATTGTAAACTTCTATCTCATTCCTTCATACCTGTGTTATCACTCTGTTTTACTTGTACATATGTTATAAATCCTAAAAGGCTTTATTATTTTTGCTTTAAACAATTGGTTAACTGTTATTGATATTTAGATAATGAAAAAATTTTGGATATTAACCAACAAAAGTGCCATCTTCAGTATTCTTCATTCTTTTGTGCAGTTTCCAAATTTCCATCTGGCATCATTTTATTCCATCTAAAGAACTTCCTTTCATATTTTCTATAGTGCTGGTCTATTGCTGATGAATTCTTTCAGCTTTTGAATGTCTGAAAAAGCCTTTATTTTTGAAAACTTCTTCTCCCTCTACCCTAAAAATAGAAGTTTGTGGTGATAGGTTTTTTTTTCTTTCATTGCCTTGAAAGAGTTGCTCCATTCTCTTCTGACTTGTATGTTTCTGATGAGAAATCTTCTGTCATCATTATATTTTTTCCTCTGTATGTCATGTGTTTTATTTTTCTCTGGTTGTTCTTATCAGTAGTTTCAATCAGTGTTTTTTGATATGCTTTAGTGTAGTTTCTTGCTTTTTTTGTTGTTGTTTGGTTTTGAATACCTTGAGCTTGTTGAATCTCTGGGTTTATAGTTTTCATCATATTTGGAAAATTTTCAATTAATATTTCTTTGAATATTTTAAAAACTGTTTCTTACCTTACTGATTCTCTGTTCCTTTATTTTCAGTCTTTTGCCATGTTTAATTTTGGATAATTTCTTTTGCATTTAAGTTCACTAATCTCTTCTTATATTCAAGCTCATTAATCTTTTTTGCAATGTCTAATCTGTTGTTAATGACATGATATATTTATATATGTGTGTATGTTGCTAATTAATGTATTCATTTTTTTCTCTAGTTTATTGAACATATAGAATATAGTAATAATAGCCATTTTGATTACCTCATCTGCTAATTCTATCTTATGTATCAGTATTTCTGGGCTGGTTTTGATTGATTGATTTTTTTTTTCTTGTTATGGGTTCTGTTTTTCTACTTCTTGCATGCCTGATAATTTATGATTAGGTGTTAAGCATTAAAGTTTTTACCTTTTTGAGTGCTATGTATTTTTTTATTCCTACACATATTCTTGATCTTTGTTATAGGATGCAGTAAAGTTACTTGGGAAAAGTTGGATTTTTTTTGGTTTTGCATTTAAGCTTTGTTAGATGAGACCAGGGCAGTGTTTAGTCTATGGATAATTTCCCCACTACTGAGGCAAAACTCTTCTGAGTATCCTGCTGGATATCCTATGAATTATGAAATTTCTTATACTCTAGCTATTGAGAACAGGAACTACCCCCAACCCCATGTAAATTCCTGGGATTGTTCTCCCTAATCTTTTTGTGAGGTTGTTTCTCTGTCCTCAAGTGCTTCTCTCCTAAGCACATATTAAATCTAATCAGTAATAAGCTGAAGACTAAAAGTGGATTTTCTGAAGATGTCTGGAATTCTCTGTGCCATTGTCTCTCTAATAATATTCTGCGCTTTGAGAACTCTGGCTGCTTTTTTTCTCTCCAGAATACCAGTTCTATCTCCTCAATTGCAGAGATCTGCGGGTTCTGCCTTTGTTTCCCCTTGCTGAATAGTAGCCTAGGTGCTCTCTTAAGACAGTAAGTTGGAACAGTTTTAAGGATTATCTTGTTTATTTCTCATTTCTCCTTGATCATTGTCTTCCATTGTCTGATGACTGATGTATTAAACTGTTGTTTATACTCTTTGTCCTGTTTTCAGTTCTTTCAGGTAAGAAGGCAAAATGTGGTCACTCTTATGTCTTGGCTGGGAATGAAAGTGCTTCCCTGCCATTAGGTTATAATTCTTTTCTTGTTTGGTTGCTGCTACTGAAAACAGATTTCTCCTATGCCATTTTTTTCTTTGTTTAATCTTTTTCATTGCATTAGTTTTGGGGAGGGATGTTTTATGACTAGGCTTCATGTAGCTATCTTTTCTCTGTTTATTAGACATGTACATTTTCTTTTCTGTGATTCATGACTTTCATGTTCTTTTCTTATTTTTCCTGTGGGCATCTGTATGCATTTATTACAAGTTTCTCTAAGATCTTAAATATCAGTATACATGCTCTTTATATGTCATATTTATAGCAACCATGCTTCCCAATTTGTTTGCATTTTAATCTTGATGATGATTTCTTTTGAAGTAAAAGAGCATTTCATTTTATGTAATCAAAAGTCTTTTATATAAAGTCCTTTCACAACCAGAGAATGATATTTACCTCTATTATTCTAATATATATTTTTATGGCTTCATTTTTTTTTACAGTTACTTCTAGATTTTTTAGGAATTTGATTCTTCACATAAGGTATACAGACAATATTTTCTCCAAATATTCTCCTAGAACTATTTATGAAATACTCCTCCTTTTGATACATATTTGTAGCATTCCCTTTATCATATTAAAATTTATGTCTATTACTGGACTCTCTTCCACTTATTCATATATTTATTCCTACACCATTTAATTACTATGTTACATTGGATATTTTGTAGTGCCAAGGGCCCTACTTCTACTTTTTTTACATGAATTTAAAATTTTTCTTCATACAAATTAATATTTGCTCATCACGCAATAATTTAACAGTGAACACTAGCGCAAGGAACACAAAGCATCTCTGAGCCAACCAAAATTGATATCTCAGTGTATGGCATCTCTGAGCCAACCAAAATTGATATCTCAGTGTATAGTTTTCTAGATCTTTGTTTATATGTGTACTTTTAATATTTTTATAAAATGGGGTCAAACCACATTCTTTTGTAATTTCTTTCTTTTCCTACTTTTATTGAGCATATTTTCTATAAATAGTAAATTATATTTTTAATGGTTGAAGGATATTCTGTTGCATAGATGTATGACAATTTAATCAATCCACTCTCCTCTCTTTTGGTAAACTTTTTATTGAAGGAAAACTTCTTTCAAAAAAGTTTGTAAATTATATATGGGCAGCTTGTGTTTTCACAGAGTGAACACAGTTTCCAGATCAAGAAGCAAGGCATTATTAGCGCTCCAGAAGTCTTCTTATAAATCACCTCCCACCTCAAATAAACACTTTATTTCACAGAGTCATAGTCATTCTAACACCATAGACTAGTTATTCCTGGTTTAGAACATTACATAAATGGAATCATATCATGTATACTCATGTGTCTGGCTTCTTTTTCCTAACATTATATTTGTTATCCATTTGGTTGCATGTATTAATACTTCTAATTCTGTCATTCTTAATGCACTTTAGGTTTCAGGGTCATTATAAGCATATGTTTAACTGTACAAGAAACTTCTCTCCAAAGTGACTGACCATTTTCCATTTCTATCTACAATGACTGAGCATTCTTTACATATTTTGGATGTATCTTCCTGAGATACGTGATCTGTAAATATTTTCTCCTGACTTATGGCTTGACTTTCCATTCTCTTAACAATGTCTTTCATAGAGTAAAAGTTTTTTATGTGGAAAAAATAAAACTCAGCTTTTTTTGTTCTTTACGAAGTATGCTTTTAGAGTTGTGTTTAATAACTCATCACCTAACCCAAGGTCACAAGGTTTTCTTTTATGTTTTCTTCTAGAAGTTTTATATTTTATATTTGCGCCTATGACCCAAAGAATAGGCATATTTTATAGTTAAAAGCAGCACAATAAAAAAGCCTTATGAAAGGTTTTACTAATTTACACTTTCATAAGCAGTATCTGATAACATTTTCACAACCACCACCACACTGAATATTACCTTTTTAAAAAATCTTTGCATCTTAATCATTTAATAATGGTAATTTGTTTAAAAATTGTTTTGTTAATGGTTTTCAATACTTTCCATGTTTTACTTTTGTAGTTTTAAAATTGTATCTTGTGTGTTCAGTTCATTTCTTTCCTGTTAGAGTGTTCATCTTTTTCTTTAAAAAATTATAGTTGTTAAAATATTAAGTTTTTTTTTTTTTTTTTTTTTTTTTGGCTTAGGTGCATGTAACAGAAACCAGATGGTATGGCTTGACCAAATAAGGGTATTTTTTCTCACATAACAAGTTCAGCAATGGCATTTCAGGTCTGGTGCAGGCACTAAAGGAACTAGATTGTCCTCTTGATGCTTCACTCTTACTAGTGGGTGACTTTTATTTTCTTATGGTCAAAGATGGCTGTTACACCTCCAGGCATCAATTTGAGATATCAAAAAGGAAGACAGAAAGACTCAATGGCAAAAGGCACATGGCAGCTTACACTCTTCCTTTCAATAAGGAAAACATGGCTTTCCCTGAAGCCCCAACCAGGGAATTTTGCTTATGTCTCATTGACCAAACATGGTTACAGGGACATCCAACTACAAGAGTAAAGAAAATAGTTGGCATGTTGCTGCCAAACACAATATGGGATCTGGAAGCAAAGAAGTAGCAGAAAGTAGATATAGGACAGGCATTAGCATTAGCAAAGTCTACCATAAGAATATGTTGCTATTTGTAAGTAAAAAAGTTAAATTTTTTTTCCAATTTGTTTTTTGCCATTATTTTTCTTGTGTGTGGATTTTTGGTATGGAAGTTTTACATTAATATCTTTTCTTTTATGGTATCTGTTTTTGGTAATTATGGTTGGAAATATCTTCTACAACCCAAAATTGCCTAATTTTTATTTTATATTACTATCATCTTACTTATTAGAATTGTATCTTTAATATTGAGAGTTTGACTAGAATTACATTAAAACAAATTATATTAAACTATACCAAACCAATTAATTAAGAATTTATTCCTCTAATAGCCAATAATATCTATAGCATCTATAATGAGCAATAACATCTAACTTTACCATAGAAAAACAGGTATATTTGACCCTCTTGCTTGGCTGTGTTTCACAATCTTATTCATACGGATTTTATATATACCATTAATGTTGCTCCTATATATTGTATATTGTATGATTTTTTATTTTGTTTTGTCTATATGAAACATCCTGTTTATTATTATATATTATTTTCTGATTATTACTTGTTGATTATAACATTCTATATATTATATATATAGGTATATGTATACATGTGTATATATGTGCATATAAATATATATATAGTCTTATTCACAGCCATTTTTATAACTTTCTTATTCTAATTTTTTTGATCGATTTCCTGGGTATATAATTTTATTTTCTGCAATTATTTGTATTCTTGGTACTTTCTTCCAATTTCTTAATGTGTTTTTCAGAACTTCCAGAACATCATTGTTTGTTCTGAACTTTAATAAGACTGACTCAATATTTCAGCATTAAGTGTGATTTTTGGCTGCCAGTAGATGTATATCTTTACAATATTAGAAAAAGTTACTCCTAGTGCTAATTTTTGCATATAGATTTTGTTCTTATATACCCCATGCCATCAGCTGACTGCAGCAGACAATTTTGTTTTCTTTGAGGCTCAAATTTTAATCTAGTTTTGCCACTGCTAACTCTCTTCTGAGGGGCCAAGTTGGTTTTATAGTCCTTGAGCTCAGTACATGTGTTACCAAGCTGTCAAAGGAATAATTGAAAACCAAGTGTTGGCTATGGTAACTATTCACCTAGATGCACCTCCTGATTTCAAGGCAACTTAGAATCATAGGTGAACATTGTTTTGTTTTTTAATCACCAACTGAGATCTTTACAGTGGAAACTTATAAACCTATAACTTAATCTAATCAGAAATATCTATTTTATGGTGCTTCATTCACACACACATACACATACACACATGCGTGTGCACACAAAATACCTCACAGATGCTAAATGCAAATAAATACTTTAAAAAATCCACATTTGCCCTGGAGAAGTTTAGGCTAATGGGGCTTTCTAGGCTCAGAACACTAACGTGCAAGTCACAGACAGGTTTTTACTGTGCGTATCCACATGACAGATACTGAGCTTCTGTACTTTCCTTACATGTTATTTTGATCAATTCAGTTAGATGTTCTTTTCTCCTCTGAAACTGTTTTCTTCTTTGTCTATGTCACAGTGCCTGTTATGGTAACCATTTCAAGGAATGCCAGAACATTCTCACATTCACTAGAGGAAATAATTTTTTATCCCTTATCATTTAAATTACAAAAGTTTTTCTAATACCAGATCTATTTTTAAAGCTATCTCATTCATTTATTCACCAAATATTATTGATGAATGATAAGATAATAGAAACAATAGATAAGAATATGTCATAGTTCGTGCACTCAAGGTGCTGATAGTCTGAAAGGGGAAATGTTTAAACAAAATAATTCAGGTCAGTGTGGTGGTATATGCTATGATTTGTTATTATGGGAGTATAGAGAACGGTCATCTAAATCAGACTCTAAGTAAATTCAGTAACGGTAACAGTGAATATTTGTTCTCCCTTTCTTTCATTATAATAGAATTATTTGTCAAATATATTACCACTCAACTACAGACTATGTTTCATCTAGTCATAGATATATGACTAAGTTATAGCCAACAGAATGTGAAGGGAGGGGAAGGAAGTGATGCATACCACTTCTGAATCACAACCCCCTTCCTTTCCTTTTTTTTTCTCCACATGGCTTCCTAGAATGTGAGTGCTGTGAGGAGTCATCTTGAGCCATACAAAAGAAAGTAATGTCCTAGGAATAATGGAGCAATAAGAGATTAGCTCAAAAGAGATTAGCTTTCTGACAACCTTATAAAACAGGATCATCCTCCTGCAGGCTACTAATGTGAAAGAGAAATACATGTCCATTTTGTTTAAACCACTGTTAATGTGGGTCTCTATTATAATTGCTATATCTCTATCCAAGTGAATGCAGCAAGCTTTCCCCAATCCTTACCCTCTTTTCAGTATATTTTGACCATATATTCATGTTTAAAAGTTTCTTTATATTGATGTCTTTGATCTGTTCTCTTAATTCCTCTCAAATATTTCACCAGTTTTCTGTAAGACCCTTCTTCCTATTTTTGATGCTAATGTAGAATTTCCCTAAAGTTTTTTCCTTGACCCTTCTTCTGTTTTTACTTTTTTCTCTTAGAACCCCAGTGGTTTTAAATATCCCTTCTTGAAACTGATTCCAAAACCTATTGCTATCCTAAAGTCCAGGCCTGTACTATGGGCTCCAGTTCCAGGTTCCCAACAGCCTGTAATAAATTTCTACTTGGATGTCTTGCTGCCATTTCACATTCAGCAAGTTTAAATTTAAATTCATGTTCCTCTCCAAATCAAACTCCCTTCTAGAGTTTGCTATTTATGTTCATGACATCATCATTCTTCTAGTCATTTGAATTTAAACCTTAGAATTGTCTTTAGTTTCTTCTCTCTTACCTGTCAACAAAATTTAAAATGGTAGACTACCTGAATCACTGCCTTTTTTAGTTCTGATCACCCACAATCCTCTCCATAAAGACGGAGATATTGGTTTCAGTACCTAAAACACCTTTAATTCCTTTTTGCAAAATCCCGATCAGAGTAGCTGGTTTTAGGTCACCTCTGTGAAAAACCCCAGTCTAGGTAGCTCAAGAATAATTTTTCCAACTCCATTAACTTCTCTTACACAGACTGTAAACCTACGGAACTGATTCAGCTTCTCCCGTATCACTATTAATTCTTTGCTCTTGCATCTTCCTTCACATAATTTCTGGTTATATAGCTCTCATGTGCACATACTCCTTTAAGTATTTGCCCATTTCTTTTTTGAAGATTATTATTTACACCCTTCTACTGGTCTGTAAATGTATTGTTACTTTCTCTCTCAGTTTCTGCCTTTCTGAAATATAATTGTTACAAAATGGTTAGATATACTCTGAACAATTCAAGGGTTGGTTACTGGTTATTTTGCTATTAGTTTACTGAGTGTGGAGTTTTTCAAGCATCTTATGATAAGTACATAAACTTGAGTTCAACTCTTGAGTCAGAACTTACAGTACAACCATATACTACCTTTCTTATCCCTTCCCTGTAACCCTAACACTAAGCCCCAGCAGATCTTTTGTCAAAATGATTCCTTCCCACCTGTACCTCTTTGTAAATACCCCCATTGCCACCATCTTGGTTTAGGCAGTCATTATCATCTCTTAGATCTTTGCATTGTCCCTTCGGCCCCATGTTTCTAGTTGCTCCTGTCTATTCCCTACAGTTTTGTTTTGAGAAACAGTTGGCTTCATGTCACTTTTTCTTCATGAAACTCCAATAATTCTCATTTTCTTATAATGTACAATCATGACTCAAGTTTCTTTGTTAGCTTTTTGATCACTTCACCTTCAATAATTCCCCCTTACATATCATCGTCTTCTCTAAGATCACTTCTTCTCCAAAATACCTAGAAATGCCTATGTCTTTTGCCTTCTAGTCAAAGCCTGTTTTTGAGGCATAACACTTCTGTTAAGCTTTTTCAGATCATTGAGACTCATAGTGATTACCCCCTACATGAGATTTTATAGTGTAAGTTCCTTTCTAGCCATAAAAATCTTGATTAGATCTTATATTCTCAAGGCACATCGTTCCCCGCTTGTCTCAACAAAACTCTACAGATGGTACTCCATTGCACTGCTTGGTGTGGTGGTGTAGTTAGGGTCAGGCTAAATTTTCTCTTTGTGGATGATCTGATTGTTTTTTCAAAATTTGTGAGTCGTTCTCTTGAAAGTTTGAAATTCTAATAGGACTGGCCTAGATATATTATGCTTTTCAGTTAGTTTATGTCAAGCATGATGTAAACTTTGAATTTTTAGACCAAAGATTTTTTTTTTTTTGAGCAAGAAAGTTCCTTGTGTGCAGTCTAGATGTGACTCAGTCATCACAGGAATCCGCCATTCTTGCCTCACAATAGCCTTCAGGCAGGATCTGAGCACAATGTGTTATCTCTTAACACTAAGTACATCATTAAGTACCAGTGAATGAACAATATCAATTTTACCAACATTTTAATGGGGAGATAGAGGAAAATGGTTGTATTGGGAGATATATCATTTTGCTCCCCAAATACCTGTTTGAGATCTCTTTCCCTGTCTTTCTCAGCTACGTTATTTTCCTGTTTTACTGTTTCCAGACTTTCCTTTCTCCCATGTTTTCTAATCGCCATGTCTTTTTCTATTCCTTTCCTTGAACAGAGGAATTTAGCTCTTCCTGAGATTATTATCCAACAAATCCGGAATACTTAATAACCATACTTCTTATTAACTATCAGGGGTTTGTAAATAACAATTTTTCCTGACATATTTTTTCAATTACATTGAAGATTTTTCATTATTGTATGAATATTGCTTCTGCTCTTGCTTTATTTTCTTTTTCAGTAACTGTTGATATTTACAGGTTGATTTCCTAGTTCTGTCATTTGTCTTCTCTTATTTAGTCTTGATTGCCTTTCTCCTCCAAGATGAAAAACATTTCTTTTTTTTTTTTTTTTGAGACGGAGTCTCGCTCTGTCGCCCAGGCTGGAGTGCAGTGGCGGGATCTCGGCTCACTGCAAGCTCCGCCTCCCGGGTTCACGCCATTCTCCTGCCTCAGCCTCCCAAGTAGCTGGGACTACAGGCGCCCGCCACTACGCCCGGCTAATTTTTTGTATTTTTAGTAGAGACGGGGTTTCACCGTTTTAGCCGGGATGGTCTCGATCTCCTGACCTCGTGATCCGCCCGCCTCGGCCTCCCAAAGTGCTGGGATTACAGGCGTGAGCCACCGCGCCCGGCCAACATTTCTTGAATTTAATCTTAACTTTAAGTTTTTATAGTGTTCAATCTGTTATTCATGATCTTTGTTCATAATCATTAATTTATTCATTGAATATGTTGAACATGTCTATTACATTGGGATTGGTCATCAATATCAGGGTCTCAAAGTGGCACTCCAGTATCTCAGTATTGTTGCTCAAAGGCTCTTTAGACTGAAGCTTTGAGTCAAGGGATATCAGGGATGGGGGAGTATCATTAAAGATTCCTTTAACTTTTATCTTGAACATACCACATTCTCTCATTGGAGAGTCTTATGTGTATCTTCATCAATCAATTCTGTTGGTATGTATCTAACAGAAATTCTTCCAACTTTCAGGCATGTAGATAGCTTTCACCTTTATTTTACAAAGTTGATTCATGATTTGTATATTCCATTTTTTTTTTTCAGTTGGAATTTGACATGGGAAAAGGCAATTCTTTGGTAATACCACCATTAATCCCTGAAGTATTGAAATTCTTTTGTTCATGTGTGAGGTACAAAGGAACCATGTCATTTGATATGGTTTATAAAAAAGTAAACAAAATTTTCTAGTTCATAGTATAGCTCTATTATTCTAATTTCTTTAGAAACTGATTTTATTGACTAATTGTTATCAGGAAAAAAGCCAACAAGCTTTAACTGTATTAAGTGATTGATTTTGTCATATAATTGTCACATCTAAATGGGCAATCCAAAAGAATCCTAGCCAAGTCCCATTATGAACCTACGTGACAATATTTTTCTTCCTAACTTACCTTTGTGGGTCCATCAGAATGTAACTCAATTTAAAAGTAGGTAATGCAATGGGCGTTTTACTTTCTTTAAATAAATGGGATGATAATGGGTTCATTGATAACAAGTAAAAAATAGCAGAATGTTTTTGCTTGCCAGTAATAGAAAATATAACAACATACTTTATTAAATAAGGTGATATACTGGCGTATGAAACTCAGCATCTAATTTGATTTGATGGAATGGCTTGATCCAGAGGACCATAATGTCATCAGGTCTCCAGATCCATTTCTCTATAATTCTTTTGATTCTGTCCTCCTCCTTGTGTCAGTATTACCCTCAGGCTGGATTCGTTCATGGTAATAAGAATCAACATCATGATTTCAAGTCTCACAATCACACTCCACAGTTTCAAAAGGAATTTGAAAACAGCACATTAGTTCCAGAAATCCAAGAAAAATTTTGAGGTTCACTCTAATTGAACTGGCTTGGGTCACATGCCTGCTCCTGAACAATTATTATGGCCTGGCAAATGGTTGGTGCTAATTGACCAGACTGAGTCATATGAGTTGGAAGTGGCAAAATAAAGATCCTTATAACTACATGAACCCCTAAATAGGATACCCAGGACTGTTGGAAAAGGAAGACTCAACATCCACTATCCTTCCCAAAATGGTTTCTTCTATATATGGCACAAAACTTGGAGATTTTAATTAGAAACTTGAATGGTAACGCCTAGGTTTTCTTCAAGGGTTTTTATGGTTTTAGGTCTAACGTTTAAGTCTTTAATCCATCTTGAATTGATTTTTGTATAAGGTGTAAGGAGGGGATCCAGTTTCAGCTTTCTACATATGGCTAGCCAGTTTTCCCAGCACCATTTATTAAATAGGGAATCCTTTCCCCATTGCTTGTTTTTCTCAGGTTTGTCAAAGATCAGATAGTTGTAGATATGCGGCGTTATTTCTGAGGGCTCTGTTATGTTCCATTGATCTATACCTCTGTTTTGGTACCAGTACCATGCTGTTTTGGTTACTGTAGCCTTGTAATGTAGTTTGAAGTTAGGTAGTGTGATGCCTCCAGCTTTGTTCATTTGGCTTAGGATTGACTTGGCAATGCGGGCTCTTTTTTGGTTCCATATGAACTTTCAAGTAGTTTTTTCCAATTCTGTGAAGAAAGTCATTGGTAGCTTGATGGGGATGGCATTGAATCTGTAAATTACTTTGGACAGTATGGCCATTTTCACGATATTGATTCTTCCTACCCATGAGCATGGAATGTTCTTCCATTTGTTTGTATCCTCTTCTATTTCCTTGAGCAGTGGTTTGTAGTTCTCCTTGAAGAGGTCCTTCACATCCCTTGTAAGTTGGATTCCTAGGTATTTTATTCTCTTTGAAGCAATTGTGAATGGGAGTTCACTCATGATTTGGCTCTCTGTTTGTCTGTTGTTGTTGTATAAGAACGCTTGTGATTTTTGTACATTGATTTTGTATCCTGAGACTTTGCTGAAGTTGCTTATCAGCTTAAGGAGATTTTGGGCTGAGACAACGGGGTTTTCTAGATATACGATCATGTCATCTGCAAACAGGGATAATTTGACTTCCTCTTTTCCTAATTGAATACCCTTTATTTCTTTCTCCTGCCTAATTGCCCTGGCCAGAACTTCCAACACTATGTTGAATAGGAGTGGTGAGAGAGGGCATCCCTGTCTTGTGCCAGTTTTCAAAGGGAATGCTTCCAGTTTTTGCCCATTCAGTATGATATTGGCTGTGGGTTTGTCATAGATAGCTCTTATTATTTTGAAGTACGTTCCATCAATACCTAATTTATTGAGAGTTTTTAGCATGAAGGGTTGTTGAATTTTGTCAAAGCCTTTTCTGCATTTATTGAGATAATCATGTGGTTTTTGTCTTTGGTTCTGTTTATATGCTGGATTACGTTTATTGATTTGCATATATTGAACCAGCCTTGCATCTCAGGGATGAAGCCCACTTGATCATGGTGGATAAGCTTTTTGATGTGCTGCTGGATTCGGTTTGCCAGTATTTTATTGAGGATTTTTGCATCAATGTTCATCAAGCATATTGGTCTAAAATTCTCTTTTTTGGTTGTGTCTCTGCCCGGCTTTGGTATCAGGATGATGCTGGCCTCATAAAATGAGTTAGGGAGGATTCCTTCTTTTTCTATTGATTGGAATAGTTTCAGAAGGAATGGTACCAGTTCCTCCTTGTACCTCTGGTAGAATTCGGCTGTGAATCCATCTGCTCCTGGACTCTTTTTGCTTGGTAAGCTATTGATTATTGCCGCAATTTCAGAGCCTGTTATGTCTATTCAGAGATTCAACTTCTTCCTGGTTTAGTCTTGGGAGAGTGTATGTGTCGAGGAATTTATCCATTTCTTCTAGATTTTCTAGTTCATTTGCGTAGAGGTGTTTGTAGTATACTCTGATGGTAGTTTGTATTTCTGTGGGATCAGTGGTGATATCCCCTTTGTCATTTTTTATTGCGTCTATTTGATTCTTCTCTCTTTTTTTCTTTATTAGTCTTGCTAGCGGTCTATCAATTTTGTTGATCCTTTCAAAAAACCAGCTCCTGGATTCATTAATTTTTTGAAAGGTTTTTTGTGTCTCTATTTCCTTCAGTTCTGCTCTGATTTTAGTTATTTCTTGCCTTCTGCTAGCTTTTGAATGTGTTTGCTCTTGCTTTTCTAGTTCTTTTAGTTGTGATGTTAGGGTATCAATTTTGGATCTTTCGTGCTTTCTCTTGTGGGCATTTAGTGCTATAAATTTCCCTCTACACACTGCTTTGAATGTGTCCCAGAGATTCTGGTATGTTGTGTCTTTGTTCTCGTTGGTTTCAAAGAACATCTTTATTTCTGCCTTCATTTCGTTATGTACCCAGTAGTCATTCAGGAGCAGGTTGTTCAGTTTCCATGTAGTTGAGCGGTTTTGAGTGAGATTCTTAATCCTGAGTTCTAGTTTGATTGCACTGTGGTCTGAGAGATAGTTTGTTATAATTTCTGTTCTTTTACATTAGCTGAGGAGAGCTTTACTTCCAAGTATGTGGTCAACTTTGGAATAGGTGTGGTGTGGTGCTGAAAAAAATGTATATTCTGTTGATTTGGGGTGGAGAGTTCTGTAGATGTCTGTTAGGTCCACTTGGTGCAGAGCTGAGTTCAATTCCTGGGTATCCTTGTTAACTTTCTGTCTCATTGATCTGTCTAATGTTGACAGTGGGGTGTTAAAGTCTCCCATTATTAATGTGTGGGAGTCTAAGTCTCTTTGTAGGTCACTCAGAACTTGCTTTATGAATCTGGGTGCTCCTGTATTGGGTGCATATATATTTAGGATAGTTAGCTGTTCTTGTTGAATTGATCCCTTTACCATTATGCAATGGCCTTCTTTGTCTCTTTTGATCTTTGTTGGTTTAAAATCTGTTTTATCAGAGACTAGGATTGCAGCCCCTGCCTTTTTTTGACATAGGCATGGGAAAGGACTTCATGTCTAAAACACCAAAAGCAATGGCAACAAAAGCAAAAATTGACAAATGGGATCTAATTAAACTAAAGAGCTTCTGCACAGCAAAAGAAACTACCATCAGAGTGAACAGGCAACCTACAAAATGGGAGAAGATTTTCACAACCTACTCATCTGACAAAGGGCTAATATCCAGAATCTACAATGAACTCAAACAAATTTACAAGAAAAAAGCAAACAACCCCATCAAAAAGTGGGCGAAGGACATGAACAGACACTTCTCAAAAGAAGATATTTATGCAGCCAAAAAACACATGAAAAAATGCTCACCATCACTGGCCATCAGAGAAATGCAAATCCAAACCACAATGAGATACCATCTCACACCAGTTAGAATGGTGATCATTAAAAAGTCAGGAAACAACAGGTGCTGGAGAGGATGTGGAGAAATAGGAACACTTTTACACTGTTGGTGGGACTGTAAACTAGTTCAACCATTGTGGAAGTCAGTGTGGCGATTCCTCAGGGATTTAGAACTAGAAATACTATTTGACCCAGCCATCCCATTACTGGGTATATACCGAAAGGACTATAAATCATGCTGCTATAAAGACACATGCACATGTATGTTTATTGCAGCATTATTCACAATAGCAAAGACTTGGAACCAACCCAAATGTCCAACAATGATAGACTGGATTAAGAAAATATGGCACATATACACCATGGAGTACTATGCAGCCATAAAAAATGATGAGTTCACGTCCTTTGTAAGGACATGGATGAAATTGGAAATCATCATTCTCAGTAAACTGTCACAAGAACGAAAAACCAAACACCGCATATTCTCACTCATAGGTGGGAATTGAACAATGAGAACACATGGACACAGGAAGGGGAACATCACGCTCTGGGGACTGTTGTGGGGTGGAGGAGGAGGGAGGGATAGCATTGGGAGATATACCTAATGCTAGATGATGAGTTAGTGGGTGCAGCGCACCAGCATGGCACATGTATACATATGTAACTAACCTGCACATTGTGCACATGTACCCTAAAACTTAAAGTATAATAATAATAATAAATAAATAAATTTAAAAAAAAGAAAAAAGAAGAAAAAGAAAATGGGTATCACAAAGTGATAGGAGATGTGTCCAGATCCGTTTTGCAGTCCGAGGCAGGAAATTGACCCGATGCTTCCCGTAGACTTCCTTCAGACATTCAGAACTGTGCTAGAGACTGACTGTCCCATTAGGAATAAGTAAGTAACACAGCTTGCAGCTGTGAAAGGGTCCTGGGCAGGACGCAGGGCAGAATATCACGGAGGCAGGTACTGGAGAATTATCTTCAGCCATAGTTCCAAGCTAGTGGGAAAAGCAGGTAGTAGTGTGGAGAGGGAGTTTATTACGGCTGAGGGGAGCACACCCAGGGCATTGTGTGACATTTAAAAATATATACTCAGCCTTTACAAAGTTTCTGCCACTGGGGAAGAAGGAAGTGCCACAGGTACCAAGTAGTATTGTTGTTATAAGAAAAATAGTGAAACTTTCTTATCTCTGAATCACTAATTTTCTGGTTTTTGTTTTGTTTTGTTTTGTTTTGTTTTTTGAGACGGAGTCTCAGTGGTGTGTGCCTATAATCCCAGCTGCTCAGGAGGCTGAGGCAAAATAATCACTTGAACCTGGGGGGTGGAAGTTGCAGTGAACTGAGATCATGCCATTGCACTCCAGCCTGGGCAACAAGAGTGAAATACCATCTCAAAATAAATAAATAAATAAAAATTAAAAAATGAAGTTTCAGTTATGCAAGCTGAGTAAGCTCTAGGGATCTGCTGTCTGTACAACATGGTGCCTATAGTTAACAATACTGTATTGTGCATTTAACATATGTTAAGAGGGTAGATCTTATGCCAAATGTTTGACCATAATAAAAAAATTACCACGTGAGAATAGAAAAAAAAAAATTAGAAACTTAAGAAATTTCAAATATATGTATTTGAACTATATGTGTGTGTATATATATTAATTTTTACTTATTTTTTATTTTTATTTTTTTTTGAGACAGAGTCTCACTGTCACCCAGGCTGGAGTGCAGTGGCGTGATCTTGGCTCACTGCAGCCTCTGCCTCTCGGGTTCAAGCTATTCTCGTGCCTCAGCCTCCTGAGTAGCTGGGACTACAGGCACGCACCACCACGCCCAGCTAATTTTTATATTTTTAGTAGAGACAGTGTTCCCCATGTTGGCCAGGCTGCTCTCAAACTCCTGACCTCAGGTGATCCGCCCGCCTTGGCCTCGCAAAGTGCTGGGATTATAGGCGTGAGCGACCACACCCAGCCCAAAAAATATTTTTAAAAGAAAATTATTAATGCTTACTATAATGACTTCTAAAGTTTCAGTATGCTTCTGTCGAAGTTTGTCTACAATCAGTTATGCCTATACATTTCCACAGATGAATAAGAACTGTTTGTCCCTCATACTTGTTCCCTAAAATATCTGGAGCCCTGTTTTGTCCACAAGACAGAATATTGGCACTTAAGGCACTAATGCGGGAATTTAGCCATGAATTTTCAAAACCAATTGGTGAATCTTATGTTTTAAAGAAACTTTTTGGTGAACAAACTAATTCGTTATTACTATAGGTTGTCTACCTTCTCTATCTGTTTTAAAATTAGGTTTCCAGAAAGCTATTTAGCTATATATTATTATTTCAACAGTTTGGAGAAATAATTTCATGGACTACAGATTTAGTATTAGGTATGCTTTTAATTTTATAGAAGGACTTGGTTTACAAAAGTACGTATTAATTTACCCAGTATTTCTCATTTATAGACATATGCCACAAATTCTTCCTTAACATTAGTGCCAACAAAACTTCGTTTCTGAAAAATGATTAGTATGGCTTATTATATCAAGTAATCAAGTAATAAAAAGATTGTATAGAAATGAACATCTCTTTTTTTTTTTTTTTTTTTTTTTTTTGAGACTGAGTCTCGCTCTCTTGACCAGCCTGGAGTGCAGTGGTGCGATCTCAGCTCACTGCAAGCTGCGCCTCCCGGGTTCACGCCATTCTCCCGCCTCAGCCTCCCGAGTAGGTGGGACTACAGTCGCCCACCACCGCGCCCGGCTAATTTTTTGTATTTTTAGTAGAGACGGGGTTTCACCGTGTTAGCCAGGATGGTCTGGATCTCCTGACCTCGTGATCCGCCCGCCTCGGCCTCCCAAGGTGCTGGGATTACAGGCGTGAACCACTGCGCCCGGCAGAAATGAACATTTCTAATGCTGTCATTATATATTCGAGTTTTTTTCTTTTCATTTTAGCTGCTAGGAAATCCAGAGTAAATATAGTGTTCCCAATTTTGTTAATTTGTTTGAAGTGGTATAGTAACATCTGTCACTCTCCTACATTTTAGTAACTTACCTGGTTTCTAACTGCACATTTGTGACCTTTCTTAAGTTCTTTTTGAAAATAAGAGAAATAGAAGGAAATCTTATGTACATATATACACGAAAAACATTTTATTGCCCTTTCAATTGAAGTGGTTTATTACTTTAAACCATTTCAAGAGCTTATCGATAGATTCTAAGGTTCTCAGCAGGTCTTCCCTCCATGCTGTTTTTTTGAACTGTGTAGTCAGCAATGCCCAGATTTGGTAATTGTAGTTATCAAATGAATTGGATTGAAGCTTTACAAAGCACAGCAGCTACTCAAGTTAAAGCTTCAGAGTGAGGATAGATCATGTTGATGCTAAAACCCAATACCCCTTGTTCATTAAAGCATTTAGAACTGGAATAGTCTTGTTCCTTGCTTAAAATCCAGTGTTGAGAAAAGGCAAATGATTCAAAATGTTCAGTGCTCTTAGACTGTTCGTGGTTTTTAAAAAATATTTTCCTGGTAACTTGATTTTTGCCTGCAAAGAAATTAACAGATACAATACTAGTTCACTCCTTGCACAAGCCTGTCTGGTAGATACTGAAGTGAGAAGCTTAAAAAACAAAACAAAAAAAAGTGTATTTACAAAATGGGTGAGTGTAGTGTCTGTGACCAGCTGGAGAGTGCATAAGTCTTCAAAGCGAACTCCAAAATTCCTTCACTGGCTTGGCTGACATTCTTCTCTTATGAGGATTAGTGCCAATTTATATCATGCTGTATCAAATAATCAAAACAAATAAGCAGAAACTGACAATAATAACAACAGAAAGAGTACTGCCTGGTGACATCTAGCTACTACCTTTCCATTTGTCTTAGCAATTTGAAATTACACATACATAGTTTTTTTATATTTAAAAACTGAAGCATTGTAAGCATGGTGAAAATTGTTTTTATTTTGTTTTTAACAACTTGCATTAGTTTCCTTTTGCTGCCATATCAAATTAACAAAAACTTAGTGGCTTAAACATTAAAAATTTATTATCTTACAGTTCTGGAGATCAAAAGGCTGAAACAGCTCTCACTCGGGTAAAACTAGGGTGTTAGCTGCATTCCTTTTGGAGACTCCAGCACCAAATCCATTTCCTTGCTTTTTCTAGTTTGTAGGAGCTGCCCACATTTCTTAACTTCCTTCCTCCTTACTCCATCTTTGAAGCCAGCGACATTGAGTCAAATCCTTCTCATGTTGCTATCTGTCTCATCCTCCCTCTTGTACTTCCCTGTTCCACTTTAAAAGACCTTTGTAAATACACTGAGCAGACCAGATAATCTAGATTAATCTATCTCAAAGTCAGCTGATTAGCAACCTTAATTCCACCTGCAATCTTTATTCCCCTTTGCCATGTAACTTAACATATTCATAGGTTCCAGGGATTAGAATGTGGACATTTTTTGAGAGGAGGATTCTTTTTCCTATCTTTAAATTCTTATTCAGTACCTCCTTCTCGAAATAAGTTGTTGTTATCCCTTTGGTATATTCCTTCCAGATCTTTTTCTTTGCACCGACCAAAATGCATTCATAGAAATCTGTAATTTTTCACTTTTTCTGTGTTTGTCTGCATCTTGCTTTGATTTCACAATATGTCTTAGAAAGGATATATTTGAACTCATACTTACTCATCTATGAGTCATTTTAACTGCTGTATAATATAACATATTTACTTATATTTTTCTCTCATTTTTGAAGAATACTATAAGGTTGGGAACTAACATGATTTGGGATACCACCTTTATCTTATTTAATATCTCTTCATTTACATACATGGTTCTGCTTCAGGATGACCTATTGTGTTTACTGATTTGTTCTTATAAACTACTGTATTATATTAATTTCTTTGGTTTTAGAACTTGTCTTAATGGCTAACTGGTATAGACAGATATCTCTCTTATTTATATTAAAAATGATTATGACTTTTCTTGTTCATTTTGAATTTTAAAAATTTTGCCAAAAACCAAAACTCTTATGGTATTTTGATTGGACTGGATTGAATTTATAAGTTAATCCTGGGAATACTGATATCCTTCCAAAGGAATCTTTCTGTCTACCAATATATTTCTACTTATCAAATCATTCTTTACATATTTCAGTAAATTTTTTTCAGTTTTGTTCATAAATATTTTGTACTTTTCCTGTTAGGTTTATTCCTAGGTACTTTGTGGTTTCTGTTGCTATTGTGAATAGGTTTGTCTGTTGATTCTCTTGTGTTTCCTAGGTTAACTCTTAATATTGCCTGTAAAAATTGACAGTTTTATCCATTCCTTTTCAATACGTATACTTTTTCAACTTCTTTATTTATTTATTCACTCCTTCCTGTTCCAGATCTTATTGCATTAGCTGGAGATTGTATTACAATGTTGAACAGTTGAATGACTGTGTCATCCTGGTTTTATTCCTGGCTTTAATGCAATGCCTTTAGAGTTTCAGTGTAAAAAATGGTTTGCTAAAGTTTCTGATGGTTACCCTATATAAAATCAAGAAGTTTGCTTTCC
The DNA here is from genome assembly GCF_000001405.40 of Homo sapiens. Taxonomy (NCBI): domain Eukaryota; kingdom Metazoa; phylum Chordata; class Mammalia; order Primates; family Hominidae; genus Homo; species Homo sapiens. Next base: position 180,420,077 of record NC_000003.12, on the reverse strand, counting down.
ATTCTTAGTTTACTAAAAGTTTTAAAATATGCTTTCGGTGTTTGATTTCTATCAAATATATATATATGTATTTCAAAAACCTAATATAGGACAACTTAATGTATAACAAATAGAAAATTATATAACAAATATGTAATTTAAGTTGATTTAAGTTGTTACATATTTTACATGATTTAAGTTGTTACATATTTTACATGATTTAAGTTGTTACATAATTTTATTTTTCAGTTGGTTAACATCATAGATTACATGGTACGTTTTGTAATGTTTAATTATCTTTGTATTTCTGGGATAAATCCTGCCTGCCTATTCCTTATGATTCTTTTACTGACTGCATACAATTTGTTAACATTTGGTCTCAAGTTTGCATCTACTTTTATGATATTTGTCTTTCCTTATGTTGACTTTCATCTAGTTTGGTAGCAGAATTATACTAGTCTCAGAAATGAGTTGAGGGTTTAATATCACATCTCTCAGTTCATTATTTTTACCTTTTCTAGTCTTTTGTCAACTGAATGAACTTTCTGAGAACTATTTTTCCCTCTGGTTTAAAAAGTTTTTAATTTCATATTACCTTTTAACTTCAAACAGACATACTTGAATTTATATTTTCTACTAATGTTTAGTTAACAAATATGTATATCCCTTTTCTAAACTACTTAATACTTAATAAAGTATACCAAGCATAGTTTAATTTCTCTCTGCCCACCACCAAATCAACAAGGTATCTGTGTTTGTCTTCAAACATTCTTCCTTCCTCCTATTATGAGGAATAAACTGCCATTACTCCTGTCCAGAGCCCAAACTGCCCACTACTAGAACCTGACAAAGTTCAGGTACTTTATTTCTGCAGTTGTCCTCCTTGCCTCCTACATTATCAGGGTTGATCTTTTTAGATCATTGCTATACTGTTATATCTCTCATCTTAAAAAAAATCCTTCCTTCAGCCCTCACCCTACTTCTGCCTCATTTCTTTGCAGCCTTTTACAAAACACTCCTTGAAAGAGTTGTCCATACTTGCCATCTTATTCTTCTTCTATCCAATCTGGCATTTGTTCCCACATTCTACCAAAATTGCTCTTGTCAGAATCACCAGGGCTCATCACCAGTGATCCGTACATATCCAAATACAAAGATCAGTTTTTTAGTCCTCATTTTGTTTAACCTCTCATCAGTACTTGGCACAATTGGCAGTTGTTCCTTTTTGAAACCCATTATTCACCTGCCTTATGTGATATCACTAACATTTTGTTTTATTTCTATCTATGGACTGCTTTTTTAAAAGATTCTTTTGCTGAATTCCTTTTATCCTCCCAACTCCTAAATATTAGAGTACCTCAGCTTTGTCCTATGGCCTCTTCTCTATCCACAGTCATTGCTTAAGAGATGCCATAAAAGTCCCATAGTGTTGTTATCTATGTTCTGACAATATCCAAATGTATCTCCAACCCAGATCTACCCCTTTATCTCAGACTCACAATTCTAGTTGCTTACCTTCCAGTTGCTTACCCATCTAATTGGAGACATATATATATATATGAAATTGGATGTCTAATGAGCATCTCAAGCTTAACATAGCCAAAGGTAGAAGTGTAGTACTATACTTTTAGAGATGATAATACTGACATCAATAGACATTTCTTAACTTGGTAAAAATCCTTATCAGGGAGCCATTATTTAAATCTACTTCCTTCTAACTGAAAGACTTTTATCTTTTCATTAAACTATGTTTGGTGTACTTTAATAAGTGTTAAGTAGTTTAGAAAAAGGATATACATATTTGTTGACTCTAAGCATTATATTCCATTATAACCCCATGGATTGTAAATTTTATAACTAAATATATCCATGTTGAATTTGTGGGATATCATGGTTCTACAGGAGGTAGGGGAGGCAGTGGTGAGGAATGACCTCTCCTACCTCTTATGACCAGAGATAAAGAGGTGTGTGCATACAGTTTGCATGTACTTACATTCTGCCTTGTGTGGGGTGCTGTCCCTTCCAAAACTCTTGTTGAAATTTAATTGCCATTATACCAGCATTAAGAGGTGGGCTCTTTAGGAAACAATAAGCCATGAGGGTTTTGCCTGCTTGGGTGGGTTTAATGCCATTACAAAAGGGGCAAGCTTGACCTCCTATTGCTTCTTTGCCTTTCTGCCTTCCACTACGTGGGAATGAAGCTTTTCTCTCCTTCAGAGGACACAGCAATTAAGGCACCATCTTGAAATCAGAATTGCCAAACCTGTCTGTACCTTAATATTGGACTTCACAGCTTCCAGAACTGTGAGCCTACAGATTACCATTTATAAATTACCCAGTCTGTGGTATTCTGTTAATATATCTTTTCCAATAACATGGACATGTCAGTCACCTCTCATGTACATATATATATACACACACACACACACACACACGTATACACGTGTGTACATATATATGCTTGTGTGTGTGTGCAGTTTTGGGGTTTCCTCCAAAATTTGAATGTGTATATAGTGTTCAGATTTTTTCACACAGGAGACTTTCATTTGAGCATATTGTTTCACTAGTTAAGGGCATCTACTTATCCTCAGTAAAGTACTTACTACTACTAACTGCCTGTATTGCAGCAATAGGCCCAGCTCCCTTTGAATGTTAAAGGGTTGAGAAACACCCATTAGCCAAGAGGGAGACAAAAGATCTCAGGGTTGATGAAATACTCCTATTCCATAAAGACAGGCTAAACTCAGCAGAACCATTTTAGCAACTATGCATTTAAATGAAAACCACATCTCTACTACACTGACTTTGATATAGTTTATTCTTTTTATTTGAGTCAGTAATGTTCTACAGAGTCATCACAAACAATTGAATTAGCAAATAGTGAACTGTTGCTCATAGGGAAAATGTAAGGTTAAGTTCCTATGAGCCTCTGATCGTAATATTTTTGCCAACTGGAATGCCATTTGCATTATATAGATTTGTTTGCCAGAGTCCTTGTAAAGCAAGCCAGTCTAATCAGCATTGAAAAACTGCTTTTCTACATAACCCTCTACTTGTATCACATTTAGCAGTTATTTTAAAAATTCTTCTGCACCTTCCTGATCTGCGGAACCCGCCTTGTCTGCAAGCTTAGCCTTTTTTGACTTTGTATTGCCTTTTAAAACATGTGAGCCAGCCAACCTAGCTAAGAAGGGTTAAACACTTTCCTGACTCTGGGTAATATGATCATAAATTTCTTTGGCTTTCAGACTCACAACAGTGTTGTCCACTTTGTTTTTTAAAAATAGGTTGTCATCTCATGAATCCACAAATTTAATTACTTTTCCTCTTTTTCATAATTTCATCATTCACTGTAGATATTACTTTAACACTTCCAGAGTGGTTTCATAAACAGATCAGCAAATTTTCTATTTCTTTTTGTAGGTGTCCTGTGTTGCTGATTCATTATCACTGAATTCATGGCCAACAGTCCTATAACTTATGCCTGAATGAAGCTTATCTGACACATCTATTTTCTCCATAAGGCACATCACAGCCTTCTTTCTCTTAGAAACATTAGACAGCAATCTAACACTATGCTTGGGGACTATTGTAAATAGCAAAGTCACCAGCAAAAATCACAACAATGTGAAAAGTGTGGCACTAAATAAACCACAGAAAGGACACTTGTTTACAGTATGAGAGCTGAAACAGGGAAACAGAGGGTTTCTTTGTTCTGCTTCAGCTGGGCATATGAATGTCAGTGGACTCCAATGTTTTGCTATTCTCTGCATGTCCGTGAATAACCATGAACACATCTTTGAGTATTGGTTTGGTGGTTACAAATAAATTTTAACAGGTTGGTGAATCTGTAACCATGGAATCTGTGAATAATGAGTGCAAGTCATGGCAAGGAAGTAATCTATATTCTTTTCACGCCAATGTGATTACTGAATAGACCCCTTTACCATAGACTCCAATTGTTCTTTGTATATAAAATGTTCTTAGAGGATTGTTATGCAAGGTAGCAAAGGTCAAGTTTTCATCACTTGGTACACATTAAGGAAAAGGCTTTATTAAAAAACTTAGGATGTGGGAACCAGTATGAAGGGGAGTACAGACCCCTGTCCTCTCATCATCTTACAGAAAAGCAATCTGGGGCAAAGGGCCATATGTAGGAGGGTTATATTCAAGAGACGAGGCCCCTGAAAGCAATCTTATGAGTTGGGAGTGGGGTCATAGAGGGACAAACTATTTGGGTGCCAAACAGTCTGAGTATAGATGGCAGCTATTTTCAGATTTCTGTGAAATTCAGCTGCCCAGCATCTGGAGAACTTGAAGCCTGTGGGAAGTTTCACACCCTTCTGCTTGGGGAAAAGAGTCACAAGTCTGAGGATCTGAGTTCAGGTGTAGCCTTTCCCACTGAGAGAATGCAGGAATCTGAGATCCAGACAATGCAGAGTGAGCTTCCATAGTTGATTTAAGTCATATTTTCTCATTGCACCATTATGGTAATTGAATTGTTTGTGTTAATTTGATTTCCAGATTGGAAGAAGTTCAATATTTATTTTTAAATGTAATTTTAAAACTATATTGTCCATCTTGTCTTAATTTTTTTTTTCTGGAGACCAGGTTAAATTGATCTCTGGAAACCTGACCAGAGAATATTGATATGTACTAGTCTATATTTGAAACTGCTATAAAGTACAGCATTATCTGTGTTATCTATGTGTGTTACATGTTGGTTATATAAATCACATAACTTCCTTTAAAAATTATACAAATTATTCTACCCTTTCCAAAAAGTACTTCTCTATTCAACTTGGACAATGAGCTAAAGAAATCCTCAATTAAAAAGCAACCTAACCTATCTAATTTTATCTAAGTTTCTACCACTTTTACTTTCTTTAGCCTTAAATTTAAAGGTTTAAATTTTTAATAGTTTAAAATTTTCAAAGAAATAACCTTTTTTTACTTGTAAATCTCTTTAAAATTATTTTATTAGAGATGGTGAGAAGATTGACCAGGACCCATTCTCAGCCAGAGCCACAGATTCTATACACTCCAAAGGAAGATTCCAAAATATTCCCTAAATGATTTTTCCCAAAAACTTCAGCTTTGAAGGACATTTATAAGATAATCATTGTTAAACACAGAGTGTCATGCAATGATTTTCTTGTATTACCCATTTTTATTACTCTTTAATCTGGTTAACTTTCTAAAAACAAACTTAAGCCAAACACACAAAAATAAGGATTTAAAATATAAGTCAATTTATAACAACAGATCAATTACAATGGTCCATAAAAATGAAAAAATATATAACTTAAACAATTCTTATAAGCATAGCCCAAATTCTAATCTCTCTTGTTTGTTTTGCAAAGAGGTTTCAGAAACATTTAGTTATTGTTTTACAAATGGAAATGCTATGTTTCCATTTAGGAGGAATGAAATCCTGAATATTAATTTGAATCCAGTTGACTTTCATTCTTCTATAAACTCACAGAATCTCAAAGTCTAGAGTTTGTTATCTGTAAGGACAGAGATTTAAGCCACACACATTAAAAATTTTTTTAAAAAGTTTAAAATTTTGTCTTCTAACTAGCACTGCACTTACAATTTCAAAACTTTTCTTCTTTAAAACACTTTATTTGCAACTAACCTTTTTTAAAGGTGTTCCTTTGGAGAGGATCAATAAAAGCACAGCATTTCTCCACTCTCACCTCTTAAAACCTTTGGCTTCCTACCAGTTTCCCTTGTTGCTCAGTCTTTTTATTGTTGACAATTCTCAGAGGTTTCTGTTATGTTCCTCTGAAGGCATGTCCCTTGTCAAAGAGGCAGGCTACTTTCTGAGGTGTCTTTTATTTTTCTTTAGCTGCCCCTTCATTTTTGATATCCTTCATTAGGGCAGCCCATTGATCCAGGTGCAAGGCCTGGGTAATCTGCTAGACATTCTGATAATCATCTTGACTCATGCTGGGGTCACAATGGTACCCACAGAAGCAGCCATGACATAGGGACAGCATAGCTATTTGCCAGTTGTCATAGCTAATATACTACTATTTACAGCCGCTCTCCTTGGGGACTAGGAAGAGAAAGGGAAAACTCTTTCCTTCTTTTGTCATTGAAAATGGCATGACATGGCATGGCATGGCTACCATTTCTGGCTTCTCTGTCATTTCCAGTACCAAAATGGCCTGAGCAGAGTTTACTATGATGATCTGCTAGTTCTCTGCAAGTTTTCTTCTCTCCCTTGGTCTTTTTAGACTCTTATCACTTTGACCACACCTTGCTTGTAGACTCTTTTTGGTCGTGGACCTTGGGCATCTTTATCTTTTTCCACACTTCTGAAGATAACTCCAGTTCTATTCATTCATGAGGATATCCCCAGATTTTTTTAGGGCTGTGAAAGTTTCTCTCTATTTTGGATCTGTCTCTGTAATAAAGCAAATGTTTACTGGTTTAAATGTTGCATCTCCTTCCAACACCCCATCATGGGCATTAGTCTATCCCTGCATTTTTTTATGCCAGGCACTATTCTAGTTTCTCTGCATTTCCCTTAGTGCAGGTCAAGTTGTGTTGCTAGTGTCTCTGCAGAAACAACCTTGCACCTTGCCTATGTGCCAATTTTTTGACCTCTTGAGAAATTTAAGTGGTGGGTTCCAGTCCCCAACCCAACTTAGGTCACAAGGGGAATGGACTTCCACCATTTCCAGTTGTGGTAAGAAAAGAAATTATGTAAAATGCTTAAGCAACACTCTGGTTTAAGTATTATTTTTCCTGGCAGTGGGACTAATGAGTAGAGTAGGTGAGATATCATGGTGCTGAATAAATACCTGGTAATTAGTAAATACCTGACTTAGTATTCTCATCAACAAATGTACATGGAGAAATAACAGATATGCAATGTTCCCCAAAAATATCTTGAATATGCAGACCAAAGTGTGCCCTTTTATTATATATAATCTAATATTCATCCTTCAGGATCTCATTGTTTTTGGTACAAACCTCTTCAAATCTCTCCAGACCTTTGTTAAAAGGTGAAGATAACTAGATCACATATAGCTCCAACTCTGATTACCAATTCATTTGCAAGTGGTTTTTCCCATTATGATGCCCATGACATGGTGAAGGAGTCTATTACCAAGGAGACTGACTGTGGACCTTGAGAATTTCAGCCCTGTCTGTAACATGAGGTCCGATAGTGTTCTCAGGGCACGTCAGGATACCTCCTGGCAATATGTTTATAAATAGTCTTCAGCTTCTCCTTTGTTTTTTTTGTTTTTTTTTTTTGAGATGGAGTCTCGCTCTGTCACCAAGGCTGGAGTGCAGTGGTGCAATCTTGGCTCACTGCAACCTCTGCTTCCCGGGTTCAACGATTCTCCTGCCTCAGCTTCCTGAGTAGCTGGGATTACAGGCATCCACCACCATGCCCAGCTGATTTTTTTATTTTTAGTAGAGATGGAGTTTCACCATGTTGGCCAGGCTGGTCTCGAACTCCTGACCTCATGTGATCCACCCACCTTGACCTCCCAAATTGCTAGGATTACAGGCATGAGCCACGTCACCCAGCCTCAGCTTCTCCCTTTAAAATCTTTTTTTGATGTGTTTCTCTAAGATGTTCCTGATATATACATGTTCCTTTGAATTCACTGACTTTCCACATTGCATCTCTTCTAATTCTGAAACTTTTTATTCTTCCATGCCATGGATTTCCCCTAATTCTCCTGATCAGTATTGTCCATTTAATATAATCAATGTGGTAAGTACTTTGGTAGAAGTGTGACACAATAGCTATATGGAATTGGAAAGAGGAATTATTGATTCCATAAAGGAAGAGAGGGATCCTGAAGGATTTCCTAGATGACCTCACATTTGAAAAACATTTGAAAAATGCATGCAATGGAAGACTAAGGAGAACACTATGAGAACAGCATGCACAAGTTGTTGGGGGAAACGAGGAGTACTACAGTGTAACTGAAGTAGGGACAGGTTGGAGGAGAGATGTCAGGGCAGATAGCTAAGGGCCGTGAACCCACGCTAAAGACTATGAACTTCATATGGGGTCTGGAAAGCAGTTGAGTAAGTAGTGAAATATATGTATTAGAAACAAAATCCTAGCAGAAAGAAGTAAAAACAGATAGGAAAAGAGGATAAACTGAGGTAAGGAGACTAGTTAGGAGATCCTCATTCCTCAGAGAAGTGAGTCTGCTTCCTTTCCTCCATGCCTGCTCCCTCCTGGTGCTGTAAAGCAGTTCTGGTCTCCCTAAACAGAGCTCTGAGGGAAGGAGGGATGTTCGTGGCTTTAAATATGTGCCCTGAGTAAGGGTCTGGCACTAGGGTGGCTTCCATAGTGGGAGCTTACAGCTGTAACCTTATTGGGAATACAGCACCTAGCATATCATAGGTGCTCAAAAATATCTGTAGAATGAGTGAATAGGGGGGAAAAAACCTTTTCTGGCATTATCACACTCACAAAGTAAGAAGTCCCCTTTTACATTCCCCCTTGGGATAAATTATATAAAAAAGATTCTCTTAAAATCTAGGACTCATTTTTTTCCAGTCAGTCACATTTCCTTGAAAATTGATTCTGCACCCTGCCATGGAGGCCACCTGGGGGTTAGAAATAGCATGGGCTTCAGAGCCAGGCTGATTCAGGTGCACATCCTTACTTAGTAATTGCGCGAACTTGAATAATTTTGTAACTTTCTGATCCTCCATTTCCTCATCTGTCTACTAACAATGAGGAAAGGGTTGCAGTGAGGAAAGAGATAATGTCTGTAAAATGCTTATGCCAAAATGTGGCTGCAGTTCAGCCATATGCACACAGAATACATGTGCAGGAGCTCTGAGATCCAGTCAGAGAGAGAGCTGCAGAATTATATAGCAGGGTGGCCATTGCACCTCTCCGCTCCTCCTCTACTCCAGTCTTGGACCACCTCTACTTAGGCTGCATCTGAGGCCAATGCATGTACTAAGTCAGAATCAGACAGAACTCATCCCATGTAGCAGATATAAATCTCAGTCCAAAAAAAATGAAGAAAACCTCATTGTACAAGAAATATGAACTTTATATTTCCATGTGAATTACATTTTTCCAATATGAGACTCAGTTTAATGTAAAGATAGAAAAAATTTCAGAAAATGTAACATTCCACCTCACCAGCTGCCTTTATCTGGGGATGATATAAGTTACTGGAGACTTACATAGAGCCAAATCATTGGGAGAGTGCATCTAGTTTTGTATAGTGTCAGTTGCCCACATCAGCATTTGATCGAATGATCACATTCCCCTTTGGTCTTAGTGGTAACAGTTGGGTCCTTCTTTATACCCACCCCAACAGCTGACTGTCTGGGCCATTTCTGTTCTGCTCTGTGAACAAAGGAAACATTTTGTACCCCTGAGCCCTGTAGTGTCACAGAGATCTCAAAGAGGAGACCATCTGAGGACTGCCTACCTGCCCTGCACAGCCATGTCTTCTGCTTGTACATCGTGGGGAAGGAGAGAACCCTTGAGGTGAGTCTGTGTCCCAATTACCAGGGATAGTCTAGAGAAGCAGCAACACTCCAGGGTTCTCTCCTTCCCCTCAATGTACAAGCAGAAGAGATGGCTGTGCAGGGTAGATACTTGCCTGTACCTGGAAGTTTAGGCATGATCTCCTCCCTCTGACCTCTCTAATTGTGGCAACACTTCCTGTCTATTTTAGTCATTTAACTTTACTAGGTTTCTTATGGATTGTTTTCTCATCATAATTCTTTCGTTTTGTCCTCTGAGTCCAAGGTTTTGGAATTCAAAAGCCAGAAATAAGACTACTGTTCTCTCCTTTCCTTTTCCTTGAGCCACTGAATAAGTTTGTTGCTGAATTGTGGGTGGAGGGAGGGAATCAAGAAATATGTGTAAATGCAAGGGGAAACAGTTTATTTAGTCTTAGCCACTTCATTTTTACATTTTCTCTGGTTAAACCATCCCACTTCATTTTTTTCATATTTCACTTTCTCTTGCCCTTTGACACTGCTACACATTGCTTGAAATAATTTTCTCTTCATTGCCAATAGTATCCTTCTGAAACTGACCATGTTAAAGTAAGAAACAAGAATCTCATCTACTGGGCTGTTCAGCATATCATGAAAATAGTTTAGTATTAAATTGACCAGTCATTTGTTATTAACATACATGTATACTTCTCTATGGACTGTGTTTTAAACGACTGTAGAACTCACTCTGTAATCGTTAGATTTGGGGCATTGTTAGGACAAGAACTTAAGTGCTTTCTTTTGTCCAGTTGCTGTTATAATATTGCATTTCTTTGTCTAAAATCTAAGTCCAATTAGGAAAACCAGATAAATGCCAGTATGATTTTTTAAGGGTTTCAAATTTTTGTGTCTCTTCATAAAACAGAATTTTTAGCAAATTTTATTGCAATAATTTTGTTTATAAACATTTTTATAAATGTATCTCACAGAAACGTTTGATAGTTTGTTGAGAAAAGTGTAGTAATGTATTTTAAAATCTGGTTTTGTAAATGAATAATTCAAGTAAAATGGGAAATAGGAAAAGAGCTTGGGAAAGGAATAAGTACAACTTTTGGTCTTTTTATTAGACTATCATAATCAGATGATTCCTTTATCAGAGTGGGATGTCTGTGTCTGAAATAAACCTGGGCCTCCATTGGAATACTTGGAATGTAAATCTTAAACACTCATTTGTGAAGACAGTCAGTCAAATGTTCTTTCAATTTGATGTCCAGTTGATTCATAAATTTACTCATGATTTATGATGAGTCATGTCAAAAGGCAGTAATGTCATTGAACTTGAATTTGATATTTTGGCCTGTGATCATAGACTAAGTTGATTTTTTTTTTCTAATGCATAATTTATCCTAAAGATTTACTTCATGCAGAGATTCCTACATATTCCAATAGCTCTAACTCTTTTCATAAAGAACCTAACAAAGCAGGTTAGTGAGGCAAATTACAGGACTCTTATCAGATGAATAAACTTATAAGATAGACCATTTGTGCACAGAGATGTGCGTAGCTTCATCTTTTATAATCAACTTATAAAAAGTCATCATGTTGATGTAAGGACTGATCTAATAGGACACATAAGCCTTCCTGTAGCTAACCCCTTCTCAGTACTGACACAACCTGAGAGTGAGAAGATAATGTAAATGGAAAGAGCCTTAAACATCATTTAGTCTAACTGCCTTGTTTTACAGGCACAGAAATTAAGGGGTTTGACAGCGTGCCAGTGGACACACAGTGATTAAACCTGACTAAGTCAGGTTGGGGTTCCTGACTTCCTGCCTCCAAGCCTCTGACCCAATGCAGCATTTTCATTTCCTGCTTCTTATATGATCAGGACAGATTCATCTACAGTTTAATCATCTCATTCATGAAAAGTGCAGAAGAAAGAGCTATGAAATTGTTTTACCCTTTTAATTTTAGTTCAGTTAAAACTTTCCTTATGATTAGGATTACAAATTTTTAAAAAAATATTCTAGACACTTTTCATTATAGAACAAAAGGACAGTTGAAAATGCATTACTCTTTTTCTCCATACTTTATGCATTCATTTTGTATAAATAAAACTGCATTCTAACCATCTATAAATGTTTTTTTCTACTAGCTGTGAGATATTTGAGATCAGTTATCATGTTTCATTCAGGCATTATATTCCTAAAGCCCTAGTACAATTCATGGCACAAAACATTTTTGGTGAATGAATGCTAGATTACCATTTTCCTGGAGGTAGTAGCATTGTTTTCTATTTGTATTCTTTGTATACATCAGCACTCAGTATACATTTGTAATGAATAATAGAATGAGTGAGTAAATAGACATTCATAGAGGATCTCTTTGGACTTTCTTAAATAGAAACAATGGTGATTTTTTTTTTTTTTTTACCTTTTTTTTATACTTCAACTTCTAGGGTACATGTGCACAATGTGCAGGTTTGTTACATATGTATACATGCGCCATGTTGCTGTGCTGCACCCATTAACTCGTCATTTACATTAGGTATATCTCCTATTGCTATCCCCCCTCCCCCCACCCCATGACAGGCCCTGGTGTGTGATGTTCCCCTTCCTGTGTCCAAGTCTTCTCATTGTTCAATTCCAATCTGTGAGTGAGAACATGCGGTGTTTGGTTTTTTTTCCTTGCGATAGTTTGCTAAGAATGATGGTTTCCAGCTTCATCCATGTCCCTGCAAAGGACATGAACTCATCCTTTTTTATGGCTGCATAGTATTCCATGGTGTATATGTGCCACATTTTCTTAATCCAGTCTATCATTGATGGACATTTGGGTTGGTTCTAAGTCTTTGCTATTGTGAATAGTGCCACAATAAACATATGTGTGCATGTGTCTTTATAGCAGCATGATTTATAATCCTTTGGGTACATACCCAGTAATGGGATGGCTGGGTCAAATGGTATTTCTAGTTCTAGATCCCTGAGGAATCGCCACACTGTCTTCCACAATGGTTGAACTAGTTTACAGTCCCACCAACAGTGTAACAGTGTTCCTATTTCTCCACATGCTCTCCAGCACCTGTTGTTTCCTGACTTTTTAATGATCGCCATTCTAACTGGTGTGAGATGGTATCTCATTGTGGTTTTGATTTGCAATTTTCTCCCATTCTTTAGGTTGCCTGTTCACTCTGACTTTCTTCACAGAATTGGAAAAAACTACTTTAAAGTTCATATGGAACCAAAAAAGGGCCCGCATTGCCAAGACAATCCTAAGCCAAAAGAAGAAAGCTGGAGGCATCACGCTACCTGACTTCACACTATACTACAAGGCAATAGTAACCAAAACAGCATGGTACTGGTACCAAAACAGAAATATAGACCAATGGAACAGAACAGAGCCCTCAGAAATAATACCACACATCTACAACCATCTGATCTTTGACAAACCTGACAAAAACAAGAAATGGGGAAAGAATTCCCTATTTAATAAATAGTGCTGGGAAAACTGGCTAGCCATATGTAGAAAGCTGAAACTGGATCCCTTCCTTACACCTTATACAAAAATTAATTCAAGATGGATTAAAGACTTAAATGTTAGACCTAAAACCATAAAAAGCCTAGAAGAAAACCTAGGCAATACCATTCAGGTCATAGGCCTGGGCAAGGACTTCATTTCTAAAGCACCAAAAGCAATGGCAACAAAAGCCAAAATTGACAAATGGGATCTAATTAAACTAAAGAGCTTCTTCACAGCAAAAGAAACTACCATCAGGGTCATTTTTTTTTTAAGTAAGCCGTGTAGCTCTTAGGTGTTAGTGCTTATGTTACTCCTTATAAATGTATAAAAAATTTATATCTCTAGAAATGATATAACCAAGGTAATATTTAAATGTGACCTAGTGTTTGGAATTAGGCCTAAATATCTCAGAGAAAAAAATGCAACAAATTCATTTAACTACGCAGGTCACTGGCCCAAGTTTCAGTTTCATTTCATCAGGAGCGTACTTGGCTAGAATTTTAGAACCAAAACTTTTTTTTTTAGTGAATTAAAATGAAAACTGAAAAGAGAAGACTAAATTGGGGTGCTACAATGAAGCTTGAGGAGATGGGGATACAATTTTAAACAGAAATAGAAGAGCCTTTCAAGATTTTGTAATTTTCTCCCATTTGTCACCCATCTCCTTCTTCTCCTTTTGTCAAGTTTCCAGATATGGTAAATGCAAAATAAAAAGTGAGTGCTTCATCTTTGAAAAATAGAATTGAGCTTTATTGAAAAATAAAATAAGATGTCTAAATTTGGCACTTAGAGAGCCTTCGTTTGAGGATTTGTTGTGAGAAAATGGCCCATAAGATTGTAAGTACAGCTTTTGTTAGTTAATAGAAGGCAACATGGTTGAAAAGATGAGGATTTACATTAAAAGCTTAAAATATAAAGCCTAAGATTATATTAGAGAAGCCTTAATGTGTTATTGTTACTACTCTGTTCAAAGATTGCTGGATTGGTCCTCACAAAGGATAAGGAAGGGAAGTCGGGGAGCGGGATGTCTGTGCCATATCTGTTCCTGTTTCCTTCACTGTGTCATTACTTAATCCTCGGACATACACATGAAGTAGATGTTATTATCTTTATTTCATGGTTCAGAACTGAGTCTTAGTTAAGTAAAATAATTCGTGGGAGGTTATGTCACCTGCTTACTTTCTTAGCCTCACCTTCTACCATTCTCAACCTCACCTGCTCCTCTCACCCTTAGCATCTTTGCTCTTCCCTGAACATCCCAAGCATGCTGCCTTCTGTGACAGTTGCTCTAGCTATATCTTCTGCTCAGGGTTCTCAGCCCCCAACTATTAATGTGGTTAGCTCCCTCTTGTCACTCAGATCTCTGATGATATGCCATTGCAGAAAGGGCTTTCCTGATGACCCTATATAAAATATCTCATTTCATATGTGCTATGATCTAAATGTTTGTGTTCCCCCAAATTCATATGTTGAAATTATAATTCCCAATGGGATTATATTGGGAGGTGGAGCCTTTGAGACATGACTAGGTCATGAGAGTATAGTGTTAATGAATGATATTAGTACTTTTATAAAGGAGGCCTGAGAGAGACCACCTCATTCCCTCCCTATATGAGATTACAGTGAAAAGACAGCTGTCTATGAACCAGGAGGTGAGCCCCCACCAGACACTGACTTTACTGGCACTTTGATCTTGAACCTCCTAGCCTCCAGAAGTGTGAGAAATAAATTTTTGGTTGTATATATGTCACTCAGTTTTTGGTATTAGAGTTGTTATAACTGTCCAAACAGACTAAGATAATATGCCAGTAAGATGCACCATTATTTTGGGTACCACTAAGAAAGCAAAATGCTGCCGGTTAATCAATTACATGATAATTTTTTAAGATGCATCCCAATTTCACAGATGTTAAAATGTGGGGGGAAAATGTTCTTAGAATTGATGAAATGCAATATAACTTCCTGGCTTTCTCTCCTGTTCCCTTATGCTGGATTATTCTCTTTGTAGCACTCATCACTCTCTGATATAATGTCGTATATTTTCTTTGTTTTTTCTCTCCACACTAGAGTTTAAGCTACATGTAAGAGCTTTGTTTTGTTTATGACTGGTTACAGACATTGGCTAGATGTGCCCCACACCTGTCTTCTCTTCTTCCTGGGAACTCTGGATTACATTTTCCAGCCTCCTTTTCAGTTGGGTGAAGACATGCGAGAATCTTCTGAAAATTCTCCTTAATTTTTCTCTTTCCTCCTCTTCCAGTCATAGGGATGTGAGAGCCACTAAAGGGAAGAAGTCTGTGTCTCTAAATTACAGTACAAATAAAGCTGCCTCCAGCCCCCACCATCCTGCCACATTGAATTTTATTATATTGTGATATTAAGAGATATTTGTAATTTAAGCCACTGAAATTTGGACTTTTTGGTTATATCAGCTAGCCTACTCTAATATATTGCTCTGTCCGCACTGCCCAGAACTGTGCCTGCACATAGTAAGCTCTTAATAACTTATAAAAATAGGGTAAATGATAGGAATAGTAGGTTTTTGGAGGAAGATGATTAGGTTTGGTTTGTACATAAAGCATTTTCACAGGAGAATGGGGGTGAGTGGTGGCAACATCTTGTACTGCCTCATTTCAGGTGGCCATTTCTCCTTCCAAGCAAAGTGAACAACCAGGTGCACTGCCCAAAGTCCTTCCCACTGGGATTACTCCTCTCCACTGTCTTTTGGAGATGTCTGAAAAAGGGACTATTGTGCTACAATTGTTCACTTTCACATGGTGCCTGCATATCATGCAGAACCATCTCAAACCAGGCCAAGTCTTCTCCTTCTCTGTCAACTAATCGTAGGATACACCATATAAAGCCATAGGTACATCCTGAAGGAGAGAAGCCAGTATAGCAGGAGTAGGGACAATGAGGAATTTGGGTCACTTCTTTATGTAGCTTATTTGTGCCCCCACAACTTGCTCTAGCCCTATTCTCTATGTATCACTTCCATTTGATGATGGATGTTGACGTATATACCCAACTTTGTGGCTTGGTGGGTGAGATAATACCCAGGAATGATAGACAGCTCAGTTCACATGGTAATTTGGTGGCCCATGGTTAAGTATTCAGTCTCTACTAAGGCTCAGTAGCAGGCCAAGAGTTATTTCTCAAAAGAAGAGGAGTTATCTGCAGAGGGTGGTAGGGCTTTTACCACTGTCCAGTGATATTAGGAGCAGCCAGTTAATCTCTTATTATATTTGTTACTTTTCCAGACATGTTCAAAAGTATCATGTACACAGTCACTCCTTCCTTGCTTCTTAAATAGGAATATGTATTGGAGATATTTTGCATATCTCTAGTGCCAGATCACACCGTAGACTATAAGTACTCTCTTTATTTCTGGCAATAAAGTCATTAGTGTCTTTAATCAGGTGAGAGAGCCAATGCCAGAAATCCCAAACCCAATTGAGAAAACTTATTCTTAAAATTCTGTTCCTCTGGAGCCACTCTTGGTACCCAAATCTATATTAACCTGGGTTCTTTGGAGAAATAGAATGAATAGGATATAGATATAGATCCATATATGTGTGTTTGTATGTATAGTAGTCCCCTGTTATCCACAGTTTCACTTTCCACAGTTTCAGTTACCCATAGTTTCAGTCACCAGAGGTCAACTGTGGTCTGAAAATATTAAATAAAAAATTCCAGAACTAAGCAGTTCATAAGCTTTAAACTGTGTGCCATTCTAAGTAGTGTGATAAAATCTTTCACTGTCCTGCTATGTCCCACCAAGGATGTGAATCATTCCTTTATCTAGCATATCCACAGTGTATTGTATGAACATGTAGATACAAACATATGTAGGGTTTGGTACTATCCTATCCATGGTTTCAGGCATTCACTGAGGGTCTTGGAATGTATTCTGGGTGGATAAATAGATATAGATATAGGTATAGATATAGATCTATCTAGATAGATATGGATCAATATCTGTATCTCTACATCAATATAGATAGAGATCTAGCAATAGATATACATCTATAGATAGAGAGAGAGAGATTTCTTATTATGGAAGCTGAGGGGTACTAGGATATGCAGTAGTTAAGTTGGAGACCCAGGAGAGCCAACAGTGTAGTTTTAGTCCAAGTTAAAGTCTGAAATCCTCAGAACCAGTAGAGCTGTTGGTGTAAGTTCCAGTCCAAGCAGTGCAAGTCCATGCCTGAAAGCAGGAGAAGAGTCAGATTGTATTGTGTCTCAGCTTGAAGACAGTGAGGCAGAGAGTGAGTTCTCCCTTTCTGAGCCTTTTGTTCTGTTCAAACCTTCAACAGATTGGATGAGGGCCACTCACATTAGCGAGGGCAATCTGCTTTATTCAGTCTACCAATGCAAATGTTAATCTCACCAAAAACCACCCTCATATACACACCCAGAATAATGTTTAACCAGATGTCTGGGCATCCAGTCAGGCTGACACATAAAATTAACTATCACAGCCTGTATTTGTGAGATCAATGATTCATTTACATAATTCTCTTACAGACCTCAGTGGTCAATTTTAATTTTCAATTCCTCTTCTTTATATTAGCTTTGTGAGTTTCTGGGCATTCGACTATTAATAAGGTGTTTGTGTGTTTGTTTGTGTGTGGGTGTGTGTCTAGTACAAAGTTCCTCTATAGGTAGGTATAATCTGCTCCAGAAAGCTATTCAAGAAACTTCCAAACTTCTCCCCTAATTTATCTTTCTTTCTTGCTCCTATTTTTGGAGGAAGAAAAAGAAAGTGGCTAGGGCTGACTGATCAGGGTGATGATGATGAAAAGAAAAGAACTGTTTTATTTACCTTCTTATTTCCACATTAAAATATCTGGGAAACGCTGTTAAGGTTGTATAATAACAAAGATCTAAAAATAGAATTAATGTATTTCCTTGTCATCGTTCAGGATTTAGCTTAGATATTATCTCCTCTGGGAAACACCAGGTAAAGCTCCAAGGCTGGATTGAATGCTTCTTCCAGTGATTCTTCTAGCATTCCATGCTTCCCTTACTCTCAAACTCATAAAAGGTGAACACAGTTCAGGGGCAGAGTCTGCATCTGCTTCATTACTGTGTTTCTACAGCCCAACACAGGTTAACAAAATGTTCAATAAATATCTTTTGAACAAAACAGTAAATTATGCTCTCTTTTTTGGACAACTGAATAATTGAAGGCAGTGATTAGTTCATGTCAGGGTTTGCTACTCTAGGTTTAAATGTGTTTTTAAAAGAAGAAGACAAAAAATAACCTCCAAACTACTCTGAATTGAACCTTTATTTCAAGTCACATGTTCCTTTCCTTATTATTTCTTAGTTATTCCCAACCTACTCAAGATGAGTTTATTGGAAAAGGCTCCTTTCTAATTTGTAACACATAATGCATAGACATTTGGCACCACTTCATAGTAATCCATTTTATGTGCTAAATTTGCAGATTTTATCTTCCTTGGCTCTTCATATCTTTCCATTTAGTGACATGGGCTTTAGGCCATTATAAAAGTTTTGATTTTAAGGTGAAAGTTGAAGGTGATTGCCATCCTAAGATAAAGTTGCATTGATTTAGTATTTTTAAAGCTGTTAAGTGGAACCTATACATAATAGTCATGAGAGAATAATGCTGTCTCATTGCATAAGAACTTGATTAAGCTGCAGCTCTAAAGCTCTTTGCTCTTTCCTGAAGGAGGGTGACAGGGCCGGGCCTAGAGCCATTGGATCCATCTGGCAGGAATCTGTCTATGGTAGTGGATGTGAAGGGATGGAGTGGGGTCAGGGGGATGGAGGAGAGGTAAAGGAGAGAGGGAAGCAGAAGGGCTGGACTAAAATATTGAGTACTAGGTCAAGATGGAATGAGGAGAGGGAAATATTAATATAACAAAAATTAACAGCTGTTGCTATGCTCTTATAGATAAGATAAACACACAAAGAAAAACCCCACATTTATATCTATCATGATAGCCTAGAATATTTGCAGAGAGAGAAAGTGTTTTCTACAACTGTTATTTCAAAATATGGCAATATTTTGAAAAATTGGTGAGTCTGGCATGAACAATATTGTAGATCAGGAAACTCAGGAAAGCATAGTGCAATTTGAGTCTGAGGACAGCACAGTGTCTGGAGCATGTTGGCTGTTCAGAAAGTACTTGTTGAGTATCCTTGAATTTGGAATAAGAAGCACTTGAAGTTAAGAATAAGAGAACTAGTTGCAGGATCAGGATCCAAACCTGGATAGAGAAATGACAATAACTTCCTGTGACTGGGGCTTTATCAGTGCCCTAGAAATGAACGAAGAACAGGGAGTTAAGAAATGGATAAATGTAAATTCATATTTAGTAATAACTCATTGATATTTTAAATTTAATTTATAATTGTGTTTATACTGTCGTATTTTATTTTTCTCAATTAATTTCTTTTTGCTATTCTTCTAAAGTCCCAAGTTAAACAACTTCTTTAGGAATTGTTTTAAAAAAGTTAGAATGGATGGAGCTGAAGACCATTATCCTTAGCAGACTAATGCAGGAACAGAAAACCAAATACCACATGTTCTCAGTTATAAGTGGAAGCTAAATGATGAGAACACATGCACACATAGAGGGGAACAACACACACTGGTGCCTATCAAAAGGTGGAGGGTGGGAGAAAGGAAAGGATCAGGAAAAATAACTAGGGGTACTAGGCTTAGCACCTGGGTGACGAAATAATCTGTACAACAAAACCCCATGACATAAGCTTACCTATCTCACAAACCTGCACTTGTACCCCTGAACTTAAAATAAAAGTCAAAAAAAGAGTTAGATGATATTCATTGTAATGAACACACTATATTAATGATCTCCTGGTGCCTCCCAAGGGATTGGCCATAACTGGCAACCAGGCCTCACATCTCTATCCCTAATAGTGCTTGCTATATTTTGAGCACTCAATTAATATTTAGTCACTGAACTAATTGGCTCAACCAGGTAAATGATCTCTTACGTGAGCATCACATACACCCACTGATAATGAAATTATATATCTTTCCTTAATTGTTTTATATTGAACTTTTCTGCTTTAAGAGAGAAAATATTTTTTTCTTCAAAATGGCAATGTTAGGCCAGGCATGGTGGCTCAGGCCTATAATCCCAGCACTTTTTGAGGCAAAGGCAGGCAGATAGCTTGAGCCCAGGAGTTTAAGACCAGCATGGGCAACATGAGGAAACCCCGTCTCTACAAAATAAAAAAATTAGCCAGGCATGGTGGCATGTGCCTGTAGTCTCAGCTACTCAGGAGGCTAATATGGGAGTATCACCTGAGGCCCAGCTGGGGGAGATCAGGGCTGCAGTGAGCTGTAATGTCACCACTGCACTCTAGCCTGGGTCACAGAGTGAGAATCTGTCAAAAAAAAAAAAAAAAGGCAATGTTACATCTTAAGTCTTGAATTCTTGGCTTCGATTTTATAGCTAAAATTATTGCTTAGAAGCACAGATGAGTACATTTTCTGTCACAAGGATTTAATCTTTTTAACACTTGGCTGTCATATAATATTTTAAACTAAGTGTATCAGATGAAAACACAACTACTGCCAATTCAGTAGAATTGCACCAAATAGTTATTTCTCCCTGAAATTCCAGAGTCAGCCTTTTAAAAAATGTTACCTCTTAGGAGGTGTCTCTTTATATTGTTTAAACTAATATTACAAATAACGTACAAAATGTTATAAAACCAAGGCAAATTATATAATAAGTGAATGTATTTCACAACTTTAGTAAACTATATATGAATCCAATGACACTTTCCTTCTTCTGTTTGTAGTTTCTTAAACTGACTTTTACAAATAATTTTAATTTAAATGAAATTCTTTGTGCTCACTCACAATTTGGGGGTTATTTGGGAGATCTAATTAGCTTTAAACCAGTTTATCTGAAAATCACTTTTACATTTCTGGTTCCTTCTAGAAAGTAGTGGATTGTTACTTATTAATGGCCCTAGGCCATTTATGAAAAATGTTGCTTTTGTCTGAAAAGTTGAATTAATGAATCTCTAACACTGAACCTCTTTTGTCGGTGGATCTTTTTAAATAACTGCAGTGAAATTGGGAAAAGTAAATTGCAATGAAAATTTTAACAAAACCCCTCTCCCCTTTTATTGTAAGGCACAGACACCTGAATAAAATAAAGTGAAGAAATGTGAAAGAGTAAATGGATTTAGTGGAAGCAATATATATTCAAAAACCATTAATATATTCAGATAAAGAATGTTTCTTTATAAATTTCTCTCCCTTTGCTCCTTTTAGATTCATCACTGTATGTGTCCACAAACTCTGAATAATTAATTCTTTCATTTTACTCTTGAGGCAGATAGGCAAATATTACCATTCAACTATTAGCTGTATAATACTTGACAAGCCCCATAATTTTATAGTTGGGAAAGCTAATCATTAGGCTGTAAATCCTCAGGGGTGGAGAAATTAAGGAATTGGTCCAAAATCATAATGAATGTTGGAATAATTATTATCTTTGTATTCACAAGTTCTTGGCTCCTGTACACAAAACTTATCTCGATATATATAATATATATATATACACACACACACACACACACACACATATATATACACATACACATATATGTACATATATATGGTCTCAAATTCCTATTGTCTTAATCCTATGTGCCATTCTCCATGCTTTCTAGTTTTTCTGAAATGATTTACCACTCTAATATACTGACACAAATATGTCTTATTTTAAAACTCAAAATATATATTGCCTTGAGAAAAACTATTATGATTAAATAAAAGAAAGTTTATGTATAGATAATTGTCTGTATTAACAGTAAGACGATCCCTTAATTTTTTTTCTCTACTGAAAAACCTATCCATCACTTCACCCACCTTCTCCTTTTATCTTCATGTCTTAGAGGAAAAGGTGTTCACACAAAAGCTTAATCCCTCCCTCTCCTCTCACCTAATTCTAAATCACCTTTTTCACTGATTCCCTCCCTTTTGCTTACAAGTATGCTAAAGTTTTTCCTATCCTAAAAACAGCAACAAAAGATACCTCAATTCTGTTTTTCCCTTCAGCCACTTTCTGCTTTAATTTCTCCTTCACTACTGGGAGCTGAAAAGTCTATCTCTTCCCTTTTCCCACTCATTTGCTCTTCAATTCATTGGTCTATATTCCTGTCACTTGAATGAAACTACTCTGATCGAAATCAAAGAAGATGTAGCTATTGGATCCAGTAACTGCATAAATATCTCATCTTGTTTTACTTTCAACATTCAGCATTGTCAATCACATCCTCCATTACTAAAACTTTCTTTGTCTGTCTTCTTATGTAAGTGTATATTTTTTGTGCTCTCCTTAAATAATGATTTACCCCCCTCCCTTTCTGTCATTTTTTCTCCTCCAATAGCACCTTAAATGTCTATCATTTAATCTTGCATCGGCATAGGATGTAATTTATCCTAAACATATCATTCTTGTCCCAACTTCTCCAGTGAGTTTCATCTATATTTCCAACTGTTTATTGCCCATTTCCTCTTCAATATCCTTTAGCAGTCTCCAACTTTAACCTGTCTGTTATAAAACTCTATCTATCTCCTGAAATCTGCTTTTCTTCCTGACTTACTATCTCAGTTAATGTTCATTAAACTAAAATCTAGGAAAAACACAAGACTTGGAGTCAGAAGTCCTGGGATCGAATTCTGGATCAAAATCAGATTAGTTTTATGATTTTGTATGAGTTTCTTTTCTCAAGCCTCCATTTCCTCATGTGCAAAATAGAATAATACTTCAAAGAGTTTTAGAAAATAAATAAATCAAGATTAAAATGAAAGCATCTGGTAAAATGTCTAACATATAGCCATCACTAAACATGTGTTAGTTTCCTTTTTTTTTCTACATTGACTTCTTCCTGTCAAAGGACAAGATCATCATACAATAACTAAAACAATAAATGAATTTGTTACTTTCTTAAATCAGGGAGAATGATGGTAGCAGGGAAGTTTCCCTTAGCAAAGCCAACATTTGGAAAAGGCATGGGGAGAAATTGACAGACTTTTGAGGAGGCATAGATTTCAGAGTTTGAAAGACTTTCAGGAGTGGGAGTGGCTGAAGCCAGCTGTAGAGGCATACTTCTTCAGGTCAGGCTGGCTGGCTTTCAGAAGTGTATTCACTGAAGAAAGTTGTCATTGATTTATTAATGCTTTTTATTCCTGTTTGGGTGGTTACTCACTACAGAGCCTCAGAACAACATCTTGTCCCAGGAGTGTGGAATCTTTGGGGTTTTTTTGGTTTTGTTTCTCATTCTTTTTCTCTCCACCCTGCCTCTCACCAATTTTCAGTTGGTCGACAATCTTGCTCATTCAATTTCCAATGTCTTTCAAAACTTGCCTCGCCCCAAGTGTCTATCTCTATTGCTGCTGGTGCCCTAATTTATGTTTTCATCATCTTTCAACTGTGCATTGGTAATGGCATGTGAATATGCGAACTCAGTCTCCCAGCCCCCAGACTCCAACTCTAATCCACTCTCCACACTGGCATCAGAGTTAGTCACCTAAAACAGGTATGATAATCAACTCTAATTTAAAATCTTAATGATTTCACTGGGTTTATAGTATTTTTCCCAATATCACCTGATATTAAAATACAGATTCCTGGGTCTCATAGGGCTGGGTTCTAGGAATCTGAGTTGTAATAAGTATTCCCAAGATGTTATTGTGTTCACAGAAGTTTGAGAACCACTCACTTGTAGGCTATCATGCAAATTCCTTGGCACAAGCAGCCCTAATGAACCAGCTTTCCAGCTTCATATTTTGATACTTTCCACGTATCCTGTATTGTAATTACACTCAGCTACTCATCTTTCTGCAGACATACACGGAAAATTCTCTTCTGTTGTCTCTGTATGTTCTAGTCCTTCAGCCTGAAATATTAATTTGCTTCACAAACTCCTGCTAATCCTTGACAGCCAGTTCACATCTTCCAGAAACCTACCTTTTTCATAATTATGTTTCTGTGCCTTCCTGTATAATTCATAATTGCAATGTGTGGAGTTAAGTGCCTACTTTTCCCTCTGGTGGACTGAGTTTCTTGAGGGTGAATGTCAAATCTTATCCATATGTACATGACTATTACCTAGCACACTGCAATCATATAATACATGTTGACTGCATATTTGCGGAATTAAATTTTTATGGAAACCTTGAAGAATATCAGAATAGAATATCAGCCTAGAATATCAGAGAAAGGATATATTAATCTACTCCACTTATTTGTAGATTCAACTAAAGCCCAGTGGTATTCATTGACAACAAACCAACTTTACTTTGGCCCCAACCTTTGTTGGAAATAAAAATTAACCTAAGCCCAGATACTTTTAACAGAAAATTGTTTGTATTCTGGATTGTTCATTGGATTGCAAGTTTTTGGATTGTTCTACAAAATTTATAAGTTCCTTTCTAACCGATGTTTATTTGGAATGGCTTATACAGACCCATGACATCTTTTCATTTGATTATTTTTCTTAATCACAAAAGTAATACACGCTAATTTCAAACAGTGGAACAATTTAACATATAAAAAGTAAGAAATAGTAATCTTTACATACATACAGCTTCTGACTCTCACCTTCATCAACCCTCTTTTTATTCCTATGTAGTAACCAATCTTTATAGCCTATATGTACTCCTCCTACTTTTCTCTATGCTCATATAAATACACACAAGAATAGGTTTAAAAAATTTCTTTGTTTGTTGTTAATGGAATCATATTATACAAATTTTGAAAGTTACTTTTCTCACTTCATAGTACATTGTGAATATTCCTCCAATCAATAGATAGAAATCTAGCTTGTTATTTTTAAGAACTAAATAACATGTCATAGTATGGTTTTACTACCATTATTTAACCAATCCCCTGTTCTTAAACAGTCACTCTGTGTCCAGTTGGCTTTTTCTCACTATCCACAATGCTTCAATTAACAATCCAGTCTATACATGTACTATTGTTATTTATGTAGAAGAGATTACCAAAAGTTAAGTAGCAGAAGAAATGCATATTTTTATTTTTAATGACCAGGTTATGTAACAACGTGTTAAACATCTTTTCTTAAGTTTACTAGGCACTTGAATTTTCTCTTTTTTTAATTACATGCTTATATCCTTTGTCCATTTTCCCATTGATTTATTTTTTTAAAGACAATAATTTTTAGAGGCTCTTTTGTATTAACCTGTTGGCTCTTAGATATGAAACAATTTTCTTCTATTTCCTGCTTATCCTCTTTTATTGATTATAATATCTTCACCCTGAAAACATTTAATATTTTTATGTAACTAGTTATATTTGTCTAGTCCTTTATGGATTTTTATATTTCTTATTTTTATCCCAGATTTCTTTCCATCCCCAATTTATGCAGTCTTCTAATTTTTATTATAATATTTGTATGGTTCTACTTCATATATTTAAATATCAAAAGGAATTAGAAATTTAGTTTTGCTTTTTTCCAGATGGATAGCCAATTAGGTCAACAGAATTTAATAATAAGTTAATTACAGGGATGAGGTGAGGAGGAAATTGTCTACTATTATAATTCCTTTTAATATTTATTTGCCTCTTCAAATTTTCTATTTCTCCTTAAATTGTACCATTTAATGATACTTTATTATGAGACAGGAAATGACTGAAAATATTTTATACCTCAAGAGGTTCACAGGTGTGGCAAAGTTTGTTTTTTAATTGTGAAAAATGTTTCCAAGTTTTCTTTCACAAAATGATAAATGTTCTAAATATGTTCACATTTTCTGAAATGACAAGTGACTGCCACAAGAAAGCTACTAGTTGTGTGTACTCAATAATAAGGGCAATATGAATGTTTCTGGGCCAGGTGCGGTGGCTCACCCCTGTAATCCCAGCACTTTGGGAGGCTGAGGTGGGTGGATCATCTGAGGTCAGGAGTTTGAGACTATCCTGGCCAACATGGTGAAACCCTGTCTCTACTAAAAATTAGCCTGGCATGGTGGCACATGCCTGTAATCCCAGCTACTCAAGAGGCTGAGGCTGGACAATCTCTTGAACCTGGGAAACTGAGATTGCAGTGTGCTGAGATCACGCCATTACAGTCCAGCCTGGGTAACAAGAACGAAACTCCATCTCCGGGTGGGGGTAGGGGGGAAGGTTTCTGAATCATATAGAATCAGATATAAAACCTGGTAAATCTAACATCATAATTTCTTCCAATGGAATAGAAAGTGGATGTGGGTTCTACCTTTTAATAGGGTCTGTCTGACGGATCTTAATGAAAGCACATTATCTTTTATTTCAATCATCCATGTAATTGATGAAACAGAAATTTTTACATTTTCTATTTTAATGTCTTTTGACTCTGAGAATCTTCTATTTTTGTGACCTCTAATGAAACCTGTAAGTTTGTCATTTTTCTAGCAGCCGTGGCTTAAAATGTGGATTCTTTTGTTATTTTATCTCTGCAGTGTGAGAAGTTATTGTACATCTTCCTATAAGCTGAAAGTATTTCTTATGCCAAAATGTGTCTCTTTCTTTTTTTGGGACAGAGTTTCACTCTGTTCCCCAGGTTAGAGTGCAGTGATGCAATCTTGGCTCACTGCAACCTCCACCTCCCTAGTAGGAAGGAATTTATATTAAGAAGTATAACCATTTATATTTCTTGTGTGAATTGTTTATTCAAGATCTTGCTTATCTTCTATTTGGTTTGTCTTTCTTTTCTTATTAGAGGGTACGTGTTGGCTATGGATGGTTGTTTTTTGTTTGTTTGTTTTTGTTTTTGTTTTCTTTGAGACGGAGTCTCACTCTGTTGTCCAGGCTGGAGTGCAGTGGTGCAATCTCAGCTCACTGCAGCCTCCGCCTCCCGGGTTCAAGTGATTCTCCTGCCTCAGCCTCCAGACTAGCTGGGATTACAGGTGTGTGCCATAATGCCAAGCTAATTATTGTATTTTTAATAGAGACAGGGATTCATCATGTTGGCTAGGCTGGTCTCAAACTCCTGACCTCGGGTAATCCACCCATCTCGGCCTCCCAAAGTGCTGGGATTACAGGCGTGAGCCACTGTGTCTGGCCAATATGTCTTATATGTTAATTGCTTTTGGAAATAATACTTGACCTTTTTACACTGCCATAACACTGATAGTACCTATTAACATGTCATTTAAATTTTTCAACAAGAAGAATGCCATGCTCAATTAGAACCTTAGCTAATGAATTTTAGTTCAAACTCTGCATAGAAACCCCAAATTTACTTAAAATTTGTGCAGAGATCTCATTTTTGTGTTTAAAAATTTTCTATAAAAATAGAATTAGGACACTGATTAATACAAAAGACATTTTATTAAAATGAAATGATTGTTAAATTAATCAAACATACATAAATCACTCTTGCTATCTACATGAATTCATGTATTCATTCATCAAACATAAATTATTTACTACATTACCAAGTACATTCTAGCCTCTGGATATGCAATAATCCATGGGATCTGGTCCCCTTACTTTAAAAGAGCTCATGTTTTAGTTGAAGAGACAGTCAAATAAATAATTCAGCAGGGCCAAGTTTAATAATGAGACATAGGTTCAGTGCTATCAGAGAGGAAGGAATGATCACTTTTGCTTTGGAAAGTAAGGGGGTGCCTGGGAGGTTTCATTGAGAGAATAATAGCTCAATTTAGGCTTGAGAGATAGATAAGAATTTCCCTGATTGACAAAAGATAGAAAGTCATTTCAAATAGAAGGGAGAATATGTCCAAAGACAAAAAAAAGCATAACAACATTATGTTCTAGGAAATGCAAGTGGTTTAGTGTTTTCTGAGTGTAAGGTTTGAGGCAGGGAGTTGCTAGAAATGAGTCTGGATTGATATAATGGAGCAAATTATATAAATAATATAGGCATTAAGGGATTTTCACTGTAAGATTTACTTTTCAGATAATCTAGCTCTAATATAGTTACAACCAAAAGAGTAAAATAATCCATCTAAGTTCTTCAAAATAGGAACTGCACAAAAGCTAGATGAAACTATGCAATTGTTTGTTACTTATTTCCCATGGGTATTTTGGGAAATCACAAACTATTCATAAACACATAAATAAAGTCAAAGAAACTCATATATAGACAATGAAATTACATTTAAGTCACAAGTAAAACTAAAATTAATAAATAGAATGAATAATTACAATACTAATACAATGATGACATTGAAATACTGATTTTAAAATTTCGATTTGGTAATTCCAGTAAAAAATAATTGAAATAAATAAAAAGTCTGATGTTTCATCTATTCGTCATTCAGGGGAAAATTCAAGTGGGTATGATGGCCTGCACTTATAGTCTCAGATTCTCAGAAAGCTGAGGCAAGAGAATTGCTCGAGCCCAGGAGTTCAAATTCAGCCTGGGCAATGCATCAAGATCCCATCTCTAGAAATTAATTAATTAATAAAACAAATCTTAGGGTGTAAAGCAGTAGTTTAAAAAGTTGGCTGAGTTATGGTAAGTTGGTCCATATAAGACAACTATCTAATTATTTAGACAGTTGAAAGTATCTTAATGTTTTCTTACAAATAAAGTTTTTTAAGAGTTTAGGGAAAGGGAAGATTATTTCTAGTTGGTCAGGATGGTTATTTTAGAGTTGAGGTCATGAATAGTAGATGTGCAATAATGGGTTTGTAGACTTAAATGGAATATAGTCAAGAAAAACATGGTGAAACAATATTTAGTAACTGACAAGAGATTTTGGCTGATGGAATTTAATACTATTCAATTCATTTCATAGATCTTGACAAAGCCATACCTTTGTTAGCCATTTATCTTCAGATGACAGTTACAGAAACTTAAACAGCTTAAGCAACAAGGAGAATGTGTTGGCTTCTGTAACTGAGAAGTCATGTTTGGCTGCATCCAAGGGTTCAGGCAATTTCATTACTACTCTCTCTCGTACTCACTGTTGGCTCTATTGTTAGGCAGATCCCTCCCTGCTTCATAATGGCTGGAACTTTCAGAGTATGTGCCAACCTCAGCAACATCTGCAGGAAGAGAGCTTCTCTTTCAACAATTGTCCCAATAAAACTCCCATGATTTTCTCTGTTTGCACTAACTGAGGCTTCAAGCTCTTCCCTTAACTAATCACTGTGGCTGGTAGTTGATTCCTGGTCACTTAGTTCCATGAAGCCTTTTAAAGTGCAGAAGTCTTATTTGGCCAAACCTTACACACCAGGTGTTGTAGGTTCCAAAGTGGAATGACGTAGTTGGAATCATCCAACTCACTCTTGAATTTGTGTTCCTCATGCATTCATATAGTCTCTTAGAACTATGATATAAGAGAGCTATAGTCCAGAAGGAAATTAGGATTTTAGAGAGATATTTTATAGTAAGAAAGTAATTTTATCACAAAAATTAAATAGTTTAATATTCACATATGACTCACATTGATACAAACAAATATCTTATAGTGCTCTGTATGTTCCTGCTCTCAAGGGACTAAAAACTAGTGGGAGAAATCAATAGTTTAAAAGATTATGACAATGTAATAAATGTGTTGTTAGAGGGTTCCATGGGAGCCCAGAGAAGGGGCATGTTTCTAGGTTGTAAAATGGGATGTGAAAGTTGTGGGCAAATGTGTCTGAGAAGAAAATGTGGTCTCTAAGTATAGTTGAAACATAATTTCAATATTCTCCACAATTTAAATATGAAAGTTTTTAATTGTTCAAAAGAGTAACAGCCAGAGAAAGAGGTAACCTAGCTTTCATTTCCTACAAATTGCTTTTGTTGAAATATATTCCACTGACTTCCCACAATTTTCAGCTTATTAATTTTAGGACTTTTCTGTCCTCGGTATTATCAGTCAAGGATGGAATTTTGTAAGGGAGGAAGAACCAGAAAACCAGAAAGAATTTGTTAAATGATACTATGATTAAGGCATTTCTTTTGTTAGTTTCTCTGAGTATACTTAAGAAGCTCCATTTTACTAAGTGAATAATTAGAAAAATACCTCTCTACACAATTCCTTATGAGAGGGCAGAGAGGCTCATTGGGAAGAAAGAAGGGAAACACCAATGTGTGAGTGCCTGCTCTTTCCCAGATGCTGGAATCTGTGTTCCGCAGACTCCAAGACTGGATAATTGAGTGTGGTCTCAGCTTTACCACTGAACCAGTACATGGGTGGTCTTGGGCGCTTCTTTTCTTCTTTTGTTTCCTTGTCTGAAAAAATGGGAATAATTTTTACATTGCTTACTTTTGCAAGCAGATGTGACTGCTTTCTTTCTCTTCTTTTCCTTCCCTTCCTTTCCCTTTTTTACCTTCCTGCCTCCCTCATTCTCCTCTTTTCTTTTTTTCTAGAAACATTTTATTAGAGCCTACTAAATACCAGGCACTTAGTGTTGGGGAAACAAACATGAAAATGGCATAATATTAATACTTATCCTCAAACGGTCACAGACAGTAGGGGAAACTGAATAGTGAACAAGAAATGTCAATAAAGCGGGATCTAAATTCTGGGAATTGGAGGAAACGTTACCTCAGGCTGCTAGTAATCTCTTAGTAATTGAGAAAAAATATATATCTTCCTGCAGCACATACACAGATTTCCTTGTAAAGTCAAACCTGAGGTAAACAACAGCTACTTTAGCATAATAAATTACTCAATGAGCCATGTCAGCCACAATTTGGGTACCCATTCACTGGACCTTTAGACCTTTGGTTTTAAGATAACTCCTTTTACATGGATGTATTAGTAGTGTCAGTCTTTTCTTCAACTGTTCCATAACAATGATTATGGCTACTGACATGCCAGGGTTCTAGTAAGAATTATAGGAAACATGTATATAAAAATGTTTTACTAATGTAAGACTTTTTTTTTTTTTTTTTTTTTTTTTTTGAGACAGTGTCTTGCTCTGTCACCCAGGCTGGAGTGCAATGGTGCAATCTTGGCTCACTGCAACCTCCGTCTCCCGGATTCAAGCAATTCTCCTGCCTCAGCCTCCCGAGTAGCTGGGATTACAGGCGTGCGTCACCGGGCCCGGCCTACTAATTGTAAGGCAGTTTTTAAAATTTTCATTTGCTTGCTTATTCAACAAATACTTGCTGACTTGCAGACTTCCTCTATTCAGTATGCTGGCTACATATTGAGAAAGTGATAGAAATAATACATTTCTTTCCCTGAGACTAAAGGGAGGAAACAATCATGTGAAAACGTATTAGAATTCAATGTATTAAGAGCAATAATAGAAGGATGTTTGACTATTAAGGTGGCTCAGAGGAGGGAGTTTTCTTTTCTGGTACATTAGAGACAGCTTCACAATGAAAGAAAAAACTTGAGTTGGATCTGGAAGGATGAGTAAGAGTTTGGCAGGTGAATGTTGAAGTGGGTGATGTGAGAGATGGGAAAGGCATTCTAGGCAATGGGAAAACCATGTGCAAAGACAAGAAACATGGAACAATATACTGTTTTGGGAATTTAAGTAATTTACTAAATGAAGCCTAGAGCATGGGCAGGGATTTGAGGTTGGGAAAGTTGATAGGAAGAAGACCAGAACCTGGGTCCTGCATATCACACTAAGAAAACTGGATTTCTTGTTGTGGGCATTAAAGAGTCATTGAGGGTTTCCAAAACAGGGGAGTTATACATGCTTAGATTAATGTTTTAGGAAGATCAGCCATGGAACAGTGTGCATAATGCATTGGGATAAGGAGAAAGAAAGATCCATTAGAGGCAATTGTGATGGTTCCATTAAGAGAATACTATTAACAACAATATGTTGCACATTTCAAAATAGCTAGAAAAGATTTGAAATGTTCCCAACACTAAAAATGATAAATGTTCTTGGTGATAGATGTTTACCCATCAATGGTTATTTAGGATTTGATCATTACACATTGTATGCATGTATCAAAATATTACATGTACTGATGTATAATTGTATATCCATAAAAAATTTTTAAAGAAAAAAATCAATTATTTTTTAAAAAAGAGAAATACTAAAACAATAATAGAATATTCCAAATTAAGAAGTAGAGGGAAAAGAGCATATTTGAATGGGTGGTAGGGATGAGTTTAACATTGTATATGTTGAATTTGAAATAGTACTATGGGGTTGGCATTCAAAAGTGTGATCTGAGATAGATATTTCAAACTAGGAGTCCATAGGCACATCGAAGCTCTCAATATAATTTCTTCTTTTTAAAAAAAAATGCTTTTTGCTCTGAAATGATATGAATCATAAAAGACACCTCTAAAATCTAATAAATTGTAGAACTCAAACTCAGAAAAAGATGGTTTATCTTGGTGTTGGCAAACACTTAGCCAAATAATGCCTATGTCTGAAAGTAAGTAAGTAAGTCTGACATCTCTCTTATGTCACACAGTGTTGTTCAATGGGGGTATAAGAGGATATTGGAAAGGTAGAAGAAAAAAGTATGGATCAAGAAGCCATCCATTTACATGTGGAAAGAGGAATAAAAGCTCTTGGCACAATGGGATCATTATCTGCTTGGTTTCTTTTTATTATAATGGAGCTATTATTATTTACCATTTTTTCTGGGCACCAGAAAAGATACTTCTATCCTAATGAAAGGTCAAATGGCTGTGTACATTGTACTGTTCCTCACACCCAAACTTTAAATAGTAGTTGTTTCAAAGTCATATTATTTTTAAAAGGCAAGAGGGAAAAATACTGCCTGATAATCTTTTTCTTGTATTTCTCTTTACAAATAAAACCAAATAATTTTTTTTTATTTTGTAAAATAGGAACTTCCTCATTAGCTAGGAGTATAAATACCAGAATTTTGTTTGCTGATTAAAAGAAATGCTACAGAGACAAATAATGAGAATTCAGTTTCCTACTTGCACATATTTTCCCCCAAATATTTCACAATTTAATCCTCATAACAACTTGGGAGGTAAGCTGGGAAGATGCTATTATTCCCACTTTACAGATGCTCTACCTCCTTCTGATTTAGCCATTTTCAAAATAAGTGAGTTGGAGACTAAGGATTAGGGTCCACAGGAAGTACTGCAGAATTCTGGAAAATAACAAAAATTATGAAATTTAAAGATCCAGTGCATTATGAATACACATAATTGTTGTATTTCACTAGCAGTAAAATGAATGAACTTAACCAAAGAGGTCTGAGGACCTGTTTATATTCGCATTCTATTAATTATACCATGAGCAAATGTTGTGTCTACTAAATGCACTGTTCCCATTGCCCGGAAATTTGAAACCATCATACAAGGGGGTCCAGTATTTATTCCAGAGACAAAGATTGGTAATCTCTCATTAGTTTCAAAATTCCCCATATTACTTTATCTTTAGATAAGTATTTCCTTGGTACTTGATGACTTTACTGTTTTTAATTTGCATTTTATATGACAGCTAGTCCCAAGCATTATTTGAGGTGACTAAATAATAATAGTCTACATTAACTGAGATCTCATTCCATGCCAGGATGTATGGGTTCTGCATGCATTTTATAATTAAATTCTCTAACAATGCTGTAACACAGATAATGTGAGTATTCTTATAACCCTCATTTCACAGATTAAGAAATTCAGGTGCAGAGGGGTCAAATCATACAATGAGGAAGGTTAAGGAGCAAATTCCTATTCAGGTCTGGTTAACTCCAAAACCCATCTGCTATAGGTTCTTTTTAGCATAAAGTGTACATGAGATATGGGAGGGGAGCACTAAAAAACAGAAGAAAAGCTCTTTGGAGAAGGATAGGATAGCAATAACTTAATTGCTACAAGTACCTCTGCTATATCCAGCTCCAAGTTTCCTGACAGAGCTCAAAATATGGAACTGTTTGATTGGGAAATCCTCTTAATCTGACAAATAAAAATATAAAATCATCTTTTATTTAGAATAAATATTTAGAACTGTTTCTCTCCTGCCCCCATATGGTAAAGATATTGGATATGAAAAGAGTTCACATCTTTTATAAAATATTTTGCAAAAGATATAGAAGTTTTCTTTAAATGAATAAGTATCTTGCTTGAGATTTGTTAAACTTCTTGGATTGGTAGTTTACTGTTTTTTGGTCAAATACTGGAATATTTTTAGTCAATATTTTTCCCGAATATTTCTCTGCCCCATTCTCACTCTCCTTTTTTTACTGGGACTCTAATTTCATATATTTTTGGATGACTTGAGAACATCTCACGTGCCACTGAGTCTCTTTTAGTTCTTTCCGCACTTCAGTTTGCATAATTTCTATTGGCCAATGTTCAAATTCACTGATGCAATACATTTTTACTTAATATATTATATTTTTAGTTCTAGGTGTTTTATGTTATTCCGTTAAGCAATTTCTAAATCTCTTCATGAATTATGCAGTTCTCTTTTTACTGACTGACTTTGGTCTGTGTGTCACATATTTCTGTGTCATCACGTGTTTAGATATTTTTATTGTATATTATACATTGTAGATGATAAGTTGTAAGACACTGAATTTTGATATCTTCCTCTAGAAGTTTTTGGGTTTTGTTCTTGCAATGATTAACTGAATACGTAGGGATTTGCCTTTATGCTTTATTCAGGAGGGTCTATTTAGGTTTTTCCCCTAACCTCAGTGCAAATCTTTTCATTCTGGATATTAATTTATATCCCTAAGATGTGATCATTCTGGGGTATCAATGGAAAACTTAAGATGGTTACCAAACCTTCCTAAGTTGGCAAAACTAAAACTCCAAACTGTCTTCCTTGTGGTGGGGAGAAACTGAAGTATGTGGTCTGATACCACTATACCTACATTTAAACCTAGGACAAAATGTCCAAGTGAGCATTCTGTACTTGTCTTGTCCAGATCATGTGCCAATGAAATTTTTACTTTCCTTGTAAGCTGCTACCTGGTTCAAGTTTGATCACCTGAGTTGCTCAACTAAAGTGTTTTTCTTAGATATGTTCCTGAGAACTGTTGGTATGCAATGGTGGGCTTGAAGTAGAAAATACAAAACTCACTTTTTCTATTTGTCCTGTCTCTTGTTTTGCTCCAGCTCTTCCAGATGTCCACCTGTAAGAAGCTCTATTTTTTCCACTTTAATGTACCACCTTTCCTATTAATTTCTCCAGAAGTTCCTGCAAAATTGGGGGAAAGATGAATTCAGGATATGCCCCAGAAACTCTGTTTAGTTTATCTTCTCTTGGGAGCCTTGCTCTAATTGTGAACCTATTGACTTTTCCTATAATGCCAGATTTATTTTGTGATTCGTCTGCTCAAAGTGCAATCAAATATGTTTAGGGATACATACATGGGTGCCAAAACTATAAATATTCACAAAGAAATGAGTAATATCCAAGAAAGTGTGGCCTCTTTAGGGAAAAGAGAAGACTGTGATCAGAAAAGTGCTTACACATTACACCTAAGGTGCTGGTAATGTTCTTTTTTCTTAACCTGGGTATATGGTTATTCATTGTGTTATGATTCTGTAATTTTACACATTCATTTTATATGCACTTCTGTCTGTATAATACATTTCATAATGGAAAGAGAACTTAGTACAACTACATAAAAGGACAAAAGGAAGAGAGAGAATAAGATATTAGCAAGTAAGTTCTAGTTAAATATTTCTGCCGTAAATAGAAAAAAATAATGTGCTAATTTTAGAAGGTGCCTTGTCACATAGTTGTTGATGATTAATCCAAAGATGCAATTTATTTTAAAAAGTCCTTCCATATGAAAATAAAAAGCATAAGTTTAGAGCCTGACTCACCAGGGTTTGTACCCTACCTCTGCCAAATTCTAGTAGTGTGATATTGGGAAGATTATTTTTAATCTCTTAGTTAAGAAATCCTCAGTTTCCTCAACTATAAAATGGGAATAAAAGTAACTACTTCACAGAGCTGTTGTAAGTTAGCGTAGGTAAAGTACTTCCTAGCATACCATCAATAAATATGTCCACCAACCCTCACCCCAAATTTATTCCTATGGGTATTTCATGATTAGAGACAGAGTGAAATCCATAGTCAAATTAATTCTTTGTATCAGTTATAATATACTTTTTCAACTCAGCTTCCTTGGAACTTGATTTTTATTCTAGAGCCAGCAATTACTGATTATATAGCATTGTTATTACATACTCTATTGCCTTTTCCTTCAATATCCTTAAAATCCAGTCTCCCAAATACTTTCTCTGTTTAAAGCAAGTGAAAATAGAGGATAGGAGACAGGTATAGGGGAAAAAACAGATTGGATGAAAACAAATGAACTGTGAAAAAGAGACCCACAGGAAGATTATAATATGTCCTTCCTGTTTAATGAGTCATGTGGTAGACTTGTCTTGTATAGTCAACAGCATCCCGGAAACAGTCATATAAAGAAGCACATAGCCCTAGGACATATATGCTCTACCTAGAATTATTCTTTGATAGACACAGAAAATATTACCGCAGGCTAGCAAAGGCATTTATAGACACATGGAAAACCTCTCTGGATTTTTTTCTAAGAGTAAACTTATGGAAAAACCTTTTAGAAGCAGTTTGTTAGTGAAGGTATCACTCCTAATTAAACTTGACACTGAAAGCAACCTATTCACTTCTCTGAACAGTCTATTTTTGGTTTTGTTGCCTAATCTTTCATCATGAGTAGGCATTTTTCTCAGTGCAGAGGTTCACACCCATATCCCTCATACAAGCACAAAATAATAATTCAGAAACAGCATATTTATATGCTGAAACAATTATTTTGCTATTATCAGTACAGTAAAAGGTCAAAATGTTGAGTGTAGAATTTGGAGTAGACAGACTAAAGATAATTGAATCTGGAGTAGCAAAAGTGGACCCTGAAATTCAATAGCCCCAAGTTTGAATCCAGGCTTAATCTTTCCCTACCTCTACCACCTGAAACCAGCTGTTTGATCTCTTTCAGCATGAGACTTTTCTTCAAAAAAGTGAAGTGTTGCTATGGGATTCAATGAGAAGGCACATGAGAAGGGGCTAACACAGTGCCTCTTTTCTTCCCCCTAGAATCTAGATTAGGACTGGAAACAGATCTGAGGCCTCCTCAGTCTCCCAGGGACTAAAATTAAATGCTTCCCTGCTCTCTTCCCTTGTTCTTTTGTAACTTGTTCCATGGAAAATGCTTACATAATGCATCTCTAAGGACCTGGCCATTACTGCCCTCGCCTTGCTTCCCAACACAAAGCTGCCTTGTCACATCAAAGGCAGATTCCCCTAGACTGACGATGGAAGAAGAATCCCCACAGGATGGGAATAGCTTATGTAACAGCCACAATTCCTTCCTCCCAGATTGAATTTCTCCTTGAGGTTTCTCACCAGTAGTGCTGTCCCCACCCTCTGGTCTCAGGAACATTGTTTCCCTAAAATATGGATCAAGTATTACATGCTTAACTGTGACTATATAGGAACTTCCCCTAATTTTCCAGTGACATAAGGAACTCATTCATTCTTCATCAAATATTTATTTACTGCCTAGTCCTGTTCTAGACACAGGGGATACAGCAGTTAACAAAACACACAAATATTCCTTCTCACATGGAGTTTGCATTATTCCATACACCAAGACAATTTAAAAATAGGTTTACCAAACACTGTGGGAAAACACAAAGGAAAGAGACAGAGCTGGCGATGTGTAATTTGATAACCTGGCTCATGAATCTGGCTTCTGATTTCTCTTCAGCCTTTGGCCTACACCAGAGTGTTCCCACCTAGTCTTGTCTCAAAGTGTCATGAGATACTGTTCTCCAACATCTAGGAGTGTTCTTAATTTTGAATTGACTTCTTCAAGTCCAGACAAGTAGGGTGTGAGACCCAGAGATATGTCTTCCCAAAATCAACTTCTTGCCTCAGGACTATCTCTCTCCCTTTCACAAAATAAGAATCTGGGTTAGGGAGGGACTCACTGCCTGCTCACAGGGATGTGGTCTTTCCCTGTTATCTCAGAGCAAAAACATTATTGGAACACAATCCAGGAAGTACAAAATGAGCAGTGGGGGGCTACATACATACTGCAGCATCATGGAGGTGAAGGAGAATGGGGGATATTAAGTCACATACACATATGCACACACATACACATACAAGGACAGCATTTCAATTTAATTGCTAGGATTATCCTAGGTTTTATTGGTGACCACACAACTGTGTGAAAATACTCTTGTTTCTCTCAGATAACAAGGCTTAAAAATTCGTGCATTCTGGAATATATTAGGATTTCTTATGAAAAATGACATACACACTTGCTATATACATGCATACTTTGTAACAAGACATTTTGACTGGCTTAGCTGGGCTCAGACCTTGGTGGTAAGGATAAGATCCTTTTCCCACCTGTTTGGATTAGGTATATATTTTAACTATGCAAAGCATTTTTACCCTAAGTATTTTCACCTTGAGTTCTTGAGTTGTCATGCTCTTTTGCCCTGAGGTCCCCTGAAGAATAAGGTGTTAGATAGTTATGATTTCTTTTTTTGTGTGTGTGTGAGCTTTACAATGGAATTTTATTATTTTTTGTTGTTGTTGTTTTTATTATTATTATACTTTAAGTTTTAGGGTACATGTGCACAATGTGCAGGTTAGTTACATATGTATACATGTGCCATGCTGGTGTGCTGCACCCATTAACTTGTCATTTAGCATTAGGTATATCTCCTAATGCTATCCCTCCCCCTTCCCCCCACCCCACAACAGTCCCCAGAGTGTGATGTTCCCCTTCCTGTGTCCATGTGTTCTCATTGTTCAATTCTCACCTATGAGTGAGAACATGCGGTGTTTGGTTTTTTGTCCTTGCGATAGTTTACTGAGAATGATGATTTCCAATTTCATCCATGTCCCTACAAAGGACATGAACTCATCCTTTTTTATGGCTGCATAGTATTCCATGGTGTATATGTGCCACATTTTCCAGAATCTACAATGAACTCAAACAAATTTACAAGAAAAAAACAACCCCATCAAAAAGTGGGCAAAGGACATGAACAGACACTTCTCAAAAGAAGACATTTATGCAGCCAAAAAACACATGAAAAAATGCTCACCATCACTGGCCATCAGAGAAATGCAAATCAAAACCACAAAGAGATACCATCTCACACCAGTTAGAATGGCAATCATTAAAAAGTCAGGAAACAACAGGTGCTGGAGAGGATGTGGAGAAATAGGAACACTTTTACACTGTTGGTGGGACTGTAAACTAGTTCAACCATTGTGGCAATTAGTGTGACGATTCCTCAGGGATCTGGAACTGGAAATACCATTTGACCCAGCCATCCCATTACTGGGTATATACCCAAAGGACTATAAATCATGCTGCTATAAAGACACATGCACACGTGTATTTATTGCGGCACTATTCACAATAGCAAAGACTTGGAACCAACCCAAATGTCCAACAATGATAGACTGGATTAAGTTATGATTTCTTATCCAACCTTTAGCTGGAACATTATTTGACCGATTATTTATACACACACACTCACACACAAGAATTATTTAAGAAGGAACATTCCTTTATTTAATATAGAAAATAGCATTTTAGAAAAACACTTCTCCAACTTTAAATACCATGGCAAATTGTCAGGTTCTGCTACATTCTTTTTTCAAGTGACAATGCTATTAGGATACTATCACTCTGTGCACTCTTCTGGTATACTTGCATTGTGAGATGATTGAAAACCCTAGATGTCAGTGATTCTGTCAAGTCTAGTTGCACATATACCTTTCCAAACTTCACTGAGAAGAGACTTTGATTCTCAATGTTATGAAGACTTTCATAACTCATCAGCTGTCTGTTCTGAGTTTTTTAATGTAATTTACATTACTTCATAGTTAATTCTTTTCTCTATGCTTCCCAAGGGATTTTATGAAGTTTTCTTTAGAAAAATAAAAATGAAGCTCTTGATCATGCAGCCTCCATATAACGTCTTTTTTCCTTCCAACAAGAGTTTGTTCTTTGGTTCTAATATTTGCCTCTCCCTGAACTCCTCCCCAGTCCCCCTAAGGTTAATCTAGCTCCATCCCTAATTCCAGGCACTGCATGTGCTTGGGGCTTTTCTTATAATATCATAAATATGAGGAGAAAGTTTCATAGCAAGGAAACTAGGAGTTGAGTTTGCACAGTTTGGTTTCAGTTATATGCTCTGTGCATTTAGTTAAATTTCAGCTGTCTTCTTGGCTTATCTAAGTGTTGTGTTCCCAAGAATGAGGATACTCTTCAATTACTTTATCTTTCCTCTTTTTCTGTAATATATTACAAACCCATACATATCCCCTTAAATTTGCAGACTTATTGTGTTCTCTTTCCACTAAACTTACATAATTTCTTCCTCCAATAAAGTAGATTCTATTCTAATCAGCATTACCTGAATCCAATAATGTAAATGATTTCTTAGGTGTAGGTGAGAAAATTGTTCTATAAATGAAACAAATGTTCAGTTTTTCTTCAATTTCATCCTTTTTAGTCTGAAAACTATTTATTATGGAGATATCTCTAAAATGAGCTTTCATTTATATCTACAAGAAATAAAATTAGTTAATGTAGTCCACATTAGAATAAGGAATCAGTTGAGAGGAAAATCCATTTCCATCATAGCATTTTCAATTACTGTCATGATTAGTATTTTAATTACTCTTGCATACCTTTGTCTCCCAAAGAGAAAAATTTAAATGCTCTTCTTAAAAAGGTAAGTTTTCACTATCAAGAAAATGAAAAGACAACCTACAAATGGGAGAAAATATCTGCAAATTATGTATATGATAATGATAATAGTTTAATATGCCAGAATATACAAAGAACTCCTAAAACTCACCAACAAAAAGACAATTCAGTTTTAAAATGGGCAAGGGACGTGAATAGACATTTCTCAAAGGAAGATAAATGGCAATAAGCACACACAAACAAAGCTCGAAATTACTAGTTATTAGGGAAACACAAATCAAAATAACTATGAGGTACCACTTCGCACCTACTAGAATAGCTATGATAATTTTTTTAAAATACAGAAAATAACAAGTGTCACAAGGATGTGGAAAAATTAGAACACTTGTATATTGCTGGCAGGAATTCCACTGCTAGGTATATACCCCCCAAAATTCTATTCTTACATA
This sequence comes from Homo sapiens, assembly GCF_000001405.40. Lineage (NCBI taxonomy): Eukaryota > Metazoa > Chordata > Mammalia > Primates > Hominidae > Homo > Homo sapiens. The sequence continues at coordinate 180,379,053 of NC_000003.12, read as the reverse complement.
TATATGGCAAATAATTGAAAATAGGGAGTGAAACAGATATTTGTTCATGGTAGCTTTATTTATAGTAGCTAAAAGGTGGAAACACTCCAAATGTCCATCAACAGATACATGGATAAACAAATGTGGTATATACATAGAATGGATTAGTATTCAACTATTAAAATAAATGAAATTCCTTTACCCGCTATGATATGGATGAACCTTGAAAACATTATGCTAAAGTGAAATGAGCCAGACGCAAGGGACAGATATTGTATGATTGTATCTATACAGAATTTCTAGAATGGGAAAATTCATGGAGACTGAAAGTAGAGGAGGTCATCTGGAACTGGTGGGGAACAGAAGGAGTGAGAAGTTATTGCCTTATGGTTATAGAGTTTCTGCTTGGAATGATGAAAACGTTTTGGAAATAGTCGTGTCAGTTGCACAACACTGTGAGTGTAACAAATGCCACTGAATGGTACACTTAAAAATGGTTAAAATGGTGAATTTTGTGTTACATATGTATATTTTATCACAATTTAAAAATTCAGAAAAATGCAAAGTTATATTAAGGATGTGTCTCATTTTTGGTCTGCTGGTAAAAATCAACGTGATTATGTCTGTTATTCCAAAGAAACCTGAAACATGTTTTGTTCCTATACCAAATTTTCCTTGGTCTTGGCATATAAAAGCCTTCAAGAATTTTTTAAAAGTCGTTTTCTCAGTATTCCCATGAATATAACAAAAAATTCTAGAGTTGGCACATTGATTTCTATTATAGGCATGTAACATCAATAATTCAAAACGATATATCATGAAATTCTTTTAACTCATGGCTCATATTCTTTCTGTAGCCAAATAGTGCTTGGCAAATCTATATGGCTCCAAAGAGTACCATAATTTACATTAACAGGTTTAACTGAAATAGTAATTTAAGTGGAAGGTAGATGTTCTTTATGAGCTCTAATGGCAAGCATCAAGTTTGAAGTGGTACTCAGGGATTTTTATCTTGAAGGAGGCACTAACATTTAGAGACACATTAAAGGCTTGTTTTTAAAAGAAACTGAAAAAAGAATAATGAAAAGGTAACTTAGGAATTGCCTCAATTTCTTTTTTGGATCAGAGAATTACAGTTCTGGGAGCAAATGTGTTATAGCTTTTGAAGATCCCTTGGGTTAGGGCAATGAAAATCTGCAGTGTTGCATAAAATTTGAAAATGCTTTATCCTTACCAGTGGATCACATACAATGCCTTTAAAAGTTTAGCATACTTATTTTGCAAAAGAAAATGTTAAGAAATGTTAGATTTGGATGCCAGTTTTTTTCTGCATTCCCTCAGTTGGCCCCAAATAATCACAAGCAGCATTAGAAATGAAGTATACCTTTCATTCCTACCCACCCTCCCCAGTCACCCTATCAGCACCTGCTTCATAAATCTCAGCCAATCACTGGAGAGCAGAGTACTCCTAGGAACGCTTGACAAATTCAAATGCTTCTCTATTATGTAAGATCAAAAGGTGATGAGAAAGATGATGTTCTGTGCAGGACTGTATATGCAAAGTGGCCCCCAAATACCAAAGGAGCCAAGAAACCAAAGGATGCAGCAGACAAATTCAGTTTCTTGGAAAGGGTGGTTTATGGGGGGAACTTAAAAATGGAAGCATGGTCTTGGGTGGCAGCAAGACAGGTAGATCTCAGCACTGTTACTACCCAGACCCATGACTTATATACCATAGAGAAAGGATACATGTGCTCTATAAAGGCAACCCTCCAGAACAGGGAAGAATGTTGTAGGTACCATAGCCTATAATTTGTGTGATATCATCAAAGTTACTTTGATCCAAAGGCAGGAGTTATAGTGAATACATGTTCTTACAATAAGGACAGTCAATAAAGTAGGAATCAGGAGGCATTTATGGAACTGAGGTTAATCAGAAGTTAACATGGCAGATTAGCATCCAAGATGGAGTCGCTTTTGTCTCCACAGATGGAGAGGTGTTTGAGACTTAAATACTAATATGTCTTCAGTAACTTTTGCCAAATAGCAGGACAGATTAAAGAAATGCTGTTGGTGAAATATCCCAAAGGTGTTCTTCAGCTGAACTTTCCTGCTTACAGGGTTCATAGAGCCAGATTGCTTCCTACTTCTACGTAGAATAAGGAAACTTTCTTCACATGACATTTTTCATTTCACAGAATGACTTAACTCCTGGCTTTGATTATTTTTCTTATCCTTAATTTACAGATCATTTGGATTATCCCAGGTATTAACTGTATTTTAACCTTTGGAATTATATTTTGTTTGTGCTACCTTTTGGAAATGTGCTAACATTTTTGGAAAGAGGGAAGGAAAGTTTTTATTTTAAACAAAAAGATAGCTACATTTAACTGATGTTTATTATGTGTTAAAAACTCTTTAAGCATTTTACATGTATTAATACATTTAATCCTCACAATCCTACATGGTGGGCTACTAGTGTTACTAGCATATGATCTTCATTTTCAGAAGAGGAAACTGAGGCATAGAAAAGGCTGAGACAATTAACTTGTGTATAATGGAGTCAAGAATCCTAGCTCCAAAGCTTATGCTCTATTGTTACACCATATTGCTTTGTCTAGTACATTCAAAAGCTTTTTTAATATAATTTTTACCACATGGCTAATTGAATTTTACTGATTATATTAATCACAGTACAACCTATTTTATTTAATTTTCAAAGATTTATCCAGACTTTACTATGTATCAGTTGTTGTCAAGGCTGCTAGGAATAGTAAGGTGAGAGAGTTATTTTTCTAGTGGGTAGATATGTTAGTCTCATGCAGCTATAAAGGCATATCTGAGACTGGGTAACTTATAAAGGAAAGAGGTTTAATTGACTCACAGTTCCACATGGCTGGGGAGGCCTCAGGAAACTTACAATCGTGGGGAAAGGGAACACAAACCTGTCCTTTTCCACAAGGCAACAGGAGAGAGAAGTGCAAGCAGGGGAAATACCAGAGGCTTACAAAAACATCAGGACTCACTTACTATCATGAGAACAGCAGGGGAGAAACCGCCGCCATGATCCAGTCACCTCCCTCCAGGCCTCTTCCTAGATTACAATTCCTGGGGATTACAATTCAAGATGAGATTTGGGTGAGGGCACAAAGCCTAACCATATCAGTAGGTCAGTTAAATTTGCAGAGATAAATTTGTAATGAAGCTAATGAAGCTTATTAAGCTTTATCTGTGGGGAGGCTTCTGAGATCTTGGGAGGAGGCCAAGCATATGTTGAAATGGTCAAAATTTTGGTAATTTTTGAAAAACAAGGAATTTAACTGCAATTGGTTAAGACTGCTGTCTCCTTCTACTCCAACTTTTTCTCTGTCACATGTCTCATATTAGTAGCATTGGAGTTGGCCAGGGCTATTTCTGAAATCCAACTAAAGAGAATTTGATTTGGGAATAAATTTAGTTTGACTTTTTTTATATACTTTTTTATTTTATTATTATTATACTTTAAGTTTTAGCGTACATGTGCATAATGCGCAGGTTAGTTACATATGTATACATGTGCCATGTTGGTGTGCTGCACCCATTAACTCGTCATTTAGCATTAGGTATATCTCCTAATATACCTCCCCCCTCCCCCCACCCCACAACAGTCCCCAGAGCGTGATGTTCCCCTTCCTGTGTCCATGTGTTCTCATTGTTCAATTCCCACCTATGAGTGAGAACATGCGGTGTTTGGTTTTTTGTTCTTGTGATAGTTTACTGAGAATGATGATTTCCAATTTCATCCATGTCCCTACAAAGGACATGAACTCATCATTTTTTATGGCTGCATAGTATTCCATGGTGTATATGTGCCACATTTTCTTAATCCAGTCTATCATTGTTGGACATTTGGGTTGGTTCCAAGTCTTTGCTATTGTGAATAGTGCCACAATAAACATACGTGTGCATGTGTCTTTATAGCAGCATGATTTATAGTCCTTTGGGTATATACCCAGTAATGGGATGGCTGGGTCAAATGGTATTTCTAGTTCTAGATCCCTGAGGAATCGCCACACTGAGTTCCACAATGGTTGAACTAGTTTACAGTCCCACCAACAGTGTAAAAGTGTTCCTATCTCTCCACATCCTCTCCAGCACCTGTTGTTTCCTGACTTTTTAATGATCACCATTCTAACTGGTGTGAGATGGTATCTCTTTGTGGTTTTGATTTGCATTTCTCTGATGGCCAGTGATGGTGAGCATTTTTTCATGTGTTTTTTTGGCTGTATAAATGTCTTCTTTTGAGAAGTGTCTGTTCATGTCCTTTGCCCACTTTTTGATGGGGTTGTTTGTTTTTTTCTTGTAAATTTGTTTGAGTTCATTGTAGATTCTGGATATTAGCCCTTTGTCAGATGAGTAGGTTGTGAAAATTTTCTCCCATTTTGTAGGTTGCCTGTTCACTCTGATGGTAGTTTCTTTTGCTGTGCAGAAGCTCTTTAGTTTAATTAGATCCCATTTGTCAATTTTGGCTTTTGTTGCCGTTGCTTTTGGTGTTTTAGACATGAAGTACTTGCCCATGCCTATGTCCTGAATGGTAATGCCTAGGTTTTCTTCTAGGGTTTTTATGGTTTTAGGTCTAACGTTTAAGCCTTTAATCCATCTTGAATTAATTTTTGCATAAGGTGTAAGGAAGGGATCCAGTTTCAGCTTTCTACATATGGCTAGCCAGTTTTCCCAGCACCATTTATTAAATAGGGAATCCTTTCCCCATTGCTTGTTTTTCTCAGGTTTGTCAAAGATCAGATAGGTGTAGATATGCGGCGTTATTTCTGAGGGCTCTGTTCTGTTCCATTGATCTGTATCTCTGTTTTGGTACCAGGACCATGCTGTTTTGGTTACTGTAGCCTTGTAGTATAGTTTGAAGTCAGGTAGCATGATGCCTCCAGCTTTGTTCTTTTGGTTTAGGATTGACTTGGCGATGTGGGCTCTTTCCTAGTTTGACTTTTGTGTGATATATTTATGTGACTTACAATCACATTCTTACAAAATTAAGTTATGGTTTGCGATCCCACTGTGTGAATAATTTCCAGGATAAATTTTTAGTGGAAGCAATGAATTAGACTTTTGGATAAAATAATACAATAAAAAAATTCATCATATGTTTATATATGTGTGTATATATATATATGTGTGTGTGTATATATATATACACATTCAGAAAAGATTTTTAATTTCTCGATGATTTGAGTACCACCAAAATTGTTGAAGATAAAATAATTCTAAGACAAACTTATCAATTGGTGTCATTAAGTTAAATAATGTTTTAGGTTAGTGTCTAGATGAAAAAACATGAAATGCTCTGAAATTATAGCATGCACATAGGAAAGACACTAGATTGAGGTTTATCCCAAACATGACAACAATTCAAAAATGTATAGGGCATTGCCAAAAACAAATTGTGAAGCTGAAAGAAACTTAAAAAGTACAAGTCAATTGTATTAGAGAAAGGTAAAGGTCTACGTTATTTTCTATACTTTCTATAAAAATTATATTTAAACACTTATTTAAAAAAATTTTTTTTATTATACTTTAAGTTCTAGGGTACATGTGCACAACATGTATGTTTGTTACATAGGCACACATGTGTCTTATTGATTTGCTGCATCCATTAACTCATCATTTACATTAGATATTTGTCCTAATGCTATCCCTCCCACTGCCCCCCACCCCATGACAGGTCCCTGTGTGTGATGTTCCCTGCTCTGTGTCCACATGTTCTCATTGTTCAATTGCCACCTATGAGTGAGAACATGTGGTGTTTGGTTTTCTGTCCTTGTGGTAGTTTGCTAAGAATGATGGTTTCCAGCTTCATCCATGTCCCTGCAAAGGACATGAAGTCATCCTTTTTTATGGCTGCGTAGTATTCCATGGTATATACGTGCCACATTTTCTTAATCCAGTCTATCATTGATGGACATTTGGGTTGGTTCCAAGTCTTTGCTATTGTGAATAGTGCCGCAATAAACATACGTGTGTATGTGTCTTTATAGTAGCATGATTTATAATCCTTTGGGCATATACCCAGTTATGGGATCGCTGGGTCAAATGGTATTTCCAGTTCTAGATCCTTGAGGAATGGCCACACTGTCTTCCACAATGGTTGAACTAGTTTACAGTCCCACCAACAGTGTAAAAGTGTCTCCACTTCCTCTCCAGCACCTGTTGCTTCCTGACTTTTTAATGATCGCCATTCTAACTGGTGTGAGATGGTATCTCACTGTGGTTTTGATTTGCATTTCTCTGATGGCCACTGATGATGAGCATTTCTTCATGTGTCTTTTGGCTGCATAAATGTCTTCTTTTGAGAAGTGTCCGTTCATATCCTTTGCCCACTCGTTGATGGGGTTGTTTGTTTTCTTCTTGTAAGTTTGTCTGAGTTCATTGTAGATTCTGGATATTAGCCCTTTGTCAGATGAGTAGACTGCAAAAATTTTCTCCCATTCTGTAGGTTGCCTGTTCACTCTGATGGTAGTTTCTTTTGCTGTGCAGAAGCTCTTTAGTTTAGTTAGATCCCATTTGTCAATTTTGGCTTTTGTTGCTGTTGCTTTTGGTATTTTAGTCATGAAGTCCTTGCCCATGCCTATATCCTGAATGGTATTGCCTAGGTTTTCTTCTAGGGTTTTTATGGTTTTAGGTCTAACATTTAAGTCTTTAATCCATCTTGAATTAATTTTTGACAAGGTGTAAAGAAGGGATCCAGTTTCAGCTTTCTACATATGGCTAGCCAGTTTTCCTAGCACCATTTATTAAATAGGGAATCCTTTCCCCATTTCTTGTTTTTGTCAGGTTTGTCAAAGATCAGATGGTTGTAGATGTGTGGTGTTATTTCTGAGGCCTCTGTCCTGTTCCATTGGTCTATATCTCTGTTTTGGTACCAGGACCATGCTGTTTTTGTTACTGTAGCCTTGTAGTATAGTATAGTATAGTATAGCCTTGTAGAGTGATGCCTCCAGCTTTTTTCTTTTGGCTTAGGATTGACTTGGTGATGTGGGCTTTTTTTTGGCTCCATATGAACTTTAAAGTAGTTTTTTCCAGTTCTGTGAAGAAAGTCATTGGTAGCTTGATGGGAATGGCATTGAATCTGTAAATTACCTTGGGCAGTATGGCCATTTTCATGGTATTGATTCTTCCTATCCATGAACATGGAATGTTCTTCCGTTTGTTTGTGTCCTCTTTTATTTCATTGAGCAGTGGTTTGTAGTTCTCCTTGAAGAGTTCCTTCACATGCCTTGTAAGTTGGATTCCGAGGTATTTTATTCTCTTTGAAGCAATTGTGAATGGTGGGAGTTCACTCATGATTTGGCTCTCTGTTTGTCTGTTATTGGTGTATAGGAATGCTTGTGGTTTTTGCACATTGATTTTGTATCCTGAGACTTTGCTGAAGTTGCTTATCCCCTTAAGTAGATTTGGGGCTGAGATGATGGGGTTTTCTAAATATACAATCATGTCATCTGCAAACAGAGACAATTTGACTTCCTCGTTTCCTAACTGAATACCCTTTATTTCTTTCTCTTGCCTGATTTCCCTGGCCAGAACTTCCAATGCTATGTTGAATAGGAGTGGTGAGAGAGGGCATCCCTGTCTTGTGCCAGTTTTCAAAGGGCATGCTTCCAGTTTTTGCCCATTCAGTATGTTATTGGCTGTGGGTTTGTCATAAATAGCTCTTATTATTTTGAGATACCTTCCATCAATGCCTAGCTTATTGAGAGTTTTTAGCATGAAGGCTGTTTAATTTTTTCAAAAGCCTTTTCTGCATCTATTGAGATAATCATGTGTTTTTTGTCATTGGTTCTGTTTATGTGATCGATTAAGTTTATTGATTTGCATATGTTGAAACAGCCTTGCATCCCAGGGATGAAGCCTACTTGATTGTGGTGGATAAACTTTTTGATGTGCTTCTGGATTCCGTTTGCCAGTAGTTTATTGAGGATTTTTGCATCAATGTTCATCAGGGATATTGGTCTAAAATTCTCTTTTTTTGTGTATCTCTGCCAGGCTTTGGTATCAGGATGGTGCTGTCCTCATAAAATGAGTTAGGGAGGATTCCCTCTTTTTCTATCTATTGGAATAGTTTCAGAAGGAATGGTATCAGCTCCTCTTTGTACCTCTGGTAGAATTTGGCTGTGAATCCATCTGGTCCTGGACTTTTTTTGTTTGGTAGGTTATTGATTATTGCCTCAATTTCAGAGCCTGTTATTGGTTTATTCAGAGAGTCAACTTCTTCCTGATTTAGTCTTGGAAGCGTGTATGTGTCCAGGAATTTATCAGTTTCTTCTAGATTTTCTACTTTATTTGTGTAGAGGTGTTTATAGTATTCTCTGATGGTAATTTGTATTTCTGTGGGATTGGTGGTGATATCCCCTTTATCATTTTTTATCGAATCTATTTGATTCTTCTCTCTTTTCTTCTTTATTAGTCTTGCCAGTGGTCTATCAATTTTGTTGATCTTTTCAAAAAACCAGCTCCTGGATTCATTGACTTTTTGAAGGGTTTTTTGTGTCTCTATCTCCTTCAGTTCTTTTCTGATCTTAGTTATTTCTTGTCTTCTGCTAGCTTTTGAATGTGTTTGCTCTTGCTTCTCTAGTTCTTTTAATTGTGATATTAGAGTCTCAAATTTAGATCTTTCCTGCTTTCTCTTATGGGCATTTAGTGCTATAAATTTCCCTCTACACACGGCTTTAAATGTGTCCCAGAGATTCTGGTATGTTGTTTCTTTGTTCTCATTGGTTTCAAAGAACATCTTTATTTCTGCCTTCATTTCTTTATTTACCCAGTAGTCATTCAGGAGCAGGTTGTTCAGTTTCCATGTAGTTGTGCAGTTCTGAGTGAGTTTCTTAATCCTGAGTTCTAATTTGATTGCACTGTGGTCTGAGAGACAGTTTGTTGTGATTCCTGTTCTTTTACATTTGCTGAAGAGTGCTTTACTTCCAACTATGTAGTCAATTTTAGAATAAGTGCGATGTGGTGCTGAGAAGATGTATATTCTGTTGATTTGGGGTGGAGAGTTCTGTAGATGTCTATGAGGTTGGCTTGGTGCAGAGCTGAGTTCAAGTCCTGGATATCCTTGTTAACCTTCTGTCTCATTGATCTGTCTAATGTTGACAGTGGGGTGTTAAAGTCTCCCATTATTATTGTATGGGAGTCTAAGTCTCTTTGTAGGTCTCTAAGGACTTGCTTGATCAATCTGGCTGCTCCTGTATTGGGTGCATATATATTTAGGATAGTTAGCTCTTCTTGTTGAATTGATCCCTATACCATTATGTAATGGCCTTCTTTGTCTCTTTTGATCTTTGTTGGTTTAAAGTGTGTTTTATTGTCAGAGACTAGGATTGCAACCCCTGATTTTTTTCCTTTCCATTTGCTTGTTAGATCTTCCTCCATCCCTTTATTTTGAGTCTATGCGTCTCTGCATGTGAGATGGGTTTCCTGAATACAGCACACTGATGGGTCTTGACTCTTTATCCAGTTTGCCAGTCTGTGTCTTTTAATTGGGGAAATTTAGCCCATTTACATTTAAGGTTAGTATTGTTATGTGTGAATTTGATCCTGTCATTATGATGTTAGCTGGTTATTTTGCTCGTTAGTTGATGCAGTTTCTTCCTAGCCTCGATGGTCTTTACAGTTTGGCTTGTTTTTGCAGCGGCTGGTACGGGTTGTTTCTTTCCATGTGTGGTGTTTCCTTCAGGAGCTCTTGTAAGGCAGGCCTGGTAGTGACAGAATCTCTCAGCATTTGCTTGTCTGTAAAGGATTTTATTTCTCCTTCACTTATGAAGCTTAGTTTGGCTGGATATGAAATTCTGGGTTGAAAATTCTTTTCTTTAAGAATGTTGAATACTGGCCCCCACTCTCTTCTGGCTTGTAGAGTTTCTGCCGAGAGATCAGCTGTTAGTCTGATGGGCTTCCCTTTGTGCATAACCTGACCTTTCTCTCTGGCTGCCCTTAACATTTTTTCCTTCATTTCAACTTTGGTGAATCTGACAATTATGTGTCTTGGGGTTGGTCTTCTCAAGGAGTATCTTTGTGGTGTTCTCTCTATTTCCTGAATTTGAATGTTGGCCTGCCTTGCTAGGTTGGGGAAGTTCTCCTGTATAATATCCTGGAGTGTGTTTTCTGACTAGGTTTCATTCTCCCTGTCACTTTCACATACACCAATCAAATGTAGATTTGGTCTTTTCGCATATTCCCATATTTCTTGGTGGCTTTGTTAGTTTCTTTTCACTCTTTTTTCTCTAAACTTCTCTTCTTGCTTTATTTCATTAATTTGATCTACAATCACTGATACCATACCCTTTCTTCCACTTGATTGAATCAGCTACTGAAGCTTGTTCATGCATCACATAGTTCTCATGCCATGGTTTTCAGCTTCATTGGTCATTTAAGGTCTTCTCTGCATTGTTTTTTCTAGTTAGCCATTTGTCTAATCTTTTTTCAAGGTTTTTAGCTTCCTTGTGATGGATTCGAACATCCTCCTTTAGCTTGGAGTAGTTTGTTATTACTGACCTTCTGAAGCCTACTTCTGTCAGCTCATCAAAGTCATTCTCCGTCCAGCTTTGTTCCATTGCTGGTGAGGAGCTGTGATCCTTTAGAGGAGAAGAGGTGCTCTGGTTTTTAGAATTTTCAGCTTTTCTGCTCTCGTCTCTCCCCATCTTTGTGGTTTTATATACCTTTGGTCTTTGATGTTGGTGACCTACAGATGGGGTTTTGGTGTGGATGTCCTTTTTGCTGATGTTCATGCTATTCCTTTCTATTTGTTAGTTTTCCTTCTGACAGTCAGGAACCTCAGCTGCAGGTCTGTTGGAGTTTGCTGGAGGTCCACTCCAGACTCTGTTTGCCTGGGTATCACCAGCAGAGGCTGCAGAACAGCAAATATTGCAGAATAGTAAATATTGCTGCCTGATCTTTCCTCTGGAAGTTTTGTCCCAGAGGAGCACCCGCCTGTATGAGGTGTCAGCTGGCCCTTACTGGGAGGTGTCTCCCAGTTATGCTACACGGGGGTCAGGAACCCACTTGAGGAGGCAGTCTGTCCTTTCTCAGAGCTCAAACACTGTGCTTGGAGAACCACTGCTCTTTTCAGAGCTGTCAGACAGGGACGTTTAAGTCTGCAGAAGTTTCTGCTGCTTTTTGTTCAGCGATGCCCTACCCCAAGAGGTGGAGTCTACAGAGTCAGCAGGCCTTGCTGAACTGAGGTGGGCTCCGCCCAGTTTGAGCTTCCCTGTTAGCTTTGTTTACCTACTCTAGCCTCAGCAATGGCAGAGGACCCTCCCCACACCAGGCTGCTGCCTCACAGTTTGTTCTCAGACTGCTGTACTAGCAGTGAGCAAGGTTCTGTGGGTGTAGGACCCGCCAAGCCAGGCACGGGATATAATCTCCTGATGTGCCATTTGCTAAGACCATTAGAAAAGCACAATATTTGGGTGGAAGTGTCCCGTTTTTCCAGGTACAGTCTGTCACGGCTTCCCTTCGGTAGGAAAGGGAAATCCCCCAACCCCTTGCACTTCCCAGGTGAGGCGATGCCCCACCCTGCTTTGGCTTGCTCTCCGTGGGCTGCACCCACTGTCCAACCAGTCCCAATGAGATGAACCAGGTACCTCAACTGGAAATGCAGAAATCACCTGTCTTCTGTGTCGATCACACTGGGAACTGCGGACCGGAGCTATTCCTATTCAGGCATCTTGCAATGGAGCTTCAAAACGCTTATTATCTGAAGAGTTGTTTAAAAGGTGTGAGCCAAAATGTAGGAAAAAACAATTATAATAGTGTGTTAAGCATTCGATTAGTAAAAATATTATGCTATTTCTGGTTTCTGGTTCCATATGGAAGGAGTTTGAAGTCACCACTCTATTCTGAGAAGTAAAAAGCTGAACAGACTAAAAAATCAACTCTTCAGGGATCCATAAGTGAAGTGAGGACACAAGACAACCATTGCGCACAAGATTAGAGAGATAAACAGGAGAATACAGGGAGTCACAGATTACTAGAGCAGAGACTCAGAGCAGAAAACATCATGGGAATCAGTGCTAGAGTAGAAAAAATGGAACTGCAATTGATGAGCTGCTAGAATCTCAGTGTGGACAAATACGACAGTTAAACCTCCAGGGGGATCCAGTCATAGGGGCCCCCACACTTTTGTGGGTTTTGCCTCCAGAAATTTGGCCAGGTTCTCATAGTAAATATCACAGAGAAAAATCTCCTCATGCTTCTGGCAGGGGGAGAAAAAAAACCAGTTTTAAATACATCAGAGCACTCTCCTCTTTTTAATAAAGCCAACCCTCAGGAAAATCTATTTCAACAGAGCCTAACTGGCTGGGGGAAGAGAAATACCCAATTTAACCAGCTCCAGTCTTCCATAGGAGACAAGGGAAATAGTCAACTTCAGCTGATATGGTTTGGCTCTGTGTCCCCACCCAAATCTCATGTTGAATTGTAATCCTCACATGTTGAAGGAGGGGCTGCGTGGGAGGTGATTGGAGTATGTGAGCAGTTTGTAATGGTTTAGAAACCATAACCCTAGTGCTGTCTTGTGATAGGGTTCTCATGACATCTCCTTGTTTAAAAGTGTGTAGCATTTCCCCCTTCACTCTCTCTCTCCTGCTGTCATGTGAAGTGTGCTTGCTTCCCCTTTGTCTTCTGCCATGATTGTAAGTTTCCTGAGGCCTCTCAGTCATGATACCTATACAGCCTGTGGAATTGTGAGTCAATTAAACCTGTTTTTGTTTTCATAAATTACCCAGTCTCTGGTAGTTCTTTATAGCAGTGTGAGAATGTACTAATACACAAGCCCACTCTAGGCATTCTCTTCCATGTAAGTGTCTTGGGTGGGGGTGGTTAAGGGGGACTGAGGGACCTTGTGAAGTCCATAGTCCAGAGGCATAGGCTCACTAAGAGACTGAGACCTATGATTAGAAGGTCTCATAGGTCTCAGAATTCTTCCTTTCCCCCCAGATAGTACCCCCGACATTGGAGAAAGGAAGCATTTTATGGCCTTATGATTAGGTCTCAGTCCTATTTGAAGCAGCTCCTTTTACCAAGAACTTCATGTCCTGTTATCAAAAAAAAAAAAAAAAAAAAAGCCCACAAGGCAGACTAAATGCTAAAAGGCAAAACACATACTTTGAAGAGACAGAGCAAGCATCAGAACCAGACATGGCAGGGATGTTAGAATTATCACACCAGGAATTTAAAATAATAATGATTAACATTCTAAGATTTCTAATGGATAAGTAGAAAGCATTCAAAAACAGAGAAATGCATGCAATGTAAGCAGAGAGATGAAAATCATAAGAAAGAACCAAAAAGATATGCTAGAGATAAAAAACACTGTACTAGAAATAATGCCTTTGATGGTCTTATTAGTAGATTGGACACACCTGAAGAAAGAATCTAGAGCTTTAAGCTATATGAGTAAAAACCTCTAAAACTGAGCAAAGGGAACAAAGACTGAGAAAAACAGAACAAAATATCCAAGGACTGTGGGACAAGTACAAATAATGTAATATTTGCATAATAGAAATATCATAAGGGGAGGAAACAGAGAAAGGAACAAAAGAATTATTTAAAATAATAATTATAAAACTTCTCCAAATTAATGTCAGACACCAACCACTAATTCAAGAAACTCAGAGAACACCATGCAGGATAAATGCCAAAAAATAAAAATATAAAAACTACACCTAGGCATAGCATTTTCAAACTATAGAAAATCAAAGATAAAGAGAAAATCCTGAGAGAAACCAGAAGTGGGGGTGGAAGGAATGAAAGTAAGAATTACATCTGACTTCTCCTCAAAAATCATGCAAGCAGAGTGAAGTAAACTATTTAAAGTGTTGAGAGAATAAGACGACCAACATGGAATTCTGTACCTTATGAAGTTATCCTTCAGAAGCGAAGGGAGAAAATCCGTAAGGACATAGTTGAACTCAACAGCACCATCTATCAACTGGATAAAATTGACATGTGTAGACAACTTTGTCCAACAACAGAAGAATACACATTAATTTGAAGTTTACATGGAACATTCATCAAGATAGACCACAATCTGGGCCATAAACTACCTTAACAAATTTTAAAAATAGAAATCATACACTGTCTGCTCTCAGACCACAATGGAATTAAACTATAAATTAATAATAAAGCTATCTGAAAAATCTCCCAAATGCTTGGAGATTAAACAACACATTTCTAAATAACAGGTGAATCAAAGAGCTTGCAAAAGAAGTTTAAAGATATTTTGAATTAAATAAAAATGAAAATACAGCTTATCAATATTTGTGGGATAGAACAAAAGCAAAGTTTAGAGGGAAATTTATAGCAGTAAATGCACGTAGTAGAAAAGAATGAAAATCTGTAATCTAAGTTTACACCTTAGGAAACTAGAATAAGAACAAATTAAATCCAAAATAAGCCAAATAAAAGAAATAATAAAAATTAGAGCAGAAACCAGTGAAATTAAAAACAGGAAATCATACTAGAGAAAATCAATGAAAGCTGATTGTTTGAAAAGATCAATAAATTCAATAAGCCTCTAGCCGGACTAACCAAGAAAAAGAGAGGACAGAAATTACTAATGGCAGAAATGAAAGAGGACATTATTACTGATTCAGCAGACATTAAAAAGATAATAAAGGAGTACTATGCCCACACATTTGATAACGTGAAACAAATTTGGTAAACAAAGTTGATGAAATGGACCAATTACTTGAAAGCAATCTGCCAAAACTCACACAAAAACACAAGTGGAATATGCCTAACCTATTAAAGAAATTGAATCAATAATTAATAACTTTCCAAATCGGAAAGCACCAGGCCCAGATGGGTTCACTGGTGAATTCTACCAAACATTTAAGGAAGAAATTATACCAATTCCCCACAATCTCTTTCAGAAGGTAGAAGTCCCTATTTTCTAATTCATTCTGTGAGGGCAGCATTACCCTAATACCAAACCAAATAAAGATATTATAAAAAAGAAAACTACAGACCAGTGTCTCTCGTGAATATGATTACTAAAACCCTCAACAAAATATTAGCAAATTGTATCCAACAATGTATGAAAATAATTATACACCATGATCAAGTGGGATTTATCCCAGATATACAGGGCTGGTTTGTCATTTGAAAATTAGTTAATGTAATCAATCACATCAACAGGCTAAAATGATTACATGATCTTATCAATAGATACAGAAAAAACATTTGACAAAATTTAACACCCATTTATAAAAAGAACTCTCAGTAAACTAGTTATAAATGAGAAACTCCTCAACTTGATGAATAATATCTACATAAAACCTACACTGACATAATACTTAATAGTAAGAAGCAAGCTTTCCTATTAAGATCAGGAACAAAGCAAGGATATCCTCTCTCATCTCTTCTTTTCAGCATTATGCTGGAAGCCCTGGCTAGTGCAATAAAACAAGAAAAGGACATATATAAAAATGGAGAAGGAAGTAAAACTATCTTTGTTTGCAAATGACATAATTGTCTGCATAAAATCTGAAAGAATGACAAAAAAATCCTGGAAGTACTAAGCAATTATAGTGAATTTGCAGAATGCAAGATTAATATACAAAAGTAAATTGCTTTCCCATATGTCAGCAATGAACAAGTGGAATTTGTAATTAAAAACAGAAAACCATTTATACTGACATCCCCTAAAAATGAAATACTAGGTATTAATCTAACAAAATATGTACAAAATTTTTACAAGGAAAACTACAAAACTGTTATAAAAAGAAATCAAAGAATAACTAAATAAATGGATAGGTATTTCATTTTCATGGACAGGAAGACTCAATAGTGTCAAAATGTCAGTTCTCAACTTGATTTATAGATTTAATACAATTCCAATCAAAATACCAGCAAATTATTTTGTAGATATCAACAAACTGATTCTAAAGTTTATATATAGAGAAAAGACCCGGAATAGCCAACAAAATATTGAAGGAGAGGAATAGAACTAGAGGTCTAACACTAACCAACTTCAGGGCTTACTATAAAGCTATTACACAGTAATCAAGACAGTGTGGTGCTGGCAAAATAATAGACAAATAGATCAATGGAACAGAATAGACAGCCCTGAAATAGACCCACATAGATATAATCAAGTGATCTTTGACAAAGAAGCAAAGGGAATACAATGGAAAAAAGATAGTTTTTCCAACAAATGCTACTGGAACAACTGGACATCAACATGCAAAAAAATTGAATCTAGACGCAGATATTACATCCTTTACAAAATTAACTCAAAATGGATTATAGGCCTAAATGGAAAACAGAAAACTATAAAACTCCTAGAGGATAATATAGGATAAATATAGATGACCTTGGGTATGGCAATGACTTTTTACCTACAACATCAAAGGCACAGTTCATGAAATAATCGATAAGATGAACTTTATTAGAATTAAAAAATGCTGCTCTGCAAAAGACATTGTCAAGAGAATTAAAAGACATTTCAGAGACTGGGAGAAAATATTAGCAAAAGACACATTTGATAAAGGACTATTATCCAAAATATACAAAGAATTCTTAAAACTCAACAAGAATATGAACTACTGGATATAAAAATGGGTCAGAGACTTTTACAGACATCTCACAAAGAAGATATACATATGGCAAACAAACATATGAAAAGATGCTCCATATCACATGTTATCAGGGAAATGCAAATTAAAGCAACAATGAGACTCATTCATTACTGGTGCAAAATGTCACATCCACTTTGGAAGACAATTTGGCAGTTTCTTCAGTTTCTTACAAAGCTGAACAGGAACACATAATCTAGCAATTATGCTCTTTGGCATCTGTCCAAGGAGTTTAAAACTTATCTTCCTACAAAAACCTGCATCAGATGTTTATAACAGCTTTATTCATAATTGCTAAAACTAGAAAGCAACCAAGATATCCTTCAATAGCTGAATGTCAGATAAAAAACTTTGGTTCATCCAGACAATGAATTATTATTTAGCATTAAGAAGAAATGAGCTATCAAGCTGTGAAATGACAAGGAGGAATCTTAAATGCATGTTACCAAGTGAAAGGAGCCAATCTGAAAAGGATATGTATGTATGATTCCAACTATTTGATGCCTGGAAAAGACAAAACAAGGGAGACAGTAAAAAGATGAGTGGTTACTGGGCATATACCCAAATGATTATAAATCATTTTACTATAAAGATACATGCACACATATGTTTATTGCAGCACTGTTCACGATAGCAAAGACTTGGAACCCACTCGAATGCCCATCAATGATAGACTGGATAAAGAAAATGTGGCACATACACACCATGGAATACTATGCAGCCATAAAAAAGGATGAGTTCATGTCCTTTGCAGGGACATGGATGAAGCTGGAAACCATCATTTTCAGCAAACTAACACAAGAACAGAAAACCAAACACCACATGTTTTCACTCATAAGTGGGAGATGAACAATGAAAACACATGGACACAGGGAGGGGAACATCACACAGTGGGGCCTGCCGGGGGTGGGGGGCTAGGGGAGGGATAGCATTAGGAGAAATACCTAATGTAGGTGATGGGTTCATGGGTGCAGCAAACCACCATGGCATCTGTATACCTGTGTAACAAACCTGCACATTTTGCACATGTATCCCAGGACTTAAAGTGTAATATATATATAAAAAGATGAGTGGTTGCCAGGGGTTAAAGCAATAGGGTGAAGGGATGAATAAGCAGAGCCTGGAGGATTTTTACTGCGGTGAAATTACTCTGCATGCTACTCTAATTCTGACTACATATCATTATACATTTGTCCAAACCCATAGAATGTACAACACCAAGAATTAGCCCTAATATAAACTATGGACTTTGGATAATTAAAATGTATGTGTGTGCGTGTGTGTGTGTGTGTGTGTGTGCGTGTGTGTGTGTATCTTACTATATTTCTGGATTTCGTATTTGTGGTGTTTGTCAGCATCTTAACATTTATAGTTTATCTTGACTTATTTTCTCATTCTACATCAATATACATTTTTATATCTAATTTTGTATTCATAATTCTGTACTTTTCTTACAGAGGGCCCCTAATGTATATATAAGCTTCACAAAACCTAACCGTGTCCTTGAATCTCTGCATAGTATTTTCAATTTAGAAAATATTTTCACATTTTACCTGTTTTCTCAATGTGGAAAGGAGAGCTCCAAGGGCTTCAGTGACTTCCCCAAATCTGCAGAGGCCTAAAGTTCAAGACCCACAATTCAGGCTCAGATTGCTTTATTCTACTATTCTTTCCCCTACACCTCACTGTACCCCATGCCTAAGATTTTGTTAATTAAAGCAAAACCTCCTAGAAAAATGTGACTAAAAGATATGTCTGACTAAAATCCAGGTTTTAATGGATTAGCATGACTTTATGTCTTAGCCCATTTGTACTGTTATAACAAAGTACCACAGTCTGGTAATTTATAAATGACAGACATTTATTTCTCATACTTCTGGAGTCTGTAAAGTCCAAGATCAAGGTGTCAGCAAGTTTTGTGTCTGATGAGGGCCTGGTCACTGCTTGCAAGATGGCACCTTGTTGCCACATCTTCCAGAGGGGATGAACACTGTATCCTCACATGGTGGAAGAGAGGGAAGGAGCAAATTTGCACCCTCAAGCCCTTTTCTAACGTCACTGTCATTCATGAAGCCTCCATCCTCATGACTTAATCATCTCATAAAGACTCCATTTCTTTTTTTAAAAATTATACTTTTAAGTTTTAGGGTACATGTGCAGAACGTGCAGGTTTGTTACATATGTATTAATGCCATCACATTGGAAATTTATTTTTAACACATGAATTTTTGGAGACATTCAGACCACTCTACCTTGTAAGGAAAACTTATTTGAAGTCTCATAAAGCTTTAAATATCTAGGTGAACACCTAATTAAATAGTCCAAACTTCACACGTTTGGAGTTTGTAAACATTCAAGGACATGACAAAAGGTCTTGCTTGTTAAGCAAATAAAAAGTGAACCCAAGGGTAAAAGGGGACATGTAAATAACAGTACAAGCTATTTTCAAGTACTTTGTTTTATTTTTATACGACAAATTTTCTTTAACCCCTTGTTTTCCTTAGGTGTGACTGATTGCATTAGGTTTTAAAGTGAGTTAGTGTACCAAACTGAATGATGTGTATGGTCTTCAACTGTGATAGGGTTTTGCATGTACAGAGTGCATAGTACATCTCACTGGTTTTTATGCCTCCAAATCTGCTAAGTCATCACAACAACCTGGAAGGTCTTTTTACTTACAGAGTCCTTATTGTATGCCAGGTACTATTCTAAGCTTTTCTTATTCATTAATCCAGGTGATAATCACATTAAAGCTATGAAGTTGGTATTATGATGAATATTCCCAGATGAAAATTGAGGCTTGGAAAAGATAAGTAACTTGTTCAAGGCCATGAAGCTAGTCAAATGACAGAGCTGGTGCTGAGCTCTTAACCGGGTGCTATACTGCTCCCTGTATTATATCTATAAAAGGAGTGATGTTTGCAGTGCTTCACCCAGATGTCTATATTCAATTTGAAGGCTGCAGTCTTAGGTTATATTGCATATTCAGTTAGTTCCATCTCTTTGTATTTCTACTAAATTAGAAATTCTTTTATCACAATTATAAGCTCTTAGAAATGGCAATGAGTGTTTGTTGGCTCGTTTATATAGTTCCAGATTTTCAGACTGCATAGGGATCCAGAATTATGATGAAGTTTTCCACTGAAGTCTATTTTGAGCATTCTAAAAAATGCTAAGCTAACTCACATCAACTTTGAAAGCTTCAACTTGTGAGATATCGCCAATGCTTTTCCAATCTACTCTTTAGGTAGTAGTCAGCTTTGGAAGTATAACGCATGTTCTGTTGCAGAATTTGGATTTGGTTTTAAAATAAGCTTAATTTCTTTCTCTGATAAGCATTGAAAAAGAGCCAAACTCTTAGCTGTCAAGTTGCTTATCCCCCTGCTTGATCTACTTAAAAAATCATGATATGCCCAATCTCAGAATTGTGCCTTTTTCATCAGGAAGTGGTATGTTCAGGCTATTCAAGAGACTGTATATATCTTTGAGACACACAGCTTGCGCCAGCCAATATAAACCACCTTTTCTGGTACTACGAATTTGTGAAGAGATGTTTTTATCTTGCCTATCTTTTCAAAGCCTCTGTGAGCACCTGTTCATTGAACAGCTAGCATTCCTCAGTGGAGAAAGCAGTCCTGCTCCCTCTATCAGTTTTTCTACACAGCACACTGAGCACGTCATTCCAGGGAAGATATCCCTTGCCTCCCAG
Source organism: Homo sapiens (assembly GCF_000001405.40). Taxonomy (NCBI): domain Eukaryota; kingdom Metazoa; phylum Chordata; class Mammalia; order Primates; family Hominidae; genus Homo; species Homo sapiens. The sequence goes on along the minus strand of NC_000003.12, from coordinate 180,358,743 downwards.
TGCTCTTTCCTTCACCCCCACCCTATCCCAAGACTCCCTCACTCTCTACTCTGCTTATTTATATCCACGCTACTTATTATCTGCTAAACTATTAAGTTGAAGTGTATGAAGTTGTCATTTGTGTAGGACCAATGCTGTCAGATATCAAGCATCTAACTGACTTATTTATTTCTTTTATTGTTAGTTTCCTTCCATACACCACACAACACCAGAAGGAGGCAGGATATTTTGTCTGCTTTCATAACTGCTATATCCCCAGTCCCCCCAAAGTAGTGCCTATCACATACAATAAATGTTTGTAGAATTAATTAGACCATATTTGCAATTTGAATCATTTCCTTCAATACTGAGTCAAGATGAGGAGGCAGGTTGGTGACTGCCAAGAATTCTCTATTTATAAGGCTCTATGACACCTGACATCTGGGTGCAATTTCTTTACTTGTCCAGCAATACCCCTTCCTGTACACACACATGGCCACACAGCTCACACAACAGTTCTGATCCCAGTGCACATTTTCTTTCTTTCTTTTTTTTTTTTTCTTTTTGAGAGGGAGTCTCACTCTATTGCTCAGGCTGGAGTGCAGTTATGTGATCTCGGCTCACTGCAACCTGTTTCCCAGGTTTAAGCGATTCTCCAGCCTCAGCCTCTGGAGTAGCTGGGATTACAGGCATGTGCCACCACGCCCAGCTAGTTTTTGTATTTTTAGTGGATGTGGGGTTTCACCATGTTGGCTAGGCTGGTCTCGAACTCCCAGCCTCAAGTGATCCACCTGCCTTGGCCTCCCAAACTGCTGGGATTACAGGCATGAGCTACCGCGCCTAACCCAGTGCACATTTTCTAATGGGCATGTTGTAGCATTAGCTCCTCCATGTTGTATGCAATTAATATTAAATGACAATAGTGTCATTTGATAACACAATATTATGTAGGACTCATTCTGCTGTTTCTGTGGATGTGATATTTGTTAACTTTTTAGTTTATCAAGTGTCTCAGTGGGTACCTAGCTTGTACCTCTCTTTTTGTGAGGAGTACAACAGTGAATGATGCCTCTGATTTCAGTCACATGTCCTTAAACTGATTAACAAAGTTAATCAATTTCATACTGGAAACATGTACTCATCCTGGTAAAATGTAATTGATTTGCTAAAAAGGTCACCATGCTTTGTTTAAGAATGAGAGAACTGGGGATTTGTGAGCGTCATAGATGCCAAGGAGCCTGTCCAACATTTATAGAGGCTTTTGGACTAAATGAAAAAGGGTTTGATCTGTCTGTGGAGACAGAAAGTAGATGAGTGGTTGCCTAGGATTGGGGGTTTAGGTGGGTAAGAGGTTGTGATGGCTAAAAGGGCACAGGGTTAAAATAAATGTGTTTAAATTGATTGTGCCGCTGTTGGCTGCACAACCGCAGGTACTAAAAGCCATTGAGTTGTACTCAAAATGGGTGAATAAACCTGTCAAAAAATGAAAAAAATAAAGGATGAGAGAACTTCTTTACCTTCATGTTACTATTTCACGTAGTCTCATAGCATACAACACACTAAGGGATAGAGGTGGCTAGATCTCTTGTCCAACAAAGTCTGCTTTTTTAGGTATTTCTAGTTGTGGTTTTTTATTTGCAAATAAACATTTTAGTCACAGACTCTTTGTCAGAACACATATATTCAATTGCAACACTGTTTATGTGTACAATGAACAGAAATATTTTTGTTACTCTTTTCATAATTACTTTTAAGCTTTTCTGAATTTATTTTGAATCACTGATCTATTTTTGTAGCTACAACACTATGATAATTTTAAAATTCCAGGTGTATGCAAATAATCTGAAAATTAATTAGCTGAGACTAATTCACCTTAGTTTGCAGCTACCTTGTTACTCTTGAACATACTTTAAGGACATAATGATAATTAAGAAAAATAATATTTTGGGGACAGTAATAATCTTGTATTTCACACTTATGAAATGTAGATGAGCACAACTGAATAATTAATCACTTTTCCTCTGATACTGCCAAACCACCTGTGGACCACTTACTAATGTGCAGGCAGTGGTATGTTGGTAATTGTTTAACAACTGGTTCTCTGGGGAGGAGATTCTGGGGAGGAGGTCCCTTGATTTGCAGCATTTGCCAAATTTGGTGGTGTAAATACTCCCACTATGACCAATTTTAAGCTAACATGGGCCATCAGAATTCCTGAATACTTAACAATTGGTTCTCACAAAATCAAAGTTGTATTAGTTTGTCAGCATACCTTTGGAGGGGGCCACACATCTTATCTTGAAAAACTCTGGTCAAAGGGAAAAAGGCGGTAATTTCTCTAAATTAAAAACCTGTTGCTTAAATTTTAAGACATTTTCTACTTCAGTTTTGTCCTCTAGCTTAGAGATGGCTTATTAGATGCAACTGATCATAACTTAGCAGAGATTTCAGTTTTGGAACCAAAGGGAAATTTCACATTTATAGACTGACTTTATTAAATCTGTGAATTGAAATTGGAAAGTGACTGGAGCTTAAATACTTAAAATGGGTCACAGGTTTACTGAAATCTGTGAAAAATCAGTATGTAGTGGGTTGAGTTGAATCTCTCAAAAAGGATATGTCCAAATCCTAACTCCTTCCCCGCTCTTCTCATACTTACGAATATAACCTTATTTGGCAATAAGGTTTTTGCAGATGTAATCAAGGATCTCCAGATGACATGATATTGATTTACAGTGGTCCATAAATCCAATGACTAGTGTCTTTATAAGAGAAAGAACATTGAAACACAGACACAATGGAGGGTAGGGAATATGAAGACAAGGGCAGAGATTGGAGTTATGCTGCCACAAACCAAGGAACAGCAAGAACCACCAGAAGCTGGAAGAGGCAAGAAAGGATTATCCCAGGAAGTCTTCTGAGAGAGTGTAGCCCTGCTGGATCCTTAAGTTCAGACTTCTAGCCTCCAGAACTGTGAAAAAAGAAAATTCTATTGTTTTAAGCCACCACCTTGGGTTGTTATGGCAGCTTTAGGAGCCTAATACACGATATATAAAATTAGTAGTAAAATAAGGAAAAATACTGTTTAGCTAGTTTGTTTTCAACTGAGTTACACAAAAATCAAATATATTCATCTATTTATTTTTACTTTACAAAAGATGTCAATATCTAGCCACTATTAGTTTAAATATAAAGTTAATTGATGACAAGTAGTCATTAAATAAGATTCCTGTAACTATTAAGATCATTGCTCTATGAGTATCCTAACTACCCAAATCATGAGTACCGTAACTAGTTGATTTAGGAAACTAGAGTGTACAAAATCAAATAAATGCCTATAGACATTAAGCAGGTGATTTAAATGAGTGAATTTAGCTGGATCTGGCATATAATAGTGTTTGAAGAGATCTCTAGAGAACCGGTGTATTCATGCTATACATAAAACAGAACTCAGCTATTCAACTCCAGTGCTTATTGTCAGTGGAAATGTGAGTTTCCAGATCCTCTGATTTTTCTGAGGAGAAGTCAGGAATCCAGATTTTTATGTGATAGCCCTGAAATTTTAAATGTTGTCTCAAAAAATAAAAAGGAAAAAGAAAAGGAAAAAAAAGGTTATCTGCTTCTGCACAAATCTGCGACCTCTGCTTTAATATAATAACTTGTATCGGTAAACGTTTGTGTCAATTTGCTTTTGACCACTGAAATTGCTTTTTAATGCTTTTAATTACCAATGCTCGACAATAAAAGTAGGTTTAAAATTCCTCATCCTTTATTCTCTTGGTCAAAGTAGTTAAGAGTGGCCAGTGGTCTATGGAGAGGAAAATCTTTAATATCATGGGAATTTGTTTTCTAAAACAATTTTGAAGTAAAGGTTTTCACACAATGAGGGTCTTTTCAATTACAAAACAATAGATTTCTTTTGTAAATTTAGGTTTTCATATATAGCATTTCAGGAGATTAAAGTTTCCATAATAAAAAATTGTTATTTTATGAAGAATTCCAACCTCTCATCTCATGTTTGAAGCCCATAGCTTTCAGAACTAGTTATTATGTCTTAAAAATGTCAGCCATCCCAGTTGAAAGAAAGCCCATTTTCTCAATTTTAAACACACATTTGAGGGATGTATTTTTAGCTGTGGGGACAAAGGCAAAATGGTTTGCTCTACCAGGTGTCATGCTGTCTTTAAATTTTATGAAAAGAAGGAATTAGGAACAAATTCTGGACGATGTTCTGCAGCACATAGAGGTTGAGGTTAATTTATTTTAATTCCGTATTGCTACCTGCTGGTAGGTTACAATGGATGGGTGACAGTTTACAGTATCTAGAGGCACGGCTCTCAGTAGAGGACTAAAGACACCGTCACAGTATCTAGAAGTCAGTGTTCTGAGTCTGAAGGCTCTGAGAAGGTGCCATAGAAGTGGGCCAGGCAAGTCCTGCCTGCAAAGGGAGTAAACCAGCGAGGCATAACATTATACCGACAAATCGGAAAAAGGCTGGCTGTTTCGACCAAGCACACTTTCTAATAAAAAAATGGTGAAGGAAAGACAGGTGTGCCTCATGGAGCACGATGATAGGATTCACATTGAGGATAAATGTAAAAGTATTTAAATAAATATAGCCAATTGGGAAAAATATTAAATGTATAAATTTTGAATAAGCATAAATAAATTTAGCCACAAGGAGAAATTATGCCTAATATATTAGAGTTTTCTGATTTAGCAAATGAATTTCTGGAAAATGAATTATCATGGGATTGGGGGTGGGCAACAAAAGTTTGCATATGGATGAAGAGATGGGACAAAAATCCAGAGACATAGGTGAATATTTTTCTTCATAGAAAAGGCTATAGTAAGGTTTCTTCTTGAGAAAAGTTGTCTTACTGAACATTTGAAAATTAAGAGATAAAAAGTAATAAAAGGAAAAAGATAACGTAAGTATTAATTTTGCATTTGACCCTACATTATTTATAAATTGAATATCCTGTCAACTGACACATAACATATCTGTGTGGGCAGAAACATAGCAAATGAATCCCCTCCTCCTATTTTTACTGTTCTCTCTCTTCCTCTCCCTCTCTCTCTCTCTCATCTTTCATCAAAGTAGTATGTCTACTTGCTTTAGAAAGTACAGTAGTACTAAGAAGCCTTTAATAGCAGTATCTGCCTCACGCTTTTCCTTTATCCTGGTCCTGCTTAGGAGGCAGCCGTCTAATACACATTAAGCTGTTCCCCCTAGAACTACTCTAATACATTTAAATAATCTAATTATTCTGCTATTCTTGAATCAGTTTAGACATTATCAATTTTAGACAAAGATGTAGACAAGGGCTTATGAGTCTCTTACCAGACATTCCATTTTTCTTTCATCTTCCTAATGAAAATTGTCATAACTCTTAGATAAAGCAATGGTTCATTTGCATCTGGGATATTATATACAAGTCCAGCAAGTGGGCCTTGAGTAAAGGGCAAGTGAAATGATTAGCAGGGGGAGACAGGCTGCTGGTAGACTAACAAGATCCCTTTGTAGAGGACAGATCAAGGCTGACACTGGATATGATTGAAGCTTAAAAATGCATAAATACTATGGACAAGGTAGACACAGATGTGTTTTTATTTTATCTTGAAATTCTAGGAAGTAAAATTTTGAATAAATATGAATACTTTATTCTGAATATGCTATTTCCTTAGAAAATTAATCTACTTTACATAGGTGTTCAGTTTATACCCCTAGAAGAGGAACATATTTTTATAGCTGGGTTAGACAGCTGAGTGTATGTGTGTTTGTGTGTGCATTTTGTGGGTTTTTCTAATTTTAAACAGCTTCTATGTTAAAAATAAATGGGAACCATTGAAAATAAAACTTAATTTATTGAATTGAAATTTTAATGAGCGTTTATGAAATTTGCCATGTCTTAAAATGTGCATTGCCTGGGATTTTGCATGAAAATATAGAGTAGCTTCATAAGTGTAACAAAATAAATTGTATGTCCCCTGAACTGCTGGATAAAGAATAATTTTCTTCTGAAATGCACACATACAAACCCTTAAAAGTGTTGTCTCTAATGACTTTGCCTCTCTTGGCAGGCAAATAAATGATTAAATCACATTTTAGCTTTGGTTTAGAAGTATCTCAAACATTTTTGCTTTGCACAGATAAATAGAATTTGTTATCATTCTATTTAAAAACAAAACAAAATATTCTCTCTGGCAAAGGCCACTTCAAAATATGTTTCCATAGAAACCAGAGAAGAAAAATAAATGGGAACAAACATCACTTTAGCTCTACTCAGAATGATCTATGCTGGCCAGAGATTTAAACTTGGCCTGAGATAGCACCATTCGTGACCATTACATAAGTTGTTAGGAAAAGTAATATCTATCCATTATGTGTACACTTTCTAAATAGTTGATTTATTGCTCTTACTTATTTGATGTTGAGATTTTTTCCCATTTCTTACTATCATTAGGACAGGGAAGAAACTGGAGATCTTTATGCAACAGTAGTCTCCACAATTTTAGAACCCGGGGAAAAGAGGTGAACTACTTTTATAACTCTTCTATATTTCATATTATTCTGGTTAAAGTATAACCTGGATGAGAATTAAAAAGCAATCCATAAGGGAAATCATTGGAATTTTTTTAAGCCCTTGATATCAGAGAAGCAAAATAAAAAATTTCATTTTAGATATAAAATGTTTTTTGAAGTTCCAATTGTCCAAAAATATTTCTAATATTATTTTAAATAGAAACTTAGATTTAATCCTAGTTATAGCACACATTAGGGTACATATGATGAATGCCAGTCTTGAGTCTGTTGAATATAGCCGTGAATCTAGAACTTCAGGGATAGTAAATATATAGTGCATAATCGGCCACTTCTCCATCCTGAACTCCTGCCAGACATTGCTAATCAAACTCATCACTCTAACCTGCAAGTTCAGAAGGGGTTAATTTCAAAAATATATGGGGAACTCCAACTCAGTAGCCAAACACACTCAAGTACGCCCACACACATCCACATGAAACAAAAGCATGTTGAAAAATGAGCAAATAACTTGAATAGACATTTTTTCCAAAGAAGACATACAATGGTCAATAAGTATATGAAAAAAAATTAACCACATTAATTATCAGGGAAATGCAAAGGAAAACTACAATGAGATACCACCCCATACTTGTTAGGATGGCTATTATCAAAAAACCAAAAAGACCAAGTGTTGGCAAGGATGTGGAGTAATTGGAACCCTTGTACATTGTTAGTGGGAATGTAAAATGGTACAGCAGCTATGGAAAACAGTATGGAAGGTCCTCAAAAAAATTAAAAATAGAACTATCATATGTTCCAGCCATTCTACTTCTAGATATGTATCCAAAAATAAAAATAAAATCAGAATCTTAGAGAAATCTACACTTCCATATTCATTGTGGCATTATTCACAGTGGCCAAGAAATAATAGAAACAATCCAAGTGTTCATCAACAAATGAATGAATAAAAGAAATGTGGTGTATGCATGCAATAAAATATTATTCAGTATTATAAAAGAAGGGAATTCTGTCATATGCAACAGCATGGATGAAACTGTAGGACATTCTCAAGCTAGTCACAGAAAGACCAACTGAAAGATTCCATTAATATGAGTTATTTATAATAGTCAGTCAAATTCATAGAAGCAAAGAATGCAATACTGATTTCCAGTGGCTGGGGGTGGAGGAAATGGGGAGTTGTTCAATAGGTATAAAGTTTCAGTTATGCTAGATGTTCTAGATATCTGCTGTACAATGGAGTGTGCCTATAGTTAACAATATTGTATTGTGCACTACAAAAATTTGTTAAGAGGGTAGATGCCATGTTAAGTGTTCTTACCACAAAGATATAAACCCCAAAAAGAAAAACAAATGGAAAAAAAGACACTTTGAAATATGTCAAATATGTCTATTTCCTTTATTGTGGTGATGGTATCATAGGTTTTTTGCATACGTTCAAACTCATCAAATTGTACACATTAAATACAAGCAGTTCTTTGTGTATCAATTATATTTCAATAAAGCTGTTTTTAAAGCAGCAATTTTGTTTTGTAAACTGTTTATACTGTGCCCAAAGGATGGTAAATAATTTCATTCCATGAGCTAACATTGGTCTAGGGATAGTGCTGCTGGGAACATGTCAAAGAAGTCCTGCCTGAGCTCTGCAGGTTAGAGTGATGGGCTTGATTAGCAATGTCTGTCAGCAGTTCAGGATGGAGAAGCGATCGATTGTGCATTATATATTTACCATCTCTGAAATTCTAGATTCATGGTTACATTCAACAGACTCATGACTGGCATCCATCATATTTATCCTAATTTGTGCTATAACTAGGATTCAGCCTAAATTTCTATTTAAAACAAATGTTTTTGGCAATCAGAACTTCAATAAACACTTCAGATCTGAAATGAAATTTTGGATTTTGCTTCCCTAACATCAAGGACCAAAAAAAATTCCAATGACTTTCTCATCAAATGGATCTTTAGAAAGACAGAGAGATAGCAGAAGTAATAAAAGGGAGAACAAGAATAAATATAAAAAATGAGATACTAGTATTCATGTCTTAGTAAATGGTAAAATATCTCTCTTCTATTTCTGCACTTCTATATTGACTATGTAGTTTCAGGGATATATAGATATAGGCCCAGGGATGTCACTGTAAAAAATGAAAACAAGAAAAAACAAGAACTTTTATCACTTCTTAAAGCCAATTAGGGGCATGAAAACACAAATATACTGTTTTTTTTTTTTGATAGAATCAGTCCTTGCCATGTGCCTGTAAACTTGTTGCTACTGCCAAATAACTCAGTCAAATATTGACTTCTTTAAACAGACATGTTTAAGCATCATTTTGAGGGAGGGAGGATTAAAGATGTTTCTAAATTGTTCTTAACACATATTATTTTCCCAAATACTGATATGATAAGGGGAATTGGTCAAGAAGAGAAGTATCTCTTGGGAACAGAAAATAGGCAGGAATTAACAGTGTTTCATGGTGATGTTTCTCTGAAAAGTAAATACCATGGATGTTTCTAACAATTATAATAGATTATAAACTTAAAAAGAAGTTCAATGTCTTAAGACTAGGACAGGGAAAATAGGATCCTCTCCTATATAGATATTTCATTCTGAATATGCTCTTTAGTAAACTGTGTATGGTCGTGTATTTCCATATTGACTGGAAGCAAGCCAGAAGAAGTGTGTGCTTTCCTTCTAGTAATTAATCAACACAAATATAGTTTTACAGTGTTGAATTTACTACTGCTCTTGTGCCACTCGATTTAGTCCGGTCTAGACCTAAAACTTGTCTCTCAGAAGTCTTCAAAACACACAGACAAAATTCTCTACTCAAGTAGAGAAAACACTTTTGACAGGATTTATTTAATGTTTTTGAAATGGTAATGAACACCATGTATTGCTTTTGATTATGAATTCAATTTAGTGTCTGATTTTAAAAAATATCTTTTCTAAAGTTGATGAGAATTTTTAAAAGATTTGAAGCAAAGTAAGAAGGTCCCTTGCCACAATTTATTCCTAAATATTGCCAAAAATTACCCCCATTTTCTTCTTCCAAAGAGGCATCCTTTCTTTTTTTAATACAAAAAGAACTATTCTTGTGTGAAAATGCGACCTTTATAGGATTATAAATGTCAAAACATGGTCTTTTTAATTCTCCAAATTTCTGACAGGAAAAATGTCGAATTTATTTACTGCCACCTTTTTTGCTTTTGTGTTCGTAGCTCTTAGCCCAGTGCTTGACACATAAGTGTCTAATAAATGCTAGTTGACTTCAAATGAATTCTTTGAAAAATTCGATCTTTTAGATCAAAGATATTATCTCTATTATTATCATAACCCGATATTTACTAACCCTTTGTCAAAGTAGAAGAAAGTCTTCTCAGTGAAACCACATATTATACGAAAGACAGGGTCTTGCAATGTAAGAGTTTAAACTGAAAAAATCAGTGTTAATCTGTGAAAAGAACATGCATTTTCCAGCTCTGTCACTATAGCAGCAGCAGGATTTCTAATGCCCAGGTTTTTTTTGTTTTTGTTTTTGTTTTTGTTTTTGAGACAAAGTTTCACTCTTGTTCCCAGGCTGCAGTGCAATGGTGTGATCTCGACTCACTGCAACCTCTGCCTCCCGGGCTCAATTGATTCTCCTGCCTCAGCCTCTTGAGTAGCTGGGACTGCAGGCACTTGCCACCACGCCCAGCTAGTTTTCGTATTTTTAGTAGAGACGGGGTTTCACTGTTTTGGCCAGGCTGGTCTCGAACTCCTGACCATAGGTGATCTGCCTGCCTCAGCCTTCCAAAGTGCTGGGATTACTAATACCCAGGTTTTGATCTCTAGTATGTAATCTAGGTTTTCCCAGAAGCAGATACTGAGGCAAGGATTACAATACAAATAGAAGAGTGGAAAAATGAGAGAGGAAAGGGAAAGAAACTGGTAGAGGTTACATTTTCTTGCAAGTTGCCACTGCTGGTAACTTAGAGCTCTGGGATTCAGAGTGAAATGCAGCCTCAGAATTATCCCACCTGCAAGTGAGGGAGTTGGAATATTTACATCCAACTTCCTTGAGTCATTGGTTGAGGGCTGCTCTCAGGTGGCTGGAACTTCCAGCCTGTCAGTCAAGAAGTGGAACCCAGACCCTGGGCAAAAAGACCTCAGGAAAAAAGAAGCAGACACTAGCATTTGAAAACATGCCAGTGAGAACTGAAATGGGAAGGTGAAGAGAAGGGATGGGGCAAATACTGTATCCCATACAAATATTATTCTTCTTTAAAAGAAATCAAAACTCTGTAGATAGCTTATTCCAAGTCTTAGGGCAAGGACAATGCAGATAGATTTGGAAATAATTATTGTCAGAGAACAGGGACATTTTAAAGGATTTTGGGGCACTCTTAAAAGGACAAAGTTGTGAGGATTTAAGCATCAAAATAATGATGGTAATTGTGGCTAATTGGAATATATTGAGTCTATATAAGGCCAGTATTTCATGATAATATGAAGTATACAAGACATACTCATAACCATAAAAGAATGGTGAATAGAATAGGGCATGCTTAATTGTATTTATTTAAATAAATGGGAATGCTAATATATGTAGGTATGTTGTTACTACTATTTAACATACATCTGTTTAGGAAGTATTGATAGGTACTTATGTCCATCTGATATGGTTTGGCTGTGTCCCCACTTAAATCTCATCTTGAATTGTAGTTCCCATAATCCCCACGTGTTGTGGGAGGGACGTGGTGAGAGGTAATTTAATCATGGGGACAGTTACCCTCATGCTAGTGAGTGAGTTCTCAGGACATCTGATGGTTTTATAAAGATTTCCCCCTTTTGCTCAGCACTTCTCCTTGTTGCTGCCATGTGAAGAAGGACATGTTTACTTCCCCTTCTGCCATGAGTATTTGTTTCCTGAAACCTTCAGCCATGCTGAACTGTAAGTCAATTAAACCTCTTTCCTTTATAAATTACCCAGTCTCAGGTATGTCTTTATTAGCAGCCTGAGAACAGACTAATACACCATCCAAACACAGGGAACTATAAGTACAGTTCTGATAAAAGTAGCAGTCAGGAAGGGAATTGAGCTTGGATTCAGCATCAGTGAATACACAAAATAACCAAAGAGAATAGGGGCTTGACAGTGTGCTCAAGATGATAAATTAGCCAAATGAGCTAAAAGACAGGTAATGGCTGAGACTCGGTTGTTCCCAGTCTCTCAGGAGACACCACCTCTAGATGGCCCTATTAATAAAAATAATAATGATAAATATATAAAAATGTTAAAATATTAACAACACAGGTCTATATCTTAGAACAAACCATGCATTATGGTAAATCTTGTCATAATTTAAAAGTATTATCTTGTAACATAACCAACCAGAGAAAATAATTACTGTAACTGATCTTAAAATGTAACATTTGATTATAGACTCTGAAGTGCAAAAAAATCTTAACCTACAGTTAGTATTTATATTATTAATGAAAATATATTTATATTATAGAAAAAAATCAATTTCTAACATTGTTAGGAATCAATATTTTCAGAAAGAGAGAAAGAGGAATTAATGGGTGCTAGAACTATTAGGTGAAATGTTGATGGAGAACATTTTATACTTTACTACATTTTTGTCTCTTTGGAAATTTTCACAATAAAAAATTTTAAGAATTTTTTTAGGAAAAGGCATCAGGTTGCACAAAAGTAAAACCTCTATGAAAGGTATGAATTTTTAAAATTTGGAGAGAAGAGAGGAAATTGAGAAAAGAAATTAAGTTTCTTAACTTAAACAATAAACAATCCATCAAAAACCTGTACACTTGATTGTTCTGGTGAGACTATAGCAAACTTGAGAAGGTGTCAAGATAAGTAAAAACCCTGAGAAGATATTACAGTAGTATGGTACTAATCCTAGGAAGATTTAAAAACATGTACAGTAAGGAAATAAATCAAATTCATGGTGTTTATAGATTAAGTGTAAATGTATGCTTGCTAACACACTTTGTAACCATTGCCTTTATGTGTGGTTTGCATGGTGTACAGAGATTTTACCTATACAAAAGTATTAGTCATGCTAAATTGTAATTGCAATTTTGTACAAAAACAATCAAATCTGTGATCAGTGTTTAAATGCTCAAAAATGGTTTTTATGTCAAAAAACTAGAAAGATTTTAAATGGACAACTTGATGCATATCAAGGAATTAGAAAAGCAAGAACAAACCAACTGCAAATTAGTAAAAGGAAACATATAATAAAAATCAGATCAGAAAGAAATGAAATTGAAACTAAAAAATACAAAAGATCAATGAAAGAAAAAGTTGTTTTTTAAAAGATAAACAAAATCAACAAACCATGAACTAGACTGAGAAAAAAGTGAGAAGACCCAAATGAATAAAATCAGAAACCAAAAAGAGATGGCACAGTGGACACCAGAGAAAGATAAAGAATCATTAGAGATCACTGTGAACAACTCTAGGCCAATAAATTTGAAAACCTAGAGGAAGTGTATAAATTCCTGGACACATACAACCTATCAAGATTGAACCAAGTAGAAACAGAAATCCTGAACTGACCAATAACAAGTAATGAGATTGAATCAGTAATAAAAAATCTCCCAACAAAAAAAGAAGTCCAGGACCAGATGGCTTCACCACTGAATTCTACTGAAACTTTAAAGAATTAATATCAATCCTTCTCAAACTATTCCAAAAGATTGAAGTGGAGGGAACTTTTCCTAACTCTCCTATGAGGCCAGCATAAGCCTGATACCCAAATTAGAAAAGAATACAACAACAAAAAAGAAAACTACAGGCCAATATCTCTCTGACCATTGATGTAAAAATCCTCAACAAAACACTAGAAAACTAAATCCAACAATACATCGAAACAGTAATGCACCATGATCAAGTGGGATTTATCCCAAGAATGTAAGGATGGTTCAACATATGCAAATAAATAAATGTGATACATCACATCAATAGAATGAAGGACACAAAAACCATATGATCATCTCAATAGATATCATTTGATAAAATTCAACATCCCTTCATGATAAAAACTTTCAACAAATTAGGTATAGAAGGAAAGTACCTTAACATGATAAAGGCCGTATATGACAAACCCATAGTTAACATTATACTGATTGAGGAAAGACTGAAAGCTTTTTCTCTAAGAACTGTAATAAGACAAGGATGCCCACTCTCACCACTTTTATTCAACATAGTATTGAAGGTCCTGGCCAGAGCAATTAGGCAGGGCATTCAAATTGGAAAGAAGGAGTCAAATGTCTCTGTTTGCAGACGAAACAATCTTATGTATAGAAAAACCTAAATAGTCTACCAAAACTGAAAAATAAATTCAGCAGAGTTACAGGATACAAAATCAATATACAAAAAATAGTAGCATTTCTATATACCAACATTGAACTAGCTGAAAAAAAATCAAGAAGACAATCCCATTTAAGTAGCTACCAAAAAAAAAAAAAAAGAAATACCTAGGAATAAATCTAACCAAGGAAGTGAAAGATCTCTACAGGGAAAACAACACAACACTGCTGAAAGAAATTGAAGAGGGTACAAACAAATGGAAACCCATCCCACGTTCATGGATCAGAGGATTAGTATTGTTAAAATGACCATACTACCCAAAGCTATTACAGATTCAATACAATCCCTATCGAAATACCATTGACAGTCTTAACAGAAATAGAAAATCTTAAACTTTGTATGGAAACACAAAACAACCAGAACAGTCAAAGCAATTCTGAACCAAAAGAACAAAGTTAGAGAAATTACACTACCAGCAATCAAAATATACTGCAAAGATGTAGTAACCAAAACAGCATTGTACTGGCATAAAAAGACATGCAGAACAACGAAACAGAATAGAGAATCCATAAATTAATCCACTTACCTACAGCCAACTTATTTTTGACAAAGTTGCCAACAACATTTGTTGGAGAAAGGACAGTCTCTTCAATAAATGGTACTGGAAAACTGATTATCCATATGCAGAATAATATTAGACTACCACCTCTCACCCTATGCAAAAATCAACATAAAATTGATTAAATGTCTAACTATAAGACCCAAAACTATAAAACTACTGGAAGAAAACACAAGGAAAACACTTCAGGACATTGGCCTGGGAAAAGATTTTATGAATAAGATCTCAAAGCACAGGCAACAAAAGTAAAAATAAACAAATGGTATTTTATCAAACTAAAAATCTGCCAGCAAAGGAAACAATCATGAGTGAAAAGGCAACCTTCAGAATAGGAGAAAATATTTGAAAACTATTCATCTGCCAGGGGATTAATATCCAGAATATACAAAGAACTCAAACTTACCAACAGCAAAAACTAACCAACTCTAATTAAAAATGGGAGAGTGATCAAAACAGACATTTCTCAAAAGGCATACAATGGCCAACAAATATATCAAAAACATACTGAACATGACTAATCACCAGAGAAATACAAAACAAAACCACGGTGAAGTATCATCTCACCCCAGTTAGGGTGGCTATAATAAAACAACAACAACAACAACAACAACAAATGCTGGTGAGGATATGGAGAAAATAGAACTCTTACACACTGTTGGTAGGAATGTAAACTAGTATATCCACTATGGAGAACAGTATGGAGGGTCCACAAAAAACTACAAACAGAACTACCGTATGATCCTGAAATCCCACTACTTGGCATTTATCCAAAGAAAAGGAATCAGTATATCAAAGAGACATCTGCACTTCTGCATTTATTGTAGCACTATTGACAGTAGCCAAGTTATGAAATCAGCCTAGGTGTCCAACAACAGATGAATGGATAAAGAAAATGTGATATATGTGTGTGTGTTTGTACATGTGTGTTGTGTGCGTTTCCATTGTTTATCCTCTTCAATTTCATATATATATAATATATTTTACCATGTTGGCCAGGATGGTCTCAATCTCTTGACCTCATGATCTGCCCTCCTTGGCCTCCCAAAGTGCTGGGACTACAGGCGTGAGCCACCGCGACCGGCCTCAACTTTTGAAAAGAATGAAATTCTGTCATTCATGGTAACATGGATGGAACTGGAGGACGTTATGTTAAGTGTAATTCACAAGGAACAGAGAATTAAACATCACATGTTCTCACTCATATGTAGAAGCTAAAAAAAAGTTGATCTCATAGAAATAAAAAGTAGACCAGAGGATACTAGAGGCTGGGAAGGGTGGTGAGAAGGCAGGGATAGGGAGAGATTAAAGGATACAAAATTACAGTCAAATAGAAGAAATAAATTCTGGTGTTCTTCCACTGTAGGATGACTACAGTTAACAATACATAGTTTTATATAGGTAGAAGGAGGATATTGAATGTTCCCAACACCAAGAAATAATAAATGATGATAGATATGCTAATTATCCTGATCTGATCACTATACTTTATATGTATTGCAACACCACTGTGTATCCCATAAATATGTGTAATTATTATGTCAATTTAAAAAATAAAAGGAAAAGTTGGTTTTCAAAGTTTTGTCTGTCAGATACATGATTTTAATAAATGAAACACTAAAGTACAAATAGTTATAAGTTTTTCACTGGTGCAGAAAGGGCCTTGGAGATTTTTTGAATTAATTAACATAAATCTGATGCTGCAAAAACTGTCCAAATTAGTGTTTCAAGGAGTTTTGTTTTTTTTTCTAATAGTGAGAAATATTCTTTACCATAAAAATTGAGATATGCTGCATTTTATTTTACTGATGACTTCTTTTTCACAGAATTACATGCAGTTGTTAGAATTCAAATATCTTACCCCACAGATGGAGAAGGGCAGGAATTGTGACATTTCGTTTTCATAATTATTAATATAAATTAATTTGGTTATTCAGCGTTTGAAGTATTTGAGATTTTCTGTGTCTTTATCTTGTTTATGCAGATGTGCACCTCCTTAAGGGAACAATTGTATTTGCAAAATGCACCACTTGCTGGCTAGATAATGATGATGACAATGATTAAGAAAGATGTTATTGAACTATGTTGCTGGGCATGTGTTTGAGCCATGTTTGAGCCCGAGGCATATTAGTGCACTTGAATCTGGAAGGACCTGGTGCAAAATTATGAAGTAGAAGAAGCTGATCCAGCTCATAGGATGATAGAAGCAACGTTTTCTAAAATACATGACTTAATGGGCATATTTTAATTATATTTTCAATTTAGATTGAAAAGCATAGGCATTACTTGTTCAGTCACATGCCCTTTTTTGTAAGAGCTCTTAAACAATAAGAGCCTTAAGTGCAATACAAAAGAATAGACACCTCCTATAATCAATATGTTTTACATATCAAGAATCCTAAAAATTGAATATGAATGTTTCTTCTGCTTACCCCAGGAGCCAACCAGGAGCTGTCTGTTCAAAAAGAGACTAGTGTCTTAATTGTTACAACTATGACATCTTTTTATTCCTCTGAGAGAGCACCAATCTCAGCAAAGACGTCACTCCTCAAATTGCCGTGACAGGCTTCTCTCAGATGCAAACAGCTATCAATGTTTATGACTTCCAAAATAAGTTGCCCTTTGAGTCTAGGGCATACTAGTACACTTAAATACAGAAGGGCCTTGTGCAAGAGTATAAAATAGAAGAAGTTGTTCTGTGTCCTTTTTTTCTCCTTTGGCCATCTTCTTTTACCCTCGAAAGATGCCCAGGCTGATGTGCTCTCCCTTCTTCTCCCTTACAAAACCTATTCTCTGGAAATTACTGATGCCTAACACATTTTCTACTAGAAAAGTGACTGTATTTCTTACTACCTTTCTTATACAGGATTTCGATTCTTGAAGTTTCTGTTTGTCCTAGATGACTGGCACAATGACAAGGCCATATCTATTAAACTTTGAATAAAAAATATATTATGCTGTATGATAATAGCAGAAAATCAAGGGGGCTTCAAGTACTTCATGTGTTTCTGAATAAATTGTGGTCTGTTGTTTCAAATAAAACAAGACTTATCATTTATATTAAGCTCCTGTTAGTTTCTACCAAATTCTTTCTTATTCAAGGATCAGGTTTTGTTCTGATACCAGATTCTTCCCATGCATCTCAAAAAATTTCTGATGCTAAAGATACAGTCAATATATCTTAAGGAGACAATTGTGAGATTAAACATTCTAGAACCTAAGATATATGGAAAGCATTTGAAGAACTAGATTTTTAAAAACATTAACAAGGGTTTCTACGTTTTCATTTTCTATTGGGCCTTGCAAATTATGTAGCCAGATTGACAAAAGGTAACACAGTGCATTCTAACAACAATGATTAATTTTGCCTGTTTTTAGACTATATATAAATGTATTTATATATATAGTATATACTTTTCCTGTATCTGGCTTCTTTCACTCAACAATTCACAAATTTCATGAATTTGTGAAATTTGTCTATATTATTGTGGGTATTTATAGATTATTCTATATTATTATGTGTATTTATAGATTATTAACTCTCTCTATTGTAGACCACTGATTTTTAGGCTTTAGTGTGCTTCAGAAGCATCTGGAGGGCTTGATAAACCAGATTTCTGAGCTTTACCCCCAGAGTTTCAGTTTCAGTAGAACTGGGGCGAAGCCCAAGCATTTGCCTTTCTAACAAGTCCGTGAGTGATACTGATGCTACTGGCCTGGGGACTACATCTTGAGAACCACTGCTATAGAGTATGCCATATGTGAAAATACCATGATTTACTTATCCATGCTACTATTGGTGGATATTTGACTATGGATAGCCTTTTTAAAGCTGTATTCATTTATTTATCCTTGATTATATCAATTTATTCTAATTATATTATTTAACACCTGTATCAAACATCAATGTCCTAGGACCAGAAATATGAAGATTCCTGCACCCAGGAATAGGTGGTCTAGTTAGAGAGACAGAAAATAAACAGATAATTTCAAAACAATAATAAATTCCATGTTGGGAGTATACGTGTGGTGCTTTGGTAACACAGGGAAGGGAGAAAAAATCAGAATGATGGAGATGGTGGAAAAATATCTTAGCTGAAATAACCACTGAGCTGAATTTGGAGTTGGAGTGTTAGCTATGGGGGAGAGATAATTTAGGCAGAGGGAAGCTTTGTGGAAGCTTAGGTGGGTGATTGGTAGGCCACATTTAGGGAATTACAGCAGTTCCATATGGCAGGAACGTAGAGATAGTCAGAAGAGAGAGAGAGCGAGAGAGAGAAAAAAAAGGAATATGTCTTGAAATGACCAATTTAGTAGACTGGAAGTACAGCATTTGGTATATGAATATGCTTCATAATCTAAATTTACATGAAACTAATGACGAGTATAGATATGCCTTACTTTAAGCCCATATAAATAAATCTAACTCCTCTCATTAAAAAAGATGATCAGTTAGATTTCTAAGTATTCCTCTGCTACATTTAAAATGAGAAAAAAATTTACTTTCCAAAATGGATTTATGTGTCATTTTTTTAAACAAGATGCACATTATCTTACCTTTCTAAAAAAAACTGTATAAGTTTATATAGGATAACAATAATATAATTATAATATTTACTGAATGGTAAGCATTAAACTCATTTAATCCTACCTAGAATCCCATGAGACATTTATTATTATTATCATCTCTATTTAATATATGAGAAGATAAAGTATGGAAAGTTTAAATAATTTGGCAAAGGTCACTCAATAAATGACTGATTTCAAACTAATTCCAAGACCACTTCATTAATCACCACGTCTCTTCCCCTTGCTGTTCCATATTAAGCATGGCAAGCTAGAGATGTGGTTTAGATTTATGAGATGATCATCTGGACAGGATCTACAGGGCTTATTCACTGAAGTAATCCCTACTTTGCCTTCATAGAGCCAATAGGCAAGACAGATATAAACACAAGGGTGTACCATAAAGTCTTACTGGTAACATTTGGGCACAAATGAATCAGAGCTCAATTCTATTTGGTGAAAGCAGTGGAAGTATGCAGAAGGAATTCCAAAAGAAGAGGTTTGAGTCCCCCAATCATGTAGGTGTTTGGGAAACAAGTGGAAAAGGCCTCTAGCCAGGGGAAACAGTTTGAACAAAAGTATTGTATATTCTGGGAACTGAAAATAGTTCCATCTAGTTTAGGCTGAGGCTGAATATGGAGGAGCTGCATAAATGAAACTGGAAAGGTGAGTGAGATTACCTAATGAGGGACCTTATATGATATATGAAGTCATGGGGTAATTTATAATAATGAGGAGGGAAAGGTTATCAGGGAGTCATATGACCAGATTTGCATTTTTAACGATCACTGAGAAGGTAGTAGAAGGATGGATTGGAAGAGGGCAGGGAGACCATCTAAGAATTATCATTGTAATTTAAGCCTTTAATTAGTATTCAGAATCAGTAGATACATTTTTCCAAATTTCTGGCCAGAATACACTAAGTGATTGATATATTTTCAGTTAAGCATTCTTAAGCACAGTACAGTGTTAATCTGTTTATGCCTATCATGTTTATTACCTATAAAAGACAATGATAAAAATGTCATTTGACTGCAATTCCTCACTTGAAATCACAATGTCACCAAAAAAGAAAAATTATACAATAGAGCTACAAAAAATATTGTAAAATTACAAGCTTAAATAAATTGAACTAAATACAGACAAATTCTTTCAACTTGATTAATTTGCTCTCAGATTACAGAGAACTTCTAAAGGAGAAGGTCTATGTAGTCAAGAAATAAAAGTAATGATGTTTCATTGATTATGGCCAATTAAAGGGCCATTACTAGATGCTGAGCCCCTTGTGGGCAGAATTTTTAAAAATTCAGATATATGAATACTAATTACAACCATGGTAATAATAATATTGGTAACTGCCATCCATTAAGTCCCCACTATAAAGTTGTTGTTTCATGTGTATTATCTCATTTAAGCCATATACATATACCAACTCTATGAAGCAGGTGTCATTATTTCCACTTTAGAATAGGAAAATTGAGGCTCAAATAATTTATCCAAGATCATGTAGTAAGTGAAAAGCAGGGGTTTAAATTCCAAATAAATGTTATCTAGGAACTCATGTCCTTAACTGTTAAATTTCTACAATCTATCACTCCCTTAGATTGCTACTTGGTAGAAAGTCAATGTTTAATAAATGTCTGCCTTGGAAATACTTAAAAATAACAATACATGGTAACAAAAATTTATAAGCCCTAAAGGACTTGTTTTAATAGTGGAGAATAGATGGGAATAATATGTAATTAACAGAATGATATCTTATGCATAAAGAGATGAATGTAAATTTTGAAAATTCAAACCTAAGGGGGTAGACAAAAATAGGTAGTATATGGAGCTGATTTTCAGACAGTTGGAAAACTAAGGCTAAAAGGAAAGAAAAATGTAATGGGAATGTGCACATCAAAGACAAGGACAAGGGAGAAATAATAAGAGGAAGATTTGTGTTTGGTGGGGTCTGTGACATTCCATCAACAATTGCCTCAGGTGCTGTTCATCATTAGAGAGAAGATCCCTCACATAACCTAACAAACAGAAATTATTCCTACCACTTCAAAATTTATGTATTATTTTAGCAGTTTTTAAAAGCTGAAGTCATGGGTGATTGAGTTTAGTCTCTCAGTATTATTCAGGGTATGCTAACTGATGTAACAAACTATTTCAAAATCTAAATGGTACAAACAACCAAAGTTTAATTCTTGCTCATCTTACATTATATAGGCATGGGGGTTGAGGAGAACTCTGTCCCATGCAGTTACTTCAGTGGTCCAGGCTTCATTTACTGTAATCACTATTCCCTAGGACTTCAAAAGCCTGCAATGGATCCTCCACATCCGGTCAACAGTTTAAGATAAAATAAAAGAAAGTGAGGACACTCATGTAAGCTTTTGGTGGCCACATATGGAGGTGATATGCATTCCGCTCATACTCCAATTGGCCACACTCAGTCCTATGGCTCACCTAATTGTAGGGGAACTCTGATAGTAGCTTAGCAGAATATTAAAAAAAAAAATAGAGAGCAAAGATCAGTGAACAATTAGTCAGTTCCACCCTCCCTAATTATATTGTTAACTCCTAAGGGATATAAATAGTGTTTTATAGTCATTTATATGCCCAGTAACACCTAATAGAATTTCTGGCATATAATAATCTGTCAACTAATTGCTAAATGAGTGTATAAACTCTCTAGCTCATTCCTTAGCTTTGAGGCTATTTAAAGACCTTCATAGGTCCTAGGCACTCTTGCTTTAGAGGCCCACACCTGAGTAATATCAAAATAACAACATATACTCAGATGCCATTAAATATAATTCTATTGGCAAGATTAAAATAACATTTAAAATATGATTTTGAAATTATTTGACTACTATTGAATGGCAGAATTGATCAGAAATAAATGTATTGCATTGAAGAAGAGAAGCATATCAAGGCTTGCTAGGCAAAATAAAATGCATTGTTAGTAAATACAAGAAAAAATCGTATAGGTTGGAAATATCATGTTAACACCATACAAAATGTGGAGAAAAAAATGGAAAATGCAGTGTTCATGCCTTTGAAAGAAGAGTAAGCCAAGAACACGGTTGGATTTTGACCCAATGGAGGAGAAGATCTAAGAGTAAGCTACACAATACCCGTTCTGATTAACTTAGTAATTATACTGTATATCATAACACTTTTATAAAGAGAAATGACCCTATGAAAATAAATTAGTAATTAAACGTGGAATCACACATGAACCACTCCCCAGCCCCAACCCAGCGGGAAGATCTTGGGCTTTGGGGAGGAGTTTTGGCCGCAATGGATTAGAGTAAGAATTTGGGACATTATATAGGGGCTAAACTGGGGTCTGTGGGCTTGGAAACTTTTGCTGGCTAGGCATGTATTTTCTAATGACTTGGCTGTGCATAAATGAAATGTTTATCCATGGTACCTCATATATCTTAACTGATACCATCATTGTATAGCAGGAAACCCCAAAGGAGGGGGTAGAAGACAATCAAGAGTTTTAAGTAACTCATTTAAATAAAATCAGTTTTGGCTGGGCACAGTGGCTAACACCTGTAATCCCAGCACTGTAAGAGGCCAAGGCAGGTGGGTCAGTTGAGCCCAGGAGTTCAAGACCAGCCTGGGCAACATGGTGAAACTCTGTCTCTGAAAAAATGTAAAAATTAGCCAGGCATGGTGGCCCGTGCCTATAGTCTCAGCTACTAGGGAGGCTAAGGCAGGAGGATTCCTTGAGCCCAGGAAGATGGAGGTTGCAGTGAGCCAAGATTGGGCCACTGCACTCCAGCCTGTGTGACAGAGAGAGACCCTATCTCAAAAAAATAAAATAAAAATAAATAAGATCAGTTTTTATTTCTTCACAATGATTATACATATGAGGTGGAGCTGGAGGTCATTATCAAACTAACACAGGACCAGAAAACCAAATGCTGCATGTTCTCACTTATAATGAGAGAGCTAAATAACAGGAGCTAAGTGATGATGCACAGAGGAGAACGACACACACTGGGGCCTTTCAGAGGGAGGAGGGTGGGAGGAGGGAGAGGATCAGGGAAAAAACCTAATGGGTACTAGGCTTAATACCTGTGTGATGAAATAATCTGTACAACAAACCCCCATGACACAACTTTACCTATGTAACAAACCTGCACTTGTACCTCTCAGTTCAAAATAAAGGTTAAACAAAAACAGAAACCTAATAAGAGGTTGCACTAGTTACAAAATGAGAAAGTCTAACTTCAAAATTGTTTTCAAGTATAAAGACAATGTTTGTGATGCTAAGAATGAGGTTGACAGGTTATACGTTATTTAAATATTTAATTGAATATTTATTGATTTAGACTTTGGTGCTTTTCCTATTTTGAAGCCAATTTACACATGTTTTTCATGTCTCCAGTGTTTGTGTAAGCCCCTGAAAAGCTCACAGGCCCTGGGCTTTGTGCCTATATTGTGAAAAAGAACAAATGGTCATTCTCAGCACTTGGCAACTGGGTCTGCACCAGAGCATGGCATGGGTAGATAGGTCCATTCCTTCTCCTGTGCCTGGAAATCAAAGGCATTCTTGCCGAGGCTTTTGAGAGATGTTTAAATTCTACAAACATGTTAACGTCTTACCAGATGCAAGATCCTGTGCTGGTTGTTTGTAGAAGCCCTTACCTTCAAGGGCTTTACATTTAGCAGACAGTAATTATTTTTGCCTGAATCAACTTTTTACATATATTATGAAAGTAGAAATAGTTATTTTCTAACTCCATAGTTTCCTCTATATGTATTTTCTGGCATTCTATTGTAAGGCACAGCTTTTCCTTCTATCTATAGATCTATCTATCATTATCTATCTATTGATATATATATAATCTGTGTGTATATAAATGTATAAAATCAGTATGTAGTCGTGGATTCTTAAATTACTCAATGAGTTATTGTCTATTTATTTTGATGCTTATATTGTCCCAGATGTAACCAGGGTTGCCTCTTTAAGGTGGCTGCTGGGTCCCTTTGTCTTGTCCCCATATGAGCACTTTTTGATTTTCCAGGGAGCTCTGGATCTTTTTGTTGTAGTAGTTAGATTTGGGCGCTAGTAATGCTCCTGGTTAATGGTCTTTATTGCTTCCTTTAAATAAAGAAAGCTGGGACACACACACAAATTTATATCGGGATTTCCCATTACAATCCAAACTTCACAGGATTCTTCCTTTACTATGTATATTCCCTTTGTTTTATCCTTCTACAGTGAGAGACTTGGTTCTTAAGAATATCAGTATGTTTACTTAGTTACTTAGTTCTACAATATGCAAAAAATTCTCGGAAGTACTATACCTCTAAAGAAATAAATTTATTAAGAGTTCAATAGTTGTGTCAATTTTCATTTTCTTTAGATTAAGAATAAATAGTGAAACTACTATTCATGAAAGTTACTCAGATTAATTGCATTTTGTTTGTTGAATCCTCATTCAGGCTCACTACCAAATTTTGAAGTCTGGATAAATCTAACTGTTTTCAGCTTAAATGTCACATCCTAATGCTGACTTCCCAAACTCTCCATGTTAGGTTAGGTCCATCTGTTAGATGGTCTCATAGCACCCATTGCTTTTCCTATACAGAACTTTTCCTTTTCTTTTTTTAAATTTTATAATTATTTTTTATTTTCTGTTTTTTTATTATACTTTAAGTTCTTGGATACATGTGCAGAACATGCAGGTTTGTTACATAGGTATACATGTGCCTTGGTGGTTTGCTGCACCCATCAACCCATCATCTAGGTTCTAAGCCCCGCATGCATTAGGTATTTATCCTAGTGCTATCCCTCCCCTTACCTTCCCACTCTGCAGCAGGCCCTGGCGTGTGATGTTCCCCTTCCTGTGTCTGTATGTTCTCATTTTTCAACTCCCACTTATGAGTGAGAACATGCGGTGTTTGGTTTTCTGTTCCTGTGTTAGTTTGCTGAGAATGATGGTTTCTAGCTTCATCCATGTCCTTGCAAAGGACATGAACTCATTTTTTATAGCTGCATAGTATTCCATGGTGTATATGTGCCACATTTTCTTTATCCAGTATATCATTGATAGGCATTTGGGTTGGTTCCAAGTCTTTGCTATTGTAAACAGTGCTGCAATAAACGTGTGTGCATGTGTCTTTGTAGTAGAGTGATATATAATCCTTGAAATTAAGGCAGAAATACATAAGTTCTTTGAAACCAATGAGAACAAAGACACAACGTGCCAGAATCTGTGGGACACAGCTAAAGCAGTGTTTAGAGGGAAATTTATAGCCTTAAATTTATAACCCACATCAGAAAGTGGGAAAGATCTAAAATCGGCACCCTAACATCACAATTAAAAGAACTTTTCCTTCTCAATCTTCATCATAGTTTGCTGTTTCCCCCAGTACACAGTAGTTTCAAAAGGACAGAGATCAGTGTCTGTCCTGTCACCTCTTATTGCCCTCTGAACACATAAGCAGATATTAAAAAATGTTTGTTGAATAAATGAATTGTTCCTAATAGTTGATACAGGAACTCAGAATAAAAGAGAAATTATAAGAGTTCATTTCTTACCTTTATTGCTGCTCTGACTGTTCCACCCTTTTCCTTTCCTCTTCTGCAGGCAAAAGATATGTTTTAAATTTAGTTGAAAAGTATTTTTTAAGAAACATTTAATAAGCACCTACTGTGTATTTCCTGGGCACTGAAATACAGACAGAGATCATTCAGAGGATTAAGATCTGGTGCAAAAATATGTTGTCTAGGGACATAAGTAATCTTCTGAGGTTGCTGAAGGCCCCAGAAGGATTTGGGTAGATGTATTTCTACATTTGTCTGCTTAAAAGGTCATGTTTTTGTTTGACTAATGATCAGTACATTTTCATTTTCATTTTTAAAGATAGTTCTGTCAAGTTTGCTCTCTCTTCAGTGGCTAAGTGTAAAAATAAAACTTCTCACTTGAGTAGCCTATGAATTAGGTTATGCGTAGAAGTGCAAACCCATTACTGAAAGGACTACAGGGTAAATAAATGTAAATAATTTTCTTAAGGTGGGTCTTGAGCTATGTGACGTCTAATTTGTACCTTCCAAATGAAAACCACGTAGCCAATGATTAAATTAATTTTTTTCGTTATGTCTTACAAAAAAGTGAAGAGAAAACAAAGCAGTTTGAACAATGGTGAGAAGCTCTTCACAATGAATTTAGATGAAGTAGGAAAAAAATTGATATGACATGATTTCTGTCACATGCTTTTCTTTTCTCTATTGCTGCTGGACTCCAGGAGCACTGCAGCATCTTTCTTTATGCCCTAAATCAGATCATTGCTTGTTTCTGTTGAATTCTCAATATGCAGTTGAATAAAACTATGTTTGTAAGTCTCATTTTCTTCGTTACTAAAATGATGGTGCATTTTCAATATATTTGTTGAAGATTTAAAATTGTGTACAACAATGTTCTTACACTGTGCCTGATGCACACAGAGTATAAGTAAGTAATTTATAGTCATTATATGGATTCTTTATCTGCTGTCTGTGCACAGACAATTATTGAGTATTGTGTTTTATGAATGAGGTGAGATATTAATTAATGATTAGATACAGTCTGTGTCCCATATTAGGGCATGGCAGAGGCAGAATAAGAAAGGACAAACCTAAAATTACTCTTAGCAGTGAGGTAGAGAGAAGGCCATCCACAGCTGTTGAGGAGACACCAGAACGTGGCACCACAGTTCTCCAAAGTCCTCTGGAGAATGCAATGTATAAGGGATTCGATGTGGGTAAAACTTGGGATACAAAAGAGAGGGCAGAGCCTACAAACTCTGGGAATGGATGCTATGTTTAGAGCCAAGCCTGTAATTCAAGCCAGTCAGATCTTTCCACAGACACAAAAGTCAACAGTCATTGTACTAGGCCTCAAGACAAGACTCAGGTCCCTGGTAGAGATGGGCATGAAAAATGCAGGCCTTAGTCCTACACAGTCTGAGATCCTCAACATGTTCATTAAGAGTTTCAGCCAACAGAGAACAGGAGAGCTAGTTAGCAGAACTGGAATATAGAGAAGGGACTAAATCCTGAGAATTAAGTAGAAGATTTTTCTTCAAGGAGGGACCAAGACTGCAGTTAAAAAAGTGATAAGTATGATTGGGTGGTGACATAATACAAAGAATTGGGTTATAAAGACCCACATGAATCTGAGATTTTGCCTAGGAACAAGCTTTATTCATGATTTCAGGGATACAAATTATCATGAGTCATAGTGAAGCAGGAGAAATCTGGAATAGTCAGTGAACCTTACAAGGTTCTTTTCTTGCTGCATCAGGATGGGCTCAGGGCCCAGATTAATATATAAGATCTCTAATGAGTTATGCAATTAAGAAATTTATGGAGGAACAGCTGTTTGGATCATGAAACATCTCTACTTTATACTCAGTTACATACTTTATATGACATTTTCCGGGATCCCATGTCTGTAAATCCATAGATTCCAGGTATGCTTACCGTAAATAGTCTTATAGCAGGTATATCCTGCTATAGATGAGGACTGCTGTTAGCAAATACTCATTATTTTGTCTGCTATGAGGTATTATCCTTAGCTTATTTACATGGCTATTTGACCAGGTCAGCTTTTGTCCTTTTCCCCCTGGAGGTGTCCTGTAGATGGGAGAGAATGACTTGAAAATCTTCTATTTTAACTATTTACTTCCCAGATAGCAAGCCCCAGAGGGTTGGCATTGAGTTAAATTCCCTCCTTCCTGAAATTTGGATTAATTTTGGAAATTAAGAATAGAACTAGCAAGTGGAAGGAATACAGAACTGGGGAGATCTCAAGGGACTTACATGCTTGTCCTATACTCAATTATAAGCATACTTCCTATCATTAAGGTTTAAAAGAGATAAATAGATATATGATAGATAATAGATAAAAAATGCCTTGAGTATATGGAAAAAGGGAGGTCAAGTGAGTTGGTGTAACCAGAGCAGATTTTGCAGCCTTCTTTATTTTCCTCCTCTTTTAATTTGACCCTTTCTCTCAGACTATGATGTAATGAGAGTGGTGTCCGCAGTCCACTAATGGGTGAAGTTTTGTCCATAAAGTCAAGGCTCACCACCAAAGTCCAAAATAGAAGCATGAAAGGTAAAAGAGGAATTAACCACAAAAGAGGATATTAACAGGTAGGTGGTTTCTGGGTCTTGAACAATCTTGACTTAATTTGTCATTGATATATAGCTCATTGTCAAGCCTGGAGACCTTTCCTAGTAACATCTCACACCAGCTGAAGATAATTTTTAGAATGGCTCCTCAGTCATGGTTTCTCATGAACTATAAGACACTCAAACTAATGTAATCAAATTAATTTCCTTCTATGTTTATAACTGAGGTTTCCTTCCTGTCCTTTCTTTGCCTGTAATTAACAACTAAATAAGAACTGGAGATCCTGCAGTTCACCTTAATGAAAAAGGTGCGGAAAGGGAGGAAAGCTGGGCAAGAAAAAATTGATTATGTCATTAACTAACAATTATGCTATAAGCCTTTGCATCTTCCAGCATGATGGGCTTTGGTATCCTGTGCCAAAATACTGAACAGAATTTTTAAAAATAGGCCATCAGATATTTAGAGCTGATGATATTAAGGCTGGGGAAGTGTTCATGGGAGGATTATACAGCTTCTCTGAGTCTTTTGGTAAATAATGTGAGCAATGAATCATCCATTACTTTGCAACACTTCGTCTACTGTTGCCTTAAAGTATTAGTTAAATCTATGTTATTGTTTCCTACATTTCTTTGATTGTATTTGTCTTGCCAACTGCATTTTAAGTTTCTAGAGTACACAGATAATATAGGTGCTCAATACATGTTTCTTGATTTAATTCGAAGATCTAAGGGACCTTGGGAAAATACTCGAAAAATTAGTCTCTATGATATCCCATCTCTACTAAAGGACCTTTAAGAATCTGTAAAGACAGGTCAAATACAATTGTAAAAGATAATTTAAATTTCCTGTTGGTGGGTATTCATTATTTCCAGTTTCATTTTATGAGATTTTATAATAGTACAAAAATAACACTAGGCTTAAAGAGAAAGAAAGATAAAGAATGTCATATATCATTGAAAGAGAATTAAATTGTAATAAAAGTTCTTGAGTACAATTTGAAATACATTTTAAGAGAACGATTAAAAAATTTGCTGATCTTTTAATAGGTTTTAATTTTTTTATTCCTAATCTACTGTTGTAAATAGTACTAGGAAAATCTTAGGTACTTCCCTATATTACTAATACCACCTATATTCGTCAAGTTTCAGTTTGAAAAATAGATATGAATAAGTATGTCCACTGGGGTCTCATAGTGAATGATTCTCAGAAGTTTGTCCAGAGGCCTCTGCTAGCTTCCTGCATCTGCTCATGCTGCCACTAGAGACTACTGGCTTCTTCCCTTTCACCTTCCAAATAAGCCGTAGTGCTTCTCTTCATCAGAATTTTACTCAGATGGTTCAGGATTCTGGGAAACACAGTTCTGACTTTTCTGACTTTTTACTGTGATGTAGAGGCAGTGTGGAGAGGGGCTGGCAACAATGCCCAGTAGACCACAGATCACCTTGCACACTGTCTATTCATCATTCAAATGTTTTTGAAAGTAGTTGTAATACACAATTTTTATGTAAATATTTATCTGTTTGCCTCAAAGATACAATAAGCATCCTCTTCAGATAGAAAACAGGCACTTTTAGATACAGATTCAAGGAAATTCAAAATGACTTTGTCTCACAGTTGGGAGTAGCACTCTGGGGAAATATAACACTTTTTTTTTTTCTTTCTTTCCTTATCATCAAAGTCAGTGCTGACACTATGGAACACCTTCGCAGAGCACTCTTTGCTTTTTGCTTCATGCTCTGAGAGTTTCATGAACTATGGTGAACTATGTTTTATTATGTTTTGTTGTCACAAACAAGACTGCAGGACCATAATGTAAGGGCCAACTTTTTTACCTTTTCTTTGTTAGGAAAAAGTTTAAGAATGAGAGATGTAAATAGGCACTTACTTCAATTAGCAATGCCATTGTTGAGTCAAGGATGTTTAGAAAACAAAATTTATGGTTCATCTGTGAACTTTTTTTAACAGCATACTTATTATCATGGATATAATTATTTTTCGCTTTTAGAACTCTTTTAATATGCCAGGAAAATGTAATTTGTGTGTAATTTTAAAAATGATGCTCTGTATCGGGTATTAATATCCTTACTTTATAGATAAGGAAAATTGAGGTTAACATCACAGACAATAAGCGACATATCCTGGAAAAAAACCTACAGGGCTCCTGCTTTTAACCAACTGCATGAGCGTTTATAGTTAAGAGGAAATGTACAGAGAACTAGCCTAAACTGCATTTTTAATTTCAGTAAACTAAAAGCTAAAGAGCCAAAGTATCGTGCCTTTGGTTATACCGCTAACAGGAGAGTTGGAGGTATGACCCAGGTACAACAGCCAGGCTAGGATAAGCCAGGCTGCAGTAACAAACAGCCTGACATCTCGGTGGCTTTAATACAACAAAGGTTTGTTTGTTTCTTTATGAAGTCTAGTAGGGGTCAGGCAGTCCTACCCTATGGAACATGGGTATTTATTCTCCACCTGCTTTAAACTGCCTCAGATGGAAGTGATGCATTAGCTTCTACTGGAAAGAATTAACCAAATGATCTTGGGTGGGCACAGTGGCTCACACCTGTAATCCCAGCACTTTGGGAGGCTGAGGTGGGTGGATCACCTGAGGTCAGGAGTTCAAGATCAGCCTGGCCAACATGGTGAAACCCTGTCTCTACAAAAATTAGTGGGCATGGTGGCACACACCTGTAATCCCAGCTACTTTGGGAGGCTGAGGCATGAGAATTGCTTGAACCTGGGAGATGGAGGTTGCTGTGAGCCGAGACTGCACCATTGCACTCCAGCCTGGACGACAGAGTGAGACTCCATCTCAAAAAAAAAAAAATTCTTAACTATCAGGACAGCAGGGAAAATGTGGTCTTCTTCCTACAGATGTGAACACACAACATCGTCCCTGCCATAGCAGGAGTCCTGACACTGAGTCCCATGCTTGTATCATGACACTAGTCTGCTCTTCACTCCAGACGCTCTTCAGCTTTGATACTGGTTTGATAGTCAAGGTGTATTGTATATTTATATCTACAAAACTGCTCATTCTGGGTTTCTTCTTACTTTAAAAATATTAATTGGCTGCTTAAAATGGGAGTGAGTTTTTTGTTTTACACATTTCCACTTGACACAAAACAGATGCAACATTCAACCTAATAAGTTAATTTATTCAAAATAGTTGGGGGACTCATCAGGCCTCAGAAACAGCTGAGGTTTCAAATTTATTTTTTCTAGTTTCACAGTGCAAATGGGCATTGTACATATTTCATATCCCCACTTTCTCTTCAAAAATGTCACTCTATAGCTCTAGCTGCACAATCTTAGATGAAATATCTATGAAAATATGTCACTGTAACACAGATGAGAATTTGGCCAAGAATTGATATTCTTTATGTTACTCTGCAGAGAAAAACTATAACAAAAGTTGAACAATGTATTTAGTATATGACGTATGATGAATAGAAGACACATAATAATGCAAATAACTCATATATTGCATAACTAAAAATAACTAAAAATAAAAATTAACTCAAATATATATTGCATAATAACTAAAAATAAAAATAAAAAATCAGTGTCAGCCATGCTCTACACTGATACCCAAGGATCATAAAATATGGTTGGACAGTTAAATATCATGACACAATGGAGGCATTAAAGGGGTTAAGTCAGCAGGCTTGTGGTACTCCAACCCTTCACATTTTAAAGAAAACACTGTCCCTCAACTGGTTCCTGGAAGATAAACTCTGAGGCTTTGGACTATCTTGTCTGATAAGAGTGTCTTTATATACAGGAGACCTTGAACCACGCCAGAGAGTTTATGCTAACAATGAGATTTGTGATGAATATCTGTTTTTTTTTTTCTTTTTCTTTTTCCCAAGTGGCTGTTGAATTTATTTGCTTGATCAATAATGGTCCTGCCAAAAATTAGTTAACCAATGCTGAGACATTTGTAATGAAATACTAATTTTAAAAATCCATGACACCTTGATAGAAATTAGAGTTTATACAAACAAAAAAGGAACCTTCAATATTGCCAGCAGCTATAAAGTGAATGTACTGAGACTGACAGGGCAGCAAGAAGGCATTTGCACATTTATATCTGACACCTGACCATACTTTCAGTCACCAGAATATCTTCTCTCCAGATTTAAAAAAAAATGGTATGCTGATTTCTATAACAAAGATTTTTTTCGTAAAAAAATCAAACAATGGCCAGTGAGTCACAACAGTACAATAGGTAGAGGTTTAAAAACTACATCAAACAGGTGCTGAAAATAAATACTACCTAAGAGGAGGAGGAGAGGGCCTTCCTATGGGGTTTGTTTTCGTCCTCTTAAGTGCGTGTGGGGTTTGTCTTCCAAGCCATGAGCCTGGCCTGTCTTGCAGTGCTCTTCACTCAACAGGGTGTGACTGCAGCATGTTGCCTCCAGGGTCTGGCTTCTCAGAAGCCTCAAAGCATCCATCTCATCAGATGGACCAGAAACAAGAAAGTGGGGTGGGGTGAGTCACAGCTATCACTCAAACGAAAGAAAATTTTTTTTATTGCTCAGTCTTGTCAATTGGGAGTCCACCAGCAGATTCACTGAGACAATATGGGTAATTTCATACTTTTGTTTAAAAGCATATATATGGCTTATTCAGGCAAGGACACGTGTACATTCTAGCCCAAGCAAGCAATCGGAGTCATTCTGTTTTTAAGGAAGGCCAGTTGTTTAAAAGATTTCTAGTTTGAGCAACATCCTCTGTGGATGCACCAGGCCAAGGTGACTACCTCTGCCAACCCAGTGAGAAGGCCTTTGCTGGTCCCCGCGGTGAGGAACTGGTGGGAAGAGGCGGCCTCCTCCCTGCCGGCCTGCACTGCCCGGGGTGGGTGGACAGGCTCCACAGGCAGCCTCTGTCTGTGGCCAGACTAGGCCATCCTGGTGACTAGGGCTTATCAACTGTGGTTTAGAACTGCAGAAGGAGAGAGTTAGGAGGGTGGGCCAGGGAACACACACCAGGCGCCACTCTGGCCAGAGAACATGAGGCAGCTCCCCCACAGGGATCTGCACCAAGAAGGTGTGGAAGGCACAAGCAAGTGTGAAGGTACCAGAGATCCCAGAGGGTGCAGCTCACAGCGGCCACAGCAGGTGCAGCGCTGACCTGGTGTGGTTCCCCCCTTGAATGAGAAAGAGATCCTGATTCTGCTGTGATAAAAAAGCAAAGCAAGACGATTTATGGTTTAAAAAGAAGCCACTCGAGGGTTAAAATAGTTATTTTAAGTTAACAAAGAAAATTAATCTTTAAATAAGGTGACACTATCTGGAAAACTCATCTGTCCCTAAAGCCCACAATGCATCCACTGCTTCGTTCTCTTAATGGAACCTGAGCCTGACGCAAAGGAGTCAGACGGGTGACAGAGGAAGAGTCTGAGAAGAGAAGACACCTTTACAGAATGTACAGCAAGAAAGCCGGCCTGGCCCCCTGGTTACAGTAAGATGCACAGGTCCTTTCAGTCTCGCGGACTCCAGACGGCCGCGCGGGCTGCTCAGATGGACGTCTCCTTCCTGTCCCTGCTGGGTGATGGCTTCACCGGCTCTTTGCCTGCCTTTGGCTGCTCTTTAGCTTCTTTTGGCCTGAGGACACAGTCTCTGGGCGACTGGACGGCACCACCGCGCCACTCAGGCTCCTGGTCCTCCTGCACCTGCTGCTCAGCCTTGGTTCCCTCCATCTGGAGCAGCCGGAACTGTACGCGCAGCTCGATGATGACCTCGCGCTCCTCTTGAACTGCTTGATTCAAATGATTGCTCTTTATTTCCAGCTCTTCGTTCTGTCTCTGTAAATATTCCAGAATAATCTGCAGCTCCTCCTCATCCTCACTCTCGCTCTCGGAGGAGTACTCCTCAGTCTCACTTCGGCCGTGCTGCTGGTGACTCTGAATTTCAGCAATCTCGGCTCTGAGGCATCCCATCTCTTCTTTTTCTGAGGAAGTCTGCCGGCATAGAAACTGCTCCATGGTCAGGAGCTCCTCCTATTCAGTCAGGATCTCATTCTCCCAAGCAAGGAGAATATTTATAACTTCTTCATTTTCATTCATCTCTTCTTTGGAAACATCCTCTTTTAAAAGACTGGCTATCTTTTGTGTAATCTTGGTTTCACACTCCTGTCTTTAAGCGTCTCTCAGTTTTCTTTTGAGGGCTGTCAAAATTCTTTGGACTTTCCATAATCTTTCTTCTTTAGATAAATCCTTTATCCCACACTGCAGATATCGATGTAAACAATTCAAAAGAAAACCCTGTCTCCTGATCTCCTCCTTGATACCTGCCTGGGTCTCTGGCAGCGTGGGCATCGTGGCCATGTTAGACCATCGCAGAGGTTTCGTCGCTTGCTTTAGTACAACATTTCCAAAGAGTTCTTGCGCATGTGTGAAAAACACATACAGGACTCAATTGCTGATCTGCACAGTTGGGTTGAGCACTATAGAAATGTTCTGTTTATTCATTTTTGTTTCCAGTTCATTTGCAATGACATGGTCCATGTGCACAATGAGCCAAGAAATCAGAAGATAGTTACATTCTGGCAGTTCTTTGAGTAAACGCTGGAATTCCTGCACTTTCTCAGTCTCCGTGGTCCTCCCACAAGCTTCTTCAAATCTCGGCATAAGCTCTTTGGTAACCAAATTCTCTGGAAGGTCTCACAAATACTGCTTCAGCAAACTGGCTACAGTGTTAAGCTCATATTCTTCCAAGTTGGTAGACTCCTTCCGGTCATAGGCTGCTTTTAGCTCATCCACCTTTGATTCAATTCCTGATACTCTGTAGATGCCTTCGCATCATGCCATACTTCTCTAAGTGATCTATACATTCACAGAAAATGGCCGGCAGCCGAATGCCATCATACATCATGGTCCTCTCTACTGCATCAGCCAAAGGAATTCCAAAAATGGGTTTGAGATTTGGAACATCAATCTGAGGCACCTCTGGCTCCTGAATTGGTTTTTCTTTTTCTTCTTTTCCTTCCACTGTTTAACAACATCAGCTTCTGTCAGGTCTTTTGACTTCTTCTCTTTATGTTTTTCTTCTTTGTGCTTTTCTTCTTTATGCTTTTCTTCTTTGGGTTTCTGTTTTATTTTAAAATCCTTCTCTTTCTTTTTAGAAAAGCTGGGCTTCTTGAAAACATGGATTCCCTTGAGCCTCTTCATTTTGGAAGGACTTTCTGCCTCATCTCCAGAGCTATATTCCTGAAAGGCTGCATAGCCGTCAGTCCTCTTTTCCTTTTTCTTAAATTTTCCTTTTTTCTTCCCATGGTCTTTCTCATCATCAGGCACTATATCAGGAGGCTTATGGAGGATGCCATGGGGACGTGAGGGCTGGCCAGTGCGGTACAGTCCAGGAAACTTAGTAGGACTGATCTCTTCAGAGCTGGGGGTCTGGGTAAGCCCGCTGCCATGCTCCATCCTGCGGTGTTCACTGGCGCTGCTGGTGGGGGCAGGAAGCATTCAGTCTTGCTAATGCCCTGACTAGGAAGGGAGGAGGTCTTCTCTGTTACCTCTCCATTACACCTGTGCCTGCCACCATGCAACCGACTGCCCCGCTGCCACGGCTGCCGCCTCCTGGCACTCAGGCTGCTGCTGCTGCAGCCACTGTAGCTGCCTCCTGCGCTGTGCCCCAGGCCGGCCTCCAGCACCCCATTCCCACCCCGCCCAGCCTCCGCCTGTTTACAATGATTGGGATGGAACGGGCTTTTTTTTTTTTTTTCCCTCCTTTGACCCTGGGGCCCACTGTTTATCAGTTTGACCTCTGGAAGTGGGGAGAAAATTGGAGACTGAATACCTAGGGTGAGTCAGGTGGGTATGGAGTGCAGCACCTACATGATTGACTCTAGCTATTCAGTCATGTAGGTGCATGTAGGGACTCCATACCTCAGTGACTGACCACACCAAAAAATCCCTTTGATACTGTGATGGTGAATACTGAGTGTCAACTTGATCCCACTGAAGGATACAAAGTATTGATCCTGGGTGTGTCTGTGAGGGTGTTGCCTAAGGAGCTTAACATTTGAGTCAGTGGGCTGGGAAAGGCAGACCCACCTTTAATCTGTGTGGGCACAATCTAATCAGCTGCCAGCGAGGCTAGAATATAAGCAGGCAGAGGCTGGGCACGGTGGCTCACACCTGTAATCCCAGCACTTTGGGAGGCAGAGGCAGGCACCCACGAGGTCAGGAGATCAAGACCATCCTGGCCAACATAGTGAAAGCCCGTGTTTACTAAAAATACAAAAATTAGCTGGGCATGGCAGTACACTCCTGTAGTCCCAGCTACTTGGGAGGCTGAGGCAGGAGAATTGCTTGAACCCGGGAGGCAGAGGTTGCAGTGAGCCGACATCACACCACTGCAGTCCACAGTCCAGCTTGGGCAACAGAGCGAGACTCTGTGTCTCAAAAAAAAAGAAAGAAAGAAAAAAAAAATATATAAGCAGGCAGAAAAATGTGAAAAGAAAGACTGGCCTAGCCTCCCACCCTACATCTTTCTCCCATGCTGGATGCTTCCTGCCCTCGAACATCAGACTCCAAGTTCTTCAGTTTTGGAACTTGAACTGGCTCTCCTTGCTCCTCAGCCTGTAGAAGGCCTATTGTGAGACCTTGTGATTGTGTGAGTTAATACTTAACAAACTCATATATATATAATCTCCCATTAGTTCTGTCCCTCTAGATAACCCTAATACAGCTACTAAGGCTCTAGTGAGCTTCTCTGTTTGGCAATATATTGCATAGGTTGTCATACATTGTTGCTGGGAGAATTAAGTACTGTCTATACTACTCCACTGGTAGAGAATAAATAGACTCTCATACCTGGTTTCTCCTGGACTCTGCCCTATGTGTCTTTTGCTTTTGCTGATTTGTATCTTTTCACTTCAGAAAGCCACAACCATGACTATAACACTTTTCTGGGTTCTGTGAGTTCTTCCAGCACATCATAAAAGCTGAGGGTAGTCTTGATAGACCCAAAAATGTAGGGTGAATAAAAGTTCATCAACTGAAAACACTTTCCAATCCAATTATGAGATATTGTCATAATATTTCAAATATTTGCTTAATGTTTAAAAAACTTCAAGTTTAAAAAGCTTTCCCATATTTGTGCTATTTGCTGTAGAAATTCAGAAGAGGTAAAAATCACTTTAAGATATAGGGGTCAAGAAGGGTTTTATGGAAGAATCTGGACATTGAGCTGGATTTCAAAAGGCACAGGAGAGGAGAAAAGACAGAGCAGGGTGAGAAAAATGCCCTCCAGGGTCAGAGGGCAGTAGATAGAACACTTTGGTTGAAGTGTGAATTTGAGGAAGGAAAGTACAAAGCTAAGATTGGAAATGGAGGCTGCAGCCAAATTATAGAGAGTTTTGATGCTGCTGTTGTTTACCATAAAATTAAAACCCAAGCTTTCAGTAAATTTAAGCTAATTAAATTTCAGAAAGTTTCTGTTTGGGGATGACCCCCTATAGAGGGTTTCCATATGTTCCTAAATTCTAATCAAAAGTGAGTCTACTGCCAGAAAGAGTCACTGTAATAATAACCTTGTGGGGTTCCACACATATCCCCTTTCGGTGATGTCCACGTCAAATTTACACAATTTATAACTGCAAAATTGAGTTGTCTTCAGCCAGAAATTGTATGCTCCACCTGTCATCTGAAAATCCAGCTGTGTTCTTTTGGATTATTGTAACATCACAGTAATAAAGGTTTTGCAATCAGAATTCAGCTCACAATTTTGGTAATGATTCATGATGCAAAACTGTCTCCAGCTCAGCCTCCCTGTGGTTTCACTGGCCCTAAAACCCCCAAAACTTCTGTTGTCTTGAAGACATGTTGCCCTAAATACATACTGTTATCGTCGGGAGTCAGTTGGGGGAGATGAGGTTGCAGTGGGTGGAATTTACAAAGAGAAGGTGTCAGGTTTATGCAAAGGTTTGAATTACAGAGGGGCATGAAACTTTGTATCAGTGTTCAATAGTTATAACCGTGGGTAGACCACCATACATCATTTTCACAACAGAATATTGTACAAACCAGCCCACTTCCTTTTCCCCCAGTCCCATAAAGACAACGTTTTACGAATGGCATGTGTTGTTTTGTGTCAAGGGTGTGTCTTCCATCAGGAGTGGAAAACAAAGGCACTCTGTGTTTGTTGGTCCTTTAGTTTGGTTCAATGCAAAATTCAGGCCTTTGGCCATATTAGTGTACACACTAATTTTCTCACATACTCTATGTGTATATAGGAGTACCCTAGAGTATATGAGCATATTCTCATATACTCCATTTCACATTTAAAAAATCATCTGTACTTAAATTATATAGACACTTTATCCAGTTTCTACTTAATATCTGGTAGGCATGAGCTTTTAGTATGGCTGAAATTGAATCTCTTATTCCCCTTTCTCCAAAATTGTACACTTTCCATATGCCCCTTATCTCAGTGTCACCAATATCTACCCAGACTTCTAAGTCAGACATGAAATCATCGTGACATTTCCCGCTCCTTCATTCTTACATCCAATTAATCACCAAGTCCCAGAGAATTTACTGCCTGAAACCTTCACCATCCTGTTCACTTTTTTCTGTCCTACCCATATTCCTTAGTTCTTCACATAGTTATTGAAATAACTTCTTGACTGGTTTCTCTGTTTATCATCTTCTACCCTCTGATGATTTCTTTTTGAAAATGCATCATAAAATGTTGTACCAAATGTTGTACATGATGGTTGAGGAAGATTTTTTCTGCCACCTTCCCACTCCTCCTTGCCCAGCTCAGTCTTGGAAAAGGCCTGTAGTTGGAGGGAAGAAAACTTTAACAGGAACATTTTGCGAGAGGTGAGGGACCTCTGATATTGACATGTTATGTTAGAGATATCTGGGTGGAAATACTGAGTAGATGAGTAGATGGTGATTCATGAATGTAATTTAAGGCTGGCAGTATATATTTGGAAGTCTTTAGAATAGTCTTTAGAGTATTAGTGGTATCAAAACCCATGAGGTTGGATGAGATCACAAGGAAAAAATAGAAAGGAAAAAAAGGAGAGATTCAAAGACTGAGACCGGGGGCCTTCCAATGTTTAGAGGATGGAAAGATGAGGCAAAAACAACAGAGGAGACTGAGAAGGAGCTTGCAGAGAGATGGAGAAAAACCCGGACTAGAATGGGGTCCTGGAAGCCAAGTGAGGAGAGCACCAAGGAGGCTGACTGATGGCCTCTGTGACACAGTGGTGAAGGGGAAGTAAGATGAGGATGGAAAACTAACCACTATACTTAACAACATGAAGGTTGTTGGTGACCTTTCCATTTCTGTAAAGTGGTGGGCACAAAACCCAGGTATGATTGGGCTGTAAAGAGAAGCAGAGGAGAGTAGTTGAGGGTAGAGAATATAGGCAAGGAGGGGAGTTTTTCTCTAAAAGAAACAGAGAAGGCCGGGCGCAGTGGCTGATGCCTGTAATCCCAGCAGTCTGGGAGGCCGAGGCGGGTGGATCATCTACAGTTAGGAGTTCGAGACCAGCCTGACCAATATGGTGAAACCCCTTCTCTACTAAAATTACAAAAATTAGCCAGAAGTGGTGGCATGTACCTGTAGTCCCAGCTACTCAGGAGTCTGAGGCAGGAGAATCACTTGAACCTGGGAGGTGGAGGTTGCAGTGAGCTGAGATCATGCCACTGCACTCCAGGCTGGGTGACAGAGTGAGACTCTGTCTCAAAAACAAAAAGAAAAAAGAAAAATAGGGTAGATGCTGGAGATAGAAGTGAACTCTAGGAGGATTTTTAAGATAAGAGATGTTTACATGCCACTGAGCAAGAGAAAATTGATGACACAGGAAAGAAAGAGAATAGTGACTGAAGTAATCCTTTTGAGTAACCAAGAGGTGATTGGATCTGGCACGCAAGTGGAGGGGTTGGATTTATCTAAGAGCATGGAGATTTCTTCGAAATTCACAGGAGAGAAGGCAGAGTATGTGGCACAGATGTTGATAGGTAGACGTAGTGGTAGAAGCTTGTGGAAGTTATCTTCTGGCTGCTTCAATTTTCTCAGGAAAATAGAAAGCAAGGTCATCAACTGAGAGTGAAGTATTGGAAACTATGAAAGGTCCCCTTCTCAATGAGGTCTTTCCTCCTCAAGCTATCTAAAATTCAGTCCCCTGAGCACTTATCACATCACTAATATTCTATCTATTTTGCTTACTTGTCAGATTTGCCGTTTCCCCACCAGACTTTGAACTCCATGAAAGTAAGGTTTTATGTCTGATTTATTTACTACTGCAACACCAGAACCTAGAATACTGACAGGTAAATAGGTGTTCCGTAAATATTTGTTAAGTTAATGAATGGAAGCATTTTGTGATGATTAGAGTGGAGCAGATTGGGCTTTTTAGTACAAAAGTAAAGGAAGCATCTTTCTATCATAGAAGAGTGACTAAAAAAGCTATGGGACTTGCAGGACATATTGTCCTAAGAGTGGGGAACAATCAGACTGGTGAGTGATTTTGAAGGAAAAGGGGGAAAAATAAGGTTGGTTTTTACTGGTACCCCCATGAGTCCAGCTTATTTAACAAGTTGGTTATAATATCCCATCTGTTTCAGGAAACTGGAGCAGCTTTACATACCTGAAAGTTTTCTATAGCTTGGAGAAAATAGTTTTAGACTGCGTGTGGGTCAGACAATTATGAATGTTGAGTCTTCTTCCTTTTCACAATATGTAGCAAAAGCTTCAGGTTCAGCAGCTGACAGTATGACAAATTATAGGACTGGTGGCCAAAGGGAAATGAATCTTAATAAAACACTAAAATCCATGATTTTGTGGCATACATTTTGGACTGCTATGCTTCTCTGCCAAAATTTAGCCCACGCCACAGGAACTAACTTATACACAAACATGTTTTGAACATAGCTGTATTAATAATAGTTTCCAGTTCAAAAAAAGAAAAGAAGAAGAAAAGAAATGCATCAAGTGACAAGACACCATGTGGTTAGGGGACACATGAAATGGAGTCAGAGACAGAAATTCCTGTCATATGTTAAAGTGTGAGTACACATTCATGCTTTAAAAAACCTATCACCATTTTTTTGGCAGTGTGCTATCATGAACCAATAGAAAGGGCTAGGCATGAGAATCAAACAGACTTGTATCTGAATCTTTATCAGTCAGGATCAGTCAGAACAGAGAAACCAGTCAAGGTGTTTTCTTTTTTCTTACCTATTTTTAATTCTAAATTATTGTAATGCAGAAAATTGTTTACACCATTGATGAAAGGGCTGAGGGAGCTGATGGAAAAGAAGGCAGGTATGGGCAATTCAGAGATTATCAAGAACAAGGAGCTATGATAAGTTCTAGGCATATGCGGCAAGAAGGAGGTGGATTATCAGAGCCCTGAAGCTGAGACCATCTAATGGGAGCTAGAACTATAGCTAGACCAATTAGACCTGGAGCCAGGAAGCAGCTGGAGCTGCTTCTGGAAAGGTTAGCCCAGGCAAAGCAAAAAGTGGGAGGAATAGCTTATCTTGTCTTCTTGCCTCCAGTCTCCTCTAGGTCCCAACCCTCCTACCCCTTGGAACCCACAAAGGAACCTGGGAATTATAGTTCCTACAATGGAGAGCAGGACAGGGAGAGGCAGAGAAGGTATCTAAGAACAAAGAAACCTCTCAGAAACCCTGTTCAACCTTTTATCAGCTGTGAATCCTTGAGTGATTGTTTTAACATTTAGAATCTATTTATTTATCTGCAATGTGAGAAAAGGGGTGTCTAC
The DNA here is from genome assembly GCF_000001405.40 of Homo sapiens. Taxonomy (NCBI): domain Eukaryota; kingdom Metazoa; phylum Chordata; class Mammalia; order Primates; family Hominidae; genus Homo; species Homo sapiens. The sequence continues at coordinate 180,316,830 of NC_000003.12, read as the reverse complement.
CTCATAGGGGTTTTTGTAATTCCAGATGCAATAATGTATGCACAGTGCCCAGTTCAGAGTGGAAGCTCAAAACATGCCATTTCCCCTTTCCCATTTAGAAATATTCCTTAAAGCTTTGTTTTCCTAGAGAAATGAAGTAACTAATGATTCTGAAGAGAACTTGGCCACCAAATCTTATCTTCAGCAATGCTTTAATTTTAATAATCTTCATCAAAAGCAGCACAGAACCCAAAACTGACTCAAAGAGGCAATTACTCAAAGCTCACATTTATCTAGAATTGTTTCTTTGAAATCTTCGTCAGTTCTGGGGGGCCCCTGACAAGATAACGTTTGTGGTAATGGCCACAAAATCAATGAAGTGTTTCTAGAAGAGACAGAAGGCAATAGCCCTTAATCTTTGCTGCTAAAATAAGATGTATTTTTCATAGATCTAGAAAAAGATCTATGAAAAATACAGAAAAATAGAAATAGAGGGGGTTTAAATAGAAAAATAGAAAAAGAAGGGTTTTAATCTCTGCACTGAAATCTTAAGGGAGACATGTCTTCTGACAGTAAAACCTACTAACTCTCAAGGTTAGGAAAAGTGCATACAAAAGTGTACGTGAGGAAACACAGTGAAACCTCATTTATTTAGTTTGACCTAATTTGAAATTTGGGATAACTTGGTCTTGGAAAGATTTAAGTTCCTGCTGAAGAATCTAATTAATTCAATTCAGCAAGCTCTTACTGAGCTCCTACAGTTGCTTCTGACCTGGTGCTGGGATCAGGATGAAAACTCCTAACACCTGTAACACTGCTTTCAAGGTGTTTGTTTCTTGCTGTTTGTGTAAATTACGATCCTAAGAGCCAACTTAATTTATTTAATTAAAAACTTTAAGCAAATTGCATAAATCAATACAAACGATTTTTATCTCCATTAAAGCAGGCTGTGCAGAACTGTTATTTTGCTTAAAGAGGTAATCACAAATATAAAAAATGTGAATTTCTTTGGCAGATAGTTTCGGGACCAAAATCCAACCCTGTCACACACTAGAGTGACTTTGGACAAGCCACCAACTTGTGGATAATAATATCTTCTCTGTAGTATTGCCGTGATGGTTAACTAAGGAAATATGTGAGAGGGTTTGGCCCGCTGCCTAGTTCCAATTCGCAAGAAACATTTGAGGATTCCCTTTCTTCCCTTCTCTTGGAAATGCGCTACCTTTTAGCAACAAATTTTAGTTATCTAGTCACTGGAGAGTAATATAAAACTAGTTAAATTTTTTTTTAAATTTCAAAATTATTTATAATCAGCCATGTCCTATCTAGAGTTTACTTGAATAAAAAAGAGGTTTTTTTGTTCTTGACTTACATACAAGAAAGCACAATTGAGGGTACAGGGAGATCAGTTTTTCTCCTGATAACTAGACTATTACAGAATTTCTCTCTTTCTCTAGGAAACAGAAAAAATATTTATTCCCTAGAGCCACCACTGCTATATTTTTGGTATATTTTCCTTTTAATAGGCAGTTTTCTTTATGGAATTGAATTAATGCTGTATATAATATGTATTTGGTATCCTACCTTTTAGGGTAATTGTATATTATAAGCATTTTCCCATGTCATTAAACACTCTGCAAAGCACAATGTTCCATTGTAAAGAAGTAGCATCATTATGTAAATATCTTCTTACCATTGGGCCCATTGCCTAAGTTTCATTTGCTTTATTATAAAGAACACTATAAATATATCTTGATGCTTGAATATAGACCCATATTATTGGACTGTTTCCTGAAAATAGACACCTAATCATACATAATAGGTCAAAGTTAATACACGTTAAAGAAGCACTTGATAACAAATATCCACTGAGTGCATTAGCCTGTGAATTATAATTTTAAAAAAATTGAAACTTTTAAAGGAACTTTAAGGAACAAAATAATGTACATTATTATTTCAGCTTTCAGTTTTTTAAATAATAATGAGATTGGAGAATTTTAAATGTTCTTGGTGGCCACTTGAATTTCTTATTTGGCAAATTGCTTGTGGTAGAGCAAATTTTTCCATTTCCTGTTTCTTGAGCATTTTCTATGCTCCAGACATTGGAACAAGGTATAGAGAAATTCATCAAATATTATCCCTATCTTCGAGGAATTCCACATATCACAGGAGAGAGGGGAAATAGAGTGTCATAAGATCAATAATGAAAACATAGAAATAGTTTGCAGTTATAATGAAGTGTGATTAATCTTTGAGACTGAAGTGGTTTTTGAAGGATGAATGGGAATTTTCCAGGGAGATAATTAGGGAAGGGCTTTTCAGTCCAGAAAGTTAAGAGCGTGCACAAAGCCTAGAAGTTTGGAGGAGCAAATATGCAGGAACTAAAAGTAGTTAGCAACTGCTAGGCTATAAAATGGGTTAGGAGAGGATCAAGTGGGAAGAGAGGAAGGTGGGATGATGGAGAAGTTTGCAAGAACCAGATGGTGCAGAACTTTGTGTTTCATGCTGAGCAGTATGACTTGACCCAAACGGTAATGTGCCACTGAAGTCGGTCTTTTTATTCTAATAATTTCTGATTTTGTAGCTAAAGAAGTAGAGAGCAATTTAAGATTTTTAAATGTCTCATCTTAAACCAGAACAATCTGTTTATACTTTTGCTATACTAAACATGCTATGGAAAAACCAACACTGATTATGTGATGTTACCTTGGAGACGTGAAAATTATTTTAAGAAGCAGGCTGATTGCCTTGTCCATAGCTCAGTCCCACCAGGGCCCAATTATTTCTCTGATATCACATACATCTTTCATCTATTTAGTTCTGGGAAATGGTGACATTTTTCATGCCACAGCAAAATTGTATGTATTTTAACACTGTCAAGCAATTTGCATTTTACACAGATTCAACATCCGTATCTTTTTCAAGCCATTGCATGCCATTTGATTTAGGAAAGCCATTAAGCCATATTGCATAATTTATATGTTAAGGTTTAAAATATAGACGTTAATTTGATAGCTAACCATTACCTTCCCTCTGCAGGCCAAACAGTCCCAAGTGGCCTCAGGTCAAACTCTAGGGACCTTCTCTTTTTCTGTAGTTCTGTCAGCACTGCAAACACAACCATATTGGCAAGTGAGCCTTGAATGGCAGAATCGTGTGGAATTATTAAATAACAACTGAGGTCAAATTACTTCCATGCACTTATTAAAAATAAACGCTTTTACTGATGTGCAACACAGATACAAAAAAAATACAAAGAAGTATATAGCTAGACGAGTTATCACAGAATAAGTACCCCCTGTAATCACCACCCAAGTCTCAAAATAAAATATTACCAGCACCCCAGAAGCCTCATTCATATCTATCCCCCACCTCCCAGTCAGTTTGATCTTTCTTCTTCCCACAGGTAATCATTATCTAATTTCCACCATCATAGATTACCTTTTCTCATTTTGGGTTATTTTAGTATTATTGTTTTGTACCTGGCAATATTAGTTCAATTTATTCATGTTGTTGTAAATATACCACAATTTATAAGTTCACTTTATTTTTCATAGACTTTGGGGATGTTTGGGGCTATCATAAATAATATGACTACAGATATTCTTAACACATGGTTTTTGGCATGCATATGTGTGCATTTCTGTGGGATGCATTTCTAGAAGTGGAAATGCTAGATCATTCAGCATGCTTATATTTAACTTTAATAGGTACTACCAAATAGCATTCCAGAGTGTTTTTACAATTTTGATTCTTATCAACAGTGTATATATCTCCTCTAGATCCACACCAATACATTTTTCATTTTCATTTTAGACATTCTATAAGGTGTATATCTTGTTTGGTTCTAACTTGTATTCCTCATATGACTAAGTTGAACATCTTTTTATATGTTTATTGATTCTTTGGATATTCTTTTTAGAAAGAGGCTGTTTTAGTCTTGAACCCACTTTTTTATTGCATTAATCTTTTACTGATTGATTTATTGAAGGTGTTTTATATATTCTGGATACTAGTCCTTTGCATATTTTGCAAATATATTTTTCTTGTATGTGATTTGTTTCTTAACTCCCTTCATGGTGTCATTTGATCAACAGAAACTTAATTTTAATGTAGTCCAATGAATTTTTTTCCTTCATGTTTAGTGTTTTTTGTACTTTGCAAGAATTGTCTTCACATCCTATCTGTGTACTTTGAAAGGGAGTATTGAATAGCTTATTTTTTTTCCTCAGAAAGTTTACTTGCTTTTTTATTGTTTGTAACCAATTGGAGATTAACGTGGGCAAGGTGCTTTTGCAGATGCTAGGACCCTTGGGTCTGCATAAACTCAGATTGATTTGTTTCTTTAAAGAATGTTTCGTTTGAACTCAATCTGTTTGAGAATCAGAGATTCTCTGTAGCCATTTGGTCTATCAATGCCACCTCTCAACTGGCATCAGGGAGAAATCAGACATCTTCAGTCCATACCTGATCATCTAATTTGTCTCATAAGGAAGGAGAGAAAGAGCAAGGGGTTATGCCTATGAAGAATAACTCCCATAGCAAAGTCATCTCTCATTCTATTGCCAGCAGTGGGGTATGTGAGACAGGCTCCAAGTACCAAAACCACTTGTAAGAAGGGGTGTCAGGTGAGCACATCCACTTGTGTTTTCAGAGAAAGGTGAGCCTGAATTGAATATCAGGAAGAACTAGAAGGAGATTTGGGCCAATCCAACAGGGAGGGAGTGGTTGTAATTTCCTGTGGCTGGGCTTAAATATGTTTCTGGAGCAAGTCACATGAGGAGAACAGTGTCTTGGAACACGTCTGGAAATACTCATTGTCAGATACTTTCCCCCACATAATTTTTCTTTACATGTTAGACATTTCTATATCAATAAAATTCTCTTAACATTTAATATAGTCATTTTAAACATGACCATAATGTTAAAGAAATGTGATTCTCTTCCTCAATCTCCCATAAACAAGAAAGTACTTTGCATTTCTGAGTTCTATTTCTATTAAGAGGGTATTAGCATTGTGCTTCCCTAAGTACAGCAGGAAAATGTGTGATTCTGTGTTTTTTCTTCATCATTAGAGATTGTTATTAATAGTCTTCTAGGGGCACTAGCACTATTTCTTGTCAGAAAGGAGAAGGCCAATGAGTCTAAAATAGCTCTGCTTTTCCCTGCCCCTGGCCTTATACAGAATACTGTTCCTCTTTCAGGAAGTGTGGTCCTATAATCCTGTCTGGCCTTAGTTGGCAGTCATTCTCCACATTGGCAGCCAAATGGTAATATGTCTTCTGTGTCTTTTATCTGGTGGAAAAACCTTTATGAGTCTATCGGCCTCCAAAGGAAAGACTGGTCAAGCAACTATCTGGTACTCTTGGTCAGAATGCTTGGCCACTGTTTCCTGTGTGGCCATTAACATAACTTTCTTCCCCCAGTTTTCAGTCATTTCCTGTTCCCACTTACAACCTTTGGCACCTCCTGGCATCAGCTAGTATCTTCCTTTTATGGCCTTTGTCTGCCTTTGGGTCCCTGCCTCTTGGATCACATGTTGTTCTGTCACTGCTTCTTGGGATGGCAGAATCTCTCTACTTAAAGGCAAGTGAGGCTCAAAAATGCTGTCTATTAGTAGTGGTGGGATGGGGCACAAATGCTTCTTTTTCCATCACTCCCCACTTCTCTTCTTACCACATTCTACCTTTAATTATACTAAACTATTTTTAGACATCTAAATACCTCTTCCACCCTACCCCTTCTTCTGTCACTCTTATAGGTGATGGTGACCTAGTACACACTGCCTCTTCTGCTTTGAACCTTTTCACATCCCTCTCCTCTCATCATCCGTTCCCTATATTTATCTTTCACAATCCACTTCAGGCACGGAGCCTCCCAGAAGCTTTCTTCATTACTTTTCCAACCCAACCCTGATCCCCTAAGTTGTCTCTGAAGACATTTCTATGGATTTCCAGAGCTCACTGTGTGTATGCTGCCTGACACTCCTCACACTGTTTAGTTATGTGCCTATTCACCTGTCCCCCATACTAGACCCTCAGTTCCTTGAAGTCAGGAATCCCATATTTTTACTTGGGTTAGCAGCTCCTATACCAATGCCCAACATATTTGACTAGCACACAAAATATGTTTACTGATTGATGAATGATGACCTAAAAAATGTACTCTGAAAGAAACAAAATATCTTACGGATTAATGCTGAGCTCTTTATAACTAATTTATAAGTTTATTTTGGATCTTTTCAAATATCTCCCCCCAGCATTCTACTAACACTTCTCTGTACACATGCTAATAGAGAAAGAAACTGAATTTTTTTAAGCCTTTTTAATAGAGAAAAAGAACATTAATTTGCTTTCAACAAATTTCAAATTTGTGAAAATGTAGTTAAGGACTGATCTTAAGTTTAGCAAATATGTTTTCAAAGATGATACCTTTTAATTTTGTATTGTACGTGAGAACATTTAAATTATTCAGAAGATGAATATTTTTCCTATTAGTTTAGGGAAAAAATATTCTTATATATTAAATTTATAAAATATAAAATAAAATTTGTAGAATAAAGAGGGAAGCCAAAGGCTTCTGCTAAGTAACATTTTTCTAGTTGTTAGCTTATATCCTTGAAAACAGTAGTTCAATTTCAGAATCTTTTGGTTATCTCAGATAACATAAACAGATTCCAACCAGTAAATAATAATGAATTTTTGTATAATGAAACGGCCTTTAAAGTAGAATTCTACGATTAGTTAGCTGTGTGGCTTTAAGCAACTTAACCTCTATAACCCTAACTTCTTCATGTGAAAAATGTAATTACTCTAAGAATTATATGGGGAAAAATATATAATACCTGGCCCAGTGTGCCATGCAGTGCTAGTAGAAGATATTGTAATTATACTAACATGATCCAAATTAGTGAGGGTGTTTTATGTTATCTAAGTTTTCCTAGGTATGATTATGATTACAATTATATTCTCAAGTCTGGCAAAAGATAAACAATGCCTCCTATTTTTAAGTGTTAGAGTCCATGAAATACTAATTTGCCCTATGAGCAGACATGTGTTTGTTGCTGTTATTATTTTGATTATTATTATTATTATTATTATTTTTGTCTAACAGGTATCTTTCCCTTTGGGAATTTTTGTTTTTGTTTTCGGTATGGATCAGATGGGCTCAACCCTGCCACCTCACCCCTCATCCACAGGTATGAGTTCAGTATCCAGATTCATTCAACAAGAATAGCATGTCTCCTTGCTTATTGGTTCAGTGATGGATTCATAATCCAAACAAGGCCAATCAGAACCTTCCCTGTTAATGTGTGTGATACAGGGACATTGGGAGAAAGTATGACTCTGTTCTTCTCAAATCAATAGCTACCATAAACTAGAACTGCTGACAGCCATCTTCTACGGCTACATGGAAGTGACTATCTAAAGGAAGATAAAATTAAGCCAAAACACAGGAAAAAGAGAGGTGAGAGCCAGAGAGATAAAAATAAACCCTGGACCAAACTGTTGACACTCTATTTATACTGGGCACTACAATTCCTTTTTTTTTTTCTTGTACTTAAGATATAAATTATTATTCTGTCATTTTCAATACAAAGGGTCTTTACTAATACACCTCAAAGCAGCAAGAAACTGCTGCAGAAGAAGATAAAAGTAAGGCAGTAGAAGATAAAAGTAAAACAAAAACCTTGATGATCAGTACAATTATTCCTAATTAAATATTCATATTCCAGAACAACTTTTAATTTTATTAACATACATCCTCATATAACTATGAAAGAATTCACCCACAAATATCCAAACTCTCAAATATCCATTCTTTTCATCAACAGTTCCAAGTTATAAAAAATGTATTTATAGGTAGTGACTCTGATATTAGAAGAAAAAGAAAACTTGGCTATGCTCTTTATCCTCTAAATTTGGTATTTCCTATCCCAAATTTACAAACAGAATAAATGGATCTCTCCTCTTTCTTTCCATTGATTCCCAAATAGCCCACTCCTTCAGATGTGTATCCTATTCAATATCCTAAAATTCTCAGCAGTCTTTGGATTCAAAGTTCAAAACAAAGTGAAACTGAAAATTCTCAAGAGGGGACAATAATGTGATGGAAAGGAAGAAATGTTACTGTTATTCCTGCCATGGATAAAAGTAGAGCCTACTCTCTTACATTCATGTAAAATGGTTTTTGTTTCTGTCTTCTCTATTATAGCCTGAATTATATATTAGTCAAGAACTAATATATTCAAAGTCTTGGTGACCAATATTATTCTAGGATTAGAGGATCACCCACCTTCTAAAAGTCTTTCTTCTTGTCCGTTTTTTCTTTAGAATACTTCCAATTAATGCTTAATGTGTGTTCTCAGAGACTGTCTTCTCAGCTGCAAGATGATGGACACTGCTTACTTCCTCTCTTGCTTGCTACTTACCTCCCACCCCAATGACATGTGGCAATAGCAGGTCCTTTTCATTATCTACTGACTCCAATCTTTTCTTTTTCCCTTGTTAACAAAATTCTGACCTTGTTCAGAATGGCAATGTTCTCACATTCACAGGGATGAGCAGTTGATTGGTCAATGCCAGTTATGGCAGACTTGTTTCCAGCTGTCTTAGCTCTTCAATACCCAAATGTGGTCATGTGACCCAAATGTCAATTGACTCTGAAGTGGTTCTGGGAAGGCTTCTGATGCTGATGGAAAGAGATACACTCTGTTATGAGCCCTCCCATTTCTTACTTCTTCCTAGCTTCGACATGAATTTGGAATATAAACAGCAGCTGCCATAGTGCTATATGAGCTATGGACATGAGGATGAAAGCCAAAATGCTAAAAACTGCAGAACACAAAGGTGGAAAATCTGGGTCTGTGATGTTGTTGAGTAGTTAACTAGTGTAGAAGCTAGCTGGCTCCATATTTCTTGGCATGTAACGAAAATACACTATTTTTCATTTAAGGTGCTGTTATCAAGTCTCATTTGTAGCCACACACCCAGTAATAATGTCCACATATGCTATTTAGGACTTCTCTGCCTAGAAAACCGAGAGGATGCCTCACTACCTCATGTTGGATGTCGTCCTCTCTGCAGGTCACTGATACCAGCTGGGCTTAGGCTTCTGTGTCCCCTGGGCACCATTTTCTCCTCTGAGCCTACCTGTTACCACCACTAGACATCAATTATTTATATGACAGCCTGGATGGTACTCTTTATTTTTCATGTTGGTTAAAGCAGAGAGCACACACAGCAATAAAGACCGGTCCCCAGAGTGAATATTCTCAAGGTGCAAGATGAATTTGGACTGGAATCAGAGAACAAAAGTGAGTCAGGTTTGCACAGCAGTGATTCCCATAAAAACGGAGATCCAGTTGACAGAAATAGTTCAGGACTAAACTGAGACGTACTAATACATTGTTCCCCTTCAAACCAAAAATATTTAACTATCTATTCAACAGTAGAGACAACGGGAGAAACTGATTTCCTGTTAATAACATCATACACTAAAAGAGGTAACATGCTAAATGCACTTCTACCAACTTAGGCAGATTCAGTCTTCTGAAGATGAAAAATAAGAAAAATATTTCTGTCTTCTGTTTTTGTCATCGTTGTTGTTGTTGGTTTTGGTTTTTGTCAATTTTCTGAACCAGAAAACTTTCTGTGAACTCCACTAAAAGGTTGAACAGTTGGATAATAAACTATGTATTCACTTCAAATAGGCTTGTGCCATGCATTCTTTCATTTCAGAAATTTCAGCTGTAATTGCTGATTTCAGGCAGAGTATTCAACAGGATAGGCACCGTCAAGCAGGGTTGTTTGTATTTCCTCTTGGCAGAGCAATACCAGTTTGCATTTTGTTCATCGAGTGCAGGTGGAAACCTGAGTTAACCGGCACCTGTTCCTGATTTACTCTGTTGATGCCTTAGCATTCCTTAACAACTGATATCCTTGGCAGTTGTCTGGTTGGCGTGCCCCTTAACATAGTTCTAAATGAGTCACTGTTGTAGGAGAAATGCAGAGGAAGAAGAAAGAGGGCATCTACAATGCCGAGAGGGAAATCCCGTGGACAGCTGGGTGCTGAGCTCTCTTCGTGTGGGTGTTTCTGCCTGCAGGCCTGAAAGGAATAAGCACAACTCCCAACAGAGTTTATCATATCACCACAGGGTATATCCTGATTTGAGCTTGTTACAAAAATCCAGAATCTTCAACTAAGTCGACAGCAACAAAATAATGTATTTCCCTAATTTCTTTATTCTTCTTCATTTTAATAATTAAGACAGTTAAATATATTTATTGGGAATTTAATGTATATTAAGCACTGTTCTAAAAACCATAGGTGATATAGCAAATGTATCTCAGAATTTCCAGCTGAATAACAACAGGATTGAAATTAAAAGTGAATGTGATAATAATCGAATGAAAACAAAATGCTGTTGATGGCAAAACAAAAATGAAAATGAGCACACCCAAGTTAAATATTTGCACTATTTGTCAAATTCAACAGCACTGGTTCCACTTGGTGTGCTGAGTATGTTGTTTTAAACTGAGAAATATAACCCTCTACTAGCCTCTAGCTAACAGTAGATGAATAAAAAGGATTTAGGCCCATTCAATATTCTAGAAGTGAGAAATAATGTATAATGTTTTAAGAAATGAATTTCCAACAACTTTCTACAACTGAGCTGACATTCAGCACACAAGTCCACATTTATTAGACTCCAGGAAACTATCATAACTGGAGGAAAAGCAAAATAATCAAAGATACACATTTTTAAACTTGTGCAAAAATCTGAGAAGTATCAGTTTATTACTGAAATTTGTGGCCATAATTTTAAAAATATGTTTTCACCAAACTAGTTCTGACTGTATTAGGTCAGTCAGAGAGAAAGGATGGTTCTATTGTAAGAAAGGTTGTTAGGAAGAAGAATTTCTTCAAGACTATAAGCAAGTGCTGCTGTCAAGTGGAAATGAGGGTGTTTGCTCCATGGAAATGATTGGGTCTTTGAAGTGGCATCACAGAAGTCTCTTTGCATTACTGTGTGTCACAGTTTCACAAGAGAGGCCTTAAGTTTTCCTAACCAAAAGAAAATAATAATGATAATGGCAAAAATATCCTTTGGAAAGAATCTAGAAATGAATTTCTTCTGGTGGGCAAAAGAATAATAAAGCTAAACACCATAGTTCATATACACAGATTATCAGTTAACATATGGCTGAGTAATAAATAATCTTCACTTTATAGAATAGCTGAGTTTAAGTAAGATCAGATTAAAAACATTATTCAGAGAGTCTTATTTTTGATATTTCCTTAACATTAAAGTGTATTTTTTTGTTGTTGGGAAAAAATAATGTCCTTGAAGACTCACATTAAACACTTTGATGAAAAAACATAACTTAGTGGCCATGGCCATGCTATGCTCACTACCATGTTTTACCAACAGTACAGCTCTATGAAGAGAGAAAGTTCTTTCTTAGCAATCCACACATATTTTTAAATCAAATTATTTTTATTCTGTTCTTTCACAGCTTTGAGAGATTCCTTTAGATACCTTGCAATTCCTCCCATCCCTGTTCTCCCAGCCTGTTTATATATTCTCCCTGCTGTATCTGGTATATCTGTAGCACTGCATGCAAGGGTTTCTGAAATGGTTGCATGGTCTTTTCTCCCCAATTATTGGTTACATGTTTACAAATGTATACGTAGTTAGGTAACTTTAGCTGTTGAACAAATAAATTCCAAAATTTCAGTAACTTATCACAATACAAGGTTATCCTATGCTCCTGTATTGTATATGTCCCTGGCTGGAGGGCAGCCTTCTTCCAAAAGATGATTCCAGGACTCCAGGTTGTTCCATTATTCGGGTCTGCCATCCTCTCCAGTCTCCAGTGCAGAAGGCACATTTCCTTCTTGACAGCCTTGCATGGAAGTGAGTCACAATACTTCTTCTGCCTTTCCATTGGCAATATCTTTTTGTATGGTCCAACCTACATGCAAAGGGTAGGTAGAGTAACCACCAGCTGGGCAGCTTCTTTCCAGCCATGACTCTCCCACTAAGAAAGAGGAAACATCAATTTCTATTAAATAGTTAAATATTTCTACCCCTCCCCGCCCCAATTTGCAATAGAATTAGGCTACAAATATACACTGTCAGAAAGTAACATCATTGTCAATCATAGACTCCAATCTCAAAAGGCCTTTATATCCAAGAGTCTAAGTTATGTTAAATTAATTTGAGATAAGGAAATACATTAAAATGTCTATAGTACTTTAGCTTTCCCTATGTCAGCAAATCAGTAACTTTGAAAACATGAAGATGCCTGTAATAAGAAAAAAAGAATTCATTTATACAAGAAATGTGTATTGAACACCGATTATGTCTTAAGAATTAGATGAGCTGGGCTGAAGACAATAAGAAATATAAAATCCTATCCATGGTCTTGAATTGCTCTTAGGAAAGTAGACAGAATTGTTTTTTGTGGGTTTCTTTTTTAAAGGTAGGGTGTATGTTTCTTTGCCATATTTTACCTATAAATTTGTGAAAGGCGAATATTTGACTTTCACACATATTTTTTGAGTCAAATATATCCAAACCTGCTCTACATAAACTTAATCACTTAAATCTGGGCACAAATTCCAAAGCAAATTTATGAATCCTGTACAAATTTTAAAAACAGTATATAAACTGTCCTCTGTATCAGATCCTTCATTTAGTATTATTTGTTATTGCTGCCTCTAAATGTCAAGGGTGTCTGGTTAAGCCAAAGCTAGAAATGAGATATGGCTGGTGGGTTGAGCTAGCTGAACGGTACCCCTCTTGTCTGTATACTTCCATTAGCTGACTGATGTAAGAAAATGGGGAATTTACATCATGCCTTCCAGAATAGGTGACTCAATGGAATTCAAATTGCCAGGAAAGTGTGGATATCCCATCCAAATAAAAGAGAATTTGAATATGGTTTGCTTTTCTGAGACTGGACTCTGGAAGCTGGAGGGGAGCAGAGGTTCTGAGGTAGGTGTGATAGTCAGTACTTGAACATGACATTACTCAGATTCCTAGATAGCATGGGAACTCTGGGGAGAAGATGGACTCTGTGTATACCATTTCACTAAATACTGTAACATGAACCTCTGCTCTAAAACCTTTATAAATGAGCTACCCCCACTTGGCCGAGTTCTGCCACCCTTTTCCCAACTATTCCTCTGCTGATGTGTAAGAGCTCTGGCCCTGCCAAGGTGAAGACCTCAATATCTGTGCTAAGTACCAGGGCTGCCTATACATTATGGGAACAGTCAGCAGTCACTAGCAAAGTAAGAATTCTTCCTCTTTTTGTATAATGTTCATTTGGTAGAAAATTCCTGTAGCTTATATATAAATCTCCTGTTGTTTCTTGGTATTGACACAAACATTATACTTGGGATATTGTGTCAAGCTAGATATGGAATCAGACCAATGTGCAAATTCTGGCCCCACCACCTGCTGCTTATATGATCATTCTCTTCCCGAGCCTCAGTTTTCTCATGTTTAAAAAGGTATAACAATAATATTTCCCTTAGAGGTTTTTCTGTTTGTAAAGCATAAAATATTATATAATTTAAATGAATTATCTCCTTTTTGCCATTGATGTTAATTGTAAAGACAAACAGGAAAAACAATTTTATGAGAATAAAGGCTTCTCTGAAATTTTTGTTCCTCAGATATATTAGTCAAATGTATTCTAGACAGCCAAGTCATTTTCTTTTCACTACAGACTTAGTATTTTATTACTTTTGGTGAAGAATAGAGACAACAGGATTACGAGAGAAGCATTAGCCATGACTGAAAGAGAAAGTATAGAAAAGGTCCTCATGTGGGCATTTCTAGGTGAACAATGTTACAGAAATGGTCCAATTAGTGTGAACTTTATAGAAAATGTTAAATGATCCTCAAAGTGACAGATAATACATTTTGATACAGTGTGGTAGGAAATATCTACTTTTAAATGAAATGATTTAGGAATCTATTTTCAATCTGAGACAAACTCATAATTCACAGGAGCTCATCATAAATTATTAGCGCTTAGAATCTTGTTTGCAGCTAATATAGGAAATTGGAGACATTCTTCAAGAACACTTTGTACTAAGTTGTAACTTCTTTTCTGAAAGCATAGAATATGAGTGACTGTACTACTGGCATGAACTTGGATGTCACCTTCAAATGTATACTTGATAATTTTAAAACAGAATATACCTTTTGGGAAGTTCCACAGTTAGCTTAAACTAGAGACCAACTCTTAGAATAAAGTTTCTCTTTCAGCATTAATGCAATAAATGACATCCTAATTATAAGACAATTAATATTGCTCACATTTTATTATTCTTGTGCTTACTTTACCTGAGCCTACAGTTTTTGTTGATTTGTAGATATTGCTAATGAGACTGAAGTTAGGAGTCTGATCTCTGAGTTTGACAACATTGTATCCTAAACAAGGAACAAGTGAAAAGAATTTCGAGGAGTTATCACAAGCCAATACTATAACTAGAAAAATATTTCAAAATGAATTTTCTACTGATGATGATCAGTAATATCACTGTAGCATGCACAGATTGACTCTTGAGCCAGATTCTCTTTTCTTAATATTTATTTTATTTTTAAAATTTCCTAGTGAGCAAATCCATTTTTGACAGCTTGTTCTTCAATTTCATTTACATGACACTCTACAAAGCTTAAAAATAATTTTTTAAAAAACAAGAGATAAATTAACAAATTGTAACTGTTCTTTTTCTAGAAAGTTCCTGAAACTTTCTAATGAGTTTAAGGTAATTTAACACACAATGGGCTAAGCAGTAATGGAGGAGGAAAGGAGAAAAATGCAGGTTAATCTCACATACAACATCCCATCCCTTTGTAGACAATATTAGTTTATCCTAAAAATTAGAAATTTAGAGTTTATAAGACAAGAAAATCTTATATCTTATCAAATTGAAAAATCACATTAATATTACCCTGCTAATGATCTCAAATTTGTCCCCCAGCTTCCATTGTCCTGCATCTACTTTGATCATTCATTATATCTGCACCGTTACCATGGCTTCCTAACAAGCCCCCTACCTCTTTCTCCTCTCACCATCCTTCCACTGCTACCATCTGATCACATTCCCATCTCAAGTGAAAACCAGAGATGGCTTCTGCTGCCTATAGGTTGAAATATCAACTACTTACCTGGATTTTCAAGGTCTCCTTAGCGAGACATCATCCAGCCTTCCTAGTTATATGCTTTTCTTGGATTCTAATATCAATTATCTGTCCTAGACTTATTAGAAATAAAGATTGATGTGATTAAATTGCATATGATTAAAAATATCTCTAAGGCATCTTGCACTGTCTCTACAACATAGTAGGTATTAATAAATTATAACTGCTATTGTGTTTGCTGTTAGTGTTATTATTCTTTACTCTCTCTGTCTGAAATGCTTGCTCAAGTCTTATCCTTCTTCAAAACTCCCCAATTCCAAGGATCAGTTTTCTTCTTCATTGTCCCACAGAATATTGAAACCTCTTTTATAACTTGTATCTCTTATAGCAGTATTTTTTGTTATCTATATTTTCATCAGGATAATGAGTTTCTGGGCAATAGAAACCATGTTTCCACCTTAGCATTCCTCACAGCTTCTACAGTAATGTTTTGAATGTAGCAAGTACTCAATAAATGTTTTTTGGGGGTTGAAGGTGTGGCATAAGAAAACCAATATAAATTATATAATGCATCCAAATAAATTGTCAATTCATTTTACAAAGTGTGGCTATGGTGACCAAATAATGTATTGCCACAAACAGAGACATTTTGAGAGTGACAGAGAATGTTATTGATAATGTTATAAAGACAACACTGGAATGTGTGATCATCTAGATAGAACAAAACTACATGAAAACACAAGTGATTATCGAAAAGAATAAGCAAGTGCATTACCCCCTTCTTTTTTGTTATAATGAAACAACCCTGTTTGAGAGAAGATTAGGTATGATCAGGTTTGTAAAACATGGAGAAGCCCTAATAGAAGCAATTGGAGTAAGTGCCACTGTTTGAAGATGCCTAGAATTAGCTGAAATTGACCAGTCTACAGAGAATTGAAAATGAGCTCCCTTTTCTCAAGTGCTTGGGATGGAGAGTAAGAGTAAAGTTTTTAACACTTGCCTGCTATGCTGAACAGGAGTGTAATGAGAGAGTGTCCTCAGGCACAGAAGTGTGCCGCCTCTGTAGTGTAAAATCGTTGGCTCAGCTTTCTTCTCTCACATTCCAGAATTTCTCAAGCTGTGGCCTTCATGGCTGTGTGCATCTTTCCATTTTGTACCCTCCTCTCTCCTTATCTTTTAATCCAGAAGCCACAGTACCTCTAGACAAGTATTATTACTTAAGGCTGCATGGCTGTTTTTTGAAGGTTTTATCCCAGTCTCTGCAGATCCTAAGTGATCATCTTCTCACCCATAGTGGTGTTGCCTACGGAGTGTGAAGGAAGAGTCTTTTCCAAAGAGGGGCGTGGTACCACTTGGGGGATGTGACCCTGTGGTGGTTAGGGCAGGAGTACACGACGTCAGAGAACCCACAGCATCCATGCTGGAGTCAGAGGACGGTAATGAAGTAGGAAGCAATGCTTTCTGTCCCAGTTCTTCCAGAGATAGGGCCTCAAGTGAGGAGTTTAGCGTGGCCCTTTACATTTACTGGGTGAACAGCTGGTCAGTCAGCCAGTGTCCAGCAAGAACACAGAGTGATGGTTTCACGCATACTTCCATGAAGGGCCATTAGTGTAGTGTAGAGGAAAGCCTGAACTGAGCACCAGGAAACCGAGAGAGGAGGATCTAACCTAGGCCAGGCCACCAAACAGCTGTGTGACTTTGAACAAGTCACTTAACATCTCTGTGCCTTAAGTCATAAAAGATAGTAACAATCATTGACTATGTCATTTAAAAACTATATGAGGCCAGATGTGAAATAACTTGTAAAACTGTAAATCACTTCAAACC
This sequence comes from Homo sapiens, assembly GCF_000001405.40. Taxonomy (NCBI): domain Eukaryota; kingdom Metazoa; phylum Chordata; class Mammalia; order Primates; family Hominidae; genus Homo; species Homo sapiens. The sequence continues at coordinate 180,299,858 of NC_000003.12, read as the reverse complement.
TCTTGTTCCTTATTATTGAAGTAGGCAGCTTTATTCCCTATACATTATACTGTGAAGTCTTTGAGATATAATTGTTTCTTTTACATACTGTTCTGAGTGCAATTAAGCTGTTTCTTTCATGACTGCCACTTTTTGGCCACATTACCTCAAGACAAGTATTATTATTTAATGAAAAACAGTAAATGGATTTTGCTTTTCAAATTAAGAAAATTAACTTGAGATAATATGGCTTTTGACAGCAATAACACTTGTGAGCCAAGCTGTCTAATTTGGAATGCAGGAACACTCAACTATGTGGATTTAATTGATTCTGGAAAACCAGTCCATTGTTTTGAAACATGGTGTTATCTTAATATATCTAATTTCATTAATAGTTTTAGGGAAAAACATCAGACTTATCATACAGTTTGGCTCCTCTAGTCAAATGTTCTGTGATCTCTGACAACTCACTTAACATCTCTAGATTTTAATTTTATTTGAAAATCACTTGGAGTAGTTAATATCTAAAATCCTTCCTAGTTCCAAAATCCAGACTATTTCACAATTGTTACAATTTTATGTTATTTTTATTTCTTGTAGAGATCAAGGGTTGCAGGTGAAGGGAGTCTGGCTATGTGGCACAGGCTGGTCTTGAACCCCTGGCCTCAAATGATCCTCCCTCCTTGGCCTCCCAAAGTGCTGGAATTACAGGTGTGAGCCACCATGCTTGGCCCCATTATAATTTTTTAAACAGTTTTTATATATTTTTTCTTTTATTAAAATAATAAATGCTTGGTTGGAATTAATTTACCCAGAATCAAGCAAATGACAGCCCAGTGATGGTATTTATAAAATGAAGTTGTCAAAATGAAAGAACGACTTTTTGGAAAAAGAGTATTAAAGTCTAATTGACTTTGAAATAACCTGCCTAGGCACGACTCACAAATTCTCCCCAAAGCAACATTCTTTAAACTGTTTGCTTAGTATGTAAATTAAAATCATCATTAAAAGACCGGTGGCCATGTGGCAGCTCTATGATTAATGATTTCCACAGCCGAAGTGGAGCCCTTAGTTAATTAGCCTGCCTGATCTTTTGCTCCTTGTGCTTTCTGGGATAGAGCTGGGTGCAGATGTGCTTCCCTGGGGGACAGGAAGGAATCCTCAGTGGTAGGGACCAAACTCTTTAGCTGACCTCAGTGATCTGATCTCATCCACCTCCTCACTTCATCCTTTTTAGCTAAAGGAAGGTCATTCCTTGAAAGACAAGGTGATAATGGCCCCAATAGGAGAAGCAGAGTTATTATATCATCATACTCCTTCCCTGATGAAAATCAAAGTAATAAATTACTTAGCAAGAATTAAGCAAGAAAACATACTTAGCAAGAATTAAGAAAAAAGTAAAGCAAATTTCAAACTAGTTTTCATTTAAAAGGACGAAGTCCATATTCTTTCTTTTTGCACATTTGCCTCTTTGCTTTTGCTTCTTTGTCCCTATCCTTATGGTAGATACCTGAGTATGGTGGGAAAAACCATCTCACAATTGCACAATATATCCATGTAACAAACCTGCATATGTACCCCCTGCATCTATACTAAGAAATTTTAAAATTTTAAAATTTTTAAAATAAACAAAAAGTAGTCTCTTGGCTTTCTTACTAACTTGTTTTGTAATTTTGGCAAGTGAGTACCTCTCTGAAATTCTGTTTCTTTGTAGGCAAAAAACATTTCTGGCTTTAAAATTTCTTCAACTCAGTGACTCCATAACTCCTTTTATCTTACTGGAAAAAAAAAAAGTGAAAAAGAATATTCATGAAGTCTCAAGGCCCAGGCAGCTGTAGGTCAGAAATTGGTAAGGCAAAGATTTAAGAAGACAAAGCAGAGAGGATTGGGGAATGGAAGCCTCAGGTTGTCTGTAGCCAGGTCAGCAAGACCTGGAGGCACTGGTAATATCAGAGCTGTTTACACTTTCACCGGACCACTGTTGTTTCTATCCTGAGCACTTGGATTATTGAAAAATTCAGTTCTGAAAATGTTAACCTAGACTCACGATTCCAATCATCTTTTCCATTTCTACTCTTGGATTGCCAAGCTTTCATGACAAAAATCATGTAAAATTCATGAAAAATCTGTGGTTTTCAACCCTTTAGCAACCACCTTAAACCCCATGACACCTTTTCTCTCTCACCTCTTTCCCTGAGCAGATAACTTCCCCTTAACCTCATAGAAAACAATAGACATTTTTTACCAGGAACTCTCCAATGTTTTCCTTTCTGTTAACTAATTTCTCCCAGCATTTAATATGGTTGTTTTACTTTCTTAAAAAGTAGTCCTACATTCTCTTGGGATTACTTCACTATTCATTTCCCTTTCCTTTCATAGCCAAGCTCCTAACAAAGAATTTTTTTTATCTTTCTTCTTCGTCTTCTACTTCTCAATCACTTTCTGTCTAGATTTGGGTTTCCTCAGAAGCAGACTCCGGGAAAAGGACTCAAGTGCAAGTAGCTTATTTCAGTGATGATCCCAGGAAACACCTTAGGGGTAGAAAAAACTAAGGAAAGAGAACACCAATACAGGGTATGCAATTGAACAATCACCTTGTGCTGATAATTCTCAAATCTTTTCCTCCAGGGTACATTCCAACTTCCAAGTCCATGTTTATAAATCTACCAAATGTCCCTAAGTGAATGTCTATTCAACTCAAACCCAGCATCTGCAAATATTGTTATCGTGGATTCAAGGCCTGGCTTTCGTAATTCCTACATCTGTGACATTGAGCAAGTTTTTTTTTTCTTTTTTTATTTTACTTTAAGTTCTAGGGTACATGTGCACAACGTGCAGGTTTGTTACATATGTATACATGTGCCATGTTGGTGTGCTGCACCCGTTAACTCGTCATTTACATTAGGTATATCTCTTAAGAGCAAGTTATTTAACCTCTGCAAGCCCTAGTTTATGCCTCCATAAAAACAGGGACAATATTAGTCTTCTCCGTATATGTTTGAGGGTAAATGAGGCTGTTTGTATTAAGCAGTAAGCAGAGTGCCTAGTACATAAGAAGTGATCGATAATTATTAACTGCCAATATTAACATAATAATGACTTTTTCCACAAACCAATTTCTTCTCATACATTCCCCATCTTTGTTAATGCTGTTGCCATCTGCCCACTTGCATCAGACATTTTCAAATCATTCCAGAATCTTTCTTTCTCAACATCAGGCACCATATTCTGCCAATTCCATCTGCCACATATTTCTTAATTTTGTCATTTTTTTCTTCATTGTTTTTCCTCTGTCTCGATGCCAGCCCTCATCACCTCTTGCTTAAATTAGAATTCCGTAGGTTATTCTCCATGTCTACAGTGCTGAGCATAGTGTATGACACAAAATAATTACTTAATGTTTGAATGAATGAATATCATCAAATCACCTCTGTTATAACAAATGGTACCAAAATCCATCTCTGCGTAGGACTCTTCCTTGATTCCACTTTTTCTTCCATGGCACACTTTTAACCCATGAGTAGCTCTATAACTTCTACCTTCAAAATACACTCAGAGTCTAAGTATTTCTCAGCACCTCCCCTACTAAAGTTCCTAGTCCAAGAACAGATTGTTACCTGTCCACCCAGACTTTTGTCCCCTGCTTTTCGATGTATCTACTACATGGTAACTGAGGCAATCAGAGTATAAATAAGATCTTACCATACCTTGTTTAATACCTTCTTGTGACTTCTCGATATCATCTACAAGAACTCTGAAGCCCCCTATTGACTTTTGTCACCTTCTCACTTTCCACTTGTCATCCTACTCATTTTGCTTTGGCCACAATGGCCTTTGTGCTGTGCCTGGAACTCACCAAACCTGCTTTTGCAGTTGCTGTTTTCCTGCTTGGAACATGCTGCCCGAGTCTCCACACAGCTGCATACTTCTCAGCAACACTGCATACTTGTCTCATTATCTCATTTATATCTTTACATCTTATTGTCTATCTCCCTAACCCCACTCCTCAAATGTAAACTACTTGAAGCAAAATTTATGTCTCATTTATCACTGTCTCCCATAACCCAGAACAGTGCCTAGCACATAGTAGGAACTCAATAAGTAAATATTAAATACTAACTTTTTTCCAAACTAGATTCATTTAGGACACTAAATGAGGTAAAAAGAGATTAAAATATATTAATAAGAACATAAACAACAATAACAATAAGACCCCAAATGCATATAGATAAAAGTGGAAAGTAAATTTGGAAAATTGAAAATAGCTAATTTGATAAAAGTTTGTGTTTCTTTTGGAAAAAAGTCTTAATTATCATGAAAATGTGAGAAGGAAAAGGTACAAAAATGCTTTAATCTAGAGCAATATATGTAAACTGCTATGTGAGTGCTATGACAATAAGTTCTGCTGCAATTCTAAGAAGGAAGAAGTCTTGTATGGACAGACTGATCTGAGAAGTATGAGATTTTTAAACTAAAATAATGTTAACATCTTCATAAAATAGCACATTCAAAATTCTGACTTTTTAATGGGCTGAGGTGAAATGTGTGTGTGTGTGTGTGTGTGTGTGTGTGTGTGTATGTGCGTGTGTGTGTAGGGGCAATGAGCTTCTGGTTTAGGGGCCTCAGGCTGCTCATCAGTTTGTAGGTGGCACAGCCACTTGTCACAGCCTTCCCATTCCACTTAACCTGGAAACTCTGAGCAAGTTTCTGAGGTCGTCTTGATTTCCCTTGAGAGTCCACATATCAAAAGCGGTTCTTACGGTAAACTCGAGCTGAGAAACAAATTGATCTGAGAATGCTCCCATGATTCCCATTACCAGAAAATCCTGCTTCTCTTAATTATAGCACAGATTTTCAGAGTGTTATTTCAAGACAAAAAAGAAAAAAAAATGATTTTTTTTAAGGAAGTGGTAGGGGAAGGAGTGTATCACAATTTGGTGCTGTCATGATGAAGCAAGAGCCTCAGCAATCCACTTAGTGAGTTATTTTAATAAACCACTTCTCAAGTTCTACTTAGGTCAATGATGACAAAGTGAGATACATGAAGCCACTTTACAGGGAAAGAGCTCATGTTTATACAGCTTAGGCAAACTTAAGAAAATAAATCCAGATAATTCTGTCAATAGTAACACAAAGTTTGAGAAATGGTCTCATTCTCATTCCCCTGAACTGGACAATGACAAATCAGAGCACTTAGAAAAATTAATGCTGGTTATTTCTTCCCCCAAAATATTGGTAAATAGAAATTTTCTATTTGTTTTAGGTTTTAGAATTGATGTTAAAAGGGTATAAAGCCATTGGCTGCTGTGACAGTAATTACTAGCTGATGACACCAAATCTTTTCTTTCTGTATACCTGGGTAAACTATACTTTCCAGCCTCCTTTATAGTTAGATGTGTCATGTGACTGAACTTTTGCCAATAGAATGAGAGCAAAGGTGAAGCAGTCCCTTTATAATTAATTTATGAAGCCTCCCACGGGTAATTTTCATTGTCCCTTTCCCTTCTGGCTTGATGCAAATGAGCATAGTGACCTTGAAAGCAACATGATGAAACTGTTAGAGCCACAGGATACAAGACCCTAGGTCTTTGAATTATTTGGTGGCAAGTCACTTGTCAATCAGGATTTTACCCAAGTGAAAAGTAAACTCTCATGTCCAGCCTCTGAGATGTGGGGATTTATCTTTTATATCAGTTAGCATTACCTTAACAAATGCAGCTGGTTAAACTTGCTGCCTAGAAATTAAAGGCCCTACTGGTTCCGTCATAAGTTTAAAAGTGCTGAGAATTTTAAAAAGTGTCTTAAATCTCTTAATCTTGTATTTTTTTACTCTACATGTAACTTTCTAACAATAATCTCCAGTTAGAAAAATTTTGTTTCTACTGGTATTATGTATTATGTAACTTCCCAGAAAGCTCAGAGCTTTCTGACTAAACTTTTTCTAAGTCATGTGAATTTATGCACTGATGACTTTTTAGACCAATTAACAATGAAAGTCAAATACATAGTTCAGAACTGTGGGCATACATTATGAAGGAAATAAAGATAAGGTAAATTCATTATGTTAATTCTAAGGTTTACAATCATTATCCCCAAGTGGCATGCCAAAATAAACACCTCTTTAAGAAATGGTTCTGGCCGGGCGCGGTGGCTCACGCCTATAATCCCAGCACTTTGGGAGGCCAAGACGGGCGGATCACGAGGTCAGGAGATCGAGACCATCCTGGCTAACACGGTGAAACCCCGTCTCTACTAAAAATACAAACATTAGCCGGGCATGGTGGCGCGCGCCTGTAGTCCCAGCTACTTGGGAGGCTGAGGCAGGAGAATGGCGTGAACCCGGGAGGCGGAGCTTGCAGTGAGTCGAGATCGCGCCACTGCACTCCAGCCTGGGCGACAGAGCGAAACTCCGTCTCAAAAAAAAAAAAAAAAAAAAAAAAGAAATGGTTCTAAAATCAGGTCACAGATAATCACTTTCAAGCAGTTGGTAAAAAGATGGATTTTTTTTTAAAGACACATGGCTAGTCCTCCAAATAGTGAAAAAATATATTGGTATCCTTTCATAACTCCAAAGATTGATGTCTTCAGATACCCACTAATTAAAGGAAGATAATACATCAAAAAGAAGTTCTATCCAGAGATACAATCATGGGCTATGGTACAACCTCCAATATAAAAAGGTTTTATTCTTCAGTCCTATAATTTTCTTTTTTAAACTGGAAACATTTTTGTTCCTGATTTCTTTCTTTTTTTTTTTTTTTTTTGAGACGGAGTCTCACTCTTTCGCCCAAGCTGGACTGCAGTGGCGCTATCCCGGCTCACTGCAAGCTCCGCCTCTTGGGTTCATGCCATTCTCCTGCCTCAGCCTCCCGAGTAGCTGGGATTACAGGCGCCCACCACCACGCCCGGCTAATTTTTTGTATTTTTAGTAGAGACGGGGTTTCACCGTGTTAGCCAGGATGGTCTCGATCTCCTGACCTCGTGATCCGCCCGCCTCGGCCTCCCAAAGTGCTGGGATTACAGGCGTGAGCCACCGCGCCCGGCCTTGTTCCTGATTTCTAAACAAGGTTCTCTTCTTAAGGAGTTAATCAATCATACTTCTAAAACTGTACCGTGCAGATGAGAAAACAAACTGTTCTCTGGTTTACAAATTGAAGGTTATAGAAATAAATTCCAAGATGTTTACTCATGCATGCAGTTGTATCACTCTATCAGTCGTCAATTTGTGTATGTGAATATTTATGAATCCCTGGAGGTTTGCAAGTAACATAAATGAGAATTATTGGTAAAGAAAGGCAGAGAAGGTCTTTTTAGTAAAAGTATGAAGAAGGACTACACCCCCAAATGTGGTAGACTACTTTCTTTGGAACAGGGATTATAAAACTGAATTTTATGATTCAGTTCAAAATATATCTATAACCACTCTCCTAGTCTAGACACCCTCAGATTCATTGTTATCTGTGCGTCCTCTCTGAATTAATCCAGTCACACATATGCCAACACAGCACTGCTTCTTTAAGTATTCTTAACCTTTACAAAATGGAGCTGGACATTTGAGAGCCCTCAGTAACAAATTGCTAGTTGACACTGAGTTCCCAGATGCCTCTTGGTGCAAATCCACTTTTGCTTGAAATCCCTTCACTGTATCTCATCCAAGTAGTGCTTTTCTTCCTTTGCCCTACTTTCTTCCTTCTCTCCCACTTCTACCACCACCTCCACCCAAAACTCAAGTTAAAAATGTAGTCTTTGCCATGGTGCCCTATCCAGTTCTGCCCTTTCAGTCTCTCCTCCTGCTGTTTTCTCAGTCAGAGCTTACCTGGTGAAAGGAACATTGGACAGGAGTCAGGTGGCTTCAAAACTTGGTCGCTCAGAAGCAGGTAACCTAAATTATCTTGACTTTGAATTTTTAAAAATGTATAAAATAGATATAATTAAACCTATGTCAGAAGACTAGATATAGAAATAAATAATGTTTGCAAAAACACCTAGTAGAATTCCTGGCACATAGTAGGCACTCACTCAGTAATTAGTGTTTTAGTTTTTGCTGCATATAAATCACCTCCAAAACTTAGTAACTTAAAACAACAATGATCACTTACTATTTTTCATGGTTTCTGTGGATCAAGAAGTTAAGAAGGGCTCAGTTGGGCCATTCTTGCTTACAGTTTCTCATTCACTTGCAGTCAGATGTCAGCTGGAGCCGTGGTCATCTGAACAAAGTGGGGGATTTGCTTCCAAGGTGGCTCACTTGTACAGCAGTAGGTTGGTTCTGATTGTTGGCTGGTGAGCCTCCATTTCTGTGAAGTCTTTTCCACAGAACTGCTTGAGTATATTTGTGGTATGGTGGCTGGCTTCTTCTGGAATAAGCAATTTGAGACAAGGTGAAAACTAGTCACACACCACAGTTTCAACCATATTCTATTGGTCACATAAAGACAGCCCTGGCTGGGCATGGTGGCTCATGCCTGTAATCCCAGCACTTTGGGAGGCCAAGGTGGGTGGATCACTTGAGGTCAGGAGATCGAGACCAGCCTGGCCAACGTGGCGAAACCCCATCTCTACTAGAAATACAATAATTAGCTGGGCATGGTGGTGCACGCCTGTAGTCCCAGCTACTCCAGAGGCTGAGGCAGGAGAATCGCTTGAACCCAGGAGGCGGAGGTTGCAGTGAGCCGAGATCACGCCACTGCGCTCCAGCCTGGTGACAGAGTGAGACTCTGTCTCAAAGAAAAGAAAAGAAAAGAAAGACAGCCCTGATTTAATGTGGGAGAGGATCTACATGAGACGATGAATACAAAGGGATGTGAATTACTGGAGACCATCTTGGAGTTGACTACAATAGTTCGACATTTATTTTCTTAGAGAAAACACTGACCACCTTCACTGTGGTTAACCAACTGGCCTGCTTTCCAATTTCACCTTGATGTATTCCTTTTTAGGCTAGTCAAGCCAAACCTGCCTCACATTACCTTTCTTGCTCTCTCTCTTCATCTTTCTCCATCTTTCTCTCTCTCTCTCTCTCTCCCTCTCTCACACAGACACACACACACACACACACACTGACACACACTGACACACACAGGACTAGAATACAACATCTAAATTTTGCACACAATAGTTTTCAAATTAAATAATCTTTTTAAAATAAACCTTTTAATTTTAGAGTAGTTTTATATTTACAGAAAAATTGTGAAGATAATACAGAGAGTTCCCATAGTCCCCACACCCACTTTCCTCTATTATTTTAGGAAATGCCTTGAAAGGTAGAAAGGATGTCAATAGGTCAAGATGGAACATTGCAAGCAAAAGCTCTAAGGCAAGGAATTAATCTCCTTTCATATCTTGTGGGTGACAAAATTCAGCATTTGAAAAGAGATGCAGAATGACATAAACTAGAAAACTAAATGAGTCAGATGAAGTTGCTGTTTTACTTATTATGACTAAAAAGAAATACTTGTTATTATTTGAGAAATAATTTTTAGAAAGTAATAAAACCAGATAGAAAGGTAACCAATCTGGCAAACTCACAATCCAAAGGAACCAAGATTGAATGACTTGTTTTCTAATGCAGTTTAGGTACAGTTGAATTATATGATCTTTACAATCCTTTTTAGGCTTCTGTGACATGATTAAATGGAAAACAGTGATTGCAAAATTTAAGTAAAAAATGATTTGGCTGAATAGTGATTGTGCTTCTGTGAACCGGTACTTCATCTCATAGAAATAATTAAATGGAAGGAGACTCCACTTTTTGGAGTAGAGAAGCAGTTTTGTCTCACTAAAAGCTATAGAGCGAGATGTCTGTAAGTGATCTGGAGTATATACAGTCAGATTGCATTTTATTCCATAGGGAGAACAGGAAAGTTGTTATTGCCCATTTACAGATTAGGAAACTGAGGCTGGAATGAACACTTTCCAGACTAGGCCAAGACCACAGACTGAGTAGATTTTAGAAGTATAATTAACTAGACCAAAGGATTACAGCCCATGAAAGATTCCAGAACAGAGTTTTGTAGGTAAAGTTAAGTGTATTACCTGGAAAGTCTGTTCCATGTTGTATAACCCAAGTCCTGAAGAAGGAAAGTTGCTGTTTCAAGGTATTTTCCTTCTCTGTCTCTTTCTTTCTCTCTGTGATGCACACAAACACACACATATACACATACAATCTCTGAATTCACTCAAACTTAATACTTTTTTGTGCTTTGAAAATTTTAAAAAGCAATGAGAAAGGGAAAAATTTGACAATATTCCTCAGTAGCTTCACTGAGTCTTCCTGTGCCAGGCCTACCCCACAGTCCTCCAATCTATCGTTCTTAGTGACTCCAGGTTACTGCTCCCTGTGCCAAACACAAATGCAAACAAATAGAAACACTGCACTTCTGAACATGTCAACCCCATCCCTACCTAACTCCAAAATGCACAACTAAACATGTTATCTTTATCCCTTCAGAAAATCCTTTGGTGGTTTCCTGCAGGATCAAGTCAAACTCCTTAGCTCCACATATGTATCATTTAAATATCGGGTCCTAAAGTTCGATGGTAGCCAAATTTCTCATCAATTTCCTCATAAATACTACACTCTTGGGGCACTAATCTGACATGTTGGAGGGTGATGGGGCTGGTATTCAGATGCATACAGAAAATTTTCTCATGCCTGGAATTATCATTATTCTTGTCACAACAACTACTGCTTTATTTTTTCAGTGCCTACTCGATGACAAGCATTGCACTAGGACTTAACATGTAATATTTCAGTTAAAGCTTATAACAAGCCTTCTTCCAAGTAATTATCCCCAATTTCCTTTGAGATTACAGAATTAGAGATTAATTTCTACTCAAGGACCTACAGCTAATGGGAGGGTGGATTTGCTCAGATCTGTCTGCCTCTAAAGCCTATTTTCTTTCTCCTATGTTAGTAGAGTGCTACGAAGAGCTATGACTTTGGAGGCATATGGGACTGGGTTTCAATCTCAGCCCTGCCATTTACAGGCAGAATAACCTTAGGCAGAATGATTACTGTCTCCAAATCCCAGTTTCCTCATTTGCAAAAATTAAGATACAAGAAAGGACCTACCTTTTAAACCTTTTGTGAGAATCAAAGGAGAAAACAGATGTAAAGTGTTTAGCTGCTGGTATTATTGAATCTCATCACTTCTACTTACAAAACTCTTGTTTCTCAAGATCCAGTGCACTTGCTACTTCTTAAATTGACACTTTATCCAATTCTGCCAGATGGAATTGTTTTCTACTATGTTCCCATATTACTTTAGTATTATTTAGTCTTATTTGTTCCCCATTGGTCAAGAGGTTCTGGAAGGCATGTGTTTTGCTATGTTGGCCTTAGTTCCCCACAAAGCAAACTCTGAACCAAGGATTTGAGTAAAGCAGTCTTGAGAGGTGCAAGGAACATTGGTAGATAAGGGAGGAAGCAAATAGAGAGGGAAAGCAGCCCTGAGGAGATTTGTTATTAAGTCAACTGTTGTAGTGGGTAACTGATCATTACTATCCTACAGTCAGACTCTGGAAACTGAGAACTCAGAATTACCCCAGCCTAGAAGGTGGGATCTGGGTATTTATATTTGTACACTGATTAGTCTTTGATTATGGGCCACCCTTATACCTGTACAGACACTTCTGGCTTACATAGTGGGTTCTGGAAGCCTGAAGTCAGCCCTCCAACAAAGATGAAGGTACTGCCTTTGAAAGTCAGGCTGGTTTCTGGCAAGGGGACCCAAGAAAATAGGGTGGAACAGTGGCAATGTCTGCTGTGTGTGTCTCATGCTTCTGTATCATCTTCTACACATTCACATACCTGCTCTTGCTCTTTATTAATTCTTACCTGGACTTTTCTTGTAGAATGTCCAGTACATGGTGTACAACCAATAAATGATTAAAGAGGAAAGGGAAGAATAGAGAAGAGAAAGAAAGAGAAAGGAAGGAAAAAGGAGTGAAAAGGGGGAGAAAGTAAAGAAAGATAAATGCATGGAAAGTAAGGGAAGAGAAAGGAAAAGATAAGAAGAGAAGAGAGGAAGGAGGAAGGAAGGGAGGGTAGGAAAAGGGAAGAATGGCACTTGTATTGTGATTTGAAACAGAGAAATCTCCCTTCTTTTGCCTTTCAAGGTAGCAATAAATGAAATGTATACAGATGCTAAAGAAATAAAGAATTCCTAGGATGACGTATATATGGCTAAGTGTCAATTCAAGATATTTAATACAAGAACAAATTAAAGAATCAGAGTTATAGTCTCTTTTTTTTTTCCTTGCCTGATCGAAAACCAAAAAAGTTACTGTAAGACTGGTAAGAAGTCATGACCCTTGGCTTATATAATTTGAGAAAAGAATCTAAGAAAGGCAAGTAAGGATTTTCTTCTTGCTGTACTGGGTAATAAATTTTATAATGAAAACACAATTGCAAGTTACATAATCATGTAGGTCAGAGCTATTGATCTGCCCAGTGACAAGACCTCCTGAACGAATTGCATTATTCCAAAAGGATGGCTCCAAAGCTAATAATGGCAAAAAATGATGCCTGTGTCCTATACCTACATTAAAATTAGGGTCATTGTTTCTGAACATCAAAAATGTTAAGCTCAAGCACCTTGAGAAGCAATGTGGGTAGATGGGCACAGCTCTAGGAATCAGGTCAAACATCTGACTATCAGTGGGACCTTGGAGTGACTATGTAAACTCTCTGGGTTTCAGTTCTATCATTTATAATATCAGGAGATTAGAGTAAGTCAGAAGCTGTAAGCTCAGGTGCCAGTGCCTACTGAATGAATGATAGGGATGATGATAAACGGAGTAGCACACACCTCTTCTAAATGGGCAGCTATTGCTTAGATCCAACCAATGGTTTCCATGGTTCCCATGCTGAAGTTCAGATTGTCAAATCTCCCAATATTCCCTGAAAACTGAAATCTCATATTATGTGAACTTTTCAGATTTTTCTGTGTTGGTACAACTTTTATAAAAAACACAGTGCAGGCCAAAGAAGGATTATCAACTGTGACCAGCATAGGTTGATGGTCACTTCTGGACTAGTTAAATCTCAAATGTCCTTCCAGTTCTTCAACCTTTTACAAAATGGTATATCAATGCAAGAGTATTCTGTTAAGTCTGGGACACCTGTGCATAATGCTGCCCCTGTTCCTACCCGTACTCTTTTCCTCAAAAGGGGTTTATGTACTTTGGCTGAACAGTCATGAGTAATATTTCTCAGTGAGGAAATTATGCAGCTGCTTTGGTGCCCTCTTTCCTGATGACCCAGCTACATGTCCCTGAAACCTAAAAATTGGTAGAGACAACCATCCCTACCTTGGAGAAATCTCTACTACTTCACCCAGTACAGGTTACCTTGAAATTGAAATAGGTTTCTGTATTCCTCTGCACTCTGGAACTTCATTGAAGTCTCCCTCAACATCTTTAAATCCCTCTTGATCTTTAATTCAGATTGGAAAAATTGACATTCGTGGGGCCCAAGTTAGCCCTTTAATGCTAGAGGATGTCACTGAAAGTTGGTTAATTATTTCAAGCAACTGATAGAAAGCACAGTCTAGATTAGGGAAAGGACCCAGGGAGAAAGAATGATAGAAAATACAAAAATAATGATGGCATAAGGTGTTAGAAAGTGTGGAGTGGCACAGGAAAGGATGAGGTCACACTTAAAGGGGATGCCCTGGAAAGGAATATCTTTCTTTGAGATGAACATGATAAATGAAAGCTGGTGAAGTCAAACTGTTCTGAAGGAGAGATAAGACCAGCTGAATGTCACCCTCTATGTTTCCTGTAAAGTAGAAGCTAAGTTTTTTTCAGAAAGTGAATACTAGTAGGACAATTTTTAAGAAGGAGAAAAAATGCAGAAAAAGTTCTTTGGAGAATATAATAGGTAGACAAATGTATATGACTTTAAAATGCCAAGTAAATTTAGGATTTAATAGATCTGAGGTAGCAAGAGCCCACCCTGGAACAAGAGGAACCAGATTACTACTCTTTTCTAAGTAGGTAATCACTAACTTTAAGATAATTGAAGAATGAAAAAGATCCTAGGCTTGGAGAAGGGAAATTTTAGTGTTACAGCTCGTGGATGCACAGCTATTTTGGGGGATGTCAAGTTGCAGGATGTAGTCATGCCTATGAGGAGCTCAAATGGAGTATAGATGAAGACTATATGTACTGAGAACGTCAAGGTCCTGTGAGGCCAGGAATGGAAGATGGTAAAATTCCTAAGGAACATAGCTGTAAAGGACCCCATGAGACAAATGCTAACATATTTGAAGAAGGTAGGACGTTGTTCTGGAGGTTAGCTGTGCATGGGAATGGTGTTGAAAGCAAGGTACTTACTATCCTGGTTTTAGGAATTTTGAAAAATGGCATAAGGAATGGCCTCCGGAGGAGAAAATTGTCAGGGAAATGGAATTGTTATTGGTGACCTCTTGGTCACCACTTTGTTTAGTGAAGAAGATAGAAAGAATCAATCGAATAATGTTATCTGGCAATTGGGAAGGGATTTCAATGAAAAGGGAGAGCAGAGGATCACGGAAGAGATGATAGGGGAGCACTAGAAAGAAGCTACAAACAAATGAGAAGAAAATACCATAGCAAGGAGTAGTTTGAAATCAGACAGCCCTGGGTTTGAATTCTGACTCTGCTACTTAGCTGCAGGCATTGATGCAATTTTAGAAGCTTTCTTTTAAGAAAAGTAATGCAAAATATAAAACTAAAATTAGGAGCAAATATAAATTTGTATTAAAAAAAGTAAAAGGAAATGTAAAAGAAATATAAAAGCTAACAAACACCCAGAATATCCCAATATTCAGAAAAATAACAATATTTTTATTGACTAATTGCTTGACAGTTATATATACTGTATAACTTGTATAATGCATTCTTTTCTACATTTTTTGCCAGCAAATCCTTAAGTCACCTCTTCATATGACAATGGTTTTGCAATATCATTTTCTATTGTAAGAATAGAAAGATGATTCAGTCCCTGCTCTAGCATAGTTGGTATAATCTTTTAAAATGACTGTTTAGAAAAGTGTCTTTTGGTTCCATAGATCATCATTGGTGATGATTTTTAGAATTGTTGCAGAATTTGGAAAAACCTGTGTTAAACTCCCTCCATATGTGAACAGTAAGATTTGGAGGAGCATTTTCCATAGACTAGCTTTTGACTCCACACACTTTAAACCTTGTCTTTCCTCTATTACTTGGATACTCCCAGGGCCGGCTGTGCAGGTCAGATCCATTTTGTGATCCAACTTCTGGACCTGCCAGATGAGCTGACACAGTGAATTCCTACACTGGAGTGGCTAGTGATGACTTAACCAAATATAAGTACGCCACTAAACCCCAACTAAATGTATCCTCAATTCAACTAGCCCTTAGTCATCTCCCCAAAATATCCATGACCAACCACTCCAATGCCATGAGGGGGAGTGTGATGGTGAGGAAGTTGGAATGAAAAGAGAAAACAGCCTTCACTGATTTCTGTTAAAATACCTAGCTTTTGCAAATTTAGTTCAAACATACTACCATGTGAACATGATGCTAGGGCTTCTTGCAGGGCCTTAGAAGGGACTCCTGCAAGTGAAGGAACTAGAGCCTAAGCTCCATTAACTTTACAGTAAGTCTACTGCTGACCAGTTACATTTATGCTAGTTACATAACTTCTCTAAGTATCCACTCCTTTACCTCACAGAGTTATAAGGCAGATGAATTGAAAGAATGCATGTAAAGTGCACTGTTCCTGGCATATAGTAAATAATCAATGGCAAATAAAAATATGTAATTACGAGATTTTACAAACTGGTAACCTCTTATTTTGTATATTTGATTACAGTAGGTGCCATCGAAATTCTCAAAGGCTATGAAGGTTTTTGTTTTTGTGGTGGTTTTTATTTAAAGAGAGTTAGTGTGGGCTACTTGAGTACTTTTTACCCTCCCTGTAGAACTGGGGGCACCTTGGAGTATTATAATGGAGAGCTTGGAATCTCCAGGGGTGGGGGACAGTTTTACTGCAGAGCAGTGAGGGTAAAACAGCTTTAGTCCATCAGGAAATCCTGCCTCTGAAAGGATGCCCTCTCTTTTACTCTGCTAGTTGCAGCAGGTATGTGGGCTTAAATAAAAGCATTCATTATACCTATATACATTCCTGATAGAGGGGCAGAAATGAGTGAACAAATATATATGGACACACATAGCCATTGTTTTTAGCAGGTTGATGTGCTGGACTCTCATATTTGCCATCTCATTTAAGCTTCACAGGAAGCTTGTGCCTATGAATGTCCTCAATATATGGATGAAGGAGTAAACACGAAGAGAGGAGATAAGACTTCTCAGCCCTCACTTGGAATGTTTTGTGAACAAGTGGAAAGGCCTGAGGGGTAGAAGCTCTGCTCCATCTGTGTGGTTCTCGGCTATGCTGCAGAAGTGCTGAACCAGCTAGCTTGGCTGCCCTCCTCCTTGCCCTGATCCTGGGGCAAAGCCAGCGCTCTAAGTCAGTCTCCAGAATTCTGTGTGTCAGTCTAAGGAGGACAAGACTAAGCTTGATTAAAAGGAGTAGAAGCCAGAGATAGAGATGGGAATGGGGGATGGTTTAAAGGTTGGAAAAGAGGAAGGAATGGTTATCTTCAATGTGGAGAGAATGTTAAGTGGAAGTGCAAATATTCAAATATATATATATTTTTGGATAATGGTAAGAGTAGCTTTCTTACTGTCCCCTTTCTAAGTCTCTAGGTAGCATTAATCAAAATAGCTACTTTATTTTAGTTTTTTTAAATATAATTTAATTCTGAGATATGAAAATCTATATTTGTAAAACAGATTAAAAGGCCATTATTTTCTTCACTAAAGGATTTACGGTAAAATTTAATTAGCCAACCAGTACCCTCACAACATCTAAAATTGGATTTGTTATTAAAGATTTGCCTGTTACCTTAAACAGTAAGGCGTACATCAGACCATCAAAATCTTCCATGCCATCAATGATGGTACCTCTGACTGGGAACTGAGATGAAAAGTGAAAAAGCATTGAAATAATTTTATTCCTGCCTTTTCCAGCTCCTCACACTGACTATCAGACACCTGGGCTGCTGGCCCAGGTGTTCTGCCCATTCCCTAGTCCTCTAGGATAAGAGTTGAAGTGGCAAAGTAAGAGGCATTGTCATGTGTGAGAGAGAAGGGTGTCACAAATTGTGTTCCCTGGAAGCAGATGCTGAGATGGAGATAGGCAAGCAAAATGTCTATGACAGGAAGAGAATGGGAAAGAACAGGATTGGGCAAGAAGAGAGTTCAGACCATGATTCAAGGTTGGCAAGGCTTCTGTCCACTCTATGGGAGCTCCAGAGCAAACACTGACCAGCACTTGGCTGAGAGGGCCAGCCCCATATTGCTCTACCTTGCTCAGTCATTGGATACCAGCCACCCAGGAAGAATGAGACCCTGGTTCTCTGCTGTTAAGGAAAACTCTGAAGAAGCCAGTGATTGAAGGCTGATTGATATCAGCTGCTTCCTGCAGCTGTGCAGATCCTTATTCCTTGAAGGAAGATCTGGGTAGCACATTTTCTATTACAGTCTACCCCTTAAGCTCCCTGGATCTTCTTCTCTACATATATTGGGGTATTAGGTCCTCTGGGACTCTAGTGGACCTCTTTTATTTAGAGACACTTAGAAAAGCAAATGTAGTAGTATAAGCTGTAGCTGCCATAGCTAAAGCTGGTCTCAGGGCAATGACTGGTAACTCATCTCCTTCCTCTACTCAACTTTCCAGAGTCCCCTCAGCTACTACTTCTGCTGTTCTCCCCAGCTTACCTGGTAGCATGACCTGAATCCTCATTTCTGAGCCCATCGGAGTGTTCCACCTTGGGCTAAAAAGGTCGTCCTCTTATACCTCTACCTTATCCAGTCACTGAATATGGGTAGCCCTAGGAATAATATCACCTCAGCTCTCTGTGGCTGATGCAGATCTTGAACGGGCAATGGATAGAGGCTGTCTGTTGGCCACATTCCCTGAAACTGGACAGCAAGTCCTCTCTTGAAGGCAGATCTGAGCAGCACATTTTCATGTCTGCCAGTAAAGAATGCTATTTTAAGCATCTCTCGCAAAATAATAAGAAAAATGTAATTTATACTGGAATGATAATTCACCTGTTATCTAGTTTTTGTGTATTTTTAAGTGAAACAGATTATAATTATTTTTAAAAATTAGATTTTGGATTTCTCTATAAAACATACATTTCTGGGTTACTAGGTAGCACACAGGAGGAAGAAATGACCATCCAGATCCTAAATGAGTGTGAGTTTTTGCTTTAGCAGGTTGTTGTTAATGAATACAGGCCTGCTAGGCCGGTAGCTCACACCTGTAATCCCAGCACTTTGGGACTTTGGGAGGCTGAAGGCAGGTGAATCGCCTGAGGTCAGGAGTTCAAGACCAGCCTGGCCAACATGGTGAAACCCTGTCTCTACTAAAAATACAAAAATCAGCTGAGTGTGGTGGCACACACCTGTAATCTCAGCTACTTGGGAGGCTGAGGCAGGGGACTCGCTTGAACCCAGGAGGCAGAGGTTGCAGTGAACTGAGATTGTACCATTGTACTCCACCCTGGGCAACAGAGAGAGACTCCATCTCAAAAAAAAAAAAAAAAAAAGAATACAGGCCCTTTTTGGTGTCTTTCTCCATTCCTTAAAAAAGAGGCATAAATTCCATAACCAAAGTAGTCTTGTTTGGATATCTTTCTGATAATAAAAGCTTCAAAGTGAATCATAAAGTCTTGGCAAAATTGAGTGAGTGAATGCTAAGAATAGGTGGCAAATCAGTAGAATGAGAAGATAAATTTCTAGAGAGGACTGTTAAAAGAAGCTCTAAGTGATGGAGACCATCCTCAAAGGGAGAAAGGAATGAGAAATGACCTCGTTCTCCAATAAATGGGCATCAGAATCAGAACTAAAGACCCCTAAGAGAGGCTAATGCACTGTTTAAGGCTGGGAAAAGGCTGTGGTCAGTGTGAGCCACCCAGCAGGCTCACCTCAATGTGGACGCAGAGGCTTCTTGAAGTTGTATGCACAAGCAATAGCCTCCCTTGGTCCAAGGCCAAGTGTGGAACCTAATAGAGGCTAAAGACCTGTGAGTCAACTAGTGGGACTAAGCTATGAACTATGTTTATCATTATTAGCACAGTTGACAGACTACAGTGACTTGCAAAAACATGGAGATGTATATTTATGTATACATAATGTACATATGTCTACAAACTTTGCAGAAAAAATTCCAGCCTGATCTCCATAAGAACACAGATACAAATACATACACATAAACCTTAGCAAATGAATGAACCTATTTCTGTTGACCAAATGAGTCTTATCAAATCCCTGAAAACAAATTAACCTCTAAAAACAACAGTGTCAAAACTCTGATAGAGTTTTGTTTGTTTGTTTTGTTTGTTTTGAGACAGTACCTCGCTCCATTGCCCAGGCAGAGCATTGTGGTGCGATCACTGCTCACTGCAACCTTAGCCTCCCAAGCTCATGTGATCCTCCCACTTCAGCCTCCCAAGTAGCTGGCACCAGAGGCACACACCACCACACCCAGCTAATTTTTAAAACAATTTTTCTGTAGAGATGATATCTTACTATATTGCACAAGCTGGTCTTGAACTTTGACACAAGATTATTACTGAATTCTTTAAGGACAGGGACTTTTCTCTAATCCTTGTTGAAACTCCTAGAGTGGTACTCAGCGTAAGTAGTTACTCAATAAATGTTTGTTGAGTGAAGAATAAATGATATTTGATTAACTACAAGTAGAATAAACAGGTGATCTTTTTTGTTTGTTTGTTTTGTTTTTTGGAGACAAGGTCTTGCACTGTCACTCAGGTTGAGTGCAGTGGCCCAAACTTGGCTCACTGGCACCTCAACTTCCCAGGCTCAAGCTATCCTCCTGCCTCAGCCTTGTGAGTAGCTAGAACTACAGGCCTACATGACCATGCCTGACTAAATTTTTTGTATTTTTTTTGTAGAGATGGGGTTTCACCATTTTGCCCAGGCTGGTCTTGAACTCCTGGGCTCAAGTAATCTGCCCACCTTAGCCTCCCAAAGTGCTGGGATTACAGGTGTGAGCCACTGTACCTGGCCCTGAATCGATCAATCTTTAGGATCTGTGTTACAGTTATAATTTACTTTACCTATCCCAAATCAATGCCACTTGTTATGAAACAAGGATTATTAGAATTGGAATGGACTTTAGGAACGATCTAATTAAACCCTTTCATTTTACCCATGTGAAAGTGGGTTAGAGGAGTGAAATGACACATAAGGCCACTCAATTAATTGGTGATCTGACCTGTTCTAGAACCCAGGGATTCTGGCTTTGAATTCACTGGGCTAGCAAATGAATATCAAGAGACCTTTGATTGGTTCCATATAGACATATTCATCTGTGTCATGCAGTTTGTTTGAGTCTGTGTGTTTGTGTGTGTTGGGGGGATGAGTAAGCAATATTTCTGATTCTATTTTCAGATTTCTTATTTTCCTCTCACAACACCATTTGCACAGCGATGGTCAAGTCGGTAGGCATATGCATGAGAACCCCCTGTCTTGTCCTCCTCCCTTTGCCAGTTCATCTGTCTTTGAATTATTTTTGTGAATATTCTAGAATTAACCTCATTTTAGATTCTGGTAAACCTGATCTTTAAAAACAGTTTGGGTCCCTGACTCATGTGCCTGTTCTGTTTAAAATGTCTAAACAATAAATATTTCAATCTTTCATTTGTACAACTACTAGATATAAGCTACATTATCTCATGCACTTTGCTGTTCACTTTCTATCTCAGGTGCTCCTGCAGCCAACCTTTCAGCATAGTGCCTGCCATCATCATTAAATAGTCCCCAAAGCTCTGTTACAGAGTAATAACCTTGGCAGCGCTGTTCCCAGGGCCAAACCTCTCTCCAAGGCTAGTTACAGAATTTGTTCTTCTCTGGTACTATGTGACACTGAAGCTGGCCTCAGTGAACTTTGTATTTTTAATTTCAGTCTTTCTTTCCTTCTCTCATTATTTCTCCTCTTCTCCTTAGCTTCTGTAATGCCTTGTTTCAGGTCAAGCTCGGCTCAACTTTCACTTCCTTCATTTAACTTCTCAGTTCTCCTGACAGCTTGTTCTTTCCTCTTGTTAAAGCTGCACTTTGCAGAGTGTTCTTAGTCTGTAATTGGGGTTTTGGTTCATGCTTAATCAAAAGCATGTATTTTACTTCTAATTACAAAGTATTACTTTATAACTTGAAAATATTGTTCAGGAACTCCTGTAAGCATTAGGGATGGAGCAGTGAATGAAGTCCCTGCCTTCAGTGGAGTTCACTAGGGGAGACAGATTACAAGTAAATGAACATTCAATAGAAGTGAGGTAGTGAAGGTGCAATGAAGAAAAATAAGCAGGAGGAAACAGAGAAGATGAGGAGAGGTGAAGGAGGAATATTTCTGGTAGAGTCAGGAGCATGTCTGTGAAGACGTGACAGTGAGAAGGAATGAATTGAAGGAATCAACTCTGCAAAGACCTTGGGGAAGTGTGTGCCTGGCAGAGGGACTAACAAATGTAAAGGCCTTAAGGTGGAAATAAGCACAGACTTTTCAAAGATGAACAAGAAGACCACCATGGCCTGGGGAACGGTGCAAGAGGGGAATGCTAGAAAGCTGGCGAGGTAGGTCAGGGCCAGAGCCCATGCAGCCAAGCCATTGAAGAAGAGCAGAATGGCATGGTCTGCATGATGTGCTAATATGACTCTTCTGCTTGTTGCATACAGAATTGACCTGGGGCCACTGAGAAAGATTGGAAATGTGGGGAAGCCAATTAGGTGACAATTGGAGGAAGATACGGGTAGGATTTGGAGAGGAGCAGTAGGGTTTATCAGAAGGGCTGAAGTTCAAGATTTATTTTGCTGTAATATGCGAGGGAAAGGGCAGTCAAGAATGACTGCTAGGTTTTTGGGCCTGAGCCAAAGAAGAATAAAGAAGCCATTAACCATTTGTGGAAACCTGGGGAGTGCACATATCTGGTTTATATGGTAGGTAGGGCAGAACTGCGAGAGCTCCGATTAGATGTATGTTTGAGACGCTGGACTTAGAACATTCAAAAGAATAAAAGGATATTTTCAAAATCTCAGTTTAGTGCTCTAATTCAAAGGAAAGACACTATTAATATTATGTTTTCTCCTTTCAGCCTGCAACTCTGTATTTTTTATTTAACTTTAAACCTACCTTATTTCAAAAGAACTGTGTCCTTTGAATTCATGTGCAAAACTACATTGTAATAGTTAATGTTTGGATGTGTAAAAGGAATTTTTTTGAAAAGCTTCTGTCTCTATAATCTGAAAGTACCTATGGAAGTTTTAAATATGCAAGGCTGAGAAGTTCCCAAAAAAGTCCAGGCCTTACAATTTGACAAAGTGGTTGGTCTTCTCCCAGTGTGACTATTAACACAATGCAGAATCATTGTTAGTAATAGCTGAATATGTGAGTCTCTCTCCGTTCTCTCAGCCACTGATGTTTAATGTTAATAAGGGGCAGAACAGGATGAAGTCAGCTTTATAAGAGGCTCTGTGTCATTCTGAAGAGAATGTGGTATTGATTTTTAGAGGCTTAGAAGCTGCAGTGGTTTGCAATAGCAACATCCTGGACCGAGAATGAAGGGACATGCTGTCTAGTCCTGGCATTGTCATTTTATTACTGTGTGGCCTTCAAGTCACATGACCTCTATGGAATTCAGTTTCCACACATAGGAAGTAGAGCTAATACTATACAGCTGGCAAGACTGTTGTGAGAATTCTTTAAAAATGTATGGAAATATTTGAGGGCAACGAAACAATACACATATATATTCTATTTTGAATTATCAGTATCTGTCAAAAACTACAGAAAGTAAACTTTATAGATAAAATCGAACTAGAAAGAGATTTAAGAACAATGCAGATCTATACAGCCAAGGACATTTCTAGGTCTTAAAATTATTCATGTTGTGTCATAACCTCAGAGTGGATAATAGAGAGCTTTTTACAATGGACACTGAGTAAGGCATGAGAATAAGCTGGTCACTTTTATTAATAAAGTGGAGCAAGGTTTCTTTTTTTTTTTTTAAACAGGGTTTCACTCTGTCACCCAGGCTGGAGTGCAGAGGTGCGATCTTGGCTCACTGCAACCTTCACCTCCTGGGTTCAAGTGATTTCCGGCTAGTTTTTGTATTTTTAGTAGACACAGAGTTTCGCCATGTTGGCAAGGCTGGCCTCGAACTCCTGAGCTCAAGTGATCTGCTTGCCCTGGCCTCCAAAGTGCTAGGATTACAGGCGTGAGCCACTGTGCCCAGCAATGGAGCAAGTTTTTTTAAAAAAAAAAAAAAAAAAAAGGTATATATTTATACCAACAGGTGATTGAACAAAGCATATGACACTGTTTTACTTTTTTGTTTACATAATGCCTGATAGGATGTTTGTCCCCTCCAAATCTCAGGTTGAAATGTGTTCCCAGTGTTGGAGGTGGGGACTTGTAGAAAGTATTCGGGTCATGGGGACAGATCCCTCATGAGTGCCCCCTTGCATGGAAATGAGTGAGTCATTGATCTATTCGTTCACCTGAGAGCTGGTTGTTTAAAAGAGCCTGAATCTCTCTCTCTCTACTTCTGTCATCATGTGATATGCCCTGCTCCCCTTTCCCCTTCTGCCATGATTGTAAGCTTTCTGAGGCCCTCACCAGAAGCAGAAGCTGGCATTATGCCTTGGTACAGACTGCAGAAGTGTGAGCCAAATAAACCTCCTTTCTTTATAAATTACCCAGCCTCAGGAATTTCTTTATAGCAATGCAATATGGATTAATACAATGCTTTATTCAAATAAAATTTTGAAATGGTTTGTGAAACAATGTCAATAAAAATGATATACAATGGATTAAAGAAATGGATTGAAAAGGAGAATGAAGGTAGGAAAAAAACATGAAGTTGGAAAGTAATGTTATTACAAAAAACACAGCTGAAAGTTCCTTGCTAGGGATTGCTGTTTGGTTCTGAGCTTCCTAGAAGGCCCAGCACAAAAGGAAACATGAGTTATGAGGCATATTGTCAATTTTACAAAACCAAATCATTCACTGCAATGTAGGAATTTCTTTTGTTGTGTTTTCCCCCAAAAGAAACAATTTGTGTAAGAAGATATAATTTGAATGGTCTCAGCTGACCTTTCCTTTTCTCACTTAAAATATTGAGTTACTTGCTTGATAATGGGTTATCAAATGGAGATTTATAGGATTTCATAGGTCAAATTAACCTATGAAATCCACTGGTGCCACAGAAATCACCTACGACTTAAGAGGTATTTCTGAAAGCAATCTAATTTGGCAAAGTAGGTAATGACCTAGAAATTTATGATGAACAAAACACAGAGAAACAGGAGAGTCTTACAACGGAAAAGGTATCAAGTTAAAATCTGAAACTGTTTTTTTATATCTTACATCATTGCATATGACTAATTTTATTACCCCAGGACAAGGAAACTGTCTTAGCCTGCACTTTTTTCATCTGAAAAATTCTGATTTGGAAATAGATGACCTTTTAATTTGTCTTTCTAGCTGTGAGAATCTGAGTTTGCAGTTATACTTTGGATCAGATAAACAAGGCAGGTTGTCTTGGAAAAGGAAAATAACATTTAGAATGAGGGCAAGTACTAGAGGAAAAGAACAAAAAACTGGAGAAATGGTTTCTGTTGTTAAAGCAGCAGATCAAGTGCCAGATCTGGAATTCTGCTTCACATGTGAAGGGACTTGCTCCCCACTCCCTTCGCCCAGGCCTCCCTGCCTGCCCTCACCCAGTAGGATACTGGAGATTTGGGGGGTAGGGAGAAACAGAGGCTCCTGCAAATGGGAGACAGCAGTGCATATAAGGGCATGAGTACATGTCAAAAGCAGGGAAATTCAGTTCCATGTTTATACTGTGTGCTCACTCCTTCTTTCCCTGCTTCCAAAATGGTGGTAGCCAGAATCTTCTCCTTCAGGCAGGGGGCGGGAACACTTATATCTCACAAATCAGCCTAGCCGAAGAGAAAAAAAAATCAAGAGATGCTGACATCACAGATTCCTCAGTGAAGAAGCCCAGCCATTTCACTACACAGACACCCAGTCAATAAGCTCCACCTACTTGCTCAAAGCTTCCAGTTAACATTCTAATGCAAATAGCCTGTGGCCACCAGACAATACACAGGTAAAATACAAGTGAACATGAAACAGTAAGTTGGGCCAGCCATGGTGGCTCACGCCTGTAATCCCAGCACATTTGGAGGCTGAGGCGGGTGGATCACCTGAAGTTAGGAGTTCAAGACCAACCTGGCCAATGTGGTGAAACCCCATCTCTACTAAAAATACAAAAATTAGCCAGGTATGGTGGTGCACACTTGTAATCCCAGCTACTTGGGAGGCTTAGGCGGGAGAATCTCTTGAACCCGGGATGTGGAGGTTGCAGTGAGCCGAAATCACACCAACGCACTCCAGCCTGGGCAACAAGAGTGAAACTCAGCCTCAAAAAAAAGAAGTAAGTTGGATGAAACTTTTTTAAACAATCAAAATTTTCTGATTAATGTGAATATGAATATATAAGGTATATGCATGTGCTATGAGAAGATAATAAACCTTTGGGGGGGAAAACAATGATTTAAAGAAGTACTTTCAGAGGAGAAAAAGAAGAGCTGTTATACATGTTATACATCTTAGATATTAAAACAAGATAGCAGAAGCAAAAAATTTATTAGAAAATTTGGGAGACAAATTTGAGGAAAGCTTACAGAAAGTGAAGCAAGAAGGCAGGGCTATAGAAAACCGAGCAAGAAAACCATAGGAAAATTAGTGGGAACAGTCCATAAAATCTAGCAGCAGGGAACAGAGAAAATGGAAAGAAGGAAAATAACACAGAAATAATTTAAAAACTGTTTCCAGAACTGGAGCACAGTGTTTCCAAATTGAAATAGCCCACTGTGTTCATAAAAATGAGTGATAAAAGACTCGTCACAAGACATAGTATTGTGAAATTTCAGAATACTGAATGCAAAATATAAAAAGTAATAAAAATACCCAGATAAAAAGTTCATGTTTTATTGAAAGGATCGATAATCAATATGGCAGTAAAGCATGAAGGTTAACAGCACGAGCTCTCAACCCAGCTCACCTGGATTCTAATTCTGTAATTACTAGACCTATAACCCTGAGGAAGTTACTGCAACCCTGTGTCACACCTTTCTCATTTGTAAAATGGGGATAAAAAGTAGTGCCTACCTGACAGGGTTGTTGTTAGGATTAAGTGAGATGAAAAACATAAATACATATAGAAGTGTGACTGACATACAGTGCTGAGAAAATGTTAGGCATTGTCATTCAGACTTTAATTAGTAGCTCTGGAGGGTAGAAGGCAATAGGTCAAAGCCTTCAAAATTGTGAGGGCACATGATTTCTAGTCTAGTATTCTATTTCCAGACAACTATCAGTTATGTATGAGAGTAAAATAAAAATATTTTAGATATACACAGTCTCAAAAATTTTATATCCTATGTACACTTTATCAGGAAGCTGTGTTCTATCAAAACAAAGAAGTAAGCCAAGAGAGAAGAATACATGGAATCAGGTAAAAGGAAATCCCATATTAAATATGGAAAGAGAATCCCCAAGACAATGGTGGAAGGAGACTTTAAAACAACAGCTAATCCTCAACCAGTTCTGATGTGGACAAGTCAGAAGAGTGCTGGGACACTTTCCTTATGATGAAGTTGACATTGAATGTGTATCAGTGCATTGAAAGAAGATTTTCACAACTGAGGAAGTGATCATCAATAAAAGAATGACAATTATATAGGAAACTAAGAATAAACAGCAATAATAGTAATACCTTAAAATGAAAAAAAAATTGACAATTAAGGAAACCAAAATCTGTTCAGAAAAGGAAAAATAATAATTGTACCCAACCTGACTCAACTCTGTCTAGTGTTTATATGGTCATAACACTATAAACACTATAGTGGTATAACTAAAATTATAGTAAAGCTCTGTTGGGAAGAAAGGAGAAAGAATAAGGGGGTGTGTGTTTATGTTTGGGATATAGGTAGTAAAAATGAAAGCTAAAGTATACTTTTCTATGGTAGGAAGTCAATACATGAGGCCTAAAAATAAAAACGCAAATTTGTTTGCTTTTTGTTTTTAGATTGGTGGAAATATGGGGGGCAAATATCATAAAATTAGTTGAAAGAGCTGAAAGTAGCTGCCTCTAAGGAACAAAAATTGGAAAGAGGTATTCGGAATTCTATTTTTCTCTAAGCCTTGTGCAACAATTTGACACTCTACATTAAGACCATGTATAATTTGATATAAAATACACTGAATTCAAAAATTAATATTATCATTAAAAAATTAAGGAAGTCCTAGCCAGGACAATCAGGTAAGAGAAAGAAATAAAAGGCATCCAAATGTAAAAAAGGATGCCAACTATCTGTCTTCACTGACAATGTGATTCTATATCTAGCAAACCCTAAACACTCCACAAGAAAGCTCCTGGAACTGATAAACAACTTCAGTAAAGTTTCAGGATACAAAATCAATGTCCAGAAATCAGTAGCATTTCTACATACCAATAATGTTCAAGCCAAGGGCCAAATCAAGAACACAATGCCATTTATAATAGCCGCAAATACACACACACACACACACACACACACACACACACACACCCCTAGGAATACATCTAACCAAAGAGGTGAAAGATCTCTACAAGGAGAACTACAAAACACTGCTGAAAGAAATCACAAATGACACAAACAAATGGGAAAATCCTTCCATGCTTTTGGTTTGAAAGGATCAATATCATTAGAACTCCCATTCACAATTGCTTCAAAGAGAATAAAATACCTAGGAATCCAACTTACAAGGGACGTGAAGGACCTCTTCAAGGAGAACTACAAACCACTGCTCAATGAAATAAAAGAGGACACAAACAAATGGAAGAACATTCATTCCATGCTCATGGGTAGGAAGAATCAATATTGTGAAAATGGCCATACTGCCCAAGGTAATTTATAGATTCAGTGCGATCCCCATCAAGCTACCAATGACTTTCTTCACAGAATTGGAAAAAACTACTTTAAAGTTCATATGGAACCAAAAAAGAGCCCGCCTTGCCAAGTCAATCCTAAGCCAAAAGAACAAAGCTGGAGACATCACACTACCTGACTTCAAACTATACTACAAGGCTACAGTAACCAAAACAGCATGGTACTGGTACCAAAACAGAGATATAGACCAATGGAACAGAACAGAGCCCTCAGAAATAACACCCCATATCTACAACTATCTGGTCTTTGACAAACCTGAGAAAAACAAGCAATGGGACAAGGATTCCCTATTTAATAGATGGTGCTGGGAAAACTGGCTAGCCATATGTAGAAAGCTGAAACTGGATCCCTTCCTTACACCTTATACAAAAATTAATTCAAGATGGATTAAAGACTTAAACATTAGACCTAAAACCATACAAACCCTAGAAGAAAACCTAGGCATTACCATTCAGGACATAGGCATGGGCAAGGACTTCATGTCTAAAACACCAAAAGCAATGGCAACAAAAGCCAAAATTGACAAATGGGATCTCATTAAACTAAAGAGCTTCTGCACAGCAAAAGAAACTACCATCAGAGTGAACAGGCAACCTACAAAATGGGAGAAAATTTTCACAACCTACTCATCTGACAAAGGGCTAATATCCAGAATCTACAATGAACTCCAACAAATTTACAAGAAAAAACAAACAACCCCATCAAAAAGTGGGCGAAGGACATGAACAGACACTACTCAAAAGAAGACATTTATGCAGCCAAAAAACACATGAAAAAATGCTCACCATCACTGGCCATCAGAGAAATGCAAATGAAAACCACAATGAGATACCATCTCACACCAGTTAGAATGGCAATCATTAAAAAGTCAGGAAACAACAGGTGCTGGAGAGGATGTGGAGAAATAGGAACACTTATACACTGTTGGTTGGGCTGTAAACTAATTCAACCCTTGTGGATGTCAGTGTGGCGATTCCTCAGGGATCTAGAACTAGAAATACCATTTGACCCAGCCATCCCATTACTTGGTATGTACCCAAAGGACTATAAATCATGCTGCTATAAAGACACATGCACACATATGTTTATTGAGGCACTATTCACAATAGCAAAGACTTGGAACCAACCCAAATGTCCAACAAGGATAGACTGGATTAAGAAAATGTGGCACATATACACCATGGAATACTATGCAGCCATAAAAAAGGATGAGTTCATGTCCTTTGTAGGGACATGGATGAAATTGGAAATCATCATTCTCAGTAAACTATCGCAAGAACAAAAAACCAAACACCGCATATTCTCACTCATAGGTGGGAATTGAACAATGAGAACACATGGATACAGGAAGGGGAACATCACACTCTGGGGACTGTTGTGGGGTGGGGGGAGGGGGGAGGTATATTAGGAGATATACCTAATGCTAAATGACGAGTTAATGGGTGCAGCACACCAACATGGCACATGTATACATATGTAACTAACCTGCACATTGTGCACATGTACCCTAAAACTTAAAGTATAATAATAATAATAAAATAAAATAAAAATAAATAAATAAAAATAAAATGACCATACTGCCCAAAGCAATTTACAGATTCCATGCTATTCCTATCAAGCTACCAACGTAATTTAACACAGACCTCAAAAAGATTCTAATGTTTATATAGAACCAAAACAAAGCAGAATAGCTGAAGCAATTGTAGGCCAAAAGAATAAAGCTACATATTACCCATTCTCAAACTATACTGTAAGACAACAGTAACCAAAACAGCATGGTACTAGTACAAAAACAGACTCATAACCCAATGGGACAGAATATAAACCCAGAAATAGAGCTCCACACCTACAGCCATCTTATCTTTGACAAAGCTAACAAAAATAAACAATGGGGAAAGGATTTTGTGTTCAATAAACAGTACTGGGATAGCTAGCCATATGAAGAAGAATGCAGCTGGACTCCTACCTTTCACCATATACAAAAATTAACTCAAAATGAATTAAAGACGTAAATGTAAGACTTCAAACTCTAAGAATCCTAGAAGAAAATCTAGGAGACATCATTTTGGACATTGGTCTTGGTAAAGAATTTATGACTTAGTTCTCAAAAGCAATTTTCAACAAAAACAAAAACAGAAAAGTGAGACCTAAGTAAACTAAAGTACTTCTGCACAGCAAAAGAAACTATCAACAGAATAAATAGCCTAAAAAATGGGAGAAAATATTCACAAATTATGCATCTGACAAAAGTCTAATATCCAGAATCTATACTAAAAGAATTCAACAAGCAAAAATAAATAACTCCATTAAAAATAGGCAAGACATGAACAGACACTTCTCAATAGGAGATATACAAGTGGCCAAAAAACATATGAAAAAAATGCTCCACCTCACTAATCATCAGAGTAATAAATCAAAACCACAATGAGAAATCATTCTAACAACCAGTCAGAATGGCTGTTATTAAAAATCAAAAAACAATAGACATGGATAAAAGGAAACACTTATCCACTGTTGGTGGGAATTTAAATTAGTTCAGCCACTGTGGAAAGCAATTTGGCGATTTCTCAAGGGACTTAAGACAGAACTACCATTCAACCTAGAAATCCCGTTACTGTGTATCCATCCAAAAGAACACTCATATGTTCATCGCAACACTATTCACAATAGCAAAAACATGGAATTAACCTAGGTACCCATCAAAGGAGAATTGGATAAGGCTCTTCCTTTATAGACGCTTTATTTTAAGGGGATGAATAATACTTTGTTGAGTGAATATTTCTTAGTTTACTTAGGCAGTCCTCTAATAACCACTGAAGTTGTTTCAAAGGTTTAAGTATTATCACATAGCAAACATCTTTATATCCAGTAATCTCTGAAAAAAAATCTCTGATTTTAATTTTAGATGAATACCTAGAAGTAGAATTCTTTGTTTTCTTTTGTAAAAAGCTATAAATTCTTTGAGCCTCTTTGTGTATAGTCCCAAATTAGTTTCCAGAAAAGTTGTACCAAAATAGTCTTACACCAGTGTTAGAGAAGAGTAACTCTCTCAACATACTGTCACCAGCATTAAATATTAATTTTCAATCAATTTTGTTATTTAATGTAAAGAACATATAATCTTTTTGACTTATCAAAAGGAAAATTACTTTCTGTTCATATGAATAGCAGCCTGCTGGTCAGCAAGTTTTGTGAGCCCCTGCAGAGACAGCCTAGAAGTCAATTATCAATATTCACCATTGGAAATCTTGCCTTCGATCAATATATTTGGAAGAAATGTGCTATCACGCATGTTATGTGATACAGACTTTATTAAACTTGTTCTCATTTTTTAAAAAGCTTTATTCTGAACTGAAGGATAATAATGAGCATTGACTTTAGACGTGGTCTTTTATTTTAGATGTAGCTGTGCATTTTATGACTGTCTTAAATTCACTCAATGCTTCTTTCTTGAGAGCATTCATTCGATATTTAAGAAACATTTACTGCGTGTATACAGTGTTTTGGTATGTATTATTTAACATACATTTATTAAGTATCTATAGTATTCTATGATAAACTAAGTGTTGAGGCACAGTGGGAAAGAAAACAGTTCTTGTCCTAAAAGCTTAATCCTTGTACGTGATTTACAATAGCAAATTCAAATAGTCCAGATAATCTCAGCAATTGGAGAAAATTTCTGAAAATATATCTGCACATTATGAGAAATAGAAGTGAAAAATTCAACTTTCTGACTGCCAGCCAAGAGCTCAATCTACTTAAAAATAATTGTACATCAGGATATTTCAACTAATAATGTTTGTGTATCATACAATTACAATTAAATATATAGTATGTACATGTGACTTAGAAACCAACTAGTCTCTATTCTCTGTATAAAAATGGACAGAGAAAAGACTTTTCTTCATATGAAATATGTAGAATATTCATAAACTCTGTTTTATCTTTATACATTCTATAACTTAGTTTTTTTTTCAGAAGAGAGATTAGATTCTAGTTCAGAAAACACGACTCAGTGCTATCT
This sequence comes from Homo sapiens, assembly GCF_000001405.40. NCBI lineage: Eukaryota > Metazoa > Chordata > Mammalia > Primates > Hominidae > Homo > Homo sapiens. Next base: position 180,267,742 of record NC_000003.12, on the reverse strand, counting down.
GATGTTCATTTCTGTCTTTGAACTGCACTGTCAATGACACTTCAAAAGAAAACTGGACACAGGACTTGGCACATACTTTAAATGTCAACATTGAATCTCCCTGACAAGAAGGAAAACCCTCAGAATTTTCGACCAACAGACATAGACCATCCTGTTGCTGTACTTCTCAGTCTTGGTGACAGTTCTCCTATTTGTCTAGAGCTTTTTCTGTGTCAAGAACATGTCTTTCTTTATTAGGCATATCTGGATTTATAATTCTCTTCATGAAAACACTGCTTAGAAGCTATCTCCTGGCCACAAGATGTGCAGATAATATCACTTTCATTTTCTGCTCTCCCCTCACAGTGCTCTAAGAAGTTAGTTTCTCTTTTGAAAGATGGCTTACTGATTAGAATGGAGTCAGGACATGATTATAGAAAGACAGTCTAGTATATAGTTAGGCCATGTCAGGACAGTGACTGGATAGTGTTACAAACGTGAGGGAGCTTTATAGCTCTCCAGTCACCATGCTAGTGAGGAGCAAGTTAAGGAACCATTATCTGAATGTCTGAAATATCAAGGGCATGTTTCTCAACATGCTTCAGTAAAACAGCCAATAAATACATCCTTCTGTTTTTCTTAGCACTTTCCTGTTCTTAGAGGAGTAGGAGTACTTTTTGTGGAATATTGAAGAAAGAATAGTTTTATATGTCAGACAGACTTGGGTATCAGTCTTGATGCTACTAAGTAAGTATGCTGTCTTGGGCTTAAGCTCCCTAAACTTCCAATTCCTCACCTATAAAATTGGGGAAATACTTTTAAAGAAGTGAAGCATAACTCCTCACTTCTGAAGTGTGAATTGTGCATAGTGACTTCCTTCCAAAGAGTATAGTATAGAAAGAAGGAAAAACAAGTAACTACAGTGGAGAAAACTGACAAGCCTGACCCCAAGTTTAAGATTAACAATGATGCTCATGTTAATAGCATATATTCTTGATATCATGTGATGAGAATGGCATTTTTCTCCCTTCTCCCCAAAAAACCCCATAATCCCAGTCTTATGAGAAAAGTATCAGAAGAAAACAAACTGAAGGACATTCTGCAAAACACTCTAACCAATACTCCTAAGCATGGGAAAATCATAGCCATCTTTACTTGATGTGAAGATTAAAACATATGTTTTAATTATTACATTATTATTGGATAATTACATATCATTCAAAATATACATTCCCACCCCATTAACATCAGGTTTGGCCATGTGACTTGCTTTGACAAATAAAATGTGAGCAGAAATGAAGCGTGTCCCTTCTGAGCTTCTATCTTGTGGCTTTCATGCTCTATTTTTCCTCTAAAACCTCATTAAGAACTCTCAGACAGTCAACCCAGATCCTAGAATGTAGACAATTAACTGCTGAGTGGCAGTTGACCTGGAGTATATATGTAGCATGAAAGAGAAATCAATGTTTTTGTAAGCTACTGAGATGTTGAGGTCATCCTTTGATAGCGTAACTGAGCTTAAGCTGAGGACCTAGTTCTAATCAGGTAATGGAGTCCATACATTTTTACCTTCTGTTTCCCTCCGCTTCTTGCTCTTCCCCCATGTCCCCTCCACTTTCTTCTCTTTCCCCTTCCATCAACTTTTCCTTCTCAGATTATCTTATAATTTATAAGTATCTCCTTCCCACTAACTGCCTTTAGACTTTAGCATTCTAGCTCTTCTTACATTTGCTCTTAGTTGTTTACATCACTTAGATTTTTCTGGTGTTTTCAGCTAGAAGCATCCATGAGTGATTGAGGTTGAGATAACCTCCTTCTGCTATTCATCTGCCTTTCTTTTTACTCTTTCTACATTGGTTTCCTGATGAAATTGAATTAAAATTAAGATCCAGAACCCTTTGAATGGAAAAAGAAACCACTACAAGGGAAATTAAGGGTGTTTTTAAAGAGGTTAGGAGCTGATTATAAGCATGTAAGCCTCATACTTTCATTTTTTCTTTTAGCATCAGCCATCTCCTGAATCACTGCCCAGTTGCCAGATGCAAGTTTCTTTCTCCAAAGTAAGCCTGGCCAATTCAGCAATTCTTGTTGACTCATCCAGCCTTCTTGTTCACCCAGGACTTACTTAGGCATCCAAAATGAAATTAAATTTAGATTCCTTAATCCTGAGATATCTGTACCTGATAAATGATGCATAGGACATACAGACAGAAAGGATTCCTCTTAATTATGTTCAATTTTAATTTCACATGGATGCAATTTATATGGGAAAATATGATTAGGTTGACCCAGCATTCACAAAATCAAAATATCCAAGCAACCATCTTTACAGGAAACGAATATCCATAGCACACAACTAGAAGAATCTCTGATGGGGTGGTGCTGTCAGACAGTATCAGAAGGAGCTGGTGTTGTGAAGTTAGACACATTTCACATCAGTTTCAAGATTAATTCGGTGGCACAGATAGCAAGAGTTGCTCACTGTTATCAGGTAAGCACACACGATTTTTTTCTAGTCTCTGGTAAGAAAGATTGAAGGGGTTGATTTTCCTTCTCAATTTCAATCTTCAAATTTATATTGCCATCTAAGGAGGTCATTTATCTCTCTCATCTGAACACATAGGATATGTCTGCCCAGGAGGATTCTCTGGGCATCTGGGAGCAAAATATGAAGTTAGTCTGCAAGATAGCTGATTGTTCAGGAATAACCCATGAACTTCTTCCATGAAAAATCCTGATGGCATGGCTGTGCTGGGAGTTTAAAGGAGATTGCCCTTTCAACCGCACAGGGGTTGGGTGTTATGGTGGAAGTGGGAAGAATGTCATAGGGTTTCAGAAAAATGCAAAAGAAGAGTGAATACTTTTTCTTTGCCAGAAAAGAACCTTGAATAGGATGCATTTTTCTAGTACAAAAAACTTAATTGCGTAGTTCTGAAAGATAGATCATTGTTCAGTTCATTTTGCTAGAGTTGGCAACTATGTAAAATTTGGATAAACCCAATTCTAAGTCCTATAAATGTTTGTTGGTGGTTAGAGCTCTGTAGCTTCTTAAAAAGCTGACTGGGCAATTTTCACAATGTTTAAGAATTACGTAGAATTTCCACTACTGTTTCTTTCCAGGCCAAGAAAGAGAATGTCGTGGGCAGTAATGGATGAGACAGTCCATCTGGAAAACACTTATTTGCCTTACAGGTTTTGTTAATTCAGCAAATTGGTCCTAAATTTTTTTGAACTCATTATATAAACACTTGCTGGTCATCAAATTGCTATTTTTTCTATCCCTAGCTCAATTTTTTTTAAAGATTATTTCACTATGTACTTTAATTTTTGAAGTTTCTTTGTGGGAACAAGAGCTAATTTGCTAAGTACTTTATCCTTTTTCATATACAAATTTTACAACATTCTAAGGATTTCTGAAAATATACTTTGAAACACGACTTACACCATCCACTTGAAGACAAAGCAGGAAGGTCATATAGCAAATATTCTGATCATCACATGCAATTGCTAAGAAGAATAAATCAATAGAAACAATTAAAAATGTGTCAAACATAATAAAAAGAACAATTATCCAACAAACGGATGCTTATAATCTTGATAGCTTGAGATGGAGGTTAAGCCCAGAAAGTACATTTGAATTCACGAGAGAAAGAAATGCACTTTTAAAATATCAAAAGATAAATAGCAATATTTTTCAAAATACAGATGCTCCTCGACTTATGATGGGGTTATGTCCTGATAAACCCATCACAAGTTGAAAATATCATAAGCCAAAAATGCATTTAACACATCTAACCTACTGAACATTATGCTTAGCCTAGCCTACCTTGAACATGCTCAGAAAACTTACATTACCCACAGGTGGAAAAATCATCTAACACAAAGACCATTTAATAATAAAGTGTTAAATATCTCATGTGATGTGTTGAATACGGTATGAAAAATACAAAATGGAATGGTTGGGTTACTTGAAATTTGGTTTCTACTGAATACATATCACTTTTATACCATCATAAAGCCAAAAAATCATATGTCAAACCATTTTAAGTCAGGGACTGACTGTCTGTATATCGTTTCTATCTTTTTAGGACTTGACATAAGGCATTCATGGGGTCCAGGGAGAACATAATTAATTCCTAAAATAGCATGTACTTGTGGATAGGTCATTCATAGAAAACTTTACTTTGTAAGACTTCAATATTCAAATATTAGCATATTACATAAAAATATGAGGGATGGACAGAGCACTAATGGCCAAGGAGAGTTACTAGGGACAAAACTCCTGGCTTGGTTCTAGATACAAAGTCTGTGTCTAGATTTTTGAATGAAAGGAAAATGGAAAAATAATTGGGGATTTGGAGGATATGGTGAATGCATATCCTCCACATTTAAAAACAAATTTTGTGGGTACATAGTAGGTGTATATATTTATGGGGTACATGAAATGTTTTGATACAGGCATGTAATGCATAAAAATCACATCATGAAGAATGAGGGCTGGGCGCGGTGGCTCACGCCTGTAATCCCAGCACTTTGGGAGGCCGAGATGGGCGGATCACGAGATCAGGAGATCGAGACCATCCTGGCTAACACGGTGAAACCCTGTCTCTACTAAAAATACAAAAAATTAGCCGGGCGTGTTGGCGGGCGCCTGTAGTCCCAGCTACTCGGGAGGCTGAGGCAGGAGAATGGCGTGAACCCGGGAGGTGGAGCTTGCAGTGAGCTGAGATTGCGCCACTGCACTCCAGCCTGGGCGACAGAGCGAGACTCTGTCTCAAAAAAAAAAAAAAAAAAAAAAAAAAATGAGGTATCCATCCCCTCAAGCATTCATCCTTTGTGTTACAAACAATCCAGTTATACTCTTTTAGTTATTTTAAGTATACAATAAGTTATTATTGACTATAGTCACCGTGTCATGATATCAAATAGTAGGTTTTATTCTTTATTTTTTTTGTAACCGTTAATCATGCCCACCATCCCCCCACACTCCTTCTACCCTTCCATCTGGCCCTATCAGCCATATTTCTCCATAAGTTCAATTGTTTTGATTTTTAGAACCCACAAATTAGTGAGAATATGTGAAGTTTGTCTTTATGAGCCTGGCTTATTTCACTTAACATAATGATCTCCAGTTCCATCCAGGTGGCTGCAAATGACTGGATCACATTCTTTTTCATGGCTGAATACCACTCCATTGTGTATAGGTACCACATTTTCTTTATCTACTCATCTGTTGATGGACACTTAGGTTGCCTTCAAATTTTGGCTGTCATGAACAGTGTACAACAAACATGCAAGTGCAGATATCTCTTTGATATACTGATATCCTTTCTATTGGGTGTATACCCAGCAGAGGAATTGCTGGATCATATAGTGCTCTATTTTTAGTTTTTTGAGGAACCTCAAAACTGTTCTCCATAGTGGTTGCATTAATACTAATTTATTATACATTCCCACCAAAAGTTTACAAGGGTTCCCTTTTCTCCGCATCCTCACCAGCATTTATTATTGCCTGTCTTTTGTATAAAATCCATTTTAATAGGGCGGGATGACGTCTCCCAGCACCTTTTCATATGTCTGTTGCCATTTGTATGTCTTCTTTTGAGAAATGCATATTCAAATCTTTTGCCTATTTTTTTATTTGATTATTAGATTTTTTTTCTGTAGCGTCATTTGAGCTCCTTATGTATTCTGGTTATTAATACTTTGTCACACTGGCAGTGTGCAAATATTTTCACCCATTCTCTAGGTTGTCTCTTCACTTCATTGATTGTTTCCTTTGCTATGCAGAAACTTTTTAACTTAATGTTATCCCATTTGTTCATTTTTGCTTTGATTGCCTGTGCTTGCGGGCTATTCCTCAAGAAATTTTTCCCCAGACCAATGTCCTGGAGATTTTCCCCAATGTTTTATTGGAACAGTTTCATAGGTTGAGGTCTTAGATTTAAGTCTTTAATCCATTTTGATTTGATTTGATTTTTATATAGGGTGAGAGATAGGGGTCTAGTTTCATTCTTCTGCATATGGTTATCCGGTTTTCCAAGCACCATTTATTGAAGATACTGTCTTTTCTCCATTGTATATTCTTGGCACCTTTGTTGATAATGAATTCATAGTAGGTGTATGGATTTGTTTCTGGGTTCATTGTTCTGTTCCATTGGTCTATGTGGCTGTTTTTATGCCAGTCTACCGTGCTGTTTTGGTTACTATAGCTCTGGAGTGTAATTTGAAGTCAGGTAATGTGATTCCTCCAGTTTTGTTCTTTTTGCTTTGGGTAGCTTTGGCTATTCTGGGTCTTTGGTGATTTTATATAAATTTTAGGATTGTTTTTTCTATTTCTGCGAAGAATGCAGTTGGTTCTTTGTTAGGGGTAGCATTGAATCTGTAGATTGCTTGGCATAGTATGGACATTTTAACAATATTGGTTCTTCCAATTCATGAACATGTAATATTTTTCCATTTTTTGTCCTCTTCAATTACATTCATTAATGTTTTACAGTTCTCATAGAGATTTTTCACTTCTTTGGTTAATTTTTAGTTCTTTAATTTTATGTGTGGCTATTGTAAATGGGATTACTTTCTTGATTTGTTTTTCACATTTTTTACTCTTGGCATATAGAAATGGTACTGATTTTTGTAGCTTAATTTTGTATCTTGCAACTTTAATGAGTTTGTTTATCAGTTCTGTTAGTTTTTATGTCGAGTCTTTAGGGTTTCCAAATATAAGATCATATCTGCAAATAAGGATAATTTGACTTCTTCATTTCCAATTTGGACTTTGGATGCCTTTTCTTTTCTTTTCTTTCTTTCTGAGGTGCAGTCTCACTCTGTCTCCCAAGCTGGAGTGCAGTGACGTGATCTTTGCTCACTGCAACCTCTGCCTCCTGGATTCAAGCAATTCTCATGCCTCAGCCTCCAGAGTAGTTGGAATTACAGGCATGCACCACCATGCCCCGCTAATTTTTGTATTTTTAGTAGAGACGAGGTTTTGCCATATTGGCCAGGCTGGTCTTGCACTCCTAACCTCGTGATCTGCCTGCCTTGGCCTCCCACAGTGCTGGGATTACAGGCATGGGCCACCACACCCAGCCAGGATGCCCTTTTCTTTTCTTTTCTTTTCTTTTCTTTTCTTTTCTTTCTCATTTCTGATTGCTCTAACTAGGAGTTCTAGTACTGTGTTGAATAACAGTGGTAAAACTAGGCATCCATGTCATGTTCCACATCTTAGTAAAAAGACTTACAGTTTTTGTTCATTCAGTAAGATACTAGCTGTGGGTCTGTGGTATGTGGTTTTTATTATGTTGAGGTATGTTCCTTTTATCCCCAGTTTTTTCAGGATTTTTATTATGAGGAACTGTTGAGTTTTATCAAATGCTTTTTCAGTATCAATCAAAATGATCATATGGTTTTTATCCTTCATTCTGTTGATATGCTGTATCACACTGATTGATTTGTGTATGTTGAACCATCCTTGCATCCCAGTGATAAATTCCTGTTAGTCATAATGAATGATTTTTCTAATGTGTTCTTGAATTTGGTTTGCTAGTATTTTGTTCAGGATTTTTGCATCAATATTCGTCAGAGATATTGACCACTACTTTTTTTTATGTGTCTTTGGTTTTGGTATCAGGGTAGTACTGGCCTCCTAGAATAAGTGTGGAAGTATTCTTTCTTCCTCTACTTTTTTGGAATAGTTTAAGTAGGATTTGTATTAGTTCTTTAAGTGTTTGGTAGAATTTGGCAGTGAAGCCAGTGGGTCCTGGGCTTTTCTTTACCGGAAGACTTATAATTATGGCTTCAATCTTGTTACTTGTTATTGCTCTGTTCAGGTTTTGGATTTCTTCCTGGTTCAATCTAATGGATTGTATGTGTCTTGGAATTTGTCCATTTCTTTGAGATTTTCCAATTTATTGGCATATCATTGCTCACAGTAGCCACTAATAATCCTTTAAATTTCTGCAGTGTCAGTTGTAATGCCTCCTTTTTTATTCCTGATTTTACTTATTTATATCTTTTCTCTTTTTTTTCTTAGTGTGGTTAAAAGTTTGTCATTTTTGTTTAACTTTTCAAAAAACCAGCTTTTCATTTCATTGATTTTATTTTAATTTATTTCTGCTCAGATCTTTATTATTTCTTTTATTCTGCTAATTTTTGGCTTGCTTTGCTGTTGCTTTTCTAGTTAAGCTTTGTCATTAGATTGTTTATATAAAGTGTTTCCTCTTTTTTGATGTAGGCACTTACAGCTATAAACTTCCCTTTTAGTCCTGCTTTTGCTGTACACCATAGGTTTTAATATGTTGTGCTTCCATTATCATTTTGTTTCAAAATTTTTTCTAATTTCCTTCTTAATTTCTTTATTGACCCACTAGTCATTCAAGGGCATATTTTCTAATTTCCACGTGATATAGTTAGGCTTTGTGTCCCTACCCAAATCTCATCTTGAATTGTAATCCCCAGATGTTGAAGGAGAGACCTGCTGGAAGGTGATTAGTTCATGGGGGGCAGTTTTCCCCCTGCTGTGCTTGTGATAGTAAGTTCTCATGAGATCTGATGGTTTTGTAAGTGTCTGACAGTTCCTCCTTCACGCACTCACTCTGTCGCCTGACGCCGTGTAGGATGTGCCTCTTCCCCTTCTGCTATGATTGTAAGTTTCCTAAGGCCTCCCCAGCCATGCAGAACTGTGAGTCAATTAATCCTCTTTTCTTTATAAATTGCCCTGTCTTGGTTATGTCTTTACAGCAGTGTGAAAATGGACTAATACATCACGTATTTGTATAGTTTCCAAAATTCCTCTTATTAATTTCTAGTTTTATTCCATTGTGGTCAGAGAAGATGCTTAATATTATTTCAATGTTTTTGAATTTTTAAGACTTGTTTAATGACCTAATATATGGTCTATCATTGAGAATGACCTATGTGCTGAGCAGAAGAATGTGAATTCTTCAGTCATTGGATGGAATGTTCTGTAAATATCTATCAGGTTCATTCAGTCAATAGTGCAGGTAAGTCTGATGTTTCTTTATGATTTTCTGTCACGATTACCTGTCCACTTCTGAAAGTGAGGTGTCAGAGTCTCCAGCTATTATTGTATTGGGGTCTATCTCTCTATGTAGCTCAAATAAAATTTGCTTTGTGTATCTGAGTGTTCCAGTGTTGGATACATATATATTTAAAACTGTTATATCCTCTTGCTGAATTAACTCCTTTATCATTATATAATAACCTTCATCTCTATTTGTAGTTTTTGTCTTGAAATTCATTTTGTCTGATAGAAGCATAGTGACTCGTGCCCTTTTTTGATTTCCATTGGCGTGCAATACCTTTTTCCATCCCTTTAAGTCTATGTGTATCTTTACAGGTAAAGTGTGTTTCTTGTAGGCAACAGATGAATGGGTCTTGATTTTTTAAATTCATTCAGCCACTCTGCATCATTTGATTGGAGAGTTTAGGCCATTTACATTCAACATTACTACTGTTAGTAAATAAGGACTTACTCCTGCCATTGTGTTATTTTCTGGTTGCTTTGTGATCTTATCTTTCTTCTTTCTTTCCTTCCCGTCTTCCTTTAATGAAGGTGATTTTCTCTGGTGATATGATTTAGTTTCTTGCTTTCTATTTTTTGTGTGTCCGCTGTATGTTTTCTGGTTTGCATTTACCACAAGTCTTGCAAGTATTATCTTATAATCCATTATTTTAAGCTGTGACAACTTAATTATGTTTGCATAAACAAACAAGCAAAAAGAAAACTATACAAATTTTATTCTTTAACTTTATCCCCCTACTTTTTAACTTTTTGTTGTTTCCATTTACAGCTTATTGTAATGGCTATGTCTTGAAAAGTTATTGTAGTTATTATTTTAGATTGGTTCATCATTTAGTCTTTCTACTCAGGATAAAAGTAGTTTATATACCACAGTTACAGTATTATATCAGTCTGTGTTGTTTTGTGTACTTGCCATTACCAGTGAGTTTTATACCTTCAGGTTATTTCTTATTGCTCATTAATGTCACTTTCTTTCTGATCGAAGTTCCCCTTTTTAACATTTCTTTTTTTTAAAATTTATTTATGATTATTATACTTTAAGTTTTAGGGTACATGTGCACAATGTGCAGGTTAGTTACATATGTATACATTGTAGGACAGGTATAGTGTCAATGAAATGCCTCAGCTTTTGTCTGGGAAAGTCATTACTTCTCCTTCATGTTTGAAAGATATTTTTGCTATATATACTATGCTAGCATAAAAGTTTTTTTCCTTTAGCATTTATGCCACTTTCTTTTAGCCAGTAAGGTTCCCCAGAAAAATCTGTTGCTAGCTGTACTGGAGCTCCATTATATGTTGTTTCTTTTCTCTTGCTACTTTTAGGATCCTTTCTTTAGCCTTTACTTTTGGGAATTTGATTATTAAATGCCTTGAGGTAGTATTATTTAGGTTAAATCTGCTTGTGGTTCCATAATCTTCTTGTACTTTGATGATATCTTTTCCTAGATTTGGCAGGTTCTCTGTTATTATCTCTTTAAATAAACTTTCTACCCCTACCTGTTTCTCTACCTCCTCTTTAAGGCCAATAACTCTTAGATCCACCCTTTTGAGGCTATTTGCTAGATCCTGTAGGCATGCTTCATTGTTTTTTATTCTTTTTTGTCTCCTCTAGCTGTGTATCTTCAAATAGCCTGTCTTCAGGTTCACTAATTCTTTCTTCTGCTTGATCACTTCTACTTTTGAATGACTCTGATGCATGCTTCGGTATGCCAATTGCATTTTTCAGCTCCAGAATTTCTGCTTGATTCATTGTAATTATTTCAGTCTCTTTGTTAAATTTATCTGATGGAATTCTGAATTCCTTCTCCATGTTATCTTGAATTTCTTTGAGTGTCCTTAAAACAGCTGTTTTGAATTATCTGTCTAAAAGGTCACATTTCTCTGTTTCTCAAGGATTGGTCCTTGGTGTCTTATTTAGTTCATTGAGTGAGGTCATGTTTTCCTGCATTGCCTTGATACTTGTAGAAGTTCATCTGTGTCTGGGCATTGAAGAGTTACATATTTATTGTAGTCTTCACAGTCTAGGCTTGTTTGTACTTATCCTTCTTAGGAAGGCTTTCCAGATAATCAAAAAGACTTGAGTGTTGTGATCTAAGCTGTATCTGTTTTAGGGGCCTCCCTAAGTCCAGTAATGCTGTGATTCTTGCAGACTCATAAAGGTACCACCTTGATGGTACTGGAAAAAATCCAGGAAAATTCTCTGAATTAGCCAGGCAGAGACTAATTTTCTCTTACCTTACTTTCTCTCAAATAAATGCAGTCCATATCTCCTGCCAGGACTGGGTCATTTCCTTCAAGGCAGTGGTTTCCCTTCTGGCCCAGGGCATGTCTAGAGATATCATCCAGGAGCTAGGGGCTGGAGAGAGAGCCTTGTAATTGTAACCAGTGTTCTATCCTGCTGCAGCTGAGTTGGTATCCAAGATGCAAGACAAAGCTGCTATCTAAGATGCAAGACAAAGTTCTCCTCCCTCTTCCCTCTCCTCACCTCAAGTGGAAGGGTCTCTTTTGGAGCCACAGGCTGGGGTTAGGGAAGTAGTGATGCCAGCACTTCTTTAGCCACTCCAGCTGGTGTCTCAATAGGTCATGTGCCCCACCCCCATTCAGTCTGCTGGTTCTGGGCCAAATTTAGGACTAGAACTGTCCTAAAAGTTGCAGTCCTTGTGCCCTACACTGTCTTTGTGCAGCCATCAGAGTTGTCTTATTTTTGTGTGCCTTATTTTGTCATGGTTGTTGTTTTCTAAGCATTCAGCCTATGATAAATTAATTCATTGATGTATTATAAGCCTATCTGTGTTTTACATCTAGTGCTATAGTTTGATCCTCCAAAATTCATGTTGAAACCTAATCCCCATGGTAACAGTATTAAGAGGTGGGGGCCTTTGGGAGGTAAAGAAGCTAAAGTCATCAAATTGGAGCTCCCATGATGGGACTGGTAGCTTTATAAGGAGAATAGAGATCTGAACTAGCACACTTGGCCTGTGTCTCGCCATGTGATGCCTCCCACTATGTAATAACATAATGACACAGCATAAGTCGCTCACCAGAAGCTGGGTAGATGCCAGTGCCATACCTATGGACTTCCTAGCCCCCAAAACTATAAGAAATAAATTTCTTTTCTTTGTAAATTTCTTCTCTTTGTAAATTGTCCAGTCTCAGGTATTAAATATTCTGTTATAGCCACAGAAAATTCCTTTATTACAGCTCATTCTTTTAACAATGGAATAAAGGATTTTTACTAAACGAACTTTGGCTTTTGAGGGATTTTTTAAAGGTTAAGAAAAACTCTTTGAATGTTTTTAATACCATTTTGATGATTACTGCCACTTTCATACAATTTTATTTTGGTAAATAAGTCACCTGACTTTGGCTTCCCAGGGACCTGGGAATTATGCCTAATTCTTGTTTTGTGTTAAGGTCACGAAATCAGTAACCCCAAACTAGCAAAATATTATTAAATCAGATATAAAATGAGGGTTTTAAAGAGTGTATGTTAGTGAGTGGCACCTGATTTCCTCTTAGAGGGCCAAATGTTTTTGGTAAGAAACAAAGAAATGTTTATGATGTAGATGAGGACAAGTGATAATACTTTGGAAGGAAATATATAGAAATATCAGCTAAATTGTTTAAGTAGAGAAAGTTTTCACTAACTGGTGGTTTTCAATGAGGAGGAGAAAATGAGAGAAGGATTAGTCAGGAAGAAGTGCCCAAATAATATGACAGAAGGCTGAAGACTGAAAAGAAGGAATCAGTGAATAATTTTCTGGTAGCAAGGCTATTGAAGAAATTTTTTTAAAAGAGATCATCTAACATTAACTTTTAAGACATTTTCTATGTAATTTGTGCTGTAAGTGTCCTCTTCAAATGCTTAAAATTGCAAAGGAATCATCTACGCAAATGATTGACATTGTTTTGGAGAAATCAAGGAAAAGTCTTTGCCCCTGGTTTGTGTGAGGCAGAACAAAAATAGAAGTCATTCGAAATGAAATAAAAGTAAGACTGAAAGTTCAGTGATAGCAAAAAATTAGAACTATTGGTGTCCGTGAAAACATCAATTTAATAGTTATCTCTCAGAAGGTAGGATGGTGTTGATAGGGAGTAGATTTTTTACTTGCTGAAAAGACAAGAGGGTTGAGTTCTTTTATGTTAATTTTTAAAACTGTTAATTTGGCTGAGATTTGGGGTATACTTATATATGATAAATACTAAACCTATACAATTATCATTTGAAATTTTTATAGAAGATGGACTATCAATGCAAATATATTTTATTTGTTATCTGATTATGTCACATTTCCTATCTCCTCCATCTGTGTCAGTTAGAAGAATGTAATTGTATTCATTTTCAAGATTCAGAAAATGAGACATGAAGGTTAATGACCTTCTGAAAGTCAGTCTGTAACTTAGAAGTGGGATGGAGCAAGATCTAGAACCCATGACTCAAGTTCAGTTAATGATCTGGAAACACTGTAGTGAGAATCGTTAATACCTCGCTCTTCACTAGTTGTGTAACAGTGAGCCTGTATCTCACTATTGTCACGCCACAGTTTTTTTTTTCTGTGAAAAAGTGAATAACAATTTGGGTGGGTTAAATGATATAATATATGCAAAGTTTCAAGCTCAGTGCCTAGAACCCAGTAAACACTCCATTAATACTAGAATTATTTATTTACTTGTTCTTTAAATTATTGTTTGGGGAATAAAGATTAATATTAGTAAAACGTTGTCACATTCCTTTCCATTTTTATCATTCCAAAGCATTGTCCATTTATATTTGAGAAGGATTTCTGCAACAGAGTTTTAAAGCGTTCTGGCTTTTCAGCCCACAGCAGTTTTAATCTCATGGAAATTACAAATTTACACTAATTGTATAAGATCTAAGGAAAAATCTCAAGTGACCCAGGGGCCATTGGTCTCTCCAATTCTCCTTATCATTCTGGGACTTATTTGGCCTGGGCTTGGACATAATCTCCCATAGACACCTCACAAACTGAGAAATCAATAAAAGAATCCATAGCAGCTCATGGTACAAGAGGCGAAGTCACAGAACCTAAATATTAAATTATGCTGCCACCCCACTTTATTCAAAAAAATTCCGAATTTTTTTTTATTATCAAGATTTAAGTGTCAGGGTTTAGGACTTACCCTGTTTTCTTGAATGTGGCTTATTTACCATAGATTAGAGATGATGAAAGGGATCTTTCATCATGGTTGAAGGCAACTGCTTCCTACAATTGAGAAAATTGAATTCCAGGGATATTACTGACTTTCTTAATCTCTACACTGAGTCATGAGCTTCTATGTAATGAAGTAAGAGTAGAAGACTAATAAGGTCACTCTAAATGACAGATAATTTTGTTACAACTTTATTGAGGTATAACTGGCATAAATAAATGGCATATATCTACAGGTTATATTATGATAAGTTTTTACATATGTGTATACTCATGAAAACATTACCACAATCAAAATTATTCACATATTTATCACCCCTAAATGTTTTTCATTTACATTTGTAATCTTCCTTTCCTCTCCTTGCTCCCTGTCACCCCAATCCCTGTCATTCCAAGGCAACCACTTACCTGCCTTCTATTACTATTGTTTAATTTGCATTTTCTAAATTTTTTATGACTAAAAGTACATAGTATCTCTATTTCGTATGGCTTCTTTCACTTCAAAAAACATATTTTGAGACATAGCCTTGTTTTTACATGTATCAACATTTTTGCCTTTTTATTGCTAAGAAGTACTTCATTCTGTGGCTACACCACAACTTGTTTATTCATTTACCTGGTAGACAGGTGGTGTTAGTGGACATTTGGATTCTTTCCAACTTGGGGCTATTAAAAATAAAGCGGTTATGAGCATGGTGTAAAGTATTTCAGTGTACAGTTGCTTTTGTTTTCCTTGGGTAAATACCTAGGAGTGGGTGAAATGGTTGAGTTGTACGGTAATATGTGTTGAATTTTTAAGAAACTACCAATATCCAAAGTAGTTATACCATTTTATATTTCTACCAGCAGTTTATGAAAGTTCCAGTTGCTTCACATTTGCATTACAGTTTTAATTTATGTCTTACTAGTGAGAAATGATATTGAGCATATTTAGTGTGTTTGTTGGCCATCTATATACATCTTTGATGAAGTGTCTGTTAAAATCTTTTGCCCATTTATTGTTGTGTTATTTATATTCTTATTACTGACTTGTAAGAATTCTTTATATATTCTGAATAGAAGTTATTTGTCAGAAACCTTTCTTGCTTTATCACACTGGGAAGGATATCTAGTACACTGCTAAATAGAAGTGGTGAGACCAGACATTCTTACCTTGTTGCTGACCTTAGGAGTATATCTTTCACCACCAACGTGATGTCATTTAGTAGGTTGTAGAAATTCTCTTATATTTATTTTGTGAAGGACTTTTTTTACTAGGACATAATTCCTTTGGTACCATAGGAAGCAGCTCATCTGTGATATTTACCTTTCCCCTCTTCTACTTATGTACATAGAACCCTTATGTATGAAAATAGAAGATGGAGTTTTGGAGTCAAGCTCTACCGGCCATACTGAAATCAAATTTTTTCTTCTAAGGGAAATGACAAATACTGGCATATGTGCCTGTATTCTCCTACTTATGGCAGAAATTAATAGTTGATCACGGCATTCTTTTCCAGGGAACCTAAATGCAGACACAGAAACCAGGTCATCACAGGGTCCAGGCAGCCTCTACAGTTGGCATCTGTGAGGAATATTTTCTGTCTCTGAACTGCAATATTTCCACATGAAACAACAAGAAAAAAATATTCAATTTTGTGAGAGATACAGATGTAGGTATAATATCATTTGGTATCTGGATATGGTCAGGAAGCAGCTGTAGAGAATCATCTTACAGCTTTAAGGGACTTTTCATAACTATTCCTCCAAATAACCTTGTGGAGAGAGTGGGGATTTGGGGAAACCGGATCATTTACAACCCTGTAGAACCATTGGATGGTCCAGAAGAAAGTCTCCTTTGAAATCATCTAACTCAG
The DNA here is from genome assembly GCF_000001405.40 of Homo sapiens. Classification (NCBI taxonomy): domain Eukaryota; kingdom Metazoa; phylum Chordata; class Mammalia; order Primates; family Hominidae; genus Homo; species Homo sapiens. The sequence goes on along the minus strand of NC_000003.12, from coordinate 180,251,693 downwards.
GAGTTTTCAGACTTTAAATTTTCTTAGCTTCAGAATATTTTCTTTTAAAAAATATTACCAAAAAATTTCAATATATAAGTGCAATGTTTGTGTCTCTGCTAAATTCATAGGCTGCAATCCTCACAACCACAGTGATAATATTAGAAGGTGGAGACTTTGGGAAGTAATTAGTTCATGAAGGTAGAGCCCTAGTGAATGAGATTGATGCCTTTATAGAAGGGCCCCCAGAAAGCTCTCAGTCTCTTTCTGCCATGTGAAGATACGATAAGAAGTCAGCAGTCTGCAGTCTGGAAGGGGGCCCTCCCCAGAACCAACCATATTGGCACACCGATCTTGGACTTCCAGACTCCAGAACTGTGAGAAATAAACTTTGGTTGTTAATAAGCCACCAGGACCATGGTACTTTATCATAGCAGCTCAAACTAAGACAGTAGGAAGGTAAAAGTAGAACAGTTGTAATCTCCCCATAGCCCACTCCTTCATGCCTTGAAAGCTCCTGAGCTATCTCATTGAAAAATGCTAAGGCTTCATTAAGCAGTGTTTCAAAACCACACACTTGTCCAACTTTCACTTAATGAATGTTGAAATATAAGGAGTAATGTAAAGTGCCTAAGGGACTTGAAGACAGATTATTTGATCATAGTCTGATATTTTCTTCTATACCATATGCATGCACAGAAAACATATACATTATATACTTGTGAGTCATTAATGATAAGAAGAATAATAACTACATAGCCACATAATATTTTACAAAACACAGTGTCACTAATGATATCACTTGGCATCCATAACACCTTCATTTCCAAAGTGGGAACTGAGGCTCAAAGAGAAGTAATTCACCCAAGGCCACAGAGCTGATATGTTGTTAGGTTGGGACTCAAGCGCAACTCTATTCTTAGGTGAATGTATAAATATAGACACCTACTATGTACCCACAAAATTTAAAAATAAAAAATAAAACAATAAAATAAAAAATCTCTCCAGGTGGTACTAGTGTGCAGCTAACATTGTGAAACACTGGCCTACAGAATAGAATCCTAGCTCCTTCATATAGCACACAAATCCTCTGTGATAGCTTCAGGTCCAGCTCTCCAATCTTACCCTCTGCTGCTTGGCAACCCGACACTTTGCACTCCAGGATCGTAATAGTAGGAGGTTATTGAACCTAATACATTTTCCACTCCTTTTCACATTGTATTCCTTCTCTCTTTTCATATATCTAATGAACTCCTAGTCATCCTTCAAGACCCTGCTCAAGTAGTGACTCTTAGGTGAAGATTTCCCTGACCTCTTTAAACAGAGTTTATGGCTCATTCCTCTGGTTCCACTTTACCATGTACACTATTCTATTATTGTGTTTACAATAGTGACTCACTTAATTATCTCCCTTAGTGAACTTGGCAGAGCAATGTCTTGCTCATATTTTTTGCATGATGGGGGTGGAGTTTTTCTGTCTACCACCACCTGTCATTATCTGCCTTTTTGACTCAGTACCAATTTTCCTGATTTTGTGGGATCATTATTTCTTTCATATATGAAGGAATCAGGAACCTTGCTTAAGAGCATCCTCCCCTGCGTATTATCTGTAACAGAATTGCAGGGACTGGCCACAAAAGCAAGTTAAGTCAGCAGTCTACAGATTGACACAGCCTGAGTTTCTGGTAGTTGATCAATTAAACCACATGTATTTATTATGTGTCTGTTTTATGCTTGGCATCTCAGTATTAAAACACCAGGTAATCTCTACCTAAAGTTACTCACTCTCTAGTTTTCCACCTTGACTCATATAAAGGACCTGAAGCATATCCAGCATATTTGCAACTTAACTGAGAAGTAGAGAGCTGATAATCTGTACCCTAAAAATCTTAAAATATGAAGAATAAGCAATAAGCCATTGTATGGTTTGTTTATAGGGGTCTTTTTAAACTCCTGGTGGATGTTTACAATTCCTCCATTACAGTTTCAGCTGGTTAGTATAAGATTTTGAACCCTGTTAAAACGCAATAACCTTGGAAAGGAAAACATTAAGTTGTTGCTAGCTAATTTTACCTCCCTGTTAAAGAAATGCCTAGGAGTAGATTTTTAGGAAGACAAAGGATAAGAGCAAGAAGGAGTGTAGAAAAGAGGCATTAGCAAGTAGGTAAAAAATTAAAGAATGAAATACTAGGAAAATGAATGATTCCACAAGGCTTAGGTCAAATATTGTGGTACATTGTGTGGATGAGCAAAATTAAGGTAAATTTTTATGTAAGAATAGAAAATATTAAAATCTGGCTATTTCTAATAATTTTCAAAAATTTATGTACTAACATAAAAATTAATTATGTACTGGAATGAGCAAATCAAAAGGTTATTGATGATAAAGCCACTATGTCAGAGATAACCAAAATATCCAATAATAGGGATAGTTTAATAAAATAAATTATTTTATTATTTGTAAGCACTGAACTTTTATACAACTATTATAAATAATGATCTAGAACAGTATATAATTTCTTAAGATGTTATAGATTAGGAAAGATATGCATGATATATGAAGCAAAAAAATCAGATTATAAATAATATATATGATCCTAGATTTTTGGGAAAAATATATGTACATACACATGTATACATAGAAAGAAAGATCTAACCACACTGTTAGCAGTGCTTAGTTTTGTAGGAGTCTGGGGTGGAAAAACTACAAATATTATAAGGAAGTAAAGAACTTTATGCTTATCTATGTCCTTTAATTTTGTTTTAAACTACAATTTAAAAACTATTATAAACTTCAAAGGAAGTCTAGGAAAGTTATAAAATTATAGTGCATTCTGTCATATTACATGGATTATTAATTATAGAGAATGTGAGGGAAATACTGAGTGTTTGACTAAGAGCCCCAGTGAGGGTTCTGCTAAGAGAAGTGCCAAAGTTGGCTGAAGGATCACTATTTGCAAGATCCTGCTTATATGACAAGAGCAATCAAACAAACCCAAAGCATCCACATAATTCAAAAAATATTTAAAGTCAAATAAGATTTGCAAGGTAGACAAACTTTTACATTCATAGAAATAAACACCTGTTACAAGGATGAAAATTCAGGAACACAGGACCACTGAAGATACAAGCAAGAAATGGTACCAAATGCCAAAACAGATAATATACAAATGTGGGAAAAATTGTATATGTAAGTGAAATTACATGTGCCCTACATGTTTCTACTTCTAAGTCTGGGAAAATTATCTATCCTAGGCACACTGTTAATAGAAACCATAAAAACTAACTGTAAATTTAAAACAAAAAAAAGTGCTAGCTGGGCACAGTGGCTCACGCCTGTAATCCCAGCACTTTGAGAGGCCGAGGTGGGCGGATCAACTGAGGTCAGGAGTTTGAGACCAGTCTGGCCAACATGGTGAAACCCAGTCTCTACTAAAAATACAAAAAATTAGCCAGGCGTGGTGGCACACACCCGTAATCCCAACTAATCGGGAGGCTGAGGCAGGAGAATCGCTTGAACCTGGGAGGCAGAGGTTGCAGTGAGCTGAGATGGCGCCATTGCACTCAAGCTTGGGCAACAAGAGCAAAACTCCATCTCAAAACAAAAAAAAAAAAAAAAAAAAAAAGAAGTTGCATAGGAACATGTGTTTATTATGACATTTAGTCAGTTTATGATGCAATTCACCATATCTGTCTGTACTTGTCTTATTTTTCCCCCTCCTTGAACTCTAAAGATCAGATATTGGGAACCTGTTCTATTTTCTCCAGTAATTAATTCAAGGAAACAATAGATTGAAGATTAAAATCTCCTTACATAGTTCTTGGATCCTTATTTCTCTGGTAAGCTTACTGACTGCCAATGGCATTAAAAAATACAAGTCTAACTTTTCTACTAACTTCTAAAACCCCTGCTGCAAATAGAATCAAAATTAACAAAAGAAACAACTGAACAACAATACAAAGACCTCTGTGGTGCATTAACACTAGCAGGAATTTAAATGCCACATGCAAATATCAAATGACATTTACAAAGCACATACCTTGTATAATTCTTCTGTTAGCTAATGCAGTAATTACAGATTTATATGTTTCAACAGAATCACCATAGAGAATATAGCAGCCAGGAATATTTCAATCAAAGGGGAAAAGCCACAAAGAATTACTGAAACTGTGACCTACTCAGATATAAAGTTCACCAGGTTTATTCTGCTATTCTGACTGACTGATCCCTTTCATCCTTGAGAATGAATGTAAAAAGTAGGGTACCTGTGTAGAATAAATATCCATATTTATATCTGTATCTATGTATTTATATATCTCTATTTTTATGTGTTTCTATATATGTATATCTGTATATGGGCTTCAGACTGACATACTGAGTACCAGCTCTGGGACATATCCAGATTATAACCAAAGATAACACCTTAACAAGCAAAGCCATACTCTAAAACAGTTCTGTGTAATATGCCATACTGCAATAATGGATAATGGAAACGTCCTATGCCTGCATTATCCAGCAGACTAGCCACTAGCTACACGTGGCCATCGAGCATGTGAAACGTGATTACTGGGACTGAGGAACTGATTTTAAATTTTATTTAATTTTAGTTAATTTAAATTAAAATTTAAATAGCCAGGTTTGTCTGTTCACTACCATATTGGGCAGTTCAGCTCTAAAATAAGGAAACTTATGAAATGACACTGATGAAATGCAATCAAAGTGAAGAAACTTCCTTTTCTTACCAACTGCTTGCATATGAATAAGCTGAGCTTCTCTTCCTTTCTATAGAGTTAAGCCATCCGCATGGATTTATGGCAGGGAAGAAAACAGGTAGAAGATAAACACTGGCTATTTGAGATGCTTAGGATTCCTTCTTGAAGTTGAGGACTGTGTGTTACTTCTCTGTACAGGCGGTAAATAGAGAAGTACTAGAACAGAATAGGTGATCAAGTAATGTTTATTTTTTAATATGTTGAATAAGGTGCTTGTTTATCAAAATAAGAAACAAATCCAGGCATCTGAATTCTATAAATATACAAAAAAATAAGCACACAGTTGACTATGCTCTACTGTAGTTCATGGTTTGCATTAGACTATACTTTGGCTAGTGTATATACCCTGGAAATATTAATATATTGAAAATCACACATTTTAAACTTTATTACTGTTAAGATACATAGAATTTTTTCACAATAATATCTTTAAAGATATTTGATTTAATTTTTTCTTTGATTTCTTCCACATCTATAGAAGAAAGGGCTATATGAAAATAATGTCTCTGTATGTATAAAACTCTGAACACATTACTATTATATTGTTTGATTTGTGTTCTAGGTGTGATTCCAAATGCCTATTTTATCTTATAGTTTAGAGCTGGAAAAAAAGTTTATCTCAATTAATTTTTATGTCCCAAAGAAAAGCTATAGATTTTTGGTCTTCATAGCCAGGAAGTTCTGAGAAACAAAATAAAAGGAATTTCTCATTTGTGGGGGACAATTCCATGGCTCTCTCATGTTTCTGCATGTCATCAAGTGAGACAGTAACTACTTTTTGTTCTGGATTATCTTTTCAAGGATTTGTTTTATAGCAAATAGCCTTGGAAGATAGAAATAGTGTCTCCTTCCAGAGCAAAGTACAGGCATGCCTATTGCCTGCTACAAAGATTTGGGTTCCTTATCTCCTTATGCAGTACAGGAGAGAAACTCTTCATATATCTGTGCAGATATCACCTGACCCTCTTCATACTGCCCTATTGCATCTGGGGCTCAGGGAATCAGTGTGAGAAAATACAGATGCTTTGGCTAATGCAATTGCTGTGAGTTATGAAGTCCTTTTTTCTCTGACCTAAGAGTGTCATGAATTCTTTCAGCACTCACAAAAATGTGGCAGGCAAATTGTTAACTTGCAAGTAGGCTAAATCTCAGATCCTTCATAGTTTTAGATACTTATTTGTAGCAAAAACCCATAGAGTTTTGGTGTGATTCACTCTCCTCTTAGATTATATAGCTCTGTATTGTTATTTTATTTGCCTCACTTTCTGTCTTTTAGAAAGTGGAAGACAAATCTTTCACATGATCTAAGAATTAACAAATGATCATAAATCTTATGGCTGCAAGTTTTTACAGATTTTAAGGGATAAAACAAGTTCTGAAGTAAACCTTGAGGCCTTTAGTAGGAGATGGTTAAGAGCATCCAAGAGTGAAATCAGGCAGGAAGCCACTTAGGGAGTTACTGTGGAACTAGGTCATTGTTGCAAAAACTGGAGTGAGAATCAATATGAAGCAAAGAAGATGGCTCATAGTCACAGGAGTGAGATCTAGGGTCAATACTAGAAACCATGCATTTCAAGTGGGGTTAGTTGTGGTAGCAAAACACAAACCATGGTAGCAAAACACAAACTTTGAGGCCTTTATTAGAAGATGATTAAGAGATCCAAGAGTGGAATCAGGCAGGAAGCCAGTTAGGGAGTTAGTATGGAACTAGGTCATTGTTGGAAAAACTGGAGCGAGAATCAATATGAAGCAAAGAAGGTGGCTCATAGTCATGGGAGTGAGGTCTAGGGTCAATACTAGAAACCATGCATTTTGAGTGGGGTTAGTCATGGTAGCAAAAAAACAAACCAGTGCATCAAAGGACACACTCACACGTACAAAAGGAAACCCACAGAAAGGGAGAAAGTGTTTGCAAATCATATTTTTGATCGCATGGTGGCTTATGCCTGTACAGTACTTTGGGAGGCTGAGACAGGAAGATCACCTGAGGTCAGGTGTTCGAGACCCACCTGACCAACATGGAGAAACCCCGTCTTTACTAAAAATGCAAAAATAATTAGCCTGGTGTGGTGGCACATGCCTATAATCCTAGCTACTCGGGAGGCTGAGGCAGGAGAATCGCTTGAACCCAGGAGGTAGCGGTTGCAGTCAGCCAAGATCACACCATTGCACTCCAGCCTGGGCAACAAAAGTGAAACTCCATCTCAAAAAAAAAAAAAAAAAAAAAAAAAAGGAGTGGTTAATATCCATAATATACAAATAAATCATAAAACTCAACAATGACAAAAACAACCTGATTTTTAAAATGGGCAAAGGACTTGAATTGACATTTCTCCAAAGAAGATGGTCAAAAAGCACACAATGGCCAAAAAGCACAAAAAAAAGATGCTCAATATCATGAATCATGAGGGATATGCAAACCAAACTACAAGGAAATATCTGCCATCTTCTCACCCATTAGAATGGCTATGCTTAAAATAAAACAAAATGACAAGTGTTAGTGATGATGTGGAAAATTTGGAGCCTTTGTGAACTGTTGGTGGAAAAAGATTTAGGTTCCTTCACTCAAGAGTTCCTCTCCTGCATTGCAGGTGCAGTCATTATAGAAAATAGGATGGCAGTTCTGCAAAAAATTGAAAGTAGACTTTACCATATGATCCAGAAATTCCACTTCTGGGTATCTACCCCAAATAATTGAAAGTAGGGTCTTAAAGAGATCTTTGTACACCCACATTCATAGCAGCATTAGTCACATTGGCTAAAAGGTGAAAACAACCCAGATGGCCATCAACAGATGAAAGGATAAAAAAATATGGCCTATACATAAAATGGAATATTACCCTTAGAAAGGAAATTGTGACACATGCTATAACATGGATAAACTTTGAAAACATTATGGTAAGTGACATAAACTAGTCACAGAAAGAACAAATGCTGTATGATTCCACTTATGTGAGGCACATAGAGTAGTCAAATTCAGAGACAGACGGTAGAAAGACAGCTGTCAAGACCTGAAGGGAAGAGAGAATGGACAGTTGATGTTTAATGGGCATAGAGTTTTAGTTTTGCAAGATAAAGAGTTTTGGAAATTGGAGTTGCACAATAATGTAAATGTACTTAACATTACTGAACTGTATTTTCAAAAATCGTTAAGATGATACATTAAGTTATGTGTATCTGGCTACAAACTTTAAAAGTACAAGGCAGAGAAGAGTAGAATTTGCTCAGATTGTCACAGCAGGGTACAGTTTAGGGGTTTATAACTCTGAGTCTCAGAGTAAATCCCCACTTAAGTCTCTGTGGCTGTCACCTCACCTAACCACAATGGGCTCAGGAGGTATACTCTGGGTTCTCTTCTTGCACAAAACTTACAGCCTGGATATCAATTAGATGCAATTTGAAAGTATTATAAACACTTTCAGCTCCTAGAACTGATAAAAGAATTCAGCAAAGTTTCCAGATACAAGATTAATGTACACAAATCAGTAGCTCTTCTATACACCAACAGCAACCAAGCCAAGAATCAAATCAATAACTCAACCCCTTTTACAATAGCTGCAAAAAATTAAAATAAAATACTTAGGAATATACCTAACCAAGGAGGTGAAAGACATCTATAAGGAAAACTACAAAACTCTGCTGAAAGAAATCATAGATGACACAAACAAATGGAAACACATCCCATGCTCATGGATGGGTAGAATCAATATTGAAAATAACCATACTGTCAAAAGCAATCTACAAATACAATGCAATCCCCATTAAAATGCCACCATAATTCTTCACAGAATTAGAAAAAACAATTCTAAAATTCATATGGAACCAAAAAAGAGCCTACATAGCTAAAGCAAGACAAAGCAAAAAGAACAAATTTGGAGCCATCACACTACCTGATTTTAAACTGTGCTATAAGGCCATAGTCACCAAAACAGCGTGGTACTGGTATAAAAATAGGCACACAGACCAGTGAAATAGAATGGAGAACCCAGAAATAAACCTAAATACTTACAGCCAACTCATCTTCGACAAAGCAAACAAAAACATAAAAGTGGAGAAAGGACACCATTTTCAACAAACGGTGCTGGGATAATTGGCTAGACACGTGGGAGAATGAAACTGGATCCTTATCTCTCACCTTATACAAAAATCAACTCAAGATGGATTAGGAACTTAAACCTAAAACCTGAAACAATAAAAATTCTAGAAGATAACATTGGAAAAATCCTTCTAGAAATTGGCTTAGGCAAGGATTTCATGACCAAAAAGCAAATGCAATAAAAACAAAGATGGATAGCTGGGACCTAATTAAACTAAGGAGTTGTTGCATGGCAAAAGGAACCGTCAGCAGAGTAAACAGACAACCCACAGAGTGGGAGAGAGTCTTCACAATCTGTACATCTGACAAAGGACTAATATCCAGAATCTAATAAGAACTCAAACAAATCAGTAAGAAAAAAAGAATCCCATCAAAACAGTGGGCTGAGGACATGAATAGACAATTCTCAAAAGAAGAGATACAAATGGCCAACAAACATATGAAAAAAATGCAATATCACTAATGATCAGGGAAATGCAAATCAAAACCACAATGCAATACCACTTTACTCCTGCAAGTATGGCCATAATCAAAAAATAAAAACGAAACGGTAGATGTCGGCGTGGGTGTGGTGAAAAGGGAACACTTCTACACTGCTGGTGGGAATGTAAACTAGAACAGCCACTATGGAAAACAGTGTGGAGATTCCTTAAAGAACTAAAAAGAGAACTACCATTTGATCCAGCAATCCCACTTTAGGCTATCTGCCCAGAAGAAAAGAAGTCATTATTCAAAAAATGTACTTGCACATGCATGTTTATAGCAGCACAATTCACGATAGCAAAATCGTGGAACCAACCCAAATGCCCATCAATCAACGAGTGGATAGAGAAACTGAGATATATATATGAGATATATATATGATATATATATATCTCATATATATATATGAGATATATATGATATATATATCTCATATATATCATATATATGAGATATATATATATAAGATATATATCTATGAGAGATATATATATGAGATATATATAGAGAGAGAGACAGACATATATATATAAATGAAATAATACTATGCAGCCATAAAAAGGAATGAATTAACAGCATTTGCAGCGACCCGGATGAGATTGGAGACTGTTATTCTAAGTGAAGTAACTCAGGAGTAGAAAACCAGACATTGTATTTTCTCACTGATATGTGGGAGCTAAACCATGTGGACGCAAATGCATAAGAATGATACCATGGACTTTGGGCACTTTGGGGAGGAGTGGAAGGGTCTAATGGATAAACGACTACAAATAGGGTGCAGTGTATACTGTTTGGGTGATGGGTGCACCAAAATCTCACAAATAACCAATAAAGAACTTACTCATGTAACCACATACCATCTATACACCAATAACTTATGGAAAATAAAAGAAAGTATTATAAACACTTTCAGATTAGTGAATCTTAAAAACAAGGTAATTACTCCCTTTTTTATTTTAAAATGATTTTTCAGTTACACAAATAATATATAAATTTATTCCCCTTGTAAAACAGCAAAACACTACTGGTGAGGCAAAAGTCCTTTGATGACTATGGCAAGAGACCTCAGATGCCTATCCCAGTATTCATCTTCCCTTTCTGACTTAGTAATAAACTAGAGACATGGCCAGGTAAAATAATGACAATGTTTCTCAGACTTCTTTGCAGGTAGAATTCACCATCTGAATAAATTAGAACAATAAAATGTAGATAAGAATGTTATTTGACAGCATCTCGGAAATTGCCTTAAAGGATAGCTGGCACATGTGCTGTGTTCCTTTTTTATTTTTATTTTTTATTTCTCCACCCTACTCCTTAGAACTCATAAGTGCTGACTGGCACTCTAGCACTCATATTGGGCCATGAGAATGAGGGTCATATGTTAGAAATGACAGAAAACAATGCTGGAAAGAGCCTGTCTTCCTATCTTCATGGAATCTTCATACTTGTACCATGTACCTCTGGACTTCCCTTTTAGAAGAAAAAAAGTCACTGTGAATTTAACTTTATGTCATAGACTTCTCAAACTAACCCTGGTAGACTCTCATCTCAATTTAAATGCCCTCTTTGAACTTTCTCACCCTCAAGATAAAACTATAACCAGTTTGGTGTGTAACCTTACATACTTGTGCTGTGGATATGGGCACCCATAGAAGAAAATATATAGTATTGCTTTCTGAGGCTTTATGTTTTATTATTTTGTTCTCTTTTTTTCCCACCAAAATGTCATTATAGTTTATATATTGTACATATTGTTCAGCTACTAACAACTTACTTAATCTTGGTTTTAATATATTCTGAAGCATATGCTTTCAGATATAAAAATAGCACATGCGTCTGAATTCAACTCAGAACGTTTTTTTAGGGACAACTAGCTTCACATAACAGAAGATGACATAGGATTGCTAAAATAATAATAATAATAATAATAACCTTACAAGCAAATGTCTGGAGAACCATGGCCTCTACTGGTAAAGTAACTTGAGAAAAGTAGTTATGTTACTTCGACATCCTAGATCTGCTAAAAGTATCTTAAGCTGTTAGCTGACAGAGGAAAGTGAATTTGCCCTGCATGAATGGAAATCAAGTTGGAAATGGAGAAAGTCCTCCAGGGGGAAAGGTCTTCTACTCTAGAAGTTTAAGTCAGAAAACTTTGCTGCTTCAAAGCAGCTGTTTAAATATTAGAATCCTATGTGCGAGTGGTGCTTGATAAGACACAACAGCAGCAAACACACGTGACACTCACACACACATTGACTGTGAGGAGTGTGGAGAAGTGTGACCTCCTAAAGTTTTCACAGAGGAGGCATTTCACCCAGCAAACTAATGCATTGCATTTGATTTGTAATCTTCAGACCAAACTTGGAAATAGCTCATTAAGCCTATTTTGTGGCAGATTAAGGCTTTAACAGTCCTGATATCTTTGTTTCTTATAATGCTTCTTGTTGGAATTTCTGCAGAATTTTAAAAAAATAGAAACCCATTTATTACTAGGCTACCGCAGGGCCTGACACATTTCAGGTAATGCCTTTTGAAAAAATAAAAGAATTAATCAGTAAATGCCTTTCGAATAAATAAAAGAATTAATGATTAATTAATACAGCAAATTAGTCTTAAAATATTTTTTCACTTCTATAAAACAAAATATTTTTTTCTTTCCTCTGTTTTGAAGTGGAAATTGAATTATAGTAAAGCTTAATAATCATGCTTCCCTCAAAAGGCATTGATATTTGCCGTCTACACATAGAGACTTTCTATCATATTCAAGGAACATCAACAACTCCAATTCTCTGATTTACTCAAACTAGGCATTAATAGAAAAATATTCTCTTCATGCTAACAGAACCTTGTTGGCAATTTACCTTTAGTATGGTAAAGAAACATAGAGCTTCTATGCAAATAATGAAATTATTCAACAATTTGCATAAATCCTGAAGCTTATGTGCATGTATACTTAATAAACATGGCTCTGACAAACCCAATTCTGTTTCTCTTTCAAGGCCTAGATTAGCATCCACCTTTTTGCTGGCTGGCTTCCCTCGACTGACTTCTCTCTCCCTGTTCTTAAGGGTCAAGGGACAGGTGCAGTATGCATTAAGGAATCCTTCCCCTGGGCTTAGTGCTTTATTGTTTACAAAGTCCTTTGCCTTCACCATTCTCCTCCTCATAACTAAAGAGGAAATTGAGGCTACCATTACAGTAGCACTAACTCTCCACCAGGCAGGTGCTAAGTCCTTTGGGCTATCATCTTATTAATGAGGCTTTAGTGTCTGACACAGAACCGCAACTCCATCACTTTGTAGATGTAAACTTGAGTAAGTTTTAAAATTTATCTAAGGTAGTCTCCCAATCTGTAAAAAATGAGGATATAATAGTACAGAACCCAGACTTGCCAGAAGCATAAAAGGAGACAATTCACATACAGCAAATAACACTGTGTCTGGCACATAGAAACCCATCCATGAAGGTTAACTATTATTATATTGCTCTCCATTATGCAGAATAAAAACTGAAGATCAGACAGGTTATTTTGACCAACATTACACAGCCAGTTTAGTTGTGCATTCACAACTGAAATGTATGTCTTTCTGAAACCAGAATCTAGTGAAAACCACTAATCTATCTTGCTTCATGGAAAATTAAAGTGACATGCTGTCATTGTCAGCCTCTACCCAAGAGAATGTGATAAGCACCCAGTAGGTTGAAGGCTTCTGTCACAGGTAATGGAGAGCTGCTGGGCAGTAGGGCATTCACTTTTACCCTGTTAACTGGGGGATTTGGAAAATGGTCTCCTGACAGGGGACTAAAGAACACAAGGAGCCACTTGATGCCTCAAGCATTTTGGTGGTCTTGTGGGTTTGAAATTTCTCAAATCTAAGCCCAACCCTTCACTTCCTCCCTCCCCTTAAGCAATCTGCCTCGTTCTCCTCCTGTCCTAAGGTCTCGGCAACCAGGAACTGCTCTCCCACCTCAGGAAAGTAGCATCTGGAGAAACTAGCCCTCTGGTCAGCCAACCACCTGCCAAATTCATTTATAACTCTGAAAAAAATGCATTTTATTCTCAGGTGCTGAGATGTATTCAGTCAAGCCTACATCTGTCTAGCTCCAGAGCTGGCATACTTATCTATTCCACTATACCCGTTTCTAAGGGGATGCGGAAGCAGGAGTGCAAAGCATCTTCTTGATCATGAAGCCACCACTCAGCACTTGAGTTCATGATCATTAGCTGATGGCTGGGGAAACCAAGATGTCATGAGAATGGGTTTTGAGCACCTTGCAACTCAAAAGCACCAATCCCAGCTAGGGAGGTGCTACCTTTATATTCTGCTTTCTTGGCAACTGACCCTGTGAATTTATTTAAAAAAAAAAACAACTTGAGATTTTTTTTAAATTTTATTATTATTATACTTTAAGTTTTAGGGTACATGTGCACAACGTGCAGGTTTGTTACATATGTATACGTGTGCCATGTTGGTGTGCTGCACCCATTAACTCGTCATTTAGCATTAGGTATATCTCCTAATGCTATCCCTCCCCCGTCCCCCGACCCCACAACAGTCCCCGGTGTGTGATGTTCCCCTTCCTGTGTCCATGTGTTCTCATTGTTCATTTCCCACCTATGAGTGAGAACATGCGGTATTTGGTTTTTTCTCCTTGTGATAGTTTGCTGAGAATGATGGTTTCCAGCTTCATCCACGTCCCTACAAAGCACATGAACTCATCATTTTTATGGCTGCATAGTATTCCCTGGTGTATATGTGCCACATTTTCTTAATCCAGTCTATCATTGTTGGACATTTGGGTTGGTTCCAAGTCTTTGCTATTGTGAATAATGCTGCAATAAACATACATGTGCATGTGTCTTTATAGCAGCATGATTTATAATCCTTTGGGTATATACCCAGTAATGGGATGACTGTGTCAAATGGTATTTCTATTTCTAGATCCCTGAGGAATCACCACACTGACTTCCACAATGGCTGAACTAGTTTACAGTCACACCAACAGTGTAAAAGTGTTCCTATTTCTCCACATCCTCTCCAGCACCTGTTGTTTCCTGACTTTTTAATGATCGCCATTCTAACTGGTTTCTCAGGTTGTTATTATTTGGAATGGTTTGCCCATTCTTTTGAACTCAAACCACGGTGGGTTCATTTGGGATGGCTTTAAGTTGTTGAAACTTCTCCATAGTCCAAGGCACCTCTTATTAACCCTGACAGGAAATGGAGATTCTAAGAGTTTATTTAAGTAACTTGCCAAAGTTACACAGATTATAAGAAGTACAGCAATCACTTGAACCCAGATCTCCCTATCTCCGAACTTTCAATTTTTTCCTTCTTCCCATGAGGAACCTGCTTCCAGTTCTCACTCATTTTCTATTTCCTGTGTAATTACTGAGTCAATATCTTCCCTAGAGAATTGCCCATTTACCAGTCACAACTTCTGAGGAAGCCGACTCCCCTTGAATTGTTAACCTTCCTATAACTGAACTGGGGTTGCCTTTTTTTAATTGGGACTTAATTAATGGTCATCAGCCTCTCTCTCTCCCTGGCCATGACTTCTTTTCTTGCTAGCTCCCCTTCTCTATCACCTCTTCTTTCTGCAACCCAGAGTCTTTGTGGAAACTAAAGCTAGGAGGTGGCAGAGCCAGGAATGAAGCCCAGGGTTTCATGTCTTTGGCTCAGTGCACTAGCCTCGTGGTCATGGATGTGCTTAAGATGATCCACTGATGCATGGCAAGAAATTACTAGAATGTCTATATTTTAACTTGTTTTATATTTTAATGCTTTCTTTTGTTTGTTTGTTTTGAGACAGAGTCTTGCCCTGTCCCCCAGGCTAGAGTGCAATGGTGCGATCCCAGCTCTCTGTAACCTCCACCTCATGGGTTCAAGCAGTTCTCCTGCCTCAGCCTCCTGAGTAGCTGAGATTGCAGGTGCCCATCACCAGGCCAGCTAATTATTTTTGTATTTTTAGTAGAGACAGGGTTTCACCATGTTGGCCAAGCTGATCTCAAACTCCTGACCTCAAGTGATCTGCCCGCCTCAGCCTCCCAAAGTGCTGGGATTATAGGCATGAGCCAAAGCACCCAGCCAATGCTTTCTTTATAAAATATACACCATGTTAAAGTAGTACATATATAATTTATAAATTATGCATACATTGTGAAGGATGTTACTCTTTTAATGGATAGAGATGTGGGATTTTTAAAGTTTGGAGACCATTCTACACTGGTGCTTCAAAAACACTAATGTGTGTGTAAATCACCAGTGGATTTTGTTCAATACAAGTTCATATTCAGTGAGTCTGATGCAGCTAAGATTGTGCATTTCTAACAAACTCCCAGGTAATATCCATATTTTGGTCTGGGTACTATGAGTAGCAAGTCTCTCTACACTGAATTATTTTTCTCAGCTTAGTACCAATGCAGAATTTTTGCTCCTTAGTTCAGTTAAATCCGGGTTCTTGTACCACATCCAGGAAAAAATAGGCACATGGAAACACTGGAGAGTGAGGAGAGTGGAATTCATTGGACAAAAAGGAAAAAAGAGAAAAAGCACTCTCAGAAAAGTGAGAGGGGGTCTTGCTAACAGGCTACCACCTCACAGATTGAATTCCAAGCCACCACACAGGAGCTTAAGAGGCCAGGCTCCTCCTGCACTGTACAAGGTGTGAACTTCCCATGGCTCTACCACATTTTCCTGGTGCACAGGCAGGTCCCAGTCCATTGCAGGCATGTGCAGACAAGACCCTGGGCAAGTTCCCTCATCTGCACAAAATCATCTGATGTAAGCACTTGTGGGGTGGGTTGGAGATCTTCTGGGGACCCCCCCCAATCTGCCTCCTGCATCTATCATTCCCCCCTCTAAAGAAGTACATCTAACTGCCATTAGAATAAGGATGAGGAGGAAGACTGATCTTAACAGCTTCCTGCTGATAGGGAGTGCTGTTTTGGGAAAACAGCAGTCAGGGTTCTCTCTGAGGTTCATCTAAGGTTCCCTGGCAAAAGGGGCCATTGTCTAAGGCTCTGGTTGCATGAACATTTGGAGTTTGGTGGCCTGAAGGCAAAAGAGACAAACCAGATTATTAGAAAACATGTGTTAAAACAAAACAAGGTGGGCGTAAGGATAGCTCAAAAATCCCAAAGTCTTTTACTAGTTTGGACATGGAGAGGGAGACAAAAATCCAACTGGTAAAAAACACTTTTACCCTTTTGCTGGCATGTCAGGCTTCTGGGTTCCCTTCCCCAAAGCCCAATCCTAAGCCAACTAGTTTAAAGTTTGGTGGTATGGTTTGGCTGTGTCCCCACCCAAATCTCATCTTGAATTCCCATGTGTTGTGGGAGGGACCTAGTGGGAGTTACTTGAATCATGGGGACAGGTCTTTCCTATGCTGTTCTTGTGATAGTAAATACGTCTCATGAGATCTGATGGTTTTTATAAGGGGAGTTTCCCTGCACAAGCTCTCTCTCTCTCTGCCTGCTGCCATCCATGTAAGATGTGACTTGTTCCTCCTTGCCTTCTGCCATGATTGTGAGGCTTTACCAGCCATGTGGAACTATAAGTCCATTAAGTCTCTTTCTTCCCAGTCTTGGATATGTCTTTATCAGCAGTGTGAAAACAGACTAATAGACTAAATTGGTACCATTGCTGAAAAAGTATCCAAAAATGTGGCAACAACTTTGGAACTGGGTAACAGGCAGAGGTTGGAACAGTTTGGAGGTCTCAGAAGAAGACAGGAAAATGTGGGAAAGTTTGGAACTCCTAGAGACTTGTTTAATGGCTTTGATTAAAATGCTGATAGTGATATGAACAATAAAATCCAGGCTGAGGTGGTCTCAAGTGGAGATGCGGAACTTGTTGGGAACTGGAGCAAAGGTGACTCTTGTTATGTTTTAGCACAGAGACTGGTGGCATTTTGCCCCTTCCCTAGAGATTTGTGAAACTTTAAACTTGAGAGAGATGATTTAGGGTATCTGTTAGAAGAAATTTCTAACTAGCAAAGCATTCAAGAGGTGACTTAGGTGCTGTTAAAGGCATTCAGTTTTAAAAGGGAAGCAGGGCATAAAAGTTCAGAAACTTCGCAGCCTGACAATGTCATAGAAAATAAAATCCCATTTTCTGAGGATAAATTCAACCCAGCTGCAGAAATTTGAATAAGAGGAAATGAATGTTAATCCCTGAGACAATGGGGAAAATATCTCCAGAGCATGCCAGAGGTCTCCGTGGCAGCCCCTCCCATCACAGGCCCAGAGGTGTAGGAGGAAAAAATGGTTTCCTGGGCCAGGGCCAGGACACCCCTGCTCTGTGCAATTTAGGGACTTAGTGTACTGTGTCCCAGCTGCTCCAGCCATGGCTAAAAGGGGCTAACATACAGCTTGGGCTGTTGCTTCAGAGGGTGTAAGCAAGCCCCAAGCCTTGGAAGCTTCCACGTGGTGTTGAGCCTGAGGGTGCACTGAAGTCAAGAAGTGAGGTTTGGGAACCTCCACCTAGATTTCAGAGGATGTATGGAAACACCTAGATTCCCAGGCAGAAGTTTGCTCCAGGTGTGGGGCCCTACAGGACAACCTCTGCTAGGGCAGTGTGGAAGAGAAAGGTGAAGTCAGATCCCCATACAGAGTCCTTACTGGGGCACCACCTACTGAAGCTGTGAGAAGAGGGCCACCATCTTTCAGACCCCCAGAATGGTAGATCCACCAACAGCTTGCACCGTACACCTAGAAAGGCTTCAGACACTCAATGCCAGCCCATGAAAGAAGCCAGGAAGGGAGCTATACCCTGCAAAGCCACAGGACAGGGGCAGAGCTGCCCAAGTCTATGGGAACCCACCTCTTGCATCAGCGTGACCTGGATATGAGAGATAGAGTCAAAGGAGATCATTTTGGAGCTTTAATATTTGACTGTCCTGCTGGATTTTGGACTTGCATGGGGCGTGTAGCCCCTTTGTTTTAGCCAATTTCTACCATTTGAAACAGCTGTATTTACCCAATGCCTGTACCCCCATTGTTTCCAGGAAGTAACTAACTTGCTTTTGATTTTACAGGCTCATAGGCAGAAAGGACTTGCCTTGTCTCAGATGAGACTTTGGACTTTGGACTTTTGAGTTAATGCTGAAATGAGTTAAGGCTTTGGGGGACTGTTGGAAAGGCATGATTGATTTTGAAATGTAAGGACATGAGATTTGGGAGGGGCCAGGGACAGAATGATATGGTTTTGCTGGGTCCCCACCCAAATATCATCTTTAATTCCCATGTGTTGTGGGAGGGACCTGGTGGGAGGTAATTGCATCATGGAGGCAGGTGTTTTCTGTGCTGTTCTCATGATAGTAAATAAGTCTCACAAGATCTGATAGTTTTATAAGGGGGAGTTTCCCTGCATAAGCTCTCTCTGCCTGCCGCCATCCATGTAAGATGTGACTTGCCCATCCTTGCCTTCTGCCATGACTGTGAAGCTTCCCCAGCCATGTGGAACTGTAAATCTGTTAAACCTCTTTTTATTTCCAGTCTCAGGTATGTCTTTATCAGCAGCATGAAAACAGACTACTACATGTGGGAAATTAACTTTTCCCAGTTTGGCGGATGTATCCGAGGGGAGTGTCCCATAGTATGGAGATACAATTACAAATCAGTGAAGAGAGGACAAAGGAGGAAAAAGACAAAAAAAGAAGCCATTTTTTTCAAAAGGAGTTCCAGGCATTCAGGATGCATTTGAAAGGGGTACAGGCTGAAGATGGATGGCTACTCATCTAGAGAGAGGGGAGCAAGGCATCCTAGGTTCTCTTCTCTTCCTAGGAAATACCTGGGGTATGTGAGGGAGAGAAAATGAGGCATTCATCTTTCTTTCTTCTGTTCTTATATCCCCAAGTACTGGTGACCATGACAAGGTGCCACCCATGGGTGTCATCAAAGCAGCTTTCACCCATGTTAACAAGGGATCCAGGGGGTTGGAATATCTGCTTACCCGCATACACCCTATCTTCCCTGCTGTCAGTAGCCTTCAAATTCCCTAGACCTCATTTATGCCATGGATACTAGCATGACTTTTATCCATGAAATTGGAAGCTGGGCTTAATTGGCAGGAATTAGTCATGTTCACCTGTGCTGTGCCTTTTGGCTTCTGTTATCATCTGTCTCTGGATTCCTCAGATCCAGTTTTCTTTCCTAGGGCTTTGATCCAAAGCTTGGA
The DNA here is from genome assembly GCF_000001405.40 of Homo sapiens. Classification (NCBI taxonomy): domain Eukaryota; kingdom Metazoa; phylum Chordata; class Mammalia; order Primates; family Hominidae; genus Homo; species Homo sapiens. The sequence goes on along the minus strand of NC_000003.12, from coordinate 180,232,181 downwards.
ATTGAGTTTGGGATCAAAAATGTGTCTCGGGGGATTGCATAGACTTCTTATTATAAGCCAAATGCTAAGGTGAAGCTATGGAATTGAGTCTTCCTCCAACAAAGGAGAGAAAAGGATGTTTTGTGACATGCACAGATAACTGGTGGCTATAGAAATGCTTGCCAAGATTTGGGTATATGTGGCTTGAGTTTGGTTAGCTCCTTTGGTCTTACTTCCCCAAAAAGGAAACCTCCAGGTAACCCTATCTATTCCCATCACCTGGCAGGATTTGCAGGATAATTGCTCAGAACTAGAATATTGATCCAGATTTTTACATTACCCATCCCTTTTGTTTATTCTGAGCTGCAGTTGGAGACTGCTGGTTGGTTAACAGGATTAAGCAGAGTTAGCCTAAAATGTGGGCAAAAACTTAAAAACAACAAATGAGTCTAGAATTTTTTTTTTTTGAGACAAGAGTTTCGCTCTTGTTGCCCAGGCTGGAGTGCAATAGCACAGTCTCGGCTCAATGCAACCACTGCCTCCTGGGTTCAAGTCTCCTGCCTCAGCCTCCCAAGTAGCTGGGATTACAGGCATGCGCCACCACACCCGGCTAATTTTATATTTTTAGTAGAGAAGGAGTTTCTCCATGTTTGTCAGGCTGGTCTCAAACTCCTGACCTCAGATGATCTGCCTGCCTTGGCCTCCCTAAGTGTTGGGGTTATTTAAAGGCATGAGCCACCGTGCCTGGCCAAGTCTAGAAGTTAATGACAAATGTATGATAAGTTTTAAAACATAATTTCTCTCCAGTCCTCATTTTTGTGAAAAACAAATCATGATAGGACTGAGTCATTTGCAAAATATTCTTTAGTCTTATACTTGGCCTGATTATTTACATAAATTACATGAAAAAGGATAATTATTTCTACGTAGGCCTTTTAGATTGGCTTTGATGGAACTCTGTTTCACAAGGAATCTCAGATAGGATACTTTAGTCTTATAGTTGGCCTGATTATTTACATATAGTACAGTAAGAATATTTTTTTCTATGTAGACCTTTTAGATTGGCTTTGATGGAACTCTGTTACACAAGAAATATCAGATAGAACTTTCTAAAGCCAAGCCCAGTCATGGGTTTCTACCCTCAAATACCTGTAAGTTGGGTAAACTCCTCTCTTGAGGTCCCAAGAGCATGGGGTTCCTGGGCCTGTTAGAAACTGACATTCTTTACTCATTGCAGGTTAGAAAACCTGTACAGGGACTGTGTAGACCAGGTATGAGGCTAGCTTTCCCAAGGGGTTTTTATTGGCTCTGCAGGTCGAGCTTGACTCTTAAAGGTAAGCATACCCTTCCAGTCAAAGCCTTGGTAAAACAACCATTTTCTCCAATTGCATCCTGTTGCAAAAGAAAATTGATTCTTATTACACTGATGTAAACAACTATAGTGCCATAAGTTAACAATACTCACAACTAGTTTCCAAATTCTGGAGAAGCCAGGCAGAGAGAGAGAGAGAGACAAATATGCTCCAAATTTTATTCACAGGCATATACCTTACTCAATTACTAAATACTGTAAATAGCTCAAAATAAGATTCCTTGAATGTGAAAAACAAACAAGGATCAGCAATGTTCCAAGCAAAAGTCAAATAGATTACTTTAGTTTTCTATTAGTTCAGTCCATTCAGTTAATTCTTGTTTTGCTTGATATTTGTGAACGTTTTAGCTCTTCATGAGTCCTGTACATTTTTCCATTATTCCAATGTCACAATCTCCAAACTTATCAGAAACCTACATCTGAGAGCACTGTTAAAGTTCTATAGCTGATTATAAACCGTCCTTTGAAGAGGATCAGAACAATTGTCTGTGAATAACAAAATCTCCAGGGTAGTTACAGTCAAAAACACGACTGACAAAGAAATTTGGTTATCTCCATGGTTACAATAGTTTAAAATAACAACCTTAATTGTGATGGATGGCGTATACTCAGACATTAGAATGTTAGAGATCCCATATAATTTTGAAACATATATTAATATTATTCCCTAAAATATAACATGAAGACAATTAAACATCATTTTGGCAATCCCATCTGCCTAAACATGTTAAATAATACTATTTACCTCTCTTCCGGATGCTTCGGGGGCCCTCTGTAGCATCCAAAGCCAGGTGTCAGGAAAGATGATTTCGAAACTGAAGTTTGATTTGGGGATGCCTGTTAAATACATTAGAGGTTTAAAACACTTGATGTTATGAAATAGAATTCCAGATTACCATAAGTTATTTATTTTACCAAAATGATGACTCTGAAATTTTAAAAAAGCAAAAATCTTTTATAACCCTTTACAAATTTTGCTACAGATTAGTTCCTTAAGAGTACCTTGTTGTGCTTTTATTTCAGTGCTCAATTAGCAGAAAAAACATATAATACCCTTTTGAATTTAGTCAACATGTTCACATATGAAATTTTTCTGCATGATTAATTTTTACAATCCTTCCACAACTTGTTTGAACTTTATCTTATCTAATTTAAAACAATCCTTTAACTCTAGGCAACAATTTTTATTTTAATGACATCTGCATTTTACCAATACTATTTAAGGCTGTTTTTATTTCTCAAAGATTAAAGTCCCATGAACTAAAAGGCACCACAGCTTTTATATTTCCTTTGATAAATATTTGAGCACTTATCCTTCTTTAAGTTAATTAATTAGAGCTCTTTTTTTATAGACATTACACACACAATACATATATAACTACATAGACAGGCAGAAAAGGATCCAGTAGCTATAAGATTTTTTGTTTGCCAATCTCCTAATTGGATTATTGGCCCCTGGGTGGAGCCCATTAAAAGGAAGACTAGGAAAGCATGCAGTTTTGGAGGCCTAATAAAGAGGTACAGCCAGAAGACAAAAAGATTTTGGGAGGGATTCATCAGACTCCAATTCCTGGGGCTCCATAAGGAAAACAGAGGTCACTCCCCTCTCATGCCTGCATTAAGAGTGGCAAGGCAAAATGAAGAAAAATAATTCAGTTGAGTGATGAAAAACCTCTTTTCCAGAAAAACAAGATCCAAGAAGAGAAAAACATAAAGGCCTTTTAAATATACCTACAACTTGGATATCCACTTTTAATTAAGCTGAGTGCTCTTTAAGAAAATCCTTTTAAATCACTTATTACCTGACTTTTGACATGCCAAGTGGCCAATATTTCTGGCTTTCAAACTTTACTAAAGACTCAGAGAAAGAGAAATGCAAGGTGGTTTGTGGAGGGGAAAAGAATTAACAAATGGCAAAAGTCATGCAGATATCAAACCAGAAAGGACTCATTCCCTAAGCCAGGATTCAACCCATCCACAATTGTAAAATGGCAGAAGCTAAAACAAAGCACTGCCATGTGGTTACAGATCACGCTTCCAAGGACGTAAAATAAAATGGAGGCCTGCAGCAAAGTTTGCTGACCATACAAAAAGACATGCAAAGCACACCAGATTGGCTACAGCTTAAGAACAACCTTACAAATTCTTTTTCATAATTAAAACTCTCCAGAGAATATAAACAGTGATAGTTGGGGTCCTGGCCTAGTAAAACATCTTCTAAAAGGAAAGAAACCTCTTGCTTAAAAGTTAACGCCTGACCTGGTGGAGAAAAGAAAAAAGCTTAAAGTGTAGGGCTGTGCTAACTACTGACAGGGTAGAGAAAAGGGAAAAAATAGCTGAAAGTTCAGGGTTAGAAAGATGTCTGGGGGAAGCACCTCTTTTTCTTATGCAAATGGGTTCCTCCAACCTGGAGAGAAAATTAGTTGCTGTCAGATGGAGCTGGACCCCTTGGCTGAGGGAAGGGAAGCCTCCATGAATGTGTGGTGGGGAATGCTGGCTATCCTGCCACATGGGCCTGGGTCCCCCCGGCTGTCTTGGGGCCCAGGCAGCATCTGTGGCTCCTTCCCACCCTGCATGGCCATTAGATGCCACATGCACATGCAGCAGACACAGCCATGCACCCCAGCCAGGAAGGAAGTGGGATCAGGGAGCCATCACTCACCCATCTGTCCCAAATGTGTGTCTGTGGCCATTGGGGTGGGGTGGTGCACAGCTTCCTTCAGAAGAAGGAAGGACTTCAGAAGAAGTCCGAGGACAAAAAGCCTCAGAAACAAGAGGGAAAAAGATCTATTGATCTGCATTTTACTCACCTTTCCTCATGTCCCTATACGGGCCACCAAAATGATGCAGAATTTTTGCTCCTTAGTTCAGCTAAATCTGGGCTCTTGTATCATAACCAGAAAAAAATAGGCATGTGGACACATTGAAAGGTGAGGGGAACAGAGTTTGTTGGGTGAAAAGGAAAAGAGAGAAAAAAAGAAGACTCTCAGCAAAGAGAGAGGGGGTCTTGCTAACAGGCTACCACCTCAGAGATTGAATTCCAGGCCACCACCAATTCAGGAGCTGAGGCAGCCAGGCTCCCTGCCCCCTGCACAAGGCATGAACTTACCATGGTTCAACTCCATTCTCCCAGTGTGCAAGCAGATCCCCAGTCCATTGCAGGCATGCACAGACAAGACCCTGGGCAAGTTCCCTCATCTGCATGAAACATTTGATGTAAACACTTGTGGGGTGGGTCGGAGATTCTCTGGGGACCCCCCATTATCTGCCTCCTGCATCTATCAGTGCTATGGGGCTGCCATAAATGTTCAATCAGTATATGGGCATTGCGTGAATGAGAACAAGCAAGTTAAGTCATATATAGGTCAGAGGTTATTTTTACATGTTCAAAATGTTTCTTATTTGAAGAAAACCAGTACCTACATTTTTATTATTACTGTGAAATTTCATGTGACATTAGGTTAGGTATCACATTATTTCAAATCCATCCCTGTGATAAATTGGTTTTGGTTTTAGCTCTCATTGAGGGTAATATTCTAGGTTGAAGAAAATAACAACTGCTAAGTGACTAAGTAATAAATTTAATGCTTGAGTTCCCAAAATAAATACTTCAGAGACCCCTATTTTCTCTTTTCTTCATCCCCAGAAGCTCTGTGGGGTGTGTGTACAGCCTAGGAAATGTACTTCCTTCCCACACATTGTCCGAAGTCCACCCAATCTTTTCTAAATTCAGCATTTCTCTCTCTGGGGCTGAGCACTTAGGGAAGTAATGGATCTACTCATTGACTGGTAGCAGCTTCCTTCCAGCTAGTTCTAGGGAGTGAATAGGGCTGGAGCACTGAACTTAATTGAAACCTAGGCTTAACTAAAACGGTTAGAAGGCAGCCAGAGGGCATGTCAGTTACCTTCCAGTGCCAGCGGGAGAGAAGGAAAGCTGACTGGGCTCCCTGCACTGTGGGTATAGTTTGGATTATTTATGCCCAAACTCTGGGGACCCCAGAGTCACTGCAGAATGTAGGAGAGAGAAGCAAGTGCCCTGTTGCAGCAGCAGGTAGCCCCTTACAAAACACTTTCTCATTTGACTTTTCTGTATTTTATTTCTTAAGCTTAGCGCTTTATTTTGCAAGGAAATAATGTGTTGTTTTTAAATGACTGTTTAATTCTTGGACAGGAAAGCAATTCATTTCAATGAACCAAAATGACATTTTTGTGAATGGTCCTATTAGCTAGAGGTATTTTAAGAATCCAGAAATGTATGGTTTAGTGAGCAATGACAATAATTTTTAAGGTAGTTGTTAGTCTAAAAGCATAGTTTTCATGTATTCCATACTGATGATATAGGAAAACTGAAAATAAAATCTCTTTGGGAGAGATAAATTCATAACAGACAGATAGTAAATATTTTCAGCAAGTTTTAATCTCTCTTTCCCCACCCCTTGTTTTAAGTTTTTGTGTTGTCTTTATAGTCACAGACTATGTAAGAGTTCAACTAATAGACATTTTCAACAACTTTGAAGGCATTTATAGATTTTTATTTTTCACCAACTCTTAATTCACATATTTTGTTTCTAAATTGTACATAGGTTAAACCTGATCTAGTACATTTATAATATACTTTATAAGATGGATTTGTATTTTGTTCTGTATTTGATTTTCAATATTAAGCAACTCTTATTCCAACTCATTTGTTTCTCATAACTTTATTATTCTGGATATTCAGCAAGATGTTTTGGATTTTTTAAACTCACATTTCTTAAGTTCTTACAATGTGCAAATAAACTATCTCTTAGTTTCTCTGAGAATACAGAGGTAAATGGACCTTGCCTACCCTCAAGAACTCATGCTTCAAGAGCCAAGTTTTGAAATATTTGTATAGAAGAATTTATTTCTCTTAATCATCCCTTTTCTTGTTCATGTTCTTCATTTTATCTACTTCTGCATTGATTTCATTCTGTTTGTCAGCTGATGGAAACTATGGCAAGAATATGTAGTCTCATCTTTACAGTACATTTCTTACAATTAGCTCAAAAAATCTACATCGTGGAAGGAGCTGTGGCCCTGGATCCACATATTAGACTTCTCCTCTGAGCTGATCACTTTGTTTTAGGCCAGGGATTGGAATGTACCCCTAATGAAGTCAAAGTTCTGAGTTCAATCCTCTTATGGGCCAGTTATCCTCAGATGACTTGAGAAGACTTCACACTCTGATCTAGTCAGATGTTCATGAATGCCTTCCATTGGCTGCAAGGCAAGTAGGTAAAAGAGTTGAGAAAATTAGCCCACATCCACTTGTACTGGTAAAAAGGTAAACCAAAGCTAAGTTCTGCAGTCAAAAGAATCACTTTTACTTAACCATGAGGCGCTTTGCATAGGTTTTATGCAAACATGGTCAATGTTTTCTGGAGTCTGTGTCACGGTGAGTCTAAGAGGAATGGCAGGGAGTGGGGGGCTGCCCCTATAAGAGGGAGAGAAGCCACCGTGTGGGGAAATTACATAGGCAGTTGCCTCCAGTATGTGGGTTAGGGAGCATAGTGGACTGATGGCATCAGAGAATACGAGTATCCCTGCCCTGCCCTGCCTGCAGGACACATTACAGGAAAAGTATAAAAACCTTTCTTAAGACCTTTTCATTGTCAGCCTTTGGGATTGGTGGTCACTTTCTGCTGCATCCAGAGTCTTGGACTCAAGACTTTGGGGATAGCAAACCTGAAATACAAGGGGGCAGGCAGGTCTGTAGAGGATCTCTGCCTGGTCCCTACTCTCTGCTTTTCTCTTTCTTAACTCATCTCTCACTGTAGTGTTATAGTTAGTCTGTCTATTTTCCCTTCTGAATTCTAAGCTCCTTGAGGGCAAGGACTTATAACTTCATCGTTTAACCTAGTACTTGTAGGCCCTCAGTAAATGTTTGATGTTGAACAGGGACTGATAAGTAAAGTCTCAGCCTGCCAGAGGGTGACAGAGCTTGAAGGTCTCCACAGAGGTGGTGAGAGCAGCTGGAGGGGGCCTCAGGGAAGCCCCAAGGAAAAGCACATGTTGGGGGCTTAGTGGGAGCCAGTGGCAGCAGCAATGCTGAGAAGAGTTCTGATCAGAGTGCAGGAATGTACAAGGTTCCTGTAGTGGTTTTGGGAGTTGAAATCAGCCCTGAATGAACAGAGGACCTCAGGAAATTGCAGTGGTAACAGCAACCAGAGTGGCAAAACAGGTTAGAGGTGGCCAAGACCCACTGGAATTATCCCCACAGGAAGGAATGAAATTCACATGGCTCAAACACTAGCTGAAAAAATCAGTATAACAGGGACTTTTGCAAACAGAATTTTAAACCATCAAACAACCTAATATGCCAGTATTATTACACTCACTATACAGATGAAGAAATTGAAACTCAGGAAGCTACCTGAGCACACAGCTAGGGAATGTCAGGACTGAGATTTAAACTCAGATCATATAACTCTGAGTTCAGTGATGCTTTCATGGCAACACACCTGCCTGAGCCAACCTACTTGAGCCACATTGCTTGGAACACAAGGAGGATGTCTGTCTTGGGGAACAGGGTTATTGCTTCTCACCTTTAGAGACCTGAAGTAATATCTCATGGGTAACAGAAACCACATATTCTCAGTATCCGGTGAGTACTGGCCTCAGGTTCCGGGGGGGGCTCGTGTGTCAAAGAACATAATACAGTCTCTGTCACTCATTGTCATGTATCAAAGAAATATTCTTTATGAGTCTCTTAGAAGAAGTTATATTCATGTAGAGAAGACAGTAATTTTTAAATATTTATTGTAATCTAAATTTTCTATCCATTTACATTACATTATTTCTGTTAGCTAAAATGATGTATCATTCAGTTGACATTCTTCCCTTTTAAATGTTATCAATTCAGGCTTAAACTACTTAGTTTTCTATGCCAATAACATCAGCTATAGACCTTTTCATTCATGTTATATTTGCCCCTATAGCAGAGAACACCACCACCACCAAAAACCTTTTGTTTAAAAAAACACTGAAATATCCCTCCTGTTCATTTAAAATTTTTCTGAGCACCCACAACTGTACAAAAGTTGGGTGCTTAGAGATACAAAGAAAGAAATTAGCCTCTGTCTTCAAAAAGCTTACATGTAACCACTTACATTGGAATTAAATACTTGCTAAGTAGAGCTACTAATAATATGGCCATGGCAGTTCAGGGAAACAATTCGTCCTAACAGTAATGACTCTCATTTTAGTGGAATCTTGGACCTAAAAGATGATAAAGAGTTTAAGGGCTAGAAAGACAAGCAAAAAAATGGCTCTGCCATGTCCTTACTGTAAAGCCTTTTGCACTCTTTAGGCTCTGTAGCTTAGTGGTTACAGAGTACAGACTCAACTTCCTGTATCTCAGTTCCGGCTTCTGCCACTTACCTTGAACAAATCTCTGATCTCTCCGTGCTTCACTTTTCTCATCTGCAACATGGAGATAGTAGTACCCACCTTTTAAAGACTGTTATGAAGAACTAAATGTCAATGTATGCAAGAAGTATTTAAAACATTGCCTGAAACATAATATTATGTAAGCCTTCACTTCTATTTTTCTCTGCGCTTTTGCTTCCTTTTATCTAAAGCCAAGATAATAATACTGACCTCATGAATTTGTTGTTTGAATTAAATGAGATCGTTCACGTTAAGTACCTAGCACATAGTAAGCATTAAACATGAGTTCCCTTCCTACTTAAGATAAAAAATGTATTTTCTCAGTTTAAAACAGACAATAATATACACACAAACATGGTAGCTTAAGGATTACCTTTTTAGAAATTGCCATGGTAAAGCTTTTGAAATTTGTGAACTTGCCAATAAAAGTTTTGGCTAATGTTTTGCTGGACAATGTATTATTTATGCCCAAGGTCCTAAAGTTATCAAGTTCCCCAAATTGACTAGGTAATTTCCATGCTAAACTCAATGAAGTTTTTGAAAAGGCTTATTTATATCATCATTTCAGAATAAAGCGATCCCATCAATGTCTATAAAGCTTTGCAATTCTCATTTCTTCCACCCACTCTAACAGCTTTAAAGTCTGTAAGCTTGTCAAGAAACTGTTGTTTTTCATTTCACTTTGGAACCCTCTAAGATAATGAATGAGAAGGCCTACATTAAAGGGCATTTGTAATAACAATAATAAAACACTCATGCATTTGGAGATAAACCAACTTTAAAAAATGAGTTTTGGCTGTCAACTTATTCTTTCACATTAGCATATATTTTGAACAGTGGCCCTTACAAAGGCATGTAAGTGTTTTAGTGTGGGCAGTTTTGTGTGCGTGTGTGTGTGTGTGTGTTTAAATAGGGTATTCTCTAGAGCAGTTTTAGATTCATAGCAAAATTGAATGGAAGGTACAGAGATTTTCTCTGTCCCCAGATGTGTGCAGCCCCCCATTATTAACATTCTCCACCAGAGTGGTACATTTGCTACAACTGACTAACCTAAATTGGCACATCATTATCACCCAAAGTCCACAGTTTACATTAGGGTTCACTCTCGATGTTGTACATTCTATGGGTTTGGACAAATGTATAATGACATGGATCCATCATTATAGTAGATTGTTTTCAATAGAATTGTTTCACCACCCTAAAAATCTCCGGTGCTCTGCCTATTCATCCCTCCCACCCCACTAATCCCTGGAAATCACTAATCTTTTTACTATCTCCATAAGTTTTCCTTTTCATGTCATGTAGTTGGAATTGTACAGCATGTCACTTTTTCATGTTGGCTTCTTTCACTTATTAATATGCATTTAAGGTTCCTCCATGTCTAGTCATGGCTTGATAATGTATTTCTTTCTAGCATTGAATGATATTCCATTGTCTGGATGGACATGGTATACTTATCCATTCAACTACTGAAAGACCTCTTGGTTGCGTTCAAGTTTTGGCAATCATGAATAAAGATGCTAAAAACATCCATGTGCCAGTTTTTGTGTGGACACAAGTTTCAGTTCCTTTGGGTAAATAACAAGGAGCATAACTGCTGAATCATATGGTAAAAGTATGTTTAACTTTGTAAGACACTGCTGAAGAGTCTCCTAAAATAGCTGTATCATTTTGCATTCCCACCAGTAATGAATTAGAGTGTCCTTTGAACAACACATCCTCACCAGCATTTGGCATTGTCAGTGTTCTGGATTTTTCTCCTTCTAATACATGTTTACTGATACTCATTGTTGCTTTAATTTGCTCTTCCCTGATAATATAAATAAAATACTAGCAAACCGAATTCAATAATATATAAGAAATATTATGCATCATGGTCAAGTTAGATTAATCCCTGGGGTACGAGGTTGCTTAAATATAGGCAAATTAGTCAATCCTATATGCCATGTTAACAGAGTGAAAGATAAAAACCACATGAACATCTCAATAGATGCAGAAAAATGCTCAACATATATTGTTGATGGAAACTTTCAATAATTTAAGTATAGAAGGAAATGTCCTTGACACAATAACATAATAAAGGTCATTTATGAAAGCCCATAGCTATTATAATCAATGGGTGAAAACCGGAAGCTTTTCCTCTGAGATCCAGTAAAAGGCAAAGAGGTCCACTCTCAGCACTTCTATTAAGCATAGTACTTGAAGTACATTAATCAAAAAGAATAAAATACTTAGGAATAAATTTAACCAAGGAAGTGAAAGATCTGTACATTGAAAACTATAAAACATTAATGAAGGAAATTGAGGAAGACACAGATAAAAGGAAAGATAACTCATTTTTATGGATTGGAAGAATAAATATGGCTTAAATGTCCACACTACCCAAAGCAATATGCAGATTCAATACAATCTCTATCAAAATTCCAATAGCATTTTTCACAGAAATAGAAAAAACAATTCTAAAAATTCTATAGAACCACAAAAGGTCCTGAATAGCAAAAGCACTAGAGAAAGAAAAATAAAGTTGGAGATAATTACACATCTTGATTTCAAATTATATTTCAAAGCTGTAGTAATCAAAACAGTATGGTACTAGCATAAAAGTACACACAAAGGCCAATGGAACAGAATATAAGTCCCAGAAATAAACACAAACATATACAGTCAACTAATTTTTGACAAGGGTACCAAAAAGACACAATGGAGAGAGGATAGCCTCCTCAATAAGTGATGTTGGAAAACTCAATATCCACATACAAAAAAAGGGAAATTAGAACCTTACCTTACACAAAACTCAACTCAAAATTGAAGACCTAAATGTAATACCTGAAACCATAAAACTCATAGAAGAAAGCACAAAGGAAAAGCTTTTTGACATTGGCCTTGGCTGGCAATGTCATTTGGATATTACAACAAGAACTTAGGTAACAAAAGAAAAAAAAAGTAGGACTTTGTTAAACTCAAAAGCTTCTGTAAAGCCATGGAAACAATCAACAAAATTAAAAGGCAGCCTATGCATTGGGAAAGAATATTGCAAACCATAAATAAATTTGTTGAGTTTTAAAAGTTCTTCTATATTTAGAATGGTGGTTTTTTATTAGATATGTTGTCACAAATATTTTCTCCCACTCTGTGATTTGTCTTCTCATTCTCTTAAGAATGTCTTTTGCAGAGCAGAAAATTTTCATTTTAATGAAGTCCAGCTTATCAATTCTTTCATGAATGGTGCCTTTGGTATGGTATCTAAAAAGTCATCACCAAGCCCAAGGTCATTTAGAAATTTCTCCTATGTTATTTTCTAAGTTTTTATGCTTTTTGCATTTTACGTGTAGGTCTGTGATCCATTCTGAGTTAAATTTTGTGAAGAGTGCAAGGTCTATGCCTAAATTCATTTTTTGTTTGTGGATGTTCACCTGTTCCAACATCATTTGTTGAAAAAAACTATCTTTTCTCCATTGTACATCCTTTATTCCTTTATCAAAAATCAGTTGACCACATTTATGTAAGTCTACTTTGGGGCTCTCTTCTGTTCCATTTAAGTCAGTCTGTCTCTCTCTCTCTCTCTCTTTTGCCAGTACAACACTGTCTTAATTACCATAACTTTATAGTAAGTCTTGAACATGGACATTACTATAATGGATAATGTTCAACTTCAAAACTTACTATACTGTCTTACTATTATAATGTCCTCCAACTCTGTTCTCCTTCAATATTGCATTAGCTATTCTGGGTCTTTTGCCTCTCTGTATACACTTTAGAAGTAGTTTTTGGTATTCACAAAATAACTTGCTGGAATTTTGACTGCGATTGTTTTGAATCTATAAATCAAAGTGAGAAGAAATGACGTCTTGACAATACTGAGTCATCCTATCCATAAATATGGAATATCTCTCCATTTATTTCGTTCTCTTATTTTTTATTAAAGTTTTATAGTTTTTCCCATATAGATTTTGTGTATATTTTGTTATATTTATACTTAAGTATTTCATTTTTGGAAGGCTAATGTAAATGATACTGGTTTTAATTTCAATTTTCATTTGCTCATTGTTGGTACACAGGAAAGAAATTTACTTTTTTATATTAGCGTTATATCCTGTCACCTTGCTATAATTGTTTATTAGTTCCAGGAGGTTGTTTGGTCAACTTTTTAAATTTTATTATCTGCAAACAAAAATACTTTTATTTTTTCCTTTCCAATTTGTGTAAATTTTTCTTTTCTTGTTTTATTGTATTAGTTAGGACTTTCAGTGTGGTGTTAAAAAACAGTAGTAAGAAGAGACATCCTGCTCATTTCTTAGGTTAGTGGGAAAGCTTCTGATACCTCACCAATAAGTATAATGTTAGAAGTAGGTTTTTTGCAGATGTTCTTTATCAAGTTGAGTAAATTCCCATTTAGTCCCAGTTTAATGTGAGTTTTTATCACAAATGGGTGTTGGATTTTTGTCAAATGCTTTTTTATACGATCATGTGGGTTTTCCTTTTTAGCCTGGTGGTGTGATGGATTACATTATTTGGTTTTCAAATGTTGAACCAGACTTGCGCACCTGGGATAAATCCCACTTGGTCATGGTATATAATTATTTTTATACATTGTTGGATTTTATTTGCGAATATTTCGTTGAGGACTTTTGCATCAATGTTTATGAGAGATATTGGTCTATAGCTTTCTTTTCTTATAATGTCTTTGTATATTATGCTGGCCTCACAGAATGACTTAGGAAGTATTCCCTCTGCTTCTGTCTTCTGAAAGAGACCAAAGAGAATGGTATAATTTCTTTGCAAAATGTTTTACCACAGAACCCATCTGAGCCTGGTACTTTCTGTTTTAGAAGGTTATTAATTTCCTTAGTCAATTCAGGTTACAATGACAAATTACCATAGACTGGGTATCTTATAATTGACAGTAATGTATTTCTCCCAGTCTGGAGGCTGGAAGTCCCAGATCAGGATTGCAACATGGTCAGGTTCTAGTAAAGGCCCTTTCACATTGCATTTTGCTGCATCATTGCTGTGACCTCATATGGCAGAAAGGGGCAAGAGAGCACTTTGGGTTCTTTTTCATAAGGGTACTAATCCCATTCTTGAGGCCCCCATCCTCATGACCATTATAATCACTGCCCAAAGCCCCCAACTCCTAACACCAACACACTGGGGGTTGGGATTTTAACATATACATTTTGGGGGACATAAATACTTAGTCCATAACATTTATTATTGATTCAATTTCTTTAATAGATATAGGCCTATTCATATTGTCTATTCTTGCATGAGTTTTGGCATATTGTGTCTTACAATAAATTCGTTCATTTCATGTAGCTTATCAAATTTGTGGGCACAGAGTTGTTCATAGTGTTCCTTTACTATCATTTTAATGTCCACAAGATCTGTAGTGATGTCCCCTCTTTCATTTATGATATTAGTAATTTCTATCCTCTCTTTTTCTAACTCCAGCTAGATACTTATTGATTTTATTGATCTTTTCAAAGAACCATCTTTAGGTTTTATTTGCTTTCTCTATTGATTTTCTCTTTCCAATTTTATTGATTTCTGTTTTGTTTTTATTATTTCTTCTTTTCTACTTATTATGGACCTAATTTGCTTTTCTTTTTCTAGACTCCTAAGGTGAAAAAATAGATTTTAAATATTTCTTCTTTTCTAAAATACACATCTAATACTATAAATATTCCTCTATGCCCTGTTTTTACTGCATTTCACAAATTTTGATAAGTTGTTTTCATTTTCTTTTGCCATTATTATCTTTATTATTATTCAATTCTATTGCCCTTATTCTTTGTTCCTATTTTTGTCTTCTACTTTTCTCTTTTTCCCTTTGATGGTTAATTGAGTATTTTTTTACGATTTTATTTTCTCTTCTTTTTTAGCATATCAGTTATATTTTTTATACATTTTTAGTGGTTTCCCTTGAGTTTGACATATGCATTTACAACTAATTCAAGCCTGCTTTCAAATAACACTATGCCATTTCACCAGTAACGTGAGCACCTTATAATAACAACATAACCTTAATTCTTTTCTTCCGTCTCTTGTATTATAGCTGTCACTCATTTCACTTATATGTAAGCATATGTAGTTACTATTATTATTTTGAACAAAATATTATCTATTGGATCAATTAAGAATAATAAAAATGAAAGTTATTATTTTACCTTCTCTAGTAAAAAGCGAAACCAACTGAAACATCAGTAGCTCTTAGATTCCTAACAGAGCTGAGGTCATAGGGAAAGCTGCTTATTTAGCTTTTTACTAGTTAAGATAGAGTGGTGACTTTCATTATTCTTACATGTCAGACCAAAAACTGGAAGTTGGCAGTAATATTTAAAATTTTAAATCTATCTCGCCTATTTTTCTCACTCTATATTAGGGTTTTCGTTAAAAGAGATCAACATTTTCCTCTTCTCAAAAAGAGTATATGCTCTTTGTTTGGAGCATTTACTGCATCTGTTCCTCTCTGTTTTAATACCATCTCTCTACCCACTGCAGGAATGCCTTGCCCTTCTGCTTGCTTCTCATTCTCACTATCAAAACTTTTCTTCAGAAAGCCTTTCTTAGCAAGTTAAGTAGCATAGAGCCAGAAACCATCAGAACAAGGAGTGATCTTAGAGTCACTTAGTGGAACTACAATTCAGATGCTTAAATCTCTTCTATGACACCCCGACAAGCTATCACCAACTGCTTGCACATGCCAGTGGTGAAGAACTTACCACCACCTGTATCCAGGATGTTGAACAATACTGCTCATTAAATGTAATCAAAATACTTCATTTTTCACTTCCCATTGCCACTTTAAAATGTATTTGATGGGCTTTCTCTGGCCACTAAATAGAAACTCTGGCAGAACCTATGCTTTGGGGGCACTCGTTAAGTAATACACAATGCTACGGTATTTTTTTAAGTCACTAAAGAACATTTTCAGTTCTGTAATTAAATATACAATTTAATATGTTAATCAACATTTCAATCTTTATACAAAGGCAAGAATGCCATCCCAATGTACCCCACTCCAGGAAAGCCCTTTATTGGGGTGAGCTGCTCCTTTCTTTAGTCTCAGACCCTTCTGTTGGCATACAGGAAGAGAAGAGGGGAATGGAACCAAAAGGTCTTAGTTTATGGACTTAACATACAGCTATTTAAATCAAACTTTTGCAGCTTCACTTGCAAAAACCCCTTCCAAGACCTCCTCACTAATTTTCTATCTGTGATGCTTTATTCTTTTTATTAAAGAGAACCTGTCAAATTCTACAAGCTTAAGAACTCAAAAAATCTGGATCTACTCACGTGTCACAGTGCTGCCTTAAGCTGGCTCCACAGTCCATGGTTCTGGCTAATGATTAAAACTGGTGGTTCCCAAGTAGACAGAGCAGGTGGGTTCTTCCAAGGTTCTCCTGCTAGGCCAATCTGCGATGACTTCCAGGATGTCAGTAGCCCCACACTTTGGCTGGTTGCTCTAGCTCTCACCTCAGTTTCTGATTTTCCAGTAGTCCTTTCTATTCAGACCTTCTACTAGACTCCACTCACTTTCCAGCAGCAGCTCTCTTCAGCAGAACCTTACTGCAGATTCCACGTATGTTTTCTGGGCTTTGTGCACCTTTGGACCCACCATTAGAGAAAGAGCATTTTCATCTGACTCAGGCTATTTCTTTCCACACTTCCACTAAGGCTGAGAGCCACAGCCTCTTGCGTGTGTGTCACACACCAGTTCAAGGCTCCTCTGTACTTTCAGAGTGGTCTTTTGGAAGCCCACTCCCTCTAGGCTGGAAGTGAAGGAGAAACAGCTTTACCATATTCCCTTTGAAGCAGAGAGAGGATAGAAGTTCCCTTTAAGGAAATCTCTCATAAATCTTCCGCCTTCTTTAATCTTTTGATTTCTTATAGTCTCCTTGTGGGGTAATTTTCCTTCAAAAATTTGTTTCTGCCTAGAAATTCACTTTGAGATGTCCCAAGTGTTGTATTGTGGGGTCATAGTTATAATTCCAGTTTAACATCTTCTCACAGACCCAAGAAAATCCTCTCTACTTTTGGAAAGCGTTGATAATCCAAAACACTTCCTTTCAACTTCCAAAATCCCTCTGCCATGGGTAGTTATGTTCAGTTCTACACGAAACAAGGTTAACTCCTCTTCTACTCACTAGCCATTTGCGATAGGCTGAATAATGCAAACCACCAGCCCTACTCCCTTGAAGATATCTGCATCCTAATTTCCAGAACCTGTAAATGCTACCTTCTGGGCAAAAATGACTTTGCACATCTGATTAAGCACCTTGAGATGAGGAAATTATCCTGGGTTATCCAAGTGAGCCTTAAGTGTAATCACAAATGTCCTTATAAAGGGAGGCAGAGGGAGATTTTACTACAGAAGAGAAGAAAATGATGGGATGATGATGAAAGCAGACATGAGATTTATGCGCTTTGATGATGGAAGAAGGAGCCACAGACCAAGGAATGCTAGTGGCCACTAGAAGCTGGAAAAGGTAAGGCAATGGATGTTCTCCCTTTATACCCTCTAGAAGGAACCTACCTCACCATATCTTTACCTTAGCCCAGTAAATCTGATTCCAGACTTCTGACCTCCAGAATTCTAAGAGAATATATTTGTTTTGTTTTAAGCCACCAAGTTTGTGGCTTAAAACCCCCTTAAGATGATTGAAGAGTGTCATAGCTTCTGAAGATGCAGTAAAGAAGTTGTGTTGTCCAGAAGGATTGAGGCCCCTGCTCAGCAATATTCAAGCAAAAAGAAGTTCCTTTCCCAGTTCCCCAGCATAATCCAACTTAAATAAACCTTGCTGTTCTAAAATGGTTGCTTATGAGTTTGTTTTTGTTTTGTTTTGTTTTTGAGGTAGGTTCCCCCAAAGAAGCTCACCAATTAGTTGTTATCCAGTCAAATTTCTACCCTGTCTACTCCTTGGGGCCTTCTCTAACTCTGAGAAAATAAAAATGAAAACAAAAATTTTGGAGGTACTAGTCCATGTTTTCACTACTGTAGACAGTTCCAAAGTTCTCTTTGATTGAAGCTTACCTCTTTTGTTCTAATAAGTTTAGCAGGCTGCATTACTGCCTTTTACCAAAGAGCTTTAAATGATCCCTGCCTGGTACTATTTTTGGTATCCAGGACAATAGATTATTATAGACAAAAGAAAAAATTTAGGGCAGTCCTCCAAAAATAGGACATCTCGTTTTGAAATAAATTATCTCTTACTTGGTCCCAAGGTATCTTGCAGAGCCAAAAAAATTCCCCAGGGAAGCAAAGCAAAGACCTTGACAGCATTTTGGGCAGCAAGTTTGAGTTGATTCTATTTTGTTCATTCTTTAAGTTTGGTCAATGTCCTGTATCCATTTGCATGACTCTTACCAAGTTCCCGCAGCAACTAGGTACTTTGGCAGTTTCAATTTAGCACTCTTGACATGGGCTCTTATTCTCTTAGCAAAGCCCAGAATGCAAAGAAATTTCAAGTATCAGCATATACATTTTTCTACCTTGCTATAAGGATTACATGATTTGTGTTTTAACAAATTTGTAAATTTATTTGCAAATTATTATACCATTTGCAAACAAAGACATAAGAACAACATAACTTCTCCATAACCAGTGTTATGCTAAACATTTTTGCTGGTATGAAGTTACATTTCTTTCACTCTTTGCTTTCTGTCAAAAGAATAAATTCAACGGAATTCAAGTCAGCCTGCACTTATGGAGCCTGTACAGTGTACTACCAGATGACATGCTGGACACTGATTACAAAAGGGGCATGCATATGTTCTCCTTCTTTAGAAGCTCACAGGCAGGAAAGTGACACACATGCAAAAGAAAACCATTCTAAAATGTGAGGATAATGTAAGTACAAGTGCAAAGAGGACAAAAGTGAGGGAGCAGTTCCTTCTGTTTGGGAGGGTGTTTTGCATGGTTAAAGTAAAGAGGTGTTCAAAGTATGATTTCATAAATCACACAGTTTATTGCCATACAAAGAATTTTTTATGATTTCACAGTGCTCAAAGAGGGGAAGAGTAACGGGAACAAATCTCACAAGAACTTACTCATTAGATGAGATGCATTAAACATATGGTGAGTGAGTTTCAATTTCATTTAAAGTCCAATTATTAAAGTCTATTTGCTCCACTGAGATGGAAGCAGACCTCTGTGACTGTAAGGTCTAATTAAAGTTTTGAGGCACATCTTTCTATGAGCAGTTCACAGTGTGTTGGGGGATTGAACTGGGTCAAGGACTCCCCAGCACCTGAGGGTCTCTCTCTTTTTCTTATCCTCTAACTGAGGCTAGTGGTCCAGGAGGCTCTCACTCCTTGGAGGACATGTGGTCCATAAAGTCTGCCACCTTGCTACTGTAGCCAAATTCATTGTCATACCAGGAAATGAACTAGTCAAAGTGGTTGTTAGGGCAATGCCAGTCCCAGCATGGAAGGTAGAAGAGTAGGTGTCACTGTTAGAGTCTAGGAGACAACCAGGTCCTCGGTGTAGCCCAGGATGCCCTTTAGGAGAATATCCAATGTCTGCTTCATCACCTTCTTGGAGTCATCACATTTGGCAGCTTTCTCTGGACAGTCCATAGAAAGCTGGAGACACAGCCTGGGGATGGGGACACAGAAGGCCATGCCACTGAGCTTTCCATTCAGCTCAGAGATGACCTTGCCTACAGCCTTGGAAGCATCAGTAGAGGCAGGCATGAAGTTCTGGCTAGCCTCATGGCTGTCACAACACAGTTTCCCAGAGAGGCCTTCCCAGTCTTCTTGGTGGCAGTGATGGCATGGATTGTGATCTTGAGTCTCTCCGTGATGCCAAAATTGTTATTGATGACATTGGCCAGGAGGGCTAAGCACTTGGTAGTGCAGGAGGAATTGCTGACAATCTTGAGGGAGTTGTCACACTTCTCATCATTCATGCTCATAAATATGGGGACATCAGCAGACGGGACAAAGATGATGACCCTATTGGCTCCACCCTTCATATGAAGTCAGACTTTTACAAGAAAATGAAGACACAGTAGATTCCACAACAAATTCATTACAAGAATTACCCCATTTCATGTCAGGATCTCACTTTTAGAAGATGGAAATGGGTTTTTCATTTATAACAACCTTTTGGTTCTCAGTCTTGGCTATGCCGTTGAACTTGTTATTTGGTGGAATCATACTAGAACACATAGACAATGTACTTGATGTTAACAAAGGGGTCAGTGATGGCAACGACATCCACATTGCCATCACTTCAGCATGTGTCTCAACGATGCTTCCGCTGTCCCTGTATGAGAAGATGTGTCTGTCTGTCAAATGGGAAGAGCAGAGAGTCTGTAAGTTTTAAAATCACATTAGGTGTTAGTTTCTTTACATGCATTACTTCTAATTCTTACAACAATTAGTAAGGCTTATTAATCTCCTTTTTCAAATGATGAAATAGAAATAAATGACATTAAATGATTTTTTAAGGCAATAGACCTAGAGAGAGAGGAATTTGGATTTCAACTTACTCAGATTTGTTCCAGAGTTGATATACATTTCTTCTCACCCACAGATTATCAAATGGGATAAAGTGCTTTTTTTTGGAGGGGGGCAGGGGTAGGGGGGAGGTGGGAAGCAAGCTCCAAAAGTGAGGTATTTTGATTGCTATTTTCTAATTGATTACCGAGATAGTTCAGAGATTCTGCAAACACAGTTTCTTAAAATTGTCAGATGAAATTCTCTTTAGGAAACAAAACTATTATGTAACCATAAGTATTTTGTTATACTATACCCTGGCCTGTGACTTTTGAAACAAACTTTTCACTTTTGCTCTGTTCGCCATATGCTAAGTGTGACTGAATGTACCATTGCTGAGAGTCCAAAGGAGCCTGATAGGGGCGGGGGCAGGGCAATAACTGACAATGAGTGAGTGAGGAAGTCACTGCCTTTTCAATTTTCTTTCGATATATTCTGACTACATGAAGGAGGAATCTTAGTTTGATGCTGTTTTTCTCTAATATCTCTCTAATACCAGACAATCTCCCTTTTTATCAAAGTGAAGGCAGATTCAGGCTGGAATCTTTCTTGTCTAGCTAAGATAGCTCTGCTTTTGTTTATTTTCACAGTTTTCTTGTATTTATAACAACGGATTCTGGTTTTCTCCTTATGGTAATGACACCTAGTTTCCTTTGATAACAAATTTATTTGAGTTAAAGTGACTCCATTTCTTTTTAATTTTTAATTTTTGTGGGTACATAGTAGGTCTATACATTCATGGGGTACATGAGATACTTTTATAAAGGTATACTATGCATAAAAATCACATGAGGATAAAAGAGGTATTCATCACCTCAGGTGGTTATCCTTTTGTGTGTACAAACAATCCAATTATATTCTTTTAGTTATTTCAAAATGTACAATAAATTATTGTTGACTGTAGTCACCCTGTTGTGCTATCAAATACTAGATTTTATTCATTATATCTAATTATATTTTTGTACCTGTTAACCATCCCCACTCCCCACCCCTCACTACCTTTCCCAGACTCTGGTAACCATCATCCTACTATCTCCATTAGTTCAGTTGTTCTAATTTTTAGCTCCCACAAATAAGTGAGGGCATGTGAAGTTTATCTTTCTGTTCCTGGCTTATTTCACTTAACATAACGTCCTCCAGTTCTATCCATGTTGTTACAAATGACAGAATCTCATTCTTTTTATGGCTGAATACTATTCCATTGTGTATATGGACCACCTTTTCTTTATCCATTTGTTTGCTGATGGACACAGCAGTTGCTTCCAAATGTTGGCTATTGTGAACAGTGCTGCAACAAACATGTGAGTACAAGATATGTCATCAGTATACTGATTTCCTTTCCTTTAGGTATATGCCTAGCAGTGGGATTGCTGGATCATATGGTAGCTCTATTTTTAGTTTTTTGAGAAACCTCCAAACTGTTCTCCATGGTAGTTGTACTAATTTACATTCTCACCAACAGTGTACGAGCATTGCCTTTTTTCTATTTTTAGTTTTTTGAGAAACCTCCAAACTGTTCTCCATGGTAGTTGTACTAATTTACATTCTTGCCAACGGTGTACGAGCATTGCCTTTTTTCCCACATCCTCACCAGCATTTGATATTGTGCCTGTCTTTTGGATATAAGCCATTTTAACTGGGGTGAGATGATCTCATTGTAGTTTTCATTTGGATTTTTCTGATGATCAGTGATGTTTAGCACCTTTTCATATGCCTGTTTGTCATTTGTATGTCTTCTTTTAAAAAATGTCTATTCAGAGCTTTTGCTCATTTTGTAAATCAGATTATTAGATCTGTTTCCTATTGAGTTATCTGAACTCCTTATATATTCTGGTTATTAATCGCTTGTCAGATGGGTAGTTTGCAGATATTTTCACCCATTCTGTGGTTTGTCTCTTCACTTTGTTGATTGTTTCCTATGCTATGCAGAAGGTTTTTAACTTGATGTGATCTCACTTGTCCATTTTTGTTTTGGTTGCCTGTGCTTGTGCAGTATTATTAAAGAAATCATTGCCCAGTTCAATGTCCTAGAGAGTTTCCCTAATGTTTTAATAGTTTCATGGTTTAAAGGCTTAGATTTAAGTATTTAATCCATTTTGATTTTATTTTTGTACCTGGCAAGGGATAAGGGTCTGGTTTTATTCTTTGGCATACAGGCATTCAGTTTTCCCAGCACCATTTATTGAAGAGAATGTCCTTTCCCCAGTGTATCCTTTTGGAACCTTTGTTGAAAATGAGTTTGCTATAGGTGTATGGATTTGTTTCTGGGCTTTCTATTCTTTCCCATTGGTCAGTGTATCTATTTTAAGCCAGTACCATGTCGTTTTGATTACAGTAGCTCTCTAGAATAATTTAAAGACAAATAATGTGATTACTCTAGGTTTGTTCTTTTTACTCAGGATGTCTTTGGCTATTCTGAGTCTTTAGAAAGTCTATATAAATATTATGATTTTTTTTCTATTTCTTTGAGGAATGTCATTTTTTTAATAGGGATTGCACTGAATCTATAAATTGCTTTGGGTAGCATGGACATTTAAACAATACTGATTCTTCTAATCCATGAACATGGAATATCTTTCCATTTTTTGTGTGTCCTTTTTCATGTCTTTAATTAATGTTGTATAGTTTTCATTGTAGAAATCTTTCACTTCCTTGGTTAAGTTAATTCCTATGTATTTTATTTTATTTATAGCTATTGTAAATGGGATTACATTCTTGATGTCTTTTTCAGGTTGTATGCCGTTGGCATGTAGAAATGCTTCAGATTTTTATATGTTGATTTTGTATCCTACAACTTTGCTGAATTTATTGATTCTAATTGTTTTCTTTAAATAAAGTCTTTAGGTTTTTCCCAATATAAGATCATATCATCTGAAAACAAGGATAATTTGACTTCTTCTCTACCAATTTGGATGCCCTTTATTTCTTTCTCTTCTCTCATTGCTCTAGCTAGGACTTCCAGTACTATATTAAATAACAGTGGTGACAGTGGGCATCTTTGTTGTGTTCCAGATCTTAGAGGAAAGGCTTTCCATTTTTCCTCATTCAATGTGATACCATCTGTGGGTCTGTTATGTTTGGCTTTTATTATGTTGAGGTATGTTTCGTCTATAGTCAGTATTATTAGGGTTTTTATTATGAAGGGATGTTGAATTTTATCAAATGCTTTTTCAGCATTAGAAATGATCGTATGGTTTCTCCTCCTTCATTCCATTGACATGATGTATTATATTAATTGACTTGCATATGTTGAATTATCCTTGCATCTCTGGGATAAATCCCACTTGATCATGATGAATGAAATTTTTAATGTGTTCTTGAATTTAGTTTGCTATTATTTTGTTGGGAATTTTGCATCAATATTCATCAGGAACATTGGCCTGTAGTTTTCATTTTTTGATGTGTCTTTTTCTGGTTTTGGTATCAGGGTAATATTGGCCTTGTAGAATCAGTTTGGAAGTATTCCCTCCTCCTCCATATTTTCAGAATCATTTGAATAGGATTGGTGTTAGTTCTTTAAATGTTTGCTAAGGTTCAACAGTGAACTTTATTAGGTCTCAGATTTTTGCTGGGAGACATTTTATTACTGTATCAATATCATTACTTGTTATTTGTTCAGGCTTTGGATTCTTCATGGTTCAACCTTAGTAGGTTGTAAGTGTCTAGGAATTTATCCATTTCTTCTAGGTTTTCCAATTTATTTGCAGATAGTTGCTAATAGTAGCCTCTAATGATTCTTTGATTTTCTGTGGAATTGGTTGTAACATCTCCTTTTTCACCTCTGATTTTTTTTTACTTAGGTCTTCTCTCTTTTTTTTCTTAGTCTGGTTAAAGGTTTGTTGATGCTCTTGTTTATGTTTTCAGAAAAACTAACTTTTCATTTTGCTGATCTTTGGTATTTTTAAGATTTCAATTTCACTTATTTCTGATCTGATCTTTATTATTTGTTATCTTCCACTAATTTTAGGTTTGGTTTGCTCTTGCTTTTCTAGTTTCTTCAGATGCATTGTTAGGTTATTTGAAGTCTTTTTACTATTTTGATGTAGGCACTTATAGCTATAAACTTTCTTCTTAGTACTGCTTTCAAAGTATCCCATAAATTTTGGTATGTTGTGTTTCCATTTTCATTGGTCTCAAGAAGTTTTTAAATTTCCTTCCTGATTTCTTCATTGATCCACTGGTCATTCAGGAGCGTATTGTTTAATTTCTAGGTGTTTCTATAGTTTCAAAAAGTTCTCTCTTTATTAATGTTTAGTTTTATCCCATTGTGGTCAGAGAGGATACTTGATATTATTTCAATTTTTTTGAATGTTTTAAGACTCATTTTGTGACCTAACATATGGTCTATCCTTGAGAATGATTAATGTGCTGAGGAGAAGAATATGTATTCTGCAACCATTGGATGAAATGTTCTGTAAATATCTATTAGATCCATTAGGTCTATAGTGCAGAATAAGCCCAATGTTTCTTTGTTGATTTTCTGTCTGAATGATCTATCCAGTGCTGGAAGTGGGATGTTGAAGTCTCCAGCTATTATTGTACTGGAGTCTCTCTCTCTCTCTTTCTCTTTTTTTTTTCTCTCTCTCTAATATTTGCTTTGTAAATCTGGGTGCTCAAATATTGCATGCATATATGTTTAAATTATTGTGCCTTCTTGCTGAATTAACTCCTTTATCATTATATAATGGCCTTCTTTGTCTCTGTTTATAGTTTTTATGTTAAAATCTATTGTGTCTGATGTAAATATAGCTATTCCTGCTCTTTTTTTGGTTTCCATTTGCGTGGAATATCTATTTCCATCCTTTTATGTTCAGTCCATGTCGTCTTTATAAGTAAAGTGTGTTTCTTACAGGCCACACAGATCACTGGGTCTTGTTTTTATTTTTTTTATTCATTTAGCCACTATCTCTTTCAGGAGTTTAGTCCATTTACATTCAAAATTATTATTGATAAATAAGGACTTACCCTTGCCATTGTGTTATTTGTTTTCCGGTTGTTTTGTGGTCTTGTCTTCCTTCTTTCTTTTCTTTCTGTAAGGTGATTTTCTCTGATGATATGTTTTAATTTGTTGCTTTTTATTTTTTGTGTATCTGTTGTATGATTTTTTTTATCTGAGGTTACCATGAAGCTTGCACATGCTATCTTATAACTCATTATATTAAACTGATGACAACTTAACAGTGACTGCATAAGCAAACTAACAAATAGGTAAATATAAAGCTAATAAAACTCTAACTTTATCCTTCAACTTTTAAACTTTTTGTTGTTTCTATTTATATCTCATTTTACTGTCTATTTTTAAAAGTTGCTGTAGTTATTATTTATGATTGGCCCATCTTTTAATCTTTCTACTTGTATTAGTCCATTCTCACACTGCTAATAAACACATACATGAGACTGGGTAATTTATAAAGGAAAGAAGCGTAATTGACTCACAGTTCAGCATGGCTGGGGAGGCCTCAGGAAACTTGCAATTATGGTGGAAGGGGAAGCAAGCGCGTCCTTCTTTACATGGAGGCAACAAGGAGAAGTGCTGAGCAAAGGGGGGAAAGCCCCTTACAAAACCATCAGATCACGTGAGAACTCACTCACTATCATGAGAACAGCAGCATGAGGGTAACTGCCCCCATGATTCAATTACTACCTCTCACTGGGTCCCTTCCACAACACATGGGGATTATGGGAACTACAATTCAAGATAAGATTTGGGTGGTGGCACAGCCAAACCATATCACTATTCAAGATATGAGTAGTTTATACACCACAATTTCAGTGTTATAATATTCTGTTATTTGGTGTGCATAGTATTACCAGTGAGTTTTATACCTTTAGATGATTTCTTGTAGCTCATTAATGTCTTTTTCTTTCAGATTGAAGAACTCTCTTTAGCATTTCTTGTAAGACAGGTCTGGTGTTGAAATCCTTTAGCTTTTGTTTGTCTGGGAAAGTATTTCTTCTTCATGTTTGAAGAATATTTTCACTGGATATATTACTCCAAGTTACTTTGTTTTTCCATTCACCACTTTAAATATGTCATGTCACTCTCACCCGTCCTGTAAGGTTCCCCCAAGAAGTGGGCTGATAGATGTATTAGAGAACCATTTTCTCTCTCTCTCTCTCTCTCTCTCTCTCTCTCTCTCTCTCTTTCTTTCTGCTTTTATAACCCTTTCTTTATCCTTGATCTTTGGGAGTTTCATTTTTAAATGCCTTGAGGTAGTCTTTTTGGGTTCAGTCTTCTTTGTGTGCTGTAACTTTCTTGTACTTGAATATTGATATCTTCCTCTAAGTTTTGGGAAGCTTTCTGTTACTATCCATTTGAACAAAATTTCTACTCCTATCCCTCTCTATGTCCTCTTTAAGGACAATCACTCTTAGATTTGCTCATTTGAGGCTATTTTCTAGATCTTATAGGCATGCTTTTTTTTTAAAATTCTACTTTCTTTTTTTCCAATTTTTATTATTATTATTATTATACTTTTAGGGTACATGTGCACAACATGCAGGTTTGTTACATATGTATACATGTGCCATGTTGGTGTGCTGCATCCATTAACTCGTCATTTAGCATTAGGTATATCTCCTAATGCTATCCCTCCCCCCTCCCCCCACCCCACAACAGTCCCCGGTGTGTGATGTTCCCCTTCCTGTGTCCATGTGTTCTCATTGTTCAATTCCCACCTATGAGTGAGAACATATGGTGTTTGGTTTTTTGTCCTTGCGACAGTTTGCTGAGAATAATTCTTCTTTCTTTTGTTTCCTTCGACTGTGTATTTTCAAATAGCCTGTCTTGAAGCTCACTATTTCTTTCTTCTGCTTGATCAATTCTGCTATTAAAAGACCATGATGCATTCTTCAGTATGTCAGTTTTATTTTTCTACTTCAGAGTTTCTGTTTGATTCTTTTTAATTATTTCAATTTCTTTGTTAAATTTATCTGATAGGATTCTGAATTTCTTCCTTGTGTTATCTTACATTTCACTGAGTTTCCTCAAAACAGTTGTTTTGAATTCTCTGTCTGAAAGATCATATATCTCTGTCACTCCAGGATTGGTCACTGGTGCTTATTTATTTCAACTGTTGGGGTCAGGTTTTCCTGGGTGATCTTTATGCTTGTGGATGTTCATCAGTGTCTGTTCATTGAAGAGTTAGGTATTTATTGTAGGCTTTGCAGTCTGGGCTTGTTTGTACCCTGTATTAGCCTGTTTTCATACTGCTATAAAGAACTACCTAAGACTGGGTAATTTATAATGGAAAGAGATTTAATTGACTCATAGTTCAGCATGGCTGGGGAGGCCTCCAGAAACTTACAATCGTGGTGGAAGGTGAAGGTGAAGGAAGGCACTGTCTTCACAAGGTGGCAGGAAGGAGAAGTACTGAGCCAAGGGGGAAAAGCACCTTATAAAACCATGTGATCTCATGAGAACTCACCCATTATCAGGAGAACAGCATAGGGGAGACCACCCCCATGATTCAATTACCTCCACCTGGTCTCTCCCTTGACACTTGGGGATTATGGGGATTACAATTCAAAATGAGATTTAGGTGGGGACACAAAGCCTAATCATATCATACCTGCCTTTCCTGGGAAAGCCTTATAGGTATTTGAAGGGACTTGGGTGTTGTGATCTAAGTGTTTGCTCACCGCAACCATATCTGCATTAGGGGCACTGCAAGCCTACTAATGCTGTGGTTCTTGCAGACTCATAGAGGTACTGCCTTGATTGTCTTGGATAAAATCCTGAAGAATTTTCTGGATTACCAGGCAGATACTCTTGTTTTCTTTGCTTACTTTCTCCCCCAAAAGACAGAGGCTCTCTCTGTGCTGAGCTGCCTGGAGCTGGGGGAGGGGTGACACAAGCACCCCTGTGGCCACCACCACTGGGACTATGCTGGGTCAGAGCTAAACTCAGCACAATGGGCCTTGCCTGAGGAACACAGTAACTGCCTGGCTAGTGCCTACGTTTACTCAAAACTCTAGGGTTCTACCATCTGCAGGTGGTGAAGCCAGCCAAGCTTGTGTCCTTCTCTTCAGGGAAGCATGTCCAGAGAAATAGTCTGGGAGCCAGGGCATGGAGTTAGAAACTTTACAAATTTACCTGGTGCTCTATTCTACTATGGCTGACCTGGCATGCAAGCTGCAAGACAAAGCCCCTCCCACTCTTCCTTCCCCTTTTGTTAAGCAGAAGGATTCTGTCCCCATAGTCACCATTGTCCCAGGCCCACAACATTTACTGCCTATTGCCAATGTTCATTCAAGGCCCAAGTTCTGTCTCTACGGTCAGCTTGTGGTGAATCATGCTTCCAGGCCTGTTACACTGTCTTCAGGGGAGTGGGGTCCCCTCTGGTCCAAGGCAGGTTCAGAAATGCTGTTCAAGAGCCACGGCCTGGAATTGGGGACCCCAGAAGCCCCTTTGGTCCTCTACCTCACTGTGGTTGAGCTGGTACCTAAGCTGCAAGACAAAGTCCTCTTTACTCTTCCCTCTCCTCTCCTCAAGTGGAGAGAAGTCTTTCCTGAAGATGAAAGCTGCACTGCCCGGGGTTGGCGGGCAGTGACATAAACACTCCCTTGGCTGCTCTGTTTGGTGTCTCAGTGGGCCATGTGCCCCCCAAACCCAGGTCCACTGGCTTTGAGCCCAGTACAGCACCAGGACTTGCTCAGGAATTGCAGTTCTTGTGGCCTAGATTGCCTTTCAAGTTTATTTAGGACTCCAGAGCGCTTTGGCCCACAGTGGAAAGGCTTTACAGAACTTGGGTTCTGACTGCTGGGGTAGGCAATTTCCTCTAGCTAGGGCTGGTCTAAAAGCACCCTCTGTGGTGGCTGGTTGCGTTCTGCCCAGTGTTGCTTTCTGCAATGACAGGGCAGCACTGAGTTCCTACGCGAAGTCCTACGATCTATGTTTTCCCTCTGCAAAGCACAAAGATTCTCCCCCACACCACGTGGCTGCTTCCAGGGGATGGAGAAGGCAATTCAAGACTGTCTTCCCTACCCTCTTCAGTGCTTTTTTCAGGGATATGAACTTAAAACCAGGTACTATGATAACTCACCTCATTTTTGGTTCTTGGGAAGGTGCTTTTTTGTGTGGATAATTGGTCGATTTTGTGGATAGCTGTTCAATTTGGTTCAGTCATTCTCTGAGGGGAGGACTATTGGAAGTGGCTTCTGTTTGGCCATCTTTTTCCACCCTCCCAGTGATTCAAGTGAATCAATTTGAAGAAAATATTAAGTAAATAATAGGTCATGGTTGTAGGATAAACACACCTGATGGCAATAACTTAAGCATACCCTTAGAATGACCCTGTATGGCAGATGCACCTAAATGTGTGTTCTGAGCTAGGGAATATGGGAGTGGACAACCCAGAGATTCATTTCTTGTCTATGAGGAACATTTGAGCCCCCAGCTTGTCCCATGGAACATGGGCCATACAGAGGATTGATGCCCTGAGTTTTGGGTTAAATGAAGATTGCCAGGTGGAAGTCATTAGGAGGAAAGTGTCAAGTGGAAATACATTATAAACTGCATGCTGTTTGCAGGTGGTTGCAGTTTTTCTCTCCAGCCCATTACCATTGGGCCTTGCAGTTATTTTGTCTATTCCATCACCACTGCACTGTATGAAAGGCGGATACATTGTCCAGCCTGCCATCACTGTACTGTATGCAAAGTTGTTCTCCTGTCTAGTCCACTGCCGCTGGACTCTCTCCCCCGTACATAAGTCCCTAATAAAACTACATGTCTCATTTGCTGGCTTTGGGTCTCTTCTTTAGCATCTTGAACCAGGAGCCTTCCCTATTGAGGTTAATAGAGATTCGGCACAACAACATGGTTCTCAGATATAGAAAAAATCAAGATGGTTCCCAGATGACTGAAGTTTGTAAAATCATGATTTAGTCCAACCCCCTGGACTTGAAAGAAGAGTCCAATGTGAAGAGCTAGTTTTAAGCTAAAAATTGAACTAGAACCCAAGTGTCCTCTATCTTCATTGTCCCCACTATAACAATCTCCCTCCCCAACTTCTGAAGCTCTTCTTCTCCTTCGCATTCTCTTCTCCCTAAAACCTTCCTTTCTATAGGCAAGTTCTTCCTTTTACTGAAATTTATGTGACACTTGTTTCTCTTGTATTCAGTTCGCAACATCTGCAGGCACATCTTAACTGGTCTGTCAAGAATCTTTCCCATCACTTAAACTCCATTAAGGTCTACATTCCACTTAGATCTACATGTTCATAACTGAAGATATTTTTAATAATGATATAAACGTTTATAATATTAATCTTTAAGTTCTTAACAGCCTTTATTCTTGATTTTAAAGAGTGCAACTAAGTTGGAAGATTCATTATCTCATATCAGTAGGGGCAGTAGCCAGAGCTAAATGTTGAAAGCATAAATGCAGTTTAATTCGATTAATGTCTATTAAATGTCAACTATTTACCAGTCACTATGCTCAGCTTTGAAAGTACAAGATAGATTTAATATCCTAATAGCTCTAATTTATTGTGGACATTTAATTCATTATGCCATTTAGTTCTTACAACAGCCTTCTAAGATAGAAAGCTGTTATCCATATTTTAAAAATGAAGGAACTGAGATTCAGAGAGTCTAGGTAACTCATCTAGAGGCACACAGTTCATAAGAGCCAGGATCAGAGTTTTAATCTATTTGAGTCTAATCCTCATGTTTTCATGTTACAGTATTTTGCTTCTCAGAGTTCCAAACTTCGGTACCATATAATTTAGCAAGATATGTATGTTGTTTATACATACAAGCTAACAGTCTATTTGGAAATAAAATAATTGGGAATATAAAAAGAAAGGATACTAATTTAAAATATTCCAAATAACAGATGAATACAACATCCTCACAAGTGGCCAGCATTCAAAATTGCATTGAAGGTGGACACATTAGAGTCCTCCTGCCTCAATTGTAAAGGAAATCTAGGGTTCAAAGAAGTAAAGATTATCTGGAAGGTGTCTGAGGCAGAGAAATGGGAATGTGCAAAGGAATAGAGATTAGAAGAGAGAAGCCAGAAAATGGTGAGCTCTCCATTATGGTTAGAGCAGACAGTATATGTAAGCACAGAGGCAGGAGCAGAAAGGTCAATAGGGGGCAGGTCATAAAGAAATTGAATGCTAGACTTTAGGCTTAATCTTGGGGCAAGGGATTCATTAAAGGTTTTTGACAAGGGAAAATGTGTGAAAAATTGTGTTTGAAGAAGACCCATCTGGCAAGGGTATGCAGATTGAGTCAGGAGGGGAGGGAGTGAGGAGGCTGTGGCCGTGGAACTGTAATAACTTTATGATGATAAAGTCTTGGACTGAGTGGCAGCCATGGAACCAAAAAGATACTGCCCTTACTACTCGGTAACCACCTATAGGTTATACAGCCATGGTCACTTTCATGTTCTGGAACTCTAGGTCTCCTATTTAGAAAAAGCCCATGACAAAGAGATGGGGATAGGATGAGCAGAACAGAGCCTCACCTAAGTAGCAACATCAGAGAAAAGAAGCTAAAAGTATCTTAAGAGGGTGGTTTTCAGGGCTAAGTGAAACATCAATGCAGGTGACACTAAAGGCAATACTTCAGGTAACTAGAAGGAAGAGCTGGTGAAAATCCTCAGAATCAGAATAGGTATGAGCTACATAAAGGGGATCAAACAGTGATTGTTCTGTAACTTTCTGGAGGCCTTGCTGAAATCACGACTAAGAAAGAAACCCTTTTCAGACCTTTGAAATTCTAACTCAACATGGCATTATCTGCAGTGTGTTTGCTGTGTATTGCCTGATGAGAAATAATTTTGTGATTTGAAAATGGCTGCCTGTTCTGACATGTCACTACTGTGTAGTAATTTGCAGTACGTATATTTTGTGTTTGCCTTATTATTGGACTGTCCATTTAGGAAGCATAATTAGGACCTAGTAAGCTATAAATAAGGTAGAGTTACACTTTCTGGCAAATTCCTTAATGTGACTGGTTACCCTTGGCACAAAAACTACAGTTGCATGAGCTTCTTAAATAAAAACTGCATAATGATCTTTCCATCTGTCAAAGTCGCATAATTAAAGGCATCAGCAGCGCATAGAATTAGCACTTCAGGTTTTGTTCACAGGTTTGGACAGCATCCATCATCAGTTTGACAGATGGAATTGTTTTTTCTTTACTTCTCCATTTGCTCTCATTTCTGCTGCTACATAGTCCCTATTGAGGGCCCCTTTGAAGATTGAGACTCATGGACCTTGGATAATTGACTGCAGGCAGGATCTGTTGGCTTGCTTCATAATTTATCAGCAGACGTAAGCCGAGACTCTAACTGCATGCCATTAGAGAGGGGATCAGTCTGACCCGTTATCCCCTTGACACTGGAGAAAGCTATTACAAGGGCACATGAGGACACCTGGCATTCTCTAGATGGAAAGAGGAAAGGATGACTTCTTTGCTTCTTAGTGGCATTTTCTGAGCACCTGCTAAGCATGCAGCTGTTGATGTTACTACAAGAATTACAGATAAGTCATTACTTTCACCCACTTATTCTAGCTCCAGCTCCCACATTAAATAATAATAATAGTAATAATAGTTGCTAGCTTGTTGACTGCCAGGAAAAAAATCCTCAAATATTTTCTCATTTTACAGATGAAGCAACTGAGACACAGAGAGCTAAAATCTTGCCCAGAGTCACATAATTAATAACAGAACCAAAATTTCGCCCACTATTCAGAATAGTCTACATAAATAGAAAAATGCAGCTAAGTAGTAGGCAGGGTGATTAATTTCTTTCCCGTATACAGAAGAATGTCCATAAGAAAGAGAGTGGAAAATTAATAAATCCATTATTGAAAATGAGGTGGAAATACAGGCAATCTTCAAATCAGCAGAGGGTTCTGTTCTAAAAATGCATTTGTAAATTAGTTGTTTGGCATTTATTCATAAAACAATATGTTGTCTGGGAATTGTTTCAAAATAATAGGGGGTGGTGAAGATTAAGTAAGATTGGTCATAAATTAATTGTTGAAGCTGAGTGAAGGGTACATGGGCTTTATAATACTGTTCTCTCTACATTTGTGTATGTTTTACATTTTCCGTTAAAAAAAAGTTTAAAAAATACAGATGAAAACCTAGCCTTTCTACGGATAAATGTAAAGATGCATATATGGAAATGCATATATGGAACATTCTACATAAAGTTTTCAAGTACTTTTGTTGCATTGGCAAGCACTGTTCTTATACAATCTGTCTCAAATTGTAGGAATTCACTCAGATGGCTATTCATGGGGTAATAATTGGCTTTAGGTTTAAAATAGTTTCTAAGTTCTCTTTGACCTTTAAGAATCCACAAATATAATATGTCCTAGGTGCCTGTATTAGTCTGGGTTGTCCAGAGAAACAAAACCAATATGAGGGGTGTATGTGTGTAGAGAGATAGAGACATTTATTATAAGGAACTGGCTCGTGTGGTTATGCAGGCTGAGAAGTCCTAGCATCTACACTTGACAATCTGGAGACCAAGGGGAGATGATGGTATAGTTCCCTTTCCAGTTTGAGTACAAAGGCCTGAGACCCAGGACAGCTAATGGTGTAAGTTCCAGCCTGAGTCCAAGTCTGAAGGCAGGAGAAGACTGATGCCTCAGCTTGAAGACAGGTAGGAAAAGCAAATTTTCTCTTACTCCATGTTTTGTTTTATTCAAGCCTTCAATGGATTAGATGAGGCCCACCCAAATTGAGGAGGGCCACCTGCTTTACTCAGTCTACCAATTCAAATATTAATCTCATCCATAAATACTCTCATAGACACCTAGAATAATGGTTAACCAAATATGTCCAGAGGTCAAAAGCAAATCAGTTGGAGATAGAGGCTTTAAAGTGGTAACTAAAGTAAAATTAGTTACCTAATGAGCCTCCAGGCCTCTTAGTTAATCCATGATCACAAGAAATTTAATAGACTCACTGTGACTCACATCCACAGACCCAAGTTAAAACCCACTGAGTGGAAAGTTGTCTACTCACCTCACAATCAGCTATATCTGAGACATATCTATGGCAGGTAATTGTTTTTCCTTACGGTCTCAACTTCTTCCCCTTTCTTCCCTTCTTCCTTTCTTCCTTCATTTCTTCCAGAAAAATCTATTTATCCAATGCTATGTACAGGAAATAGTGTTAGGTACTAGGAATACAGCAGTGACTCACACACATTGGCCCAGTGAGAATCAGCTTTATAACTTCTATGTAAAAGAGGCTTAGAGGTAAAATCTGGTTGAAAGGAGGGCAGGAAACTTGTCTTGAATCTCGTTTTGCATAAAACTTTACACAGCGCTAATAAAATGCCAATTTTTATATCAAATATACATGGGGCAGACTTTGGGAGGCTGAGGTGGGCAGATCACCTGAGGTCAGGAGTTCGAGGCCAACCTGGCCAACATGGTGAAACCCCGTCTCTACTAAAAATACAAAAATTACCCTGTCTCTACTAAAAATACAAAAATTAGCAACTAATTTACCTATAATCCCAGCTACTCAGGAGGCTGAGACAGGCGAATCACTTGAACCCAGGAGGTGGAGGTTGCAGTGAGCTGAGATGGTGCCACTGCACTCCAGTGTGGGTGACAGAGCGAGACTCCATCTCAAACACACACACACACACACACACACACACACACACACACACACACACGGCAGTACTCCTGGAGGGTTGCTACTTCCCCACCTCTTGATGCTGCCACTGGTCCCGTCTCCCATCCCCACAGATCTTAAAATCTAGAGAGAGACAATAAACAAATAAATATAGTATTGCCACTAGTGATGAATAATGTGAAGAAAAATATAGAACATACAAAATATAATAAGCTTAATTTTGATTGGGATGTCTTTTCTCTCTGAGAAAGAAACAAAATTAAGATGGGTCTTGAATGAGACAATATTAGTATGCTAGAACTGTCATAACAAAATACCACAGACTGAATGGCTTAAACAACAGAACTTTTTTCTCATAGCTCTGGAGGCTAGAAGTCCAAGATCAAGCTATTAGTAGGTTTGGATTTTTCTGAGGCCCCACTTCTTATCTTGCAGGTGGCCACCTTCACACTGCGACCTCACTTGTTTTTCCTTCAGCCTAAGTATTATCTTTGTTCTAATCTCTTCTTCTTATAAGGTCACCAGTAATATTGGATTAAGACCCACTCATATGACCTAATTTTACCTTAGTTGCCACTTTAATGCCTCTATTTTTAAATAAAGTCTGAGATACTGGGGGTTAGAACTTCAACATATGAATTTGGGAAGACAAAATTCTGTTTATTACAAAGGCCATCTACAAAAAAAGGGTTGGAAATGAGATGCGAAGCGCATTGCAGATTTGGTGTCAAAGTAGAAAGATTAGACAACCTCTGTTTTCTCTAAAATGTCTTAGCCAATGTCCAGAGCAGGTAATGGCAATGGTGGGAAGAGGGGAGGGGAAGTCAGAGAAGAATAAAGAAAGTGTAAGCTGTTAGTTACTAATGATGAAGATAAAACTTACTGAAAAAATAGATTTCTGAGCAATGTCAAAGGCTTGGTTGAAGCAAGGGAACAATGTAAGTCTGCCTGGGGGATGTAGTTCTTCTCTGCCACCCACTTAGCTGCCGTGGTAAAGTCTCAGCAAAGATGTGTAGTGGGTTCATTCACAATGCGGTTTTGTCAGAGAGGGTGATTGGAGAGGAGAGGGGAAAGGGAATCACGATACTGAGTTGTGGAATCTCAGCTAGATAAGGATGAAGGCAAAGAAAGATAGGGAAAGATAGATACAAAGGAAGTGGATAAATCTGTGAATTCGAGGTGGGAAATTCATTTAGTGACATTATATTTCCTAGGCTCTTGGACATCCAGAAGTGCCTGCTTTACTCACAGACAACAAGCTCTAAAAAATTTTAGTACTGTCTCCATAATGTAGCTGGACATATCTTCCCAGAAAAGTCATTTCTCTCCATCCTTCTTAATCCAGTGGCTATAAAACATTCCCATTATTCCCCCAAATTTCCCATCTCTGGATAGGGAAACTCAAATCACTTTGTTGTTTTGGTGAGCATACTAGTGATCCCTAGATCCAGCTTCCTACCTCCACCCTCCTCTTCAAGCCCCATTGCTCATCAGTTAAAATGGCATCCAAAATAGCGCTGAAGGACTAACTTCAGTTCTCATAGATTTGAGAAAAAGGAGATTGGTGCCAAGAAAACTTATTCATGCTAAGTAAAAATATAGATCTAAGTATCATATGCTAACAGAAATTCATTACAGGATATGCTTTAAAAATGATGGAACTCATCGTTTTCAGAATTTCAATTGCTCATTATTTAAAGTTCTTGGTTTCTCTCTGCACTGTAAACACATGCAAAATTTATTTCACACAAGTATGTCAAGTAATGCTTTCTGACTGAACCAAGCAGACATGATTTCATGACTATAGGGATGGACCCAGTCCCAACTGGAATAATTAGTAAAATATTTACAATCCATGGTACCATAACATATGTGCAAATGTAAGTGTGGTGTTGACTGACCCAGATACCAGCTGAGCATGCTTTCTAGGATTGGATTAATTGTTCAGCATCCCATTCTTTGAAACTATTTGGTGCTGAGGACAATTAGACAAAAACTCCAGAGAGGGGGCAAGAAAGAAAAATCTGGGAGAAAAAAAAACCCTCAAGGAAAGATATGTGCCTAAAATCTGCATGTAGCATATCACGTTCAGGCAGACATAGCAAAAGACACATCAATTCATGGCTTGGCTATTATGTGTCGGGTTCTTTTACATCTATTATTCTGTTAATCTTAACAATAACACTGAAAAGTAGATGTTTGCTGCTTAGAAAACAAAGTTCAGTGATGATAAGAGATTTGCTCAAAGTCTTATGTCCAGTATGAGTGGCAAAGCTAAGATTCCAACTTAGGTTTGTCTAGTTCTTGAAGGTATGTTCCCCATTCTTACCTGCTGCCACCTGCCCCAACTCCATGCTTCTTCGAGAACACAACCATTTTCCTACTTTCATACTTGCTCTCCAATCTGCCCTATAGTGATTTGCATCTCCTTCAGTAACTATCCAAGTTATTCCCTTGCTGCTCATTATATTCTTTGTGACAGCACATGTTCAAAATTGTCTGCTGGGTCCCCACTGTCTCCTTCAACTCATTTATTAATGATGGCTCCACCAGCTCCACTGCAATGAACTGGCAGATGAGTTAATACTCTTGAATATTAATTTCTTTATTTCAGTCTCATTTGTTTTACTGTAATAATA
Organism: Homo sapiens; assembly: GCF_000001405.40. Classification (NCBI taxonomy): domain Eukaryota; kingdom Metazoa; phylum Chordata; class Mammalia; order Primates; family Hominidae; genus Homo; species Homo sapiens. The sequence continues at coordinate 180,194,663 of NC_000003.12, read as the reverse complement.
AATGGGCAATATTAGATTTATTGTGATCATCATTTAAATATATTCAAGAAGAAATAACATTCACTAAAAGCTGCAGTGTTTATAGGGAAACTAGTGAATAAAATTAAATAGTAGATTTAAAAACCATATCCAACCTCTGCTAGGTTTTGTAAGGCCTTGCTACTGAAAGTATGGCAGCCTCATTGGGAACTGGAAGCTCTTTAGAAATACAGGATCTCAGGCTCCACCCTAGGCCTCCTGATCAGAATCTGATTTAACAAGATTCCTAGGTCATTTGTATACACGTTAAAGTTTGAGAGGCACTGCTCTGTTGTACTTATTTTTGGTATCCAACACACAAGGGTAAGTGAAATCACTCTCGCTGGAGAAGTCTTTGAAATAGTAGAAAGAGTAAAAGTTTTGGTGTCACACAGAATGATGTCAACACTTACTAATTTTATAACTTTGAGTAGGTTGCTTAAACCTCTCTCAGTCTGGAAATCTTCATCTATAAAGATGAGAAAGGGTCAAAATGGGGCAAAGTAACAGCCAAGAGGAACACCAAGGAGAAAATGGGAGGAAATGGATCTTAACATAGGGTCAGCCAGAATGGAGAGGTGGGAAAAGATATGGAAGGAGAATACTCCTTTACCTCTTACCGGGAGTGTATACTTGTAAGATTTGGTTGACATTTAGGAAATAGGTGAGATAGATTTTGGCTTGGTTTTACTATGCTTTTTTGCCTGTAAGTAAAGTTTGAATAAGTAGTGACATTCTGTAGGAAAGCAATAGAACTGGTAAAACAGGTGACTTAAGGATTTAAGAGATTTAATGAAAAATCTCTTATAAACAAAACAAAAAGGTCTTTAAAAATACATCTGCATATTTCTCACAATTACCCTTGAGATCAAATGAGTTTTTTTTTCTATATCCAAGTCTATAATTTTTAAAAATCCGGTTTGCTAAACTCTAATGATTTTTTGAAAAATGTATCAGGAATATTATCTTTTCTAGTCAGGGTAATAGTTTAATCAAAATATCTTTCATTTCTTTGATATGTTGATACAATTTCAAAAATGAAGGAATGAAGCAGAGGTTCATTTATTTCAGCATTGATTAGATAAAACAAAATGTAAAACTTATTACATTGGAGATGCTTTTCAAATAGATTCCCAAACATATTTTTAAAAATAATTCTTGGCTGGGTGCAATGGCTCACGCCTGTAATCCCAGCACTTTGGGAGGCCGAGGCGGGCAGATCACGAGGTCAGGAGATCGAGACCATCCTGGCTAACAAGGTGAAACCCTGTCTCTACTAAAAATACCAAAAAAAAAAAAAAAATTAGCCAGGCATGGTGGTGGGCACCTGTAGTCCCAGCTACATGGGAGGCTGAGGCAAGAGAATGGTGTGAACCCGGGAGGTGGGGCTTGCAGTGAACTGAGATCATGCCACTGCACTCCAGCCTGGGCGACAGAGCGAGATTCCATCTCAAAAAAAATAATAATTATTATTTTACCAAAATGTAGATATTCCAAGTGTTTCCTTGAATGATAATATTGAAGAAAATGTTGTTAACACAATTTTTTATAATAAGAAACATTCATATATTAATAAATTATAAAATTATCCTCTAACCCCATCTGACATTGTCCTTGCCTCCTTTTTATTGTAATATCTTGCATAAATATACTGCCTAGGTAGGATTACAGGCATAGGTAAACAAATGATTCCAAAATAACATGAAAAATAAAAAGAAAGCCTTACCATTATTTGATGTTTGTTGGGACAAAAATATAATAATATGCTATATTTTCAGTGGAGGAGTTGATGTGGGTCAACCTGGATATTGGCCTGGAGATTATTGCTTTTCTGAGCAAAAGAGTTTTACAAAATAAAACCTAATATATTCTTCAGACTTATGACAATCCTGTTCAAAAAAATAAAATGCCATCACATGATATTAGAACTTACATGCATAAAGAAAAACATCAAAAACAACTTTGTGTGACTTAAGGCAGTTTTAGACTTTTTAAAAGCTTCATTCTAATTTTAGCAAATCATCATACTTTATTTTTTGGAAAAAGCTAGAACTCAAAAATGATTCAAATAAAAATGCCATATCAAAAACTAAAGGAATCAGGGCAAGATTTAAAGTTCATATTTCAAAGAAAGTAAGGAGATTATAGAAAACTAAAACAATGCATAATTCATGAAAAATTTTGGCATATTTGAAATGTTCTTGAATATTAATTGGATACCCAGATAGAAGTTTCTCTAAATTCTATTCTATGGATACACCTATGGAGAACTTTTTATGCTTGTATAATAGTTCATAAGTACCTTTGCAAAGAAAAAACTGTCAGTTGGGATTTTCTAATGTAAAGTATGTGCTTCTATTTGAAAGACTGAATTGAAAAGTTAGGAGTACCTGATAAGTGTGATTTGTGAATCACTAGTACCATTTTAGCATTGAAAAAAGATGAAAGGCTGTATCTCAATGATGATAGCAAAATTGATATGGAACTTAAAGCTGTCTTAACAATCAAATTCCATCATTTCTGATTAATAATGTCCACAACATGAATGTACCAATTATATTGCCCTACAAAATCTGTGGTCCAAAGGTAAACTCTCTTAGAAGGCAAATTCAGTCTTCAAATCCCTATGTGCTCACTAAGTATTTGGGGACAGAGTTACACCATAGTTTGTTGGCTTATCAAGTTTAACTTCTACAAGTAAGCAGTTGTTAACTATCCAAGTTATGAAAATGACAGACGGTAGCTGGAAAGTTCCATAGGGAAAATAAGAATATTTATTTTTAAAAAGAGAAGGTATCTGAAAACATGACTTGTGCAATGATCAACAATTTATCTTTTGAGAATTATATAAAGTTATTGGCCTACTGTCATTTAAGGAGTGTATGTTGAGAAATGGTTTCAGTGAAAGTGATTGGCAGAAAACGAGATGATTCAGGCAGTTATGTGGGCTTAAAATTGTATTGTCTAAGACGGACTAATTGCAAATGATGCTTAATAGATATTGTTATTTTCCTTTATGATGATAAAAGCATCTCTGTTATTAAATAGAGTTAATTTTTTTCATTCATTCATATTAAGTCAAGGTAAATCGAATTTTCTCTGAAATAAAAAGCCTGAGTGTAAAGACTGAGATCAAATACTGATCCCCTACATTATCATAGACATGTACCACATTGTTTGGGGCCCTTGCTATGTTACCTTCCTAAGGGTTCCAATAACAATTTGCCACAAGTTAGTGGCTTAAAACAACAGAAATTTAATCTCTCACGGTACTGGATGCTAGAAGTCTTAAATCAAGTGTTGGCAGGGTCGTGCTCTTTCTAATGGCTCTGGGGAGAATCCTTCCTTCACTCTTCTCACTTCCAATGGTGGCTAGCAATCCTTGGTGTTCTTTGGCTCATAGACTCATTGCTTCAATCTCTGCCTCTATCTTCACATAGCCTTCTCTCTGTCTCTAGGTCTAAATATTAATCTTCTGATAAGGACCCTAGTCATTAAATTAGGACCTTCTCTAATCCAGTATGACCTTATTTTAGCTTCATTACATCTACAAAGACCCTATTTCCAGGGTCTTGAGGTGCCAGGATTTAGGATTTCAATATCTCTTTCTGGGGAACACAATTCAACCCTTAACCCTAGCCTACTCCTAAGTAGACCAGGAAAATCATCAATTCATTTACAAATATTTATTGAGAGAAATAAGTATATTGTATGAGGCACTGTGATGAACAAACTAGACCAAGTGCTTTTCCCTAGGAACTTATGGTCTGGAGTCAAGCCATATTTTATACGTATTTATAATTTAAAATAGTTATATGTAGTTTATAACTTCACAAAACCTTTTTAATCTGCATTCCCATGATAAATCTTCAGAACAGTCCTGCACATATGCTGAGTAAATATTAGTAGCTACTTTTTTTTTTTTTTTCCACATGACAAACTGAAGCGTCAAGAGGTTAGTACTTGCCCAAAACTAGCCATCTGGTAAAAGCAAAGCTGGAATGAGAACTGAGGTCAAAATATACCAGCAAACAAAATGCTGGATGATATCCACTTGCCATTTATAACTAATGACAAGGAACATTAATAAACATTAGAGTATTTTACAATACATCAAGTAGAAATATGGTTAAAAATGAAAGACACGGCTGGGCACGGTGGCTCACGCCTGTAAAAAGCACTTTGGGAGGCCAAGGTGGGCGGATTACGAGGTCAGGAGATCGAGACCATACTGGCTAACACTGTGAAACCCCGTCTCTACTAAAGATACAAAAAATTAGTTGGGCGTGGTGGTGGGCGCCTGTAGTCCCAGCTACCAGGAGGCTGAGGCAGGAGAATGGCATGAACCCGGGAGGCGGAGCTTGCAGTGAGCTGAGATCATGCCACTGCACTCCAGCCTGGGCGACAGAGCGAGACTCCATCTCGGGAAAAAAAAAAAAAAAAAAAAAAAAGACACAAGTTCACAAAGCAAAATTTACATTGATAAATTTATTTTATTTCTAATTATCAATGATACTCCAGCAAACATTCTATGATTTATTTTCCTGAAAACCATAACACCTTAAGTGTGGCAAGAGGCTGTTATAGATATTCACTGAGGAAAAAAGTCAAGCTAGATTTTCGTGTGAACTCATAGAACCATAGTTAGTTACATTAGAATTTCAGTGTTAAAAATGTTGAAAGGGGCCGGGTGCGGTGGCTCACGCCTGTAATCCCAGCACTTTGGGAGGCCGAAGTGAGTGGATCACGTGAGGCTGGGAGTTCAAGGCCAGCCTGACCAGTATGGAGAAACCACATCTCTAATAAAAATACAAAATTAGCCTGGCATGGTGGTGCATGCCTGTAATCCCAGCTACTTGGGAGGCTGAGGCAGGAGAATTGCTTGAACCCGGGAGGCAGAGGTTGCAGTGACCCGAGATCGCACCATTGCACTCCAGCCTGGGCAAGAAGAACGAAACTCTGTCTCAAAAAAAAAAATGTTGAAAGGAATCTTATTTTATTCAATCCCACATCCCTTCCACAGCAGGTATCTGGAAAGAAAATTGTGGCACTAAAGGATGAAGAAATATGAGTACTGTGTAGTTATTTCCCTACAGTAACTTTAGGCAGTGGATAGTATTTTATATATTCTAAACTGTAATGAGTGGTATAATGAGTAAAAATATGCCAACTCTTAATGAACCATAATCAGTATCTGATGGTGTAGTCGTGCTGGCAGTGGGTGGGGAGATGATGAGGCAGTGGATGAGCTCAGATTCTATCCCACAGATTGCGGCGGATTTTGTTTTTGTGTTGTTGTTGTTGTTGTTTACAATCTTTCAGACTTGTTTCTGGAGCAACCACTTATGAGAAATGCTTTGGCAGACACACAGTTCTTAGCCCCCTGTAACAAAGCTGCTTCCAGTGCTGAAACCAACATTAAGAAAGAGAGAAGAAAGTCATTCAAAACTGAAACGAGGGTGATGGAGATGTGAACTAAGAGGCAGATGACAAATGGAAACATATACTTGCTTAGCAAGTGCCTGCATTGTACTGTATAGCAAAAATAATGTCAGTTAGTGAATCAATAATAGGAGAATGGGGAAGGAGAATGAATAAGCAAAAGAGGTAGCTAGAAGTAGACACAATTCTGGGAAGGTAGGTTGCTGCTCATGGGAAACAGCACATTCTAATTACTATAATTTAAAGAAAAAAAGAGTTACATTCTCTAATGACAGTCTTTGGGGCATCTGCATACACAAGTGAGAACATTTCTTCTTATGACTCTCCGAGCACTGAAGGATCTCCTTGTGAGGAAATTAGCTATTCTGAGAATATGCATTCATATCTTGCAATATGGAATTTTTTTCATTATCTTAAAAACAACCAGAGCAGCATTTTCTTATAAATAACTCATCATCTACTGTGGCTTCTGAGGTCATCTTTTTGTCACATATGCAGGAAGCCAACCATTCACCACACTGTAGTGTATTGTAAACTGGACTCTCTCATTTCTTATTCATGATGAAGACCTTAAAAAAGATTTCATGCCCCCTTGTCTCACATGTACAATGGATGAGCTCAATGACATTTCTGTTGTTTTCTTACCCATAGTCCATTTTCCTTCTGATAACAGCCTTAAGCATGTCCTTTAGACTTTTGTTCTTTTCCCATATCAGAGGAAGATACTCCAGGTGTGGAGAAATTAGGCAGACATGGCTCATCACAACCCTTAGATTGGTGTATGGATGAAGTCAGGCCAAAGAGAGCTGGCTCTGGGACTTTTGCTAGAATTTGGTGGAATAAAAAGCCTTCTTTCTGCTGGGATTCCTATCCCAGTAGGATGTTAATTTGGGACTGAAGTGTCCATTTTCACGCTGGAAAATTAAGCCCAGCTAGAGAAAAGTAGACACAAGACATGGAGAGAGAAATATTTCTAGTGGTAGTTTTTAAGTACCAGGATTCAGCTATGCCTGAAAAAGCCATCTCCCCTGGACTTTTCAGTTAATTTGGATAAGTTCCCTTTATGCTTAGGCCAGATTAAATTCACTTTCCAATTGTTTTCCGCCAAAAGATTCTTGAGTACTCAAGCATTTAGGACCCAACACAATTAGCTCAAGTTCCATAATCCATTGCTCCAAGACAGCGTGCTTGCCAACATTTCCTGTCATCAGTCCTACAACATTCTGCTGCCAGAATCATATTGATCTGGGAAAGGAGGAGGTATTACTTATAAAGACAATTATTATGAAGGTATGTCATAATTTCTTGAAAATATCAATCAAAATAATCATGTATGAAGAAAAAAGTTCAAGACATCTTTTCATCCCCTTCCCTACTTCAGCCCACTCCATAATTTACCCCATGGGTACATCCAAATATGTTAAGCTCAATTATAAAAGTAAGTGTGTGTGTGTGCGTGTTGGTGTTGAAAATTGATATAAATTTTAAAAGCAAAAACTGTTAGGGAGATACATTCATACTTACGGATGTAGATAAGTGTGCACAAAATATTATAAAATTTTTAAAATAGATGCAAGTCATATGAATAGTATGATCATCCCTTAATAAGGAGTCACCACAAAGGAATCTGTTCCACAAGCCCCTCTCACCCTTCAGTGAGAATTTGAGACATTATGTAATCTTGTCCCACTTTTTTTTTTTTTTTTTTTTTGAGACAGGGTCTTGCTCTGTCGCCCAGGCTGGAGTGCAGTGGCACAATCTTGGCTCACTGAAGCCTCTGCCTCCCAAGTTCAAGTGATTCTCATGCCTCAGTCTCCCAAGGAGCTGGGATTACAGGTGTGCACCACCACTCTTGGCTAATTTTTGTATTTTTAGTAGAGACGGGGTTTCTCTACATTGCCCAGGCTGGTCTTGAACTCCTGACCTCAAATAATCCACCTACTTTGGCCTCCTGAAGTGATGGGATTACAGGCATGAGCCACCATACCCGGCCTTGTCCTACAATTTTTTACTTATTTATTTGATTTAATTTTGCTTTACATTATAGATCACTGCCTACATATTTGACTAGTTTCTGGACCATAAGCACTTTGAAAGCAAGAAGTGAGTTTGATTTATCTTTGTATTCTCAGGATTTAATTTAGTGGTTAATTTATGTTTTTAGATTAATCAATGAGTGAGTGAGTCATAAAAGTGATCAGAAATCTCATTGATAAATGTTTTCCTATTCTAGAGTGAATTTAAACATGGCTATGCTGACATTAGCCTGTATTTTTATGTAAGCTCATTCTCTCAGAGTTCTCCTTGTATTAGAAACCTTCCAATTCTTTTGAGAGGGCAAACATTCGTCTGAGTTCACCTTGTCCTTAATCACTACAGAATGACGACAGGAAGAAAAGAAATCAAACTAAGATGCAATTATAATATCCCCTGAAATACCCAGCATTGGCTTCAATTAATTAACTAAATATTTTAACCTAGACTCATGTTTTTCTAATCTTTATCTGTGCCTAACTAATAAAGGATTCTTGGCTTGTTCTCCTGTGCCTCAACCTCTGTCTAGTAACTTGCCTTATATTTCATTTATTTCCTTTCACTTCTCTTCACTCCCAGGTTTGGAATTGGAATTTCAAACTGATGGATGGTGACATATTAGGAGCCACAGACTTCTAACTGCTTGCTCAGGCTTCCAATATTGCTGGTTCCTGGATTCCCATCAGCTCTGTTTAGTCTCCTTAATACTTACTGCCATATTGCACTGCCAGCTCCTGTCACCCACCTCATAGGGGAGGCAATATAGCATGATGGGTAAACAGCCAATATTTAGAATGAAGCCTTCATCCAAATCCCAGTTCTACCACATGACAGCTGTGTAATTGTGGGCAAGTTATTTAACTTCTCTATGCCCATATTTTCTGTAAAATGGGATTTATAATTACATGCACAAAATAGATTTTATAAAGGGATGTTGTTAGTGTCCTCTTTCATCTGCATTTCCTCCTCATGCCAATTATTTGCTTCATTCCTTTCTAATGTTTCCATGTTCTTTCTAATATTATAGTTAGCAAGAAGTCTACAAACCTTATTTTCCATACTCTCTTGTCAACTTACTTCTGGTTACCGTATTCAAGAGGAGGCTCCAGTGGCTCTGTTAATAACTTGGAAGATGAGCGGAAGAGAAAAAACATTATTTTTCTACTTCTGATGGTACCCAACAGCTGCTGCTGCCAATTCTGGGCTGTAGAAGAATCCAGGGCCTTTTCAGTGGTATTCAGCAGGACTATAAACCCAAGCAGAAGTTGCTTAATCCCAACAAGAGCAGCAATGGCACCGCCTCCACCACATCTGTTATATTTTTTTAAAAGTTAAGAACATTACTCTTATGCAAATACAAAATGAATACTGTCAAATATTTTATTCAACTCAGTAATAAGAAAACTAGCAAGATGGTAAGGCAGGTTCAAAGAGAGAATTTGGAAATGAATATGTATAGAGTCAATTACTCAAAAGAATGAAATGAATTTGCTAATAGATACAAATTTGGTTAACATTCTGCAAGGCAAAAATTCATAGCCTTTGATGCTATCTTTTCAACCAGACGCAAATTATTTGTATTCTTACCAGAGAAAAATCTGCGAGTTAAGATGTAACATGTATCTTTATTAAGTCTAGACAAAGTACATTCCCCCAAATTTCCTTGGACAAATCTCAGAAGACAGTGAAAAAATGTGCTGCCCTACTTTTTGCCTCATTTCCAATTTTTGGATAATGCTTTTTGAACAAAAATAAGAAAAAATAATGTCCTTGTTATACAATCACAGCTATAGGACAAGTCTCCACAAATCCAGAAAACCCTTCAAATTAGTAATGGAGCCATCATTGTTCAGATGAGATGTAGAGGGCCTAGTACCTATTTAGAGTATTGTCAGTAATACATGAGAGTAATAATAGATGCTACTATTATTTTTATTACAATTTACTAGCCAATTAGAATAGATAGAAATTAGAGCTGTTTCCATAGTCTCTAACCCATTTTGATGGTTAATGCTAGTATTAGGGCTGGTCCCTCTTCGGATGTTTGTTCTAGTTAGTCATGTGATGTCCTGGAATGTCGTAAGAATTAATGCAGAAGTAACTGGTAACTTGCTCAAGTAATTAGAGTGTCAAGGAAAGAACTGTTGACTCATTCATTTTGTGATTTTTCTGGGTCTTTAGGAAATGTACTATAAAATCAGAGTCAGATGGAGGAGTTATAGCTAAGCTGTACTGTACACTTGCCCAGAGAAGACTGCTTTCTCAGTGGGTGGTCAAAGTGTTCAGGCTGCTTCATCTTCTCACCACATTTTTATGGCACTGGATCCAGACCCACAGTTCCTAGGGAATGTGGGTACAAACTGAATAGCATCTGGAACACGTTGTTTTCCTAATAAGAAAAGGTGATTAACGGCCAGGCGCGGTAGCTCGCGCCTGTAATCCCAGCACTTTGGGAGGCCAAAGTGGGCGGATCACAAGGTCAGGAGCTCAAGACCAGCCTGGCCAATATGGTGAAACCCCGTCTCTACTAAAAATACAAAAAAAAAATTAGCTGGGCATGGTGGCACACGCCTGCAATCCCAGCTACTTGGGAGGCTGAGGCAGGAGAATTGCTTGAACCCGGGAGGCGGAGGTTGCAGTGAGCTGAGGTTGCACCACTGCACTCCAGCCTGGGCTACAGAGTGAGACTCCATCTCAATAAAAAAATAGAAGGAGAAAAAGTGATTAACTGAGGATTGGAAACATTCAAGAAAACTCTTGACCCATAGGTCTATATTAATTCGAGAGGAATGACTCAATGTGAACATAAAGAAATGTGTTAAGTGACAAGAAAGCACTCAACTCTCTGAATTCAATTACAGAATGTTGGCCATTCTTCTTCAACAATGTTTTCAGGGCATTTTAAATCATCAGCACTTTTCTTTTAGTCTGACTCTAATCATTATTTAGACCCTTTGCATATTCTTAGTCCAACCTCCATGGCTGGGTGCAATAATCACTATCTGAGGCTCCATGTGGGATGTGTGTGTAACCCTTGCTCTTGGATTTGACTAGTTCTGCTCCTAATTAGGCATATAACTTAATGGGCTTAAGATTTTTAGTTTGGAAGCTTGGCCCCAGATCTGCCTGATCTGATACATATATAGCATTTCCAGCACACACAGCAATACCAGCAACTAAACCCCAGCTTTGGCTACATGCTTCATTTCTGACTTCTGGAAGTATGAAAGAATCCTGTCTTGTTTCTCAGAATTAGAAATTACTCCCCTCAACCCAGTACTGTTGCTGATTCCATTTCTGTACAGACAAGCTTCCTGGAATTCAACTATTTTCCTAGATCTTGAATAATAATCTGCTGCTGGATAACTATGGTCATTTCTAACCTGCCTATTCTTAAAAAATATACCTTATAGATCTCCCCATCTTGCTTCCTGGACCCATTTTTATTTGAGGCTTTCTAGTTGTCATCTTTGCCTGCCAAATGAATTTCCTCCATCTTTTCCTATTTGACCAACCCTGAAGCATTACTGTGGTGATTCACTGGTCCTGACTTCACCTGATGTGACTCTTTTATGCTCCTGAATGAGCTCCATTTAGACATTGACAGTTTTCCATAGGGAAAAGAAGAGAAATAGTGATTAACACGGTTTGTGGCATACAGAGTCCTTAAATATGGGTTGCCTAGGTAACATAAATGAGTAATGGGGTGTCAAGGACCATAATGCTGTGTAACTCTAGAGACCATTACTTACTTACAATCACCACGAACACTGCTTTCTGGCATATCACAGACAAGCGGTCCTAATGGGGACTTATATACAGCACTACCGTGATTGTTGCTAATTCTCTTTTTGGAGAAACTCAGAAATTTCTTTTTTTTTTTAATCTCACAATTTAGAAAATGTGGGCAACTTATTCAAGATGTTTGCAACACCGTATTGCCTAAAGAAAATATGACAGTCAGCACGATTTGGCCACTATAGGCCACCAATGTGTGAGTCAGCTACCAAACGTTCTCTAGAGATGAAGACTATGGTACAGGAACCAACTTGTGTTCTTCCAAATCTGCCCCCTTTGTCATGTTAGATAACCTGGAATTCTCACCTGAATAGGATTTTTCTATTTTACTGCATTATTAATAGTCAACATTTTTGTTCAGACTAAAATATTACTTTTTAACCAGACATTCAACATAGGTAGTTTCCTTTTAGAATTGACCTATTAGGATTACAGTGTCATTATATCATATTGAGTATCATTGTAGTTTACCTAACACATTTAAAAAAAAAAAAACTCTTTGTGTGTGAGTGTATTTTGATAGGAGACTTGCTGATTTCTGACTGGTTGAATTTGTTTCAGTTTGACTTCTTTTTAAAATTTGATAGTCTTACACATATATGAATACAGATTACACTAATCAATTTTACAGTAAAGTAATACATTATGTTTTTATTTATGTATTATGTAACATAAAAATTTTAAACTCTAGACCTGAAAGGGTTTCAAAATGTTCAATATAAGACCTATGATCTATCAATCAATGTCTTTACACTTGAGGCCCTAGTGTAGTTCTCAATTTTTCCTCTATCTTACTGAAAAGGTAACTAGAGCATGAAATGGGGAGCCAGGCATTGAATAAAGTAAAACTTTGGCCCCTTTCTGAGGCAGGGCTAAGCTGCATATAACTCAAAGCTATCCTTAGATAGGCCCACCTAATGTGAACTGGCCCATTTTTCCTGGGAATCAGTGCTGATAAGTGATTGATAAAGTATTCCTGTCACCGTAATATCCCATGATATGCTAAACTTTGTTTGGAGGGTAAGCCAATTTGAATAAGGAGTTAAAAGGTTTTCTGAAGAAACCTAACGAGCCCTTTCAGGTTTTAAAGTTCATTTTTGTTGTTGTTGTTGTTAATCCTTGTTGGGTTTGGACCAACTTGTTGGGTTTGGTTAACCAACAAAAGTCTGCTGGTTGGAAAACCTACCAAGGGCCTCATTATCCAAGGGTAATTCACCGTAAGTGAAAAAAAAGGTAGATTGGGCCTACACATTTGTGAGAAAAGATGGCTTCCTCCAAATATAATGCTTTATGGCACTATATTTGGCTGAGGCTTGGAAGCTTGTCCAGATTCATCTACCAAGCATAGAACCATGTTTGGGGGAGCAATGGCTGACCTCAGAAGCGTAAACTAAGATGCAGTAACCTTGGAGGCCAAGCATGGGGCACCACTGCATCCTGTGTCAGCAAGGGTGTCATGTGCCTGGACCAGCACCTCTGATATCAGAGTCCCACAGCCACATGTTGTGACAGTGTCCAAACCATCAGTGCTAGAAGACTCACTGGATTTTGTCCTTTTCTTTGCCTGGCATTTGGAGAAGGCGTTAATCCCTACAGACAGAATAGGCCCAGGAGGGAAGAAAAGAGGATGGGAGGGAGGGAAGGAGGGAGGATGGGAGGGAGGGAGGGAGGGAGGGAAGGAGGGAGGGAGGGAGGCAGGGAGGGAGGGAAGGGAGGGGAAGGGGAAGGGGAAGGGGAAGGGGAAGGAAGGGACCCAGACATCCTGATAAAGTAGGTAGGTGAGAGTCTCAGAGTTCCCATACTCCAGAGTTCTGATTTGTGATGACTGTTTCTACTCCAAACTGATGAATTTATGCATTCCAGTGACACATGCTTGTTTAATATAAAATATCTTCATGAAAGAGTCTAGCATATATTGACATTCCAGTAAGGTGTAGCACATGGCTTCAAGGAACTATTGTAATTTTGCTATGAACACTCAGGACCTAACCTGAGATGCTCAGAGTAAGGTTCGCAGCCTGGATTTTAACCCCTTCTCTGCTCTGTAGCAGCTGCAGGTAATCTCATCTCTCTAAACTTTAAATTTTATCTATAAAATGGGAATAATGTTGTTATTGTGAAATAAGGCATGTAGAATTCTTAGTGCAGTGCAGTGTCTATCAATATTATAACAAGTAATTCTAAAATGTCAATTGTTATGGGTTACTTGTATTAACTGATGCAATACATGACTTTCTGTATCAGACATTTGAATCATGTGGAAAGATATTACACAATCAAGAAGTTATTCCCAGTGAACTCTTTCGCAAAATCAGTTTGTGGTAAAAGACACAAATTCTTTCGGAAAGCAGTTTGTGTCAGAGACAATTTGTAAAAATTGTTGGCTGCTGCTAATAGCAATCTCAGATGCTATGGGAGTCATTTTACGTAAACACATGTAAATAAGTGATGAAAAGGAGCTGACAGAGGTCTTTCAAATAAAGTGCAGATGGTCAAATGGAGAGCAGAAGTGTTAAGAATTACAGTATGGTAAGTAACTATGTGCACCAGGTCAAGACTTGCTTTGAATGCTGGTCCAATTCCATGAGCGGCAAAATATATGAGAAGTGCTGTGGGGGAGAATCCTGTTCTCTACTACTACATTTTCTTTCAGCTTATAAAATGTTCATGTGTTTTTGACTATTCTCCTTCCTTCACTGATACCCTGAACTGTCAGAGAAGATTCCTTCCTCCCTCCCTTTCTCCCTCCCTCACTCCCTCCTTCCCCCCTCCTTCTTTCTCTCTCTTTCTTTCCTTTCTTTTTTCTTTCTCTAGAATGGCTCTCAGATCATCTACTGTCAGCACTCTCCAACTGGCCCCCTGCCCTCACCTCAGGAATCCCCTAAAGCTCCACTTTATCCTCACTATGAGATCCGAAGCCAATCCTGCCTTTAGACTAGGGGGATTAAATAGGCATAAACCAAATAGTTTAATCTTTCATCCTCAGGTGAACCTGCACTGCTTCTAAATCTCAGATGAACTGGGAGAACAGAGATCAAGGAACAGGTATAGGGAGAAAGAAAGAAGACAGCACAGAACTTCCTTCCTCAAGCCCTCCAGGGTGTGGAATCCAAATTCAAATTCCAGTCTCTGTGATTGGGTCTCTGCCACCTTATCTAGCCTTATTAAACTTTAAACAATAAAATCAAAGAGGTAATTTATTAAGCAGTATCTCTATGCTATGTGCTATACAAAGCACTTTACCTACGTTATCTCATTTAATTCTTACAATACCTTTCACAGGCCAACTTATTATTATCCCCATTTTCAGTTGGAAAGAAAACCTGAAATTAAAAAAGACATTACTTGCCCAAAGTCTCACAACTAGAAAGATGCCAATTCAAGATTGGGTCCAAGTTTGTCTAACTCCAAAGCCCAACTCCAGGTATTGAGTCTTCCTCAGTTAATTCCACTTTTGAATTTGTTTGCTTCCCACCTCATGTCCAGATCGTTGCAGCAGCTTGGTAACTAAGGTCTTCACTTTGGTCCGCTCCCCACCCCAAGCTATGCCATATATACCAAGAGGTGCCTGGAACCTCCTCCTGGCCTCCTGCCTGAGCATAGGTCAATAATAAAAGGATTTAAATCAATACAGGGTCTTGAAGTTACTTTGTGCTGAGTACCCTGGCATGTTCTTCATTCCTTACATTCTTCCCAGTATCAGAATTTATTCAGGAGCCCCAAACAGAGCTGCAGTCCTCAGATACATTTTAAGCAATATGAACAAGGAATAAATCACTATTTTATGAAATATTGAGTCATATTCCTCCATAAAGAATATTCCTATGAGAAGATCATTCATTTTTATCACCTTTATTCTTTTAGCAGTTTCTTGTGCAATTAACTTACGTAATTTTACCAGCTGAAAGCATAGATAGGTGAAGCATGCTGATGCCAAATTTTCAGTGGTGATAATGCAAAGGATCTGGGATTTACCATAGCAGAAAGTTCAGAACCTACTCTCAGGATTGCTTTTTCAAGCTTATAAAAAGGCATGCAGCTTCTGCATGTAAGCAAACTGCTCCAGCTTTCCAAGGCCCATTAAAGGTCTGGGCTTCTTGTTAGTAGACAGTCCTCAAGAGGCTCCTGAGGGAGTAGAAATAACTAAAGACAACCATGGGGTACTTGTGACTCTACATTACAATAACAAACACCTTTAATGTCATCACATTAAAATTCTGAAATTACAGAAAAGAAAAAATATCACCTATCATTCTACTCCCTAATATAACTACCATTAAAATCTTATGTGTTTCTTTTTTCCTGATTTTTTTCTAATTGAAATAATAATGCTGATAAAGATACAGATGAGCAATTCATAAAAGAAGAAATATAAGCAGCCAATAAGGGCATTTTACTGGTAATCAAGAAAATTAAAAATAAAACAATGAGGCATCATTTATTGGCAAAAATCTAAAAGATTGAAAAATTCCCTTGTAAATACAGGCAGTGCTATATTTCTTTTTCTTTTTTTTTTTTTTGAGACGGAGTCTCACTCTGTCACCCAGGCTGGAGTGTAGTGACGCAATCTCGGCTCAATGCAACCTCCGCCTCCTGGGTTCAAGCGATTCCCCTGCCTCAGCCTCCCGAGTAGCTGGGATTACAGGTGCCCACCACCACCCCCGGCTAATTTTTGTATTTTTAGTAGAGACAGGGTTTCACTATGTTTGCTAGGCTGGTCTCGAACTCCTGACCTCAAGTGATCTGCCTGCCTCGGCCTCTCAAAGGCAGTGCTATATTTCATTTGTTGGAGTATATATTGGAAAAAGGTTGTCGGGGGAAAATTTGGCAATATCTGTTAAATTCTATGTTTAAGTATCATCCTTCAGAAATATTCAGACAAGCTCACAAAAATAAATATACAACAATGTTCCTTACATCATTCTTGCAGAATTTAAAACATTAAAAACCATCTAATTCTGCATTAGTAGAAAAATGGTTAAATAAATTACAACATATTTATATTGGGGAATTCAATAGACATTTAAAAATATGAAGCAATGTTAACAATAGCAGTGTCAACTAGGGAAAAACTTTGTAACACATATCATTAAATAATAAAGGCATGTTGTAGAACAACAGATTTGATATAATCTCATTATGAAAAAAATGCCACATGGACATGTATATAGGAAATGAGAAACATTCACAATAGTTACATTTGGAAACAAAAATAATATTAGAGAGAACCACAAAAAGGGATTATTACTTTTTTGAGTTTTTCAAAATTTTAATAATGAAATTATATATTTGTATTTCAATTTTTATAATGTAACTCTCTACCTGTACTTTAATATCAAAAGAAAGAACTTATAATGTTTAACAAATATCAAAAGAACTTACAATATTTATATAATTTTAGATATTGTCATGTTCATTCAGAATTATACCCAGTCATTCTCCCTGCTTTTAGCAACCAATATTTTAATAATGTATAATATTTTGTCCACTGAATGTGCCACTTTACATAACAATACTCCTGATGCTGGACTTTCACATTGTTATCAACTTTTCACTGTCAATAATGTTGCAATACATATCTTTTTGAGAGATAGGGTTTTAAATTTTCTTTATTTTGAAATAAGTTCTAGGTTAGAGCCCCAGGATGGGATTAGTTGGTGGAAAATTAAGAATCCTAATGCACTGAAGACTCCTATTGAAACCAAGAGCAAGATACTGTTGGTCTTGACCACTATTGACAAGAAATCTCTACAAATATCAAGGGCTTTGTCTTACTTCATTAGTTTCTCCCTTTGTACCTTCATTTGACTTTTAAATTAACAATTCAATCATGTTGCTGCCGTCTCGAATTTTGCAACTGAGCCCAACTCCAACACTGTAAGGTTCATGAAGCCAGGTGGCAGGATGATGGCTTGTTTTTATCATAATATGCCAGCACACAGACTTTAACGTCAACTACTTGCTATTCCAGAAAGCAATCTCCAGTGAGTGAGGACAATGCTATAGAACATCTTTTCCCAGAAGGCAATGAAGTTGCTCAGCCAGAGGAATCTCTTGTGGAAGAAAAACCTAATAAAGATTGAGTTGCCCCAGGAAAGCTGTTCTTCGTTTTGGAACAAGGTGTATCTTGAACTATATGAACTCAATCTCGGAGAAAACCAACTGTGTTGATGCAGTCCAAGACAAACATATTCACTTTTTCTTTGTATTGTTGTTACTTTCCCCTGCATATCTAATCCTTTAAAGTAATATAGCAGTTCTTAAAAATTTCCGTTAGTTCATTCTCTGAAAGATGTACAGTTAGGAAATACTTGAGGTTGGACCCCATATTGGGAATCCTAGGAAGTAAGAGTTTTCATGATACAGTTATGTACATCACCAGCTAAGGACTTTTCTATCACAATGCCCCTATGTCAGAAAAGATTGGTTGATGGAAGTGTTACAAGGGAAAATTTTGTGGCTACACACTAGTCTGGATAAGGGCAACTGTGTACAATACTGAGCCTGATATTTCGTGTCCCATTAGCTTATGGCAGAAAGCACTTTTTGAACCTAGCCCCACTTGCATCAACTCTCCAAAGGCTCTCCTCTTACACACACCCCCACTCCATGACAGTTTTCTGCACACCAGATCCACTTCAGGTACATATACGGCTACATAGCCACCATACATTCTCTTGTTCTGGGCCTCAAGCCACTCTCCCAACACAATATCCCAGTTCTTTCTTGAACCCTCTGGAGAAAACTTCAGGGATGTTAACAAGAAATTCTTTAAGTTAACCAGTGAAACATTACTTATAGAATTAGAAGGAGTATAAGACTCATAAGTGCATATTTAACAATTACATGTAAATCATTTACAGGTTAAGATTTTGTGGTTGCTACTTAAAAAAAGTTCATCACTTAATTCTCCAAACAAGCCTACAAAATAAGATTATTGTTCATCTATTTTACAGATTAGTAAATACTTCTGTTTACTAATAGATGAAGAGGCCACTTCTTCCCATCTGTGGTAGATTGTATTTTTCAAAAATGGCCACAGCAATATTCTGGGTCCCACACGCTCTTCAGAACCTTATTAGCACTCTACCTAAAGATGCAGTCTGTCTCTCCTCCCCTCGAAACTGGAAATGCCCTTTGTGGCTGCTTTAACAGAATATGTGTCAGAAGTGAAGCTGCAACCAGGGCTATTTCATAAAAAGCAGTATTGCTTTCCCTGCCCACATCTACCTTTGGAATTTAGCCATCATGTTGAGAGAAAGGGAATCACTGGAGAGAGACCATGTGTAATTGTTCCGGACTGCACATTTGTCTCTAAGGTCCCAATCAACAGTCAGCATCAATTACCTCATATTTGAGGGAACAAGCCTTCAGATCAGTTCTCAACCATAGCCAATTTTGTGCTATCCCCCCACCTCCAGAGAGTACATTTGACAATTTCTGAAAACATTTTTGGTTGTTACAACTAGAGGGGGAGTACTAATGGCATCTCGTGGGTAGAGGCCAGGATGCTGCTAAGTATGCTACAATCCACAGCACACCACAGCAAAGAATATCCAACCCATAATGTCAATAGCACCAAGGTTGAGAAACCCTGCTTCAGATGACTCCAGCCTCCAGCCTTTGAGCCTTGCCAGCTGACATTAAGTAGAGTGGAGACAAGCTGTCCCTGCCAAATCTTGCCCAAATCACAGTTTCATAAGGTGATTTGTTTTGCAGCAATAAATAATTGAAACACCATCAATAAGTGGAAGAACTGAGTCATGTCCTCTGGTCTTTGTGATACTGAAGCTCATGCATCTTCCCATGATGCCTCAAAGGGACACAGTGACAAAGAGAACAGCAAAGAAGCTTTAGGCAAAGTGTCACCGAGACTTGTACAAGGGAAAAGAAAGAGAAAGATGACTAAGACCAAGAAGAAAGCAAAGGAGTATTTCTTGCTGGGTAACCGTACCCCACATTCCTGATCTCAAGCTCAACACCACCCCTTCTCTTCCCTGGAAAAATTGGGGAGACAACTCTGTTTCATCTTCACAAGCTCCTCGTGAGTACGCCTTTGAGGTTTGTTTTTGTTTGATGGCCCAAATACTCCTCCTATAATGTCTATCATGTGAGAGACCCTAAGAGGGCACAACTTTCATTAATAAGATGTAGAAAGATTATGTTTCCCAATTGCATTCCACCTTAGAAAGAACAGATCAGGCCAGGTGGGGTGGCTTACGCCTGTAATCACAGCACTTTAAGAGGCCGAGGCAGGTGGATCATGAGGTCAGGAGTTCAAGACCAGCCTGGCCAACACAGTGAAACCTCGTCTCTACTAAAAATACAAAAAATTAGCCGGGCATGGTGGCCAGTGCCCATAATCCCAGCTACTCGGGAGGCTGAGGCAGGAGAATTGCTTGAACCCGGGAGGTGGAGGTTGCAATGAATGGAGATTGCACCACTGCACTCCAGCCTGGGCAACAGTGCAAGACCCCATCTCAAAAAAGAGAGGGAGAAAAAAAAATAAACAAACAGATCAACCAGTCTCTTTTTTCAAACTATGTCAACCTCAGTTTCTTCATAAGACTACTTTGAATGATCAACAGGCTTCCAAATCACTTCAAAGTAGGGCAAATTCTCAGTAATGCAACTTCTGGGCATCTGTGCTAAGAAGATCATCTGAAATTTAGACAAAGATTTATGTGCAGAACCATTCATTGCAAGGTCTTTGGTAAGAGTTAAAATTTGGAGAAAAAAAATAAGTCTGACAATAAGGTAATGGTAGCATAAATTCATAATATAAATCTATAGCAGAATATCTTGAGAGCATTAATGAGCCGTTCTATTATGGGCCTTCTTTGAATCTTAATTGGTATATCTTCTCTATGCAATCGATCTACTTTCATGGCTACAATGACCACTCCTATTTCTTAAGACTAGACTTCACTCCCAAACTCAGACCCACATGTTAAAATGCATACTAAACACCTATGCACTGATGATGTACAATTTGTTCAAAGCCCATTATCTTTTTCCAAAATTTTCTTTCCTACATTCTCTGAGTAACTGATACCACCTTCTACCCAGATCTCAAGCAAGAAAAATTGGCCACATTAGTGATTAAGTCATCCGTTTCCTGCATGTCACATATCCAGTTAATCTTAGAGTCTTTAATTCTAAGTCTCTCCTAAATTTCTGCTGAATAAGTCTCAATTCTCTAATCCTATTGTCATTATTATACTCCCAGGTCATCATCAACTCCTACCTGGATTCCTCTAATAGCTCCTAAATGGATCTCATTTGCTCTTCTTTAATTCATCCCTCATGATACAGCTAAAGTGATCCTTCAGAAATACAAACTTGGTCATAGAATCTCCTTTCTTAAAGCTCTGAATAACTCACCACTGTTTTAGAAGTAAGTCTAAACTCCTTACTGGGTTTTGAAGGGCCATCCATAACTGGGTTCCTGCTTGTCTCTCCAGCCTCATCCAAGACCACTGAACCTCTCCAAATCTCTTTACAGTTTATGCTTCAACCATGCTATACCATTTGCAATTTTGTGAGTGTGTCATGACCACACTTACTTCTGGACTTTGCACACTCTTTGCTTCTAACTAGATCACTCTTCATCCTATTTCTAATCCCCATTGTCACTATCCTGGCTAATACCTACTTGTCTCTCCTTTTAATTTACTGAAAATTCTCAGCTCTCTTACTTATGGGTATTCTCATCTTCTGTTTCTTCATGGAATGCCTTTTCAAAAGACACACGTGCGCATGTGCGCACACACACACACATCCCACATCTACTATTGCACAGTGTTGTGGCCACAAAAAGTGCCTTTGAGATCTCTTACTATGGAAAACAAAATTGATTGGTAGCCAAAACTTCTCAGCTCTGAATCCAGGACCGCATTTATAGCAAGGCCACACTTCTCACAGGCTGCTCTTAGTATATGGCAGGCCCAATCCTGGGAGACAGAAGACAACTTTGACAGGTGACTTTGGCTCAACTCCCATAAGCCTTGCCAAACTGTCCTAGAATTGTACTTCACTATAAGACCTTTCTTCCTTCCATTCCTTTATTTTTAAAGAAATCATACTTGCATGATAGTCTGATGACTCTCCTAGTATCCTCAAAATTCCTCCGTTATCCCTCATAGGCATTTCCCAGCAAATATCTTGCATATCTAATCCTGTCTTGGCATCCGCTTCTCAGACAACTCATGCAAGTTGAACTGAGAGTGGTCCAAAAAACAGATAGGGCCTTGGGACTGGCTCACACACTGCCTGGTGAGTATAGAGTACAACATCTCCATTTGGTGAGTGGGTCGTGGGTAGTCATAGATGACACCTGGCACAAGATGGCAGCTCAATTGGTAAATATTTCACTAGTGGTCTGGCAAAATGTACTGGTAAAAAGGAGTGTTCATTGGCTTTGAGGAACTTTCCTGAGACATGAGCTTTGTCACTCAGACAAGGACCACAGGAAACACGGCAAAATCAATGTGAGGGTAGTTATTAGACACAGAAAAAGTAATGGCCAATGTCCAGTGGCACTGAAATATCCAAGTTGTCCTGGAAGCTGACAGAAATGGGAATAAAGAGTCTGAAGGAAGTGGGCATATTGCAATAGATACATTATGAAAATCCTGACATCCAACCAATAAACTATGTTCTAACGAGGACACATCCTCCACTCAGACCGTTGGGAATCTGCCACTGAGAGGGACACCAGCATCATTAAGGGTTTGGTTGTAGTTGTCCTTTGCAAGCAGTGCTGATGGTAGAAAAGATAGTCACAGAATTGGGCTATCTAATAGCCAAGATGATGACAGTGCTCCAAAGTAATAGAGACCAGATAGCTACCAGTAACTAGAATCTATTGTTAGTGTTAATCACCAGAAGAGTTGGAAGTTATTGGTAATCAATTGGCTCTTTTAATCTAAAAACCTAGATCTTCAGTACTGAGACATTTTCTTCCATACATTTTCCAATATATCCTTCCTACACAATCTGTTCTCTTTTTCTGTAACTCATTAATTAAATAGTTTTTTCCTCATGGATTGATCCTAAAAAATTATTTTTTCTATACATTTATCTATTCTATCGGTTTTCTGTGTTTGACCTTTTGTAATACTTCCTTAACTTTATCTTCCAACCCTTTGTTGTTTTTGCCTTTCTCATTCTCATTTTTTAATTTCTAATAGTTCTTTCTTAGTCTTTTAAA
Organism: Homo sapiens; assembly: GCF_000001405.40. Taxonomy (NCBI): domain Eukaryota; kingdom Metazoa; phylum Chordata; class Mammalia; order Primates; family Hominidae; genus Homo; species Homo sapiens. The sequence continues at coordinate 180,172,159 of NC_000003.12, read as the reverse complement.
AAATTTTATATACTATCCTATTAGTATTTCATGGATACAATATCTTCATTTATCCTTCTGAGGATACAAATTATAAGACATTTCTTTTTGTGAGCTTTTTTTGGTCTTTGTTCTCTCTGAGGATTTTTATTTGTTTGTTTTCTATTTCTTTTGGCCTCTTTATTTTGAGTTGGAGATTTTTCTTAATTTTCTAGTAATCCTTTGTGTACTGTGCATATTTAAGAGAAAGATTTCAAAAATGCTGATTGGAGCTAGTCTGGGCAAAGGGGAAAGGAAGATGAGCTTTTAAATTAGTAAGCTTTGTTTTAGAGCCACTGAGCAGAAAGATGGCTTTTTAGGTAAGGGAACACAATTGTAACTGACATTGGGGCACCTTCTCAATTTTCCAAGAAAATAATCCTCTTGCCTTCAGCCTGAGTTAGGTAAACGACTGGCTGTTGTTATGGGAAAGGTATTGGGGGGGTCACATGATTCAGGACATAGGCATCCCCTAACCCTTCTGTTTTCAACTTTATCTCACTATCCTCTGTGCATGGACTTCATTTCATTGTCACCTAGGTTATAGTTTCTTCCCCGTGCTGAGTTAACTATTCCTACATTTGCTCTCTGACTTGCAAAAATTTATCATCTCGCATTTGCTTTTGTCTCCTCTCCTGATCCATTTGTACTTGTAGTTCTATGCCTTTTAAAAATCCTTTTACTAATATTTTAGTAGGGTTTCCATAGGGAGAGAAGATAAATTCATCTCCTCAATTACACTCCCATCTTTTTCTCCTGGGTTTAAGTGCTACATTCTTCATACAAAAACAATTTTATAAAAATTGGCATATAACTGGCAATGTTTTGTGGCATTTTAATCTATTCTACTGTTCCATCTAATTATGTACTAGTACCAGACTTCTAATTATCATGATTTTAAAATATATTTTTATATTTGGCAGTATAATTCCTAATCATAATTCTTCCTTTTTAAAATTTCAATATTTCTTTGGCTGTTCTCACACTTTCTAGTTTAACTTTAAAATCAAATGGTATCAAATTTATAAATCAGAGAAACTTTATATTAGTATCGTCACATGCAACAACTTAATGCAAGTCTAATTAGTAAAGTTTTATGTCTTCATTCAAATCAATACTGATTAATTTTTAAATATATTAAAAAATTTAATATCTATTTAACAGGTATCTCATGTTTGGATTTTGTTTTGAAAATAAAGTTTTAAATTATGTTTTCTTTTTTTTTTAGTGGTTCTGCCTCTATTTTTTTTATTTTTTATTTTTATTATTATACTTTAAGTTTTAGGGTACATGTGCACAATGTGCAGGTTAGTTACATATGTATACATGTGACATGCTGGTGCGCTGCACCCACTAACTCGTCATCTAGCATTAGGTGTATCTCCCAATGCTATCCCTCCCCCCTCCCCCGACCCCACAACAGTCCCCAGGGTGTGATGTTCCCCTTCCTGTGTCCATGTGTTCTCATTGTTCAATTCCCACCTATGAGTGAGAATATGCAGTGTTTGGTTTTTTGTTCTTGCAATAGTTTACTGAGAATGATGATTTCCAATTTCATCCATGTCCCTACAAAGGACAAGAACTCATCCTTTTTTATGGCTGCATAGTATTCCATGGTGTATATGTGCCACATTTTCTTAATCCAGTCTATCATTGTTGGACATTCGGGTTGGTTCCAAGTCTTTGCTATTGTGAATAGTGCCGCAATAAACATACGTGTGCATGTGTCTTTATAGCAGCATGATTTATAGTCCTTTGGGTATATACCAAGTAATGGGATGGCTGGGTCAAATGGTATTTCTAGTTCTAGATCCCTGAGGAATCACCACACTGACTTCCACAATGGTTGAACTAGTTTACAGTCCCACCAACAGTGTAAAAGTGTTCCTATTTCTCCACATCCTCTCCAGCACCTGTTGTTTCCTGACTTTTTAATGATTGCCATTCTAACTGGTGTGAGATGATATCTCACTGTGGTTTTGATTTGCATTTCTCTGATGGCCAGTGATGGTGAGCATTTTTTCATGTGTTTTTTGGCTGCATAAATGTCTTCTTTTGAGAAGTGTCTGTCAGACACTTAAATTATGTTTTCTAATGTGTTTTTGTTAATTAAATGAAAAACTGAATTTCATAAAATTCATTTTATAACATGAATTTTACATGTTGCTAATTTCTTCTAGTTGGTTTCCTCTTGAGCCACTTAGGTTTTCTAGGTACATAGTCATATCATTTGCAAATAATGATAATAGTTGTATGGCTTCCAAGAATTATTTTTATTCATTTTTTCACTGCATTATTACACTTCCTACCACTTGAAAAAGAGCATGAAGTAATGGTGGTAACAATGGACATCATCTTGTTACAGATTTGCATAGGAAAGTCTTTAATGATTTATTATTTAGAATAAATGTGCTTGTCAGTTTCAAATCAATAACTTTTATCTCTTTAAGAAAGTGATGGGAGTGACATCAGCAAGAAGACTGACTAGAGACACCTGACACTTGCCTCCCAAACGAGAACCAAGACAATGGATAAACAGCTAAGATTTGACTGCACTGTTGAAAAGAGCATTGGAGCACTGGGGGAGGTGAATGGAGACACATCTGTAGCGATTGGAAATCTAGGTGGGCAGCATGGAGGCACATAGTTCTGCAACCCCATCTTCCTGGCCTGAACCAGATCATTCTAGAGACAGGAGAGACTCCCCATGCAGCGAGAAAGTAAGCAGATGATCCCCATCATCCCCCATTGTGGCCACAAACACCTACAGCCCTTACAATGGAAGAATCCCACAGTCCTCACAATCCCTGAGGCCAGTTAAGAGAGTTGCCAGGAATTCACACAGCTGTATTGCCGTTGATTAAGAGCACAAAGTGTGCACTCATCCAGATCCCATCCAGCACCTGTGGCCAAGCTGTTACAGCTAGCACAATCTTAGATCACAACCACCTCTGGAGTGAACCTTCCCCTGGGAGCCAGTATCCACTGCACCTTTCCAGCAGTAGGGCTCCATCTTCATGCAACCAAGCCCCCATGGGTGGCTGAACATCACAATCCATCTATGCAGAGCCTAGGCACAAGATTGGTTGTGACTCTGACCCTACAGAGCAGGAAAACTAATCCCTGCCACACTACTTCTAGCTGAAGGAACAGTCTGGCAGCCCTGCTCATGGCGGACCTACCCTTGAACCAGCCCAATCACTGCATGCCCTCCCCCAAGAAGGAGAGGTATTGAGCCACCAAGCAGCTGATGCACCCCCAGGCTGGCACAGGAGCTATATTTGCATGCCCAGGGCATGAGACACAGCCACACAGTACCCACTCCACCCCCATGGACAAACCTCTGGCTTGTCCAAAGGCCCCAAGAAACAGCCCCATAGGCTTCCCTGGAATACACACCCTCAGGCTGACCAAGCAGCTGAGTGTATGTGTCCTGAGCCTGAGAAACAGCCCTGTGGGCTTTTCCTGGTGCACACACATCTAAGCAACTGAGCACCTGGACACCCATGTCCTGGGCCTGATAAGAAAGCCCCATAGGCCTCCTCTGTTAGGCATGTTCCCAGGCTGGCCAAGCAACCAGGCATCCATTCCCCCAACCAGAGTAACTGCCCTATGGCCCCAACCACAGCAAGCCAGACCCCAAATTGGCTGACCATTATGTGCAAACACATGTCCATGACCTTAGAAATAGACCAGCAAGCCCAACCTTGTCAAAGCTACAGAACCACTGCCACAAACTCTCTCAGCTTAGGTCATAAGGACACTCACAAACATCACTAGCATGGATTACAGCTGAAAAAAACTACATGTAGATTATACTACCACATCCATCTAGAATGAAAGCCAATGCACCCCACTGAATCAACCCCCAAGACCCATCTAAATAAATAAGTCTTTCCATACAAAATTTACTCCATAAAATTGGAAGAGGTGACTCTTACACCAGATGCGTAGAAATCATTGCGGAAGCACATCAAACACAAAGAAGCAAGGAAGCATGACACCTCCAGAGGAAAACAATAATTCTCCACTAGTAAACCACAGTTATAAGGAAATATACAAAATGCAAAAAAAAACCAAAATAATAATCATAGGAAAGAATCCAAACAGACAATTCAATGAAATCAGAAAAACAATTTATTATCTCAATGAGAAATTAAACAAACAGACAGATATTACTTAAAAACAAAAACAACAGAAATCCTACAGCTAAAGAACTCAATGAATGAAAAAAAACATACAATGAGGATCTTCAATAATAGACTAGACCAAGCAAAAGAAATAACTTTGAACTTTAAGACAGGTCTTTTGAAACAATACAGGCAGACCAAATAATAAATAAATAAATAAATAAATAAATAAACTTAAAAAGTCTTAAAATCTTTTATTATTATTATTATACTTTAAGTTCCAGGGTACATGTGCACAACATGCAGGTTTGTTACATATATATACATGTGCCATGTTGGTGTGCTGCACCCATTAACTCATCATTTACATTAGGTATATCTCCTAATGCTATCCCTCCCCACTCTCCCACCCCATGACAGGCCCTGGTGTGTAATGTGCCCCACCCTGTGTTGTCTGTGTGTTCTCATTGTTCAATTCCCACCTATAAGTGAGAACATTCGGTGTTTGGTTTTCTGTCCTTGTGATAGTTTGCTCAGAATGATCATTTCCAGCTTCATCCATGTCCCTACAAAGGACATGAACTCATCCTTTTTTATGGCTGCATAGTATTCCATGGTGTATATGTGCCACATTTTCTTAATCCAGTCTATCATTGATGGACATTTGGGTTGGTTCCAAGTCTTTGCTATTGTGAACAGTGCTTCAGTAAACTTACACGTGCATGTGTCTCTGAAAGTCTTAAGTCTTAAACTGCACCATAGACTAAATAGATCTAACAGACACAGAACATTTCAGCCAACAGCTGCAGATTACACATTCTTTTCATAAGAACCTGGAATATTCTCCAGGATTGACCATATGTTAGAACACAAAACAAGTCTCAAAAAAGTTTAAATAATAGAAATCTTATCAAGTATCTTATCTGACCACAGTAGAATAAAACTAGACATCAATAACAAGAGGAACATTTGAAACTACACAAATACAAGGAAATTAAACAGTATGCTCCTGAATGACAAAAGGGTAAAGAAAAAAATTAAAAATTAAATTTTAAAATTTCTGAAATAAAACTAGAAACACAACATACCACAACCTATGAGACACAACAAAAGCAGTAACAGAAGACAAGTTTATAGCAAGAAATGGCTAAATCAAAAACTAGAAAAAGGTTTTGTTTTGCTTTGTGTTTGGTTTTCCAAGATGGTAAATCAGAGGTGTTTAGCATGCCTCAGCCATTCGGAAATAGCAAAATGGTGCATAAAGATCAACTCAGTGAGCTTTAATTCAAGAAGGAAAAGAAGAGTCCACCAGAATCATGAAGGATAACCCAAATCCTAGAGAGAAGAGAACAGACAAACAGCCTCCATGACAGCATCTGGCTAATAAGAGTGTGTGAACTCCCAGTATACAAGAGAGGCAGAGAGCCTCTGTGAGCCAACTTTCCACTGGAGATCTGAGCAACCCAGGCCAAGGCAGAGCATTGTGTTTTTCCCAAGCTCTAGAGCTAACTTGGGGAAAGGGTTGGAGACACTGTAAGGGAAATAAACCAGGAAAAGCTGCAGGCACTTTCCCAAACACAGAAATGAATGCAGGATACCATCTTTAATCAAGGCACATATGAAGTCAACCATTCTTTGGACACCTGATAGCATGGCCAGGGAGGCATTTTATCTTGGGCCAGAGACTGGAACGTCTCCTCTGGAGTGGGATTGGGGCCTCCACAGCCAGAACTGTGGAAAGCACTTCAGCAGGTGCTAGAATTGTGTTCTCCTCTGTTATAAGCCTAGGGTGGGAGGGATGCTGCAGCAGCTGCAGTTTCTCCTGGGCAACAAGACTTGCAGCCAGGGCCAGAGTGGTGACCTGGAGCCAGTCTGTGTGTTTCATTTTTAAGTGCCCCAGCCTGCTCCTCCAAGATTATGGCACAGCAAGGACCTCTCTGCTGCATCTCCAGGAAGAAATTCGGGAATTCAGAGCACTCACTTGCTGGATCAGCAGCCTGAGCCACCCCACCCTTCCTGTGCATAGACTGTGGTAGAATGGGGGCACTCTCTACCCCAAACATAGGCAGATCTCTAGGCATTTGGAGCACCTGCTAGCATGGACCAGCAGCCTGAGTTGCCCCACTCTTCCTGTGCAGGAGGAGGTCCCTCTCTGCTTCATACCCAGGCAGATCTCTAGTCATTCAAAGCACCTGCTTTCCTGGTTTAGCAGCCTGAGTCACCCCACCCCTTCTGTGCAGAGATCTTGGTGCAGGGGGCCTCTCTTTGCTCCAAGCCCAGGCACATCTCCAGGAAATCATAGCACCTGCTCACCCAAATTGGCAGCTTGAGCCATCCCACCCTTCCTGTGCAGAGATCTGGGTCCAGAGAGTCTCTACTTCATGGTCAGGCACCTCTCCTTGGTTCAGCAGCCTTGAGTGCTTGGTTCTGTTGCCCCACCATTCATATGCAAAGTTTTCAGTGCAGGAAGGCCCTTTCCACTCCACACCCAGGCAGATCTCCAGGCATCTAGAACACCCATTCTCCTGGATTAGGAGTTTAAGCTGCCTCCTATCCCCATGCAGATAACTTGGGATTGAAGAAGTTTTCCAGCTCCACACCTAGGCACATCACTGGCCACTTGGTGACTGCCAACTGGATTTTCCCTTAGTGCTGGCAGTGACTATCAGGAAACCTGTAGGCAGATGTGCCCAGTCTGGCACTGCCCATCTAACCCCTGCCTTCCTGGGCTGAAGTGAGAGCTCAAGCCACTGTGCACTTGATAAATCAGCCCATTGCCTCAGGCAACAGAGAACTTCTCCCAGCAAACAAGGATCAAGTATATACCCAGCTGCATTGGCCATAGCCAGCTCTTAACCATCAAACAGCACAGCACAATATAAAGCCTGCCAACAGAAGTGCCTAGAATTACAGAAGCAAAACCAAAAGACCCCACCCAGCATTTTCTATAGTCACACTATCTAAGGAGAACGGATAAGGGAAAGGGAAAGAACAAGAGAGCAATAACATTATAGGGAAAGAAAGTAAAAGAAACAATCCTACGCACACAAAAATAATTACAAAGATTAAAAGTGCCAGCCTACCCAGATGAGAAAGGGCCAGCTCAAGAATTCTGGCACCTTGGAAAATCTGGATGTAGTGACACCACCAAAGGGACATCCTAACTTTCTAGCAGTGGTCCCTAAAAAAGAAACTCAGAAATGGCAGATAAAGAGTTCAGAGCATGGATTGCAAGGAAACTCAGTAAGATCCAAGACCAGGTTAAAAATAAAAACATAGAAACTTCTAAAGCAATCCAGGAAATGAAGGAAGAGATAAACATGTTAAAAAATCAGAGCTCCTGGAATTACAAAACTCACTTAATGAATTTCAAAATACAATAGACTGCACTAAGTAGAAGAAAGAATTTCAGAGCTTGAGGATTGGTCTTTTGAACTAATACAGTCAAAAACAAAAAATTTTTTAAAAATGAACAAAGTCTTTGAGAAATAAGAGATTATGTAAATTGACTAAACCTGTGAATTATTGGCATTCCTGAAGGAGCTAGAGAAAAATCAAGCAACCTGGAAAACATATTTGATGACATAATTCAACAAAATGTCCTAATCTTATTGGAGAGACAGACATCTAGATACAAGAAATCCAGAGGACACCTGCAAGATACTATAGAAAACAAACATCATCTAGGCATACAGTCATCAGACTATCCAAGGTCAGCACTAAAGAAAAAAAATCTTAAAGGCAGTAAGAGAAAATGGTCAGATCATGTACAAAGGGAACCCATTCAGGCTAACAGCAGTCTTTTCAGCAGAAACTTCATACGCCAGGAGAGATTGGGGGCCTATTTTCAGCATTCTTAAAGAAAAAAAAATCCAACCAAGAATTTCATATCCCACCAAACTAAGCTTCATAAGCAAAGGAAAAATAAAATATTTTTCAGACAAGCCAAGTGCTAAGGAAATTTATTACCACTAGACCAACCATATAAGAGATCCTTGGGAGAGTTCTAAACATGGAAACCAAAAAATAATACCTGCTACCACAAAAACACTCTTAAATACATTGCCCACACACCCTGTAAAGCAATCACGTGATAAAAACTCTAAAGCAACTCGCTAACAACTCCATGAAATGGTCAAAACCTAACATATCAATATTAACCTTGAATGTAATTAACCTTGAATGTCTAAACAGCCCACTTGAAAGGGACAAAGTGGCAAGTTTGATTAAAAAAAAAAGTCCATCTGTCCATCTCACATGTAGTGACACCCATAGGCTCAAAGTAAAGGACTGGAGAAAAATCTATCATGAAAATGGAACACAAAAAAGAGCTGGGACTGCTATCCCTTTACCAGATAAAATACACTTTAAACAACAGTAAAATAAATAAATAAATAAAGCAAGCACGTAAGCACATTACATAAGAACAAAGGATTCAATTCAGAGGAAGACTTAACTGTTCTAAATATATACACATCCAACATTGGAGCACCCAAATTCATAAAACAAGTACTCTTAGACCTGTGAAAAAAATGTAGATAGCCACACAATAATAGTGGGGAAATTCAATACCCCACTGACATTATTAAACAGATCATAAAGGCAGAAAACTACCAAAGAAATTACAGACTTAAATTCAACACTTGACCAATTGAACCTAACAGATACCTACAGAATATTCCAGTCATCAACCTCAGAATATACGTTCTTCTCATTGGCACATAGAACATACTTCAAGATTGATCAACCGTTCGACCACAAAGCAAACTGCAATACATTTTTTAAAACCTGAGTTATACCAACCACTCTCTCAGACCACAGTGGAATAAAAATAGAAATCAACACAAGATCTCTCAAAACCACACAATTACATGGAAATTAAACAATTTGCTCCTGAATGATTTTAGTAAACAATAAAATTAAGGCATAAATTTAAAAATTACTTGAAATAAATGAAAACAGAGACGTACCAAAGTCTCTGGGATGCAGCAAAAGTAGTGTTAAGAGGAAAGTTTATAATACTAAATACCTACCTCAAAAAGTTAGGAAGTTCTCAAATTAATGATCTCATGTCACACCTGGAGGAACTAGAAAAACAAGAACATGCAAAGAATCAACAAAACAAAAAATTGGTTCTTTAAAAGAATAAACAAGATCAATAAACCACTAGCTAGATTAACAGAGAGAGACAGAAAGAGAGAGAGACAATGCAAATAAGCACACTCAGAAATGACAAAGGTGACATTACAACTGACCCCACAGAAACACAAAAGATACTCAGAGATGATTATGAACACTTCTATGCACACAAACTAGAAAATCTAGAGGAAATGGATGAATTCCTAGAAACACAATCTCCCAAAATTGAATCATGAAGAAATTAAAACCCTGACCAGACCAATATCAAGTTCCAAAATTGAATCAGAAATAAAAAACTTACCAAAAAAAAGCTCAGATTAGATGGATTCATAGCTGAATTCTACCAGATGTACAAAGAAAAGCTGGTACCAATCCTACTAACAGTATTTCAAAAAATCAAAAATGGAGGGACTCCTCCCTAACTCATTGTACAAAGCCAGCATTACCCTGATACCAAAATATCACAAAGACACAACAAAAAAAGAAAACTTCAGACCAATATCCCCAATGAATATAGATGCAAAAATCCTCAAAAAATAATAGCAAACCAAACCCAACAGCACATCAAAAACTTAATTCACCATGATCAAGTAGGCTTCATTTCTGAGATGCAAGGTTGGTTCAACATATACAAATCAATAGATGTGATTCACCAACCACATAAACAGGATTAAAAACAAAAACCATACAATCATTTCAATAGATGCAGAAAAAGCTTTTGATAGCATCCAATATCTCATCTCTTCATAGTAAAAACGTTTAACAAACTAGGCATTGAAGGAACATACCTAAAAAACAAAAGAGCCATCTATTACAAACCCACTGCCAACATTATACCAAACAGGCAAAAATTGGAAGCACTCTCCTTGAGAAATGGAATTAGACAGTGATTGCTGTCTACGGCCATACCACCCTGAACGCGCCCGATCTCGTCTGATCTCGGAAGCTAAGCAGGGTCGGGCCTGGTTAGTACTTGGAAGGGAGACAGTGATTACTCGCTCTCACACTCCTATTCAATGTAGGGCTGGAAGTCCTTGATGGAGCAGTCAGGCAAGCCAAAGAAATAAAAGCATCCAAATAGGAAAAAAAGCCAAACTCTGTCTCTTCATGGACAATATGATTCTATACCTAGGTAACTATAAAGACTCTGCCAAAAGGCTCCTGGAACTGAAAAACAACTTCAGTAAGGTTTCAGGATACAAAATCCATGTGCAAAAATCGGTAGCATTAATATATACCAATAATGTCCTGAGAGCCAAATCAATAACACAATCACATTTATGATATCTGCAAACAAGCAAACTAGAAATACCTCTAACCAAGAAGGTGAAAGATCTCTACAGGGAGAACTACAAAACATTACTGAACAATATCATAGATGGCACAAAGAAATGAAAAAGCATTCCATGCTCATGGAATAAAAGAATCAATATTGTTAAAATGGCCATATTGACCAAAAAAATTTACAGATTCAAGGCTATTCCTTTCAAGCTATCAATATCATTATTCAAAAAACTAGAAAAAAACTTCTAAAATTTATATGGAACCCAGAAAAAGCCTGAGTAGCCAAAGCAATCCAAGGCAAAAAGAACAAAGCTAGAGGCATCACATTAACTAACCTCAAACTATTCTACAAAACTACAGTTACTAAAATAGCAGGGTACTGGTACAAAACTAGATACATTGACTAATGGAACAGAATAGAGAACCCAAAATAAAGCTGCACACCTATGGCCATCTGATCTTTGACAAAGTTGACAAAAATAAGCAATAGGGAATGGATTTCCTACTCAATAAATGCTGCTGGACTAGCTGGCCAGCCATATGGAAAAGAATTAAATTGGATCCCTATCTTTCACCATATACAAAAATTAACTGAAGATGGATTAAAGACTTAAATATAAGACCTCAAACTATAAGAATCCTAGAAGAAAAACTATGAAATGCTTTTCTGGACATTGGCCTTGGGAAGAATTTTGGCCTAGGTCCTCAAAAGTAATTGCAACAAAAACGAAAATTGACAAATGGGACCCAGTTAAATTAAAGAGCTTCTGCACAGCAAAAGAAACTATCAGGCTGAGCTTGGTGGCTCACTCCTGTAATCCCAGCACTTTGGGAGGCCAAGGCAGGAGTATGGCTTGAGCCCAGGAGTTCAAGACAACTCAAGGCAACATAGGGAGTCCTCATCTCTTAAAAAAAAAAAAAGGGGGGGGAGTAAACAGACAACCTACAGAATGGAAGAAAATATTCGCAAAATCCAACAAAGATTTAATATCCAGACTCTATAAGGAACTTGAACAATTGAACAGGCAAAAAATAAATAACTACCCATTAAAAAATGGGCAAAAGACTTGAACAGACACTTCTCAAAAGAAGACATACAAGTGGCCAATAAACATATGAAAAAATGCTCCATCTCACTAATCATCAGAGAAGCAAATCGAACCACAGTGAGAAACCAAAAAGCACCAGATGCAGAGGCTGCAGAGAAGAGGGAATACTCACATACTGTTGGTAGGACTGCAAATTAGTTCAGCCACTGTGGATAGCAATTTGGAGATTTCTCAAGGAACTTAAAATAGAACTACCATTCAACCAGGAATCTATTACTGGGTATATATCCAAATAAAATAAATTGTTTTATAAAAAGGCACCCATATGTTCATTGCAGTGTTATTCACAATAGCAAAGATGTGGAATCAGCCTAGGTATCTATCAAAGGAGGACTGGATAAAGAAAATGTGGTATATATGCACTATGCAATAGTATGCAGCCATAAAAAGGAATAAAAGCATGTCCTTTGCAGCAACATGGATGTAGCTGGGAGTCATTATCCTAAGCAAATTGACACAGGAACAGAAAACCAAATACCACACATTCTCACTTATTAGTGGGAGCTAAGCATTGGGTACTTATGGACATAAAGATGGCAACAGTAGACCCTGAGGACTTCTAAAAGGAGGAGGAATAGAAGCAAGCCGGCAAGGGTTGAAAAACTAACTATTGGTTACTATATCCAGTACCTGGGTGACAACATCAGTCATACCCCAAACCATCACACAGTTTATTCAGGTCACAAACCTGCACATGTACCCCTTGAATCTAAAGTAAAAGTTGAAATTATAAAAATAAATAAATAATTAGAAAAATTGAAATAAACAACCTAATGGTGCATCTTGAGGAACTAGAAAAGCAAGACCAAAAACAAACCCAAAATGAGCACAAAAATAATAATAATAAAGATTAGAGCAGGAATATACACAATTGAGACTAGAAAAACAATACAAAAGATCAAGTAAACAAAAAGTTGTTTTTTAAGATATACAAAATTGACAGGCTGTGAACTAGATTAACTAAAAAAAGAGAAAGAAGACCCAAATAAATAAAATCAAAAACAAAAAAAGAGATGCCACAACAGATACCACAGAAATAGAGGATCATTAGAGACTACTATGAGCAACTATATGCCAATAAATTTTAAAACCTAGAGAAAAAAATAAATTTCTGAACATATACAACCTGCCAATATTGAACCAAGAAGAAATAAAAATCCCAAACAGACCAATAATAAGTAACAAGATTGACTCATTCATTAAAAATCTCCCAACCAAGAAAAGTCCAGGAAAGGGATGGCTTTACCACTGAATTCTGTCCAACCTATAAAGTACAATTAACACAAACTATTCTCAAACTCTTCCAAAAATTTGAAGCAGAGGGAATGCTTCATTCTGTGAGGCCAACATAATCCTGATACCAAACCCAAGGACACAAGAGAAGAAAACTAGAGGCCAATATCCTTGAGGAACATACATGAAAAACCTGCATGTATACTAGCAAAATTAATCCAACAATACATCAAGAAAATAGTACACCATGGTCAAGTAGAATTTATCCCAAGAATGCAAAGTTGGTCCAACATATGAAAATTAATAAATATGATACATCACATCAATAGAATGAAGGACAAAACTATATGATTATAGATGTAGATGTAGAAACAGCATTTGATAAAATTCAACACCCCTTCATGATAAAACTTCTCAATAAATTAGGAATAAAAGGAAACTACATCAACACAATAAAGGCCATACGTAAAAAACCCACAGCTAACATGATACTAACTGGGAAAAAGCTGAAACCTTTTTTTCTAAGAACAGGAAAAAGACAAGTATGCCCCCTCTCATGGCTCTTATTCAATACAGTACTGGAGGTCCTGGCCAGAGCAATTAAGACAAGAGTAAGAAATAAAGGGCATCCAAATTGGAAATGAGGAAGTTAAATTTCTCCACTTTGCAGATGACAGGATCTTATATTTATAAAAACCTAAAGATTTTATCATAAACTCTTAGAACTGATAAACAAATTCAGTAAATTGCAGGGAAGAAAATTAATATACAAAGATCAATAGCATTTCAATACACAAACAATGAACTAGCTTAAAAAGAAATCAAAAAGGCAATTTCATTTATAATAGCTACAAAAAAATACCCTAAGAATAAATTTAAGCAAGGAGGTGAAAGACCTCTCTACAAGGGAAATTACAAAATACTGATCAAATAAATTGAAGAGGACACAAACAAATGGAAAAGCATTTCATGCTCATAAATCAGAAGAATTCATATTGTTGAAATGACCATGCTACCCAAAGCTATCTATACAGTCCATGCAAAACCTATAAAAACTCCAATGACATCTTCACAGAAATAGAAAAAAAATCTTAAAAGTTGTGTGGAATCACAAGACCTAGAATAGTCAAATTGATGTTGATTTAAAAGAACAAAATTGGAGGCATCGCACTACCCGACATCAAAATATACTACAAAGCTGTATTACCAAAACAGCATGGTACTTGTGTAAAAACAGACACATAGACTAATGGGATAGAATGGAAAAAACAGAAATTAATCCACATATTTATAGCCAAATGACTTTTGACAATGGCACCAAGAACATGCACTGGGGAAAGACAGTCTCTTCAATAGCTGGTGCTGGGAAAACTGTGTATTCATATGCAGAAGAATAAAACTAGAACCCCCACCTCTCTGTACAAAAATCAACACAAAATGGACAAAAGACCTAAATGTAAGACCTGAAATTATAAAATTACTTGAAGAAAACATAAGGAGATCCTTCAGGACATTGGTCTGGGAAAAGATTTTACTAATAAGGCCTCAAAAGCACAGACAACAAAAGCAATAATAAACAAACAGGATTATGTCAAACTATAAAGCTTCTGCCAGCAAAGGAAATAATCAAAGGAGTGAAAAGTCAGCCTATAGAGTGGGACAAAATATTTGCAAACTACTCATCTGACAAGGAATTAATATCCAGGATACACAAGAAACTCGAACATCTTGATAGCTAAAAAACAACCCAACAACCTGATTTTTAAAATGGGCAAATGATCTGAACAGACATTTCTCAAAAGAACACATACGAGTAACCAACATATATATGAAAAAAATCTCAACATCACTAGTCATCAGGGAAATGCAAATCAAAACCACAATAAAGTATCATCTCACCCCAGTTATAAATGAATATTATTTTGAAAGACCAAAAAAGTCAACAAATACTGGTGAGGATGCATAGAAAAGGGAGCTCTTATTCACTGTTGGTGGAAATGTAAACTAGTACAGCCACTATGAAGAACACTATGGAGGTTCCTCAAAAAACTATAAATATAACTATAATATGATCCAGCAATCCCACTACTGGGCATTTATCCAAAAGAAAATAAATCAGTATATCGAAGAGACATCTGTACTCCCATGTTTATTGCAGCACTATTCACAATAGCCAAGATATGAAATCTACCTTGTCCGACAACAGATGAATTGATAAAGCAAATGTGTTATGTGTACACAAAGGAATACTATTCAGCCATAAAAAAGAATACAATGTTGTTATTTTATTATTGGTACCATGGATGATACCATGGATGAAACTGGAGGACATTATGTTTAGTGAAATAAGCCAGGAACAGTAAGTTAAACACTGTATGTTCTCACTGATATGTGTAAGCTAAGAAAAGTTGATCTCATAGAAGTAAAAAGTAGGACAGAGGATACTTGAGGCTGGGAAGGATAGGGGAAAGGGGGAGATAGTGAGAGATGTGTTAAAGGATATAAAATTATAGCTAGATAGGGTAAATGAGTTCTAGTGTTCTCTACTACTCGAGGATGACTATAGTCAACAATAATATATTACATAGTTTCAAAAAGCTGGAAAAGGGATATTGAGTGTTCCCAAAACCAAGAAATGATAAATGTTCGAGACTATAGATATGCTAATTACCATGATCTGATCACTATACATTATTTGTATTGCAACATCACTACGTATCCATTAAATATGTACAATTATTATATGTCAGTTAAAAAAAAGAAAGTGGTAACACTGTCACTGAGTATTTTTACTGACTCCTACCTCCAGCCAAGGAGCTCTTGATTGTTCCCTTTATCTTCCTCTCTTCATATGTAGTCATCATTAAGACTTCTTAATTCTACCTCCTAAATATCTCTTAATTCTGCCTCTTAGATCTGCTACTGCCTTAGATCTATGCTGTCATCTCCTCTCTTCCTATTGTCACATGAACTTTTAGCTACCACCAGTGCTGAGCCTCTCCTATTTATTCTCACATTGCCACTAAAATGAACTTTCTGAAGTGCAAAACTATGTCCCACCCCTGCCCAAAGTCTTTCAACAGCTCTCTGTTTCTCTTAGAATAAAGTACAAACTCTTGGCCTGGCGCGGTGGCTCACGCCTGTAGTCCCAGCACTTTGGGAGGCCGAGGCAGGCGGATCATGGGGTCAGGAGATTGAGACCATCATGGCCAACGTGGTGAAACCCCATCTCTACTAAAAATACAAAAATTAGCTGGGCATGGTGGTACGTGCCTGTAATCCCAGCTACTCGGGAGGCTGAGGTATGAGAATCACTTGAACCTGGAGGCAGAGGTTGCAGTGAGCCAAGATCGCACCATTGCACTTTAGCCTGGGCGACAAAAGCAAAACTCTGTCTCAAAAAAAAATAAAAATAAAAATAAAAATAAATTCAGACTCTTTAAAATGGCTTACAAGGTTATAAATGATCCTCAGTTCATCCCGTGAGCCTCATCTCTAGCCACTAGCCAACTCTAGCTCTACACTGTAGCTGTATTCTATTTTCTCTCAACTTGTGGTCTTTCTCAATATTATTTCTTCTGTCCCAAATTCTTTTCTTTCTTCTTTACTGGTTAACTCCTATTCTTCCACCAGCAAGCCTTCCCAAATACACAAAGATGGGAGAAGTGTCCTCAATGTCTGGCCACTTAGAACCTGTACTTCCATCAACATATCCCTTTTCTCTCTGTATTGCGATTTCTTGGTCACTCCTGTCTTCCCCACTATGTTAAATAAATTAACATTCAATGAAGAAGCAGGTATTGGATAATGTCAAACATCTTTTGACATTTATAGAGATGATATGTTGTATTTTTTTCTACCCACTGATGGTATTACCAATATATTTTTTTAAATGCTGCATCATCCTTATATGTCTGGAATAAAACCTAATTGGCTTTGGCATGACTGTCTCCTAATACACTACTAAATTCAATTAACTAATATTTGATAGAATCTGTCTATCCTTCAGTGTTCTGGGATTGTTTTTTCTTGTTTTGCTGTTTGTTGTCTTTGCCAGATTTTAATTTTATAACTGTACATGTAATAATAACTTAATTTTACTATGATTCTCTAGGTTTTAAACTCCATGAGAACTCCCATTCAACACTATAAACCCAGAATCTAGTAAAACAGGCACACAATAAATATTTGTTAAATAAATAAACAAATTGAGTTAGAAAGCTTTCCTTGTTTTTTGTGAGTTACATTGAGCATACAATTTGAGAATTAGTTATTCCTTGAAAGTTAAAATGACCAATATACAACACAAACTAAAATTGAAGCCTTTCATTGAGCAGGAAGGAATGACAGGAGAGGCAGTTTGATGAGTTCCTTTAATTTTTCTCTGCTTTTTAGTCCATTCCTATTTTCTAGTCCCTCTTACTCCATTTGTATATGTCCACTGTCCAGAAAGTAATACACTTAGTCTAAAATTGTAGGTCAGGCCGTATTCCTTTATTTTTAAACTATATTTTCTTTGAAAAATACCCAAAGCACAATATAAAATATCACCAAGATTTCATAGCTATATCTATATCTGTATTTATATATCCCTCATCCAGTCCTAGCCCCAGAAATAATCACATTTGCTGCTAATTTATTACTGATTATGCATATTTTCAGATTTATTTATCACATACTCATACATATGTTAATCTTTTACTTTGTGGCTTACTGAGAAAAGTCTACATCAAAGCTACAAAAGTACTCTCATATTTTCAGAGTTTATAATATTTAGACATTTAATTCTTCTGGAATTTATTTTTTATTTATTTATTTGTTTATTTTTGAGATGGAGTTTCACTCTTGTTGCCCAGGATGGAGTGCAATCTTGGCTCACCACAAGTTCCACCTTTCAAGTTCAAGCGATTCTCTTGCCTCAGCCTCCCAAGTAGCTGGGATTACAGGCATGCGCCACCATACCTGTCTAATTTTTTTGTATTTTTAGTAGAAACAGGGTTTCTCCGTGTTGTTCAGGCTGGTCTTGAACTCCCGACCTCAGGTGATCCACCCTCCTCAGCTTCCCAAAGTGCTGGGATTATAGGCATGAGCCACAGCACCGGACGGAATTTATTTTCATATAGTATAAGGTAGGGCTTAATCTGATTACCTTCTTAATAAATGCCCAATTGTTCAAAGCCACTTACTAAATCCATACTTTATTTGACTGGAATTAAATGCCACTTTTATCACTCCAGTAACTATGTCATAATTTACTTGTTTCGTTGCATTAGTTAATAATGTAGTATAATAATAATGTTGGCAATCTAAGAGTAACAGATGATCTCTCTCTCTTAGAACTCATATTAACTGAAATATCCTTAGAATGCCATCAGTGTTGGTTTTGGCTTTGATCCTCCAGAGCCAGATTGCCTGGGTTTGAATCCAGTATGCTAGAGGCCACTTGAATAGGCTCATGTGAGCAAATTGTGTGCATCTCCTCCCAACTCCACTCATCGTGTCAATTTGTTGGTAGCTTGAAGTTGACTATGATGGGAGTACTTGCAAACACTATAAATAAGGGATTCGTGGGATGGGAAGTACAGAAAGTGGGAGGAGAGCCATTTGTCAAATATTGCCAAGCATTTACTAGCATACCACTGGTTGGAATTCTTGCTCTGGGCAAGTTATGTATCTGAACCTTAATTTCTTTATCTGAAAGTAATGATGGTAACAGCAACTCCCTCATAGTTTGTTATGAGATTTAAAGGAGTTAAAGCATGTAAAGCATTAAAAATAGTGTCAGATATACTACATTATTATTTTTTATAATTTATAATTTTCTATTGTATCCTTACTGTTAGCTTCTTTCTGATCTCTTTAGCCATGTTTTCCTAACTTGCATTGAATGCTTGTTTCATTTATTTTAATTCTTTTTTATCTTATAATTGTCTTTGAGACTATGAATTTATCTCTGAATTCATTTTGGATCACATTCTATATCCAGTGTCTTCTTGTGTAGTTTCCTCACTGTCATTTTATTTTACATAACCTTTGAATTGCAGATTTTTTCGAAGTAACATGCACATGGTTAAACAGAGTTCTGAAAGACTTATGAAGAAAATTAACCAGCTGATGCATTACCCACCTTCACTCAAATGCTTCTAACTTTTAATAACAGTATTAATAAGTTTTGTTTTAATGCCTCTATTGATGCTCTACTTATCTCTAAATAAGATCACTAAACTTCTATATCAAGAGTCACATGATTTGGATATCATCTATTAATTTTGTTTTGATAAATAAGGATTTAACATATTCCTATCACACCTTTCCTCTCCCTCTTTTCTTGCCAGAGTGTACCATTATTTTTAATTTCCATTTACAGCAACATTCTTAAATCAGTACTTCTTTTCCCAATAACAATAGGCACAGCTTTTAATCATTCTCTGTGTATGATGATAACATTATTACCCATCTTCTCTTGCTCTTCCAAATCCCAGCTGATGTTGGCTTTTCCATAGCTTTTTACATTGTCATTTTTAATAACATTTTCATTTTCTTCTGTAGTCTTAGCTCATCCATGGTTTGCCTACAAACTATAAAATCCTAAAGTTGAAAACCAACAAATGATTATTACATTCTAATGACTAGGCACATTTTTCAGTTGTTTTTAACAGTTTCAGTGTCAGCGTGTGCCACTTAAAGGGGAATATTCCTAGACCAAGTTGAAATTTATTCCTCTTGTTTACTGAACGAGCCCAGTCATGCCTCAATTTAGATGGCTGCCTCTCTTTATCATGACTTTCTTGTATAGTTTTGTTTTGCTTTCATGGAATCTCTGATAGCATTCATCTCCATGCTTTAATTGCATAAGATATTTCCAAGATCTCCATCACAATACGTGTTCCATCACATTCTAAGTTGTTTTGTTGTTGTTCTTGTAGCCCTTTGTCCTCCCAACTCTCCAGTGTGGACTGTCTTCTAAGTCACATATAAAACTGCACTCCCCCTCATTGATCTTTGGCCTCCTGCTTTAGTTCACTCCCTTATTTCAACAGAATACATCCTCAAAAAAAATCCCAAGAAACACAATCTGAGTCCTTACATATTTTTAGATGTACCTTGTCCTCACACTTGATTGGTAATGTGACTAGAAAAAGAAATTTAGGCTGAAAATCACTTTTCCTCAGATACTTGAAGGCATTTACTCCATTGTCTCATAACAGCCAGCATTTCTGAGAAGCATGATTTCAGTTGAATACTCATTCCTTTGTAGATTATTTTTTGTTTGCTTTGGAAGTTTTAGGAACTTCTCTTTCTACTTGATTTTCTAATACTTCACATGTATATATCTAGGTTTGAGTCTTTTATTAATTCATCTTGTCCAACACTAGATGAATATTTTCCCTTAAGTTGTAGGATATCATAATTTTGTAATTGTAACATTTGAATTTATAATTTAATGACTCTCTTACCAGTTCCTCTCTGACTCTCTTTTGGATGGTCTAGTAATTGAACACTGGGATCCTAGAATTCACCCTCTATATCTCTTCACCTTTTAAACATATTTTTTATGGTTGTATTTTTATTTTACATCGCGTATAAGTTATTTAACTTTATTTTGCAATCTTACATTGTTTTTTAAATGTGGCAAACATATATTTAATTTCCAAGAGTTTCATCTTGTTATCTAAGATTTTCTTTTCCATAGAAGAGAGTACTAGTTTTTGCATGCAATACAGGCTGAAATTTCCCTCAAGATACTAATTGGTGTTTTCTTTCTGAAGTTCTCTTTTTTTCTCTAATTTATTTCTGTTTTCTCTAGAGAGAGTTTTTCTATTTTATTCTCTTGGTTTTCTCTATCATGCTGTGGGATTTCCTGAAATATCTATAGCAATTCTTGTGCTTTCATCTATATTTAATAACCTATTAATGTAATTTGGATTTCCTCATTGATACAAAATTGAGTATTTTTAATTGAAAGAGTTCTTTCTGTTGATGTTCTTTTGAACTGTTGAGTTTAACTCTTCATATTTAATTACTATTTGATTTCATTGATGTGAGGGACTGTGACATTTATAATTTTTGCCTTTGGAAATAAATTTACACGCACTTTGTGGTTTATATGATCAATTTTTATAAGTATTTTATGAATATTATATATACAGATAGCTTTATTCATAGTATATTCAAAATATTTACATTTCAGTTATTTTTGCCAGCTTGATCGGTCACGATTGAGAGATATCTGTGAAATTATCCTTCTGCAACAGTATTAGCAGTGTTTTGTTTATTCTCCCATGTATTCCATTTTAATTAGTAAAATGTTAATGAAAGATCAAGAGTAATATTTCAAAACCCACATACACATCATCTAGAATAACATATAATAACATTTGTCATATTTGTTGCAGTTTTTTTAAAAATTAATGTTTTATTTTGCTAGTTAATCTTTTAAAATAAAACCATACAATCCAGCAATCCTACTGCTAGGTATATACCCAAAAGAAAGGAAATCGGTATATCATAGACATATCTGCACTCCAATATTTATTGCAGCACTATTCACAAGACCTAAGATTTGGAAGCAAACCTAAGCATCCATCAAAAGAGGAATGGATTTTATCTTTTGCCATAAAAAAGCATGAAATCCTGTCATAAGCAAAAACATAGATGGAATTGGAGGTCATTATGTTAAGTGAAATAACCCAGGCAGAGAAAGACAAACTTCACATGATCTCACTTATTTGTGACAGCTAAAAATTAAAACAATTGAACTCATGGAGATAGAGAGCAGGATAATGGTTACCAGAGGCTGGGAAGGGTAATGGGGTGGAAATGGTTAATGGGTACAAAAATATACTTAGATAGAATAAATAAGATCTAGCATTTAATACAACAGAATGATTATAGTCAACAATAATTTATTGTAAATTTTGAAATAACTAAAAGAGTATAATTGGATTGTTGGTAACGGAAACAAAAAATAACTGCTTGAGGTGATGAATGTTCCATTTGCTCTAATGTGATTGTCACACGTTGCTATGCCTGTATCAAAATATCTCATATACCCCATAAAGATATACACCTACTATGTGCCCACAAAAATTAAAAGTAAAAATGTTAAATAAATTAAATAAATAAATAAAATTGAAATTCATTTGATCTTCAACTAAGCACTTTTCTCTTCTCTTTCCTCGAAGACAAGTATGAATTTGCTGTGTATTTCTCCAGTCCATGTACTTAATTATTAATTACTAAATATGCATAGGTAGATAAAATATGTATACTACTTTGTGTTTCAAAAATTTATCTAAATTATATTATACTCTTTCTTTTCTATAGCATGTTTCTTCTCAGCTCAGCATTTTGTTTTAGAGACTTAATTCATTTATACATTTTTATTGTTTTCAATGGTGTTTCTCTAGAGTTGTTTTACCAGTTTGGGGGCCTTTCCACTTCTAGGTAAATTTCTGAATCGGATTTTTATTTATCAAATTGTGTTAAATTTAAAGATAAAATAAAGGCAATAACATACTGGAAGGATTTTAAAATCCCATCTAGAACATGTTATATTTAATCATTTATTTAGGTTATTGTAATCTGAATGGGCCTCTTAGAAATATCAGCTACCTTGATATTGTATTGTATTATTTCGTTTTGTCTTAAACCTAAGAAATTTTCTTTTAAATGGTGAGTTTGCTCCAGTTGTATTATTTTTTGTTACAGATATGTTTGTATTTGTTTCTACCACATTACCTTATTTTCAATTTACCAAATTTCCCGTTTCTACATTTACTGAATCAACTAAGTTTTCTTATTCATTTTATCCCCAAATAGTTGGCTACCCTTAAAAGTACATTGAACAATTCCTTCAATAAATGTCTGTGAGTGATAAACTTTCTAGTTTTTGAAAGAGATCAGTCTTTTCTCCCTCTTGAATAACACTTTATCTGACAGATATACTTTATCTGACTGTATCCTTTGAAGACATTCTTACATTACCTTCAGACATCTGCTTTTGCTACTGGGAAGTTTGCTATCAGTCTACCTATTGCTCCTTAAAAGATAATTTTGGGCTGGGCGTGGTTGCTCACACCTGTAAACCCAGCACTTTGGGAGGCCAAGACAGGTGGATCACCTGAGGTCAGGAGTTCAAGACCAGCCTGACCAACATGGAGAAACACCATCTCTACTAAAAATACAAAATTAGCTGGGCGTGGTGCTGCATGCCTGTAGTCCCAGCTACTCAGGAGGCTCAGGCAGGAGAAATGCTTGAACCCAGGAGGCAGAGGTTGCAGTAAGCCGAGATCACGCCATTGCACTCCAGCCTGGGCAACAAATGCAAAACTCCATCTCAAAAAAAAAAATAGTTTCTTTTGAATTCTATTTAATAACTCCTTTCCCACTTATATGTGGAAATAAAATTCTCCCCTTTTATCTTCTATTAATCTGATTGCTTTACATTTCATGTTTAGGTATTTAATTGATGTGGACTCATCCTTGGTATATGCTATAAGAAAATATGTTTACCATTTCTTCTCTGATTTCTTGCTATTCAATTTTTTATCTTAGACTTAATAATTTACTTTCCTCCAAATCATCTGTTTGAAATTTTCAACTTGATTACCATAAAATTGTATATAATTATTTCTATAATTTTGATGACCTTATCACCTGTTTTATATAGCCTTTCCTATTATAATTTTTGTATGTTTTCTTTCTCTTAAATTGGATTTGGAAGAAAAACTGTCTGTTTTTTTCTCACTGTCTTTTATTTTTGCTTTCCAAAACTCTGGCTGCTAAATTGACTTGTCATTTTGACTGTATTTCTGTTTTAAAATCTTCTTCATAATTATGACATAATTCTGTTTTAAAATTCGTTTCTTCTATTTTTAAAATTTTTTTAAATACTGGTTTTTTATTTTTCTTGACTTATTAAGTAAAACATTTGACTCCATAATTTTTGTCTGTTTAATTTTTGAAAATATTTACAGATATAGATTTACCTCTGAATAAATCTTTAGCTATATCTAATATTTTTTTAAAAATTGGGTTCTCATTTTCATTATTTTATAATTGTTTCCAGCTTTGGATAAGGTGAATATTTGAACAAATATGTCTAAATTTCCTATTCTTGAAAGTTCCCACTGAAAGACTTATAGATCATAAAAATTGTATCTAAAAATAAAACCAACAACAGAAACCAAAGATGAAAAATAACCATGTACTGGACACTTTGGGAAATTATGCTATGATAACCTATAGACAAAGTAAACAAAAGCTGACTCTAACACGTGACTTAATTGATAAAGTTCATGAATTTCAAAGGTAAATAAAAAATCCTATGAGAGCAATGACAACAAATTGCTGGATGTTGCCAGAAGTTTCTTTCCCCTATTGGAGGTGAACTCTTGAAATCACCATTAGAAGCCGAGCACTTTGGTTTGGGACCAACAGTTTAGTGGGCCTTTGGGTTATGGTGAATCTCTTTTAGAAAGGAGATGTCAGTTAACATCTTAACTTCTAAGTTTGTGTGCATACTAATACAGAATATTATCTTCACTGATATCTTCACTGAGTTCGAGGTGGCTCGTGTGTGGGGGTGATGGTAAGAAATGTGTAGTCATTTCATTTCTTCTTCTTCCTGAGCCTAAAGCATACTTGGAAACCTAGGTTTAAAGTAGTGGAGATAGGATTGACAGCATTTCAATCCTTGGCAGATAAGCTGACCCATGCTATATGTGACTTAGGAGGGGTAGAGAAAAGTGCCACAAAGTAAATAACAACAGCAACTATTATTTACTGTTTTTTTAGTGTGTTCTAGCTATTATCTCCTGAGTGCTGCCAGTGAACTCTAGCAATACTGACATTTGCTAAGCATTTTGAGTTCACCTTTTTCAAACCTTTTAAAAAACTTAGTTAACACACATTCACATAGGAATTACTAGGTGCCAGGCACTATTGTAAGACTTTATTTATAATTCATATAATCCTCCTGATGGTATTATTATTTCTCCTATTTTAAAATTGAGAAAACAAGTAAAGCAAGATTAAATAACTTGTCCAGGGCCATAAACTAGTGAATTGTGGAGATGAAATTCTAACCCAAGCAGTGTGTCTACAGAGTCTATACTTTTAAACCCTGTACAATGTTCCATGTTAATTTTTCACACATAACCCCCACATTCAGCAAAACTTTGTTAAATACTGTAGACAGATATTTGCCTTACTTTGAGAATTTAGAAGAATAGCATGAGTATACACTTCAGTAAAAACATCAGGAGTAATCTACACTAGCATGGACAAAGCAAGAGAGAGGACTAAGGGAAAGATGACAAGAGAAAATGCACAAGGAAGGCTGGAGTAGTGACCTATGGTAGCACAATGTGGTCAGTGACAACTGGAATCAAACTACGAGAAACTGAAACACTTAAAAATACTAAAGGAAGGGAACACAATGACACTCCAGGCTTCCTAGAGCTATGTCAGATGGGTCTTGAATATTTTAGCTGATTATTAAAGAACTAGGAACATCTATGTTAAATTTAGCCTCACCTAAAAATATTTTTGAAAGAAAAAAAGAGTTAATGTCTCCAGAGCATTGAGGGGTAAATGATGTGAATCAAAATTTATTTACTAGATTATCATTGACAAAAGAAGGAAAATAAAAGATTATCTCCAATACTCAGGACCTCATAACACTTTTCTGAAAAATCTACTTCAACATGCTATCCAGCAAACTTAAAAATGAATCAACACATTAACCCACAAATGGAGAACTCACAGTAAGAAAAATAAAATTGGCAGCAAGTTTTGAATCCACTTAAACACGCCATAACTATGGGTACAAAGCAAAGTAATCATTGTGATTCCTGAAATTAAACTTCATAATATAAAAATTACATTGTTTTGGATGCAGTAGTATAGAATTGAGCAAATATTTATGAAATAAAAAAATCTCAAACATGAAAATGGGTTGGAGGAGAACTTGAGAAGATGAAACTAGTGAAAGAGAGATAATATAAAAACGGGAATATTCAGAGCAAGGAATCAAAACAAAAGATAAAATTTTATTTTTGAAGTATATACATTGAAATATATATTTTAATCCCATTCCTGAAAGATACAAAAGCCATTTTAAAAAGGTTTCAAAAATATAGGTGATATTTTCATTAAAGCAAATATTTACCAAGTATTTTTTTTTAATTAAACATTGAGAAACTAATTTCAGGGGTCCTTTTTCAAATGCTTTTATTTAAAGCCATTTACATTTTTTATAAGACTGTATCAATTGCATTTGTGGACCCCAAGGATTCTATATTCTCATGCTAGCCCAAATTTGGCCTTTAGAAATTTGTTAAAATTTTTACCTTAATTCTTCTTGCCAGCTTGAATGGTGCTTAATGTCTTTTCTTCCTGTGCTCTGCCAAAGGTGAATCAGTGTTTATCCCCATCCCCTTGAAAAGAATTGTCTTGGCCAGGCGCAGTGGCTCATGCCTGTAATCCCAGCACTTTGGGAGGCCAAGGCAGGTGGATCACTTGAGGTCAGGAGTTCAAGACCAGCCTGGCCAACATAGTGAAACCCCGTCTCTACTAAAAATACAAAAATTCGCCAGGCATGGTGGGATGCCCCTGTGATCCCAGTTACTCAGGAGGCTGAGGCAGGAGAATTGTTTGAACTCAGGAGGCAGGAGAATTGCTTGAACTCAGAACGCGGAGGTTGCAGTGAGCTGACATCACTCCACTGAGCTTCAGCCTGGGTGACAGAGAGAGAACCCATCTAAAAAAAAAAAAAGAAAAAGAAAAAAAAGAAAATAATTGTCTTTCCTTAAATTTCAGGCTACTTGATTAACCTGAAACTTCAGTTCTCCAATGAATTCAAGGAAATTTATGACATAAAATGCTTATTTGGCTTTTTTCTTGTTGTTAGAATGGATACTACACTCTAGTTTTCTACATCCTAGGCAAAAACAGAGCTTTTTTTTTGCCATTATTTGTGGTGCTTTCTGTTTTAATATTTTCTTGCTGTTTCCTTTATCTTATCTTTCTTGACATTTATATTATTTCTGTTCCTATTTTAGTCTTATGTTTTAGTAGACATGTATATCCTGTTTGTTTTTGTTTGTTTGTTTGTTTAGTCCAGTGGTTCTCAGTAGAAGTGTACCATGTCTTAGAATTTTGAAAATTTGTTGGGGCAATTTTGCTTGTCTCAGTGACTCAGAAGGGCTATTATTCTTCTTTCCCAATTTTTTTATTATGGTAAAATACATATAACATAAAATGTATCATCCTAACCACTTTGAAATATACAGTTCAGTAAAATTAAATACTTTCATAATGTTGTAGGATCATTACCACCATCTAACTCCAGAACTTTTTTCATCTTGTAAAACTGAAACTCTCTACCTATTAAACAATAACTCTCCATTTTATTCTCTACCCAGCCCCTGACAACCACCATTTAAGATTTTGTCTCTGATTTTTGACTACTTTACGTACCTAGTATAAGTAGACTCATATGGTATTTATCTTTTTTTGACTGTCTTATCTTATTTAGCATCATATCTTCAAGGTTCACCAATGTTGTAGCTTATGTCAGAACTGTCTTCCTTTTTAAGCTCGAATAATATTAGCAACCCAAGTGTCCATCGATGGAAGAATGGGTTATATATATATATATATCACATTTTGTTAATCCATTCATGCATCAATGGACACTTGTGTTACTTCTACATTTTAGCTTTTATGAATAATGACTATCATTTCAAGACCTACTTTCAGTCCTTCTGGGTATATGCCCAGAAGTGGAATTGCTGGATTATATGGTGATTCTATTTTTAATCTTTTGAGGAACAGCTAACCTGTTTTCCATGAAGGCTGGGACTATTGTTTCTGAGTGTGTAGGTAAGGAATACTAGATAATAGACATCCTAAAATGTGAAGAAAAGTTCCACACAATAAAGACTTTTCTCATGCCCACACAAGTTTAAACATCCTACTGGATGATCACATAAGTAAACACTATAGTTATGTTAGAACATATATTTATGTCATATAGAAGCATAATTTTTAAAATAATTGTAAGAAATACTGAATTTTATAGAATGCAACTGTTTTCTTTTGTTCAAAATTTGACCAAATGCTAGATTACTATTTTGGAAATAACTTCCTCATTCGCAATTCTTCTTGTAAAGCTTGAGCCACCAATATAACATACCTCTGTCAATCCATATTTGTAACTTTGGCACCCAGTTATTCCATGTAAAGTTATGAACAACTAACTACTTCATTATATCTTCTACTGTTGTTGTATATGGGCATTTATATGTTGAAACAGTTATTTGTTTTGTAAGCCACTGAGATTCTGGAATAGTTTGTTACAGAACATAACCTAATATTGCTAATGCACATCACTTAGTTCCCTAGCACAATTTTTGTTTCTTAGCGAAAAGTTGTGAGTCAACTCTGTCTCCATCTGTCCTGTCCCACCTGCATTCTATTAATAGAAAATTGCTGATGCTTCTAGAATGTGAATGACACCATTTTTCATTTCCAGGAGTGATGCAGGTGTATCTCTGGTTTTTTAAACTATTGACCATTACTCTTCTGGGAATCTTGGGAGAGGGAGAGTATGCTGTCTTCTCCAATTTATACAGAAGGCCTCCATATTCAATGGTATCAGTTACTTGGCTCATTGTAATTCAATTCTAGACTCCTTTGGGTGAAACTTAAGATGAAGGCAGGTAATAGAGACCTAGACCAATTTTTACATAGGAAAGATAAAAAGATGGAAATAAGAGATAAGGAAAGGCTCCTCTGGAAGACAAAATTGGCACTTTACAAGGCCTCACTTGTTTATTCATCACAAATCCATTTTTTAAATGTAGCTTCTTACTGAAAATAAAGCCCCATTCAAAGAAGCTGAAAAAAATTTCACACACTCTGAGGAGCCAGATGGTCTTTTATTCATAAAATTCTATCACTTCAGGATATTATAAAAGTTTTTAAACAAACAGAAGCCATGAAGTATACTGTTTCAACCTGAAAGAAGATATTTTTAGAATGCCAATACATAAACTATCACACACAATAGTCAATATGGATATGTTATTTTGAATTTAAACTGCTATAAGGAGGACTCTTGTTGTTTTTACAGTTAAGACTATTTCCTTTTCTGTTTTAATGACCAGGCAAAGGACAAATAACTGAAATGAGCTTACCAGAATTTAAAATTAAAAGGAACAAAGTAAGAGATGAATTTACTACCTTCAGGGATTTAACATTTTCTAGACATTTATGTATGACATTTGACATGGTAAGAGCCAGAGTTCTCAGAGACGTAGGAGATTTTTAAGGTATGAAAGAACTATTTGTCTCAAAAGGGAAAAAGTAGAGTGAAAACTATAGTTAGGACAATAGAGAAGGGGGTGGCGAAAGGAAGGAAGGGAGGAAGGAAGGGAGAAAAGGGAGGGAGGGAGGAAGGAAGTCAGGAGAGGGGAGGAGAGGAAAGGGGAAGGGAGGTGAGGGGAGAGGAGGGGTAAATAAAAAAAATAGGGCAGATTTTTGCGAGACAAGCTTATCTAAACTCTTACGACAACTATATTTTCCAGTTACAAAGAGGTTGTTCTAAAAGTAAGCATCGGCAAAATGATATTTTATTAAATGTTGGTGTTGCTTTTATAAACAGAGTTAGTATACAATAGAGCTCTTATGAAGTGATTGAAATGGCTTAAATGGGAACAGTGTAAATTGGAATGTTTGATAGGATGTCTGACAATCATAACTTGCAGTCATCATGTGATGAAAACCTTGGTTCCAAGTGCCTTATTTTAAATTTTAATATAGAAATTCATAGTAGTACACAAATTTTCATTTCCAATTTGACTGTTGATGAATTATGCCTTTTGTGGCTTAATTCTGTGGAATGACTCAGCTCATGTCTCAAGGAATGCTGGAGTGTTATTTTTATTAGATTCAAAATACAAAGGCAGTGTCATCTCTCTACTCTCCACCCTCTCAGGCTCTGTTTCAGTCATTATGAACTTCTTGTGCTCCCTAAATGCATTGTCATCTCTTTTGACTCTGGATCTTTGCCCATTCTTCTTCCTTTGCCTGAAATGCTCCCCTCCCTTCCCACTCCCTGATCGCCATTACACATATCTTAACCGAGTAACTCATATTCATTTTACAGGATTCAGTTAAAGCAACATATTCTCTGGGGTGATTTTCTTGCCTAGGTTTTCTTGGATGAAAAATAATGTCCCTGTCTTGGCCATTAATACACTGAAGTCACTATTTGTTACATTTGTCTCTCTACCTTGCTGATAATCTATCTGAAAGCCAGGGATAGTTTGTTTCTTTACAGTGTCTGGCATATAGTAAACAAGTTTTTGTAGGCACTGTTGTTTGGCTACATAAAAGTCTCTTCATACTTGTCTTCCCTTACTGTATTCAACTTCCCAATGGTGGCCATTACTCCACACATCTGGTCAACCAGATGTAGGTAGAAGTTCCTATGGATGGTTTCCCATCCCAAATGAAGAGCATAGGAAGGAATGTGTCCCCTTTCAATCATTCAGCATTTTAGTGACCTTGTTAGCAGAGTGAGTGGTATAATTTGGATGTTTGTCTCCTCCAAATCTCATGTTGAAATGTAACTCCCAGTGTTGGAGGTGGGGTCTACTGAGAAGTGTTTGGTTCATGGGGAAAGATCCTTCATGAATGGCTTGGTGCCACTCCATGTGGCTAAGGAAAAGACGGCCATACATCTTTTGATACTTCTTCCATTAAATGGTGTGTTGTACGTCCTCTTCCCTTTAAATCTAGGCTCACCTGTGACTGTTTTGACCCAAAAAATATGATGGAAGTGATGATAGCCCCTTTATTTAATGAAAGTCTTTATTGTAGTTATCCTATGCTTGTCTAACCATTGTATGCTGGAGTATGATGGACAGAGAACTTGTCTCTTTATCTCATAGGTCTTCAGCTAAAAAGGCACCGTATTGGTGGAACTAGAAGAAGGAGCCACACCCAAGAAGTCTTAACTATCTCTGAATATGATATAGATCATGAGACTCTAGACTTTGAGCCTAAGCCTGGTGCCATAATGAAAGGAGGTTTTCTGGGTCTTGGGAGGAGGCAAGTGTGCTTCTGCATGTGGAAGGAATGTAAATAATGTATAGCAAGAGTACAGACTGTGGTAAAGATGGAAGTAAATTCTTTGACACTCCTATTGAGAGTTGAAAGGAGAAGATGGAGGGTCTCTATATCTTTTTGCTTCCTTCTTTTTGGAGTCTTGAGCCACCATACAAAAAATCTGATTATTCTGAGGGAACCATGCTGTGAGGAAGCCCAACCTAGCCATATAGAGAGGCTTTATAGAGTGGAAGATGCCTGCCCAATCCCCAACTATAACCACCAGCTTTTTCAACTTCTTGCCCTACAGAATCAGGACATACGATATTTTAAACTTGTTGTTTAAAACTATAAGTTGTGAGGTAGTTTGTTATGCAGTAATAGATAATTGGAACATTAGGTAAAAGCATAATTTTTGTTTCTATGTTCTTCTGTCCTCTTCCTGTCTGGATGCACACACAAGACAGAGATCTAAGAAAACTCCTGAGATTGTGAGACAAAAAATTCTTTAAAATAATTTTAAAAAAACCACCTACAGATTAATGATGTCAGAATGGAAAGACAGAAAGAGTCTGGGTCCTTGCTGACACTATTGAGCCATCCATACCAGACAGCCCTAGACTGGTTCATCTGGTCAATGTTATTCTGGCTTTCTGTTATTTGCCAATAAGTACATTCAGAGCTGACACAACTATCAACAGATATTTGTTAACTGATTTGTTCAATTTTATTGAGTCCCTTCTTCTTCAGCCACATCTTTTCTGAAAATGTTTACCTTCAACAATGTAACCTTTTTGGGATATGTAGATAGTACCTAAAGAGCAAGCTTTCATGGTAGGTACATTTCTCAGAGATGCTCAATTGTATTCAATCTCCACTCATTCAACTCTGTTCATTTTCCCAGCCTTTACTAGAAAAGTGTTTTGTTTTCCAAGCACCCCTTTGAATCTTCATTTCCAACTCTGTGACCCCAAGATGTAGGGTCATTTTACCTTAAAACCCTACCTGGTTTTACCTCAGTTGTAAGATGGAACAAGATGCCTCTGAAAGGAGAGGACTTTCCAGCAGTCAGAAGTTTTCATTGCCTTTACTCTCTGGCTTTTAAGTTCTTAAATTTATTATAGTTTTTCTTAGCAAACATAAAAAAGAAATCATAAAAGATTTCTGTATGTAACCAGCTCTCTTAAGTTTCCAGACACTGATGTCTATGAAACAGTAATGAGAAAAAAAAAAATGGCATTCACACCAGAGACCTTCTCAGTACTGACTTCCTAAAATGTGTCTCCTTTCAGTCATTCAATGTTCTGGTGACCTGTGTTAGCAGAGTGAGTGATATAATTTGGATGTTTGTCTCCTCCAAATCTCATATTGAAATATAATCCCCAGTGTTGGAGGTGGGGCCTGGTGGAGGTGTTTGAGTCATGGCGGGAGATCCTTCATGAATGCCTTGGTGCCAGCCTCACAGTAATGAGTAAGTTCTCACTCTGAGTTCACATAACTTCTGGTTGTTTAAAAGAGTGTGGAATCTCCCACCTCTCTCTCTTTTGCTCCTGCTCTCACCATGTGATGTGCCTGCTCCCACTTTGCCTTCCACCATGATTGTAAGCTTCCTGAGGCCCCACCAGAAGCCAAGTCGATTTTAGTACCATCCTTGTATAATCTGCAGAACTGTGAGTCAATTAATCTCTTTTCTTTATAAATTGCCCAGTCTCAGGTATTCCTTTTAAATAACACAAAAATGGACTAACACAATGAGTATAAAATGAGTAATAAAAAAATGCTCTAGTTTCTGTTGCCTAAAATTTTAATATCTCAGCATGGAGGGAGAGGGTGCATTAAGGTATAGGGACAGAGCACAAGCATTGGAGTTGTCTGGGTTTACGTTTCTTTGTCACTTATTGACTGTATAATTCTGTGAAAATCCTTTTAAAACATGCTTCCTCTACTTCAGCTGAGGTCTTAGAAAGCAGGCTTGTTATGAAGACTAAATGAGACAATCTATGTAAAGCATATGTTTTAGGGCTTAGCACATAGGAAAGAAATGACAACTGCTGACTCTGCTATAAAAGAAAGTAAAGTACTTAAAAGTCAGCCACTACATTACCGCTGCAGTATTCTCTTTTAAAAATGACTTTTGGGGATTACTACATATAAATTCGTCATTTCCCTAAAAATCTATTCTCTGCCTTTAAAACATGAATGAAATAATTACAAAACAATAATAAGTAATGCTAAAACACTAAGGTGCCAACATTTGATATAATTTCTGTCTAAAGTCTCCTAAATAGAGTATTTGAAGAAGAAGTAAAAACTACTTTGGAAATATTGTGTCAGATAAAAGCGAAGAGTTGCCAAATGTGGAGCTGAAGATAAATGTAGTAGCAAGTAATATGATATAAAGAAGCAATCTAAAAATTATGATATCTCAACAAATAAATAACTAATGAATCCCGGTGGCTAAAGTGATTGAGTAACCATTGTAACTTACTCAGTTTCTTCAGTACAGTCCTTAAATATTTGAACTTAAAGAAAATATTTTATGAAAAATAGCATATTCTTTTGAACTGCACTTTTATGTGGAGTAAAATAAAATGTACACTGTATATTTAATAATAGACTACAGATACCCCCTAAAATGACGTTTTGTTCCTCACCTTAATGTTTATTTGGACCTGTTCACCTATGCAATATGCTAAAGATTTTCTACTTCACAGAAACTACCTTTTGAGTTTCTGTAGGTATTTTGTTACTTTTGTTTTCCTATAATTGTGTACTGTAATGATATACAATGGGGCTGGCACAAAGATATTCTTGTCCTACTAAAGAACTACTCTCAAAGCCTGAAACTGATACACCACTAAAAAATATCACTTGATGAGTAATGAGGCTAGGAAGGCCTTTTAACCCGGTAAAATGAGGAGGGATCAATCAGTACACTATATTTTAGGTGCATTTTTGCCTATAAAACCATTTCTTGGGGTGGATTACCTGAGATTAGGAGTTTGAGACCAGCCTGGCCAACATAGTGAAATTCTGTCTCTACTAAAAATACAAAAATTAGCTGAGTGTGGTGGTGCACACCTGTAATCCAAGCTACTCGGGAGGCTGAGGCAGGAGAATCACTTGAACCCAGGAGGCAGAGGTTGCAGTGAGCAGAGACCATGCCACTGCACTCCAGCCTGAGTGACAGAGTGAGATTCCATCTCAAAAAAAAAAAACAAAAAACAAAACTTTATTCAAAAAGGAAGAATTTTAAACAGTACATGTCTATTATGTGCAGATGATTTTGCCTTTTTCCACTTGTTATTTCTGAAATAATC
The DNA here is from genome assembly GCF_000001405.40 of Homo sapiens. Lineage (NCBI taxonomy): Eukaryota > Metazoa > Chordata > Mammalia > Primates > Hominidae > Homo > Homo sapiens. Next base: position 180,137,806 of record NC_000003.12, on the reverse strand, counting down.
TCTCAAAAAGTCACTTTGAAGATAACTGTCTTGAAAGCCATCCTATTCAGTGTTAACTTTTCTGGTTCTGCAAAACCTGAAGGAATGAGGTTAATACTCATCTCCTTTTCCAAAAGGTATAAACATCAGTAGATTTTGTCATTATATAAAACAAATGTTCCAACTATGATAGAATAATGCAGATTTGGTTCTGAAGCAAATAATTAGGTCTCAGAATATCATGTATGCCCCAAAGAAAGAGATTGGTATACATTATTAGGCAGAATCGTCAAGATAAATAAAAGAAAAAAGGAATGAGATATATTTTGGAGCCCGGCCAAACAACAGAACATCCTGATATCTATAAAAGAGACCAAAATATGTCACCCCAAAGTATGACTTTTGGAGATTAGGGTATGCCACCCCCAAAATGCCTCTGTGGCATGAGGATTATTTTGAGCTGATTATTTTGAGAAACTGCAGCGATGGGAGAAGCTCTGAAAACAGAAGTTATCTTTTATAAGAGAAATTGACATCTATAAAGGAAATCTCCATTTGTAAACATGTCTCCCTCTTTATACCATGAAGAGAAGGATGACTTTAAATCACTAGAGACTCATAAACAGAGAAGGCACTGACATAAATCTGCAAGCAAGCCTTACCCTTGTTTATAGTGCTTTTTCTGGCCACTTCCCCATAACCTTGCCTTCCCTACATTCTTCTTTGTTTCAGCAGAGGATGTTATTTAAGCCTGAACTCAAAGCCACCTGTTTGAGATTTACTCATTTCTCTGGGTATCTCCCAGGTATATGAAGCTATCTTCACAGGTTTAACAAGATTTCTGGACTGAAATATTGTTATAATGAAGCATTACTCAGGCTACATTTGACCCACAGCCTTGTAACTGAAAGTCACATAGTACTAGATACTGACCATTTGCATCCCCATTATTCTATAGATAGGATTTATGACATTAGAATCATAAGACTTTTGTTTAAGAATTCCTTAAGTAGATCCTGAGTTGGGGTGGAACAACTGATGCCAAGCAGTTTAAAGACCTCCACAGAGGAACTGAATCAGCATGAATACAATTTCTTCAGCTCCCTGTCCCGTGACTTCTCCTTGCACTCTTTGACCTATGAACGATCTCCACACGTCAGCCCACTCCAAAATCCTTAAAACTGTAGCCCCAGACTCCTCAGGAAAATGGATTTGAGGTGTCCTCCCATCTGCTCATTCACCAGCCCTACAATTAAATGTCTTTCTTTGCTGCAACGCATTGTTTTGGTGTATTGACCTGCTGTGCATATTGCACAACAGACTTATTACAATTACAAATATATGACATACACATGTTAATAAACATGTTTGTTTTTCTCTTGTTAATCTGTCTTGCTCTATAGGGGCCTATCTCAACTAAGAACTATGAAGGCTAAAGAAAACATTATCTTTTCTCCCCTACGCTTACCTGAGTCACACACAAGCAGAAGCTTTAAAAGTAAAGCATTTGTCCCATTGGGGCCAGGCCTGCCACCTCCAGTCTCTGTAGACAGTGTGAACCCTGAAAATTTGAGACAGGTCTCAGTTAATTTAGAAAGTTTACTTTGCCAAGGTTAAGGATGTGTGTCTGTCACACAGCCTCAGAAAGTCCTGTTCACATGTGCCCAAGGTGGTCAGAGCACAGCTTGATTTTATACATTTTAGGGAGACATGACACCAATCAATATATGTGAAATGAACATTGGTTCAGTCCGGAAGGCAGGACAACTTGAAGGGAGGAGGCTTCCAGGTCACAGGTAGGTGAGAGACAAAAGGTTGCATTCTTTGGAGTTTCTGATTAGCCTTTACAAAGGACGCAATCAGATTTATCTCAGTGAGCAGAGGGATGACTTTCAACAGAACGGGAGGCAGGTTTGCCCTGAGCAGCTCCCAGCTTGAATTTTCCTTTTAGCTTAGTGATTTTGGGTATCAAAGATATTTTTCTTTCACAACAGTAAAGGGACACTAACAACATTATTTACCTCTGTCCATTACCCCTCAGTGTTAGAGGTGTAGGGTTGAAAGGAACTTTCTTTCCATTCCCTGAAGATCTGGTAATTTGAGTGGACAAAGAAACTGACAATAGACAGATTAATGGGAGAAAAAGCATACAAATGTATTAATGTGCAAGTACACCACATCACACAAAGTATGGAAATCAAAGAAAGACCAGTTGATTGAAGGTAAAATATCCTCTTCATAGGGGAGAGGGAAGTAGGGGTTGTAGGCAATTTTAAAGGAAGAGTAAATTATGTTTGGGGTGAGAATGGGCCTGAAGAACAGACAATAGCCTGGGACAAATTTTATCTGGGCTCCAGGTGTGGTGTCAACTGTAATCTTCCCTTCTTCGAGTTAATGTTCTATGTTTGATGAGATTATATATAGGGAGGATGTCCCAGAAAACTGCATTTCTTCTGGAGGAACCTCCTTCAGTCAGGTAAGGGAACTTCAGAGAAAGTTTCTTCCTGTGCTTTGGGAGAGGTAGAGGGGTGAGAGACGGATGTGGGAGAGGGCCAGAGAGCCTGATTCTGAGGCTGCTTCTTAAAAGCTCAAAGTCCTCAGCATGTCAAAGTGCCCTACTCTGGCATATCATTTTCTAAGCTCCAGCAGGGGTGAGATAGGTGCTGCTCTGCAAGTCACATTACTACATTTGTACCTTCTACATCCAACTGTGGAGTGGATCAGTCTCAAATATCCACAAAATTGTGGACTATACAGGTGGAAGGATGTAGCTTCCCATTGTGTTTGGATCAAACTCTGTTAGAGGCACCCTTTATTTCCATCAGGCCTGCAGAGAGGAAGTAACCTATAGTAAAGTACTTCTCAGTAACAAAACAATCCACACAATATGTAGTATAGTGAGCTAATTGACACCAGGCTTTTGAAGAGCTTGTTTACAGGAGTGGGCTAAAATTAACACAAGCCTGGGGAGTTTACCTACAGCTTAAGTAAACAAATAAGATTCCTTATATCAATATATTACCTAAGATTTATGGTTATTGCAAGCCTCACAATTAGGTATTTTTTCCTAAGATATTTTGTAAACTTTGTAGTTAAACAGTGGAATATCCCAGAGAGCTTCTTGTTCTTCTTAAGTATGGAAAAAAGAGAAACTGTGATCATGGTAACAAGAAACAAGATAAATAGTTTTAAAATTGCATAAGATATTTGCCACAATTATCTAGCCTCAAAGAATCTCTTCATTCTTTGTAGTTTTATGGTCCTGGAAATGTTAATATTTATTATTCTTTTTTTTTTATCTTGCTACAAAGGGCAGTAAAGCTCTAGAATTTTCAGACTTATTTTTTGTCAACAAGATTATTTTTTTCCAAGGGTTTCTCATCAAATCCCATTATTATCTATAAGTAATTTTAATTTTAACCACAGCTAATTCCATTTTTGGTTCTTACAACTTTGATTCCAAAATGGAAAATTATTTGATAACAGGTAAGTAAAAGAAAAATCTGTAGATGGCTAACAGCAAACATGAAGAGTCCCTCAAGTGAAAACTAAAGTGACTCCTGGACAAATGTCTTTTGGACACTTTAGGGAAAAAAAAGTTAAAGTTTTATTTATTGAAAAATTGTCAGAGCTTTTCATATGGTAATGTTCATTATGAATCTCTAAAAGAAGATTAAATCATATAAGCTTTTCAAGGTTATACGATTAAAAATATTCTTTTTTTTTTGTCCGGGCGCGGTGGCTCATGCCTGTAATCCCAGCACTTTGGGAGGCCGAGACGGGCGGATCACGAGGTCAGGAGATCGAGACCATCTTGGCTAACACGGTGAAACCCCGTTCCTACTAAAAATACAAAAAATTAGCCGGGCGTGTTGGCGGGTGCCTGTAGTCCCAGCTACTCGGGAGGCTGAGGCAGGAGAATGGCGTGAACCCGGGGGGCGGAGCTTGCAGTGAGCTGAGATCACGCCACTGCACTCCAGCCTGGGGGACACAGCGAGACTCCGTCTCAAAAAAATATATATATTCTTTTTTTTTCTTCTTTTCCTTAGAAGATTTTTCTCAACTTTTTTCCTGGATAGTAAACAGAGAGAAATCATCAGTTACCTTGCTATCAAATGTGGTACATGGACCAGTGAGAAAGGAGAGCGGAAGGAGCAAGTTAGGCAGATATTTAGGACAAGTCCTCAGAAGAATTATTTTCTAACAAAAAGAGCAGCCTGGAAGATCAAGCTACAAGCACAGATAAAAAAGCAAGGTCCAACATTAAAAAAAAAAAAAAAAAAGCCTTCTGTGAAGCCAGTAAGTTTCACGATATACACGGTGGGCTTCAGTGTGCATTTCCCTTTCCTTTTTGGGGCATACTCAGATAAGGAAACTTGTACAGGGGGTTTTGCCTAAAACATGCCTGCAGATGCACAGATAAGATATACAGAACCAGGCATGTCCACAGTTAAAAATTCCGCCCCCTGACACATGCACGGTAAGGGAGGTTAAACAACATGGAGTAACTCAGGCTAAGAGCCCGCATGTGCACTAGAGGGACAGGGTGGAACTGTCAGGAATTTACACCCTATACAAATGAAACACTTAGTCCTGATGAGTTTTTTTTTTTTTTTTGCCTTATGCAAATAAAGCATCTTGGCCCACCAGCCTGTTTATAAAAGTCCTTGTATTCAACGTAAAATGGCAACCCTCTTTCTAGCCCCCTCTCTGCAGTGGAGAACTTTCTTCTTTCTCTTATTAAACTTTCACTGCAACTTCATCCTTGGTGTCCATGCTCCTTAAATTTCTTGGTCGTGAGACAAAGAACTCCAGGTGATACCTCAAACCATGAGAGACTGCCACATTGTGGTGCATTGACAAGACTGTAACAGCAGCAGCACCAGCATCACTCACTATCTTAGAAAGGCTTAGTATCAGGCCCCACCCAGATCTACTGACCAGCATCTGCAAGATTTCCAAGATGACCCTTTGCATATTCAAGTTCGAGAAGACTTGGACTAAAAGATAATTCTGAAACCAAGGTGACAACACATATGTTTAGATACGCGTATTGCATAAATCTCTTTCTGGAATGTGACTTTCATGACAATAGAAATTATTTTGCTCACAAATGTATCCCATGTACCAGAACAGTGTTTGTGGAACATTATAGGTATTATGTGCTCTATAGTATTAATGAAACATTACCTTGATTTGATGCCTCACGGATTGGGACATGGGCTTGGGGAGAAGAAATGATGGTCTTTCCAGAAAGCATCACTTCAGAGTAACTTTCAGCTTCCAAGATAGACAATAGATTCATTGCAGACATTATGGAGGATAGTTGAAAAATCTGGCTATGGAAAAACAACTAAAAAATATTCATTTTATAGGTGATGGAAGTAATATTTTTTGCAAGTATTTTATAATTCTAATACCTAGAATGACTGTGTTTTAAACACTCAGAAGTGTTCTAGCAACTTCCGAGTTCTCCAAAATCAGTTTTCTCTTACTCATTGAGGTTGTCTTTCTGAAATGGTTTCTTTGGTGTGTGATTTTCACTCTGGGCCTCTTTTTTTTAAATCTCAGAGTCACATTATTGTATATTGAAAGACTTAAACTTCCACATGGCCTCTAACACTAATGTGATTTGCAATTAAGCTTCTAATGATCTTTGTAAATTGAGATCACTGATTTAACTCCTATTAAGGGTAATTTTGGAACAGCTTTGATATAGAATTATATAATATGGACACACTTCCTGACTTAATAATGTGGAGCTTTAATAGCTAAAAATACTATAAACTATAATTCAATATAGATGTATAGTTAATGGAATCGAGGGCATCTTCATAGGATGCAAATGCGGTATTGCTTAGATAGTTCTGAGGACACAGTGAAGAACCTTCTTCCCTCTGCCATCACCACAAAACAGTTGCTTATAATTTTAATAGACTCAAACTTGGCCATTAGTAACTACTAAAGAAACCCAACCTTTTACCTCTGGCCTTACATTCTCTTCCAGTGTCTGTCTTTTCCAGTTACTCCCTCAATACTCTATGGTCTGTCCTTCTGGCTGCTTGACATTTCTCAGAAGTATTTCATTCCTGTGGGCCTTCTCTCAACTTATTCCCCTGGAATACTCTGCCCACTTTTCTCTCTGCTTTCTTCTCTGTCTGGTGAATTCCTATAAGCCCTTCAGAGCATAGGTCAACCATAACTCTAGAAAGACTTCCTTGACTTCTCAGGCTAAACTACTACTACTGCACTATGTAGTTATCTCTCTTCCAGATAAATCATTTATTATGTCTCTTGGAGAATGTGTTGGATTCTTGTCTCACTACATATACCAAAGTAGGTCTTGCTAGATTATTAACTGTTCAGGGATGGGTGTGTCAGATTTTTTATCTACATATTTCTAACAATTAGCATAATAGAATTCAGTTATTCAACAATAAGCATCTTAAAGAGTTCAGTGAATGAAATGCAGTGAATGAATGAATAATCTAAACCTAACAGAATGTGAGCAATGCAATTTTTCTAAGCAAGGCATATTCAAATGCAAATTCATATGTCATTGCTTTCTTCCTTCAGTGTTTAAATTCTTTAAGTGGTCTAATATAATAATAATTGTCATGCGCGTCCGTATGAAGAGACCACCAAACAGGCTTTGTGTGAGCAATAAAGCTGTTTATTTTACCTGGGTGCAGGCGGGCTGTCCGAAAAAAGAGTCAGCAAAAGGTGGTGAGATTATCATTAGTTCTTATAGGTTTGGGATAGGCATACAAAGTACATTCTTAAGGGCGGGGGAGAATATATAGTATTAATTAGGGTGGGGCAGGAACAAATCACAATGGTGGAATGTCATTAGTTAAGGCTATTTTCACTTCTTTTGTGGATCTTCAGTTGCTTCAGGCCATCTGGATGTATACGTGCAGGTCACAGGGGATATGATGGCTTAGCTTGGGCTCAGAGAACTGACAGTAATAACCACAATTTATCAAGCATACATCATGAAGCAGGCACTATGCTAGGTAGTTTGATGCAGATACAAATTCCTTTTTCTGTAGTACTTATGGCTGTCTCTAATTAAAAAACAAAAACAAAAAAATTAAAAGCTTCCTTGAGTACATAAGCAGTCCTCTGTCTCACTTATCACCCCTTTCTTTGATTCACACACACTCTTTTTTCACAATTTAAAACATGACAACAGTTTATCTTCTACAGCTCTTTCCTATGTATTAATTTTCTTTCTGTAATTACACTGGGAACCCTCTCAGAAGCAATATCTTGTACATTTTTGATGTTCTATTTCTTTCCCCATCCTGCTCCAATCTCCATCAGAATATTAATCACTAAGGAGGGATTTAACACATATTTGAGCTTTGAGATACTTTGTTCCTCTTTTCCTCACCTCTCTTTTTTTTCCTTTTATTTTCTCCCTTGGAATCATACTTAATACTTAACTGCCTTTAAGTATTGCAACATTGAAGCAGTCACGTAGGGATGTGCTCACTGTTGGTTGCTGCACTTCAACACCATGATTTACACCTGTTGTCCTGCTATAATAATTATTAATGGTGCATCCTTTCATACTCAAAGATGTCCCCATTGGGATGATAAGTTATATGGTCATCCTAACGATAGGAATAAAAATGCTGCAGAAAATTGAACAGAAAATCACAGGCTAGAAAAGTGTTCTATCACCTAGGTAACTACACAAGAGGATGCAATGTAGACATAGCAGTTCTGAGATTATTTTTATGTAATATAAACTGTTCCACAGCACAGAAAAAGATAAGACAATTTTCAACTCATATTATACATAATGCAAAAAACTGGCAAGAATAGCACAAAAAAAGAAAAATATGGGTCATTTTCACCTACATATATAGATCCAGAATTATATAAAATAATAACTAAACTATGACAAAACAATATTTTATGCTTAAGGAATTATTCAAGATTGAAAGAATGATCTAATATTAAGGTGTCTATTAAAGTAATTCACTACTTCGATATGTTAAGGATATTAAGCACTTAACAGTCTACCTACTCTTGGTAACAATTCTCTTTTAAGTGGACATCTTAAGGACACTTGAGAAAAACTTACTAGTAAAATATTTTTAAACTATTGTGGTGTAGAGCTGGGGAGGAAAAAATATATATAACTGGATCTTTCCTCATATTTCTACTACAGAATGAGAGCCTTAATCTGATTAAAAGGCAACAAGCACCCTGCTCTTAGGACATTGTTAAACACTGTTAGATATGAGTTCTAAATTTCTCTTCAAAGAATCAATATGTCAATATGTTCAATTCTTTGCCTTCTTCTTTTAAACTTAACTTCCTCATAAAGCAACCTTTTTTGATTACCTGCTCTACCCTGACTCATTCCAATCACCTGCTCATTCTCCACCCTGACTCATTCCTATTTCCTGCTCTGCCGTAACCATTTTTCCCACCAAACCACTCACCCTGTCGCTCTTTAAATTAGCCAATTGGAATTAGTTTAGCCTGTGCAGTCTAACCCTAGCCAATAGGGGAACAACACAGAAGCAGGGGCCATGTGCGTCAGGGATAAGAACCCCTTCCCTTCCCTTGTCCAAAGTGCATGCTCACCATTGCTCCATCTGTAAGGGCGCACCCTTCTATAGAAGTACATTGCCTTGCTGAGAATTAAAAAGAAGATTTTATATTCAAGTGCTATTCCTTTTGTGGCACCGAAACTTTATTTATAACAACACTCATTACAGCTGGGGAAAGGGAATGGGAAAGTAAAACCTGTTTCTGGAGTAGGGACAAGATAATGTCCCAAACTCACAATACTGCCAGAGGAGAGACAAGAGAATTGAGAAGTCATACCCCCAAGACTTAGTGACATCAGACAATACTAAAACTGAGGGTTATTCAGATAAACAGAGACTATACCCTCTCACAACCATCACTGCCCAATGTCAGCTAAACAAGCTTAGAAAAATGAGTAACAGCAGAGAAATACTGCAAGAGGAACAAAAGGGCATGCAAAGTTACCCTCTCTGAGGCAAAGTACAAAGGGAAGACTTAAAACTTAGACTCAATAAGACATTCCTTCGATAATCCAGCCCACACCCTGACACAAAGTACAGTTCACCTTTGAACAGTGTGGGGGATAGAGGCGTTAACTCCCTCCCCCCCCATGCAATTGAAAATCTGCATATAACTTTTGACTCCCCAAAAACTTAACAACTAATAGCTTACTGTTAATAAGAAACCTTACCAATAACATAAACAGTCAATTAATACATATTTTATGTATTACACTGTATTCCTGCAATGAAGCCACAGAAAAGAAAATGTTATTAAGAAAATCATAAGGAACTGTAAATATATTTATTATTTATTAAGTGGAAGTGGGTCCTCGTGTTGTAGGATTTGTTAAGAACTTATTTTAGGCAGATAGAAAAATGGGTCCTTAGGAAGTTTTCATTTTTAAAGCTGCTCCAGGAAAGTTTCCTGTAAAGCCCCGGCTCTTAGAGCCAACCTGGCAACCTTTGATATGCAAATGCAAGCCATTAGAAACTGGGTCCACCCAACATGGTGATTCCCATGGCCTTCTTGCCCTTGCCCCACATGTTCCTGGCAACATGGCCACCCCCACATATCCCCACGTGGGTAGAACATCATGGTGCCCTGCATTTGCTTTTTTTTGGGGGGGTGTGGGGGATAAGTCTCACTCTGTTGCCAGGCTGGAGTGCAGTGGCACCATCTTGGCTCACTGCAACTGCCACCTTCCGGGTTCAAGTGAGTCTCCTGCCTCAGCCTACCGAGTAGCTGGGACTACAGGCAGGCGCCACCACCCCCTGCTAATTTTTATATTTTTAGTAGAGATGGGGTTTCACCATGTTGGCCAGGATGGTCTCAATCTCTTGACCTCGTAATCTGCCCACCTCAGCCTCCCAAGCATTTGCATGTTAAAAGGCTGTGGTGGGAGGTGCCAGCTTTTTCACGGGCTATGCAAATGACATGCCTAGTCAAACCAATCCCCTGAGCCCTATACAAATCAGACACTCACTCCTCCAGCCTCTGTGTATATACCTGGCTGGTATCCCTGGCAGGTGGGGACCTCCTCTTTAAGGTTTGGAAACCCCCTCCCTCTGTCTCTGTACAGGGGAGCTTCTTCCTTCTTTCTTCTCTCTTCTGTCTTGCCTATTAAACTCTCCACTCCTTAAAACCACTCCACGTGTTTCTGTGTCATTTTATCTAAACCGGCATGAGGACCAAGAATCTGGTGTTCCTCCACTCATTGGAGCCATATCACTCATCAATGTCTTCATCCTTGTCTCATCACATTGACTAGGCTGAGGAAGAAAAGGAAGAGGAGGGGTTGGTCCTGCTCTCTCAGGGGCAGAGGCAGAAGAGGTGGAGGAAGTGAAAAGGGAGGCAGAAGAAGCAGGCGTACTTGGTGTCGCTTTGAGGAAATACATTGTAATTTCTGTCTTAATTGTTACTTTTTAATTTCTCTAAAAATGTTTCTATATGCAACCAATCCTTCCTCACCATCTGCTTTAGTTTCAGCACCCATATTACAGAAGGGTCAATGTCTTTAAAAAAAGTCAGTCAGTCCTTAATAATTGAAACCCTTCTTCCAGATTGATTAATGTTGAATATTTTTTCTGGCACTGCTTCTTCTATGTCTTCTTTCTCATCATCTGGCACTGGTTTGGAAGCATTCACCTCCATCAAGTTTTCTTCTGTTAATTCCTCTGGTGTGGTGTCTATTAGCTCTTAACTTTCTCCATATCTTGAAACACTTCACCTCCACAAACTTTTTCTTTCCATATCCACAATCTCTTTCATGATTTTCTTGATTGGCTCTGTTGTAAATTCTGTGAAGTCATGCACCATATTTGGACACAACTTTCTGCAGCAGGAATTTATTGTGTGGGGAATGATGGCTTTTATGGCTTTTTCCATAACAATGATGGCATTTTCAAGGTGTAATCCTTCCAGACATTCATGATGTTCTCTCTATCAGAGTTCTCTTCCATAGCATTAACAATCCTTTCCAAAGAGTACTGTATACAATGAGTCTAAAAGGTTCTTATAAACCCCTGATTTAGAGGCTGAGTTAGAGGTGTTGTGTTTGAGGGCAAGTAGACAACTTCAACATCTTTGGTGTTGAACTCATGGGGTTCTGGGTGACAAGAGTATTGTCCAATATCAAAAGAACTTTAAAAGCCAGTCCCTTACTGGCAAGATACTTCCTGACTTCAGGGACAAAGCATCAATAAAACCAATTCAGGAAAAAAGGCTGTCATTTTTCAGGCCTTCTTGTTATACTACCAAAAGACTGGCAGCTGGTATTTATCTTTTTCCTTTAAGGTTCATGGGTTAGCAGTTTTATACATAAGGGCAGTCTTGATTATAAACCTGACTGCATTTTCACAAAACAGTAGAGTTAGTCTATTCCTTTCTGCCATAAATCCAGGTGCTTGCTTCTCTTCTTTGATAATAAATGTCCTTTATGGCTTTTCTTTTTTCCCAGAATAGGGCACTTTCATCTGCATTGAAAACCTGTTCAGGCAGACATTCTTTCTCCTTAATGATTTTCTTAATGATGTCTGGGAACTCATTTGCTCCCTCTTGGTCAGCAGAAGCTTCTTCTCTTGTTATCTTGACGTCTTCTAAAATTATCAAACCATCCTTTGCTGGCATTAAATTTTCCAGCCTTAAATCCTTCACCTTCCTTTCCCTTAAGTTGCCATTTAATGACTTCACTTTTTCTCAAATAATATTATTCTATACGTATATGTTTCTTATGGCACTCCTGCACTCACATAAAAGCTGCATTTTCAATACAAAATAAAACGTTTACAAATAGTGCACGGTTTTCAAGCCTCCTGGCATAGCTGTAGAGATGGCTTCATGAATTTTCTCTTCTTGTCTTTTTTTTTCAATAACATTCCTTATACTGGATTCACTTATCTTGAAATGGCAGGTAACTGCAGCTGCAGACCTCAATATATGGTATATCATGCAGTTCAACTTTTTCTTATAATGTCATGAGATTTTTCTGTTTGTTGAGAGCACTTCTAGCATCACCAATGGCACTTTGTATGGGTCCCATGATGTTATTCAAGGTTTACAACATTGTGCTATACATGATGAAAAATATGTGAAAAGCATGAGAGGTCACTTTTTACTGGAATATGCTGTTTCCTGGAGAAATGGACTGCTCACAAGGAGATGATTAGCATCACATGACATTTTAAGCAAATATAATACAAGCTCATCACAATGGCAACAGGAGATGGCTACAAAATTATTACAGTTGTAGAGTATGTATTACAATTAATACATACTCTATATATATTAATTATAATACATATTATAACTGTATTATAATTAATGCAGTTATGATTTAATACTGTATTTTTACATTTGTTTACATTTCTTTCAAGTGCAAATAACACCATATATGGTTTGTGTTTGTGTGCATATGTTTTGATAGGTTTTAACATTTTAAAACAAATTTGTGTATATCTTATGGCAGTCAATGATAAAATAAATGAGTATCTACATATGTATTATGCATTGATGACATACCTAAATTTTCCTTAATTTTTAAAATACTTCTAGACTATGCAGTTTAATGTTTTTCCAAATTTTCACAAGTCTCCAAATAATTTTCCAATATATTTATTGAAAAAAAAACTGCATATAAGTGAACTCACACAGTCCAAACCCATGTTTCTTCAAAGGTCAAATCTATATGGGAAATTTGAAGCCTATGGTGCATTGGAGATAGCCATAACAACAAAAATATCTCAAGCCTAGCAAACTGCTACTTGAATAACTACAATCAAGCCCTAGAAGGAAAAAAAGAAATGCCAATTTTCAGATATAAGAACCTTTTGCTGCAGTCTCTATCATCCTACACAAGATGTTTAGCTTTCAAAAGAATTGTGAAGCATACAAAACAACAACAACAAAAATATGTATTTGGCAAAAACAAAGAAATCACTAGCACCAACCTGAGATATAACATAGATGTTAGAATTATCTAATAGAGAATTTTAAATAATTGTGAATATATGAAAGAAATTTCTGGAAATGATAGATAATATGAAAGATCAGAGAGGTAATTTCAGCCAGGGAATAGAAATAATCTTTAAAAATCAATGACAATGCTGGAAATGAACATTTAAACCAAGAATAAGAATCTTTTTTGATGAGTTTATCAGACTCAACACTAGCTAAAGAAAAAAATCAGACTTGAAGATAGATCAGTAGAAATTGACCAAACTGAAATACAAAGAGAAAAAAAGGAGTCACAAAAGCAGAAGAGAACATCCAAGAACTGGGCAAAAAAATGTCAGCCATTCTAACATATGCAAAACTGGAACTCGAGAAGGAGAATAGAGAGAAATGAGCAGAAGAAATAGTTGAAATAACATCTGAAAATTTTTCAGAGTTAATCACAGACAACAAATCAATAATTCAAACAGCTTAAAGAATACCAAATAGGATGAATACAAAATATTAGTCAACTAATTAATTTAAACCACTAAAACACAATATATAACATATTTATAACTACTGAAAATAAAAAGCAAAGAGATCTTCAAAGCAACCATAGATGAAAGAAATAAGTGGGAGAAAACAGAAAAAGAGCAAGACAACAAGCAAGAGTTATGTAGCTTAGGAATGACAGAAACAAAGGTAAGAATTACAGCAGATTTCTCATTAGAACCATGCAAGCCAAAAGACAGTGGTATGACATCTTTCATAAGCTGAAAGAAATAAACTGTCAAACCAGAATTCTATACTTACTGAATATCTCTTTCAAAAATAAAGAAGAAATAAAGATGTTATCAGACAAACAAAAACTAATGAGCATTACCAACAGAGCTAGTCTACAAGAAAAATGTTAAAGGAATTTCTTCAAGCAGGAAGAATATACTATCAGACTGAAACATGGATATACACATGGAAATAAGGACCACTAGAAGTGGAATCAGTGAAGATTTTCTTTTAATTGCTCTAAAAGATAACTGACTTTAAGCAAAAATTGAAGGAATTTAGTATGTGTTTATAGCATAGGTAAAAGTTAAAGGTATGGCAACAATAACCCAAAGTGGAGGAGGGAATAATTGCAGATATACTTTTGTAGGTTCCTATAATTACAACTTAAAGTGATACTAGTATTATTTGAAGATAGACTCTGATTAATTAAAGATGTATATTGTTACCCTTAGAGCAATTACTAAAAAAAAAATTAAAGTACAAATAGTAAGTCGTAGAGTAGATGAGATGGTGTATTAGTTTGTTTTCATTCTGCTAATAAAGATATATCCAAGACTGGGTAATTTATAAGGGAAAGAGGTTTAATTGACTCACAGTTCAGCATAGCTGGCAAGGCCTCAGGAAACTTACAATCATGGCAGAAGGGAAAGCAAACACATCCTTCTTCACCTTATGGCAGAAAGGAGAAGAATGAGCAAATGTGGGGAAGTCCCGTTATAAAACCATCAGGTCTTGTGAGAACTCATTGACTATCATGAGAACAGCAGCATGGGCATAACTGCCCCCATGATTCAATTATCTCCGCCTGATCCCTCCCACAACACTTGGGGATTATGGGAACTACAATTCAAGATGAGATTTGGGTGGGGGACACAGTTAAACCATATCAGATGGTATCATAAAAGATATTCAATTATTACATGAGAAGGCAGAAAAGAGGAAAGAAGAAGCAAAGAACCAATGGAATAAAAGAAAACAGCAAAATGTTATATTTTTTATTAACTACAACATTAATCTCATTAAATGTGAGTGATCTAAATACACCAGTTAAAAGATAGAAATTTTCAATACTTAATAACTATATATTGTATATATAAAAGTTACTAAGAGAGCAGAAAGTGTTAGGCCACATTTATAAGTACACAAGGTTATACATATGTAATTAGCTTGATTTGGCCATTCCACAATGTTTACTTATATCAAAATGTCATTTTGCAAATCATAAATATATACTATTTTTGTCAATTAAAAATAAAATCTTAGGAGACAGATTTTCAGATATAATTTAAAAAGCAAGTCCCAATTACAATGCTGCCTATGTAAGAAAGCTGTTTAAAGTTCAAATACAATACACAAGTTAAAATAAAAGGATGAGATGAGATATATCAAACCCTAACCAAAAGAAAGCTTGAGTAGTTAGACTAAACTAAAAGAAACTAGATTTCAGAACAAAAGATATGATTATTATCAGGGATAAAGAACACTATTATATACCAAGAAAAGGGTCAATTTTCCAAGCAAATATAATAGTTCTAAATGTGGATGCACAAAAAACAAAACAAACAAAAAAGGCACATTGGCCAGGCACAGTGGCTCACGCCTGTAATCCCAGCACTTTAGGAGGCTGAGGCGGGCGGATCACCTGAGGTCAGGAGTTCAAGACCACCCTGGCCAACATGGTAAAACCCCATCTCTACTAAAAATACAAAAAATTAGCTGGGCACAGTGGTGGGTGCCTGTAATCCCAGCTACTCGGGAGGCTGAGGCAGGAGAATTGTTTGAACCTGGGAGACAGAAGTTGCAGTGAGCCAACATCGCACCACTGCACTCCAGCTTGGGTGACAGAATAAGACTCCATCTCAAAACAAAAGCAAAACAAAACAGGCACTTCAAAATGCATCAGGCAAAAACTAATGGAAATAAAAAGACAAATAGACATCCACAGTTACAGTTGGAGACTTAAACATCTCTCTCAGTAATCAATAGAGAATTGTCAAGGATAAAGAAGACCTAAGTAATACTATTAACCAAATGGATTTAATTGACATCTGCAGAACTACTAATACCAAAGGTAGCAGAATACATTTGTTTTCAAATTTAAATGGATCATTCACTAATACAGTCCATATTCTGGGACATAAAACAATCCTTAACAATTTTAACAGAATAGAAATCACACGAAGTATGCTCTAAGACCATAAAGGAAATAAACCAAAAATCAATAACGGAAAGAAATCTGGAAACCACTCCCCACCTTCTGCCAAGTATTTGGAAATTTAACAACACACTTCTAAATAACCCATGAGTAAAAAAGTATTTATCAATGGAATTCTTAATAGAAGTTTAAAAATATTTTGAGCTGAATGCAAATGAAAATGCAACATAACAAAAGTTGTGGTATGCAACTAAATCAGTGCTTAGAGAAAAGTTTATATCATTAAATGCTATTAGAAGAAGAAGAAAGTGTAAATGATTTATGCTTCCACATAAGAAACAGAAAAAGAAGAGCAAATGAAATCCAAAGCAAGCAAAAGGATTGAAATAAAGAACAAAGCAGAAGTAAGTGAAATTAAGAATAGAGTAACAATAGTGAAAAATTAATAAAATCCAAAGCTGATCTTTTGGAAAAATCAGTAAAATTGATAAATACTGACCAAAATGTTAAACAAGAAAAAAATGCTACAAATTACCAATATCAGGAACAAAAGAGAGAATATGACTAAAGACCCCGTAGCTAAAACCATAAAAACCCAGAAGAAAAGCTAGGCAATACCATTCAGGACATAGGCATGGGCGAGGACATCATGTCTAAAACTCCAAAAGCAATGGCAACAATAGCCAAAATTAACAAATGGGATCTAATTAAACTAAAGAGCTTCTGCACATCAAAAGGAACTACCATCAGACTGAACAGGCAACCTACAGAATGGGAGAAAATTTTTGCAATCTACCCATCTGACAAAGGGCTGATATCCAGAATCTACAAAGAACTTAAACAAGTTTACAATAAAAAAATCAAACAACCCCATCAACAAGTGGGCGAAGGATATGAACAGACACTTCTCAAAAGAAGACATTTATGCAGCCAACAGACACATGAAAAAATGCTCATCATCACTGGCCATCAGAGAAATGCAAATCAAAACCACAAATGAGATTCCATCTCACACCAGTTAGAAGGGCGATCATTAAAAAGTCAGGAAACAACAGGTGCT
Source organism: Homo sapiens (assembly GCF_000001405.40). Lineage (NCBI taxonomy): Eukaryota > Metazoa > Chordata > Mammalia > Primates > Hominidae > Homo > Homo sapiens. The sequence continues at coordinate 180,120,842 of NC_000003.12, read as the reverse complement.
AGAGAGGATGTGGAGAAATAGGAACACTTTTACACTGTTGGTGGGACTGTAAACTAGTTCAACTATTGTGGAAGACAGTGTGACAATTCCTCAAGCATCTAGAACTAGAAATACCATTTGACCCAGCCATCCCATTACTGGGTATAAACCCAAAGGATTATAAATCATGCTGCTATAAAGACTCACGCACACGTATGTTTATTGTGGCACTATTCACAATAGCAAAGACTTGGAACCAACCCAAATATCCATCAATGATAGACGGAATTAAGAAAATGTGGCACATATACACCATGGAATACTATGCAGCCTTAAAGAAGGATGAGTTTATGTCCTTTGTAGGGACATGGATGAAGCTGGAAACCATCATTCTGAGCAAACTATCACAAGGACAGAAAACCAAACACCGCATGTTCTCACTCATAGGTGGGAATTGAACAATGAGAACACTTGGACACAGGATGGGGAACATCACACGCTGGGGCCTGTTGTGGGGTGGGGAGAGTGGGGGGAGGTATAGCATTAGGAGATATACCTAATGTAAATGACGAGTTAATGGGTGCAGCAAACCAACATGGCACATGTATACATATGTAACAAACCTGCACGTTGTGCACATGTACCCTAGAACTTAAAGTATAATTAAAAAAAAGATTTAAAAAAAAGGCCCCATCGCCATTAGGAAAAATCAATAAGAGAATACTTATGCCCATAAATTCAACAACTTAGATTAAATGGACGTGGTGTTTGAAAGAATCTAAGTATCAATGCTCATTCAAGAAGAAACAGATAACCTCAATAATGCTATATCTATTAAAAATTTTTAATTCATAGTTTAAAACCATGGAGGAAAGAAAACTGCAACCCAGTTGGTTGTACTGTTAAATTCTATCATTTAAGGAGAAATATTTAAGAAAGAAAAGTAATTCTACATAATATCTTCCAAAGAACAAAAATGGAGGAAACATTTTCCAACACATTTTATGAGGCCAGCATTGGGAATATTAATAGCTCCTACTTCATAGTTAAGTCCAGAGGCTAAATTGAGCAATTCATATCAATGCATTTTTAGAGTTCCTAGCCCATGTTTCCTGGCTCTTGATAAGAACTATCCATAGCTCATGCCAATAATCCTAGCACTTTAGGAGGCTGAGGTGGGCAGATCACTTGAGGTCAGGAGTTCGAGACCAGCCTAGCCAACATGGTGAAATCTTGTCTCTACTAAAAATACAAAAATTAACTGGGCATCATGGTGTGTGCCTGCAGTCCCAGCTACTTGGGAGACTGAGGCACAAGAATCACTGGAACCCAGGAGGCAGAGGTTGCAGTGAGCTGAGATTGCGCCACTGCACTCCAGCCTGGGTGAGAGAGAGAGAGACTGTGTCGCAAAAAAAAAAAAAAACCTATCCATAGCCAACAGTTACCAACTAATAAGAAAAGAAAGACAAACCAAATAGAAGATAGGCAAGATATTAAATAAACAATTCACAGAAGAAATATAAATGGTTAACATGAGAGTTAACATTATAAATAATCAGGGCAATGCATATTAAAATATTAATAAAATAATTTTCACCTATTAGATAAGCAAAAATGTAGATGATAAATAGTATACAGTTGGCAAGTTCTTCATAACCATGCAAGGAATATAAATTGGTACAATATTTTTGAAGGGAAATAATAGTTTTGATCAGTATTTTAAATTTGCGTATTCTAATATTCAACAATTGTTTCTAAGCATTTATTTCTAAGCAGTAAAGGATGCTTACTGCTATATCATTTTAATAGTAAACTATTAAAAACCAAATATAATCATCAATAGAGGAAATTCTTAAATTATCAGCTGTTTATACTATGGAATACTATGTAACAGTTGAAAATAATAAATTAGATATATATGTACTGTCTTGGAAATCTTATAGATATATTGGTAAGTGAAAAAAATTACAGAAAAATATGTATACTATGATCCCATTCCTATCACAAATTACTGACAAACAAACCATATATGTGCATATATGTACATGGTTAGTTTCTGGGTGGCGATAAAGGGAAGCTTTCCCTACATACGTTATTTTTTCCAAAAATGTTTTCCTATATTGTACATATAATTACATTTTATTTTTAGAATCGATGGAATGCAAGCACTTGTGTGCTTTTAGAGGTAAAATTTTTAAATAAGGGAACAAGGTTCAGAGGCTCTGAAAACTCAGAGTATGCATTTTGGAACTGAGAAATGCTGAAAGAAGGCTTCAGTAAAATTCTGCAGTGAGAAGTCTGTCCATGGTCTTTCCTCATCTCAATATAAAAGAGGCTCCCCAAGGCTTTGGTGGACTTCCTTTTCCGCTGTGTGTGTGTGTGTGTGTGTGTGTGTGTGTGTGTGTGTGTGTTTTCTCCCTCACTCTCTGTTTGTCCCAGAACACTAGATTAAGAATGAGTTAGGCCTCTGTTCAGATCTAGATTTCCAAGAAAAAGTGGAAACTAATTTTTTAAAAAGAATGAGATAGACCTAGGAGGGGATTCTTCTCCCAAAACAATGAAAGTCTCCCACAACTCTTCCTCATCCCAATTCCTGCCCCTCCAACACCAAGCTCTACTTAGCATCACAGCACAGGGGTCCCTGACATGCAGCCACACCATGCTGTGGGGGAGAGTGTGGGGTCCCTGACATGGCAGCCACACCACGCTGTGGGGGAGAGTGTGGGATCCCTGACATGGCAGCCACACCACGCTGTGGGGGAGAGTGTGGGGTCCCTGACATGGCAGCCACACCACGCTGTGGGGGAGAGTGTGGGGTCCCTGACATGGCAGCCACACCACACTGTGGCGGAGAGTGTGGGGTCCCTGACATGGCAGCCACACCACGCTGTGGGGGACAGTGTGGGGTCCCTGGCATGGCAGCCACACCATGCTGTGGGGGAGAGTGTGGCGTCCTTGACATGCGGTCACACCACGCTGTGGGGGACAGTGTGGGGTCCTTGACATGCAGCCACACCATGTTGTTGGGGAGAGCTCTGCAGCTTGACACAACACTCCTGTTTCTCATCAATTATAAAAAGCAGCTGGCCGTTGAATTTCCCCATGGAGGCTCTGAATTCACCGGGTGATTTCTGAAGCCTTCTCATCTATTTTGGTAGGTTTCCTGTAAAGGATTCTTTATCAGAAGTGGTGAAGATTAGATAGATATCATTATTTAAGATGAATATTTCTTATCAAGAGCCAGGAACCACAGGCCAGGAACTGTAAAAATACATTTACATGCATTGCTCAATTTAGCCTCTGGACTTTATGAGGTAACAGCTATTGATATCACCATTTTACAGATGAGGAAACTGTAGCTTAGAAGTGTAGAGTAATTATCCAAGTTCACGTGGTTGGTGAGTAGAAGGAGTTAGGACTTAAACCTAAATTCAAACCCAATCAGTCTAATTCCCTGTAAACTTAACTACCACATGAGAACTAGTGTGGGCTGAACAAGAAAAAAACTGTTCCTTGACAAAATGGAACCTATACCTTAGAACTTTTTAAGACAAGCTGTTTGCTTAACTCTGGGGTTATTTATATGACAAGAGTTACATGAAATAGCAGGGTAAGTCCCAACCTGGTGTACATTTCTCCCAGCAGCATGGAGGGACTGTATTGATTTTATCCTCTAAAAACCTGACAGCAGGACAATGTCATCGTTTCTTTTTTACAGATAACATCAGCCAGCAGTTTTCAAACCAACTTTGAGCATCTCCATTTAGGATTCATTACCCTGGAAAATGTCCCTCTTATATCCATCAATGAAAATAAGCTGTTCTTGAAGGAGTCCTCAGAAAAGTCTACACCGAAAAAATGGACCTCAGAGTATATTCAGATTTGAAACACCTCACAGCTGGGAATAGATAACCTTTTCCTATCATCAACAAGAAAGCTGTAAGCACAGGGACTGGTATGCACCTTTCCAGAATCCTCTCGGGAAAACACATTCCTTTACATTCACTCCAGGCTGGAGATCTGAGAGGAGCAAAGAAGTGCTTTGCCAGAGCCCAATGCAAGGAAGCATATGGATCTGCTGCCCAGACATCCTCTCTCTGCACCTTCATCCACATAAAACATGGATTTAATGAGAAGAAGAAGCTGGCATAAATGAGAGAAGTCTCCAATTTTAATGACTTAATACTTTTACTTCAGAACCCATAAACAACTACCATCTGGCCTCATTTTATTTTTTATCACACCGGAGAAAATCTCAGCCTACTACATGATAAAAAAAAAAAAATCAGAATCAAATTCCTGTTTTCTCTCAACCCCCACTTCCAGCTCTGAGCACAGAGTTTTGCAAAGCAAATCTTCGCTATTATTCTTATGGAGAAAGAATTCTGGCAAGAATGAAAAAGAACCCAGAGGAAGACAAGCACAAAAGGTGTTTTGTTTCTTTCAAATCAGTGTAATTGATACAGCTGTGTATGAGAGCAAAGCTGTTTCACTGAAACAGATCTAAGCCCCGGTAGGGACTTGCAGGCCTTGGCGCCATTTCCCTCAGAGCTGTTCTCAGATTACCTTACCTCAGTCTACCTTTAGTGTCTCCCGTCAAAACACCAAAAAATATGTAAATAAAAAGTTAAAATAAAGAGAATTCTCAGTAAAGAGCTCTGAATTAGACAACAAAGACAGTTATTCTGTATTCTTTTTAGAAACTACCTCACTTTAAAAACATTTTTTAAAATAAATGAGTGGTACACAGTAATGAGTTTAATAAAAGCAAACTGGCTCAAGCTTTATAAAGTTCAGCCCTCTGTTCACGGTTCTGACACACCTTGGGATTTTCAGATGGGGGCAACTCTTACCCAGGGGTGAATTTGACCCATAATTTCATATTCTTCAGGAGAAAGAAGCAAATAGATGAGTTGAATCTGTTGCATGAGTGAATGAATAGGTCTAAGATGTCCTTCCATCATTATTGCTTGTGTTCAGATTGAATAGCATATGGCAACAAGGTTTGATTTGTGGGTCATAGCTCCTTTTAACCCCCTTTCTTTTAAGTTATCAATGAATCTGTTTACTGTCTCTAAGCCAATTCAATCATGTATTACAGTGGTAGTTTTCTTGACTGCCCAACTCTCCATGCCTTAACCTCCATAAAGAGGGTCTACTTGGCAAGGTAAAACAGCTGAAACTTACTAAGTACTGTGATGGGCCATGCAGAGAGTTAAGGACTCTCTGTGTATTCACTCATTGAATCCCCACGATGGCCTTCCTATATGTTTATTATTGTTTTATACATGAGGAATCTGAGCTTCAGAAATGTTGAATTTACACAGCCACAAAGTGGCAATGCATGAGTTTAAAAGCACATGTCTGCTTTTTGAAATTGTACTCTTACTTATGATACATTGCATTAGAAGGGGCACAGGCTTTGGAGCTACCAGGACTCTAGACTCTATGCCCAGTTTGGTTATTTACTGGCTGGGAGACATCAGGAAAATTGCTTCACTGCTGTAAGGCTCAGATTCCTCAGATGTAAATAGGTATAAGAAGGCTGTCTGATAGGGTTACTTGGAGGTTTAGAAACATTTTAACACAAACTCTGATTCATAAGATATTCTCAATACATTAAGGCTATTGTCTTAGTTTTTATTAGTAACATTGAAGAGTCCACTAATTAAGAACCCACTCCATTCCAGCAGCTTGCTGACCATTTGGAAGATACGATGTAATAGCTTTCTTCTCAGGCCTGCCTTTTTAGAGCCAATGAATTTTTGAAGAACATTTTGATGCTAAATAGGTCAAATTACCTTTCTATTAATATCTTTTCAAAAGAAAAAAAATCCATCACGTGTATTTCCCGCTTACATTCTTAAGGGCTAGAATAAAAAGCTGCCGTATCAGCAGAGATTGTATTAGGCTAGAATGTTTTGTCCTAGAACTTTGAAGAATGCACTATTCTCTTGGAATTCTATTTCCCTTCTGTTTTGAGAGCTCGAAGGCAATCGTGTCAGCTACTGCAGGGCTGCAGAAATGTTCTTCATTTCTATCCTGTAAATGAAAATTAAATTTAATTATTCCCCAACATGTCAAAGGCACTCATCAAGTTAGGCTGGTTTATGCTGAGCAGAAACTGCGAATAAGATTTAATTTGGAAATACTTGTTTCCGCAAATCTTCCTGAACTCTGAGGAAGAATTACTATTTGTGGCAATACATATGGGAAACCTACTGTGCTGACTGAGAAATGTCATTTGAGGTGGCAAAGCTGTGAAACGCACTGCACTTAATCCCACCACATAGTAAATCCTTCACTGAAAAGTTATGGAAGAGGAAGCTTTGTCCCTAGGAACCAGCCTCCAGGAAGCAATGATTACATTAAAAGAGGCAGCAGGGGTTTACAGAACATATCAAGCTTACCAAATTTGATAGGATCCTCTCAGAATTAAAAAAAAATGCTGAAATGCTGACAGGCAAAAATTGTCATTATGTGTATTTGGGCTGTTTTGAAAATGTTGAGTATATCACCAGAGGAAGCCAGATACTCAGGGTTTAATAAAATCCATACCTGTAGGAAGAAAGAAATAGGACAGGGGAGCAGGAGATATTCTGGTTGTTGAGCCCACACAGACTTTGCTGTTAAGTGTCTCTGAATTCAATTCTTAGTTCCACTGTTTACTATGTATCCTTCAGGAAGTTACTTACCCTTTATAAGCCACAGTTTTCTTTTCTGTAAAATGAGAAACTAACATCAGCATTGTTGGATAGTCATAAGAAAGAAATGAAGTAAAATATGTAAGCATCCCATAGGTCAGAGGTCAATGCATGGAGGCTCTCATGCTTGTTGCTTTGGCTGTTGCGTTGTTGGCAGAGTGAATGGAAGCCATAAGAAAGCAACATCTTGAAGTGATTTCAATGAAGGTAAATGGGATTCTGATAGTACAAGCAGAGAATATCTGTGAGGTGAGGTTTGGCATCAGTTTTGAACACATAAAGCCACATATACATTTTTTTATTTTTTTGAGATGGAGTCTCGCTCTGTCACCAGGCTGGAGTGCTGTGGTGCGATCTCTGCTCACTGCAACCTCCGACTCCCTGGTTCAAGCAGTTCTGCCTCAGCCTCCCAAGTAGCTGGGATTATAGGCATGTGCCACCACACCCAGCTAATTTTTGTATTTTTTGTAGAGACAAGGTTTCACCATATTGGCCAGGATGGTCTCAATCTCCTGACTTTGTGATCTGCCCACCTCGGCCTCCCAAAGTGCTGGGATTACAGGCGTGAACCACCGCGCCTGGCCCACATATACATTTTAAGACTAACAAACTGGACGCACATTCCGTTGGTCTTCAAGATGAAAGGTATTTTCAGTAGTTGGGTAAAGCAGGTCTTTAAAATCATCCAAATACTTTTGAATCAGGAGAAGAACTATAGTGTATTTAAGCCATTCTCTTTAAAATATTTAGAAAACATGGAGGAATTGTATGTAGAATCCAGGGGAATTGTGTGACTTGTGAAGTTAGAGTTCACATTTCATGAACAGACATTAGAACAAGGGAATTTGGCTTTTCTAAACACTTCCGTGGCTGTGATGATAGGAACTATCAATAACATACGTTTCTTGATAATAATGAGAAAGAATCCTTTGTATCAGTTATTTGCTTTACCACAAGCAAACGTGTTCTCATGTCCTATATCTTATTGGAGCCCCTAATATCCCTGTGGGGTAGACAAATCCAGTCATATTACCCTCAACTTACAGATGAGAAAAACAAAGCTCAGAGAGGTAGAAAGGTTTGCCCAAGCTCACACAGCTTGAAGTGAGGAAGCACAAAATAGGTAAAAGTTCTGATTCTCAGCCCAGCGTTCTCAACACTATACCACACTGCCTCTTATTCCTAAATTTTTAAAAAGTTACACTGCAATTTTTTTGTGTGATTCTCTATCTATAGTAAAACGAAATTTTAAATAGCAATTTAAACAAATATCCTATCCCTCCAATACATCATTTGGTGACTTTCTAACAAGATAGATTTTCTCGTAAACAACATGCCAAAGTCTTTATACCTAAAGTAATTACATACCATATCAATCACCCTCTCTCACTTTTTGCTGATACCACTCCCACTTTAACTACACAACTTTGCAGGGACTGAAAACAGAGTAAGTCATGTCACAAGACTTTGAAGATAAAATTATGATGTGCCAAAAGGAGGTAGCAGGTTATAAATGAGTGTCATTTATTCATATCTAAGGACCATATCTGCAGACTCTAGGAATTCTGATGCCAATCTCTTGAGGCTATGTATTAGCAACAGTATCTGGATTTGTGTAGTTTGTGTTCCTGACTGCTGACTTGTAACAGGAGGATTAAAAACACATGCACACACACATATGCATACAAATAATCACATATGATTACAATTAATTTTGGTGGCTGACAAACCAAAGTGCCTGCCAACCCTCTAAAGAAAGAGTAGCAACTAATTACAAATATATAAATGAGTAGTAATGTGGTTATTATTGTTCAGAGAAGTTCATACTGGTAAATGACCTTTACAATTAAAAGTTGGGTAACTTTATATCTTAGAAGATCTTGTTCATACACAATACTTAAAATTTTAATTCATTTTCTATCTTTCATAGCTCTTAAATTGGACCATTTAATGAACTTCAGTGAAAACAAAAAGCAAAGAACACTCTTTGTTTCTTTTTCTTTCTCTCTCTTGCTGTATCATTTCACATAATAGTAGGTACTCCAAATTCTCAAAATTATTATTCATTGATTTCTCTGCATGTCTATGTGCCATTTCAAATCCTTATATAATTTACTCACATACATTATAGAGCCTAAATTCACATGACAGAGCTAAAAAAAAAAAACTTTAAAGACCACCCAACTGAGCCTTGGCCCAACCCCCTCGTTTTAGAAGTATGAAAACTTAGGCTCAAAGTGTCAGGTGACTTTCCTGAAATCACACAACTGGCCAGTCAGAATTTACACTAGAACTTAGCTTTCAATACTTAGCTAAGGCATTTTATATAAATGAAGTGATGCCATAAGTGTGGATGTTAGTATTTTATTTTTTATTAATTAAAATGAGCAACAAATGCAAAAGGCCATAATTCTTCTCTCAATATAAGTTGGAAGAGTTCCTTTTAGGAAATAATGACTTGTCTTGCATATCATTCAGCAACTGAGCATTTATGTGATGGGTAAAGGCCAAATCTCACCCAGATTTGTAACATATAGGCAGGTCAGCATTTCATTTTGAGGTGGTTTCCTAGGGCCTACCATTACAAGCCTGCATCTTCTGTCTGGATAAACCATAATGTGGCTTTTATGATTAAAAAATGAGACAGAGAGAATTTTGCTTTCTTTATTATTGGTCATGTATCATGTAAGCACTATCCGAATATTTTCCACAATGATTGTAGCTCTCTCCTCAATTCCTGTCTGATAGTCCAAACAGCATGATCCTGGAAAATATACAGCTGGTGTTAGTAAAAGAAACATGCATAGGACACGGCCATCAACATCCAGACAAGCCCCTAAGAGAAAAACTGGGACAGTTCCAGGTAAAAGAGTGGGGTAACGTTGATTTATTTTATACCTTGACTGGGGCAGAAATTGTGGTCCAGGTCCAATAATATTCATTTTCACTTTATTTGTGATGTAAAGGATGCATTTCCCTCTGATTTATTTGCATATACACATACATATATATGTCTATCACCACAAGGAGCAAGCAGGATTTCTTTTTTTTTTTTTTTTTTTTTTTTTTTTTTAGGACATGGATGACATTGGAAATCATCATTCTCAGTAGACTATCACAAGAACAAAAAACCAAACACCGCATATTCTCACTCATAGGTGGGAACTGAACAATGAGATCACATGGACACAGGAAGGGGAATATCACACTCTGGGGACTGTTGTGGGGTGGGGGGAGGGGGGAGGGATAGCATCGGGAGATATACCTAATGCTAGATGACGAGTTAGTGGGTGCAGCGCACCAGCATGGCACATGTATACATATGTAACTAACCTGCACAATGTGCACATGTACCCTAAAACTTAGTATAATAAAAAAAAAAAAGCAAGCAGGATTTCTAAACAAAGAGGTTTTAAGCAGAGATCTGTGACTGTTACGCATTCTTCTTTCCCATTGCAGATTTGCCATCTTTCTTTTTCAAAGGGGTACCTTGGCTGGCAGTACTTTGCTTCAGGCAGTAAATCATGGCCACAGTCTTCTATCAGTCTTCTTCCTATGAGAAGCAAAAACAAAAACAAAAACAAAAAATCATTGTCTAGGAGCTCTTGAGTCCTACAGAGAGGATTTTTTTCACTGTTCTATTAACAGAAGAATAATAACACATATCCATTTAGTGCTTGTGCAAATTTAGGCTTGCATTTTGTTTGACCCTTGCATCCTTTTCTTTGAGCTTTTTGTTTGCTCATTATTTACTGAATTATTTCCTAATATGTTCTAGGCACTTTTCAAGACATATTAAAATGAAGACAGATGGCCTCCATCTTTAAGCAGCTCGCTGTCTTATAATGGTGACAGGCTGGTAAACAAATATTTTTCTTTGTGTTTCTAGTGTAAACAACCAAAACTCCAAAAGGCCTGCAGCCTCAGCCCCTCTCACATTACTCCGTGTTACATTCCACTTCTGGTCAATTGAAGTATTTATCTTGTTTTAAAGCAGGGATGTCTTTTAAACATTGTCTTTATGAATTATCTATCCTGATGTACAGTTAGAGCAGTGCAGTGCTTCTCAGCATAAACTTGAAACTCAAACTAATTGGGATAACACATCCTAATATTTGCTATGGTTTTAAATATTTTATAAGTATGGGAATTAGCTGTTAAAATTACAAACAAAAAACATGAGACGTAAAAGCATTTTGTAAACAAAATTATTTTAAATTGTTCATTAGAAGAAATGTCATACAAAAAAATAATAAAATGAGTTCTCATATTTAGTCCACGCAACTACAACAGTTATAACCAGTCCGCTGTTCTTGTTTAATCTCTACCCATTACAAAACTCTTTTTTTCTTCTTTTAATAGAAAGGAGATACTAGGGCATTTTAAAGCAAATTCATGCATTATATTATTTCTCCTATAAAGACTTCATACCTATGAAAAAGGGATTTTTCTTAAAACACACACAAAACAACATTATCACACCCAACACAATTAACAATAATTGTTTAATATCATCTAATGACTTGTCTGTGTCTAATTTGCCGTAGTTCTCCCAAGAACTACCTTTTTCCTGTTGATAAGGGCCACACTTTACAATGATTGATTGCTGTTTTAATGATTATTAGTGTGTTCTCCCCATTTCCTTCCAATATCATTTATTTTGGGGAACAATTAAAACTTCCCACATTCTGGATTTTGCTTATTTTTCTTTTTGTGTAAATTAGCATATTCTCCTGTCTCTCTTTTTTCTTTGAATTAGTAGTTATACTTGCAGGCTTAATTAGATAAAGTCTTTTTTCAGGAATATTTTATAAGAGGTGCTGTATAATTTCTGTGGCTTTACATTATGTGCACATAATATCTGGTCTACTTTTGGTGATATTAAGATTAATTAGGGGGCTCAGGTGGTCAACTGGGATCTGTCCATTATAATTTTCCATTAACCATTCACTTAATGGTGTTAGCAGCCACTGATGATTGTAACCTAGATCCATTATTCCATTGGTATAGCAAAATTGCAATTTTCTAATTCTGTCATTTGTCCTGCATATATTAGCTATGATAATTTTATTAAAGAATAATATTCCTTCAATAGCTATTTGGTTACCCTGAAATACCGGAAATACCCTGAAATACAGGAAAGGGAAAATAAATGCTTGATCCTTTACCTTTTTGATCAGTTTTCAGAGTAATGAGTTAGTGCCTTATTTTGCTCTTCTGCTGAGTTTTCATGGTGCTTTAAAATATAGCAATATTATTTTTCATCTCCACATAGCACTTCTTTATTTTACATGGTTGCTTTTCTGTGGTATCCCAAACTGATTTGAAAAAAGTACATTCTCTTACATCTTCAATCTCCTTGAATCCAAAAATTATGAATCTCCTAAATATTAATCTGCTTTGTATGTCAGTCAGTAAGGAAAAGAAATTATGCTAGGTTTTCAATCAATGGAAATGTAATATAGGACATTGGTTACAAAAACGATAGTAGGGTTAAATAATTTTTTTAAAAAGGAGGATATTATTAGTAACTCAGGAAGCCACTGCCCACTTAAGCTAAAGGACAAATGGGGAAAGAGTATATAGTGCCCACAATAACTTCATCACTAAGGCTACAGGAGCATCTGCTACCACCATTATCACCACTGTTGCTGCTTCTATGGCAGAAGCCTGGAACTCACATTTCCACTGATGCTGCAGGATCTCAAATACTTCTAATACAGCTGCTGCCGGAGCCAGAGCACCTGAGCACTATGTTGATGGGGATGATAGAGCACTCACGTTGCACTGCTGCTGAAACTACATCTGAAGAACCCAGGAGCCTGCATTTTTCCTGTGCAGCTGTCACTGCTGGAGAAGCCACCAAAAACCTAAAATAGGAAGAAAGATTACTTCTCTCTTCCTCATGCCTTTCAGTCTAATTTCCAACAGTGCTTTTCACTGATAGACCCTACCCAGAAGAACCATGCTAGTAAGGGAGTCTGTGAAAGGTAGCTTTCAGACTTCCATTTCCCTGTAATATATAGCAAAGCTTGAAAGGGCAAGATGAAGCTAAGAGCAGTCAGATAAATGGCCACATATACTACTTTTATTATTGCAGAGGGAGTCAACTCCTATAAGTCTTCCTGTAAGTCTTCACGGTATCTCAAGCCACAGAGTTTTTTATAAGTTCTATGATTTTCCTTGTTTACTAATCCATAAGGAGGAAGTTTTGTGTCTGTCCATAGTGATCCTGAAGTCAAATCAGAGTTAAATTTAACTCAAAAATTCCAAAGAGGGCTTTGCTTTCAGATCAGTGGCATAACATTTAAAAATATGTAAATATTGACATCTGACCATTTTGGAGATCAAACTATCTGGGCAGTAAAATGAACCAAAGTCATGGCCTTTACTCGGAGCTTCATATCTGTAAGATAACACGGACAGCATCCCTGAGGAAAGGCCCCTCACTGAACTGGAACTCTGTTAAGTGACAGTTGTTGCTTGGATCCAGGTTGGGGTCCTTCCAGGTACTTTTATTGCAGCCAATCTATAACATGAGGGGAAGCCAAAGAGACACCACTAAAGAATCCCTCAGATTGTCCTTGCTCTCCATATACAGGTCAGAAAACCTTTGTCTCTTAGAAAGCTGTGCCATGTAGATGGGGCTTTTTCCTGTTTGGCTACCAGGAACAAGACCATAGATCTCCCACCTTTTCCCATCAATCGAATCACTATTTTACCTTATAGATGTTTTTCAAATGCCTATTCAAGGCTAAATAGTGATATTTAGCCTTGGTTTCTGAGGCAGCTAAAAAAATTCATTTGTGTACTTTTTTTACCTCTTAAATAGGAATTTAAGAGGATAAAAAGAAGGTGAGGTCTGTGCTTATCGAATAACATTGCTGAAAAACATATTTATTCTAAAATTATTTCAGCACTCCCCTTAACACGTTTTATCAATCATAAACTCATATAAAATCTATTTTTAAATGTAGCCATATATATGGAGGATTAATGCTTATTTTTTTATTTTACATTTTATTTGTTGATAAGGTAGCACTTTCATATGGTTAAAAATACAAAATATAAAAATGGTCAAGTGTGATAAGCTTCCTTTCCATCCATGTTCTCTGGCCAGTATAGAACTTTCCCTATATTCAGTTCTCATGTGTTTTTCTAAATATATTTTATATATGATGGTATACCCATATATCCTGTCTTGCACCTTGCTTTTTTCACTTAAGTATATATTGGAGTTTATATATATATATACTATATATATAATATGACATCTGACAATTTTGGAGATCAAACTATCTGGGCGACAAAATGAACTGAAGTCATGGCCTTTACTGAGAGCTTCATATCTGTCAGATAACATGGACAGCTTTTGTTAAAATACACGAGAACTGAATATAGGGAAAGGAACTGAGTGGCCAGAGAACATGGAAGGGAAGGAGCCTTTTCACTCTTGACCATTTTTATATTTTGTATTTTTAACCATATGAAAGTACTACGATAGATAGAGGATAGATGATAGATAGATAACTCCATATCAATTCCCTCATGTATAGGATACATTCCTACAAGTGGAATTGTTGGATCAAAGGATATATGTCATTTGTAATTTTGATGGATATTGCCAAGCTGTCCTCCATAGGATAATTTACACTTACACCATCAATGTAATGACAGTATCTGTTTCCCCACATTCTCACCATCACAGTGCATCATCAAAATTTTGTTCTTTGCTAAGTGAAAAATCTGTCATATAATATAAATGTAATATAAATACCATGTAAATGATGACAAACACTTTTATATTAAAGTATTATTTATATTTCCCTTTTTGTGACCTCCCAATTCATATTCTTTGTCTGTTTATTCCAATTGGGTTAGTGTCCTTCTTTTTTTAATTAATTTGTGGAAGTGTTTTATATTTTAGGAAAACTGGCTCTTTATTTGTTACTTTAGTTGCAAATATCTTCCTATTACATATTTTGTCATTTGTCTTAGAATATGTTCAATCTTTGCAATTTAAAACATAGATGAAAGTAAATTTATCAATCTTTATCTTTGTGGTTTTTGAGTTTTATGTCATAGCTAGAAAGGCCTTCCCCAATCTTGGATTATTTGATCATTCTCCTCGTCTTAAACATTTAAATTTTTAAAAAAATTATCTTCAACTTTCATTTTAAGTTCAGGGGTACTTGTCCAGGATGTGCAGGTTTGTTACATGGGTAAATGTGTGCCGTGGTGGTTTCCTGCACAGATCATCCCGCCACCTAGGTATTAAGCCCAGAATCCATACTATTCTTCCTGATGCTTCCTGTTGGGACCCCTTCCAACAACCCCAGTGTGAGTTTTTTCTCCTCATGTGTCCATGTGTTCTCATCATTTGGATCCAACTTATATGTGAGAACAGGCAGTGTTTGGTTGTCTGTCCTTGCATTAGTTTGCTGAGGATAATGGCTTCCAATTCCATCCATGTCCCTGCAAAGGACATGATCTCATTCCTTTTTATGGCTTCATAGTAATCCATGGTGTGTATGTACCACTTTTTCTTTATCCAGTCTATCATTGGTGGGCATTTATGTTGATTCCATGTCTTTGCTATTGTGAATAGTGCTGCAATGAACATATGTATGCATGAATCTTTATAATAGAAAGATTTCTATTCCTTTGAGTATACACCTAGTAATGGGATTGCTGGGTCAAATGGTGTTTCTACCTCTAGGTCTTTGAGGAATCGCCATACTGTTTTTCACAGTGGTTGAATGAATTTACACTTCTACCATCAGTGTGAAAGCATTCCTTTTTCTCTGCAACCTCACCAGAATCTATTGTTTTTTACTTTTTAATAATAGCCATTCTGACTAGTGTGAGATGGTATCTCATTGTGATTTTGATTTGCATTTCTCTAATGATCAGTGATGTTGAGCTTTTTTTCATATGTTGGTTGCATGTATGTCTTGTTTTGAGAAGTGTTTGTTTATGTCCTTTGCCCACTTTTTAATGGGGTGGTTTGTTTTCTTCTTGTAAGTTCATTTAAGATCCTTGGAGACTCTGGATATTAGGCCTTTGTCAGATAAAAAGATCAGAAAAATTATCTCCCATTCTGTAGATTGTCCGTTCATTCTGATGATAGTTTATTTTACTGTGCAGAA
This sequence comes from Homo sapiens, assembly GCF_000001405.40. NCBI lineage: Eukaryota > Metazoa > Chordata > Mammalia > Primates > Hominidae > Homo > Homo sapiens. Next base: position 180,105,010 of record NC_000003.12, on the reverse strand, counting down.
GCTCTTTAGTTTAATTAGATCCCATTTATCAATTTGTGCTTTGGTTGCAATTGCTTTCGGCATTTTCATCATGATATCTTTGCCCATGCCTATGTCCTGAACAGTATTGCCTAGATTTTCTTCTAGTTTTTATAGTTTGGGGTTTTACATTTAAGTCTTTAATCCATCTTGAGTTAATTTTTGTCTTTAATCCATCCTGAGTTGATTTTAGTATATAGTGTAAAGAAGGGGTCCAGTTTCAATTTTCTGCATATGGCTAGCCAGTTCTCCCAGCACCATTTATTAAATAGGGAATCTTTTCTTCAGTGCTTGTTTTTGTCAGGTTTGCCCAAGAATAGATGAGTGTAGATGTGCAGTCTTATTTCTGAGTTCTCTATTCTATTCCATTGGTCTATTTGTCTGTTCTGGTACCAGTACCATGCTATTTTGACTACTGTAGCCTTGTAGTATAGTTGGAAATCAGGTAGTGTGATGCTTCCAGCTTTGTTCTTTTTTGCTTAGGATTGTCTTGGCTATACAGGCTCTTTTTTGGTTCCATATGAATTTTAAAATAGTTTTTTTCTAACTCTGTGAAGAATGTCAATGGTAGTTTGATAGGAATAGCATTGAATCTATAAATTACTATGGGCAGTATGGCCATTTTCACAATACTGGTTCTTCCTATCCATGAGCATGAAATGTTTTTCCATTTGTTTGCGTCTTCTCTGATTTCTTTGAGCAGTGGTTTGTAGTTCTCCTTGAAGAGGTTATTCACATCCCTTGTTAGCTGTATTTCTAGGTATTTTATTCTTTTTGTAGCAATTGTGAATGGGGGGAGTTCATTCATGATTTGGCTCTCTGCTTGCAAGTTGTTGGTATGTAGGAATGCTAACAATATTTGCACATTGATTTTGTATCCTGAGACTTTGCTGAAGTTACATATCAGTTTAAGAAGCTTTAGGGCTGAGACAGTGGGATTTTCTAGATATAGGATCATGTCATCTGCAAACAAAGATAATTTGGCTTCCTCTCTTCCTATTTGAATACTCTTTCTTGCTCTCTCTTACCTGATTACCCTGGCCAGAACTTCCAATACTATGTTGAATAGGAGTGGTGAGAGAGGGCATCCTTGTCTTGTGCCAGGTTTCAAGGGGAATGCTTCCAGCTTTTGCCCATTCAGTATGATATTGGCTGTGGGTTTGTCATAGATGATTCTTATTGTTCCTTCAATACCTAGTTTGTTGAGAGTTTTTAACATGAAGGGATGTTGAACTTTATCGAAGGCCTTTTCTGCATCCACTGAGATAATCACATGGTTTTTGTCTTTAGTTCTCCTGGATGATATCCTGAAGTATGTTTTCCATCTTGGTTCCATTCTCCCCATCTTGTTCAGATACCCCAATCAGTCGTAGGTTTGGTCTCTTTATATAATTCCATATTTTTCTAAGTTTTTCTTCATTCCTTTTTATTCTTTTTTCTCTATTCTTATCTGCCTGTCTTATTTCAGAAAGATATTCTTCAAGCTCTGAGATTATTTCCTTCACTTGGTCTATTCTGCTATTGATACTTGTGACTGCATTGTGAGGTTTTCATGTTGTATTTTTCAGCTCCATCAGGTTGGTTATTTTCCTTTCTAAACTGGTTATTCTGGCTATCAGCTCCTGTACTGTTTTATCATGATTCTTAGCTGCTTTGCATTGGGTTACAACATGCTCCTTTAGCTCAGCAAAGTTCATTATCACCCACCTTCTGAAGCCTACTTCTGTCAATTTATCCATCTCAGCCTTATCTCAGTTCTGTGCCCTTGCTGAAGAGGTGTTGTGGTCATTTGGAAGAAAAGAGGCACTCTGGCTATTTGAATTTTAAGTGTTTTTGCATTGATTCTTTCTCATTTTTGTGGGCTTATCTACATTTGATCTTTGAGGTTGCTGACCTTTGAATGGGGCTTTTAATGGGGTTTTTTTGATGTTGTTTTCTGTTTACTTGTTTGTTTTTCTTTAACAGTCAGGCCACTCTTCTGTAGGGTTGCTGCAGTGTGCTGGGGGTCTGCTCCAGACCCTAGTTGCATTGGGTTTTCCTGTACTTGGAAGTATCACCAGTGAAGTCTGTGAAACAGCAAAGATAGTAGCCCACTCCTTCCTCTGGAAGCTCTGTCTCATGGAGCCACCAACCTGCTGCCAGCCCAAGTGCACCTATAAGAGGTGGCTGGAGAGCCCTATTGGGAGGTATTGCCCAATCAGCAGAAATGAGATCAGGGACCTGCTTAAAGAATCAGTCTGGCTGCTTTTTTGAAGAGCAGTTGTGCTGCAATGTAGGGGACCGACCCTTCCTCATCTGAACCATTTGTGTTCTCCAAAGCCTGCAGGCTGGAACAGCTGAGTCTACCAAACAAGTGGTATGGTGGTCACCCCTCCCTCCAGGAGCTTCATCCCAGGAAGAGATCAGGGCTCTGTCCGTAGAACCCTGGCTAGAGTGGCTGAAGCCCCCACAAGGAGGTCCTGCCCAGTGAAGAGGAATGGATCAGGGTCCCACTTAAAGAAGCAGCCTGTCTGCAATCTGGCAACGCAGCTGGATTATGTTGTCGGGGACCCTTCTTATTCCAGATCATCTGTATTCTTCAAAGCCGGCAGGCAGGCTGGAATGGCTCAGTCTACCAACCTGCAGATATAGCAACCGCCCCTCCCCTCAGGAATTTAGTCCTGACTCGGCAGACTCCAGCCTGTTGACTTTGGCTGCCTGAAATTCCAAGTTAGTGGGTCTTAACCCGTGAGGTGTCATGGAAGTGGGACCTGCAGAACGATGCTCTTTGGCTCCCCGGATTCAGCCCCCTTCCTAGAGATATGTACGCATGGATCTCCCACCTTGCCGCAGATCCCAGAGCCGGAGTATGTAAAACTCCTCGGTCTCTATGTGTGCCTAAGTGGCTGCTCTGCCAAGACTCCACACAGTTCCGTGTATGGGACCGAAGGCCCTGGTGGCGTGGGCTCACAAGGGGATGTCCTGATCCGTGGGCTGCAAAGATCTGTGGGAGATGCCTGGTTTCTTGGGCAGGGTCGCACAATCACTCACTGCTTCCCTTGGCTCGGTGTGGGGGTTGCTTTCACTTTATGTAGCTCTCAGGTGGGCCATTGCCCCACCCTGCTTTTCTTCATTCTCCACGGGTTGAGTTATTTGCCTAATCATTCCCAATGCAAGAACTTGGATATTTCAGTTGAAGGTGCTGAATTCACTGGCTCCTTTCATTCCTCTCTGTAAGTGCCATGGACTGCAGCTGCTTCTAATCAGCCATCTTGGCCCTTCCTTAAATTTTTACATTTAAAATTTTGGTATTTTTGGAATTTATCTAGGCATGAGACTTAGGATACGATTTCAATTTTATTGTCTTACATGGCTACTTATTTCCCCTGAAAGTATTTATTGAGTAAGTCATCTTTTCCCTATGGATTTAAGTACCTTTACGACATACTAGATTATTTGCTGTATTTGTACCTGGGCTTCAAGTTCTGTTCCATTGATCTGTCTATTCCTATGCCCTACCATACTAGTTTAAGTATTATTATTTTATGTTTTAATATCTGGTAAAGGTTGCCTCTGTCTTCTTAATCTTCTCTTTAATAGTTTAAAGACTTCAGGACCTCGAGAAGTTATACAACAAAAGATTATCTAGGCCATCTTTTAAATATTTATGCAGTAGGAAAGGCATCGTATGAACCAGAGTCCATGTAGGCAGGAAGTCAGTGCCCAAAGTTCAGGCTCTTCTTACTGGATGTGACAAAATCTCAGTAAATTGATGATTTAAGGTGGTGCCTGCTGCAGGCATCACAATTTAAGAAACTTGGAGAATGTTACATAGATGCTGCTGCATAAATTCATTCACCATTCTGCTTCAAACTGTAGAGGCAGGAGATAAGGGAGCTACTATTTTAGATAGGGAAAGAAGCCAGCATGGATAGAGGAAAAAAAATAGACCCAGCATTAGATCTAGAGCAAGGCACCTAGATCTTGAATTAACACTACATTTGTGAAAATGAAGCCATGGACAAGTCACCTCTCTGCTATATTTTATTCCCATTTGGGTAACCCCATTCATCTTCCACAGTGTCAATGTGCGCATGGTTTGATGTCAACTTATATACATATATTAAGTTTTTGCTATCTGTTCTGAGAGAAAACCAATACAGAGAAACTTAAAATCCTGGCAGAATTCTAGAGTAGACTACTTCAGTGAAAAACCTGTTTTGTCACTTCCTAGCTGTGCAACTTAGGCAAAGTGCATGAACTGTGTGACACCCCATGCCCACTCTATTTTTCTTACCTGTAAAATATAAATAATAGTACCCCTACTTCATTGGGTTTTCCTGAGAACTTAATGAGACCATCCACTGGCCACTTAGGACAGTGCTTGGCCCATGTTAGATACTAAATTAAGTTAACGCTAACCATAACAATGTTCATCATATAATTTATTTTAACAACTAAGCAATGATAAGATGCAAAAATTATTTTTATTTCCATGTTACAAAAACCAAGGTTTTATGTCTTTCTCAATTTCCAAAAGGTGGAGGTGATGGGGGGTTATAAGAAGAGTGAGATTCAAATCCTGTTTTGGGTACATTCCAATGGAGCCGACTATGTTTGTAGCTCTAAATTCTAAAATTATATAATGTTTTCTAAATTTATGCTGACCGATGTAGAGATCTTCCTCCCTTTTCTTGTGGCTCGTCTATTGATTACGTCTCTAAGCAAGATTGATTGACTTCACTGACCCAAAATCCCTTGTCGCATTTAAACTGACTTGTATTTTCTTCCCTCAGCTCTTGATTATGTCTCCTCAGCCAGTCCTTTCAAGTAGTGAAACAAATACCACGATTTGTAATTGTATCCTAGAATATACAGCTAATTTGCAGGCAAAGTCCTGAGGCTCTTCACCAAAGTCTCCAGTATTTTGTTCTCCAGTATTATTTTATACAAAAATAATAAAAATAAAACCACCACTGAAGCTTTACCACCAAAAGTTCTGCCTTATTCAATCTTCTTTTCTTTGCTATGCATATAGCAGATAAATCTTTCCCCTTTATCGATGAGGAAACTCAGCATCAAAAATGACTTACTTCTCAAACCTATAAAGTGGAGATGAGAAAAACCCTGGGAAATGTCAACCTTCCATTCTCTAGCCTGTAAAATACGTAACTTGACTTGTTGACCAAGATATGCTGGGCCCATGAATTGTTACCCTCTGAAGTAGTTCAAGAAGCTGATTAACTATTTCAGTGCCATGTTGAACACAGGAAGATAACCTGGCCTCCAAAAGCTCCGTGCGGGACGATGGATACGGGAGCATTTGGCTAAATAATCAATTATTTTCAGGCCTGTGAATCACGTCTTTTTGCAGATTATCCCTTCATCTATTTATCTATATATCAACTTAGTTATCCATTTGTTTGTTTCTTTATTCATTTGATAAATACCAAATTTCGGGAGTGTTGGAGAATGGCTGAGGCCAATTAGCCCATGCTGACTATTCTAGCATCATAGGGTGTCATTGGAATCTAATCTGAAAGATTTTTTAAACCTTAGTAAAAACAGTACAGGAGTCAACGACACAAACTCAAGTCAAACTGGTCAAGTAATTGGGAAATTATTAGCTCACATAAATGAGAAGCCTAAAGCAGAGCCGGTATTGGTGCCCAGCTGCATTCATCTAGAGTCTCTCTTTTCCAATTTTGCTTCTCTTTGTTATAGACTATGTATGCATTTTGTGTTCCCCCAAAATGTATATGTTGAAACCCTAATCCCCAGTGTGACGGTATTTGAAGACGAGGTCATTGGGAAGTAATTAGTTTGTGGGAGTAAAGCCCTTATGATGGAATTAGTGCCCTTATAAGAAGAGACTCAGGAGAGCTTGCTCTCCCTCTCTGCTTTTTGCCAGGATACAGCAAGAAAGTGGCCATCTGTCAATCAGGAAGTGGACCCTTTCCTGAACCCTATATGGGCACCCTAATCTCAGATTTTCCAGCCTTCAGAACTGTGAGAAAGAAATTTCTGCAATTTGGGCCACTCATTCTATAGTGTCTTGTTATGTAGCCCCAGCTGATTAAGACATCCTTCTACACTGGCTTCATTCTTGACTATTCTTCTTCCATGTGGTTCTGTTATTACCACCAAGCACTCTATGATTAGTTCTATTATTTCGCCAATCTGAAAATAAAGAGAGTAACTCTTTTCCAGTGAACCCAGCAAAAGTCCCAAGATTCACTCCATTTGAACCAATTTTACTTACATGCCTATCTGTGAATCACTGAGCCAAAGGAAGGGAATATATAGTTTTGCCATGTCTGGGATTAATGTTAAAGTTATTTTTCCACCCCACCCCGCCCCATCCCATTTCCATACTATGTGCATTGAGAGTGAGGAAGGAGTGATTTTCCATAGGATAATGGAAGTGGCATTGCCAGAAGAAGAAGGAAATGATGCCAGGCTGGCAAAAGCAAATGTTTATTATTCATGATCGAAAATGTGATGATACATATTCCATTATTTCATTCATTCAAATATTAATAAAACAAAAAATATTAAATCACAGTCCCTGCCCTCAAGGAAATTATAGCTTTTTGAGATAATCATATCAATATATTTTTGTGATATATTAGCTCTCATTAAAGGTCAAAATACAAAATAAGCAATGGAAATATAGAGTAGGCATATCAATTATATTTATAGAGTCTTTGGCTATGATATTATTAATAAGTTTCACATTAATATCCACCAATAATATGCTAGTACACAAAAATGCAGGGAAAACCGTAATAGAACCTCACTCATAATTCTTGCTAAGATGATTAGCCTTACTTTAGATACCTCTACAGTCTGCCATGGAATCAAGAGCCAAGGTAGTACCTTTTTCATGATTTGTCACTGCTTGACGCCTCTAGGAAAGAATAAGCTAGCAGCATCTAGACCAAGAATTTGTTAAGTTCATATACTGCAGTTTACTTTTTGTTATACAATGCCACAACTACTATTAAATTTCATACCATGGCACATAGTTATTTGTTAGCAGAAAACTGCTCTCTTAAAAAAAAAAAAAAAGCCTTTCACTCTTTCACCACTTTGAAAGCACTGAAGTTTAATTGAAAATTGGTCTAGGCAATCTGCTGTGGGCTTCTGAGAAATAATTTGTGTGAATAACTACCAGCAAGAGCTTCCCCAAGGAAAAGCTTTTATTAGGGCTGAGAACACTTTCTGATGATTCTTGTAATTACCTTTCTCTGAGTTACTGGCTCACCAGGATGGTTGTCATAAAGTGCTTTGCTGATATTCTTTCATGCCTCTTGCCTTTATAGCTCAAGTTCCCGTAACAGAAGAAGAAAATTGTTTGGTCAGGACATGAATGTTTATTAAGACCTGCTTCACATGCAAATGTTTTATTGAAATGTTTATAAAATAAATCCTGAAAAATATTCTTCTAGAATGTAATGGGACATGGCCTCAATTCATTCTTCTGAGTCCCAAAAGAATTTTCTCTGATATGGTTGTTATTTTTACTGAAGTAAGGCTATGAGAGTGTGAAGAAAGAACTTACAGAATTAAGACAGAAGATCCGGGTCTGAGTTCTGTCTTTACCTCAACTATAAGGTTAAGTACAGATAAATAAATCCTATGCCTTCCCATGGATCACTAAGAAGATTTAACAAGATACTGTAGAGGGAAATACCAAGCACCATGCAAGGGCCATTGAATGTGATCATCCATGTTAGTTGAATCAATAAACAGTAAAGCAGTTGAGTTGGATCTTCTAATTTTTGTATATTTGCTATTTGAATAGCAAGAGCTCATTAACACTATATTTGTTCATTCAGTCACTGAATTCAACATTGGAGCACCTCCATTCACATGATGTTATAGTAGGTGCTTGCATTGTTAATAAAAAAAGACTTTAGTCTTTGAACTGATTTGAGGAGAAGTGAGGGCATAAATATTTACATCACATTGAATATAGCAACAGAGGTGGGAACAAGAATGCCTGAAAGCATGAAAAAGGATCCTTTAAATTTCCTGGAGACATTTCTTTTTAAAAAGTCAGAGAAGACAACATTTGAACTGAGGCATAAATAATAAGCAAGAGCTTATGAGATAAACAAAGTTGAAGCAAAATGAGTAGAGGCCTATAGGCAGAGGACAGAGCATATGCTAAACATGAGTAAAAACGGCATGGTGAGAGAATGAAAAACAAGTCAGTATGACTGGGAAAAGGTAGCATGAGGAAGAAAGCCAGGAGGTGTGGACATAATGATCACATCATACAGGCTCTGTTGTGCCTTTCTAGAAGCTTGGACTTTATCTTCTAGGCAGTATATCTGCTTCCCAGATACACTGAATATCAGAATCACTTTTATTTTTAAAAAAACATAGATTCCATAGAGCTACTTTGCAAATGTTTGGAATTAGTAAGCCTAGAGTTGAGCCAAGATAAATAAAAAATATATACACACATGTATTTGTTTATATCCATATATATATACACACATATGCACACATATCTGTGTGCGTATGTGTGCATGCATGCGTATGTGTGCATGCATGCGTGTGTGTGTGTGTGTCTATTTTAAGCTCCCCAGGTGATTTTGATGAAGATTCAGCTCTGGAATTCCTATTTTGGTAATGGAAGGTCACAAAGATATTTAGCAAGAAGGGGCACAATTGGATTTTTTTTTTTTTTTTTTTTAACAAAGACCACTCCTGCATCAGAGTGGAGATTAGATGAGGACTAGACTGGAAGACGAAGTTTAAAGAAGGTTGTAACAATCCAAATAATAGTTGATGAAGGCCCAAATTAGAGCAGTGGCAAGAGAGTGAGGAAGCATATTTGGGTGAAAGGTAGGAAACTGAATTAACAACCCTTGTGGATTAGATTTAAGCTTGGTTGATTATTTTGCTTTGTGGTTAGCATGTCCAGAGTAGTGTTTTTTTGTATTTGGTTGGGGAGGGTAAGTTTTAAAGTTTTCATATGCACAGAAAGCATAGGGTCTAATTCTTATCGTTGCTGGTGAATGTTTAATAAATTTTTCAGCTCTGTGGATCCTTTAAAGCCAGTAAGTAGAGTAGGTGTCATGTTGAATGAGCAACTCAGTACACCCTTTATTAACAGTGCTACCAAGAAGTTATATTGGTGTTTCTAGGGCCTTCTAAAATAATTCTATAGCTCACAGGCCAAAATGAACACTTGTTTTGGTAGCAAATATTTATGGAGTAAAACAATTGACAGTACAAACTTTCAAATGCTCATCCACAAAAAGCTAGAAAATTGGAATTTTATTTTAAATGAAATTCAGCTCCACCATAGTGTTTAAAATTTTGTTGTACCTTTAGTGATGTAAATGTTGGGTTTGTTTATTAGGATATTTTAAAGCACATTGTTGAACAATTCACTTAAATAAAACTTTTTGTACCAAAGATAAAATTATTCACAGCCATATCAAATAACCTCAAGGACCCAAAAGAAAAAAATTAAAACTGTGTAATCTTTTATCTTTGACCTCTTATCTCACACAGACAACTACCTATATTTGGTGGGATTGTAGAAAATTGCCATTTTTGTAGGTGAAAACAGTTCATTATCAACAATTTCATATAGTTCAACCTAACGGTTATAATACACAAAAGAAACTTAGAGGAGGAGGTGGAGTGAGATAACCAAATAGAAACCTCCAGTGATTGCCACTCCCCCTCCACATGAACACCAAATTGAACAACTATCCGTACAAAAAAAGTACTTTCATAAGAACCAGAAGTCAGATGAATGATCACAGTACCTGGTTATAACATCATATTCAGGAAAGAGGCACTGATAGGGTAGAAAAGACAGTCTTGAATCACCTGCACCACCCCTCCCCCATCCCCCGGCAGTGGCCGTGGAAGCATGGCACAGAGAGAGAATCTGTACACAGGGGAGGGAGAACACGGTGATTGTGGGATTTTGCATTGGAACTCAGTGCTTCCCTGTCACAGGAGAAAGTAACACCGGGCAGAACTCAGTGGGTACCCATGAAGGGAGCATTTAGATCAGCTCTATCCAGAGGGGAATTGCATCCTAGTGGTCAGAACCTGAGTTCCAGCAGGCCCTGCCACTATGGGCAAGGTGCTCTGTGGTCCTAAATAAACTTGAAGTGCAGTCTCGGCCATAAGAACTACAGTTCCTGGGCAGGTCCTGGTGCTGTGCTGGGCTCTGAGCCAGTGGACTTGGGGGGTCATGCAACCGTATGTGTGTGTGTGTGTGTGTGTGTGTGTGTGTGTGTGTGTGTGTGTGTGTGTGTGTGTGTCTATTTTAAGCTCCCCAGGTAATTTTGATGAAGATTCAGCTCTGGAATTCCTATTTTGGTAATGGAAGGTTACAAAGAAATTTAGCAAAGAGGGGCATGATTGGGATTTTTTTTTTTTTTTTTTTTTTTTTTTTTTTTTTTACAAAGACCACTCCTGCATCAGAGTGGAGGTTAGATGAGGACTAGACTGGAAAAGGAGGTTTAAAGAAGGTTGTAACCATCCAAGTGATTGCCGGGGTGGCCAAAGGAGTGCTTATGTTACCCCTCTTCCAACCCCAGACAGCACAGTTCACAGTTCCAGGAGAGACTACTTCCTTCTGCTTGAGGAGAGGAGAGGGGAGGAGAGGAGAGGGGAGGGGAGGGGAGGGGAGGAGAGGGGAGGGGAGGGGAGGGAATGGGAGACTAAAGAAAACTTTGTTTCACAACTTGGATACCAGCTCAGACACAGTAGAATAGGGTACCAGGTAGAGTTCTGACACCTGCATTTTAGGCCCTAGATCCTGGAAGACTTTTTTTCTAAATACACCCTGGGCCAAAATGGAGCCCACTGACTTGAAGGGAAGAACAGAGTCCTAGCATAATTTATCACCTGCTGACTAAAGAGCTTTTAGTTCCCAAACAGTCAGCTATGGTAGACAGGCTGTACTTGCCACAGGCGTTGGGTAAGACTCAGAGCTGTGCTGGCTTCAGGTGTGACGCAGCACATTCCCAGCTATGGTGGCTATGGGGAGAGACATCTTCCACTAGAGGAAAGGAGAGGGAAAAATAAAGGGGACTTTCTCTTTCAGCTTGAGTACCGGCTCAGCCACAGTGGGGTAGAGGACCAAGTAGGCACTTTGGGTCCCTGATACTAAGCCATGGCTGTTGAACAGCATTTCTGGACCTGCCCTGGGCCAGAGGGGAGCCCACTTCCCTAAAGAGAGAGTCCCAGGCCTAGCAGTCACCACAAGCTGACTGTAGAGACCTTGGACCTTGAGTAAACATTGGCAATACTCAGGCAGTACTCATCATGGGCCTGAAGTGGTGGTAGTCATGAGGAGAACCTCTTCTGTTTGTGTAAAAGGGAGGGAAGAGTGGAAAGGACTTTGCATTGTGTCTTGGGTGCCAACTCAGCCACAGCAGAATAGATCACAAGGTAGATTCCTAAGTTTCCCAAATTGAGGCACTGGATCCCACACAGCATCTTCAGACCCACCCAGGGCCAGGGGGAGCTTGCTGCCCTGAAAAGAAGGATATAACTCTGTCTGGATTTGCCACCTGCTGATTGGAGAGCCCTTGGCCCTTGAGTGAACATAGATGGCAGCCAGGTACTGTTTACTTTGGGCCATGGGTGAGACCCAGTGCTGTGTTGGCTTGAGATTTGACCCAGTGCAGTGCCATTGGGGGTAGCCACAGAAGTATCTATGTCACCCCTCCCCCAGCTCCAGAAAGCTCAGCACAGAGAGACTCCACTTTTGATGGGGAAAGTAAAGGAAGAGAATAAGAGTCTCTGCCTGGTAATCCAGAGAATTTTCCTGAATTTTACCCAAGAGCACTAAAAGGCTACCCCTCTGAATCTTCAGTAGCCACAGTGCTACTGGGCTTGGGCTTCCCCTAAATTTAATATGGCTTATGGCTTCAGTGACCAAAGACTTAGATCATAACACGAAAGTTTCTTTGAATAACTAAAAAGCCTTTCCAGAAATGATGGGTACAAACAAGCCCAGACTGCAAAGACTAAAATGAATACCTAACACTTCAATGTCCAGACACCAATAAAAATTCGTGAGCATTGAGACTATCCAGGAAAACATGACCTCACCAAACAAACTGAATAAAGCACTAGTGAACAATTCCAGAGAGACAGCAATATGTGACCTTTCAGACACAGAATTCAAAACAGCTGTTTGAGGAAGCGCAATGAAACATACTATAACACAGAGAAGGAATTCAGAATCCTATCAGGTAAATTTAACAAAGAGATTGAAATAATTAAAAGGAACCAAGCAGGAATCCTGGAGCTGAAAAATAAAATTGACATGCTGAAGTATACATCAGAGTCTCCCACAGAAGAATTGATCAAGCAGAAGAAAGAATTAATGAGTTTGAAGGCAAGCTATTTGAAAATACACAGAGGAGACAAAAAAAGAATAAAAAATGATGAAACACATCAAAAGATCTAGAATAAAGCATCAAAAGAGTAAATCTTGGTAAAGACACAAAAACAAAAAGAAAACTTCAGGCCAATATTCTTGATAAACACAGATACAAAAATCATAAAAAAATACTTGAAAACTGAATCCAGCAGCACATTAAAAAGTTAATCTGCCATGATCAAGTTGGCTTCATCCCCAGGATGCAAGGTTGGTTCAATATATGCAAATCAATAGATGTGATTCATCATATAAAAAGAGAACTAAGGACAAATACCAAATGATTTTCTCAATAGATGCAGAAAAGGCTTTCAATAAAATTTAACACTGCTTCATGTTAAATTCTCTCAATAAACTAGGTACTGAGGAAACTTACCTCAAATAATAAAAGCCATCTATTACAAACCCACAGCCCACATTATACTCAATGGGCAAAAGCTAGAAGCATTCTCCTTGAAAACCAGCACAAGACAAGGATGCCCTCTCTCATGACTTCTATTCAACATATTATTGGAAGTCCTACCCAGAGCAATCAGGCAAGAGAAAGAAATAAATGGCATCCAAATAGGAAGAGAGGAAGTCAAACTGTCTGTTTGCAGACAACATTATTCTATATCGGCAAACCCCATAGTCTCAGCTCAAAAGCTCCTTCAGCTGATAAACAACTTCAGCAAAGTTTCCAGATATAAAATCAATGTACAAAAGTCACTAATATTTCTATACACCAACAGTCAAACTGAGAGCCAAATCAGAAAGGCAATCCCATTTGCAACTGCCACAAAAAGAATAAACTACCTAGGAATACAGCTAATCAGGGAGGTGAAAGATCTCTACAATGAGAGTTACAAAACGTTGCTCAAAGAAATCAGAGAAGACACAAATGAAAAAACAGTCCATGCTCATAAATAGGAAAAATCAATATCATTAAAATGGCTAGGCTGGGTGCGGTGGCTCATGCCTGTAATGCCAGCACTTTGGGAGGCTGAGGCAGGCAGATCATGAGGTCAGCAGTTCGAGACCAGCCTGGCCAACATGGTGAAACCCTGTCTCTATTCAAAATACAAAAATTAGCTGGGCGTGGTGGCAGGCGCCTGCAATCCCAGTTACTCCAGGAGAATCATCTGAACCCGGGAGGCGGAGGTTGCAGTGAGCCAAGATTGCACCATTGCACTCCAGCCTGGTGACAGGGCAAAACCCCATCTCAAGAAAAAAAAAAAAAAGGCTATACTGTCCAAAGCAATTTAAAGTTTCAATGCTATTTCTATCAAACTACCAACAACATTCTTCACAGAACTGGAAAAAAAACTATTAAAAAAATTTAGAAAAACAAAAAAGAGCCCACATAGCCAAGGCAATCCTAAGCAAAAAGAACAAAGCTGGAGGCATTATGTTACCCAACTTCAAACTATGCTATAGGGCTATAGTAACCGAAACAGCAAGGTACTAGTACAAAAATAGACCCATAGACTATTTTCAAACTATGCTATAGGGCTACAGTAACCGAAACAGCAAGGTACTAGTACAAAAATAGACCCATAGACCAATGGAACAGAATGGAGAGCCCAGAAATCAGGCCACAGACCTATGACCATCTGATCTTTGACACAGCTGACAAAAACAAGCAATGGGGAAAAGACTCCCTATTCAATAAAAGGTGTTGGGATAACTGGCTAGCCATATGTAGAAGATTGAAGCTGGACCCCTTTTTTACACCATATATGAAAATCAACTCAAGATGGATTAAAGACTTAACTGTAAAACCTAAAACTATAAAAACCCTTGAAGATAACCTAGGCAATACTATCCTTGACATAGAAACGGGCAAAGATTTTATGACAAAGACACCAAAAGCAATCGCAACAAAAGCAAAAAATGACAAGTGAGATCTAATTAAACTGAAGAGCTTCTGAACAGCAAAAGAAATCATCAACAGACTACACAGACAACCTACAGAATTGGAGATAATTTTTGCTAACTATGCATCTGACAAGGTCTAATATCCAGCATCTATAAAGAACTTAAACACATTTACAACAGCAAAACAAACAATCCTACTAAAAAGTGGGCAAAGGACATAAACAGACACTTCCCAAAAGAAAGCATACAGGCAGCCAACAAGCATATGGGAGAACACTCAATATCACTGATCATCAGAGGAATGTAAATCAAAACCACAATGAGATACCATCTCAGACCAATCAGAATGATTATTATTCAAAAGTCAAAAAATAACAGATGCTAGCAAGGTTGCAGAGAAAACGGGAACACTTATATACTGTTGGTGGGAGTGTAAATTAGTTCAACCATTGTGGAAGGCAGCATGGTGATTTCTCAAAGAGCTAAAAGCAGAACTGTTCAACTCAACAATCCCATAACTGGATACATACCCAGAGGAATATAAATCATTCTATCATAAAGACATATGCATGAGAACGTTCATTGAAGCACTATTCACAATAGCAAAGACGTGGTATCAACCTAAATGCCCATCATGGTAGACTAGATAAAGATAAGGTGGTTACATGTACACTATGGAATACTGTGCAACTACAAAAAAAGGATGAGATCATATCTTTTGCTGGAACATGGATGGAGCTGGGGGTTATTATCCTTAGCAAACTGTTGCAGGGACAGAAAATCAAATATAACATGTTCTCATTTATAAGTGGGAGCTAAATGATCACTTACAAATGCAAAGAGGAAAACAACAGACACTGGGGTCTACTTGAGGGTGGAGGGTGGGAGAAGGGACAGGAGTGGGAAAGGTAACTATTGATTACTGGGCTTAATACCTGAGTGATTAAATAATCTGTACAGCAAGACATGAGTTTACCTGTGTAATAAACCTTCTCATGTACCCCTGACCCTAAAATAGAAGTTAAAAGAGAGTAAATCTGAAAGTTATTGGCCTTAAAGAAGACACAAAGAGAGAGATAGGAGTAGAAAGTTTTAGTCAAAGGGATAATAATGGAGAACTTCCCAAACCTACAGAAAGAAAATGAATATTCAAGTACAGCAAGGTTATAGAACACCAATCAGATTTAACTCAAATGAGGCTACCTCAAGACATTTAATAATCAAATTCCCAAGAGTCAAGTATAGAGGAAGAATCCTAAAAGAGAAAGGAAAAAGCATAAAAAGAAGCTCCAATACATCTTACAGCCGATTTTTCATTGGAGAACTTACAGGCCAGGAAAAGTGGCATGACATATTTAAAGTGCTAAAAAGAAAAGAAAACAACCCTTTTCCTTTTTTTATATACTTTAAGTTCTGGAATACATGTGCAGAATGTGCAGGTTTGTTACATTCCATGTACACATGCCATGGTGGTTTGCTGCACTCATCAACCCATCATCTACATTAGGTATTTCTCCTAATGCTATCCCTTCCCTAGGCCCCCACCCCTGACAGGCCCCAGTGTGTGATGTTCCCCTCCTGGTGTCCATGTGTTATCATTGTTCAACTCCCACTTATGAGTAAGAAACTGCGGTGTTTGGTTTTCTGTTCCTGTGTTAGTTTGCTGAGAACAATGGTTTCCAGCTTCATCCATGTCCCTGCAAAGGACATGAACTCATTCTTTTTTATGGCTGCATAGTATTCCATAGTGTATATGTGCCACATTTTCTTTATCCAGTCTATCATTGATGGGCATTTGGGTTGTTTCCAAGTGTTTGCTATTGCGAATAGTGCTGCAATAAACATATGTGTGCATGTGTCTTTATAGTAGAATGATTTATAATCCTTTGGGTATATACCCAGTAATGGGATGGCTGGGTCAAATGGTATTTCTGGTTCTAGATCCTTGAGGAATCGCCACACTGTCTTCCACAACAGTTGAACTAATTTACACTCCCACCAACAGTGTAAAAGTGTTCCTATTTCTCCACATCCTCTACAACATCTGTTGTTTCCTGACTTTTTAATGATCGCCATTCTAACTGGCGTGAGATGGTATCTCAAAAGAAGACACTTATGTGACCAACAAACATACGAAAGAAAAAGCTCATCATCACTGGTTATTACAGAAAACAACCCTTTGATCCTAGAATAGTATATTCAGTGAAAATATCCTTCAAACATGAAGAAATATACTTTCCCAGAAAAACAAAAGCGAAGGAATTCTATCAACACCAGACCTATCCTACAAGAAATGCTAAGGAGAGGTCTTTAATCTGAAAGAAAAGGACCTATGAGCAATAAGAAATTATCTGAAGGTGCAAAATCACTGGTAATAGTACGTACACAGAAAAACACAAAATAATGTAACACTGTAACTGTGAGTTTTAAACTACTCATGTTAAGTAGAAAAACTAAAAGATGAATTGGTAAAAAATAATAACTACAACTTCTCAAGACATAGTACCATAAGATGTAAATAGGAACCACAAAAAGTTTTAAAGCAGAACAAAGTTAAAATGTAGTTTTTATTAGTTCTCTCTTTGCTTGTTAGTTTATGCAATCAGTGTTAAGTTGTCATCAGTTTCAAATAATGATTATAAGATATTATTTGCAAGCTCCATAGTAAACCTCAAATCAAAAAACGTACAACAGACACACACACAAAAAGCAGGAGATTAAAACATACCACCAGAGAAAATCTCCTTCACTAAAAGAAAGACAGAAAGAAATAAAAGAAGGAAGAGAAGACCACAAAACAGCCAGAAAATAAATAACAAAATGGTAAGAGTAAGCCCTTACTTATCAATAAGAACACTGAATGTAAATAGACTAAACTCTCCAATCAAATGACAGAGAATGGTAGAATGGATTAAAAAAACAAGGCCCAATGATCTGTTGCCTATAAGTAACATATTTCACCTATAAAGAGACACATAGACTGAAAATAAGGGATGAAAAAGGATATTCCATGCAAATGGAAACCAAAAAAGAGCAGGAAGAGCTATAGTTATTTGATATAAGCTATACTTATCAGATTGCATGACAAAAACTGTAAAAAGAGACAGAGAATGTCATTACATAATGATAAAGGAGTTAATTTAGCAAGAGGATACAACAATTGCATATATAAATGCCATATATATTAGTCATATATATATATATATATATACACATATATATATATATGTATATGCAACGCTATATATGCTCTTGAATGACCACTGGATCAATGAAAAAATTAAGAGGAAATTTTAAAGTTTCTTGAAACAAATGAAGATTTTAACACAACATACCAAAACCTATGGGTTAAAGTGAAAGCAGTACTAAGAGGGAAGTTTATAGTAATAACCACATACATCAAAAAAGGATACAAACTAAAAAAACAACATAACAGCACTTTTTTTTATTACTTGTCTTCTCATTTTTTTCTGTCGTCTATGGTTTTGATTGAGTATTTTACATGATTTCATTTTCTCTCCTTGTTTAGCCTGTAAATAGCATATCATAAATTTTTTTAGTGGTTGCTCTAGAGTTTACAATATACATTAACAACTAATTTATTCAAATAATACTGTACCACTTCAAGCTGAAATACAGATACCTCATAACAGAGTATTCTCAAATTCTTCCTCTCATTCTTTACATTATCATCATTCAGTTCATTTATTCATATGCTATAATCAACCAAAACATTATTATTATTATTATTGCTTTGAATAAACAAAATCCATTGGATCAATTAAGAATTTTAAAAATAAAAGATTTTACTTTATCTTTATTTTAGTCCATTTGTGCTGCTATGAAAGAATAACATAGACTGGGTAATTTATAAATAACAGGAATTATTTTCTCACAGTTCTAGAGGCTGGGAAGTCCAAGATCAGTGTACCTACAGGTTAGACTGTCTGGTGAGCACTCCATCCTCTGGGGAAGAGAAATGCTATGTTCTCAAATGGCAGAAAGTAGAAGGTCAAATGAGCCAAGTGTTGTGTGAAGCCTCTTTTATAAGGGCATTAATCTCATTTATGAAGGAGGAGCCCTTCTAGCCTAAACACCACATAAAGGCCCATCTCCTAATACTCACATTGGCAACAACTGAATTTTGGAGGGGACACACTCAAACCATGAAATTCTGCCCCTGGCCCCTAAAATTTAAGTCTTTCTCACATAAAAAATATATCCATTTCATTCTATCTCAATAGCCCCAAAAGTCTTAACTAATTCCAGCAACAACTTTAAATTCTAATGTCCAGAGTTTCATCTAGCTATCACCTAAATCAGATAGGGGTGAGATTCAAGGCACAATTAATCCCCAGACAAATTTCCCCACAGCTGTGAGCCTGTGAAATCAAATAAGTTATGTGTTGCCAAAATACAGTGCTAGTGCAGGAAAAGGACAAACATTCTCGTTCCAAAAGGGAGAACTAGAAAAGAAGAAAGGGTAACAGGTCCCAAGTAAATCCAAAATCCAACAGGGCAAACAACATTAAATCTTAAGGCTTAATGATAATCTGCTTTGATTTCATGTTTTGCCTCCTGGACACACTGGGGCAGGGGTTGATGCCCAAGGACTTGGGCAGTCCCATCCCCACAGCTTTGTTGGGTGCAGCACACCCCTTAGCTCTCGTGCATTAAAGTCACATGTCTGTGATTTTCCCAGGCTGGTGCTGCATGTTTGTGGCTGTACAGTTCTGAGGTCTTGGGGGCAGCCCTGACCCCATAACTCCACTAGACATTGCTCTAGTGCAGGCTCTGCGAGGCACCTCCACTGCAGCATGTCTCTGCCTGGGCCCTGAGGCTGTCTGAGACATTATTGGAAATCTAGGTAGAGGAAGCCATAACTTGACAGCTCTTGCACTCTGTATTCATCTGTTCTCATGCTGTTAATAAAAACGTACCCAAGACTGGGTAATTTATGAAGGAAAGAGTTTTAATTGACTCACAGTTCTGTGTGGCGGGGGTGGCCTCACAATCATGGTGGAAGGCAAATGATGAGCAAAGTCACAACTTACATGGTGGCAAGCAAGAGAGCTTGTTTAGGGGAACTCCTGTTTATAAAACCATCAGATCTCATGAGACTTATTCACTACCATGAGAACAGTACAGAGGAAACCAGCCCCATGATTCAATTATCTCCACTTGGTGCCGCCCTTGACACATGGGGATTATTACAATTCAAGGTGTGATTTGAGTGGGGACACAGCCAAACCATATCACACTGTGCACCTGCAGATAAACCCACGTGGATGCCACTAAGGTTCACCACTGGCACCCTTCAGAGCAGCACCTGAGTTGCACCTGGGCCCACTTGAGCTATGGCTAGAGTAGCCAAAGAGTGCTGCACCAGAATGCAAGAAGCAGAGACCTGAGACAGCCATGGCAGCAAGCCTCAAGGTCCAACAGGAACCCTAGACCCATCCTCCAAAACCATTCTGCCCCCAAGTCACTGGCACTCTGGGCCTCTGATGGGAGGGGAAGCTGTGAAGACCTCTGAAATGCCTTGACCATCATTCTCCCATTGTCTTGATGACTAGCACCTGGATTTTCTTTACCCATATTAATCTCCTTATCAAATGGTTGCCTGACCACAACTTGAGTTTTATCTCTTAAACATGTTTATTTTTATTCTTTACATGGCCAGGCTGAGACTTTTCTGGATCTTTGCATTTTGCTTCCCTTTAAATTATAAATTTCATCTTTAAATCATGTCTCTCTTATTTCATTTTACTAGAAGGAGTAAAGAGAAGCCATGCAGCATCCTGGATACTTTAGAGTGTAGAGAGTTCTTCTGCCAAATATCACATTTCGTTGCTCTTAACTTCTGCCTTTCATTAAGCCCTAGGATACAGACATAATTCAGCCGGGTTATTTGCCAATTTATAATAAGACTGACCTTTCCTTCAGTTTTCAATAAGATATACTTCATTTTCATCTGAGACCTCATCAGAATAATCTCCACAGTCACAACTTAAGTCATCTCTAAGAAAATTAAGGTTTTCTTTAAAGCTCTTCTCTTCTTTTGAGCCCTCACCAGGATTGCCCTTAATGCTCTTTTTATGGCAAAACAGACTTTTGTTTGTATTTGCTTCAAAACTGTTTCAGTCTTTGCCCATTACCCAGTTCCAAAGGCACTTTCACATTTTTAGATATTTGTTATATTAACAGCCCACTTCTGGTGCCAATTTCTGTCTCAGCCAATTTGTGCTGCTATGAAAGAATACCACAGTGTGGGTAATTTATAAAATAAAAATTTACTTTCTCATACTTCTGGAGGCTTCAAGATTAAGACACTAATAGGTTCCGTTGTCTGATGATGGCTGCATCCTCTGGAGGAGAGGAATGCAGCAACATGTATAAAGGCAAGCTAGCTAAATGTTGCAGTAAACCTCTTTTATAAAAGTCTTCATCGCATTCATAAAGGAGGGCCTCTCATAGCCTAATTACCTTTTAAATTTTCCACCTCCTAATAGTATTACGTGGGCAACACCTGATTTTTAGAGGGAACATTCAAACCATGACAATCTTTTTTTTTTTTTTTTGAGACGGAGTCTCACCCTGTTGCCCAGGCTAGACTGCAGTGGCGCGATCTAGGCTCACTGCAAGCTCCGCCTCCTGGGTTCACGCCATTCTCCTGCCTCAGCCTCCCGAGTACCTAGGACTACAGGCGCCCGCCACCATGCCCGGCTAATTTTTTGTATTTTTTGTATTTTTAGTTAGACAGGATGGTCTCGATCTCCTGACCTCGTGATCCGCCCGCCTCGGCCTCCCAAAGTGCTGGGATTACAGGCATGAGCCACCGCGCCCAGCCGACAATCTTTATTTATTCCTTCTCGGATGTTCTTCCTTTCTTTATGTGGATCTGAGTTTCTAACACATATCATTTTGCTTCTCTCTGAAGAACTTCTCCTAACAAGTATTTCAGGGAAGATGTACTGGTTCATCAGTTTTTCTTTGAGAAAGTCTATTTCTCCTTTACTTTTGAAATATGATTTCTCTGGATACAGATTTCTAGACTGGTAGTTCTTTTTTTCTTTCAACACTTTAAATATCCATTCTCATCTTGTTTGTATGGTTCCTGACTAGAAGTATGATGTAACCTTTATACTTGTTCTTCTCGAGTAAGGTTTTTATTTTGTTCTGGCTTCTTTTAAGAGTTTCTCTTTGTTTTTGATTTTCTAAAGTTTGAATACTACATGCCTAGGTTTTGATTTTTCTCTCTTTTTTATATTTGTCTTGCTTGGCACTCTGTGAGCTTCCTGGAACTGTGGTTTCATGTCTGTCATTAATTTTGGAATGTTTTCAGATGTTTTCACTTTTTTTTCTATTCCTTTTTCTTCCCTTTTCTATTCATTTTCTCATTGCATCTATTTTACCCCTTTTGTAATTTTTTCACAGTTCATTGATATTCTGTTCTATATTTTTAATAGGTGTTATTCTCTAGATAGTTTCAGGTCTACAGCAAAATGGAGCAGAAGGTACAGAGATTTCCCACATGTCCCCTGCACCCACACATGTATAGCCTCCCCTGTTGTCATATCTACCACCCAAGTGGTTTGTTTATTACAGTCGATGAACCTACATTAAAACATCATTTCCAGACAGAGTCCATAGTTTACATAAAGTTTACTCTTGGTCTTGCATATTCTGTAGGTATGGACAAATTACAGTGACACGTATTCACCATTATATCATAAAGAGAAGTTTCAGTGCACTAAAGATCCTCTATACTTTGGCTATTCATCTTTCCTTCCCCAGTAACCCTTAGCAACCACTGATATTTTTACCGTCTCCATAGATTTACCCTTTCCAGAGTGTTATATAGTATGCAGTCTTTCAGATTGGCTTTTTTTCCACATAGAAATGTGCATTTAACTTTCTTCTATGTCTTTTCATTTCTTGATAAATTATTCATTTTTATTCCTGAATAATGTTCCATTGTCTGGATAAAACACAGTTTATTCATTCAGCTCCTAAATGACATACAGGTTGCTTCCAAATATGGGCAATTATAAGTAAAGCTGCTATAAACATCTGTGTGTGGGTTTCTGTGTGGGCATAAGTTTTCAACTCCTTTGAGTAAATAACAAGGAGCATGGTTGCTGGATCACATGGTAAAAGTATATTTAGTTTTGTAAGAAACCACCAAACTATCTTTCAAAGTGGCTATATCATTTTGCATTCTTACCAGTAATGAATGAGAGTTCCTGTTGCTCTACATCCTCATAAGAATTTGGTGTTCTCAGTACTCTGGACGTTAGCCATTCTAATAAGTGTGTAGTGCTATTCATTGTTGCTTTAACGTGTATTTTCCTAATAATATATGATGTGGAACATCTTATTATATACTTATTTGCCATCTATATGGTTTTCAGTGAGTTATTTGCCCAATTTTTAATTGAATCCTGTTTCCATTGAGTTTTAAGAGTTCTTTGTATATTTTAAAGGTGTGTTTTATCTGATATAAATTTTGCATTATTTTTTCCTAGTCTATGATTTGTCTTCTCAGTCCCTTAACAGTGTCATTTGCAGAGCAGAAATTATTAATTTTATTGAAGTCCAGATTATCAATACTTTCTTTCACGGAGTGTGTCTAGGGTATTGTATCAACAAAGTCATTGCCAACCCCAAGGTTATCTAGGTTTTCTTCTATTTTATCTCATAAGAGTTTTATAGTTTATATTTAGGTCTATTATCCGAGTTTTATAGTTTGTATTTTATATTTAGGTCTATTATGCATTTTGAGTCAATTTTTGTGAAGGGTTAAAATCTGTGCTATGGTTTGGATATGGTTTGTTTGACTCTGCCACATCTCATGTTTAAATTTGATACCCATTGTTTGATGTGGTGCCTGCTGAGAGGTGTTTGGGTTATGGGGGCAAATCTCTCATGAATGGCTTGGTGCCCATTCTTGAGGGGGTATGTTCTCATGCTTAGTTCCCAAAAGAACTGATTGTTAAAAAGAGTCTGGAAACTCCCACACACACACCTTGCTTCCTCTCTCACCATGTGACAAGTGGCTCCCTTTACCTTCCACCATGACGACCTCATCAGAAGCAGATGTTGGTGACAGGCTTCTTGTACAGTTTGCAGGAAGATGAGCCAAATAACTTTTTTTTTTTTTAGATTACCCAGCCTCAGGTATTTCTTTATAGTGACACAAATGAACTAAGAGAGTCTGTGTCTACATTTATTTTAATTGCATTGCATTTGAATGTCTAGTTGTTTGCTCCTTTGTCAAATGTCAGTTGACTATATTTATGTGGGTCTTTGTCAAAGATCAGTTGACTATATTAATGTGGGTCTATTTTTGAGCTCCCTATTCTGTTCCATTGATCTGTGTGTCTATTATTTCATCAGTACCACACTGTCTTGGTTACTGTGGCTTTATGGTAAGTCTTGAAATTAGGTAGTGTCAATTCTCAAACTTTGTTATCCTTCAATATTGTGCTGACTATTCTGGATTTTTTGCCTCTCCATATAAAATTTAGAATCAGTTTGTCAGCATCAGCAGAATAACCTGCTGAGACTTTATTGCTGTTGCATTGAACCCATAAATCAAGTTTGGAAAAACTGATTTATTGACAATATTGAGTCTTCCTATCTATGAACATGAACTATCTCTTCATTTATTTAGTTCTTTGATTTCTTTTAGCAGACTTTTCTACTTTTCCTAATATAGATCTTATATATATTTTGTTAAATTTCTACCGAGTTATTTCATTTTTTGGAGCACTAATGTAAATGCTATTGTATTTTTAAATTTCAAATTCTTGTTGTTCACTGCTGGTATATAGAAAAGCAATTGACTTGTGTGTATTAACTTTATAATCCGCAACCCTGCTATAATCACTTATTTTTTCTAGGAGTTGGGTGTTTTTTCAACTATTGAATTTTCTGCATAGATGATCATGAAAATTGTGAACAAACAGCTTCATTTTTTCCTTCCCAATCTGTATACCTTTTTTTCTGTTTCCTGTCTTATTGCATTAGCTAAAACTTCCAGTATGATACTAAAATCGCAGTGGTAAAAGGGGATGTTGTTCCTTGGTGGGAAAGCTTTGAGTGTCTCAGCATTATGATATTTGTTATAGATTTTTTATAGCTATTTTTAATCAAGTTGAAAATGTTCTCCAATATTCCTAGTTTATTAAGATATTCATATTTGTTCTTTTTAAACGATGTTTACGTTTCAGTTTGGGAAGTTTTTATTAACATATCTCAAGTTTATTTATTCTTGCCTTGGCAATGTCTAGTCTGCTGATAAGCTCATTAATGGCATTCTTTATTTCTTTTACAAGATTTTAGTTCTTCGCATTTCTTTTAATTCCCAAAGTTTCCATCTCTTTGCTTATATTCTTCACCTGTTCTTGTATGTTGTCAACTTTTTCTTCAAGTTCTTTAATATATTAATCATAGTTATTTTAAATTCACCATCTGATAATTCCAAAATCTGTGCTATATCTAAGTCTATTTCTGATGCTTACTTTGTCTCTTCAGACTATATTTTTTCTTGGCTTTGAGCATGCCTTGTAACTTTTTGTTGAAAGCCAGACATAATGTATTGGGTAATAGGAACAGGGGTGATTAGGCTTTTGGTGTGAGGTTTTATGGTAATCTAACTAGGCACTCCACTGTATTTAATGTTTATTTACTGTGGCTGTAGATACCAGAGATTTTAGTTGCCTCTAGTTTTTGTGTGTGTGTTTTATTCCCCTCTTGTCTTTGTGCTTACCTAAGGATTCCTTCTTAAGTTGAGTTTGTGTATTGTACCTCTCTTCATTGTAATCCACTGATACTATACTGCAGCTTTGCTGATGTGATAGTGATATGGGTTCGCTCTGTGTTCCCACCCAAATCTCATGTTGAATTGTAATTTCCCATGTTGAAGGAGGGGCCTGGTGGGAGATGATAGAATTATGAGGGTAAACTTCTCCCTTGCTGTTTTCATGATAGAATTCTCACAAGATATGGTTGTTTTAAAGTGTGTAGCACTTTCCTCTTCATGCTCTCTCTCTTTTCTGCCACCATGTGAAGACATACTTGCTTCCCCTCCACCCTTCCACCATGATTCTAAGTTTCCTGAGGCCTCCCAGCCATGCTTCCAGTACAGCATGTGGAAGTGTGAGTCAAACCTCTTTTCTTTATAAATTACCCAGTCTCAGGTACTTCTTTATAGCAGTGTGAGAATGAACTAATACAGAAAATTGGTATAAGAGAAGTGGGGCATTGCTATAAAGATACCTGAAAATGTGAAATCAACTTTGGAACTGGGTAATAGGCAGAGGCTGGAACAGTTTGGAGGGGTCAGAAGAAGACAGGAAGATGTGGGAAAGTTTGGAACTTCCCAGAGACGTGTTGAATGATTGTGACCAAAATGTTGATAGTGATATGAACACTGAAGTCCAGGCCGGGTGGTATCAGATGGAGATGAAAAACTTATTGGGAACTAGAGCAAAGGTCACACTTGCTATGCTTTAGCAAAGAGACTGACAGTATTGTGCCCCTGCTCCAGGGATCTCTAAAATTTTGAACACAAGAGAGATGATTTAGGGTACCTGGCAGAAGAAATTTCTAAGTAGCAAAGCATTCAAGATGTGGCCTGGTTGCTCTAAAAGCCTAGCTCATTTGCATAAGCAAAGAGAACTTATATTTAAAATGGAAGCAGAATATAAAAGTTTGGAAAATTTGCTGCCTGGCCATGTGGTAGAAAAGAAAAACCCATTTCCTGGGGAGAAAGTCAAGCTTGCTGAAGAAATTTGCATAAATAAAGAGGAGCCAAATGTTAATAGTGAAGACAATGGGGAAAATGTCTCCAGGGCATTTCAGAGACCTTCACAGCAGCCCCTCCCATCACAGGCCTAGAGGCCTAGGAGGGAAAATATGGTTTCACGGGCCAGGCCCAGGACTCAGCTGCTCTGCACAGCCTCAGGACATGGTGTCCTGCATCTCAGCTGCTCCAGCTCCAGCCATGGCTAAAAGATGCCAAGGTACAGCTCAGGCCATGACTTCAGAGGGTGAAAGCCCCAAGCCTTGGCAGCTTCCACGTGGTGCTGGGCCTGCAGGTGTGCAAAAGGCAAGAGGTGATGTGTGGGAACCTCTGCCTAGATTTCAGAGGATGTATGGAAATGCCTAGATGTACAGGCAGAAGTCTGCTGCAGGGGCAGAGCCCTTGTGGAAAACCTCTTCTAGGGCACTGCAGAGGGGAAATAGAGGGTTGAAGCCCCCACACAATTTCCCACTGGGGCCTGCCTAGTGGAGCTATGAGAAGAGGGCTAGCATCCTTCAGATCCCAGAATAGTAGATCCACTGACATCTTGCAATGTGCACCTGAAAAAGCTGCAGGCACTCAACACCAGCCCATGAAAGCAGTCACGAAGGCTGTACCCTGCAGAGCTGCAGGGGTGAAGCTGCCCACCCTTTGTGTCAATGTGACTTGGATGTGAGACATGGAGTCAAAGGAGATTATTTTGGAGCTCTAAGATTTAATAACTGCCCTGCCAGGTTTCAGACTTGCATGGCACCTGTAGCCTCTTTGTTTTGGCCAATTTCTCCCTTTTGGTCTTACCTAGTGCCTATACCCTCATTGTATCTTGGAAGTAACCAACTTGTTTTTGATTTTACAGATTCATTGGCAGAAGGGACTTGCCTTGTCTCAAATGAGACTTTGGACTTGGACTTTTGAGTTAATGATAGAACAACTTAAGACTTTAGGAGACTGTTGGGAAGGCATGATTGTGTTTTGAAATGTGAGAGGTACATGAGATTTGGGAGGGGCCGGGGTGGAATGATATGGTTTGGCTCTGTGACCCCACCCAAATCTTATGTCAAATTGTAATTCCTAGTGTTGAAGGAGGGGGCTGGTGGGAGGTGATAGAATCATGGGGGCGGAATTCCCCCTTGGAGTTCTCAAAATAGAGTTCTTATGAGATCTGGTTGTTTGAAAGTGTGTAGCACTTGCCCCTTTGCTCTCTTGGTCTCTGTCTCTCTCTGTCTCTCTCTGTCTCTCTCTCTCTCTCTCTCTCCTGCCACCATGTGAAGACATGCTTGCTTTGCCTCCACCCTTCCACCATGATTGTAAGTTTCCTGAGGCCTCTCAGCCATGCTTCCTGTACAGCCTGTAGAAGTGTAAGTCAATTAAACTTCTGTTCTTTATAAATTACCCAGTCTCAGGTACTTCTTTATAGCAATGTGAGAATAGACTAATACAGATAGTAAAGTGTTATTGATGAGAAGCTTTCTATAATCTTATGATAAGATCTCATTTTTGGTGTTCAGCTTGGGTTCCTGGGCTGTGACCTTCAGCAGTACAGTTGGCCCTCTGTAGTCACAGGTTCTGTATCTGTAGAGTCAACCAATTTTCAATTGAAATATTCAAAATAATTTAAAATAATACAAATTTATAAACAAGCCAGATGCAGTGGCATATGACTACAGTTCCAGCTACTCAGGACCCAAAGGCAGGAGGAAAACTTGAGCCCAGGAGTCCAAGGCTAACCTAGGCAACATAGCAAGATTTATCTCAAGGAGAAATACAGTATAACAACTATATTTACGTAGCATTTACATTGTGTTCAGTATTGTAAGTAATCTAGAAATGATTTAAAATATACAGGAAGAAGTACGTAGGTTATATGCAAATACCATACAATTTTATATTTTGAAGAACTCAAGTGTCCCTGGATTTTGGTATCCACAGGTGAAAAGGTTCTAGGAACTAATCACCTGTTAATACTGAATGAGAGCTGTCTTTTCTTGGTGTTAAGTTTTCTCAGGGACTAGTCTTTTTTCTTCCCCCTTGTCCTCTTATCTGTAGCAGGGAGGATAGAGAGGGCTAGATCTGGCCAATTGCCCCTCCCCTACATCAGGTAAGACTCTGGTAATGTAGTTCCCCTTGCATGGCAGGATATTTTTTTCTTTTCATAATTTTTTATTTTTGTAAATACGTAGTAGGTATATATATTTATGGGATACATGAGATGGTTGATACAGTCATGTAATGAGTAATAATCACATCATGGAGAATGGGGTATCCACCTTCTCAAGCATTTATCCTTTGGGTTACAAACAATCCAATTATACTCTTTTAGTTATTTTTAAATGTACAATGAAATTATTATTGACTATAGTCACCCTGTTGTGCTATCAAATAGTAGGTTTTATTTATTCTTTCTAACTATATTTTTGTATTCATTAACCATCACCACCTCCCCCCACACCCCCCGACTATCCTTCCCAGGCTCTAGGAACAAACCTCCTAATGTCTGTCTTCATAATTCCAATCATTTTTATCTTTAGATCCCACAAATAGGTAAGAATATGTGATGTTTGTCTTTATGTGCCTGGCTTATTTCACTTAACACAATAACCTTCAGTTCCATTCATATTGTTGCAAATGACAGGATCTTATTCTTTTTGTGGCTGAATAGTATTCCATTGTGTATATGTATCAGATTTTCTTTATCCATTCATCTGTTGATGGACACTTAGATTATTTCCAAATCTGGGCTGTTGTGAACAGTGCTGTAACAAACATTAGAGTGCAGATATCCCTTCAATATACTGATTTCCTTTCTTTTAGATATATACTCAATAATGAGATGGTTGGATCATATGGATCTATTTTTATTTTTATTTTTTGAGGAATCTCCAAACTGTTATCCATAGTGGTTGCACTAATTTACATTCCCACCAACAGTGTGCAAGGGCTCCCTTTTCTCCACATCCTCATCAGCATTGGTAATTGGCTGTCTCTGGATATAAGCCATTATAACTTGATAATATCTCATTGTGGTTTTGACTTGTATTTCTCTGATGATCAGTAATGTTGGGAACTTTTTCATATATCTGTTTGCCATTTGTATGCCTTCTTTGGAGAAATGTCTATCTAAATCTTTTGTCCGTTTTTTGATTAGATTATCAGTTTTTTTTCTATAGAGTTATTTGAACTCCTTACATATTCTGGTTATTGATCCTTTGTCAGAAGGGTAGTTTGCAAATATTTTCTCTCATTTTGTGGGTTGTCTCTTCACTTTGTTGATTGTTTCCTTTACTGTGCAGAAGCTTTTCCACTTGATGTGATCCCATTTGTCCAGTTTTGCTTTGGTAGCCTGTGCTTGTGAGGTATAACTCAAGAAATCTTTGTTCAGACCAACGTACTGAAGATTTCTGCCAGTGATTTCTTATAGTAGTTTCATAGTTTGAGGTATTAGATTTAAGTCTTTAATCTATTTTCATTTGATTTTTGTATAGAGTGAGAGATGGGGGTCTAGGTTCATTATTCTGCATATCCTTTTCTTTCTTTGTTTCTTTTTTTTTTTTTTTTTGAGGTGGAGTCTCGCTCCGTCCCTCGGGCTGGAGTGCAGTGGTGCAATCTTGGCTCACTGCAAGCTCCGCCTCCTGGGTTTACGCCATTCTCCTGCCTCAGCCTCCCGGGTAGCTGGGACTACAGGCGCCTGCCACCACGCCCACGCCCAGCTAGTTTTTTTTGTATTTTTAGTAGAGACGGGGTTTCACGGTGTTAGCTAGGATGGTCTCGATCTCCTGACCTCGTGATCTGCCCGTCTCGACCTCCCAAAGTGCTGGGATCCTTTTCTTTCTGATTGAAGTATTCCTTTTAGCATTTCTTGTAGGATAGGTCTAGTGTTGATGAAATCCCTCAGCATTTTTTTTTTTTTTTTTTTTTGTCTGGGAAAGTATTTTTTCTTCATGTTTGAAGAGCATTTCTGCTGAATATACTATTGTAGGGTAAATTATTTTTTTCCTCCAGTGCTTTAAATATGTCATGCCACTCTCTTCTGGCCTGTAAGGTTTCCACTGAAAAGTCTGCTGTTTACATGTATTGGAGCTCCATTCACATGTTATTTGTTTTCTCTTGCTGCTGTTAGGTTTCTTTTTTTATCCTTGATCTTTAGGAGTTTGATTATTAAATGTCTTGAAGTAGTCTTGTTCTGAGATGGCTCACTGTTCTGAGCCATCTGAAGCTGGGAGTGAAGTGACACAAGCACCCCAAGACCACCACCACTATAACTGTACTGGGTCAGACCTGAAGCCAGCAGAGTACTGGGTCTCACCCAAGGCCTGCTGTAACCATCCCCTGGCTACTGCCTGTGTTTGCTCAAGGCCCTGGGCCTCTAAAATCAGCAGGTAGTAAAGCCAGCCAGCCCTATGTCCTTCCTTTCAGGGCAATGTGTTCCTCCAGGCTCCAGGCAGATCCAGAGGTGCTGTCAGGGAGCCAGGAACTAGCATCAAAAACCTTAGAAGTCTACCTGGTGTTCTATTGTACTGCGGCTAAGCTGGCATTCAAACCACAAAATGCAGTCTTTCTCACTATTCCCTCCCCTTTCCAAAGGCAGAGGAACCTCATTACATAGCCGCTGCCACCACAGGCTCATTGGAAATACTGCCAGACTTCCGCCAATGTTCCCTTAAGGCCCATGGGCTCTTCAGTCAGCTTGCGGCAAATGCTGCTTGGCCTGGGACCCACCCTTCCGGGCAATACACTCCCCTCTGGCCCAGGGCAGGTATATAAATGCCATCCAAGGCCAAATATTGGAATCAGGGACCCCAAGAGCCCACTTGGTACTCTACATCCTTGTGGCCGAGGTGGTACCTAAGGTGTAAGACAAAGTCCTCTTTACTTTTCTTTCTGCTTTCTCAAGCAGAAGGGGGCTTGCCCTGTAGCTACCACAGCTTGGAATGTGCATAGTCTCACCTGAAGCCAGCAAGTCTGAGTCTTATCCAAGGCATTTGATGTGGGTATCACTGCTAATTATTCCAGGCCCAAGAGCTCTTCAGTTAGCAGGTAATTAATTCTGCAAGAACTAGATCCTTCAAAGCAGTATGTTCCCTTCTGGCCCAGAATGTGTCTGGAAAAGTTGTCTGGGAGTTAAAGCCTCATGTCTTTGACTCATCCCCTAACATGCTGTGACTCAGCTGGTATCCAAGATGGAAGAACAAGTTCTTCCCACTCTTCCCTCTCCTCCCCTCAAGCAGAAGGAAGAATTCTCTTTTGGAGCCACTGGCTATGCAGCCTGAGGTTAGGGGAGGGATGATGCCAGCACTCCCTTAGCCACTCCAACTGGTGTTTCAGTAGGTCATATGTCCCCACCAGTCCACTATCTCTGGGCCCAGTTCAGAACTAGGACTCACGTAAGAGTTGCAGTCCTTGTGGCCTGGACTGCCTTTCAAGTTCATTTTGGGCCCCATAGCACTTTAGCCCATGGTGGCGAGGCTTGTGGGAACTCAAGTTCCAACAGCTGAATGGGCAGTTCCCCTCTGGCTTGGGCTGGTTTAAATGCTTCCTCCGTGGGCAGGTGTTAGCTGAATTTGTTCCAGTTTTTCCTTCTGCTATAACAAGACAGTACTGAGTTCAATGTCTCACAATTGCTTTGCTCTCCCTCCCCCAGCACCCAGAAATGCTGTCCATACCACGCCACCACTGCTAGGATGTGGGGGGCAGTGTCATCAGCAATTTAAGACTGTTAATGCTACCTCTTCAGTGCCTCTTTCAGCAATATCAAGTTAAAACCAGGTACTTTGAGTGGTCACCGAGTTTTTTTTTCTTATGAGGGTGCTTTTTTGTGTGTGAACAGTTCTTAAATTGTGTCTTTGTGATGAGTGGGGGATGATTGCTGGAGCCCTTCTATTCCACCATATTGCTCCACCTCCTCCCCTGGGAGGGTAGGCTTTTGTTATGGAGGAATTCTGAGTATATTCAAAATGGTTACTCTTCCCCTCCCTCTTCTCCAAATACAGATAGAAATTTTTCTCTGATCCTCAAGAAAAGAACCTGGTGAAGCTCCAGGAGGTAAATCTGCAAAGTATTGGCTTCCATAGGGACTAGACCTTTAAGAGTTTAAACCTCAAGCTAGTACACTCAGCTTCCAGAAATTCCTCAAAATTACCATACAAGTGTTTCTACCCATTTATTGTTCTGGTGGCTTCTGCTTCAGGTAAACTGATCTTGGCTCTGATTCTTTGTATTTGCCAGTCTTTCCAGATTTAGAGGGCAGTGGGGAGGTAGTTTGCCCTGTAACCTTACTTCTTTGATGGACTTAAGAAATGTCATTGATTTTCAGTTTGTTCAATGTTTTTACCATTTTGAGTGTGGGAGTGATGACTTCCAAGCTTTTTTCATGTCACAGCTAAAAAAAAATATTTTAACAGCTTTATTGAGTTACATTTTACATATTATAAAATTCATCTATTTTAAGTGTCCAATTTGATGATTTTTGGCAACTTTACTGAGTAGTGCTAACATCACCATAATTAGTTTTAGAGTATTTTTATCCCAAAAGGAAGAGAGTGTGTTTTTGATATCTCCTACCCCCCTCACTGAAACC
Organism: Homo sapiens; assembly: GCF_000001405.40. Lineage (NCBI taxonomy): Eukaryota > Metazoa > Chordata > Mammalia > Primates > Hominidae > Homo > Homo sapiens. The sequence continues at coordinate 180,072,340 of NC_000003.12, read as the reverse complement.
CTCCCACATGTCCAGGCCTAAGTGTCTTTGCTAATAAACTCTTCCCCCAGAGTTTTATTCTATCTTTTAAAATACCGTCTGCTAGATCTCTCCTAATTCTCAACCTTGTTTACCTCAAAGATTGGGTTTAGAGTTAGAAGACCGCACACTGCCACTTACTGTTTTTATCACATTAGGTAATTCACTTCAATGTTGGAGATTTGCTTGAGGAAAGCAAGGAAGAATAGTTTATCTTGCAACTAGCAATCAGTTCCCTGCAACTAGCAAAATACTGGGCACATAGGCAGTGATCAATAAATATTTGTGAATGAATGAATCTGGAAGATTCATGAAATATTAATAATGGGGTGTATGCAATCAAGGAGTTCGTGGACCTATGTATATAAATCTAAGAGGTAAGGAATGTCCTTCCTAACTCAGGATTTTTATAAGCCAGATGTTATGTTATTAAGAGCCTTTTCAGTGATATTCTTCCTCTTTTAATAAGTACGGAGGTATGCAGTAATGATTGACATCCCCTCATACTCTTTGTTTTTAAAATCTTTTGGCTATTCTTGGCTCTTCTATCTTCTCCATATTTATTTTAGAAACTGCTCTAGAAGCTCTGTGAAAAATCATACCATTTTATTCAAGGTAATGATCCCAGTCTTTGCTCATACTTATACTGGCTGTTATAACTCTACATTTATCCACAAACTCTAATACAGTAGTTCTGAGGTCTTACTTCTTCATTGTATCTTAGTTGGGATTAACTAAAGATTCTGGACCAGAAATGTTCAACTTGCCTAGACAAACCCAATGAAATAAAGAGATATTTGGGCAACTATATTTTACTATAGAGCCTTTCCCAAGTTTTATTTTTTGGAATTCTTCCCATATTATCCTTTTTGAGGGGAAGAGTGCATTTGATTCTAGTTATTAGTGTGATTTCCTATTATACTACAGAACTAAATTCATACAAGCACTGGTAAAAGGTAGATTCCACACTACTTAGAGGCTCAAGGACTAAAAGGTGTTAGTTCCTCCAAATCTAAATCCTGGGATCTTACCACATCTAACTGATCATGAAACAGAAGGAAGTTGAAGGGGTAAAGGTCCAGCTTACCTTATCCAAATAACTAAATGTATGGAAGAGACAGAAAGAAATGTTAGAGTTAATTTGCCTTGGCTAGTTTCGAAGAGCCAAACTCTGTTTTGACCTCGTTTTCACTTTAAAGTAGGAAACAGGAAGTAGAATGCAGGTTCATTTCTTAAAAGACCACCATGAAGCAAGTTGCCACTCTGCATCTTTTAGAGGGCAAGCAAGTAAGTGAGTGAAGAAAAGGGTGGAAAGCGGGGGCAGATCTGATGTGGAAAGAAGGGAGCTAAATATTTCCCTCCCTCCTACCCTGGATATTGAAACTTACTTTGATTGACAGGTTGTCATTCATGGCTCAAGCATAATTTCCCCTTGAACATGAATTCAATTTAATAAGTCCTTTGTTGTTCAAATAGTCTTTCTGTATATAACCTTTCTTTAGACCAACTTCTATAACATTTCCACAGACCCGGCTTATGTCCTTACTCAGCCACGCAGCTGCTGCTACCATCTAGAGTCTCAATACATTGGATTTATACTTAATCATCTTTTTACTCACTCATCCAAAAATATATATTATCTTTAATACAAATATTATAAAACAAAATTAAATATATTTTACTAGTAGGTGGCTAATAGATATTTATCAAATGAATGAATAAATACATAAACGAATCATTGCTAGCTTAAAGTATTTAGCTTGATGCACTGACTAATACTTTGTTGTGTATTTATATGTCTGAACAAATCATTTTTTTCTCCCTTGCCCCAATTCACACCTGGTAAGAAGTAATAGGGGGACAGGGCAAAAGACAGATACAATTAGGGATGTAAGGAGCTGGGATCATAAGGAGAAATTTTCATTGCCTGCATGCTGAAATGCCAGGAACTTAAACCATGATGAGGTATTATCTCATGGATTTTACAATACCCTGATGAAATAGGTAGGGTATGATTATATTTATTTTCCAGAGGAGCTAAAACCAAGTGAAAGTGATGGACTTGCCCAAAGTCAAAGAGCCAGTAAGTGATACGGCCAAGTGGTGAATCTAATGCCACACAGCCAGACTTTAGCACACAGCCAGACTTCATTTTTCCCAGACTCTGCTCAGACTTTGAAACCAGGGCTCAATCCACAGAGTAAGTCCAGGTTGGCCCACAGAAATAAGCCAGAGAAAAGATGTTCTTTCATTCCTGGCTGCATTAGAGGTCATCTCTGAGGGCTTAGCTGAGCTATGGTGGTGGTAAAGACTTCTGACCCAAGTATTTTATGCTAAAGAGTCCTGCTTTAAAACAGCTAAGAGTTTATTCTCATTAGTAAGAGCAGCACTTAGCTGCTGAACCCACAACTGCTCCTCATTAATGTTTCATATTCTTAATTAGGATTAATTTACTAGTAATCTCTAAAGAAGGCAGTAAATAAGGGGTATGTTCTGAAATAATCTTACTCCTAAATAGATAAGCCATGAGTATTCTAGGACAGCCTTCTACCCATCTTGGGATGGGAGGACCAGGGCACAGTTCTGAATTAGTGAGAATCCCTTCCCCAGCAACAAAACAAAACAAAACAAAACAAAAAACATGGTTTATTTTCCTTAATAAATCAGAATCGTATGCCTAAATCACTGCTTTAAAATGTACATTTCACGTAACCCTCCTTAGAGAGTCTAATTGCATAGTCCATGTGTACAGATCAAAAAAATCTGCATCTTTAACAGGCGCTGCAATTGATTCTGTTCTAGGTGCTTGAGCCATACTGTATAAGCACAGGTCAAATCTATAAAAGGGGAAGCTAACATTCATATACATAACAACACATCTATATATAATATGGAACTATATTTAACAGAGATAATATAGTTGCAACCATATTAATATCTATAAAGCGCTATATTTAACAGAACTACAGTGATGAAACAAAGGCAGAGCCAACTTTGACCTGAAAAATTCAGGGAGGAACCATAAGCTTTCCTTTTTCAACAATGTTTTTACAATTTTATTTCCACAGTTCCGTGCAAGTCGATTAGTTAAATACTTCTCCAGCATCTACCACAAGCTGGTACCTAGATCTCTGCCCTCTCGTTCATTGAGTCTCATAAAGGAGACAGATGCAGATCTATACAAATAACTCCAATACAAAGGTGAATATAATCACAGAAAACCAATATGATAATAGACTAAAGAACATGCCTGAAATTTTCATTTGTTAGAAATAAGTGCTTGAAATCTGTTACAGAAATGTGATCCCTGAAATAACTAACACATATTGGCATTGTCCTTGATATCCATATGTTCATCAAATATTAAATGGATAAACATAGTAGGCTGTCGAATTAGCTGTATAACTTATCACAAAGTGTCTTGGTTAGTTGGTTTTCAATTTTTATTTGCGATGCACTCTTTTTGCAAACATTATATTTTATAAGACTACCTACCTACATGTATACACATCTCTTATACACACTGCCAAAAGTAGTCTTGAGCACTTCCTGAAGAAAGGTCTGAAAAACACTATCAAGAAAGGAGGAAAAACAGAACAAAGAGAAAGAGTAGAAAGCACAGAATAAGTTCGTAGAAATAAATCCCCGCATATTAGTAATTATGTTAAATATAAATGGACTTACTTCTGCTTCCAGCCAAGATGGAGTAAGAGGGCCACCAGGTTTACTCTATCTGCTTTAAACAACTAGAAAACCATAAAAAATACACGAAACTGGTTTTCAGATAATGGGAAAGAAATAGCACAGGACTGTGATACAGGGAGAAGGAAAACAAACACTATTGTACCAGATTACTACCTAGAGGCAGTTTCCGTGCTGTAAGTTGCAGAACAAGAGGAAATCCAAACAGAGCCCTTTAATCTTGATTAGGTGAGGAGACAGAAGTTGAAGTTCAGAGAGGTCACAGTTACTAGAAATTATGAGGAAGAGTACTGTAGAGAAGAGAGGCTGGACAGAAGAGAGAGAGCTCCAAAGATCTGCAGAGGGACACCCTTGAGTCTTTGGCTGAGTACTGATATGTACATATATGAGACAAAAGAAAATATGGTAATAGGACCCAATGTGAGGCATTTGGTAATATGTAGAAGGAGTCACAGAACGTCACACACTTTGACCCAGGGAAACCTTACTTCTGAAAAATGTTATGTACATCCACACATCCAGAGCTGCACTGCACTATTTATAATGGGGAAACCTTGGAAGAAGTCTGTCTAAAAATTATGTAATAATTACATACACCAGATTACATAAAACTAGATGATAACTCAGGGTTCTTAAAACCAAAGAATTTATGAACCCCACTGCTGTACATAGATTTTACAGGCATATATATTTGGGGGGTGCGGGCTGTATCAGTTGTTCTTAATCCTGGACACATTAGAATCATCTTTTTTTTTTTTCCGCTGGTGCCTGGGCCCCATTCCTGACTAACTAAATGTGAATTTCTGAGGATGAGGCCTGGACAGTGATCTTTTTAAAGCTCCCATGTTATTCTGAAGCACGCTGAGGGATAAGAATCACTGGTGTAGAAGTTTCATTATATTTCTCAAAGAGATTTTTATCTAAAACATAAGAATTATTTTTGTAGATAAAAATAGCATATAATAATTTAAAACGTTTGTTACAAAAGTTATGTAAACACATGGTGAATTGCTTATAATGTTTTAAAAAGTACAATGCTAAACTTTTTGTATATAGTAATAACTACTTAAAGAACATATTTAAAGGTAAAAATACTAGAAGGAAATATGACAAAACATTGCAAAGAAAGGTTTTACTCACTCATGAGTATTCTCTTTATTTTCCAAATTTTCTGATTCATATGCTGGGGGAGGTGGGCGTCTTTGAAGGACATACAGCAAGTATTGGTTTAAGAGACCCTACTGCATTGCCCTCCTGTAAGGCCCTCCAGGATTCTTAGCCTCCTGGCATTTCCCTTTCAGACTCAGGATGCCACTGAGTTATTGCTTGGCCTGCCTCAATCTGAGTGCTATCTTGTTAAAACGAAAAAATAGGATGGTCTAACTCAAGGGTTCCCTGTAGGATGTCTGCCTTTAACCTCTGCCCTGCCAGTGTGACTTGTAATCTTTCAGATGTCTCAATCAGAGATTTCATATCCAATATTTCTTTGCGGTCAATATTACAGACTAGCTATTTTTCTTCCCTGAAGAAACCTAAATTGAAAGATGAACATTTTGGATCCTAAACTCTTTTCCCAGAAAACATGGAAAGTCTCCTTGTGTGGAAGCTAGAAAATAGCTGACGCTAACCATAGCAAGGCACAAAGCATGCAACTTTTAACTACTGTAAGACTAATGGACTGATTATAACCTTCTTTCCTGCTGGGCCCCAAGAACCTGCATACATTCTTCTTTTTCAGAAGTTGGGTAATAGCCCCTATTGTTTCGTCTTTTAATTTCATAAAATGGCAAATCCCTGTAGTCTTTAATGATTTAGCCAAGTAAGCAATTACTGGAGATTGCTAGATCCATCTGCTTTTCCCCAATAGATTTGAGAATAAGAATGAGCATGTTCAGTTTTCATTCTTCCAAAAAGTCAATCAAACTCCTACTATTTTGTAAGGTCATTGAATACCTCCTGCAGGCTCCTTCTAGAACTCTCTGTGGAAAGTTTCTTAAAACAGCAGTCCTAGGCTAGCAGTATTAATCAGGTCTCCTTTGGTTGCAAATGGCAGATGCTTCTCCAACTAGCAGAAGCCTCTCAAACTAGCTTATGCAACAACAACAAAAAGGAGGAAACACTATTTAATTGCTCACATAACTCAAATGTCTACAAGCAGGCTGGATCCAAGAGGTCATCAAACATCTCTCTTGTTCTCTCAGCATTACTTTCCTCTGTGTTGATTTCACTCACCACAGGCTCACCCAAGTGGAGGCAAAGATGGCTGCCCCCACCCAGCTGCTCCAGATCATGTCTTCCCTACATGCGATCTCAGAAGGAAATAGGTTCTCTCCCTCCAACATCTGCATCAGTTTTTGCAGAAATATTTGTCTGTACTTAGATCACACACAGCCTGTGTGGTAAAGGCTTAGCATATACTCTCATATTTGGCCAACCTAGATCAAACACCTCTCAAAAGAAATAAGATATTATGGCTAATGATCTCACCAGGTGGAGGGAACACTTGTCCACCATACAAGGTGGAGGGTGTACTTGACACCATACTGTACATCTAAACAATAGATACCCATTTAAACTTAACAAAAACAAAATGGAGACAGAGAGAATTTTAGCTGAAAAAAAGAATTTTAGTAATAACTTGTCTCTGAATAATGGACATAATACAATCAAGGAAAAGACTCAAAAAGAAATGTAAGGAACAACAAAAACTGAGATTAAATAATCAAATGATCAGATTTCAATTCCCTTTATCCTTTACATTCTTCTCTGAGTTATTATTTTATAATGGTTTGCAGTATTGTATAGTACTTCAGTGTGTCTTTAAAATTTTTGACTTCTCAGTGCATTGCGTGTTAACCAGTGCCAATAAAGAGTTACCTTGTCTAATTTGTACACTTCTATAGTTTTTTATGTCAGAAGGGAAAGTCCAAAACCAATATTGTAGTAATAGCTGGACATGAATGTCTTGTTAAACATTTTTGAAATGAATAAAGAAATATATCTTGCCCAAACTGGGAACTATTATTTTTAAAGTATGCTTTATTAATCAGCCTCCTGGCAACTTCCTATGTGCTCATTACCTATCATGTGTCTCATTCCCTAGAAAAACTCCTATTAACATATTAGGATAGTTGCATTTTCAAAAATTATTCTTTAAAGAGAAAAGCCTTAAAAATCAAAAGAATAAATATTTAAGCTCTCATGCACCTCTATTAACTTATTTTTAAAAACCTAATGGACAAAGAATGCTCCTTTTGATCCTCAAATTGCTCCCTCTCCATTTTGCCACACATTTTGCCTATAGTGAAGTCATCTCTGATATCAAATACATACTTACCATCTTAGTACTGCACTTATAACACAAAAGAGCAAGTCTACACAGCTAACATCCTTTCTAACTTCATCATCATCTTCTTCAAATGATGGCTTTTTTCTTTTGCTTTTATAGTTATGTTCTTTTTTTTCCTTATTACTACTAATAATTAACAGAGAATATAGGAAGAGTTACAAGAAGTTAACAATACTTATATTTCATAAAAGCATTGTCACCATGTGATTATAATCTTTTCCTTCTGAGTTATGACACCTGCTCATTTGCATTCATACACTATATTCATCCAACAAGCAGGTGAAGAGCACCAGGTATAAGAGAAACATATGAAGAATAGAAGATTTTGCCTATAATCCTCTGTCTGTCACTAACTAGCTGTGAGACCATATGTGATTTCATTTATGCATCTTTGGTGCCTCGGTTTCACCTATATGATGGTGAGGGTGGACTAAAGAATTACAGTATCTAACACTTACTGAAGATTTGTTCTGTACCTAATACTATGCCAAGAATATAGTTAATGTCATTTAATCTTCACAGTAAGTCTAGGGAAGGAGTATTATTATTATCCCATTTATGCTCAAAAACTGAGTTTCAGCATCATTAAGGTTCTTGACCAAGCGGTAAATAGAAGAGCCAGTATTAGACTTAACCTTTGTTTGACTCCTAAGCCTAAGCTGGTAACCCCCATAATTTCAAGTGCAACAGATTTCTAAACAGTCTTCTCCATACTAATAAATTTAACATCCTATTGAGAAAAAGCTTACATGCAATCTGGAGAACCTCATAGCTCCTCCTTCTGTTGAGCATAATTAAGGCTTGTACTGTGTTTGCATGTTGTCTGTCAAATTTAGTTCCCAAGCAGAAACTTCATCTAACACAACATTCTGCCTAGAGGTTCACACATCTGTTTAATGATAGGAACTTTGCCATTAATATTTATTTGTCATGAGTTCAATATATATTTAACAATCCTGAATGCTAAAAAAATTTCCATATTGCTTAATGCTATTATATATGGATTTAAAAGATTATGTGTGTATATGTATGTGTGTATATATATATATATATATGCCCACAAAAGCCTCATTTTGGCATAGTCTAATTTCTATATAGACTTTGCTCACAGTATATATCTCTAGCAAAGATCTACTCCAGTTCATTCATTCATTCAGTGAGTGAGTGGTTGGCATTTAGTGAATATTAGGCATTTTATTTGCCTAGCATTGTGTTGAATGCTAGGGAAATAAAACAAAGATGATCTCAGCCTTCTGGAATGTATGGTATAGTATACTGGGGTTTGGCATATAGGAAAGTAAATAGACAATTACAATGTGTTATAAGTAGTATGGGTTAAGTACACCAGAGGGAGCATCTAAGTCAGGATTGGAGATCAGAAAAGACGTTCTAAGCAAGTGATATCACAATGAGAGCTGAAGTGTTCTCATAAATTAGCCAGGTGAAGAGCAAATGAAAGAGAATTTCAGAGAGACAATGATGTTCAAAGACTTAAAGATTAAGGAAACAGAGAAAGGCATTATTTCAAAAACTGAATATAATTCAGAATGATCAGATTACCAAAGAAGAGTGGTGAGAAATGAGATTTAAAGGTCGGTAGGTATCATTTTAAAGGGCTTTATAATACATGGCAAGGCATTTGGGAACTTTACCAGGAGACAACTGAAAAGATTTAAGTAGTGTCATGAGATGATCAGATTTGCATCATAGAAAGGTCATGTTGGCTTCAGTGTAGACAGCAAATTACATGTGGCAAGAATGGGCTGAGGGAGAACATTTTTGTCAAAAATGGCCTTCAACTACTGAAAAGGTAAAGATGGGAAATGAAGATTACTTATCTCGAACGACACTGTTCCTAAAGAAGATAGTGATGGAACATACCTCACTGGTGGAACCAGATCCTGTGAGGGAAATTACCATTCTGGACTAGTCAGTAAAATTTATACAATCTTATATGGTGACCTGGGCACATATACCACAATACTACTTCTGTGGAAAATAACCAGGAAAGAGGGGCCCTGAAAGGTGGTAAGCTAATCTCAGCTGATACAACGTTTCTGAAAAAGCTGCTTTCATTAAAATGGACCAGAGACCTGGTGATACACTCTTAATTTAATGTTCCAATCTAGTAGCTTTCACTGCCCACAGCACAGAATCCCCCCAAAGTCTGGACTTATTGGTTGAGTGAAACAATTAGAGAGACTGTCCACCAAATTTCCTAACTGCAAAAAATGGAGATTATTCCAAGGAATTCTGATTCCCCATTCAAGAAAGAGGCACTTGGATGTTGGCCAAAGCACACCATTGTGATGTTGCAAGATTGTCTGGTACAGATGTAGAAGAGAAAGGACATTTCATTGAGAGCCTTAAACATCTGGCAATTAACGTTATCAGTGCCTCAAACAATATTTTAGACCCAGTGGCATTTAAGGGTGTTGTGAACCACAAGACTATGCAGGTCAAATTTGTAACCAACTTTCAAAGGAAGGAAAAAAAATCTAAGGTGTTAAAGCTGAAGACTTTCTTACAGAAGATCACAGTAAAAAAAATAAAAATAAAAATAAATTTTTTAAAAAAGGAAGTAAGTAAATAATGAGTATCTTCTTTCTTCCAATGAGGTCTAAACAATTGGGGAAAAAATTGAGAGAAGTTGAGGTTTTAGTCTTCAGCAAGATCTGGAGTCCAGGAAGTCTAATTCCCAGGTAAGGGCTGATCGTTACCACTTTACTAATGAGCAAAGCAAAATATAGAGTCGATTTCCTCTTAGGAAAATAAAAAATACTGACTAAACTAGAACAAAGCCAAAAATGGCCCAAGAAAGTACAAATTTTAACCATTTTATATGTTGAAGCAGAAGGTGGGATAAATTGTGCAGGGAAAGGAGTGAGGATAGTAGGCTAAAATTTTCCTCAGTAAAGGTTCCGGCATAGCTACCAGGCTGAAGAAGAAAGGAAGGGTCACCAAAGTAACTTCCTCCACTAAAGACAAAAGATAACAAATAGTCAGTGAACCAGATATGACTTATAGACATGTTTCCTTTGACCTAAAAAACATCTTCTTAAACATTAAGTCAATATTTAAAAATGGGGGGCTTTAATACACACACACACACACACACACACACACACACACACACAGACACACACACACACACACCAGTCCTAGAGCAATATAAAGGTTTAGAAACCCTGAGTCTATGTTCCAGCATGGCGGTGCTTATTCAGAGTTCTTGAGATAGGTTCTATGCTACCCCAACTGACGACATTTTCCACCCAGGCTGCTCTACTCAATTACCTTACCTCTCTAGTACCTGTATATGTCTGTGACTTCACCACAGGACAGGGCTATATGACTTCACCCTAGTCATTTTTCAGATAAAGTGTTAAAACCATAGTCCTATAATTGAACTGCTAATGAAATCCTTCCACATAAACTAGCTGCGAGTATCTTAATGAGTTAATGTGATGGAGGATGTCTGCCAAGAAAGATGACTTTGGCTTGGGAGCAACGGATTTTAAATCCTTTTTTCTGAAAATAAGTATGTCTTGTTGGCTATTGTCTACTCAGGGAATTCCTAGTTTACGACAATACAATCACGTTCTCAATTTAAAAGGGAAAGCTTCTGTTTCTGTAATTTATAGCAAGGAGCATTTATAATTCATGCAAAAGTGGTTTAAAGTTATTAAGATAAAAGTTAAAGAGAAAAATGAAGATGCCTGAAAAAATTCCCTGTTTTATGCTGCTTTGCCTTGTCATCTTAAAATGATTACTTTATCCTATCTGAATTCTCAAGGTGGTGTTATAAATAATGTGAAGAACACCTTTGTAATCATCTCCTTAAATTTCTAAAAGTAGGATAATATCCTGGGTCAAATAGTTTGCTCACTTTACAATTTGATATATAGACTAAATTACTTAAAGAAAGAACTACCCATGTAACTCCCATCAATAAATCATGAGTTATTATTTCCCTACCCCTTCATTAATAATGAATTTTGTCAATATTTTTAACCTATACTCATTCAAAAGTGAAAGTATATTTTATCATGCATTCTGCACTGATGGAATTATTAATGCAGTTAGATATATTTTTCATGTTTCCTGGAAATTTGTATTTTTTTCTGTTCATCACCTTTGTACGACCATTGTCCATTCTTCAATGGGGATATTAATTCTTTTTCTCATTGTAGGTCTCACTTTTTTCTCCTGATTCATGAATCTGTAATGTTTGTAACATTAATATTTTGCCACTTTTATTGCCTAGAAATCAACTTTGTTTGATATGAATATCATTACTTCCTACTTTCTTGTTGCTTGTATTTGTCTGATACCCATTTGTCATACGTATCTAGCTATAAGTTCCTCCAACAAACACAGTTTTTCTGTTCTCTTAAATAAGGTAAGCTCTTATTTTACCCTTCTTCTCCCAATGTTTCCTGGTTTTGTTAACTAGGTTCTTTTGCTCCGCTTTAAGAGTAGCACTCATATAAAATTTTTTTTTTTTTACATGTAGTTGCTAATTGCATATGCCAATATGTTTCACCAATTTCTGAACTCACTGTAGGTCCTTGAATCCTACTTTTTCCCTTTCTCTATTCCATTTTAGCAGGTTTTTATGTAAGAATCTATGAGTGGTAAACTTTCTTGGTCTTTATGTGTTGAAAACAATGATTTATTTGGCATTTAGTCTCGAAGGATATTTTAATAGGATATAGAATTCTAGCCTAACTGTTATTTTCCCTCAACTATTTGAAGACATTCCTTTGTCTTCTGAGAACTCTGGCTGCTGATGAGAATTTTTGCTCTTCTTTCTGGTTATCTTGCTCTTTGATTTCCTGAGGTCTCACTCTACTTTTCCTATTAAATGACTGGTGAGTGTTATGGTTGGAATTGTGTCTGCCTCAAAAAGATACGTTAAAGTCTGAACCTCCTAGTACCTCGGAATGTGACTTTGTTTGGAAACAGGGTCTTTACGGGAGTGACCAAGTTAAAATGAGGTCATTGGGATAGATCCTAACCCAATATGACTGATGTCCTTATTAAAAGGAGAAAATTGGACAAAAAGGCAGACATGCATAGGAGAACAACAACATAAAGAGATAGGAGACAATGCCGTATGAAGATCAAGGCAGAGATCAGGGTGGTGCGTCTACAAGTCAAAGAGCACCACGATTATCAGCAAGCTCCACTTGCTCTAGGGTCTCCTTTCAAGTACCGGTATTTATTCAATAAGTAAGTGGGTGGATTGGCCCATTTCCTAGATTTGAATCTGTGCCTGCTTCTGGTAATTCTGTCTCTCAAAATACTCAGCTCTGTGCAATCTGTAACCCAGGAAATCATTGGCTTCGGCTTTTTACAACCTCCTTTCATAAATTATGAAGCTCCAACACAGCCTCTGTTTTTAAGCAGTAAGCCTGGCCCCAGTTTCCTGCTTTACATGGGCCACCATTAGTCCCTGTTACTCCATCCCAGCTTTGCCTAATTCTGGTCCCAAAATTTAGCAGGCTTATAATTTACTATTTTTAGTTTTCTCTTACAATTTCAGATGCATAGATAAATTTTTAGTTCAGCCATGTCTTTTCAATTTTTTCATTTTAGAGTTTATCATTGCTATATATTTAGAATGGCAAGTGAGGACTCAAACATGAAATCATAACCACATCTTGAACAGAGGCTGTGGATTACTTTCCAACTCTAATCCTTTATGAGTCATTCTGAGTTAACTACTGTTAACACTGTTCCCAGAGCCCAGTGCAGAGAACTCTGTTGGCCTGGAATGGCCCATCTGAACCATTCCTAGGCTATAAGTAAATTAGGCTTACACAGCTTTTGAAAACTAAGGCTAAGATAGGCTCTATCTTTTTCCCAGGTTGATAAAATATACACATTCCAGCACCAAGTGCAGTATAAACAAACAAACATAGATAATAATTTTTCCTTAATTCTGAATGCTGATCTGGATTATTTTACTTCCATAATGCTGAAACAAAGTTCTTTGTATTTACCACCTCAACATTACAGACAGGAAACAAGAAAAAAGAGACATATCCATTAGCAATAATCTTTTAACTTTTATTATACATGACATGCCTCACTAGCAAGCCTACTTGTTGCTGTGGTATCTGACTAAACAAGATCAACTCTCCTCTTTCCTGGAGTGGAAGAAGTAATGAAGAGAAGCTTTAAACTCCTTCCTTGAAGACTAACGCCTGTTTTCTTCAAAACCTTCTAGTGTTATTCCATTATCTTCTAACTTCTAGTAAAGCTGAAAAGACTTGGGTCATACTCATTTGTTCCCCATGATAGATGTCTACTTCCAATGTCAAGATAGCTATAGAATGCTTTATTTTTCATTGAACTTCACTAAGGTTGTATTCCTTGTTTACCTTGGTATGGCTTGTATTTTTCCTTATGCTATGAGCTAGAAACCTAGTGTTGAAGCCCATAGTTCTTAATTAATCATTCACTTGCTGGAAGTTGTGTGAAGAGTATCTCTGGGGAAATTTTTATCTACCTACTTCTATGTAAATTTGTTGAGCACCTTGCTCTGAGAGCTTTCCATAATCTCTAAAGAAAGGACACCTTATACCATATTTTCTGTTCCCCAGCTTTGGACTCCCTAATCAGCCTTTTACAGATTTCACTAAGTAGCTACAAATCTATTTCCCTCCTCCACTGAGTATTATTCACAGTTATCTTTTTAAGCTTAATCTTGTCTCCAATCATGCATCAGATTCCCATTAAAACCCCATCTAGGCAGTTAAAATGGTAGCATAATATAGTTTTTCTATTAGATTTGTATCTCTTGTGTTCTGTGGGAGAAGGATGAGTCTCAAGTGAGCCATTTCCTTTTGTTCTCTCACAGCTCTCTTTCACCACTGGAACTTCCATACTCACTTACCAATTCAAAGCTTAGCATCCTCAGCTGTCTTATCTGACAGATTTGTAATATGACTATAGCCATGCACCTAGGGTATTCCTAAAGCTGAAGTTTGGCCTCTGTTTATGTTTTTGATATTTTTGTTATTCACTTCCATTAATTCTAGGCAAAGGCACACATTATGCAAATGTGTCCTGACTCTATACTCTTTTTCATAAATTTATGAATAAAGTGAGGTTTAATTTAGCAATTTATAATAAGAAGTGAGAACTAGTAGGCAGCCAGCTGAAGAACAGGGGAAGTATGAAGAGCAGTCAGTGACGCTGGGGAGGACTCCAAGAAGTTCAGTTTGGCTAAAACATAGATTATATCTAACAGTGCCATACTGACTTCTTAGATTCTTATCAGAAGGTATCATAGGTTAAAATAATAAATATTAATACTATTCAGATATTTTATTGCTCCTTTTACTATCATAGGACAATGCATTTGAAAAAGTAGAACTGATTCTGTAGGAATAAAAAGAGCAAAGGAGTGGGAGTCACGGGAACTTTTTTGAAAAACGAGAAACAGCTGCTGTTAACCAGCTGTGTGTGCTTGGATGTGGCCCCTAACATCTCTAGGGCTCATTTGCTACCACTGTCACGTATGAGAGTAAAACTCTCTATTCTTTAGAATCACTTCATGATGCATTTATTTATGTACAAACGGTAGTAGAAAGATGACTATTTATCTGTAAGTGAAGTCACATACATACAGAAAATATATTTTGATTCCTGCCAACCTACTTCCTTCAGAGTTTTGGTATCCCTGACATCACAATCAACTATCATAAAAATAATTGTGATACCTTAATTAAACACATCCAAGACTCTTGAAGCAGAACCTAGAAAAATAGATTAGAAAATTGCACACAGATGAAGTATTTATCTTTTTAAAATTTCTGCTTAAATGCATTTTGAAGCAAAACTGTATTTTTTATTCAAAAATAGAGTCAAGATAGTCATAATTAGTATTGTTTGGGGAATAATTTATTATAATATTATTCAAGCTCAAAACATGCCTTCAGAAGACTCTTAAAGACTCTTTCGAATTATTTTCACCTGCCTCTGAAGTGAAGGACATTTTACAAAAGCACAAAGTGGAAAAAATTATAAATAACTATGGTTAGTAAAAGGAAGGCAGGTGGCATTGATTAGAAGAAAATAGTAAAAGATTATCATTTGGAAGTAATTTCACAATTACGTGCTATGGATTTATCTAGTCTGGAAACTACTGTGTGAGAGTAATGCAAATTTTGCTGAGCTTCATAAATATGAAGCATTTAAGATGAAAAATTAGCAGCCTAATCACATTATCCTCTACACAGGAGCACATGGTTAGATATTTTTGCATCTGAAATTCTCTCCAATCACAGATCATTACTATATACTATCTTCGAAGCAGTGGAGACTAGAAGAGGGAAATAGCTGTGTTATTTGACATCCTGTTCTATTTTTCAATACCTAATACATAACAAACACTCAAAAAATACTGATCAATAATGTCTTTAATGAGAATTCAGATTAAAATAAATGTTTATTACAAATAGTCTTTGGGCACAATGCAGTTACTAGGATCATCTTGACATAATTTCACATAAATCACAAACTGGGCAAGTTTGGGCAATGAGCTCACATAACTACTTATTATTTTCAATGTTATATGAACTCTTCTTAGATCATAATGGAGCCAGCCTTCAGTGCAGAGTAATCTTCTCTGACATATCATAATTTACATATGCAACGCATACGTGAAAATACTTTCAAGTTTTTAGGCAATATCACCTGTGACCATGAAAATGACTTTGATTAGCAAAGAGAACAAACTTCTCCCCATTTTGCTCTTCTTTTGTAAGGAATTTCCCTTTGCAACCTTATGCACTGCCTAGTTCTCAAAATCAGCTGTGAACAAGAATAAACTAAGGATGTTGAAAAAAATTCAAATTCCTGAATCTAACCCAAAGAGATTCTAAGGAAGTAGGAAATAATGATGGCTGCCTTGACTGCTGCATGGGATAATGAGACAGCAGATTTGAAAGACTTCTTTTTAATTTTTATTTTTATGGAGTTGAAATTATTATTGTTATAATTAATGCATTTAAGAAACCACATAGGAAAAGGTTTGTTTGTTTGTTTTATTTGTTTAATTTTATTATTATACTTTAAGTTTTAGGGTACATGTGCACAATGTGCAGGTTTGTTACATATGTATACATATGCCATGTTGGTGTGCTGCACCCATTAAGTCGTCATTTAGCATTAGGTATATCTACTAATGCTATCCCTCCCCCCTCCCCCCACCCTACAACAGTCCCCGGTGTGTGATGTTCCCCTTCCTGTGTCCCTGTGTTCTCATTGCTCAATTCCCACCTATGAGTGAGAACATGTGGTGTTTGGTTTTTGTCCTTGTGATAGTTTGCTGAGAATGATGGTTTCCAGTTTCATTGTTTGTTTTTTTGAGACACAGTCTCACTCTGTTGCCCAGACTGGAGCCACATCATGGCTCACTGCAGCCTTGTTCTCCCCAAGTGACTGGGGTTTCACTACGTTACCCAGGCTAGTCTTAAACTCCTGGGCTCAAGTGATACACCCGCCTCAGCCTCCCAAAGTGCTAAGATTACAGGCATGAGGACCACACTCAGCTGGAAAAGATTCTTTTCAGTAACTTTTTTCTAATTATAGGAGTATTACATGTTCATTATATAAAATTTGGAAGACAATGAAAGGTATAAATAAGAATCTGCTCATATCCCAGAAAGAAAAGTTAATGCTTTTCTTTCTTTTATGGAACTTTTAAATTATTAAAACACAAAGAAAATTGCAATAACCACACGTTTAGATCAGTTGACTTTTCACAAACAACTCACCTGTGTAACCAGCGTCCAGCTCCCAAATCCAGAAATAGTATGTTATCAGCATCTCAGAATCTTTCCCATTTCATGCCTCCTTTTGTTACAACACTCCACCAAAAATATATCTTGACTTCCAATGCCATAGGTAAGTTTTAAGTTTTGTGTGCTTTTGACTTATCTGTGTGTGTCTGTGTATATATATATTTGTAAAATATATATTTTTGTATATATGTAAATATATGTGTGTACATATATACATATACTTATGTATACTAAGTCTAGCCTAGGCAACACAGTGAGACCTTGTCTCATATGTATATGTATATGTATATGTATATGTATATGTATATGTCTCATATATGAGATATACGTATATATATGAGACAAGGTTTCATATATATGTGTGTGTCATATACATATATATGTATACATATATGTGTCATATACATATATATGTATATGAGACATACGTATATGTCTCATATACATATATGAGCTCTCATATATATGTATATGTCTCATATATGAGATATACATATACATATATAAATATGTATATGTATACATATTTATACATATAAATATGTATACATATAAATATATATGTATATGTATATCTCATATATGAGACATATACATACATATATATATAAAAATATATATATGTGAGACAAGGTCTCACTGTGTTGCCTAGGCTAGACTTGAGTAGCTGAGATTACAGGCATGTACCACTGTGCCTGGCTCTATACATTTTTATATATACATCTTCATTTTCTTAACATTAAATTAAGAGAATATGGGCATTTGTGAAATTTATTCATATTGTTCTGTATAGTTATATTTTACTCATTCTTTTAGCTGTGAATATGCCACAGTTTGGGGCAATTACAAATTGTTCTACTATAGACATTCTTGTACATCTTTTGTGGTGAACATATATATATACATTTATGTTGGAGATATAATTAGGAGTAGAATTGCTGGGTCACAGGATATCCATACATTCACTTTAGTATATGGCCAAATGGTTTTTCAAAGTGGTTGGACCAAGTTACACTCCCGCTAGATGAGTATGAGAGCTCTAGTTGCTCCACATCTCACCAAAATTTGGTGTGCTCTTTTACGCTTTAGCCATTTCAATAGACAGAATGTTGTTATACTGTGGTTTTAATTTATATTTGCCTAATGACTAATAAAGTTGAACTCCTATTATTAACATTGTGATATATTTTTCTTTTTTCTATATGTATGTGTATAATGTACATATATTTTAAAATTAAGATTATATTTCATATGCAGTTTCACATGTACCTGAAGTTATCATATGAAATTTCCATATTTATAAATGTTATTCAGAAATGTTAATATGACCTTTAGAATATCATTCTGCTAATGTACTTGAGTGTAATTTTATATACACCCAAGCAGATTAGAAAAATATATTCACCAGAGTCTAGTATGTGGGATAATTTATTATTTTCATTTTCTTCCATCTCATCAACAATAATTAATTTATGTGCTGATATATTTATGCTCAGATATTAATTAAAATCTGAATAAAAATAGGCCAATAAAAACAACACTGAAATTTTAATTGAACAACTAATATTACTGGTTTGGTTTCTAGCTCCCCTTTTTCTCTTAAGTCCTGGATATTAAATTGATTAAACTGATTATTTTATCCCAGGATGAGAAGCAGTGGAGTGGAGCTGTAGTAAAGTCACCCGAAGATACTGGCATATTCCCTGGCTGTGTTGGGAGGTTTTTGTGCAGATCAAGTGAGAGTCATTTAAATCTGAAAACAATTTGTACTATGTAAGGCATTATGATAAATTAGGGATTATTATTATAATTCTAGCACAGCAGCTTGTAAATATAAAGTTCTCAATAAATATTTGCCCAAAGTCAAAAGTACAGGTGGCCAGTTCACAAATAAAGGCTATTCTGAGATATTCTGCAGTTGCAAAATTAAAAATGCCAGACTCTCATAATGAGAGATGCCATTAGGATTAACTCCACTTTTAATCATTGTAGAGAAATGTAATACTGAACATAAAGTTACCCCATTAGAACAGACATAAAAGATTACAATATTTTTTTAAAAATAAGAATGCTGCTATTAGTCAGAGTTTAGGTTTAACTTATAAATATTCATCTAACAAAAGGCAATCTATTACTTATATATTTCCCTGTATAACTGATTTAGTACATTATATTTTCAAGACAATTCTTAGCATTAGACTGTCAGTAATATTCTGGGTATGTTAGAATGTAACTTAATGTATTTATCACAGTTAGGCACAGCTGCCTCAGTAACCAGATATAGCAGTTACTTATGTGCTTTATATGTTAGAACAATGTAGCAGAGACCTTTGGCAGGTGTGGGGGATTGCTTTTAAAAAAAGGTTTGAAAAAAAGAGTGACTACTCATTGAACATAAACCACGTTCTACAAACTTCACAAGGTAGTTGAAGTGATAAGCATTTCATTTAACCAGAAATCAATAGCTTACTTTCTGTCACTGTGTTATGATGGGTAAGGCTTAAAACTGTGAGCATTTTTAAAAAATGAGTTAAGTTATACTGAGAACATATTTAAGAAGGACAAGTCTGAATTCAGCACATATTTCCTATTCTCATTGGCTTATATCATGAGGTTACGTGTAACACACTGCACTTTTTCACAAATGCCTAGGCCCATCCAGCAACAACCTGCATTTCTCAGATAGTGAGCACTGCTTCCTTTTCTCTTTCTCCTATTTATTTGTAGATGTCTGTGTAATTTTAAAATTCATCTCACTTATTGCCTCTAAGCCACTTGGAGGCAATATAGGGAGCACCCAGGTCCACATAGTGACATTTCCAGAGCTAATGATATATGCTGTATGTCACAACTCACCCAGAACTTACAAGAAAAAAAATAAGGCTACCAGACCAAAATCCAAAATACAAGCATTTCTGAATTTGTAACAAGGATCACATTTGCAGCATTGCTAATTCCAACCCTTCGAAAATCTTCTAACACAGTAGTATGTAGATTATTAGGGTGATAGAGAACATAAACAATGTGTAGTCAAAATATCATTTGAGAACTTCCTGCATCAGAAGGACCTGAAATGATTACTGAAAAATGCCCCACTCACACCCTCAGAGTACAAATCCCTGGGCCTAAGCCAATTAGTCTAGATTTTTATTACATTCGCTTGGTGATTCTTATACATGATAAAGTTTGAGCATCTCTGCTATAACATATCAGAGTATTTATCAGAGATAATTCTGTGAAGCTAGGCTTCAGACAGCAGCTGACCTGCTAGCATAATAAGCAGGGGCGTCAGGAACACAGGTTATGGCTAGGCATGGGCATCAGCCATTTAAAGTCAGGCAAGCATAACAGTCCTAGGCACTGGTTGTGGTTAGATTCTACATGGAGGAAGAAATACTGGTTTGTATCAGCAGATATCAAAATTGGGTTAGAAAGTAAGCAGAGCAAGAGGTCATGTGAAGAAGCTGCTTCACAGAGAAACGGTCCAATCTCTGGATACTTCCATAGGTAAATGTAACTTAGACCTAGTTGAAGGTCCTCTGAATTGTAATCTATTCAACAAAAATATAAATATACATACAAATATGTACATATGTATGTTTATGTACATATATGTATGTGTATACATATTATATGTGTATATATGTATTAAATATGTGTGTATATATTTAAAGATGTGGCAGTAATTAGACAAATTAGTCTCTGCTCTTAGGGAATTAGTACTGCAGTAAGAGAAAACAAAAAATAAATAGAAAAATATACTGAAGCCAACTGGTGACAATAATATAAAAAAATTAAAGCAAGACAAAGGGTGTGGAGAGTAACAGTGTTATTTTAGGTAGGATGATCACAGAGGTATCTTTAATAATGACTTTTGAGGAAAGACTTAAAGGAAGTGAGAAAGCAAGCCATGCAGATATCTGAAGGAAGATGCTTCTAGGTAAAAATTTCCAAGGTTGGAACATTCTTGGGAGGTCAAGGAGCAGCAAGAAGGCTAGTGTGCCTGGTGCCAACTGTCCAAAAGGGCATGTAAGAGGGGCTGAGGTCAAAGTAGTTACTGTGGGCAGATCTTGGAATATTGCAGGCCCGAGGACTTGAGTTTTACTGTGAGATGTGGAGATTTGAACAGAATAGTGTTTGAAAACGATCATTCTGGCTGTTGTGGAGAAAAGTCTGCAGATGGGCAAGGACAGAAACAGAAAGACCAGTTAAGAGGCTCTGGCATGTCCAGGTGAAAGATAATGACAACCCAGACCAGAGTGGTAGTTGGAGAGATGGAGAGAAGTAATCTGCCTATTTCAAAGGTAGATCTGACAGAATTTTCTAATAGATTGGATCTAGAGTATGAGAGGACAGGAGTCAAGGATGTTTAAATGTTTTCTGCCTGAACAGCTGCAAGAATGGAGTTGCCATTTACCGAGGGGGAAAGCAGCGGGAAAAACAGATTTAGAGGGAAGTAGGAAATAAGAGTTTGATTTGGTGGGGGCTTGTTAGGTTTGAAATGTTTATTAGGCATTTAAGTGGAAACGTCAGGTAAGCAGTTGAAAATATGAGTCTGAAGTTCAGGGGTGAGAATAGGGCTGGACATAAAAATGTCATCAGTGTAGAGAGGCCAGGGAACTGGGTCAGGTCATCTAGAGAATGCATGGAGATAAAGACGAGGCCCAAGGACTGAGCCCCAAAGCACAACAATGTTCAGCTGAGAAAAAGCCAACCAATGAGAGGAAGCAGGGTCAGACAGCAAAATTGGAGGAAGCCAAGGAGAGTGATGTCCATGGGGTAACACGAAGAAAACGTTTTAAGGAGGGAGTGACAGTCTGTGACAAATGCTGACAACAGGTTGAGTATGATGGGAACTGAAAATTGACCGCTAAATTTGATGACATAAAAGTCATTATTGACTTTGACAAAAGCAGTTTTAGTGGTGCAGGATGAACAAAGACCTGAATAGATTTGACATCAGAGAAATTGAGGAGGGAAAGTAAAGACAGCTGAAATAGTCAAGTTTCAAGGAGTTTAGCTATAAAGGACCAGAGAAAAGGCTTGGTAGATGGGGAATATCGAGAAGGCATGGAAGTATGTTGTTATTTTGAGGTGGGAGATATTACACGTTTTTAGGCTAATGGAAATGAGCCAGTAGAGAGGGGACAAATTACAATGCAAAATGAAGATGAAAAGTGCAGGCATGAAGTTCCTGAGGAGATAAAAGAGGGTGGCATCCAGTTCACAACAGGAAGAGCTGGCCTCGGGAGAAGAAAGTTTGTCATTTAAAACAAATGGAAAAGTAAAATATTCAGGTCAAAATACAAGTAGATTAATAAATGTGGTAGAAGGATAAGGAAATTATATTCTTGATTTTCCCTCTTTACCCAGTGAAATTAAAGAAAGAAGTAACCAGCTGAGGGTGAAGAGGGGGAAGGAGGTGCTTGGGATCAGTAGAGTGTAACAGTAGATTGACTAAAGAAATGTAGCAAGATTTGCTGGGCAGCATCAGTAATGTACTCGAATTTTGTGGTTTTCTTTTTTCTTTTCTTTTCTTTTTTTTTTTTCTTTTTGAGAGGAAGTCTCCCTCTGTCACCCAGGCTGGAGCGCAGTGGCACGATCTCGCTCACACAGCCTCTGGGTTCAAGACACTCTCCTGCCTCAGCCTGCAGAGTAGCTGGGATTATAGGCGCACACCACCGCGCCTGGCTAATTTTTGTATTTTAGTAATTTTTGTATTTAGTATTTTGTATTTAGTAGGTTTCACCATGTTGGCCATGTTGGCCCGTCTCGATCTTCTGACCTCAGGTGATCCGCCTGTCTCGGCCTCCCAAAGTGCTGGGATTATAGGCGTGAGCCACCACGGCTTGTGGTTTTCAATGTCAGATGAGGCCAGCAATGTTTTGCAGGTGTGAAAACAGTAGAAAGTTGAATCTAATCAAAGTTGAGTTTTTGCCAGGTGATTGTGACAGAGGGAAAGAGGAGCAAGAAAGGTGAAGATGAATCCTCATCATATAGTCACAATAGCTATAATTTATTCATTATCTGTGATGTGCAAGACACCATGCCCAGCAATTTATGGAACTGATCTACAATCTTTGCAATAAACCTTAAGGGTAAGTATTATCTCCATTTTTCAGGTTAAGAAACTAAGGCTGAATGAGATTCAGTGACTTACAAAAGCCACATATATCTAGTAGGTATAAGAGCTGGGACTCAGTGACATTTTGCATATCTTACATTGGTAATAATGATATGCAAATTCTGATATTATTAATTCTGATTTTCCATCTGTGGCTCATTAGAAATGTAACAGGGAGAAATGAAAACGTGACTGCTGGAGTCAGCTTTGGAAAATACCCCTCACATACACTCCAACCAATCATGGCATGCTAATTTAAGTGCTTGAGGAAATTTTCTGTTTGCAAAACCTTTTGATAAGAGCAGAATAGGCTGAGTAACCAGATTTTTGAACTTGAGCCAAGCCCAAGGAATTGATTCTAAGAGCTTTGAAACTTTTTGAAACTTTTTTTTTTTTTTTTGTAATGTCAAAGTTTCTACAGTTCTTTCTGTTGCTCATGGTGGTGGCTTGATTTCACCCTTATGGCTCAGGACTCTTATTTGAGAAAAAAAACAATTCAATAACTTTAGCAAGACAGCTATCACACTAAGATCCTAATCTCAAATGGACAATGAGGAGCTAAACTGCACTGCATTATAAATAAAGGGCCTCTTCATTGAGTGCTGTTTCTGAAAACCATAAATTGTCCAATTTTAGGGGTTCTGAACCCAAGAACAGAGAGTATTTTGTCAATGCCACCTCTAAATGATGGGGAAGAACACACTTCTCTAACATGGCACTGGCCAAGGAAAATGGGAGAATGGCCAGTTGGGAATAGCAACATCTAATCTCCAGTTGGTTTTCTTCTGCATCGTAAACCCCATTCTGTTAGCCTCAAGCCTTTCATAAAGTTTTATTTAAAACCACAGCCTGCTCTTACAGGTCTGGGGGATTTAGAATGGGACCTAGGTCCACACATGGAACAAGGTGTTGTGTGAATTGCTGCAGAAGCCTTAAGAAATGGTTATGAGAAACCAAGAAACCTAAAGAAACTGTCCAGATGAGAAGACATATATTACTGGAGAGTCTCAAAAAGAGGAAGAAGGTAACAAACAGGACTTCCTCCTAATCAAGCGAGATGAGGAACCATCACTGCTGTTAACATAGGAAACTTAGGAACAGCTGAATTACAGAAACTCTGTATCTCTCTACCACACATTTTCAGCAGTACTTGTCAATATTCATGTTAGCTCCTTACAGATAACATAAATACAAGGTATCCAGCCTAATGTTAAATGCCTTTGTGATTGTCCCCTAGAGTTTCTGAGTCCTACCCTCTGACTTGCACTGGTGTTCAAAAGACACAAAATTATATGAATGTTTCAGATACAAAAGAGCAACACAGAAGAATCTACTAAGTAGCTATTCACTCCTTTCTCAGAACCCGTGTCATATGCTCTAGGTTTTCATCATGTTTTCACCAAAAACACATTCTTGCCACACCCCTTTTACAAATAGCACTCAATTTCTTCCCGC
Source organism: Homo sapiens (assembly GCF_000001405.40). Classification (NCBI taxonomy): domain Eukaryota; kingdom Metazoa; phylum Chordata; class Mammalia; order Primates; family Hominidae; genus Homo; species Homo sapiens. The sequence goes on along the minus strand of NC_000003.12, from coordinate 180,047,877 downwards.
CTCACTGAAGTCACTGAAATGAAGTCTGGGACCCTCATTTATCTATCTTCCTTTTTAGTTTGTTTGCTTTATTGGCAAAACTTCATGGCAAACCTCACTTTGCAAAACTTAGAAAATACAGAATTACAATGCAAAACTCAACATAAACTCACAGAGTAGGCATCACTACTAGCATCCCAGAGGTATTTGATTCTAGAACAAATATTGAAAACATACACTTACACACATATATAAGCATCTCTCATTATCTTCATTATCTGAAAATAATCTGCTTCTTAAAAAATGTTGAAATAGTAAATTTTCAGTTAACAGGAGCCTATATCTCATCACTTTAATATGAAAAAAATTTTCAACCCATCAAAACCCTCCAAATAATTTCCTCAAATATCATTAAAACACTCTTAAACACCAATATAACAAGTCGCCAAGAATTTCTGCATAATATAAAGCAGATAAAACACCAATTACCTAATTATTAAACTCTTAATGAACTCATTAGTAGGCATGTTTGCATGCAGTACACATGGAGATTGTACATTAGCAAATGTAAATTACATTTTCCTTCTACACTACAGAAAGTGTGCCTGTAATGCAAACAATAAAATAATGAATCAGATAATTAAAGTAACATCTGAATTAAACCTGGGCTGGTAGACCCCTTCGGGTGCCTCACAGAAGCAATCACTGGTACCCTTGAATATCTAGATCCACAGGGAAAGGGTTGGAAAGACCATAAATGATAATTCACAGCATGTTTAAACTCTTATAGGGAATAGGTGCAATAAGACTGCAGTGGTCAGTACACCTTCTTGCTTTCACATTACTAATTTTCCCTAGCTAGTGTTGGCAAATTCCTCATAAGTTTTTTTTTAAGATAATGAATTTGTATGGTGAATTGTTTTGTCAATTTTTGGTAATTGTTTTCAAAAATAATTATAGTGAATGTTCCTTTAGAGAGAGTCAGACAGCAAGAGATTATATTATATATATATGCATATATATGTACACATGCACATACATATGCCCTATGTATATATATACACACATATACTGCTATATATATTATAATAGAAATCACTTTTTTCATTAATATTTACTAACATATTTTCCATGCCATTAGTTTCTAAATCACTCTTTTTAGATGATGAATGGTATTCTATCATACTCAAATGAATAAATTACCATTTTCCTATTGTTGGTCATTTAAGTTGTTTCCAATTTCCCATTATTAAAAAGCAATTCTTTATACATAAATCTTAGTGGAAATTCATGATTATTTAAAAATTTTTGAAAGTGGAAATATTGTCACTGGACATTACTATTTTTGAAGCTCTTGATCTGTATTGCCAAACCATCCTCCAGAAAAGTTGCACTAAGGACAATGCCCCTTGCAATGTAGAAAAGGGTCAGTTTCAAGCACATCTCCAATACTGAGCATCTTCTCAAAAAAAAAAAAAAGAGAGAGAGAGAGAACTTTGCCAACTCAATAAGCAACAATGACACTGCTATGTTTAAGTAACCATTCCTTTCATTACTATTTTTGCTAACTTCTTTATTTATTAATCATTTATTATTTTGAACATTTAAATTTCTTTATTTAGTGAATTTTTATTTTATATTTTGCCCTTGTTCCTATTGGATTTTTTATCTTTCAAAAATATATTCATAAAAGGTATTTGCAATATAATTGCCCATTTTCTGTCATTTATGTTGTGAATAATTTTTCTTCTCAAAGTCTGAGAAATTTCAAAGCTCAAGTATATTTTCATTTACCAAACTGAATCAATTTCCTTAGGAGTATTTGCTAGTATAAAATGAGCCTCATCCATTCATTAGAGCAGAGAATCTACCAAATTTTCACCCCCCCCGCCCCCGCCGCCCCCCAACTCAAATCCTTATCTTTCTTCACATTGGTTAGAAGAACCACAGCTTCAACACTGGCCTAGGTGTCCCTGATTTTCAGGAAGGTCTGATAGGCTGGTCAAGTGGTTCTCACATTCCTTTTCCTGGGATTCCAGCTCTTTTGAGGTGGACAAAGAGGACTGGCCAGAGCTGAGACCTTGATCTGATCAGTCCCTTAACTTGTCCAGCTCTCAATTTCTTCAGCAGTAAAGTGATTACCATAATCCATTTTAGTTTTATCTCTGATACAGTTAATAGTACATGTGCCTGAAAATAACTTTTCATTAGAGGGCTTAAAAGACTTCGTTGGTTTTCAATGCTGAATTCCTTATTTTGCCAAATGAGTAAAATTCATAATTTTTTTTATTAACATTCATTTTTTTGCATATTTACTGACAAAAAATTGACTGCATCACTTTGGAAAACTGAAAAGACTATTAATGGAAAGATGGAAATGTATTCATTCAATAATGCTGGGCACTGTGCTCAGCCCTGAGGAAACAGTAGTGTATAAGAACAATCTCTGCTTGCTAGGATGTACAGCATAGTGGAGAAGGCAGGTCTGCAAATAAACAATTACACTCTTGTGAGATAACACTGTTGAGGAGTGCATGCAACCACTATGTAATCACGAATAAAGCATGCAGAGTAAAGGAAAACATCATAGTGGAGCTGACACTTGAACAAAGGCCTGAAGCAAACATATGTATTTCCTAGCACTTGAAGGAGAAGAAGGAAGGGAGCAAGTTGCAAGTAGAGGGAACATCAAATGCTCAGGCATGGAGGTATGACCCACTGTGGCATATGCAGGGGACTGCCATCAGCTGAAGAAGTCTAAACTATAATTGGGTACTTGTAGGAAAAGAAGTTTGGAAGGAATAATAGTGAACAGCTTTGCTTGCTCTAAAATAAAATGTGGGTTTTATCCTCCTGCTAATGGAGAAAGTTAATTTATTTCAAATATATATATATTTAAAAGTAATTTACAATTATTTTTGAATGTTGACTTTCATTACTTCATAGAGAATAGACTAGAATGAAGAAAAAGAGGAGGACAAAAAAATGTAGGAGGCTTTCACAAATAGTCCAGGAGAGATATGAGTCGAAACTAAGACACTATGAATGTTTATTACAATAATATATAATATTCTAGTGATTCACCCTTTTTGGAATTAAAAAACCTAAGCTCTACCATCCAGTTGCAAAATGCCATAGGCTGTAACAAATACCAATTACCTTGTTTTAAAACATTTTAATTTTACAAGCATTTACACATAGGCATTATATATCACATCAAAATCTTAGTTCTTTTTTCAAAAGTAGCCTTAAGATTTCATTTTCCTGCTGACAACTGTCTGTTGTAAAAGAGGTAAATCAGAATAGGATACTCAAGGAAAGATAATTACTTTAACCAGGATTAGAAACTATAATTCCCAATTCCTTATAAGATTTTATCACCTCTATAGTTGTTTTAATCTTGCTTATCTCTTTCTGCAGCATGAACTCTTTTAAAAATCAAATCCCTTCTTTTTGTGAGTAACAAAACCAACGTCATTTTCACTGATATAAAGTAGAGCTTTGGTTCAATAATATTCCTGAAATGCCTTTCTGCAAATGTTCATGAGGATAGTCACCTTTTCCTAAGTCTAATTATTCATCCACTATATTTTCTCCCTAATGTACTAATTCATCAAAAATATTTTTTCAGATGTCAGTATTTTGTGGCATGAATTGAATTTGGTCATTACTAGTGTACTTTGAGTTAATTATACCCCCAAATTCCTTTATTTATTCATAAATAGAATAATTTATTTCACATTAAAAAATCACTTTAGGAATTAGGCACTTGACTTTGTTGCTCCTGACATTCTTTACTTGAAAAAGCAGGGAATCAGTCCACAGAGCTATAAGCTTTTTCTCCCCAGCCTTAATATTGCGTGATTCTACATAAAATCAATGACAGTTTCATTAATATTTTATTCAAAAGAATTATATTTTAAATTCATATTCAGAATAAATTATTTTAGAATTATTTTATTTTCTTGGTTTTCATACTGTTTCAATACTTCTAATTTATTTTCTACAGTTATTAGAATTTTCTTTTTTATTTTTTTATTTTTTTTGTTTTTTTTATTTTATTATTATTATACTTTAAGTTTTAGGGTACACATGCACAATGTGCAGGTTAGTTACATATGTATACCTGTGCCATGCTGGTGTGCTGCACCCATTAACTCGTCATTTAGCATTAGGTATATCTCCTAAAGCTATCCCTCCCCCCTCCCCCCACCCCACAACAGTCCCCAGAGTGTGATGTTCCCCTTCCTCTGTCCATGTGTTCTCATTGTTCAATTCCCACCTATGAGTAAGAATATACGGTGTTTGGTTTTCTGTTCTTGCGATAGTTTACTGAGAATGATGATTTCCAATTTCATCCATGTCCCTACAAAGGACACGAACTCATCATTTTTTATGGCTGCATAGTATTCCCTGGTGTATATGTGCCACATTTTCTTAATCCAGTCTATCATTGTTGGACATTTGGGTTGGTTCCAAGTCTTTGCTATTGTGAATAGTGCCGCAATAAACATACGTTTGCATGTGTCTTTATAGCAGCATGATTTATAGTCCTTTGGGTATATACCCAGTAATGGGATGGCTGGGTCAAATGGTATTTCTAGTTCTAGATCCCTGAGGAATTGCCACACTGACTTCCACAATGGTTGAACTAGTTTGTAGTCCCACCAACAGTATAAAAGTGTTCCTATTTCTCCACATCCTCTCCAGCACCTCTTGTTTCCTGACCTTTTAGTGATTGCCATTCTAACTGGTGTGAGATGGTATCTCATTGTGGTTTGGATTTGCATTTCTCTGATGGCCAGTGATGGTGAGCATTTTTTCATGTGTTTTTTGGCTGCATAAATGTCTTCTTTTGAGAAGTGTCTGTTCATGTCCTTTGCCCACCTTTTGATGGGGTTGTTTGTTTTTTTCTTGTAAATTTGTTGGAGTTCATTGTAGATTCTGGATATTAGCCCTTTGTCAGATGAGTAGGTTGCGAAAATTTTCTCCCATTCTGTAGGTTGCCTGTTCACTCTGATGGTAGTTTCTTTTGCTGTGCAGAAGCTCTTTAGTTTAATGAGATCCCATTTGTCAATTTTGGCTTTTGTTGCCATTGCTTTTGGTGTTTTAGACATGAAGTCCTTGCCCATGCCTATGTCCTGAATGGTAATGCCTAGGTTTTCTTCTAGGGTATTTATGGTTTTAGGTCTAACGTTTAAGTCTTTAATCCCTCTTGAATTAATTTTTGTATAAGGTGTAAGGAAGGGATCCAGTTTCAGCTTTCTACATATGGCTAGCCAGTTTCCCCAGCACCATTTATTAAATAGGGAATCCTTTCCCCATTGCTTGTTTTTCTCAGGTTTGTCAAAAATCAGATAGTTGTAGATATGTGGCATTACTTCTGAGGGCTCTGTTCTGTTCCATTGATCTATATCTCTGTTTTGGTACCAGTACCATGCTGTTTTGGTTACTGTAGCCTTGTAGTATAGTTTGAAGTCAGGTAGTGTGATGCCTCCAGCTTTGTTCTTTTGACTTAGGATTGACTTGGCGATGCGGGCTCTTTTTTGGTTCCATATGAACTTTAAAGTAGTTTTTTCCAATTCTGTGAAGAAAGTCATTGGTAGCTTGATGGGGATGGCATTGAATCTATAAATTACCTTGGGCGGTATTTCTGCATACATGATTCATAAGTTATTTAAGAATAAAAAGGAATAAAACAAGGTTCTTGTCTCTACATCTGCCTACGTCTAATAGAGAGTTAAAAAGCACAGAAATAACTAAACAAAAGAAAAATTTTGGGGGCCTGGTGTAGTGGCTCACACCTGTAATTCCAGCACTTTGGGAGGATGAGTCACAAGGCTCCCTTGAGGCCAGGAATTCAAGACTACCCTGAGCAACATAAAAAGACCCTAACTCTACAAAAAAGGTTTTTAAAAAAATTAGCCAGGCATGGTGGTGCATGCCTGTAGTTTCAGCAACTCAGGAAGCTGAGGCAGGAAGATCACTTGAGCCAAGGAGTTTGAGGCTACAGTGAACTATGATCATGCCACCGCACTGCCGTCTAAACAATAGACGGCAGTTTGTTGTTTGTCTCCAAAACAACAAAAAAAGAAAAACTATAATTTAAAAAAATGTCATTTGGCGTATCATAAAGAAGTTCCCAGCAAAGAGAAGTATTCAGTTAGAGGATGAAGAAAGGCTTCAGGAAGGAAATGGAATTGGAAACCAAATTTGATAAATGAATGAGCTTTTATTCAAGAGGAGTGGGGAGAGAGAGTACATTCCAAGAAGAGGCAAGAGTATGAGTATAACTTGGGCTGACTTTGGGGAATAATTAAAAAGCAGGGTTATTGCAAAAGGTAGAGAACATACAGAACTGAAAAAAGACAGGGTCAGTCTATGGAAAGCCACTGTATTCATAAGTATTCTTTTGGTTGCAAGTGACCAAAAATCCAGTAAACCAGAAAAGAGATGGCACTAGCTGAAATAAAGATTACTTTAGACTAGCTTTTAAGTGTGGTTTATTTAGTGGCTCAAATTTTGTCTCCTGGAGCCTGCCTGGATTATTATTCCCCCAGGTTGGTTTTCTTTTCAGAGTTGGTGTGCTGGATTCTGGCAGTTCCAAGCTAACATCAGTAGAACATCCAGTCCAGAGGAAGAATCAATCTGCTCCCGAGTAGTCCTGGAGCTGAGTTCATTTCCCTGATTGACTGACGTGGGTAATATGCCCATCTCCAACTGTGACCAATGGGGACGGAATGCACTGGTTGGCTCAGCCTGGGTGCTATGTTGCAACCCCAAAGCCTGGTAGTAAAATGTTTCCTACCACACAAGTGGACCAGAGTGAGGAAGAGATGGTTATTCAAAGCAAAGAGCCTTGAGAAAAGAGGCTTCCTGCCACTAGAAGAGGATGTTGCTCTGGGCAGCAAACGATATTCCATGACTGTGAATAAAAAGCTGAAGTTTTGGGACATTAGTGGGCAATGGAAAGCCACTAAAGATTTCTGACCTGAGCAGCATTGTGATTAATGCTGACCTTTATAAAATTAATCTGGCTGCGATGTATATGACAGGTTGATGTAGGAGATGAACGGAGGTGATAAAACTAGCTTTAAGTGATAAGAGGTTTAGGGAATCTGGGCTAGGATGGCAGTGGCAACAGTAGAAAGGAGTAGTCAAAAGCAAGAAATATTTTTGTTCACAAATGTTTTCTCACCAGGAATAAGAAACTCTAGAAAGTACACTTAATATTAAAAGCAATATTGGATCACTGAAAAAACATTGTCCTAAAGAGTAAACAAATATAGTGTAATTTCTTAAATTGGTTTAATAGGAGGCCCAGCTCTGAAGCATCCAGCTTGTTTGTTCATTTGGAAGAACATTGCTGCCATCTCCTCGTCATCAGAGTCCACATACTCTTATTATTCATAATTCTTCCTGGCAGCCTGGGGTTCCCAAATTTTTTCCAGATCAAATGCCCTGAAACACCAGCTAATCTCATTCTATGTGTCGAAGAGACAAAAAGGGTAAGTGGGCAAACTTTAACAAAATGTTCCTCCTTCTGATTGAACAACAAATACCAATTAGTCATTTTAATTTTGGTCTACAATTATTTTGACTTTTGTTCTCTCCTGCACCATCTTTCAGCACCAGAGTTTGAATTCTACAGATTATGAAAGAATGATTGAATCATCAAAAGACTCTTATCTCTGATTTTTAAGTCCACAAGAACACTAACCTCATCATTTTTACTAAGTTTTTTCAAAGATTTAATAAATCCTGAATTTTCAATACCCATTTGAAATGCAGGAGGATTCGCTTACTAATAAGCAAAATTAAATTTTGTCAATACAAAATAGATTCTACTGCTACCTCTCAATTATTTAATTGTATTACAGTGATTAAAATTGCAGTGGTACTAAGCACATTTCTTGCTGTAAGAAAGCTGAATGTGCTATGATTTTATGCCAAGTCCACTGACCACTCAAAATACAGTGAGATTATTTTATAAATGGAGTGCAATATGCATTCTTCTTCTCTAGTGGTACTGAGGTTGCTCATGTGTTATCACTGCAAAAGGCAAGAGCTAGCTTTGCCACATATTTACATGAATAAATAAACCTTCTAGGCCACAGTGCTGGTCAAATTTTATGGTGCATACAAGCACCTGGGGATCTTGTTGAAACGCATATTCTAATTCAGTAGGTCAGAAATGGCACCCAAGAGTCTGCATTTCTTACAAGCTCCCAGGACATGCTGATGTTGCTGGTCCACACACCACGTTTTGAGTAACAAGGGTCTTCAAATTTAATTACAAAATAAATCTTTTGTAAAATATTTTTCTGGACCTAGCTTATTAGACATGCATTGTTTCTGAGGAAAATAAAGATAATTCAAATCTCATTCCTAGTCTAAGAAATAGTCTAGGAAAGTGAAAGTTAAGCTTAACCAATCAGAAACCACAAACTAACCTCTAACTATGGACTTTCCATTAGAATGATCCAAATAAATCCAGTATTCCTCTTTAACCAAATAATTTCTTTGCTCTGCTTCCACATTTACCCTATAAAATCTTTCCCTTTAACGACTTCCGACAGAGTCCCCAACTGCTTTCGGTCTGCTGCTGCCTGATGCATGAATGGCTATTTGCTCAAAAAACCCTTTAAAATTTTAATGTGCCTTAGTTTATCTTCTAACAGAAGGAATAAGTGTGAAGAGGAATTCTTCACAAAGGAAAGCTTTCACTCCTGAGATTTTGAGAATGTAGGCAGTAACGAAATCAGTGACTCAGGTTTAAGAAGAGAATATATTGAGTTCTAGCTTCAACACTAGGCAGTTGCCATTCTGATCCAAATGCTTTTATGGTTGTTGGCTCCTTGAACCTGCCGTTAGATAATAACAAGCATATAATGGATTGGAAAACTTTGACCCTATTGTTACTTCACAGATTTCTAGTACTTTTAAATCAAAGCACTATACTTTTCCCAGTTTTTATATAACATGATAGTATTATATGATAATTAGTACCATTTTAAAATCTGCAGTACTTGAGGTCTCAGAAAATCAGTCCTCATCTTTTCTGAACTGGGAAAAAAAAGTCTGTTTGCATATTCATATATCATGGTTGGTAATTTACAACTTCCTTTGCATACATTCAGTCCTCAGCAGCTCTGTGCAGCACACTAGGTAGATATTTGTCTTATTTCAAAATTGAGGAAATAGAGAGTTGGTACACTTGCCCAAGAGAGCATTGAGGTAGTGAGATGGAACTAGCACCTCTTGTTGCTGACTCCAAGTCCTGTGCTTTGTCCTATAAAGAACAATAAAATAAGAACTGGATGACATTTTACAGTTTACAGTGCTTATGAACATATCTCTATTTTCAGGGTAAAAAAAATAAGTTTTTTATACAGAGTTTAGACATGAAAAAACTGATGTCCAAAGTAGTAAAAGGAAATTGTCCAAGGGTAACTACTAGTGGAATCTAATAGGAATCCATGTCTCCTGCTTACAGGTCTTAGTCCTTTTGTGTTTGTTTGGTTGGTTGTTTTAGGACCTCAGATGCATTGAATTGGTTCATTTCACATCCTTTTGTTCATTTCACATTCTCCTCATTAGTCCATACATGGTTCTATTTTATTTAGTTACACAGTAATTTTTAATAGGATATTAGGTGTCCTATGAATCACTACCCGGCATAGAAGATAAGACATTAACATCTAAACTTCAAGTGAAATGCTTCCCCATCTATTTCCCTGCCTCCCTTCACCCAGGGTCACCAACACTCTGAACACTATATTCATTGTTCCACTGCTTTCCTTTTTATATTGTTGTATATGAATATATGAATACACATTGACATTTCTAGGGATTTTTTAAACTTTATAAAAAGCATATTATGCTATATGCAATATTTTGGGGATATCATGCTGTACATAATATGAGGGGCCTGTAGAATTGGAGATGTTTTTACCAACAAAATTAGGTAATCACAGTATACACCACCCCGTGGTGTGTGTGTATATATGAACATTTATTGTGTAGACACATCAAACTACCCAGTCTCAACTTGAGACATATTTAAATGCACTCTTCATATATGTGTGTATGTGTGTGTAAGTGTATAGTAGTAAAGGTCTATTCATTCAGCAAATATTTATTGTGTGCCTGCCATGTGTCAGGAAGTACTAAATACCTTACTGTGCACACACGTGCAAAACCAAGTGCAACACTCCACCCCCCTAAAAAAAAGTCCCTGATCTCATGGAAATAACATTGTACAGAGGGAGAGACAGACAGTACATAAAATAAATATGGAAAATATAAAGGATGTTAGGTGATGTTACGTGCTAGGGAAAAAAATAAAACATGCCAGATCCTCAGGGACTAGGGTTTGCCGTTTTAAATAGAATGCTCGGCGATGAACTGGGGATGAGGGGAGCGGGGAGTCTTTATTTAACGGGTGATACGGACGTAACTTTCGAGAGCTGAATCAGAACCGAAGTAAACTCTTCGGCAACCCCTGCACTCAGCCTATAATGTCTGTAGGATAACAGGCTCAGCCGCGGTGGATGGCCCCCGGAGAGACGATGCATGTCTTCCCGCCTTTCTTCCGGCCGGCCATCCTCTCCGCTAGAATCGCCCTGCCCGCCGACGCCGCACCTGAACGCCGCGCTGCTGCGGGCGTTGTACACCAGCGCGACCACCGCCTGCCGGCACCTCGCCTTGCCGCCGCGCGCGCGCAGCCCCGAGGACGCGCTCGGGGAGCGCGCACCGCCCGGGGCCGCCCTCGGGCCGCTCCCAGGCCCCTGGGAACGCGCGCGCGTGCCCGGTCCCGCGGCCTCTCGGCAGGCACGCGGCTGGGAGAACGGCGCGCGCCCCGCTCGGCAGCTGCGGCGGCGGCTGGTGTAGGCGCTCACGTCAGGGCTGGGAGGAGGGGGTTCGCAGCTCAGAGAGAGAGAGACATGAGGCAACCTGGCAGGAAGCGAGAAAGAGTTCGGCGAAGAAGGAGTGAGTTCTAGAGACGCCCCGCGAGCAGGACCCGCGCCTGCAGGAGAGCCTGGCCGACCCGGCTCCTCGCCTTCTCTGCGCGCTCTCCCGCGTCCGCTTTCAGCACCCCGAGCGGAGAACAGTTCCCGGCAGCCCGCAGCGCTGCCGAGTGGCCGCCGGCCGGCCGAGTACCCGGAGCTCCAGGGGGCTCAGGAGCACCCTCTGAGAACCCGCTGTGCACCCACCTTTTCCCCTCTTTTGGTGGGCAAGTAAGCACGGGGGAAAAGCATCCGGTGGCCTCAGGGAGCCCTGAAGAAACCGAAGCAGAATGTACCAGGGACACATGCAGGTAAGACATTTCTATAGGGCTGGAGAGAATTCTTGGGGGCTAATTTAAGAGCAAGGCGGTTCACCAAGTTTCTGTGGTCAAGTGCTGCCTTCGCACAGCTCAACAAGTGAAGTGATGCAACATGACCGTGACATTTCTGTCCGGTGCTGCCGGGAAAACTAGACCGGTTTCCGAAGGTGGGAGAAGGGGAGGGAAGACCTCAGAACTTCGATTGGGGAAGTTTGTTTTCTGTGCATTCCCTGAGCCTGTTTCTTTAAACAGGATCAAGGAATCGAAACAGAGGAAACCCTAGAGATGACCGTGTTTCCGTTGTAATCCTATTGATGCATCTCAGCATGTATGTCAACTGAAGGGCAAACAATAATAGGAAAGACAAAGCTTTTCCTTTACCATCTGAAAAGGTTGCTTGACTTAGAACACTCTGTCACTTTCGTTTCATTTTTTAAAGTGTTATATTTAAAAAACGATTTATAGTGTATTTTCCCCCTTCACATTATGGGACATTGCCATCTACTCCAATAGTCACAGGATGACTTGGGAGGATGAATTTCAAACACATGTCCAAGGAGCTCTAATGTTTTTCAGGGGAGGTGCTGCCTCCGGTTGTTATTAATATTCATCTGAGCTGAGCCGCTGCTTCTTTCCGATGCAAACACACTCTACTCTCTTGGGCAAGATTACTTTAACCTTGACTCCAGTTCTCATTCATACGGTTGGTTGGTTCTTATAAAGGCAGATATATGCTTTGGGAGAAAAATAAAATACTAACTCAGCTTTCTAAAGTATGAACTGGACTCTTTATCGCACCTAAATGGTTTAGTCATCAGGTTTGATGTTTGGGCTTCCTTTCCATTCCAAAGATGGTCAAATACAATCATTATGTGTGATGCCTTTATCCTGGTGTATAACATTTATGAATACTGAGGATTTTGCTTCTGTGTCTTTTAGAGCAATTGGAAATAGATAAATATGTTGTTATATTTATGACTTAGTACTACCCAGATTTAATTTCCATAACTTAGGGAAATTCTTTTGGACTATAATCCATTTTTAAATAAAACACAATATTTCATCATAGTCTCAATTTTTATAAGAATTCTCAATATACAGTGCCAGAATTCCAAAAGATTTCCCGTATGACTAACATCATCCTGTTTTGAAAATTATTAATGTGATTATATCACATTTGATAGACAAAAAGTAGTGAATGAAGTATATTTTTAAATATTATATATGATCAATGTGATCTGCATGTTTCTTATAAAAGCTACACCAATTGAAAAGTTAAGTAACATAGAAGAATTCAAATAATGACTGCTGAAAAAATTAACAAAGAATTATTACTATAGTTTTATGCTTCATCTTCACCCAAGAATGATACTTACAATTTTATATATTATCTGTTTTTTAAACAGTTTCTTCACAAGGGTAAAACAGGAAGATTTTAATAGAGTCAACCCTCAAAAAATTGTTCATTTACACAAAATTGACAATTGACCACTAAGGGGAAATTAACAAAAACTTTGCACAGTATTGTTTTGTTGCTTAAAAAATATGTTACTGTGAATGAAGAATCGAAGCAACAATATGGTAAATTCATGCACCCAAAAACAATTTTAACTCAATTTTCTCAATATCTCAAAGGAGAATGTTATTGAAACTTGAGTTGCCTGGAACAATGTCTGAGGGTTTAATTTCACTTTGAAAGAATAAACAAAATATAAGACTCTGCATATTCTCCCAACTTAATGTCTTTTGCTTGTGCACTGCTGTAACAGCAAATATGATGACTTGCAGTAAAACTCACAAATCTTTGCTGCCAAGCTTAAATTAAAACATTACTAAATAAAGACTGTAATCAATACATCCACCAAAATTTCAGAGCATAATACTTTTTTCCTACTTACTATTAACCATTAATGTTAAGCATAAAACTTCCGAGGCCTTAGTAGGTACGTTTAGTAGTTATTCAATAGTATGATGATCTGAATGGGCATCTGCTCCCCCCAACAAAAAAATACCTATGACAGATTGATTCATAATATACTTGTTGGCTTACATTTTAAACTCATATCTCTTCCCCCAAAGAATATTATTTAGCCTATGGACAAAATAACGTTTCCTTATCAGAGATACTATCATCTTCCTGTGTGTACCTGACTCTAATCACAGATAAGAAGAAACACATTCCAAACACTCCAAAATGTGTATGATTAAAATCTGAATCCATATTTGGTAAAGTGGACCAGGGATAAGCAGATTTACTAACATTTCTGCCAGCTTTGGAGTTAATTTGAAACATAATGTTACTTGACTGATACCTTAAAACAAGAGTGAAACAGAAATGTTTGCAATCTTTTGCTATGCATTCTAATTCTTCTCTTTTCTGTATCCAAGAGACTTTAAAATAAAGTGCTTTGTAAATTAGCAGTTTGAAGTAGGGGCAGGTGTTCTCAGGAAGACTTAAAAATAGTCTAATTTAAAACTCCTGTGGTGCCTTTGTTTTTGCAACTTAATGATTTTGCAGATAAAGTCTATTAATTCTCATACATATGGCTAATTCATCTGGTTTATGGTAGAATCTGAATTCATTTTAGAAACCGCAGACTTTTAAAAACACACATTTGGTTTGCTCTGCTAGTTCATTAGAAAATAAAAGTTGGCATCTATTACAGATAGAGCATAGAGTAACAGATATTTCTTGGTTTCATAGTAAAAGCCGCAGGTATATTTCTTAGGAGCAGGGTCCTGGAGCTATGTTTTTATCCAGCTGCCTTACCAATTATTTCCAAGGGGAGTTAGTCACCCCAGTAAATGAAGCAAAGGTTGCTTCTTTTGTGACTGTTTTAGATTTACTTATTTTTTTCTTTTGACCAAGGGCACTGATGATGATTGAATATACTTTAGCATCGGTTCTGACAAAACTCTGTTGCTCATTGAGGGCCTATGGTCTTAATTCCACCAATACCTCTGTATGTTCAGGGCTGAGGTGATTATTTGCCTATGTGCATTTGAGTTAACATTTCCAGTTAGAGGAAATTATTACATGTCTCTCAATGTTTTCTTAACCTAGCTGTTTTATTTCTGGGGTGGTATAAATACAGAGAAATATAATTTCAATTTTCTACTAAGATTTTTTGAATTGTTATTGAAGAATCCACAGCAATGGGTTTTTTAATAAAAGAAAGTTATTTCAGAAGGCAATCAAACAAAAAATCTATTTGTAATTGTAACTGATCTTTATTTTAGGCATTCAAAGCAGACTTTTTGACTTATTCAAGCTGTCTGGGGAATCATTCCACACCCTCTAGCTTCACAAGACATAAACTAAGGAAAATTTAAATGACAAAAATTGTAAGATTATTAACAGCCCAAAAAGTAGCCATTTGTTTTCCCCCAGGGGAGTTTTGCATTTGTTTTTCTATATGACTTTACTTAAGATTTTTCTTAAAATCTCTACAAAGGGGAATAGCTTAGGTAATTTAAGTTATGTTAGTACATTAGATCTCGCCCCTGGTGATTTATTTAGGTTCACTAGAAACAAAATACATAAGAAACCAATTGAAGGTAAGACTGTAGAACGTTGTTTTCAATACCCTAAACAGTAGGTTATCATAATTGAGGCCCTCAGCAAAACTGTAAAGCAGATGATATTTATCATGGGTACTTCCACCTCTCTAACAGATCCACTTTTTTCCCTCCTGGTACCACCTTTTTTAATTCTTGAGACAGGGTCTTTCTCTGTCCCCCAGGCTAGAGTGCAGTGGCCCAATCTCGGCTCACTGCTTGCTATGCCTCCCTGGCTCAAGCAATTCTCCCACCTCAGTCTCCCAAGTAGCTGGGACTACAGGTGCATGCCACCATGCCCAGATAATTTTTGTATTTTTTGTAGAGACAGGGTTTCACCATGTTGTCCAGGCTGGTCTTGAACTCCTGAGTTGAAGCGATCCACGCGCCTTTGCCTCCCACAGTGCTAGGATTACAGGCATGAACCGCAGCTCCCGGCTCACCCTTTTCCATCCTGTGTTCTTTCTTTCTTAACCCTTTGCTAAGGCATTAACTGCTAGCAAAGATATGACTAATAGCAATAAACCACCTGCACGCACACACATACACACATTTTCAGAGGCGAGTCTTTGAGATTAGTTTAGAGTTGGAACGGGGGTGGCATTTTCAGGAGAGTGAGCAGTGCTGGGGTTTGTTGTGTTGTTTTGGTCAGTGGTTGCTGCTGCCTTCCTCTCCCCCTTTGTTATCTCAGTTCAAGTGGCACCTGGTCTTCTTCCTCAAATGTCATCTTATAGGTAATGATGAGCATAAGTATGATGAAATATTAACTAGAACTCTGTTGAAGCAAATTCATGTACATTTAAGCTGTTGATCAAAATTATGACACAAGCTCCAGCAAGATTCTGAAGTGTCTTCCTGTATATTCACATGCAAATCATGTTTGGTATGGATGTAGTGTTGAGCTTTTAACACTTGAAAGTTATAATAGTTGTGGTATGCATTAGCAGAATACTTGATTAATCTGAAAATCTCATTCCCCAGCCATACTGGCCAATAGTTTATATACTTACTATAAGAAACACAATATAGTCTTTGTAGATTTTATTTGTGGTTTATAAATATTCCTCCTAAAAACATGTGTTTGAAAGTAAAAATTTCATCATATAAATGTTTTTATTATAAAACATTTTTTAAAGTAAAGAATAAGAAAAGGTTAAAACACAACTTGTTAACTCTACAATTTTGAATCTCTAGTATTACCACTGCCAATCCTGGAAACATTAAGATGTGATACACCATGTAGTCAAAACATCTGGCAGGCTGCTTTTTTACACTTTTCATTGAGATCACATGTTTCCAACATAAGCTAAAGCTGTTAAAAGGTTTTATATTTTAAAATTACCTTCTTGATACATTTATAGGATAACCAGTGTGCAATTCTAACGCTAAATGTAAAGGTAAACTCCAGCCTAGTGTGTCCTTATTAAGAAACCTAAATCCAATCTGAATGTTTGGGACATCTAAAAATATAATTTCAAATATGCTGACAGAGAAAACTAGTAACCAAGTTCCTGAAACATTTTTCACCTTTTTATAATTCAGAACATATAAAACACAAATCATCTTGAACTATTGCATGAATCCAAGGCCAGAGTGCTATGAAGTGGGGGTTATGTTTCTTTCAGTGACCTTTTCCTTACCCCCCACCTCATCCACTTCTACCTCACCTCACCTATACCATCCCCTTTAGTAGGGATACCAAATGAGACTTTCTTTCCCAGTCTGCTCAGAAAAATTATTATAGCTTATATATTACTATATTATAGAGTATAAACAGGAAGATAGTTAATACTCTATTCATTAACTATCAAGACAATTGCTCAAGGCGTAATAATACAACACACTGCCAATGTTATAATGTCATGCTGACTGATTCTTACTAGTTAGTAACAAATATACTATTTTTTTATTAGTATAAATATCCATTAGATAAATATCCATTGTCATACTCCATGTAAGATTTCACTAAATGGATCAAACTTTTGGATTGTTTTTTAGACACCACTGTAAGAAATAGCACAGATGAAAAATAATGAGCTCATTTAGATAGGAAGAGGCTGTTTTGCCATTTCATTGAAAAAAAAAAAAAGACAAAAATCCCCGCCAGCAGCTCCAAAATGGGGTTAACCTGACCCAAGTGAAATAGTTAGAATTTCAGGTGCATGCACAACTCCCCAAAGTTTCTACTCATGTGCACGTACCTCTGGAAAACCAGATAAACCCTGCAAGTGAGACTTGATGTAGCAAGTTATTTTCCCCAAACAGAATGCCATATGGTGATCTATGAATCATGGAAATTCCAGGAGAAGAACGGTGTTGTTGTGATGCCAGAAATCTACCTAGGGAGTCACAAAATCCCCACTCCCACACACCCTCTTAAAAATCATGTGGTTCTTAAAACAACTGGTATGGTAGAGGAATTCATAACCATGTCATATGAATAATGATTGAAAGAACTGGGGATATTGGCTGGGAAAGTAAAGACTCAAGGAGACCATGATGACTCTATATAAGTATTTGAAGGGCTGGCTATTTAGGAAAGGGATAACATTGTTCTATACAGCCTTGAGGGTTAAAACTGGTGTTAAGTTAGGGTAAGGTAAAAAGTTTCCTCAAGGTGGAGACAATAAGAATGTACCGGATCTAGCACCCAGTTTGGCAAGATGCCCTCTTGGAGATGGAAGAGGCGTAGGGTGAAGGGAGAGATATGGGTGAGCAGATCACAGTGACACTGTGCACACATAGGCCCCTATTCCAAGACATTATGCCTTGTGGAGAAACCCAGTGAGAAGCACCATGGGAAAGACCCTCACACTAGGTATATGTGAGTTTGTGTCCCTATCGAAATGGTTGTAGTCGACTAAAGTAATGACCAGCAAAATCCAACATTTCCTGGGAAAATATTCCCTGTTTGTCAGTATTTGGGTGAGCCTCTGACAGAGCCCTGCCAGTACTGTCATGAAAAGTGATCAGAAACAGTGAAAGGTCAGAAAATATGGAAGCTCCTTAAGAAAGTGAGAAAGAAGAAAAATTAAAACACCATGAGCAAATGAACCTGCTAGAGCTGCAAAGCACCCCTTCACCTCCCTTCACATGGTTGTTAACTGTAACGTGCATGCCCATCCTCAGTGATCTGCTGATCATGTAGGGATATAACATTTGATTCGGCAGGGGATTATGTACACATGAGATACATGGGAGCTTATTGGAAATGCAGAATCTCAAGTCCAACTCCAGACCTACTGAATCAGGAACTGATTTTTTTGAAGGAACCAGTGATTTATATGCACACTAACATTTGAGAAGCACAGGTCTGAGAAAACTGTAGGTAAAAAACAATGTGTGATCTATTGAGCTGAGACCCTAGCAGAAAGCTTAATTCCTAGGTAGCTTTCTGACATCACAGAGGCAAGACGAAGTCCCTGAAAGAAGAGCTGGAAAGAGCAGCTATCACAACTATACTTGAATAAAAATGTCTTCATTATATTGACTCCATAACGACCAGCCAATTTGTTGTAGTTTTTCCTTCTGGAAAAATGCACAACAAACCTATGATGCTTCACCTAACACATTTATTTGTTTTATTTACAAATAAATAAATACATAGTTTTATTTATTTCTAATTTATTTTAAGGGAGTGGGGACATAATAGTTCTCAAAACAATTCGTTTGTTTGGAGAACAAACAAACAGAGGTGGCTCATGCCTCTAATCCCAGCACTTTGGGAGGCTGAGTCAGGTGGATCACTTGAGGTCAGGAGTTCGAGACCAGCCTGGCCAACATGGTGAAACCCCGTCTCTATTAAAAAATAACAAAATAAACTATTTATTTAGAGAACTATTATGTCCCCATTCCCTTAAATCTTTTCTCCTCCAAGATAAACAGTGCACTCAAGCATTTCTCATAATGATATTTCTGATGTTTTAAAGGCTGCACGAAAATATGGCCCTCCAAACAAGACACACTGCTAGAGATGTGATCAGGTGAATTCCAACCACTGCGAGATTATCTGTCTCTTGGGAAAGATACCTATTCAGACAGCCTAAAAGTGCATTAGCTTCTTTATATTAAATTGTTCTATAAAGTGTTCTGATGTTTCTATTCTCTAAATCACTTGAGAGTTATTTCACAGGTATTTGGTCTTTATACCAAAATAATCTTAAATCTAAATGTGATGATTAAAATATTCTAGGTCAACAGTTCCTTATGTCTCCAACGATGGTGTTAATGTTCAATTTTGAGGTCACAGAATCCTTTGTTTAAAGAACCTTTGAAAAAGTTTTCTTCAACCTTCTCATCTCACAGATGGGGAAACTGAGGCCCAGAAAAGTTAGAAGACTTGCTCAGAAAGTCCCACACTGGTTAGTTAACAGAGCTAGTGCTGAAGTGAAATCTGCCTTACCCTGGTATATTATTTTCATTACACCATAATTCTCTATTTTAAGACTTATTACATTCAAAAATCAACATGAAAATAAATATTACAATAAACCACTGACAGTTTCCAAATAGCTAGATGTTTGGCATTTAGTCATTAAAATTGATATTTTTCTGCTTTTCAGTTGTAGTATAACTATTTGATATTTTATATGTTGCTTTAGCAGTCATTTGGCTAACAATGGAAGAAAATACGGCCTGTAAGCATGTTTTACAAGTGAAATAAAGTGCCCTGAAAAATTGAATTAGAAATTTAGAACATTTCTTGTTCTAAAGGTGTTCACCACTGTTTCTCCTTGGACTGACTAGACTGGCCATTTGAATAAGCATAGAAAGAATGATGAAGATTTAAAAATTACCATTTTGCAATCTCCAGAGTAAAAAGTGACTCAAATAAGAATGATCAATGGATGTTAAATCTGAGGAGGAAGGCAGTATGGGAATAAGGTATTTACATAGCATCAAAATGTCATCCATAAATTACAAAAGAAAAAAAGGAACTTTTCAATGGCTAAATTGGATAACACCTTAACTAAGTCATCAAAATCAACATCACCAATAATGGACAGATGGAGCATGTGCCTCTGGACATGATGCTCTGAAAAAGAGACAGCGTCACTCAGGTAATAATCATGCCAAAAATGCACAACCTGAGTCTAATTATGAGAAAACAGACAAACCCAAAATAAAGGCTACTCTATAAAATAAGCAGATTGTGTTTTTCCAAAATATCAATGTCATGAAAAAACAAGAAAAAGCTGAGAAGCTGTTACAAATTAAAAGGAGACCAAAGAGATATGACAACTAAATGCAATATATAATCCTAGACTGGATCTTGGGCTAGGAAGGAAATTGCTATAAGGACACCCTTGGCACACACTATTGACCAGAACTCATATATGGACTTTTGATCAGTATTATTTTTGTTTTTACATTTTTGAACTGGATGACTATACTGTGGCTATGTTAAAAAGAAATCCTTGTTCATAGGACATACACGTACTGTATGAAGTGATAAAAAGCATGGTGTGTATATTTAATAATCTTATGTGTATGCATGTGTGTGTGTATATATACATAGAGAGAGAGGGAGGGAGAAGGAATGAAAGATAATGATAAAGCAATACAGCAAAATATTAAAAACTGCTAAATCTGGGGAAAGGGTTTATGGGAGTCCATTGTACTCTTTTTGTAATTTTTCTGTAAGCTTAAGAGACTATTTCAAAATAAATAATGTGTTGGAAAAAAAGTACATTGGGGCACTGGCAGACTTCTAGATCTAGGCTAGGGGTGAAGGGTCCAGGGAACAGGCAGGGGCAGAGCCCAAGTCAAGCCCTGAACAGGTCAGTGTGGACCCCACTGCTGCCTTCACAGTACAAAGAACAGCAGAGCTTGCACCCTGACTCAGCAGGCCTGAGACACTGGTTCCGCAACTACCCTGCTGCTGCTGCTGCTGCTGCCCACAGAAACCCCATGTTACAGCTTCAATGGCTGCCCTTACTGCCAGGATGGACTCTCTACCATGGCTACTTGTCTGTGTCCAAAATCCTATTTCAAAATGGAGGGCAGATACGGCTGATTGGTGGAGCTGAGCCACACGTTCATACCGGGGCTCCAAGATAGTCTGTAAAAGTGCATATTGGCTTCTCACCAAGACTGAGAGTGTGGGCAATTTCCCAAATGTAGAAAGAGAGTTTAGATTTGGGGAAGTTTTTTTTAAGTGAATGTCCACCGTAACATGTTCAGATATTGCTTGAATGTAAAATAGACACCTTGGTCTCTATCTTGATTGACTAGAGTCCAGCCTGGCTTGAGAGATAAGAGTTGAAAGGAAATAATTCTCTTTAAGCCTGCGTTTATTTAGTACTACCTGCCATTAGAGACAGGACTGTAAGAGAATATGGTAGAACTAGCTTATATTGGCTTATTAAATCATGTAGCAGAGAAGAGCAGAATGGTTCCTCTATCATTGATCAATGTCCATCTACTGCTCACTCCTTTTTGAGATATTAGAAAGAGCCATATAAAGAGTTTAGTAATTAATTAGGGAATTAAAATACATATCATATACCTTAATGATAAGAACATCTTTTTCCTCCATGTGCGGGAATTTACTGTGAAATATTGGGCACATTCATGTTTCATATTCATGCAAAGGATGATGATAATCAAGATGCCCTGTGCATTTGAGTCATTAATATTGATATACAGTCTCTTATATAACCCTTTAGGAAGATTTATGTAAGACAAAAAGAAAGTCTTCTTAAGCTTGAGGAAAGATTAAATTAAAATGGAATCTTGGAGGTATAAAGGTCTTTAGAGTTCACATAGCACAACTTGGTCATTTCACATGTGAGGAAACTGAGGGCTAGGTCTTGATGGCTCAGATTTCTTCAATTAATTGCCTATTCCCAAATTGCAAAAAAAAAAAAAAAAAAAAAGAATGCTGAAAGGCTTTTGATGACATTCATCATACGTCGCTTAATAATTCCTCACATTTGAAGAGGGAACAAAACATAGTGCTTAAGAGCTTCTGCTCCAGCATAACAGCCCCAAGTTCAAACCATGGCTTCACCACATAGTGTCTATGATTTTGCTTGAACTTATCCTCCCTAACCCCCGCTTTCCTCACCTGTGACAGGGAGATAAGAAAAGTACCCACACATTGTGATGACTTCATAAGGACTAGATGAGATAATGAAGGTATAAGGGTCTTAGAATATAATAATTTATCAATTATACTAGCTCTTATGTTTTTATAGAGCTACCAAAATGTTTCTTAACATACTATCTGTGGAATAAAGAGTTTAGCCACGGCGTGCCTGTTATACCTGTTGTTCACAATAGTGGCAGATGCTTACTTTTCTTGTTTTCTCACAGTTCTAGTTTTTTTTTATTTCCTCGTCCTCAATTCCTTGCCTTACATACGCTCTGAATGTTTACTCATCCGTCACTATTCCCTTCAAATGTTACCCCCTCAGTGAGTGCTGCTCTGCACCACCACCCCTCTCCCAGCAATGCAGAATTAAGGATGTTTTTCTTGATGCTTCTTTAGCAGCTTACATGCATTGATAATACAATACCATAATTAACATATAGCTTTAATTATTTATTTTTGTCAGTCTCCCCAACTTCTTGTAAGCTCATCTGTGGCAGTGACTTTATCCAATACATCTTTATATTCTTGGAGACTAGTAGTGCAAAGTATATACTCTTTACATAGTACTTATTGAATGAATAGATGACTTGATGATTAAATGAATGAATGTGAAATACTCAGAAGAGTCCTTACTGTCCTGAGTAAGGACTCCAAAGTGCAGTTGAGATGGTCTCCGTGATGCTAAGATACACACAGCCTCAGGATCTGGTCTATTCCCATGAGCTGTGGAAACAAATGCATATCAAGTGAAGTTTCTACACACTTGAAATGAAATCAATTACAGGGAAACCTTATAAACCTTATAATTAGATTGCCACTGTAATTAACCAACACTCCACTGTCAAAGCAGTCTACGCAGTTTAATGGGTTCAACCTCTTTAAATCTGGAGGACAATTTAGGACTGCAGACTTAGAAATATAATAGATTCTTCTAATGGTTTCTAACTGTATCTCTAACCAGCCAAGATCATGTGGAATTAGAAGCCATTCCTCTAAAGTTCTGGACACCTCTTCACCACTTCAGCTGGTTGTCAACAACAATTTTGATAATAATGCTAACACACACACCCCTGAGACAACTGAGGCTATGACAGAACGTTATGATGTCGGAACTGCTGTCGGAGGCTGTCATTTGCTTATACCCTGTTGTAAGGGTTGCTTATACCCCCAGCCCTGACCTCCCCAGTTACACATGCATGCACATGTGAGTTCTCTCTCTCTCTCTCACACACACACATGCAGCTTTTCACATCAGATCCAAGGAAGGAGCTGTACTCACAATGGTCATACAATGGTCATCCAGTGGACTTGTCTATTTTGTGCACCTATCTGAACCATGGGTTCCTTTTATTCTATTTTTTTTTTTTTTTTGAAACGGAGTCTCGCTCCATCTCCCAGGCTGGAGTGCAGTGGCATGATCTCAGCTCACTGCAAGCTCCGCCTCCTGGGTTCACGCCATTCTCCTGCCTCAGCCTCCTGAGTATCTGGGACTACAGGCGCCTGCCACCACGCACGGCTAATTTTTTTTTTTTTTGTGTGTGTATATATATATATATATATATATATATTTAGTAGGGACGGGGTTTCACAGTGTTAGCCAGGATGGTCTCAATCTCCTGACCTCGTGATCCACCCACCTCGGCCTCCCAAAGTGCCGGGCACAGTTACTCTTATATGTGAGCCCGAAATACGGAGGAGTGATTCTTCCCATTCAGTTACAGGCTAAGAAGATTCAAAAATCCCATGTCAACACAGAGGTCTTTCTAAAAGGAGACAAGAAATACCAGTGCCAGTGACATGTACTACCTTTGTGCAAATAATAAAAATGTACCCTTTCTGGGTGGACCAAATATACAAAGACTGTGTTTTTTCCTGGGGAACACAATCCCACACCCAGGCACACACTTGGTATGTGAGGTAGAGGGTTGGATTTCAGACCTGAATAGTGCCCCCTCACCCAGACATCTTTGCACAGCCAATCTGCACAACCATAGGCATGGCTTTGAAGGGGGTCTCCTCTACCAAGGTGCTAGGTATGGCTCTGAAGGGGGTCTCCTCTACCAAGGAGCTAGGTATGGCTCTGAAGGGGGTCTCCTCTACCAAGCAGCTAGTCTCTCCCTCTCTCTCTCTCTCTCTCTCTCTCTGTGTGTGTGCGTGTGTGTGTGTAGATGAGTGGTGAAAGGTGAATAAATTAGCTCTATTTTACCAAATATATTCAAACACAAATTGGATGTGTTTGCTAAGGCTTTTATAGAGGATGGTCTCTTTAAAGGCTTACTGGCTTTCCTTCCAGCTCTAGGATTCTATTATTATCAGGCCTCTAATTAGTGATACAATACATCTGTGAGTGCTTGGTCAGGGCCGATTCCCCCAGTTTACTACTAACCATATAATGGAAAATACATTTTAAAATTTTGCTAACATCGAGAAGCTTGATATTTCTTACGAAGCCAAAGATCAGCCTCTCCTAATTCTTCAGAGGACGTGCTGTTTGGGAGCATGCTGCCGTATGTCTCCTCATTCTGCAAATAAGACATTTTCCTGTAAAGCTATCCCTGATATAGCAGATTCTTATTTGTGATATAATACTGATATCTCTGCTACAATAGTCACTTTTTGTGACAGTGAGATGTTCGTAAAAGTTAATCTTTAGAGTGCCTCAGTGAGGTTGGCAAAAGATAGATATTTTATCTCTGTCATGCTGATAAAGAGAATGCAGCATACAGGTTGGACCACCTCCCCCAGACTTCCTTGTCAAATCAATTGGGGACTGAGGAGTAGAATCTGGGTCTTCTGTTTTTCACTCTATTGCTTGCGCCTGCATAGCAAATTCAGGCCATATCTCCATGTCGGTACCTCAGCCGCTGCAAAATGACTCAACTAACAGGAGATAAAATGATTTTGCAAGTTTTCTGGACATTGCGGTGGCCTTGGAGGGTAGAAATCACTGATGCATTCTTTCTACCACTTACTCAACACAGATGTAGAATCCAAATAGCTTTACCGATACTCTGCACTCAACACCTGTAACATTTATGCATGTAATACTCTGAGAGCCCCTTTGTGTAGGATGGAGTGCACTTGCTTAGTGGAGTACAGAACAGTCACAAAACACCCATCTTTTATGCAGAAATCCCCTCTAGAATCAGAAATGCCCAGAAGGCCAGAATAATATTGAGGCTATGGGATTAATCGGAGCTCAGAAGCCCAGTGTGGAGACACTTTTCAAGATCCTCAATATTATCTTGATTGTATGTATAAACCAAGCTGAAATATCCCCACTCAAAATTCTATTACTTACCTAAATATTTTTATGTTTTATTTTGTACTTTGCTATTGTAAAACATTCAACATTAATAAGGTAGTTAACCAAGTGTTTCATGTATTACTTTAATGTTTTAACCTCCTTTAAATTAACCCCTCTTTTAAATACAAGACTTTACTTGAGAAAAATCCGTTGCTATTTATTTGAGGGAGTTCTCTTAATTTCTTATGATCTTAGACATCCATTTATGCAGGAAGAGAAAACACCAGCTTTGTTGAAAGGAAACTACTTCTAAATGGCAGGATCAAAATTATTGTGGAGGAAATATGCACAGCTCTTATTTTACTAATCTCAATTCATATTAAAATATCTATTTTAAATGGAACATTTGTTCCCTAATGTCTTAAAATTAATTTTAAACTTTCAATTAATTTAGGAGTGTGGAAGGACTAAGAAGTAACATTATAAAAATCAGAATGTGATAGCATTGATCAAATTATTCAATGTAAAATTAAAATACCAAAATAAAAATCATGTTTTCTTTCATAGCTGATTTTGTTAAAATTAATATTTTAGAAATCAACTCCTAGCACATTCATGTGATTATATTCTGGTTTCAGAATCAATAAGTAATAGAAATTAAATGTTCTGTGTTATATCAAGGAAGCATTACTCCCATCTTCTATTTTAAGAGTTAAAATACATGTGTTTTTGGGTCTCATTTGTCCAAAATTGTTATTTTACCTGTGGCTTATACTGCACATTATTCTGGTGTTTTAATAAATGCTTAAACAGATAAAGAAATGTTAAAGTAACTAAGCATCTATGCTCATCCTCAATATTTGTCCACAAACCAGTTACATCTCCCCAACTTAACACCAGTCTCACTAACTGACTACCTGTACCTGTTCCAACTCAAAGTCAACATGTTCAGATATGGACTCACTGTCACCACCACCAACTGTACCAACTTCCGTAAGGCCTACCTCTTCCCCTATTTTTCTGGATTGTGTAATAGCACCACCATCCACTCAATTACCTAAGTCAGAAACCTGGGAGTCATCCGCTCCTCTCTCATATCATCCTTTTATTTGAAGTCCTTTCATGTTAAGCATCATCTATAATAGTGTTTCTAAGTGCAATCATCTTTAGAATCATTGTCTAGAATGCTCGTTAGAAATGTAGATTCCTGGACCCCACTGCAGCCCTGTTGAATAAGGCTCCCTGAGAACGAGGCCTGGGACTCTGATTCCACAGTTGAACTTAATGCACACTGAAGTATGAAAAACACTGGCCTCCACAATAATATATGACTTATAAGCCCTACTTTGCTGTTTTCTCATCTACAATGTCCTCATAAGAACTCCAAACTCTAACCTTACTAGATTTTGAACATGTCCCCAAATTGGACTTGTGCCTCCATGCCTCTGGCCTTCTCTAGTGATGTTCTCTCTGACCGGGTCACCCACATTCTCACCTACCTGGCCGATCCTTGCTTATCCTTCAAAATCCAGCTGAAGGTATCACTTCCTATAAGGAGTCTTCCGTAAACCTCCAGGGCTGGGTTAGATGCCTTCCTCATGTTCTCATAGCACCCTGAGCCTGTGCAGAACTCTGTCTCAGCTCCCCTTACCCTACTTCTTGGTGGGGTGGTTCTCTTGGCTGTATCTTGTTCATCTTTTCAACCCTGGTACCTAGCACAGAGCCTAGTCATGGTGGGCAAGCAATACATGTTGGATTAAATAAAGAATTGTTGAACAAATTCATCTTTTAATTAGCCTTAATTAGTCTGCTTGGTTTGATTTAAACTTCTGAAGAGTCCCATAGACTAGTATAGATTAAGCATTTTATCTAGCATCTTTGAAGATGAAATTAAATTATTATGAAAATGAACTATTCCCTTTAAAAAATCAATTATTCTTGAGTAATGCATTCAAATTCCTGTCTGATTTTTTTTAAGGCAAGTGTGAAGAACAAAAGAAAGAATATAAGCCAACAGGCAAAACACTTGGATCCCAGGCCTGTTTCTGCTCTAACTTGTATATGACTTGGGAAACATCACTTTATCTCTGTGGGTTTCAGTTTTCTCATTCACATCACAAAAGGACTGGTAGAATCTGAAGCTTTTCCCAGTAAAATAATTTTATTATTCTAAACTAAACTTTAATAAATTAACATTTTGAGATAGTACTTAATGTAATAAAAAAGCAATTTAAATAGTATCTAGAGTTTATCATGTGTATAAATCTTATATATAAGATATATGTAAAATAGGATATATGTGTAAAATTAGATTTTATTGGGGGAGAAGCTGTTGATCTAACTTTACGATAAAATTAGACCAATGTTATATTTATTCTACTTTTTCTACTTAGTTCTAATATTTTGTTGTATTGGTTTAAATTTTTATTTTATCAATTAATTGCATGATTTGCTCATTATATGAAATGATAATCATCTGTTATTTATCCCCATGGATTATATAATTGTAAGCGAAATGAATATCATGGCGTTATTTGACTGAGAAGATTATTTTCATATTTTTCTTCTGGTTTTGAAGACATGGGGGAAATTTTCGATGAGATGTTAATCCAAGTTGTAGCAATTCCTACCTGTGTGACCTTAGACAAGTTTCTTAATCTCTCTGACCATCTCAAATTTGAAAATTGAAGTGTACATTAATTCGTTAAGAAGCCTAATTGTTTGATTTCTGACTCTTGTCGATAAGAACATTCACAGATTTGTTGCCAAGTTTTAATACTGGATTCTCTGCTTTAGAAATATCCTTATATTATTGAGGGGGGACATTATCCAGTTGATAAAGATTATCTCATCAAAACAGAGACCACTACTTCCCATCATTTAAAATTCTACAATAAGGTGATCATATGGAAATTATACCCTCAAACTAATTAATGGGATAAGTTAGTTGCAGTGGGAAGTATTTCTGTTTCCTTTTATCTCTCTGATTTCCTCAGTCCCAAGGAAATACAAATATTTTCATTGACAGTTATATTAGATGCAGAATTGTGAATTGCCTTTGGTATACCCACTTAGAGAGAATTGAAGGAGGAAATATGATGATAAATAAAAATGGGAAACTAGAACCTCAAGGTATGCTTCTACCTTAAATCACTGAAATTGCCTGTTTGCACATTTAAAATGAGGTATCCTCATAAGTCAGAAGTAGAAACCAGAGGCTAAAATTCCAACCAGAGCCAGGAGCACACTTTTATAGAATGTTAGCAAATTTAATACCTTGGGACAGTGAAAGTTCTTGGCAAACATTGATTTACTGGAGATCAGAAAAAGTTGGTTGACTGGGAGGAATATTTATGCATTTATATATGCATTCTTTAAGTAAGCACGATTATATGAGTAAATTACAGTCTACAGAGAAACATAAAATCCCAGAGACCTGGAGTTCAAATTATTGACTTTATTTCCAACTGTGACCCTATATGGCCTTAAACCTTTATGATCTATTCCATGGCCCTAAACACAGCCTACAAGACATTACCCTACTGAGCAATGGAGAAGATTGTTTGGCACACTTCCTTCACACGTTCCACTCCTTTATGCACACAATTAAAATAGACACCAATACACGGAGCTAGAAGAAATGGATTTCTGCATATTGACCATTCACACCTGATTGTGAAATAAAGTTGATTGTATTGATTTCTGTGGCTCTATGATGCCTTTAATAGAGTGGCCCGAAAACTCTAGGCTTGCTGTTCTGGATTTTAACAAACAAACAACAACAACAACAAAAAACAGACAACTTGAACAAATTGAATCTGCAGCAACCTTAGAGAGCCATCTCAGAGGCAGGGGGAGCCCTTTGAGAAGCATAGCAACTGGATGTCACCCAGTAAGACAGGCAGGCCTGGGTGAAAGGCTTCGTGTGAGCTGTCTAAATGTTTACCTCAAGCTTTCTGCAAATTCGTGTGTGTCATTTTTCATTTCAGAGCAGCACCCACTCTCCTATTAGAATGAACAAGGTTCCCAGGCCAACAGAAGCTCTTCCCCTCTCTAAAAACGAATAAAATGAAAGGCAGGTTTGGAAATGACTTGCACAGCCATAAATATTGGCGCTATCTTTAACATGATTTTCACTTCAAAAAATATGTTTTCATTTATAACATAGTTTATATTCATAACTGCATTGTCAAGTCAGAAGGACTGGCCATATCACCAACCAAGGCACCGACTGTTAGTTACTTGTCATCAGCCGGTTAGTGGTAAAGCAAGACTATGTTGCATTCTGTGTTATTTCTTTTAGAATATTCTTACATGAGATATTCACTGGCTAAAATGGTTCCAGCCCATTCAATAGAAAGGTTAACACAGACCTACCAAATGATGGAAAAATTGCAAATATAAAACTAATCGTGACATAATATATATGTATAAAAATATTATATGAAACAACGTATGTTTTACTTTTGTTCATATGAGGTATATGGTATATATTAATAGATGAGGAACCAGAACACTGCCTTTGGTGGGAAAGGATGTTCTAATGTAACGTATATGTTCCATTCAGTTCCTGACACACTGTACAACCATAATAAATAGAAATTGCTGAAATCCACTTTGCCTTTTGGCTATACTCCCAGGAAAGCTTATCTGATTTCCAAACTGTGGGTGCTAAAATAAAATCTGAGAAACACAGAGCAGAATAAGAAATAGATCTCTTCAGCATATCTGATATCCACCTACCCTGAGTCCTCATTCTTCATCTTAATTTTTCTTTATTTTGAATCGTGATTCCTTTCTCTGAACCTCAACCTTTTCTCAGAAGTGCTTATCCAAGTCATGTTTATAGAAGTAAATACTTATTCATTCATTCATTATCAAATATTTTTTAGCATCTTATCTTCTTACAGAAACAAAGCTTTATGATATTCCCTCTTATTTGGGAACTTAAAAGTTAGCTGAAAAGACACAAACTTATGTAGGAAGATCAGATTTAAATAAAATAAAGAAATAAATAATTTTTATAAGGAAATATAATTATATATAAAGTATATGGAAAATGGGTATTTGAAAATATGGCTCAGTTGTACATGAGTGACAGAAGTACACACTCAGTTTGAGAGTAAATTAATAGGTCATATGTATAGTGTTTTGAATTAAATATTGAAAGATAGTCCCCAATCAAATAGAATGGTTTTTAAAATCTCTATTAAAAATGGCAACTTTTCACATAGTTCACACTGATAACGGCTTTAAAATACATTTTAGGAATGTATAAGAGAGAGAAACTTGCAAAGGCATCCTGGGGCTTGAATCTGTAATCCATATATTCTTTTTTCCAGTGTTATTTCAAAACCTAGATGTTATGTGAGGAAAATGTCCCTTTCCCAAAACAGCAGAGAGAAAATCATAAAAGATATTTCCGTCTGGGGATGTGTAAACATTTAAGTTTGGTAAACAGCCATTTCAAGCTATTCATAAGTCAAAAATATGGTGGCGTAGTGGTTCTCCCGATTTCCTTTAGACCAAAATTTAGACTCAAATCTGTAAACAGATCTTTTTTTATTTTATCATGAGACAGCAATTTACCCACTAGAGAAAATCTTGTATAGATGTTAAGCTAGTATAAAATTTCATCATGAAAATATAACTTCATAAATAAATATGATGTGTTAATGAACATTACTCACTCTTTTTACATAAAAAGTTAGCAATAAAATATGAAATTAAATACTTGGATTCATGAATCTATAATGCTCTGTTCTTTAGGATTCCTGTGGAATTAAGTATGTTTATTGACAAAGCAAATGATCAAGAGCATAAATGGAAAGCTATTTACATTTGCAAGAAATGTTCAAATATAAATGCAAATAAATCAGCTAAATTAATAAGTAGGAACATTTAAGAATAACACTTTACAACTAAGTATAGATTTACATCAGAAAGGTAATAAAATCCATCTGCAACCCTGTCTGAGTTCTTGGAAGTTCAGCATCATTCACTTCATGGGTGAAGGTCAAGGTCAGGCATTTATTGAGAGCACTGTCACCTCTGGAGCCCCTCTGGCTCCAGCTGCACTGCTGGTACATGTCTACTTCTTTTGTGATAAAAATCAGCAAGAATTTTCTGTATTGTTCATTCCTGCGTGATAATTGAACCAGGTATATTCAAGGACAAATTAAACAACCAAATTAAAGGTCAGTTGCAGAGATAGGTGAACTGTGTTAGTACCTTGTGAATCTCATCTATTTTAAATTAGAAATTTCTTAAAGACAAGGGCATGATTTTAAACATTCACATATATAGAGAGATAGATATATAAAAATATTTCATAGCACTGAGCTGACATCCAATTAATAGGAGGCTAACTTAAACATTAGAGATAGCAGTAAGGATTTAATAAAACTTTAAGTATTATGATATAATCATTGATCAAAGTCATCCTTCCCCATGGTATGACCTAGCCACATTTTTCTGGAGATAAGATTAACACATTAGAATAAAATTAAGGATAGAATTAAAAACAGAAAGATAAGATATTGAGTGTTGGTGGTGGTGGTGGTGGTGGTGTTACAGCACTTACTTCTCTTTGTGGAAAAGAATGTTTTTTCCCCAAATCAGTCATGCTCACTTGTTGTGACCTAAATCACTATCAGCCATTATTTCTCTGTCTCTGTAGTTTAAACCCAAATATCCCATTATGCCTTTTCATAATTTCATGTGTTGATTATTCATCCTACTTTTACACTTTTGTTTATTTATTATACATTATATATAATATATTAAATATTATATATTATATGTTATATATTATTATATTCTATGAAGTACCTCCTATGTATCAAGACAAAAGTCAAGAAAATTAGTTTCAAATCTCTTCTATCATTGCCCTTCATTCTTCTGACTTAAGTCTTCTCTATAGCTTGGCTTCCTCACCAATAGTGAGGAGATTAATATATAGAATGGTCTGAGGCCCTCTCTAACTCTGAAATTCTAGTTCATGAATAACCATGGCCATCCTCTCAGTTTGTTTATTTTGTGAATTCCCAGAAGTCCATGAAAACACTAAGGAACAATTCACTATAATTAGACATCAGGGATACTGCTTTGTTTTAGTTTTTAATAATATACAATGATGATAATTTTAAAGACTCTCTCACCATGTAAGACAATTATGGATGTTTCTACCATGAATGGAGTCCTCAATAGGAAACATTTTTCTTCTGTTATACTAAGAGCATGACATTAGAATTAAAACACACACACACCTCGTTTTGGAGAAAACAAGTTTTCTATAAAATATAATTAAAATTTGGTAGCTCGTTCGCTAACTTAGCAGAGGTGGGATTTGAACCAGAAATTTGGCTCCAGAGTCAACTCCCTTGTATACAATATTATTTAAAAAATGTGTTTTAAACATTCATCAAATGTTAGCAGGAAGGGATACAAAGATGAATGAGGTGTGGTTCCTGTCCTCAAGGGGTTTACGGAGCCAACCCATCTTCCAGCAAAACATTTCTCTAAGGCTCTGCTAAGGAATGAGACAGAGCCCTTTCTGCCGGTAATCCCCACAGCACTTCATCTGTTTCTTTCTCAGAGCACTTTTACAAGTATGTTATTGCTATTTGTGTTTACCTCTCACATTTCTTGCTTGAAAAGAATATACCTTATTCATGTTTATGCTCTATGTCAGTGCTGAATAAAATGGTTCTGCAATAACAGAAATAGGTACTGATGTTTACATGTAGCAAGCATCTTATGGTAAGTACAGTGCAAGGATGAAATAAAAGCCTTTGGTGAAATAGCTGCAATTGCAAGATCGAAATCACCATAATAATCCCAATTCAGATTTCGGGGTTCGTTTGTGGTTTTTCTTTGTTCCTCTGCTAGAAAAAAAGAAAAAATTTAGTGGAAAGAGACTTGCCTTATTTTTTTTCCAGTAGTATTATACATATAAAATAGAACACACACTTTTTATAATGAATTTTAAAACTGTTTTTATATGACTTAAAAGTTTAGCTTCTTTTACACTACTTTCCGTGGTTTATTTTGTTTTTCCAAACAATTTTCCAGATTTAAACTTTAGACATGCTTTATAGAGACTAAAACTCTAAGCTTATCTTTAAGTTTTAATGAAAGTAATAGCCCTACTTTCCTGTAACCTGGGAGTTTTGTGTCTGCATTCTTTTTTTTTTTTGAGTCGGAGTCTCGCTCTGTCACCCAGGCTGGAGTGCAGTGGCGCGATCTTGGCTCGCTGCAAGCTCCGCCTCCCGGGTTCACGCCATTCTCCTGCCTCAGCCTCCGGAGTAGCTGGGACTCCAGGCGCCCGCCACCACGCCTGGCTAATTTTTTGTATTTTTAGTAGAGACGGGGTTTCACCGTGTTAGCCAGGATGGTCTCGATCTCCTGTGTCTGCATTCTTTAATCTCTTCTTGGTATTAAGGTGATGTGCATTAGACATTGTCCCTTAATTGAAGCACAGAATTCAGGATAGTTCCTTCC
The DNA here is from genome assembly GCF_000001405.40 of Homo sapiens. NCBI lineage: Eukaryota > Metazoa > Chordata > Mammalia > Primates > Hominidae > Homo > Homo sapiens. The sequence goes on along the minus strand of NC_000003.12, from coordinate 180,014,166 downwards.
TCAGCTAATAATTTTCTAAGAGAAACTAGTGACATGACACAGAAAACATAAAACACATTTCATTAATTTTCATTCTGCTTTCATACTCTTCAAGGGCATGAGCATGGATGCATTACTCCCTTTCCCACCCAATGGTGCCAAGACTTCTCAATGCCTTCAGTCCATACTTGTAGTTATTGCAGTTTGCAATGGAATATGACAAACAGACATGCTAAAGAGGTTCAACAAAATTTAAAGGGCAATGAAAAAATTAAAATTTGATTTTTTATTATGAAAGTCACACGTGTTCCTTGTAGAAAATTTGGACAAAAAGAAAGGTAGAAAAAAGTTAAAAATCAGTCATAATACAATCATTATTATTTTCTTCCAGTTGTTTTTCCTGCATTCTTTCTACAAGTGGAGGTGAATACCCTCAGGGAACTATGAAATACAAATTACATTTTATCCCTATTGTTTGAGTAGTAATTACAATAGCTAAATTGTCTCGAATGCTTACATATACCAGGCGTTCTACTAAGCATATCACATACAAACTTCAGTCCTCTCTGGCAATGCCATCAATTCTAAAGAAATGTTTTGTAGTTCCAAGCCATAGTTGAAGACACCAGATAGAGTCACAACTAATTTGGATCACTTGTGACTATGGAGCCCTTAGTCACAAGTGATCCAAATATTATAGAAAATAAGTATTTAAATGACAAATTAAAGATTAAAACATTGGTTTAAGGAATTTGTTTTGTTTTGTAAGAGAAGTAAGAATTTTAAGCATGGTAAACTTGTATATTGCTGTTGCCCAAATATACTCTTTGCCATCATTTTGATTTACTGAGACCTAATCTGGGTATGAGAAAAACGAAGTATTGAGAATTTTAAACATACACTTGTGTGCACACACATGAAGACTTATATGTGTTGCATTTAATGCTTTAACATTACAAAAAGTGTCATGGGTAATACATTGCTAGGGCATATTATTAAGAACCAATTGTTTATAGTTTTGTACTTGTATAAAATAATCTGTGCATGTTCAGTTTTATAAACGTAAATGCTGATTTACCCAAGACAGCAAAACTGATCACTTTTCCTAAAATGAATTCAATCCAGAAAGAAATACTGCTACCAAAACTACAGAAAGCTCAACTGAGGACCATTGCAGTTTCTTATGGAAGACTGCTGAATAATTTTTTTAAAAATCACTTTGTAACATAATCGTGAATAGAATTTTATTCTTTTAAGCTCCATGTTATGAATACTTGATTTTTTTCAGTGTGATTCAGAGACGTATTTTTTTAATTAACTCTGCATCCCAAAGAATAGTTTGATCATATAAAATTAGAAAAGATTTACTATTAGGTCGACAACCTAATAAGATATAGGTATTAAAAATGGATTATCATAGGTAATTTAACTTATTCTTCAAAAGTATGCTATATATTTCATATACTGGAATTTATTATTCTCTTGTATATTTCATAAAATAAGTATCATTCACCTTTATATTTTCTTGTTGTTATTGAAATCCTTTATCTATTACCTTACATACTTGCCTTATTAAGTTTAACTCTTTTTTGTAGTACCTAGACCAGGGTCAATATTTTTACATCAATTCTCCTTGCTGAGTGCTATAATCATATAATTCTTCTAAAGAAGACAATGGGTTTAAATTGCACTGACTCCAAAACAAAACCTACCAGTTTGTTTCTTTCCTTTTTTAAAAAATAAAATCTGTTATCATTTTGCTTTGATGGGAAGAGGGAGGGTTATTTGCCTCTTTCCCATAAAAAGCAAGAATACAAAAATACTCTGCTTAAATCAATATTGTTTTATGCTAGTCTTCAAATAACCCTAAATAGATCATGGTTGACAGACAGCGTTAACATATACATAAGGCAAAATATCTGTCTATTATCATAAGATTTACAAATAAATTAAATTAGGAACCCTGTTCTTCACTGTTCATCTCAGAGTAGTTTCTAAAAGCCTGATTAGAGATTGTATCACTATTGTGTGATGGGCTATTTACCAAACCTGGGGCAGATGGAATTACGATAATATAAATCCATTTAAGGATTAAGTTATTTTAGGCCACACGTTTCCCTTCTACTAGACAAATTGCTGTGAGATGATAAGAGGAAAAAATCAAATTAAGGGGCAAGATTGTTTTCTTTCTATAAGAATACCAGCTGCCAAGTTGGATACTGAATTTTATGGCTTCATCTCAGATAGTCAGTGCTAAGAAGCTGTGTTCATGGTCGTTCTTCTTTCCAAAGTTCAGTGCCTGGTTGCTTTCTGCCTTTGAAAAACTCTTGCTCTTTTCAGTCTTTTTGAGTTTAAAAAATAGCCCTTTAAATGTGGTCTGTTGTCCTTTCTTTGAAAAGGATAAAAAGGGAAGGGAGCAGGAGGAAGGGATGAAAGAGGGAGTGAGGGATAGCTCACTGTCTAATGGAACCTCATATTTCAGTTATGGGGGTAGAAGACTGCATTAGCAAACTATATCTCATTTTTATTCAAAATTAAAGATTCTATTTTATTTACAATCACTTAAGCAAATTATCACAAAGACCTACTAAAAATGCTCCTTTTTTCCACGTTTTTAAATTTTTTCTATAATGGTATAAGATGGAGAAGACGGATAAGGTTACATTAGTAAAATGCTTGGCAACTTCTGAATGATCAAGTATCTTAGTAACCGTAAGTCACATGCATTTTCTCAGTCTTCTTTTCTGGAGGAGCATGCTACTGTTTTCTTACGATATACAGTGGCTTGCACTGCCCTTTTTGGTAATTAGTGTAATTTAACACATTTTAAAATAATGAAGCCACCTGCTCTGAATAGCTAAATCGTCGTTTACTGCCTAGAAGCTTTTCTCTTAGCAACAAAAAGATATGAAGGAACTTCTAATCCAACCTTGGTTCTGAAGTTTCATCTGCCACAAAATTGTTAGACTCATGATTTGGATTTCAATAATACACTGTAATTGAGAGCTAACCTTGCTTTTAGGTGACGACCACTAAGGATATTTTTCAAGGTGTATTCAGTTTCATGTAATTCACAGAGTTTTGATAGAAAGGAAGGGAAAGTGGTGTGGATGGTGGTAGACTTTCGCTATCTGGGCCGTGTGTGAGGTACTCTCACACTTACATCTCAATTAACCTGCTAATAAGTGGAAGACCCTGTATTTGAACACAGGTCTTCAACAGACCAGCACGCCTTCCACTTCCCCTTGCCAGTTCTCTTTTATAAATGTAACTCATTTCATAGGTGAGATTAAGAAGGAGTAATGTCAAGAAGCACGTTTTTAAAAAATACTTTAACAAATTACACAAAATTATTAACAATGCCACAAAATATATACAAGAAAAGCCAGTTGGGGCAATGGGATATGGCAAAGATGAAAAGAGAGGCCATTATTGAAGTCTTCTAATGAAATGTCAGTTTTCTATAGATAAATGTATGAGATTGATACTAGATGAGAAGGAAGTTACTGAAGAAGAGCAGTTTTAGATACCTTTTCATTTCATTTGCCTTAAAAGTAAGAAAACTAGGAGAAAACATTAGTTGTGTAGTCATTTGATAAACCACCCCTGTAATTATGCCTCTCCAGGCAAACGTGTTACATTTTCTCAGTGGTAATTTATGTAGAGGGTATGCCAGGGTTTCTCAACCTCAGCACTATTAAGACTTCAGGACACATAATTCTTTATTTTGGGGGACTGTCCTTTGGATTGTAGAGTGCCTTCATGCCTGTTGTCTACCCACTAGATGCCACTAGCACCCTCCCAGTTATAATAATCAAAACTATTTTTAGACACACTTTGGGAGGCCAAGGCAGGAGAATGGCTTGAGCCCAGGAGTTCAAGGCCAGCCTAGGCAACATAGTAAGACCTCCATCTCTACAGAAAAAAAAAAAAAAAAAAAAGAGGCCGGGTGCAGTGGCTCACGCCTGTAATCCCATCACTTTGGGAGGCCGTGGCAGACAGATCACACGGTCAGGAGATTGAGACCATCCTGGCTAACATGGTGAAACCCCGTCTCTACTAAAAATACAAAAAAAAGTAGCCAGACGTGGTGGCGGGCGCCTGTAGTCCCAGCTATTCGGGAGGCTGAGGCAGGAGAATGGCATGAACCCTAGAGGCGGAGCTTGCAGTGTGTCGAGATCGCGCCACTGCACTTCAACCTGTGCAACAGAGTGAGACTCTGTCTCAAATAAATAAATAAATAAATAAAAGTCTTTACACACTACCAAATGTTTCTGGCAGGTGGAGGAGAGGGAAGAATCACCCAATATGGAGAACCACAGCCATAAACAAGCATTTATTGAGCACTTTCTATAGGCCAGACACATAGAGGTGAACTAAATTAAGCCCTTGAAGTTACATCCTGGTGATGAGACAGAGGAAAAAAACAACTATATAGCAGAATGACAAGTGTTGAAAAGAAAAATAGAGCTAGGCATGGAACTACAGGTGCCTATAGTTCCAGCTACTCAGGAGGCTGAGGCAGGAAGATTGCTTGAACCCAAGAGTTCCTGTCCAGGCTGGACAACATAGTGAGACCCTGTCACCTTGTTTCTAAAAACAAAAAAAAAAGAAAAGAAAAAAATTTTTTCAGTAACTCATGCTGAGTTCCTACAAACTTCTGCTTCCTTGATCATTTTTACTGACTTTCCTCTGTTTTTATTTTTTAAATTTTTGTTTGCTTGTTTTATTGCTTACATTTGTAAAACTGCTTCACATGCTTTTTGGAGGAAGTCTGAATATAATCTAATAAGTGATAAGAGAGTAGATAGGCATACCTCTGTTAATTCCTGGTTGGGATAAAGTAATTAATTACTCTATTGTGCCTTATGAGGACGTGTAACAAGATAGAACCAAATATTGAAAAATATAAGAAAAGTTAAGGAATGTGATCTGAAAACAACCCCTACAAGCAACCCTTGTATAGTAGTTATTAATTATCTGTTTAGTGAATGAATCCATAAAGAAATGCAGACTCTCTCAATTTTGTAACCAAGAATATTAGGAAGAAGAGAGCATAACACATGAAGGTCAAACTCCAATGAGTGGGAAAAATAAGTTTTTTTAAAACTGGCCTTTAACCAATTAGAAATAGCAATGATGAGTAAAATCTTCATTTATTCATCAACACTATGTTTATACACAATGAAATGAGGTTAAACCTTAGCAATTATTTGGTTAATCTGAAGTATGCAAACATATTAATCAAAACATTTTATTCTAAAATGAACTGTTTGAGCTGAATGAAAAAGCAAGATGATATGGTTTGGCTGTCTCCCCACCCATATTCTCTTCGTGAATTGTATCTCCCAGAATTCCCATGTGTTGTGGGAGGGGCCCAGTGGGGAGGTAATTGAATCACAGGAGCCAGTCTTTCCCATGCTAGTCTCATGATAGTGAATAAGTCTCATGAGATCTGATGGGTTTATCAGGGGTTTCTGCTTTTGCTTCTTCCTCATTTTCTCTTGCTGCCACCATGTAAGGAGTTCCTTTTGCCTCCTGCCATGATTCTGAGGCCTCCCCAGCCATGTGGAACTGTAAGTCCAATTAAATCTCATTTTCTTCCCAGTCTTGGGTATGTCTTTATCAGCAGCATCAAAACGAACTAATACAGTAAGTTGGTACCAGGAGTGGGGTGTTTCTGAAAAGATACCCAAAAATGTGGAAGCAGCTTTGGAACTTGGAAGCAGGCAGAGGTTGGAACAGCTTGGAGGGCTCAGAAGAAGACAGGAAAATGTGGGAAAATTTGGGTCTTCCTAGAGACTTGTTGAATGGCTTCGCCCAAAATGCCGATAGCAATATGGACAGTAAGGTCCAGGCTGAGGTGGTCTCAGATGGAGAAGAGATGAGGCACTTGTTGGGAACTGGAGTAAAGATGAGTCTTGTTATGTTTTAGCAAAGAGACTGGCAGCATTTGCCCCTGCCCTAGAGATTTGTGGAATTTCGAACTTGAGAAAGATGATTTAGGGTATCTGGTGGAAGAAATTTCTAAGCAGCAAAGCATTCAATAGGTAACTTGGGTTCTGTTAAAGTCATCAAGTTTTATAAGGGAAGCCAAGCATAAAAGTTTGGAAAATTTGCTGCCTGACTATGTGATAGAAAAGAAAAAGGCATTTTCTGGGGAGAAATTTGAGCCAGCTGCAGAAATTTGAATAAGTAGCAAGGAGCCTAATGTTAATCCCCAAGACCATGAGGAAAAAGTCTCCAGGCCATGTCAGAGACCTTCATGGCAGTCCCTCCCATCACAGGCCCAGAGGCCCAGGAAGAAAAGGTGGCCTCATGGGCCAGGCCCAGGGTCCCTGCACTGTGTGAAGCCTAGGGACTTGGTGCCTGTGTCCCAACCACTCCGGCCACGGCTGGAAGAGGTCAATGTACAGCTAGGGCTGTGGCTTCAGAGAGTACAAGCCACAAACCTTGGCAGCTTCCATGTGGTATTTAGCCTGCAGGTGCACAAAAGTCAAGAATTGAGGTTTGGGAACCTCTGCCTAGATTTGAAAAGATGTATGGAAATGCCTGGATGCCCAGGCAAAAGTTTGCTGCAGGGGCAGGGCCCTCATGGAGAACTTCTGCTAGGGCAGTGTGGAAGGGAAATGTGGGGTGGGAGCTCCCACACTAGGAACTCCCACACTAGGAGTCCCTACTGGGGCACTGCCTAATCGAGCTGCGAGAAGAGGACTACTGTCCTCCAGACTCCAGAATGGTAGATCCACTGACAGCTTGCACTGTGTGCCTGGAAAAGCCGCAGACATGCAATGCCAGCCTGTGAAAGCAGCCAGGAGGGAGGCTGTACCCTGCAAAGCCACAGGGGTGGAGCTGCCCAAAACCACGGGAACCCACCTCTTGCATCAGCATGACCTGGATGTGAGACCTGGAGTCAAAGGAGATCATTTTGGAGCTTTAAAATTTGACTGCCCCACTGGATTTTGGACTTGCATGGGTCCTGTTACCCGTTCGTTTTGGCCAGTTTCTCCCATTTGGAACAGCTGTATTTACCCAATACCTGTACCCCCATTGTATCTAGGAAGTAACTAGCTTGCTTTCTATTTTACAGGCTCATAGGCAGAAAGGACTTGCCTTGTCTCAGATGAGACTTTGGACTGTGGACTTTTGGGTTAATGCCGAAATGAGTTAAGACTTTGGGGTATTGTTGGGAAGGCATGATTGATTTGATCTGATTGATTTTGAAATGTAAGGACATGAGATTTTTAGGAGTAAGGGGTGGAATCGTATGGTTTGGCTGTGTCCCCACCCAAATCTCATCTTTAATTGTATCTCCCAGAATTCCCACATGTTGTGGGAGGGACCCAAGGGGAGGTAAGTGAATCTTGAGGGCCTGTCTTTCCCATGCTAGTCTCATGATAGTGAATAAGTCTCACAAGATCTGAAGGGTTTATCAGGGGTTTCCGCTTTTGCTTCTTCCTCATTTTCTCTTGCTGCCAAAATGTAAGAAGTGCCTTTCACCTCCTGCCATGATTTTGAGGCCTCCCCAGCCATGTGGAACTGTAGGTCCAATTAAACCTCTTTTTCTTCCCAGTCTTGGGTATGCCACTGCCCAGCAGTGTCAAAACGGACTAATTCACAAGAAATGGTACCAAAAGATGGGATTGGAGAGTTTGTTTCCACTTTCTATATTCTCCTTCCCAGAAGCCCTCACCTCAACTTCCTCTAACTTTGACACTTTTAAAAGCAATAGGTATGTTTCTCTTCCACAGATTAGGGTGTGCTTTTGACCTTGTATAATGTCAATGACCTTATATATTTTTTGTAAAAATGAAAAAAAAATAATGAAAACTTTTAAAACTTTTTTTTTCACTACTTCAGGGATTAGGTTTTGTGTACATTTATAGCAAAAAAAATAATAATAAAGAAGGAAGTGGCGAAGGGAATATAAGGCCTGGTATGAATGGAAATAAGGTTGCTGAAGCAATTAATTAACAATGTCATAGACTGCCATCAAGGGAGGGATCAGCAATTAATACAGAGAGGTTTTGTTAATTACTCAAGGTTGAAGCACAGAACAACCTGAGAACAATGAATACATTAAAGAGTACTATTCCAGTGGAAAACTGGGTACTTTTTTGTGTCACTTGATTGAGGTAGTATTGAAAAAGTTTGAATTAATAACAATAGCAGGAGACTTCTAAAAGATAAACATGGTAAAAATGGATGTTCTAATGCCTAGATATTTCATGTCTAATAATGATATATCACATTTGTAAAAATTTCTATTTTGAAAAGATAAGAAAGAAAGGCATACCTTTTTGAGAAATAAATTAAGACTCACCTAGCTGAGCACAATGGCTCATGCCTGTAATCTCAACAGTTTGAGAGGCCAAGGATCACTTGAGACCAGGAGTTTGAGACTAGCCTGGGAAATACAGTGAGACCTTGGTCTCTACAAAAATAATTTTTTTTTTTTTGAGACAGAGTCTCGCTCTGTCGCCCAGGCTGGAGTGCAGTGGCGCTATCTCTGCTCACTGCAAGCTCCACCTCCCGTGTTCACACCATTCTCCTGCCTCAGCGTCCCGAGTAGCTCAGACTACAGGCGCCCACCACCATGCCTGGCCAATTTTTTTGTGTTTTTAGTAGAGACAGGGTTTCACCATGTTAGCCAGAATGGTCTCGATCTCTTGACCTCGTGATCCACCCGCCTTGGCCTCACGAAGTGCTGGGATTACAGGCGTGAGCCACCACGCCCAGCCTACAAAAATATTTTTTTAATTAGCCAGGTGTGTTGGCATATGATTGTAGTCATAGCTACTCAGGAGGCTGAGGTGGGAGGATCCCTTGAGCACAGGATTTTGAGGCTACAGTAAGATATGATTGTACCACTGTACTTCAGCCTGGGTGACAGGAAAACCCTATCTCTAAAAACAAACAAAAAAAAATAAAAACTTTTTAAAATCCCCGCTCATCAATCCATTTACACTTAGCTATTTTCAGAAGTAGCAATTTGATGCAGAGTAATTCATTATGATTTTACCATTCCGTATGCTATTTTTAATACATTATTTCTCTTTCAGTCAGAAAGATTACACATTCCTGCTATATGTTATAAGAAAAAAAGTTACTCTCTTATGCTTAAACATTAACACAATAATAGAAAGTGTTCACGAGCTAAGTTTTCAATTTTTAAATATATTTAAAACCTCTGACATATTTTGTGAAGTTACTTTAATGTATTCTAGACACCACATTTACAAAAATACTAAGCAAAATTTTACCTAAGATCAATATGAGATGCTCAATTTTTAACTAATTCTAGTATGCATTTCACATTTCTTTTATTCAAATTCTTATAGCATGATTCAGATTAAACAGTTGGTGAAGGCAACTAGATATTCTGCTTGGTCTAAATTAGTGATGTTCAAATTTGACTGCATAAATAGTCCCATGGGGCTGCTTTTGGAAGTGCAGCTTCCTGGGCCCCTCCCAGAGGTTTAACTTCAGTATATCTTGGGTGGAGCCCAGGGATGTCATTTTTTAACATAAATCCGGGTAGCTCTGATTTATATAGCAAGACTTTGAACTTCGGCAAAAAACAAAACAAAACAAAACAAAAACAATAAATTAGATAGTTCATACCAAGTTTCTATTTCATTTTGTTTGGTATGGGTTTGGGTCCCACTGTAGAACTGGAACCATTTCATTCATATTAGTATGCCCAGCTGTTTGGACATTTTTTCAGTACTTTGTGAAACACATATAGTTTCCATTAGCTTGACCAAAAAGATTTATCTGCAGTTTGAGTCTCCTTTCCATCTTATTTCCAAACTTTACCAAATGCTTACCATAAAATAAATATTCTTCACTAATAACTAAAAACAAATTTGGCTTGCCTATTTTGAATATGAAACTGTGAAAATATAATCTGATGTGTCTGACTAAATTTGACCATCAATGTAGCTAGCATCAGTGGTCTCTAAACATTACGTTTGAGGACCATAGAAATCTACTGGTAAGATATTCAGGATTTAATTTCCCAGCCAGGGGTTTTTTTAGTCAGTTCAACGGCAAAAAATAAATTTGTAGGATGACCTTTCTAAACTCTTACTATTCAAATAACATTGCTTCCAAATTGAAAAGGCTGTTCCAAATATCACTCTGTCTTCATAACTGAAATTGTCACACCTCTTGGGCGGGGGGACAAACATAAGACGTCCTGTATAAATAGTCAATGAAGATATTGATTGGGATAAAAGCAGTGGTCAGTAGAAGCTGCTAGAGCATTTCTTCACATGGCTCATTTGTAAGTTCAAATCACTATTGTGTGAATTCCCTTCACTTATTTGTCCAACAGATGTCTACTGGATATTAAGAAATTTATTTATTCTTTAATATCACCTTAGTAGCCAACGGAAGCCAAAAGTAGCCTTTTAAGGAGCATTAAGATGTCATTATTATTTAGTTGCCTTTTGTTCTTATTGAAAAATTTAGATTAAACTCATGACACTTTCTTATAAAATAATAAAAATATTTTCCAAATTGAAGAACGGTTGTATCATACTTGAGCTTGAATCAAAGATCTGAGGACTCTGAAGCATTTAGATATGTGAGATTAAACCATTTTTATTTTATATTAAATTGTTGAAATAAGAAAGACCTATATATATCATTTTCCAGTTTACATATGTTTGTGGCATTTTATTTAAAAAATTAAAATATCACTAATACAAATTTGGTCAAATAAATATATTTTGGCTCTCTGCAATTTGGTATTAAAATCTATGGCAGGTTATTTTTTTCTTTTTTTTTCTTTTTTTTAGTGCCCAGTCTGAGCCCACATAAATTAGACAGTCTTTTACAAAACCTAATATGCTCCTCACTCAGAAACACATAAGCATGGAGCATAATACAGATTGTTGTAATAATGGATTAAATCCCAGATGTTTTCCATGTTTCACATGATAGGATAGAATGAGCTAAGCTCCCTTTAGAGACTGAGTTTTCTGAATCACCTTGTTTACAGAGCTGCTAAGACTTCTGGCTTTATTTAGAAAAGTCTCAATAGGGTATTTGAAGTCAGGCTCTAAATCCTCACCTGATTTGTGTCAGTTTACATCTCCGTTAATAACACAGAATGAATTCGATTTTTATCGTTCTTTTCTCTGTTTGAAAAGAGAAACTCCTTGGTCTCATCTATAATCGTTTCCTACCCTGTGAAATGAGAATTTATGTGAAGATAAAATACGCTCCAAATTTAACAAGCTATGAAAATGTAAGATAATTTAGATCTTTATGGGACAATTTGTGTTATTGCAATTGTTTCCTGATTTAGCAAGATTATTTACTGTACTTCCTAACTTTTTCTGCAAGGAAGAGGTTTATTATATTTGCCATTATCTCAGTCTTCTCTTGTGAAATACTATTTGTGAGGTAGTCTTCACACAATTCTAGGGCAGCTGAATTTCTAGCTATAGTTAAAACTGAAGAAAATATATTTCTTGATGGAAAAATTAATATGCCCCCCAAAAGGATTATATTGATAGAAAAATACAGGTTTGGACAAATATTTACAACACATTTGACAAAGAGTAAATGGATATACTATACAAAAAGTTCTCACAAATTGCCCATAAACAGACCCAAAACACAATTTACAACTGGGGATAATATACAAATGGGAATTTTCTAGGAGAGAACCTTCAAATGATCAATACATATAACAAGATGATCAAATTAACTAATAGTTAGGGAAATGCAATGAAAGATATCACTTTACACTCATCAGACTTAAAAATATTTTTAAAGTAATAATACCTGTTTCTGTCAAGAATAGGAGAAAAGGCATAACTAAGAAAGGCTTGTGTGGCAGTCAGCAAGCTTGTAACCTGGCAACATCGTAAAACAATTTTTAAATAAAAAATACACTCTTCTAATCAGCAATCTCATCCCTAGGAATCTATCACATGGCACTAAAGCAACCAGAACTTAAGGAAATATGCACAAAGATACTAAATGCAGCATTGTTCAGTTAGGAGAAAAAGGAAACCAAAGGAATGCTCGTATTTTTTAAAAAGTTGAGAAGTTCATGGTACATTCATACCTAGAATAACATGCAGGCATTAAAAAGAATGAAATAGAGCTATGAAGATGGATTTAGGTGGTTGTTCTTGAAGTATAGTTGAGAGATGAAAAACAAGTACAAAGAAGTAAGTGCAATATCATACTACTTGTAAAATAACGACAACCCCAGCTAACGTCTATATGTATATGGTTAAATATATTTACCTACAAATATGTGTGTTTGGCTATGACTATGGATAATATAGATAAAATAAACATTATCTTGTTGATTATTCATGGATGGATAAGTGTGTATTTGATGATGTAAATGTACTGGGAAGCAGGAAGGGTAGGTAAGCAAAAAAGAAAAGACTAAACTATAAAAATAGCACATATGATATTACCCCAGTAAAGCATTTATGTCAAGTTGCATATGTGTATAAAACATATGCATAAAATAGTTTATTAAAAATGATTAAAACTTAATGACTTCAAATAAAATTCACAGGTTATTACTTGAAAGCACAATGAAAAATAAATGTAGTGAACACTGTTTATCAACCCTCTGTCCAAAAGATGTGTACATAGGTTTAGCTACAAATATATGGTTTGAAGCGTTCCTCTATGAGCAATGACAACAAAAAAAAAATTTGTTTTCTTTTAACATGTGCACAAAGAGTTTATTTACCAAGTTCGTTTTTATCAGAGAGACGGTGGGTGTATAAGTCAGAGTTCTCTAGAGAAACAGAACTAATATGATATATATATATATCTTCTATATATCCATATATATTATATATTTTATTTTATATATATATATGAATATAAAGGGGAGTTTATTAAGTATTAACTCACATGATCATAAGGTCCCACAATTGGCCATCTGCAAGCTGAGGAGCAAGGAGAGCCAGTGCAAGTCCCAAAACAGAAGAACTTGGAGTCCGATGTTCAAGGGCAGGAAGCATCCAGCACGGGAGAAAGATGTAGTTTGAAGGCTAGGCCAGTCTAGTCTTTTCACATTTTCCTGCCTGCTTTGTATTCTAGCCAAGCTGGCAGCTGATTAGATGGTGCCCACCCAGATTAAGGGTGGGTCTGCCTTTCCCAGCCCACTGACTCAAATGTTAATCTCCTTTGGCAACACCCTCATAGACACACCCAGGATCAATACTTTGCATCCTTCAATTCAATCCAGTTGATACTCAATATTAACCATCACAAGTCCACCCCTTGTCAACTTGAACCCACACATATCTCCTGAGATCACACATAATCTTCAATAAAGACAATAATAAGGTCATAATTACACCTAACATAATACAACTATCCTCGTACAACCAGAAATGCACCAATCCCCAACCTAAATATTACTACATAAAGTTAACAATACTTAAATGCTGGTATGAAATCAATAAATCTGATGTCACGTGATAAGGGAAAAAGGAAATAAAATCAACATATCTTCTTAGTACAAGTATATACATGCACAAACATGTTTTTAACAAAAGAAGGAGGAAATATGTCAATTACAGTCCTTGTTTCTGCAGCTAGTCACGTGGTCATAGCTGGTATTGATGACTACCTCCTTCTGCTACCCATTCTGTATTCCCTTTGATTCACCTAGCACCTCAGCAGGTCGTGGTTTTTTTTCCTGGAGGAGTGACCCAAACCTTCATTCCTAAAGGGTCTGGGCCATGTGTAGTCCTGCCTGGATTGGGCTGTTGTAGTTTCCCATTGACCTTAATCACAGGGCATGATAATACTAAGAGACACCCTAATGGATCTCCTGTATTCCATGCATACTCTTCCTTACCTCCATTGTGGAGTAGTAGACTGATTTCATCTTGATAGCCTGGTCAGTCACCCCAGCCAACACTGTAACTCCATTCTTAGCCTGTTGACTTAAAGGTAGGAGGAGCTCAAAGTGTCCAGGTGGCAATCCTAACTTCCAGTTTAATGAAATTGTGTGTCTCCTGGTGGCAGCATTCCTCCCTCTGGAACTAAGACCTCTAGGCCAGAAGAACGTAATGTCATGGAAACAAGAAGCAAAAATCTTGCTAGTGGATCACTAGAGGTGATGGTGAATGGTGCCACTTCCACTTCTATCCCTTGATTCCTGGACCCGTGACTCCTGGCTGTGGGAAAAACTGTACCATATATTGGACGCTGATTCAGAGCATACATGGCCTTCTGGAGAACTTTGCCCCAGGCTTGCAAAGTATTGTCACCTAGTTGGCGTTGTAATTGTGCCTTCATAATTATGCCTTCAAAAAGCCACTCCACAATTCTGTCAATCCGGCTGCTTCAGGATGATGGGGAACATGATAAGACCAGTGAGTTCCATGAGCATGAGCCCACTGCCACACTTCTTTAGCCATAAAGCGAGTGACTTGGTCAGAGGCAATGCTGTGTGGAATACCATGATGGTGGATAAGGCATTCCGTGATTCCATGGATGGTAGTCTTGGCAGAAGCATTGCATGCAGAATAGGCAAACCCATATCCAGAGTAAGTGTCTATTCCAGTGGGGACAAACCTCTGCCCTTTCTATGATGGAAGAGGTCCAATACAGTCAATCTGCCACCAGGTAGCTGGCTGATCACCCCGAGGAATGGTGCCATATTGAGAGCTCAGTGTTGGCCTCTGCTGCTGGCAAATTGGGCACTCAGCAGTGGCTGTAGCCAGGTCAGTCTTGGTGAGTAGAAGTCCATGTTGCTGAGCCCATGTGTAACTCCATCTCTGCCATTATGTCCACTTTGTTCATGGGACCATTGGGCGATGACAGGGGTGGCTGGGGGAAGAGGCTGAGTGGTGTCCATAGAACAGGTCATCCTATCCACTTGATTATTAACATCCTCCTCTGCTGAGGTCACCCATTGGTGAGCACTCACATGGGATACAAATTTCTTCACAGTTTTTGACCATTCAGAGAGGTCCATCCACATACCTTTTCCCCAAATTTCTTTGTCACCAATTTTCCAATCATGCTTCTTCCAAATGCCTGACCATCCAGCCAAACCATTGGCTACAGCCCATGAATCAGTATATAATCAAGCATCTGGCCATTTCTCCTTCCATGTAAAGTGCACAACCAGGTGCATTGCTTGAAGTTCTGCCCACTGGGAAGACTTCCTTTCACTGCTGTCTTTCAGAGATGTCCTAAAAAGAGGCTGTAGTGCTGCAGCTGTCCACTTTTGGGTGGTGCCTGCATATCCTGCAGAACCGTCTGTGAACCAGACCCTAGTCTTCTCTTCCTCTGTCAACTGACCATAGGGAACTCCCCCTGAGGCCATTGGTGCAGGCTGGAAGAGAGAAGGCAGGGTGGAAGGAGTGGAGACCATGGGCATTTGAGTCACTTCTTCATGTAACTTATTTATGCCTTCAGGACCTGTTCCAGCCTGATCATGTATATACCACTTTCATTTGATGATGGAATGCTGCTGTCCATGGCCCACTTTATCGCTAGATGGATCAGAAAGCGCCCAGTTCATGATAGGCAGTTCAGGTCACATAGTGACTTGATGAACCATTGTCAAACGTTCAGTTTCCACCAAAGCCCAGTAACAGACCAAGAGCTGTCTCTCAAAAGGAGAGTAGTTATCTGCAGAAGATGGCAGGGCCTTGCTCCAAAATCCTAGAGGCCTCCTCTGTGATTCACCTATAGAGGTCTGCCGAAGGCTCCAAATAGCATCCCTATCTGCCACTGACACCTAAAACACCATTGGATCTGCTGGGTCACATGGCCCAAGTGGCAGAGCAACTTGCACGGCAGCCTGGACCTGTTGCAAAGCCTTTTCCTGTTCTGGACCCCACTCCAAACTGGCAGACTTTCGGGTTACTTAATCAATGGGCCTGAGTAACACACCCAAATGAGGAATGTGTTGCCTCCAAAATCCAGATAGGCCCACTAAGCATTGTGCCTCTTTCTTGGTTGTAGGAGGGGCCAAATGCAGCAATTTATCCTTTACCTTAGAAGGAATACCTCGACAGGCCCCACACCACTGGACCCCTAGAAATTTTACTGAGGTAGAAGGTCCCTGAATTTTAGTCAGATTTATTTCCCATCCTGTGGCACACAAATGTTTCACCAATAACTCCAGTGTGTTTTCTACTTCTTACTCACTGAATCCAATCAGCATAATGTCATCAATGTAATGGACCAGTGTGATATCTTCTGGAAGCGAAAAGTGATCAATGTCTCTTTGAATAAGATTATGACACAAAGCCAGAGAGTTGATATACCCCTGAGGTAGGACAATAAAGGTATATTGCTTGTCTTGCCAGCTGAAGACAAATTGCTTCTGGTGGGCCTTATGGACAGGAATGGAGAAAAAGGCATTTGCCAAGTCAGTGGCTGCATACCAGGTACCAGGAGATGTGTTAATTTGCTCCAGCAATGAAATCACATCTGGTAAAGCACTTGCAATTGGAGTCACCACTTGGTTAAGCTTATAATAATCCACTGTCATTCTCTAAGATCTATCCATTTACTGCACAGGCCAAATGGGAGAGTTGAATGGGGATGTGGTGGGAATTACCACCCCTGCATCTTTCAAGTCCTCGATGGTGGCACTAATCTCTGCAACCCCTCCAGGGATGTGATATTGTTTTTGATTTGCTATTTTTCTAGGTAGAGGCAGCTCTAATGGCTTCCATTTGACCTTTCCCACCATAATAGCCCTCACCTTACCAATCAGGGAGCCAATGTGGGGGTTCTGCCAGCTAAGCATGTCTATGCCAATTATGCATTCTGGCACTAGGGAAATGACCACAAGATGAGTCAGGGAACCCACTGGACCCACTGTAAGTCAAAACTCCATTAATTACCTGACCTCCATAAGCCCCTACTTTAACTGGAGGACCACAATGCTGTTTTGGGTCCCCTGGAATCAACATCAGCTCAGAGCCAGTGTCCAGTAGTCCCTGAAATGTCTGATCACTTCCCTTTCCCCAGTGCACAGTTACCCTGATAAAAGGCTGGAGGTCTCCTTGGGGAAGGATAGGAGAAAGATTAACAGCATAAATTGTTGGTGATGTAGTGGGATCCTTCCTCAGGGGGACCCAGCCTCCCCTTCATTCAAGGGGTCTGGGTCTGTAAACTGGCTCAAGTCTGAAAATTGATTGAGGAGCTATGATTCTCTGTTTTTATAATTCAAATTAGTCTTTTGTCCATTCAACCTGGAATTTTTCTGCTTATATAAATTAAGTAGGAATGCGGTAGACTTCCTATCAATTTCACTTCTAGGAACACCATGATTAATTAGCCAATGACAGAGCTCTACATGAGTCAGACTATTCTGATTGCTGCTTTGCCTCTGCTGTCCATTACAGTAGCTACGCCCACCTTGCCTTTGTTGGTTGAAAGCTGCCACTTGGCTCCTGCCACCTTGCAATCCAATTATTCCCATTGTATTTAAATTTTGTAGTTGAGTGACTGCAGTTCCCATGGTTAGATGTGACATACAGAGAAGAGCAATTACAGGGCTCTTCAAAGATGCAGGTGCTGCCCTCACAAATCTATTTCACAAGGCATTGGTCAAGGGTGTATCTTCTGGACCCTCCTAGCTGGGATGAGTAGGCCTAAAGTGACTTATCCATTCTACCATCCCAATCTCCCTAAGCTTTTGGATCCCTTCCTCTACATTAAGCCAAGGGAAATCAGGCATTTCCAGCTCACTCGCAGTGGGCCATCTTTTAATCCATATTTCAGCTAACCAAGCAAATAAACTATTAGAACCCTTTTTAACTCCCTAAGCTGCAACATTAAATGCAGAGTCCCTACTTAGTGGGCCCAAATCAATAAAATCAGCCTGATCCAACTCTATGTTCCTTCCCCCATTATCCCACACCCTTAATATCCATTCCCATGCCTGCTCTCCAGATTTCTGCATATATAAATTAGAAAACTCAAGCAGCTCTTTTCGAGTGTAGCACACCTCCTCACCCTCACCTCTAGGGCCCTGCTGGGGCATTAGCCTTGTTATAGGTCTAGAAGCTAACAGGGGTGTTGGGGGTGGCTCCTGATGAGAATCAACATTATCTTGCTTGGCAACTACCTCAAGGGAGGCCACCACTCTTACCTCAGGCAGCAGAGTTTATCTCCTCAGACAAAGGTGGAAAGGCTGATGGCAGTGTGGGTTGGAAAGGGGATGTTGCCACTTTACGGGAATGGGGAAGCTGTTTCTTCTGGCAAAAAAGGTTCATCAGAATTTACACACTCAGTGTCCCCAGCTTCATCAGGGTCCTCCCACACGTCCCCATTCCAAGTTGCAGGGTCCCATTCTTTTCCAATCAATGCGCTCACTTTAACAGTAGACACCTGGAGAGGCTGTGCATGCACCTTTCGTTGCAGGTCAGCCACTTGCTTCATAAGAGCTTGTGTCTGTTTTTTTACAATTTCAGCTCATTCTCTACAGGAGATAAGACTCTCAGTCAGGGCAATCTTAGTAGATATGAGTCTTATTTGCTTCTGAAGCCGGGAGTTAGAATCCCTGAGTTCATCAGTTTCTTTCATCACTTTGTCTACTGAACTAAGGAGCAACAAACAAGCTTCATCATGTTCCTTGGTTCTCCACATATGGTCAGAGGTATTATGTATAGAGTCACTAAACAGCTTGCCTCTCACAAGCAGTGAATCAGGAGTGTCAAATGCATTTATTTTGCATAACTCTCTAAACATTTCACACTAAGGACTATCAGTGTTCTCCATATTATTAGAAGTAGAGTCCTTGGCATTTTGGGGTCTAATCATATTAAGCAGCCAACTCCAGAAACCCCAAAACCAACCAAAGAACCCCATCCTTAATATTCTGTTCCTCTAGAACCACTCCTGTTACCAAGATCTGTATTTGTCAGAGTTCCCCAGAGGGAGAGAACTATATACATATATAAAAAATATATATACTATATATATACACACTATGTAGATAGTGTGTGTATATATACACACTATATATAGTATATAGTGTATATACATATATAGTATATATAGTATGTATATAGTGTGTGTATATATAGTGTATATATATAGTATATATAGTGTGTGTA
This sequence comes from Homo sapiens, assembly GCF_000001405.40. Taxonomy (NCBI): domain Eukaryota; kingdom Metazoa; phylum Chordata; class Mammalia; order Primates; family Hominidae; genus Homo; species Homo sapiens. The sequence continues at coordinate 179,995,099 of NC_000003.12, read as the reverse complement.
TATATATACTATATATATACTCTCTATGCTATATATATAACTACATATATATATATAGGGGAGTTTATTAAGTATTAACTCACACTAACTACATATATATAGATGGGAGTTTATTAAGTATTAACTCACACAATCAAAAGGTTTCACAATAGGCCATCTGGAAGCTGAGGAGCAAGGAGAGCCAGTCCGAGTCCCAAAACAGAAGAACTTGGAGTCCGATGTCCAAGGACAGGAAGCATCCAGCACGGGAGAAAGATGTAGGCTAGGGGCTAAGCCAGTATAGTCTTTTCACATTTTTCTGCCTGCTTATATTCTAGTCACGCTGGCAGCTGATTAGATGATGCCCACCCAGATAAAGAGTGGGTCTGCCTTTCCCAGCCCACTGACTCACATGTTAATCTCCTTTGGCAACACCCTCACAGACACACCCAGGATCAATACTTTGCATCCTTCGATCAAGTTGACACTCAGTATTAACCATCACATTTATGTACATGGTTTTTCCAGCCAGTGGATGATGACTCCCTTCACTTGCCCAGCCCCTCTGGCCCTATCCAGGGGTGTCAAGTGTGCCCTAAACACTTTACTCTGGGATAAGGGGTGTCTGAGGGGTTGAGGGACAAAAGATAGCCCAGGAGGAGGAGCTGGATAAAAATGGAGGGGTAACAAAGAGGCCATGGAAAAATATTTGGAGCACTTTGCTAGAAGATTTGAGTGAGTGGATTCCCACAACCAGAAGACATCACACACTAGAAGCTGGCAAAGGTTAATCTGAAGGTCAGAATTCACATTCATTAACTTTTAATGTATAAAAAACCTTCCAAAAATGTAGCAGCTTAAACTTCAAACATTTGTTATTTCCCATTTATCTATGGGATGGCTGGGTGATTCTTCTGGTCTGGAATGGCTCGGCTTGTGATAGCTTTCCTTGGGTGGCAGTTGGCAAGCTGGACAACAGCAAACTGATCTAAAAACCTGAATGTCCACCATTAGAGATAAACTATGTAACACTACACAGACATTGAAAGTGACATTGTGGAACTACACATATTTACAGGAAGAAGGCTCATAATATATTAAATTTTAAAAGCAATTATAAAATGATATATAGTAAGCCTTTGGTATCCATGGGTTCTGCATCTGTAGACTTAAGCAACTGCAGGTTGAAAATATTTGAAAAAGAAAGTGTGTGCATTGAACATGTACAGACTTATTTTCCTGTGTTTCTGTATTATTTAGGGAATAGTGACTATTATTAGATATAAGCAATCTAGAGATGATTTAAAGTATATGGGAAAGCCGGATGCGGTGGCTCATGCCTGTAATTCCAGCACTTTGGGAGGTCGAGGCGGGCAGATCACTTGAGCTCAGGAGTTAGAGACTAGCCTGGCGAACATAGTGAAACACCATCTCTACTAAAAATACAAAAAAAATTAGCCGGGTGTGGTGGTGTGTGCCTGTAATCCCAGCTACTCAGGAGGCTGAGGCAGGAGAATCACTTGAACATGGGAGGTGGAGGCTGCAGTGAGCTGAGATCATGCCACTGCACTCCAACCTGGGTGACAGAGTGAGACCCCATCTTGAAAAATAAAAATAAAATAAAATAAATATATGGGAGGTTGTGCATAGGTTATATGCAAATACTACAGCATTTTGTATAAGGTACTTGGGCATCCTCAGGTTTTGGTATCTATGAGGAGTCCTGGAACCAATTTTCCATGGATACCAAGGGACAATTGTACACACTATGATCCCTTTCTAAGAAAATCATTTCTGTATTTATCAAAAACTCAATAGGAAAATGGGCAAAAGATATGAGTAGGCATTTTGCCAAAGAACTTGTGCAAATTGATGAAAAACTTATTAATTACGTGCTCAAATTGACTAGTAATCAGATAAATGGAAATCAAAGAAACAGACAATTATATAAACTCTGGAAGAGCATACACCAAAATGTGAACAGTGAACTCTTGCTGGTGGTTATATTAGTTTTTCTTTCTTTCCTTCTTTTTCTTATCTATATTTTCTATAGTGAACATGTTACTCTTGTAATAACGGGGGGGAGTTTTTTTTTAAGTGTTATCCACACCCAGTAAAAATGATTATACAATCTTTTAACTAAATCTTATTTTCATCACCTAAAAACTAAGTTATAGACTGTGCGTTCTGCAAGGAAAAATACATACATATGTACATACATACATACATACATAGACACATACATACATACATACATGCAAAGAACCAGGTCAAAAATCAAATACTTTATGAAGTCTTCTTCATAAAGTCTTATGAATTCCCTCTGAAGTCTTCTTGTATTATGATTTTATCTCACATGCTTCTTAACCATCTTGAAATTCGTGTGCGCTGCTCCACATAATTTAATACTTGTTCTTTAATTGCTCCATTTCTGGAAATTTTATTTATTCCACAAATAATTATTGAGGACTTACATGCTACACACAGTACTTTTTTCTGAGTGGGAGCCATCTGTTACGTTTCCACTGCATCTCTGTTTTACCTACTCCAGCTCTGGCATAAAATTCAGTGTTTAAAAAACACACAGTCATTGATTTTTCTCATCTGCATTACAAACATTTGTGAGCACCTACCATGCATCATAATTATGCTAACCGCTAAAATGAAGCTTTGAAGAGATTTTTTAATCCTGATAAAATAAAAAGAGCACTGTAGATTAGATTAGCACCAACTCTGTCATTAATAAGTTGTGTGACGTTAAGTAAATCATTCAACCTTTCTTGAGCCTCCTTTTTTCTCTTATCTGTAACATGGGGGAATGAAAGTCAGACTAAATATTCTTAAGATTCCTTTTGGCTTTCAAAATTAAATAATATACCTGGCATGACCAAATCTTAAGCAATCTAACAATTTGGACACTTCTATGAGGCTGGGAAGAATATATTGCATATAGTGTCACATCAGGGTATATCTGCTTTCTGTGTCTCTACTCTGTCTTCATTTTGATGATTAGACTATTTGTTCTCTGGGGTCTGATTCATGCCTATGACTCACAGACCCTCACACATAAGTAGGGCTCAGGAGATAACATCAGTATTGTCTCCTTCTATGTTTTAAGAACAAAAACAAATGTCTAATATGCTACTTTTATAAATAAGCGCCATGGGAATTAAATATCTAGGAACTAGGAATGAGCCTAGATTTGATTTTTTTGTATCAAATAAATAACTAAAGCTAAGAAAATATACTTTGTTATGTCTACCTATGATTTATCTTCTTGAAAAGTTAACAGAAAAGGAACATCATGTCTTCTAAAGAGAAAAGAGAGACAGGGAGAAAGAGAATGGATGGTATAGTGTTAGAAATTATTTAGACAGAAGAAGAGCTATGCCTGTTTATACATAGAGGGAAAGAACTGAGGGAGAGTCAGAGATGGAAGACGCATGTGAATGAATAGCTGGTGAAGCAAAGTGGCAAAATCAATGTGAGGGCAATGAGATCTGAACCACAGGTAAAGAGCTTCATCCTGCCAGACAATGCTTTCTCCTAAAAAATAGACAAAAAGAAAGAACCAGAGGGTAAACACCCAGAGATGAGTAGAGGGGGAAAAAAAAGGATGCTGAGACCTTGGGCAGCTCAGGAAAGCAGCCAGGTCATCCTGAAGAAGAAAGAGCTCTGGTTGGCAAAAGGGGTCAATCTTTGTAGCAGTGATGATAAGAAATTGCCCAGCAGCTGTGAGGATCCAGCTATTATAAAACAGCATGAGTCTGCAGTAGATATAGTCACCTTGGCCTTGCGACTATGCTTGTAAAACCTGATGAGCTGGAGTGACAGTGCATCCAGGATGCAATAAGCACATACTTGAAATTATTTGTGGCCTGCCCCAGTGCTATACAATCAACAGATACCAGAGGTCAAATGGGCAAGCATCCGGGAGCTCCAAGTCAGGTTAAAGACAGTAAGTCGGTTTGGTGCTATCTCCGTGGAGGTGAGGAAGCAGGCTGCCAGGAGTCTCCAGAGTTTTCAGCTACACTCAGGAATACATGTAGAATGCAAGGAGTGTGGTGGTTCCTAAGTGTTAGGCATGTCCCCAGATTTTTTCAGGGATAATGGGCTGCACATCCTGTGTCCATTGGGGGTATTATAGAGTTGTTTATACATGGGGATAGGAATTATATAAACAGGTTTTAATCATAGCTTCAAAGCAGACTAGCCAAGTGAGCTAATGGAAATATACCCAGCACATTTACATTTCAGTTGCCTCATCAATAAAATAAGAATAATAAGAGTACTTACCTCAGGAGTCTGTGAAAATTAAACAAAATAATGTAAGTAAAATGCTGAGCAATGTTCCTGGGACAAGGTAAGCACTCAAGGAATTATTGGTACTAACAACCAACAGTAAAGATATCAGAATGGGCTGGGGGCAGTGTTTCATGTCTGCAACTCCAGCACTTGGGGAGGCAGGGGTGGGAGGATCACCTGAGGCCAGGAGTTCAAGACCAGCCTGGGAAACATATTGAGACCTTATCTCTACAAAATATTTTTTTAAAAAATAGTTTGGTGTGGTGCTGTGCACTTGTAGTCTCAGCTAGTTGGGAGGCTGAGGCAGAAGGATCACATGAACCTGGGAGGTTGAGCCTACAGTGAACATTGATCATGTCACTGCACTCTAGCCTGGGCAACAGAGCAAGACCCTATCACTGAAAGAAAAAAAAAAGATATCAGAATGACATACCGTGAGGAGAAATAGGAGCTAATGAAAGGAATTTCATGTTACTTTAAAATATGGGGGAAATATGTAAGAAAGACATGGGCCAAGATCTTTTCTCTAGTGCAAATGATTAAAGTACCTATGTGAAATTTCTAAATGCGACCAAAGAAACATGCTTTTATAAGCATAGATGCATAGAATAGTGGGACTGGAAGACACTAGAAATAATCTCATCTGATCCATTCACCTTACATATGAGGAAATGAAGGTTTAAATGTATTAAGTAACTGGCACAAGATCCAATGGTACTGACTGGCCATGGCAGCACTGAAATAAAGATGTACTGACTTTTATCAACTAAGCACTATCATCTGTACCTATAAGTAATTTTCAGCTCAACTATGCAACATTTAATGCTATAATTTAATAAGTGCCCTCCATGTGAATGTTGGGAAATATGTGGTAAGGAGTTTATCGGAAAGTGGCAAAACCTGAATGTGATTTTATGGTATAAAATAACATATTCTTAACTTCAGGGCACCTCTATATTGATACACAAATCACACTTTTATCATTTGAATTGATATATGCTGTGGAAACAGCCAAACTTGATTTTTTATGTAATTCTTTTAGGTGACTACTCTTTTGATAAACAATATTCATGGAATAATTGTGTCAAAGTTGATTGAATAAGCCACTATTCTCAATCAATCATTTTCATAATCTAAGTGCATAAGGCCAAGTTTATGGGAAATAAAAATTGCTTTATATCATTACAAATGATATAAATTACAATTGCTTTATATCATTACATTGAGATATAAATATGTCAATTATGTCATTAAGGAAAATAATACTTTTAAGCATCTCATAACATAGCTAGTATGGTAGGAATATAATGTATAAATGGATAAATTTTGTAAACTAGTTATCTGACATTTCTGTTTTTATTTTTCTACTAAAAATAAAAGAGGAAATCCCATATCTATCACATATGTCATGAGAGGTTTTTAAGTAGAAGGTTGAATATGTAAACTAAGCATGGTGAGCATTTCTGAAAAAGTTATACCTAAATATAGGAACTCTGTTCAAAACAGTCAATCATTAGTAGAGATAGTCTCATTTTAAAGTATTATCATGCTCTCCTAGATCGTGGTGATACTTCTTAATTCTACGAAGCATCTAAACTTTCCTAGATATGCTGAAGAATACATATAAGATGCCAGACCATGGTCCCTGTCTGCCTATAGTGGGTAGAACCAGACAACTTAGCTCTGTTCCATGGCCTCAGAATTATCCCTACCACGGATTTCTGTTTCCTTGAAGGTCTATGCAAGATATTGCTAATGAAGTCAGTCAATTCCAAGACCAATGCTAGAATCAGCATTCCAAGTCCATCCCCCATTCTTTGTGAGACAATATGTATACTTGCATTTTGAAGTTTTATCTTGATAATGGCATTTTACTGATTTTTCAGAAAATAATCTCCAAAAATGGCACTTGAATATATATCCAAGTTTATTTCTTTACAATGCCCAACTTGCCAAAACCTGGCAATTCCATTCTTTGTGCTGCTACCTTCTTTCAGGGTTGTTACCTATGATTTAACTCCTAACTACATTTGTGTCTCCACAAATGTATCTTCAGTGAATTCTACATCTTGTTGTCTGCTTAGTTTTTCTAAAGCAGGTGTTTACATACACACTTAAAGACAACTGAGCACCAGCAAGTTCCTTCTTGAGAAACGTATTTACACATCCAATTTCAACTACTTTTATTTGTTGCATTAGAATGGAGACTTGGGTTTGTTGCCACCATTTCAGTTGGTTATTATGAAATATTAAGTTTAACAGATGTGGGGGAAGTGTACATAACAGCTGGTAGAAGACACTAAATCCTCCTGGGTATTTGGGTTAATGGTATATTTTTATCAGGGTTAGCTTCTTGCTTTAATTAACAATGGACCTCTTCTTTCTTTTTTTATTTTATTTATTTATTTATTTATTTATTTATTTATTGAGGCAGATTTTCACTCTGTCGCCCAGTGGCATGATCTCAGTTCACTGCAACCTCTGCCTCCCGGGTTCAAGCGATTCTCCTGCCTCAGCCTCCCGAGTAGCTGGGATTACAGGCACTTATGACCACACCCGGCTAATTTTTTGTATTTTTAGTAGAGATGGGGTTTTATCATGTTGGCCAGGCTGGTCACAAACTCCTGACCTTAGGTGATCCACCCACCTTGGCCTCCTAAAGTGCTGGGATTACAGGCGTGAGCCACCATGCCCAGCCCTCTTTTTTAATCACTACAAAATTACTAATGAACTGACTTTCCAATAGCTAAAAAATGAAATCATAGGATTAACAATGTGAAAGATCGTCTGGTCTTCAGGTACCTCAAAGGTACAAGCCTTTGAATATGGGAAAAACTGAGCTCAAAAGAGTTGAAATGGCAAGCCCTATGAGAAAAAAGTGATCAAAACAAGGCTAGAACCCTGATTTGACACAAACCAAAGTTCTTCTCTACCCACTTTCCAAATCCACCATCTGCAGTCATTCTTTTTCTGTATCCTTAATATTTTACATCATCCCTGAAATATACTATAAAAAATCCAGTCTGTGTTAAAAGAAGATTTAACAAAGAGGTGGACTTCAAAATGGTTGGCAGTGAAGGTTCACTGCTGGGGTTCTGCTCCAGTTACTTAGCAGCACCTGAGTTTGGTTCAGTTGGCTTTTTGTAAGGTTGGGGGTAGGAGGATTGGTCAGGCCAGAACTAGAACTCTTCATGCTGCTTGATTTTAAGTTCACAAGAAAGTGAACCATCAAGGGAATGTTCTGATGTATCCATGAACTGCAGCTAAGCCATTCAGAGTTTGCTTAAAATAAAGCTTTTCTGGATTTTCTTAATACAGAATTCTAAGAGTTGACACAGCAAGACTGCTTCTCACCAGGTTCTATTTTTAAATCCCAGCACCCCCAAAACTTCAATATTGAGTTTCTGAGCCATCTTTAGTGCGTTTTTCTAACTTGCTAGAAAGATTGTTTAGTTGTTTACACATTGTTAATTCAACCTTTTAAATGGGGAGAGGGAGAGAGGGAGGGAGGGAAGAGAAAGGGAGGAATGAAGGAGGAAGGAAGGAAGAAAGGAAGGAAGGAAGGGAGGGAAATGAAGGGAGGGAGGGAGGAAAAGATATCAGCTAATAATATTTAATGAGTGCTATTAAATATGTCAAGCAGTGTTCTAAGCAGCTGACATGTATTAATTAATTTTTTTTTCTTAACAACTGAAGGAGCTGGGTTTTGTTATTATTCCCAAATGAGGAAACTTAGGCACAGAAAGGTAAACAATTTGCTCAAAGCCATACAACTGGTACATAGCAGACCTGGCTTTGAACCAAGCAACATGACCTCAGAGACTGACCTCTTACTTATTCCATTACATGTCTCAAGTTCTTGAGTTGAAAGTTTGTCTAAAAAAGTAATAAAGAGCTGTTGACCTTTTGATATTTTTCTTTTTATTTAATCAAATATGTATTTTTGCATTATGTTATTCGAACTTTCAATGAAATGGAAATATGCTGAGGGCAGGGGGCTGAGCTGAAAAGAATCTAACCTTTAGTGTCAGAAAATCTTAAGTTCTAATTTTGCTCTGCCATTTATAGGTTGTGTGACCTTTCAAACGATCCTGAAAAAAAATTACTAAATGTTGGCCGGGCGCGGTGGCTCACGCCTGTAATCCCAGCACTTTGGGAGGCCAAGACGGGCGGATCACGAGGTCAGGAGATAGAGACTATCCTGGCTAACACGGTGAAACCCCGTCTCTACTAAAAATACAAAAAATTAGCCGGGCGTGGTGGCGGGCGCCTGTAGTCCCAGCTACTCGGGAGGCTGAGGCAGGAGAATGGCGTGAACCCGGGAGGCGGAGCTTGCGGTGAGCCGAGATCGCGCCACTGCACTCCAGCCTGGGTGACAGAGCGAGACTCCCTCTCAAAAAAAAAAAAAAAAAAAAAAATTACTAAATGGTTAGGACTTTCCATTTCCTCATTTGGAAACCAAGGAAAATACAAACAAACTCAAGGAATTATTCTAAGAATGAAATGTGATAAAATATGCAAACTTTTCATCCTAGCACATAGCAAAGCATCCTCCCCAGGGTAAATTTACTATAACAAACCACAATGTTTAGTGGATCATTCTCATTTTATTATTATTGCATAAACATAAAGTTATATATATATATATATTTTAAATTACATGAGATTGTTCCTATCAATGTCAGTTATTATTATCATTATTATCTTATTAGGTATCAATATGTACATATACTACGTTGGGATCAATGTGCAGAGAGAGCCAGATCAATACCGTTAATATTCCTCCACTAACCAATTACTTCCTGCAGAAACATCCACATCCAGCCACATCTTACCAGTATAGCCCCTGAATGCCAAGCAGTTGAAGGACTCTGCATGGGCCACCAGGAAGCCTCACTCACTGCTTGCACACTGTAAACCTCTTTAGCCCGAGTGCGGCCTCCACAAGAGTGGACTGGAAGCCTGGGTCAGAAGCAGTTTCCTCGTGCGCACCCAAAATGGGACTGAGGGGAGGCAGAAAGGCCCCCAGAGAGGTATTAATCAAGATCCATCTGGACCATTCAAATGGCACATTATTCTGAAGGTACTGGGCAGAGAGAGGCTTCAGGTGTGAAGCTAACAGGACCCAAACTAGGAAAATAAGGGGAAAAGGGGGTTTTAAGCTAAGGTGGACTGGCTTTGCTTGGATTCTCAAGGGTTTTTATATGGCTCCAGCAGCCTCAGCTCAGGACAGGGAAGAAGTGATTAAAGGTGGTGATATCCAGCAGCTACTCAAAGCTGGTTTGAACCAGTCCTGGCAAGCAGAAGAGTGACCTTTTGACCTATCTGGTCACCCCTAAATTTGAATATAGAGCTGAGGTGTAGATCAATAGCATATACAGAATGAGCTTTGGCTTCCAGCCTGGAAAAGCCTGCATTTTGGTTATTGTTCAGACCTGGAATTGTTCTGAAGCTTTTGCATATGCCATTCTTCTATTTCTGTCTTAGTGACCGAGATGACCTTTCATGCTTGAATTGGATGAAGCCAAAGCTACCCTGGCCATGTACAGAGTTATGTTGTTATGCTAATCATGAAAAACAATAATAACAGAGACCATTATATATTAGGCACTGTTCTAGAGGCCTTGGAATATATTATTTCCTGTAATCCTTGTAAGATGAAATGGCCTAGGAGAAAAGAAGTCAGGAGCTGTGCCCAAATCCAAAAGGTGTCTCAATACTCAGCCCTTGCTTTGATTGTACAAGAGCAGAAGTGCATAGTCTACGTTGATAATAACCAAAAAGCTATTTTTTTCCATCCAAAGGTAAAAAAAGAGCACGGGAACACAAGGTTAGCAGACTTGCATTTGATTTTGTGTTCAAGCACTTTCTAGATAGACAAAGCACTTTTTCTCTCTTAAAATTCATTTCCTCAGTATAAATGGGGAGAAAAATACCTACCTTCCTGGAATCGCCTATGAAGATTAAAGGATATAACTCAAATATAAGTATTTGTAAGCACTAAAGCTAGTATCATTAAATACAATTCAGATATATACTAAGCAACAGAGAGCTATTTATCATAAGGCTAATGAGATAATTTTTGGCATAGTCTATTATGGAATTTTCCATGAGAATCTAAAAAAGACAAATTGACTTTATAATTATTAGAGAAAGGAAAAACAAAAATTAATTTTCCAAAGGCTAATTTTTCTACCAACTCAGAAAAAGTTTACATTATTTCTAGAATAGCAGTGGTTCAAACATTTGTCTCCATGCGTCTATATCCTTCTGAAAATTATTGAATACCCCAAAGATCTTTTGTTTATGTGGCTTATATCTGTTCACGCTTACTGGATTAGAAAAAAATTAAGCAAAGTTTTAACTATTTACTTATACAATCATTGAAAAATAGCAGTAACCAACTCATTACATGTATACACACATACACAATTTTTTTAAAAACTTCATTTCCAAAAAAAAATTTTAGTGAGATGTATGACATTGTTTTATATTTTTGCAAATCTCTTTAATAAAAGAGCTTAATAGAAGAAAATTAGACTATCATATCTGCTTCTGCATTTAATCTTTTGCAGTAGATTTTTCCATTGAAATATAGGAATAAAAAAAATCTTTACACAAATATACAGTTGAGAAAGGAAATCGTATTTTAAAAGCCTTTTTAAATAACTGTGGATATTCTTTCATACTACACCAAAACTTGAGAAATGTAATTTCTTGAGGTTTAGTAGCACTGTGAAATCTGAAGTCATATTAATAAATTTGGTACACTCTTTATGTTAACATCCATTGGTCTCCCTTACACTTTGAATGGATCTTTAACTCATGCATGATTTTGGTAACATTCTAGTGTTGGTCATTTGAAAAATATTGGTTCACTGAGATTGGTTCATTGGTTCATATCTTCCAATGTTGTCATACTTCATTATACAATATCAAAAAACACTTCATTCATGTCACTACTGATCTCATCAGAAACGTCTTTAACTATTGAGAAGCTATTGAGCTCACAGTGGCTGATTCAAGTTTCTAAATCTCTAATTTTCATTCATCTATTTAATTTTGGCAACAAACATTATTGGTTGTTTTCTTTGAAATTAATGACTTCTTTCATTAATTTTCAGGAAAAAAGAAAAAAAGCCAGGGTCCCAAGTTTGAGTAATCATAGCTTGTCATACTTTTAAGTAAAAATGGTGGAGTTTTTTTTAAGTGGCTAATTTATTTCCCAACTAGTATTGTTTGGTGCCAGTATCTTGATTCATGCCAAGGTGCTAACAAGATTGTTTTTATACCATCAGTGCAAATTTCAACACAATGAAAATGACAAACAATTTCTTAGTACTATTAAGAAAATAGTTCTCACTTCACAGTTCCCTTCAAAGTTTCTGAAGAACCATCAGGGTTCTGCAGACAATACTTATGTGCTATTGTCTCTTAAGTGTTAAGTAGATTCTTTATTCTGATGGTTTCTAGGATTTCTTGAATTTTCTTAATAAAAATTATTAATTTAAGGTAGATTTGGATGTGTAAGGTGGATATATGTGTATTAATATGAAAAGGTAGTCGCAATTTATTTTTTATTAAAAAGTAGTATTTATACTATAGTCATGTTCATGTCATTAAATACATATGTATATATTGGTATACTTACATATAAATATGTATATTTATGCATGCATACATGTATCTATGTATAAAAATAGATTGAAAGTAGTTATACAACTTTTTTGTAATAGCATCAGCAAGAAACAGTAAGGGAGATTAAGAGTAGTGAAAATAATATTTTCCTTTTTGTTATAAAGCAAATGCTTTTATTCAAAAAAACTTACTAAATACCTACAATGTAATAGGTACACTTGTATACATGATTAAGATTTTTAGTGGTTTTTTTTAAAAGAAAAATGATACTTTGATCATTTAAAAAGGCTTTTCTCTATTTAGGACATGGTACCATCCATGGCATTTTAGATGCTCCTTACTAAAGCCTTGCTTCATCTCTCCTTAAAATCCCCACACTCACCTACCCAGGACAATTTTATAAGAATGCAGTTTGTAAAAGACTTTTCGTTAAACCCTGTGTCTACTTCTAAAGATGCACTTATAGTCCTTAAGTATCAGTCATTCTTCTGTCTCTCAGTATATTACCAATACATTTTTCACTGTGGGATATTAATCAGAGATTGCAAGAAGAGTCATCAAAGGAACTCTTACAGTGCTCTCAAGTTAATACTAGCTTCATGCTCCTCATCACTGAAATTTTTCTGGTCTGCATTGTTCAAGAAATCTTTCCCATTGTCTCTGTAAAATTTTCTGGCAATTTCCCTAATTGAAGCACCTAAGATTTGGGATTTGATTTCTAAAGAAGAAAGACAGGAAAGATGCAAAGATTAAAAGTGCAAATGGAAGAAGATCGTCAGTAGTCATCTATATTCACTGGGATACTGTGATCTTGTAGACATAAGTCCATTCTGTAACTCTGAGGTGTGCTTACATGTAATTGAACATACTTCAATATTTTGCATGTAACACGTTATTATTTTTAAATATTAAGAACAAAAGTGTCTCACTAAGAAGCAAGAATCAAACTTTGAGTAAGCGGATAACATTGAGTGAGAGGATTACAAACTTTGAATAAGAGGATAAACATTATGATCAAGTGTCCCTTACTCTACCTTACCTTGCCAATCTTTCCCCATTATAAGGTTTTGTCCTCTGATACGTTAAAAACAAGTGAAATGCAAGGGAATCAACTAGTTCTTTAAACACACTTTAAATATGCCACCTCAATTCTCTTAAAAACACATTAGGTTTGATGATATCCTCAAATACATTTAAGTAAATATATTTCTTTTCAATATTTTATACTCCCTGGGCAGTTAGTTCTTAGATTTGCATAAATAGTTCCTGTTGTTGCTGTCCAAAAAAACACAATAAATCCTGTTAGATGCTCTACAGCACTGAACAATTTCACATTGTATCTTTTTAAACAGACTCCCTTTGTTTTTTTTTTCAAATAGCATGAAACAACAAGAACAGTTTAGATACTGTTTACAGAATGGAAAAATATGCATCCTTCACTAAGCACAAAATTTTTTCCTGTTAGCCCAAGTTTTTTTCTCTCTTTCTCTCATTATTTGTTTCATTGAATTTTTTCAAAAATAATTTTTCATATTACTAAGTTGAGTGCCTAGGATGTGTCTGTTGTAGGCCCATACTCTGCTAATTTAATTCTTGACTACAGAAAAATATAGATGCTTTTATCACCTAGAGAAGCTGGTGTTGAAAAAGTAATCTCATGATACACAAAGTGATGAATGAAGCATGTCATTATAAAATTGGTGTGGGGTCAGCTATCTGTCAACCAGCGTCTAAACAGGCTCCAGGCTGTCATGCACTGACCACTTCAATGGCTCTCAACTTCTCTCTTTGACTCCAGCCTTCCTTCCTCCAATCCGTTCCTCACCCTTTAGCCAGAGTGGGCTTCTTACAGCACATATCTGATAACGTCACTCTCTTGCTTAAAACCCCGCAATGGCTCCACATTGCTCTTAACATAAAGAACAAACACCTTAATGTGATTTTCAAGACTTGGCCTTCCTCTCCAGCCTCGTCTGGATCAACCCCCACAACCCTGGGCAACTCTGTTCCAGCCACCCCATCCTCCTCATTAGCAGTAATAATTTTTATATCAAGCAAGGCATTAGTTGGTGTTTGTGATAAAGTGATGGATATGATTTGGATTTGGCTGTGCATCCTTGAGACTCTGCTGTTTTAATTTTTTTTTTTTTTTTTGAGAAGGAGTCTTATTCTGTCACCCAGACTAGAGTACAGTGGTACAATCTCGGCTCACTGCAACCTCCGCCTCCAGGCTTCAAGCAATTTTCCTGCTTCAGCCTCCTGAGTAGCTGGGATTACAGGTGCTCGCCACTACACCCAGCTAATTTTTGTATTTTTAGTAGAGACAGGGTTTCACCATGTTGGCCAGGGTGGTCTTGAACTCCTGACCTCAGCCTCCCAAAGTGCTGGGATTACAGGTGTGAGCCACCGCTCCTGGCCAACTCTGCTGTTTTAATTTCTTAACTGATTGTCACATGTCCAGTGGATGAACCACCTGTCTGTGGCCCCAGATCTTTCTTGTTCCTACATATCTTGTAGCTCAGAAGAGTATAGAATTCTTTATTCATGAAGGATATTCATGAAGAATATGGTAGGCACGCCTACCCTCTAGAAATTGTCACATCTTATCTATAATGTTGTTATAGTGAATATATAAGCCATTGGAGAAAAAGGATGAGCAAAAGAAGCCATAAGGAGACTGATCGAGAAATGACAAGAATTGTGATGTTAACTTAGGATGCCTGCAGTTGTCAAGGCCATGGAATCTAGGGGTGAGAGTAATGAGTTATACCTCCAGGAAGTGTTTTCACTCTCAGGAACAGGAAAGATTTATTCTAAGATGTCATGACTGTGTGTAGATCCATATAAAATCTAAATAATAATAATAATAACCCTCAAAAGTCATTTGAGCCATAATAGAAATGCTGATTATAAGCCATTCAGTCACATACATGTAGCTTAAAAATAAATAACTTTCTGCATGAATTTTATGGCCGAAGCACAAACTTTGGGTTGATTCTTGTCAGAAACAAAATTTCATAGGCAAATTTTTCTCAAGCATGTGTCAGAGTTTCCAAAAAAATATGCTGGTCTAGAGAAGGTATAAACATCGAGGGAAAATTAAGTGAGGATACAGAATGCCTATAGAAGCAGCTGGTTTTTTCTTTCTTCTTTATTACAGTAAAGAGATCGCGTTTTAGTTTGCAAGGTCATAAAATCATGATGTCCAGATCAGTTGTTAAAAGGAAGTCAGTGGCAGGTGCGGGATGCCAGGTGTGCTGGCTGCCAGTGAGAAGGAAGAGGAGTCGCTGGAAAAGCCAATGATAAGTACACCTGTGTTTGAGATTGCTGTAACAAGGTTTCATCCCCATCTAATAGGGCCAATGCATACAAAAATAAAAAATAATGTGTCAACGGGGATCAGAAGCAGAACATCAAGCAATAAATTTTCACTTAAAATAGATTATTTGTTATTTTTCTCAGACTGCAGAGATAACAGAATACACAATTTACCTTTTTCCTGTTGGGGATGGGAGAGATTATTGTAGGACAGAAGTGTTCCCTTGCCACTGGGATCCAAGATAATACGTCAATTCTCTTAGACTCTGCACCATCTTCCACCAACAACCATTCCAGTCCTGTTGTGTCGGGGATGACAGGGTTAAAACCACCAAAAAGGAGTGCTTGCTAGTTTCATCTTGTTTTGGAAATAGCACCCAGACTGCTTAAGACTGCCAGAGAGATTATCAGATTAAAATATATAATTTTTCAATCATCATTATCTTCAGCCCACAGAAAACAATTTTTTACATATTGGTCACTGCATCCTATGATTACATTTATAACTTCTAGAGACAAGTCTATAGGGAAGGAGACAAGAACATGCCAGCTGAAAGAAAAACTGGACTCAATTTTCTGTTTAGAAGAACATTATCTTTGTTTTTTTTTTAAAATTTGAATTTGGTTTTGAGGGTGAAAGAGGATTAAAATGAATTTACTTATTGTCCTCCAAGTAATGTGGAACATTGCTGAATCTGACATAATTGAAATTTCAAGTTGAATTTTTGTTTTCTGCCTACTTGATCTCAATATGCCAGCCAAGTACTGTCCCTTAAAGCAAATGTAACCCCTCTGAGAAGTCACTTGCCACTTTCGTTGCAGGTACCAGAGGTGATTACATACTATATAGCCCAGAGTATAGTGAGGTTGTTTGCTGTTTTTCATAGATGCAGGAAACATTGATGATCAAAGGACATAAACTTGAGGATGTGGTAATTAATATCATCTTGAACTGCCTATCATTCCATGGATTAATCCCAGAAAGCTGAGTTGTTTGCTCACTAGCTTTTGACTGAGAGCTATAAAAATCCTAACGCTTTGATCAGAAATCGTTCCTCCTAATCCTAGTGATGGGACCTATACAACACTTAATGGTGAGAATATAGTTCACTGATTTGCTTTCCAAATAAAAGCAAAGATTTTCAGTAAAACAACTCCTAAACTTTAGTGCTCTGATCTTGGAAGCTTTTTGAAACAATAGTCTTACTTTTCTGAGTTTTTAAAAGTAAATTAGATAAAATAAAACTTGAAGGAAAGAATGTGTAGAAATGTGATAGTGTATATACTTTAAAAATATGTCAAGTGGGTGAAAAATTTGGGGCAAAAGCAAGTATAATAAAAGTTAGTAGAATCTAGGTAGTTGAGTACACAGGGTCTCTCTGTAAAAATTATTTTAACTTTGCAGTGTGTTTGAAATTTTCATGATAAAATACTAGAAAAGATATATTAAAAGGTACATACCTAAAGTTGAATTTGTATATTTAAGAAAATGTCACTGGACAATGATGTAAGATTGTGTAATCTTAATGGATACTTATGTTGGAACATTCTTATTTTTTGAAATCTTGGAAAATAGAAAATATTTTCAAGATGCTTCATAAACCCTTCAGGCTATTAATGTACAGACCAAAAGCCACCCTAAAGGTAGAAAAACCAGCATTAAGGGGGAACTGCCAGGCTGTAGTATTGTGATTCCCTGCCATCTTATTATCCAGCTAGTTAGTAACTGGAATACCTATTTTCCAATTAGATTTAACCTTAAAATCCAAAAAATTACTAAATGTCTGGGCTCATGCATATGGCAAAACAGTTTAAAATGCTACAACATACTTGTTGTCCTTATATTTCTTTTCTCACCCAACAACGTACATTCAGAAGTGAGTCTGATTGCCATATGTTTTGTTTGCCCATGCTTGACCCAAAAATAAAAAAGTGTACTGTGTGGCCACTCTCTTTTACCGTAGCATGATCACAGTTAGAGAGGGGGGAAAAGCCCATGAGTGTCTTTTAAAAAGACAAGACAAAAATTGTTCTTTAAAAAATGCCAGACTTAACCAGCCCCTCTGTAAATGATTCTCTGTAAAAATAATAATTTCCCTTCAGAAAATTGATCTCCCCCATACCTAAGAAAAATTAAACATCTGAAAATTGCATTTTTAACTGGTAAGGCAATTACTCTCCATTCAAAAGGTCTATTTGAGCTTACGTCCTTGAAAGGCGATCACTCTCAAGCTCTACTTCCAGGCCTTTTGGGAAAAATTTATCCTTTTTCCTTACTTCCTGTTTTCTCTCTTCATTGCCTCTTTGGCTGCCACAGAAATGAGTCTGTGGCTGTGTTGACACTGTGGATATTTTTAAGAAGAAAGGACATGGAACCAAAATATTGTCAAAGAACTGAGAAGCTTTGTATTATAAGGGAGAGTCAAGAGGAAAGGGGCATATTAAATGCAATAAACAAAGCATTCAGTTCACCATTTACCAGGCTTACTGCAAGGGTCGCAAGTAAAAACTGCAACATGTATCTCTACGAGCGTTTAAACACAAAACAAAAAACCTTCATTCCCAGGAACATCATAAAGGAAGGGTAAAGTCCTGGCCCCATCTTTTTTACTGCAAAGAAGTCTTTAAATGAGTATTTTCTGTGGCAATGTTATGGATCTCTCAAGGAATCACATTTTGTTTACTTTTCTTTAATTATAAAAAAATTCATTATTGTTTCAAAAAGCACTCCCAAGTATAAAGAAAAGCATAGATCATGCACAACCTCATCTCCAAGAGAAAAAGACTTTTAGTATTTGGTATACATCCTTCAAGATTTTTTTCTTACAAATATACAGCACAAAATTGTATTAATAAATTTTAAAAGAGAACCAGTTTCTCTCCAAAGGATCGTTGCTGTTACTTTCTTGCTTCATGAATTATCCCCATTCATTCTCTGGTATCTATATTTTCACTTTTTTTTTCTAGTTCCTTCTTCATGAATTATAAACATGATCAGTATCTTTACACAAGGGAAGGAGGAAACAGTTATACATTTCCCAGTATTCTTTCCCTATACTTTCTATCTTTTAGCTAGCATTCTTACTCCTGCTTTCCATTTCCATTTCCATTCAAGATTTCCTGGCTGGATGCAGTGGTTCACACCTGTAATCCCAGCACTTTGGGAGGCTGAGGTGGGTGGATCACCTGATGTCAGGAGTTTGAGACCATCCTGGCCAACATGGCAAAACCCCGTCTCTACTAAAAATACAAAAATTAGCCAGCTGTGGTGGCACGTGCCTGTAATCCCAGCTACTAGGGAGGTTGAGGCAGGAGAATCGCTTGAACCCAGGAGGCGGAAGTTGCAGTGAGCCGAAATCACATCACGGAACTCCAGCCTGGGCGACAGAGCGAGACTCCTTCCCCCCACACCCCTCCAAAAAAAAAGAAAAGAAAGATTTCCTAAGGGAAGACAAGTCTTTTCTCACTATCTTCCTACGCTCACCACCAATGTATTCAATAATTTACTCTAACCTGGCTTCCATCTTCACCACTTCTGTTCCTGAAGTCGTTAATGACTTCCAAAATGCCAAATACATTGAAAGTTTTTAGTTCATATCCTTATGTAACCTCTCATCAGCATCTGACACTATCAGAACTCTGTTTCCTTTGACTGTATTCCACTAATTCGCCACCTGCATCGTGACCACTCCTCTTCCTCATCATTTACTGAGTTCTTTCCTTTTGCCCATTACTTAAATGCAACTGTTCTCTAGGACTCTGGCCGTAGTCCTCATCTCTTCCTTCTCTGTGTTTTCTTCTTTGGTGAGCTTATCCACTCCTGCAATTTCAATTAACCCTAGTGATCTATATGCACTGCCCTTATCTCTCTTCTTAGATACAGACACCTACATCCAAATGGGTGACTGGATCTTTCCACTGGGATGAACTTTCCAAAGACACCACAAACTCAGCAAGTATCTTTTCAGCACATTTTCTTCTTTTTCAACCCTTCTCCTCATTGACACTCAAAAGAGAGATTAGATCAAAGTCTTCAAGGAAAAGCAGATATGAGGAAATCACCTTTTAGGACAGGGAAAATCTGAGCAATTTTGCAGCTGTGGGAAGGAAAGTGGTAGAGAAAAGGCTGAAGATAGGTGAAAAAGAGGATAGGAACTGAATCCTGACAACCATGAAGAAAACAGTAAGAAGGTCTTTTCTTCTTGTAGCTATATTTTATATTGTATATGTGACATGTGCTTTAATAAATTCATGTCTACTATGTATCATTCATAGCAGCATTGATTTTTAAAAATTTGAATTATTTACATGCAAACCTTTATATTTATTTTGACATCTGTAGTTAGGCAAAAATTGCAGTTAGGGCTAATTTGTACAATTAGCCAAATCAAGTGTTCCTTTTCCCTTTCAAAATGTTCTTTATATATTCCATTCCTAATGAGTATGAAGAGTCCTTTTAATTCAATTCATACACAACTAGTATTTTTCAATTAAAACCCTTACTTTTAAGAAATTCATATCCTGCAATGAACAGGAGTTACTTCATTTTTCAGATCTCTAGCCCATCAGATTTCATTGTTGTGTTACTTACTTGCAAAATGTTCCTATATGATACATCCCATATCTGTGGCCATTATATTGTTTTTCTTTTTTTAATTTTTCTTTATTTTAGAGACAGGGTCTCACTCTGTCACCCAGGCTGGAGTGCAATAGTGCATTCATGGCTTACTGCAGCCTCAAACTCTTGCACTCAAGCGATCCTCCCACCTCAGCCTCCTGAGTAGCTAGGTCTACAGGTGCACGCCACTACGTCCAGCTAATTTTTTATAGAGATGAGGTTTTGCTATGTTGCCCAGGCTAGTCTTGGACTCCTGGCCTCAAGTGATCCTCCTGCCTAGGCCTCCCAAAGTGCTGGGATTACAGGCTTAAGCTACCATACCTGGCCTATATTTTTCTATAGATTTTCCAAGTTTAATGCAAGTTTATTTAATTAAAATAAACTCACCTTTCTGTTTTACTTTTGTGGAGGAGAGGACAAAGGGGTAGGAAACAGGAGGTAGGGTTAAGGAGAGATGGTGGAAGTCTGTAGAGAGGCAAGATTACCAGTTAGGCTCAATGTTCTTAAGAAAGTTACCCATCTAATGCAATAGTATCAAAAAAGTTATCAGCATTAACAAAGAACTAACAAAGATACGTCTCTTGCAGGTCAGAAAGGATTCAGAATGGTGTGGAAAGATAGGAGATACTGTGTTTGGGGTTTCAGAAGTTGGACACGTTATCCTGAGCTGAAAGCTTCTTATGGGGGTGAAGCACTGTCAGCAAAGAAAGACTATGTCCTTTCGCTCTTTCCTCCCCTTTCCCGCCTTAGGACCTCACCATTTTAGCTCCACTGCACTAATGCTCCCTCCTCGGCTGCACCTAGGGGAACAGTGCACAAAGTCGTCCATAAATGGGCAGCATGCTAAGGCCAGGGAGACAGGGGCCTAACCTTACTGCCTCAGTGGAAATCCTCAGCTCCAGTGTCTTGCCACTGAAGGTGGGAGGAGCACAGGAAGTGATTGCCCTGTGGCTTCTCCTCCCACAGAAGCCCTGCCCCCTCACACTTGGAAGGTGGAGAGATTAGCTTTCTTTTTCCTTCTAGTTCAGTCCTTTGGCTACTGTGAAAGACCACGCAGAAGCTGTGGACTTGCTTTTTGTGCTTGACAAAAGTGCATAGATAGAAGACAGGGATTCCCGGCTGGGAGGAGGGAGGAGAGCTGAAGATCCCTGCCTGGGCTGGCTGAGCTAAGCAAAGTGGGAAGCTGAGTGCTTGAAAGAGGATTATGCTCGCACTAGAAATAAGCAGTAAGTGAGTGAATACCATTATGGCTTAGAAAAGGATTAATCCCCCCGGGGTTATGGGGTGAACTAGAAAATATTGCTTAATTCTAGAGTAAAACTGTAAGGCTCCAGCTTTGTGTACTGTTGTGTGCTGTTTGGAGACTAGAGGTTTAAGTACAAAACCAGAGCTCTAAATGCCTCCTCCCACTCTTGGAAAATGCCAGCTTCTATTTAGATTGGTTGGGGGACATAATTTCCTTCCCTGAACTAGCCTCTTCCCAGGAAAATTTACTACTAAATTAGATAAGGAGTTGAGATTGGAGAGGCGGACTTTGGTATTTGTAGAAGTTGCAGTTTCGAATGATGTTCTGTGAGTGCTGACATTCTATCTGTTAGCAGTGATTGTCAAGAAAGTTTAGAATAGGAGATTAAAAAGGGGAAATCAAGAGCTTTTATGATGAGGAGGCTGAAGAGTCCATATGCAGAGAAGTAAATACAAAAATTATATAATTTAAAATAGGTAGATTTTTTAAAACATTAAATGGGAACAACAGTCAAAGAGCATAGAAGTGCATGGATAAAAATTAGTTAGAAAAAGAAATTTTCATTTCAGTGAGTTTTTTGTGCTAGCCAAAAATTTCACAATGTTTACAAAGTCAAGACAATGATTCAGGAATACTTCAATTATTGTTGTACATTATTAATGCTGTTCCTGGGCAAGATCTGTGGTTCTCTGGTCAGCAAGTTCTGGCAAGGAAGCCACTGCCAGTGGCATAAAGAATTCTGGGATGTCTGACAGTGAAATGGATGGAAGGACCCACATTCCATCTCTACTTAATGCCCTTTTGTCCAGAAACCGGGTCATGCAAATGAGCTACTTGGTACGTATACAGATCAATATTTGGAAAGGCACTTCTAAGTGTTTTACATTAGAGACACTCTAGACAAAATCTTATGGCAACCAGTGAACAAAAAGAATACAAAAGCAAAATGATAGGAAGGAAGTCAGCTTGACTGAAACCAACCTTGTTCTTTTTGTTTTCCATCAATCTTGAAATGGAACCTCAAATGAGGACAAGAATAATAATAGGGAGAAATGCTGTGGCCATCTGTTCTGTTCTGAGTGGCTAAGTTCATTAATATATAAATGAGAATTTGTGTTTTATTTATGCATCCTAATACTTGGAAGATGCAGAAATCTCTTTATTACAGTAAAAAAAAAACCCACAAAAATTGGAGATATGTTTTTGCGGGAAAAAAATGTGTAAATCTGGTTTTTGAATGTTATGGGGAAAAAATAAGAATTGTGCTCACAGTGTGAAGATTTATATCATGTTCACTGAAGGATATATCTCTTCCCTGAATGAGATGAGGACCCTAATATGACACAGTAGATGCAAACATAAGTATTTTTAATTCCCTTAATTCAAGTTGATGTAGTTAATAACTAAAGCAAGAATCTTTAAAATAAATAAATAACCTTGAACTACAGCTAACTATGTAGTGGTTTTTATTTTTCATTTGTTGCTGGTATGAAGACACAACATGACATTTCTAGTATTCTCATCAACCGTTGCGTTGGGAGAAAAAAAGGCTCAGACATATTATCTTTCTGCTGTAGCACAAGTGTAAAATGATTATCATTATCTATGTCCTTTTCTAACTTTAGAATTTATAGATTTTGCAATGGAGGAAATAGATGGAGAGTGGTCATTGGGACAAAATAAATGATGACAAAATGCCAAAAAAAAAAAAGTGCATTTACATAAACTCTTAAAATAGTCTGTCCTCCAACTTTTCGAATACCTAATTTTGTAAATTATTTTAGTTATCTCTTTAAAATTATTTCTGAGTTGGTTTTTCCAATGTCAGTATTCATCTGACTTGTGAGCAAATGTTGAAAATCTGAAGATTCATTATCTGAGTTGCATAATACTTCTATTATTCTTAAAAATATGTAAGACATTAAAACAAAACATTGAATAGTTGGAAGTCTTGAGTATAAAGCTAAATGAACTTTCAATCTTTAAGAAAAATGTGCTAAGGCTCTTCAAAGAATTGCTTATTTATCCCAAAGTGTTAAAGAATCTTTTCTGATACTATAGAACTAAAAAGAGAAGCATAAGAATATTGAGAAAAAGATTAAAGGTATAAGTTGGGTAGTGGAGGCTAAGCAGATATTGTTAATGAATAATTATAAGACAGCAGTTTAACAATAAAAACATTTGCTGTTGTACATGAGCAATTTATATAAAGAATGATGCATTATGACTGGTGAACAAGGCTAAGACTTTTATCTTTAAAAATATTAAGTAGAATTAAGATTGTTAATGGATAGAAACTAAATGATCATTTAAAATTATTCTTTCACAAGAAAAGTAAAGAACAAGGATATGGAAAACTAAGCAGTGATGAAGACCTCGAAATAATTGTTGATCAAAAGCAGGTAAGTGAATACTTACGTACATTTTCTACTGTTCTACTGTATATTTTGATGACTAAAGCCTTTTGAGTGTTCAGCCCTTCTCTGGCAGCTGTATTAGCCTGTCTGACTAAAGCCTGCATAACAAGATTTTGAGAGCAGCTAAGCCGCTCCATATGATGCCTCTGATCCACTGACTTTTGCATGATGCCAACATGCATATTTTGTATGTAAGAATGATGGAAATAAAGCTAGAACAAAAGAACTTTTGGAAAATTAAAGGCATCTCTTGATAAAATGAGTCAAAACACCAATGATAATCTGGGAAAAAGATAAACAAGAACAATAAAATATATTATCTTGAAAATGAGAAACACTGCCATTATTCTATCTTGTAAAACAATGGATATAATTGAGAGAGAGAAAGAGAGAAAACTGAAAACCTTAAGACATATATATTGCCCAATTTAATTTTCCAGATTGTCTGCAATATATATAAAGATGATTCTGAAAACAAAAAGAAGAGGCTATTTAATAAAATCTGTAGTACCACCTGTAATTTGAGAAACCACTAGCTTGGATGTTATATGGGCCCATAAGGTGAAATGAAAACTGCTTAATAGAGCATAAACAATGACATACCAGGTAATGGAAGGTTTCCAGCCCATGCCACTGAATTGGTACTAGCCCTTAACATCTCTGTTAATTATCAAGGAGACAAGATAACTGCACATTTATTTAATGCCTGGGTGGCACAGCATCTGAGAGCGACGCAAAAGCTGTAGAGAGAGAAATAATTCAAAGAGATCTGAGTAGATTAAGAGATTAGAGAGAAAGCAGTCAGTAATTTACAGAAAGGCACCTGAATTTGCTCAATTTCCTAATCATGCAGTTTGTTTTGCATCATAACAGTTGCATTCAGGGAGCTGTTGTACATATTTCTGAAAAAAGGAAAAATGACCATCAGAAGGTAGCAACCAGAAATAACTGACTTAGAGACTTGCTTGTTAGTCTTGGAATAACTGAGGTAACTGAGGTGGTCTTCTGGAAAAACTTGCCAAAACATCTCTCTACCGAGGTGCAGAATATATTGATTTTACAGCATTCACTCAAAATGCTTCCGAGTTTTTCTTATCATTGCTCTCCTGCTCCTGGGTAAAACAGGGTAGGGGATGTGTGGAGTGCCAAGTTATCAGTTTAGTTAATAAGGTGGGTGGAACTGTAGCCCATGTGATCTACTGGGCTATTAACTATCACTTTATGCCAGATTAAATACTTGGGGCATGCAGTCTATGTCTGATCCCACCCATAGACTGGGATTCTGATCAAAGGACTGGACCCACCTGGCAAATGAACTAGTAAAATACACCTGGGTATATTATGAGAATACAGATATGTGTACATTTCTCTAATAAAATGAAAAATTAGTTATTTTCTTCCTTAATCATATAGAAGTTAAATTCTTTTTTTCTTCTTATTTACTATCTTCCTACCCCAAAGCTTTTCTTTTCTTTCTTTCTTTTTTGCCTAAATCTTTGCATTTTAACTGAGTTTTGGTGTTCAGAAAACTGCAAAGTTATATTTTGAGATCCTTGTGGTGAAAAGCCAAAGGAAGCCATTGTTCTTTTTTTCTCATGATACCTTTGACAAAATTTCTATTGTTGTGACTAAACACATTTTACTAATTGTTAAGGAATCTTAAAGAAAAAAGAGAAAAAATAAGAGAACAAAACCTTCCTGCTTCTTCAGAAAATAGCACTTTTATTACCTGGATCAAATGAGGGTGGATTCAATTTTCTCAGAGTCGCTGTTTGCCTCTGTAGTTATCACATTTCTTCCAGTGCCATTGCACAAGTTGGTACTGTTTGGCAGTGACTCAGCTTTGCTGAGTTATTCATGTCAAAACATGTTTCAAAAGATGAGTAATTATGAATATGAGTTGGCTTTGGTGTTTGCTGTTGGCAGAAAGAGTAGTCCTTCCTTTTTTTGAAAGATTTATTTGGTGTTGATGTTGTGAGCAAATCCTAGGTTGAAACAACGACAATGTTGATATCTCAAAGTAAAATATTTGGGGAAACACTGTAATTGGTCTTTATAAAGCTATAAGAAATTATCCCAAAGTTTAAGAGGTCAACAAATTAAGCATGTGTGTATGTATATGTACATTTGTTTTCCAGAAAATGAATATTGCCTCATCTCGTAGATATGAGTTATACATATATGATGACATTATACATATATATGTATTTTATATGTATAATAAAATTAAAACTCTATAGCATTATATGCCATTTTGTCAGGAATCTTTATTTTCAGTTTATTCTTCCTATATCTTTTCAAAAACATGGTAGAAATATGTTATAGTTAATCTTCATGTAACTGCAAGTAGATTTTTCAGTAAGTGGTGCCAAAAGAAAATCTAAAGAGGATAAATAAAATAATTGGAATGCTGCAATGGGCAGAAGTCTCCTAATTTCTTTAAATCTGTCATTCAGAAGCTGTCACTCTACAAATGCTGTGTATGCTATATGCCATTTTATCAGTCATGTGATTTGCAAATCTTGTACTTCCACGGAAAGCCTACAGTCTTGCTTATATAAGCAAATTAATAACAGAAGCAGCACCATGTATGTGGATTTTGTTCTCCCTGGCTGCCTTCTCTCAAGGAGGTAAAAGATGATTTCTGTGTTATTTCAACATGGAAAAAAAAGTGTATTTCGGAAATGTGTAAGGTTCTATTCTTTAAAGACAATGTTGTGTTTCTCTCTTTGTGAAATTGTATTGACAAAATTTATTTGGGATATGTATAAAAACATTTCAGAGAACACTTAAATGAGTGTTGATGTCTTATGGTAATAGGTGCCATATGATACACAGACACACAGACACACACAGACACACACACACACACACACACACAGTCATTTAAATAGAAAT
This sequence comes from Homo sapiens, assembly GCF_000001405.40. Classification (NCBI taxonomy): domain Eukaryota; kingdom Metazoa; phylum Chordata; class Mammalia; order Primates; family Hominidae; genus Homo; species Homo sapiens. The sequence goes on along the minus strand of NC_000003.12, from coordinate 179,968,680 downwards.
GTATCACACTGGGGTCAGAGTCCATATTTTCCACCAGAAATCTCCAAGGTTTTCAAACTTTAAGCGTAGAAGGTAATCAAAGGGAATGTATTGGATTAAAATCTTAATGCCTCCAAAACCCAAACATTTGACATAAAAATAATATAACTAATTAGTAAATGCTATATTTGTCTTTGTAAAATAAATATTAAAAGATAAATTTTAAACATCTATTATGGCATATTTTTATTATTTGTGAAGCTATTCCTTCCTAAATGGAGGAAAGGAGGGTCTTGTTTAGGTTTCATGTACACATTAATTTCCTTCTGGAGTTACTGATATTTCAAGTGTGGGAGTAGATAGTCAAGTGCCTTGACTTAAGGGATTAAAAACATTAACCACTTTTAGTGAATTCATTCTATTATAAATTACTATTTTTAGTTAGAGCCAACTTAACTCAAGGTTTATGATAAGCTGGACCTAGATAACAATTTTTTAAAATGTTTTCAAATTCCAAGTAGACTTAAAAGAGGTAACAAAGACTAATAAATTTATAGACTATTTTGATTATATGATGGATACAGTTACAGGTTCATGTATTGTAAAAATGGGTTTAACAGCATGTTGTGGATTTATTGGGTTATAGGACTCAAAGTTGCAGTTTCATAGCCTTTAGTGCAAGCAGGTTGGGAAATGTCAAATTTCAGCCAGTTACAAGGGGAACAAGTATATCCAGGTCAGAGCAATAGTTCTCAAGCTTTAGCTGTTTCAGCATCCCCAGGAGGGCTTGATATAACATAGATTACTGGATCCCACCCCCGGGGTTTCTTATTCTTCAGGTCTGAGATGCGTGCAGCCTGACAATTTGCATTTCTAAGTATTCAGCTACTGCTGCTGGTTCCAGACCACACTTTATGAATCACCGGGTCAGAGAAAACAACTAATGCAGTTTTAAAGGAGGAAAAAATATGTAACTTGTGATAAATTTAACATTCTTCAACCTGGCATTTACCCAGGGATCTAAAAACTGGAATTCATCAGCATTTAACGTAATAACAAGACCAGAAAACAAGAAAACCACAGCCATTTACAACCAAAGGTACCTTTAAAGAACCAGGTTTGCAGTCTGGCTAAATCCACATGGAAATCTGGTAATCTTGAACCTCTCTAAGCTCAGTTTTCTCATTTTCAAATAAGTTTTCTGATATTATTTGTAAAATGATACTGTGCTTTTCCCACCTCCTAGAGTTTCTCTGAGTTAAAATATGTAAAAGTGCTCTATAAAGTGTATAACATTTATGTCATTTTAATTAGCTAGGCATCACCACTTCACTCTCCACCTCCCTTCATCCCCAGTTTAGCAAATGAGAACTTTGAGATCCAGAAAAGTGAATTAAGTTGCCCAACTCCCTGATTAGGTGCAGAAGAGCCCTAGAAGCCAGCTCTCCCTCCTGCCATCCAGTCCCATGCTCTTTCTGTCACCTCACATAGCTCTGTACCATTGCTCATTACTGATCATGCTATGAATGGATTAAGAAGCTGTTTTGCCTCAGTGCTCTAATTGTATAAAATAACCATCTACTAGGAATTATCGTAATTGGTCAACATTTATTTATTGAACCCTCACAGGAATAAACTTCCCTACAAACACTCCTTAACTGTTTACTTCCCTCTTGAGCCCTATGGCTTTGTCAGGAGATAAATGCCCCTTAAAGCAAATGTAAATAAAACTAGAGCTAAAAGTAGTTATGAAGACCGCTTGCCTTTCCTCTCACAACCTCCTCAAGGAGAACGTCTACCAGGCATGAGAAGGGGCCCTGGGAAGAGACAACACATACTCATCTTAGCTTACAGCCTTTTTGAGAGTCTCATTTTCACCTTGTAAAGGAAGCCTGAGCAGAAAGCAACGGACACTAGAACTTCTGTGATCTTTTTCTAAAGAAAAAGAAGAGATAAATTATAACCTCACCCTTGTGTCTCCAATAGCTCATAAGCATTCAAGTTGGATTGCAATTCTGTCCTAGTGGTTGTTGTGAAAATGGATCCTCAAGAGGAAAATATAGGCCAACATGAAATTAAAATGGAAGAACAAGAAAAACAGATTAACGGAGAAGATACCCAGCTTATCTGGTGCTAATAGATAGTCCTACCAACATCTAAGCAACTAACTTTGGTCTCAGACTCACAAATAGTAAAAAGGATGAGGGTAATATGTGTTCCTGCCTTGTCGTTGTTGTGGTCACCAGCCCCATCTGGCCAATGCTTTCTTGGTCATATCAATGTGGTGACTTAATTTAAATGTAATTCAGATCCCATTTACCCCTGAGGACACTTACAAAGTATGATACCCTGTCTCTTGGTATTAGGTGTAACACTGTCCCTGGGTACCTTCTTAGAACTCTGTATTTGGTCAGAAGAACAGAAACCTCCTCTAGAGTTGCAGAAAGGAGACCACCTGCTCAGCCTGCAGATTCTGAAGCATGAAACTCTGAGACATTCGAAGGACACAGCACATTATGCAGTTGTAGTTGCCTTAATTACACTCACAGCAGACATAGGCTCATTAGTGTTTTCCTCAGGAAAGATTGATCGATGAAAAATAATTGAATGAAAAGAAGCCAGATTTATTTGGAATGAGAGAGACTATTCAAATTTGCTATCTATCTGAAATCAGCATTGGAGTAAACAAAGATTCACTGTTGCAGTCCAATCAATCCCATCTTGTCTGCAAACTATTTATCATCAATAAATATTGTACACAGAAGGGGGAAATTTCTTCCATTAGGTTAAATAGAAAAGTTACTAGAGTGAAAGCATAATCACCCTGTGTTTTATTCCTAAATATTCTCTATTTGTATCAAGTAATATAAAAATAATTCTGAGTTACTGATAATTTGGAGGGCAAAATAACAGTAATGCAAATTATCTTACTTTGTATTTTCCTTGTAAACTCACGATGCTGAGTTTATTTTTTGGTTTGTTTAGCTTCATGCATTTCAATTTAATGTACTGATTCTCCTAAGCATCACTGGACTCTAGGAAAAACACAAAGGGCAAATCTAATATCCTTCATTTTAGAATCTTACGACCGATTGTTAAAGTCTGGTGGTATAAAGCCAGAAAATACAGAGAGTCACGTGTCATAGAGCGGCACAGAGGCAGGTAAGATAGCTGAGGAAAGAATCCATTGCCCTGGTTCCTAGTCTGGCCCTGCCGCTTACTAAGCAGAAGACTTTGGAGTAAGCAGTTTAAGTTCTCTGAGTTTACATTTTTTCATCTGTACAATGCAATAATAGCATCTGCTCAGATGCCTGCTGTGAGGCTCAAATGAGGATGCTCCCTTGTAGAGCCATGTGTCCAGCTTGGCCTCCTTTGGTCAGTCCCAAGTCTAGAATCCAGGGCCACCACTCCTTTGTTTTGGGACTTTTTCCTCTGTAACTCGTGCCTCCTGAATGGTGAGTTGGAGATGGTTGTGGTATCATGACATTTTCACTTTGGTTATTTCCACTGGTTTACTATTAGACATTCGGCATGCCTTCTGTGGAACAGTGTCAGATACTCTAGTCTAGCACATTTTCAGCGGTGCCAGCTCTTCTGCCATGCCATGTGGTTAGCATTGTGAATATAACACAGAATGTGTGTGTATCACTCTTACACAGTGGTTAAGAGCAAGGTCTTTACAGTCACAAATCTGAGTGAAAACAGGCTATGGCCATGTCATAACTGTTTGGGAAAATTAACCAGCTCTGTGAGCCACAGGCTGCTCTGCTATAAAATGAGGAAAATATCTACTTCATAAAGTTTTTGGGAGAAAGAAATAAGTTCTTGTATATAAATGCCTAGCAAAGTACGTAGCGTGCGGTAAGTGCTTTATAAATGGCAGGTACTGAGGTGAAAGCATGGTGGTAGTTGGTAGATAGTTAGACTAAATAGCTGTAAGATCCCCTTGTTATCTCATTGTGGTTTGGGTATGCATTTCTCTAGTGATTAGTGATGTTGAGCATTTTTTCATATGCTTGTTGACTGTGTGTATGTCTTCTTTTAAAAAGTGTCTATTCATGTCCTTTTCCCACTTTTTAATGGAGTAGTTTGGTTTTTGCTTGTGAATTTGTTTAAGTGCCTTAAAGATTCTGGGTATTAGACCTTCGTGAGATGCATAGTTTGCAAGCATCTTCTTGCATTCTATGGCTTGTCTGCTTAATCTGTTGACAGTTTCTTTTGCTGTGCAGAAGCTCTTTAGTTTAATTAGGTCCCATTTGTCAACTTTTGTTTTTGTTGCAATCGCTTTTGGCATCTTCGTCATGAATTCTTTGCCCAATCCTATGTCCAGAATAGTATTTCCTAGGTTATCTTCCCGGGTTTTTACAAGATCATGTCCTTTGCAGCAACGTGGATGGAACTGGAGGTTATTTTCCTAAGCAAACTAACCAGGAAACAGAAAAGGAAATACCACGTGTTCTCATTTACAAGTGGGAGCTAAACATCAATTACATATGGACATTAAGATGGGAACAACAGACGCCAGGGCCTGCTTGAAGGTGGAGGGTGGGAGAAGGGTGAGGACCAAAAAACTGCCTATCAGGTAATATGTTTATTACCTGATTATTAAGTTTATTCACAGGAATAATGAAATAATGAATTAATGGATAATGAAATAATCTGCACAGCATATCCCCGTGACATGCAATTTACCCATATAACAAACCTGTACATGTACCCCTGAACCTAAATTAAGAGTTAAAAAAAAAAGATGTCCTTGGAATTTGGGGACATTGAATTATAATTATTTTAAACAATAAAGTCTAGTCTGGGGTCATGGATGCAAATGCCTTTTCCAATCATCCAGGTCCAGAAATGAGGTTAGTAGACTGTGCATAAGAAACATAGGGAGTGAGGGAGTCAGTGGCTACTTGGTGGGAGCTGGCCCCAGTAGAGGTGGCAGCACGTATCAGCTTCAGCGGATTGCCACCTTGTTGGAAATGGGCTCAGTGTCACCACACATAGGAATTTTTCAAAAAAGGCATTAATCTCTGCTTTTTTACATGTTTATAATCTTTTTTAAAATTTTAAACAGTATATAATCAGACAAAATAGTCTGTGTATACAACCCATGGGGTCCAGTTTATGACTTGCTATATTCATGAGTCTCTAAGATCCAGGAAGAGTCCTATGTGCTCTCCTCTGTTTCTCTCCCATTTTACACTTTCCCCATTGAAAATTAACCTAACCTAGTTGTTGATCTGATTAAATTAATGGACATTAAGTTATCATTGACGCTGGCCTTATGTTCCTTGGGAAATTGAAGTACTTCCAAAGAAAACTGGCCAATTTAAAATGTAAAAAATCCCCATTTGATAAAATGAGTAGGGCAGTTATTTATGAGCAGGAGGCATTGCTGATGTTTCTACCTATGCAGGACTGTGTTTACTGTCTTCTGCTCTTGCCAGCCTAGCCATCTCTGTGAGTAAACAAGGTTCTAGCATTGTTGAGTAACAAGCACACACCTAGCTCTCCTCTACCAGTCCATCTTCCCCAGTTTTCCAAGCAGTAATGCAACTAACTCACAGGGCTCAGTTAAAAACTGTAATCACCAAGAGAGACATCATGAGTCACCATCTCAAGTTCAACAAATATCTGAAATGCTATCAGGTATCTTTACTTTAAGATATTAATATTCAGCCTATGTTCATTACATGCAGCATAAAAGAAAAATACTAGACTTTCAAGCTGGAAAAATGTATTGCTGTTAAGTCATTTTCAAATAGCCCATGTTTTCTTTCTTTTTAATCTAATAGGGAGAAGTGCTGGCACAATGTTTAGTCAGTGAGAAAACAAATGCATAATTGAAATGACATGAGCTGACAGGTTGAGTGTAAAAATGATGTTATATATGAAAGTAACAGTCAGAGACAGTAGTACTTAAAATTAGACTCAGCCATTTGGTAGAGAAATTGAAAAGAAACCTATTCAGCCTTTTATTGTGGAAGGAGTGTTGCCGTACTTATTTATTTTTGCTGTTGATTTTTAAGTAGGTTCATCTGATCAAAATAAGAACTGTAAATATTAGATCTGGAAGGAATTTCAGAAGATAATCTAATCCAGTGGATTAAAAAATTAAAAATTCCATCCCATGGAACCCATTTCTAGTCACCTTAATAGGGGAAGGAGTGTGTATGATTATGGTGATAGCACTTAAGGAACAACTTAGGTGTATAGATAAACTTTGATGAAAAGATATTGTTCTAAGAAGCTTAATCATATTACTTGTTATAATCAAAATAAGTTAAGCAAGTCTTGGAGTAAAAAGGTAACTTGACTGGGTTCACCAGGTTACTTCACATCACAGGCAATATTTGAACTTGGGATCTGCAGCCTCTAGTCTTGAGTTCATTCAGCCACTCCTGTAACTGCCTTTCTAAATTATGATACTTCCTCTCCTTTCTTCCAAATGTCCCATGTTGGTAAGATAAGCATAGTAATCAAACCAGAATAGTCATTTGAGAAAAGTGTGTATTTCAAGTGCACAGCTAAAAGTCTATTTGTCTGATAGATTTTTATAAAAAGATGTTTATATTAGATACCTCCTAACTCTTCATAAAATGGTTCTCACAAACTTTGTGACATCTTCCCAGTATCCATCAGGGTATAGATATTAAAGATTTTTAAAGTAAACTTTGAAATCTCCTAAACTACTCTGGGATTAACAAAGTGTTTCCTCCCTGTTGACACAGATGGTTTTTCTACAGCTCATCTCTCAGGGCCTCTCCACCTGGTTCAGTTTATCATCTCCCCCTCAACTGGCCATGGTGATTGTGAACCGTATCGACAGTTCAGCTTTCAGGCCCATCCGTTTTGAAGTCAGCTGCCAGTGCTTTTGTCTAATGAACCATGCAGGTGAACTCGGTGATTACTGATTGAATCAGCGTCTATTGTCAGAAGGGCTTTGAAAACCAGTTGTGAGTGGAAATATTTGTCCCTCAATGATTTATGTTATAAATTCAATTTTATCACTTATAATAAAAATGACAAAGGATCAGGAAGACCATACAAAATATTTTTCTTATTTTCATATTTAAACAACAGGGAGAGTTTACAGAGTAAAGTTCCCTTTTTCTCTTCGACTTTGGACTGAGATGCCCACGCTCTGCCATTGCCCCGACCTTGTCATTCTGTGGTTGCGCTTTTACTTCTCTCCATCCAGACTTTACAGTGCATGTCTTTTCTTCTCTGCTCAGCACCACTCTCTGATCCCTGCCTCTGGAACGTGTCTCTTATTCTGACACTGCATATATAAGGTTTGACAGAAATGCAGTTCTTGCAAACCTGTTTTTTTTTTTATGCTCCATTGCTTTCTTCCTTTTCTCCAAAACAACTCTAGAATTCTGTCATTTCCATTTTTGGTTTAATTTTTCACATGGTTTACCCCCAGTTGAAATGGGTACCACTTCCTTCCTGTCTTGTGATCTAGGAAACACACACACACACACACACACACACACATACACATACACAAGTGATCATTCAATACAATTGTTATTTATTCCTCATCGTATTTTTTGGCCAAATGATCTCATTCTTGAAATATATGAATAAGTAACTTATTAAAGAAATGGAAATGGTGAGAGAATGTACCATCCAGGCTTTGTGCTGGATGTTCTGAATAGAAAAAACATTCATTCATCACTTTGTTTTCTAACAAAATTATCTCATTTGTATAATTTGTGAATAATTAACTAATTTTGTTGTAGAAAAACACTAAGCATAGAAGTTGTTTTCTTCCAGTCAAGGGTTGTTCAGTTATCACTTCCCTGCATTCTCAGCTTCTCTCTTTAAACTTTAAATGTGTCCCCAAAATTGACACATGAAATTTTATGAACTATTGGAGTAGTCCCTGAAAAAAATGAGCTATGTTGCATAAGTTGATGGATTTCATTAATCAAATCATTTACTACAAGATAAAACATATTGAGCTCATAAACAGGTTAGATATTGTTAAATTTTTAAGCTAAAAATGTAAAACCTTGTAAACTTTGCATTTTTTAAAAAAGGAAGCAACTTGTTTTTGTCTAGATGAATGAGCCATTTTAATTTTGCATCCAGACTCCAAGGAACTTGAGTTAAAATCATACCCTTGGATCAGGACTTTTATGAACAACAGTAGCAATACCCCATGGACCCCAACACTGCTTAGCTTACTGGTGAGCACCCAATACATAGTGAGAACTAATGTTTCCCACTGTCTCCCAAATAAAATGCAAACTCCTCCACTGGGCTTGCAGGCTGTCCATTGTCATCCAGCCCCTAACTACCTCATTGTGCTTATCTAATGCCCCCTCAACTTCATGCCCCATTCATACTGAACACCTTGAAGCATCGAGTGTTTGATGTTCTTCCTCCCTTCACACTTTGCTCTTGCTCTTCCTTCTGCCTATGTGTAAGAATATAACATATATCACAAATATTTTGGCATATCTGCTAGAAGTAGAGGATATAGATTGCAAGGAAGGAGACCTCCTCATAGTTCTGACCAAGGCTGGCCCCTTGGAGAATCCAAATGGTAAGAGAACAAAGAGGGAAAGAGCAAGTCCCCCTAGGTTCTGTAGATGGACAGACTTCTTCAGCTTTACAAATATAAGGGAGAAATGAGAAAAAAAATAAGCAAAACATAAAGCCTGCTCTTGAAAAGAAGAGGCAGAAAATGGAGAAACAGAAAAATCTGAGACTCTATTACTTGGAGAAATTTATTATGTAAACAATTTTGCTATATATATTCTAGGCATAGTTTTGGAGGAAAACACATAGTTACACTGAGTACAGTAATACCTGCTATAGTTCTAAAAAATAATTTGTCCTTATTCTGCTCTGCTGCCACAGTGGTTCTTCCCATGTGGTGAGTGAGAAGGAACAGTGGAGAAACAGCAGAGCCAGGTCAGGGAATGCTGGTGACATTTAGCCTCAGTGTTCGGGGTGAGAGAACTAAATAGGGAATCATATTTTTTTGATACTGATCCTGAGAGAAGCTATATGAAAAAATATAATTTTTCATTTTCTTTATTATGAAATAACTTCAGGAGGAAGATAGAATGCTGCTTTTGAAAAAAATACATTATTTCCCATCTCAAAAAAAAGAAAAAATACATTATTTTGATGGAAATGATTTAATCTATTTTACTTATTTTACACAAACTTATTTACAGCCTAATTTTTTGGTAGGTGTTTGCTAGGTGCTGGAACACAGAGATAACATAACCATAGTCACGGCCTTTAAGAAGCCGGTATGGTTGGACTTACAGTCAACAGACAGTTACAGTGCCCGTGCTGCAGTAGTTGGAACCAAGGGCTCCCAGGAGCATTTGGGAGCCTCAGAACTCTAAGAACTAAGATGTGCGTTATTTCCTCCTTCCCTAATCATAGTCCAGAAAAAGTTACAAGGTTTTCCAGTGCTCCACGTGTTCCCAGGAGGAGACGTGGGCTTTGGGAACAATTACCAAAGATGTTTTTTAGAACCTGTCTACTCAAAGAGTGGTTGGTTCATGGACCACAGCATCAGCATCACCTGGCGCTTGCTAGAAATTTATACTCTGAGCTTCAGACTCTGGAGGTGGGGCCCAGGAATCTGGTTTTTTTTATTTTTTTTTTTTCGGTTTTGTTTTTGTTTGTTTTGTTTTGTTTTTTGAGATGGAGTCTCGCTCTGTCGTCCAGGCTGGAATGCAGCAGCGCGATCTCGGCTCACTGTAAGCTCCGCCTCTAGGGTTCACGCCATTCTCCTGCCTCAGCCTCAGGAATCTGTTTTAACAAGCCCTGCAGAAGAATCCTGTACACACTGTGGCTCCTAGGAAGCATTGGTTTATGTTATTCCAATTTTTGGTGTCAGGAAAGGATCATTTATACTTTGATAAAGACATTAATTTTTTATTTTGATTTTCTAGGCCTACAAAAAAGAATAAAGACAAGTTAAGTATCTTAAATCCTTTATCTGAATGTCCCTAACCTTGCAAATATTCCTTTCCTGCCTCGTCATTAAAGCGAACCTACTCAGTAATCAGTCCTGTAAAACAAATTGTAACAAAAAGAAAGCATAAATGAGGGAGACCAAGAGGTGAAACTTGTTAACCCGATATTTGTCTTAAGCTCTTCTGGTCTTACACCACGTTTATTAAAAGACTAATGATAACAAGACACACTTACACAGCATTTAGTATGTGCTACACTCTGTTCCAAAGACTTTTTGTATATTACTCATTTAATCCTCCCAACAACTTCACCATGTAGGTTACTATCATACCCATTTTACAATACACAATGGGGCAAAGGGAATTTTACACAGGGCTGCTGTGTTGCACAACCCCAGAAGGCTATGCTCTCTACACAGCCTGTGCGGCAGTACATGGCAGTGCTGGGTCAAGTGAGTTCACGTTTAAAAACTTCCTTTCATCATACCTCCCTCACTTATTAAGGAAATTTCTTGCAATTTTGACTGTTAGGAAATAACATAAGATGGTAAAATCTGAAAAAGCCTTCCTATTTTTAAAGGAAAGATATGCCATATATGATAAAGAAGAGCATAAATACATTAAGATGGGGAAACTGGAAAATATATTTTTTCCTTCCCAAAAAAAAGTATTCTTGAGAGTGTGTATGTATATATGTGTGCATGTGTGTGTGTATGTGTGTGAGAGGGAGAGAGAGAAGAAATAGAGAAAAGGAGAATGTGTGGCTACATAGCCATAAACATGCATAATCAAAAGCAAAGCTGCAAAAAAGAGCAGATGCCTAATCCTTAAATACGTGCCCATTCTGAGGCCACTGGGGCAGTACACAATACTGAATGGCCAGGACCAGGTGACCAGATGGCCCTGTAATATAACCAATAACAACCATGTATTGCATTGAGGTTGCTACATATGTTTCAAGTGCTTGTGTCTGAGGTGCTACGTATGATAAATTAAATCCTTACTTTGCATTAGAATTACCTCTGTACCCACCACATTTGAAAAATTCTACACCTGGCACAAAACCAGAAAGCCTGTCACTTCAGTATTTGTTGAGCAGCTTTCTGTTATGGGAGTATATTTCTGTGCTCTGAAAATGTCACTCCACCAGCTGCCCTACAGGAGCTGACCTTTCTTCTCAGGCTGAAGTTCCTGCTGATCTGTTTAGTAGAGCTAGTTTATCCCAAGTTGTTGGCACATGTCCAGTGTCACTGCATGCCCATCTACAGAAGTGGTCTGAGAGCTGATATTTAGCCACCCCTTTAGACTTTCACCTGACATGACTCTGCCCCTCCCAGCTCCTTGTGATTCCTTCTGTGATCCTCCCAAAAGCAGCGCCCCAGCCTTCCTCCCTGAGCCTTACCTGTTAATGCTAGACTACTGGCAATCACCCTTGGGGCCCTTCTCCCCAGCTACATTATGCTTATGATGTATATATGAAACCTTTCTCCAGAAATTTTGGACAAGAGAGAAAGTATCACCCATGGTCCTGAGAACTCTTCATTTTGCATACTCTCACTTTTGCATAATTGCAAGATAATTTTAATTTTTTTATAGTCGCAGTCGGTGTGCATTCAATTTTGTACCTGCTTCTTTATGTAACATTATGTTACGCTCATTTTTCCACATTGCTACATAGTTTTATAAATGTCATTTTAGTGGTTTCCTTATATTGAATCAAGGTGATCCTTAGGCAATTTTTTTCCAGGATTTTCACTGGCTCATGCAGTGACCATTCAAACCTTACTCATCTTTTAAGATGCAAGTTATCAAATTAAAGAGGAAAAGAAGGGATTGCAAAAAAAAATCATGTACATTACTATGATTAGACATATACGTACTGACTTACCGTGAATTCTGCATGATGTTTGTGGGAATTTGCAGTGTCATCTTTTCATATCCCGGATGCACCGTTAAGCATCACTGGAGATGGCACCGTGCATGTTGCGTCGCTCCGTAAAACCTCAGGTTTAAACTATATTCTATGTGGCAGTTATACAGCATTTCTGTTTCCTGAGGCTGACCACAGCCAAACCACAAACACGGATTTGCATAAATTCAGTTTGCATGAATTTTTAAGTTAGCTGAGAAAAGAAACTAACTAAATATTTTTACAGCCACATGAAACTTAGGAGATAATTTACTTTGGTACCTCATTCATTGAGGACACAGATATATATATCCACTAGGGTATTCTTATGCCCAAAAAATACACTCTAGAAACCCATATTGAAGTCTAAGCAACTTGTATGAAGTGGTTACCACTAAAGGGGATATAGAATTCAGACCTAAGACTGCTTCATATTGAAAGGCAGTGATGAAAAGAAATAATCGTGAATTCGTTTTAGAATGTATTATTTTATAAGCATTCTAGATTTTACCATTTTTCCTAGGGCTCCAAAATGCAAAACTCTTAAACTGATAAAGAACCAAAGGTACAGAAAGTTATTAAGATCTATAAGGCAGAGCTGAAATACAAGTGAGGGTGCTAAAATTCAAGTTCCTGACACTGCCAATGACTTTCTATTTGACCTTGAACACATCTCTAAGCCTTGACTTCCCTATCAGCAAAATGATAATAGTTTCCCTACTTCTATCTCCCAAGAATTCTGGGAGAATTTCTTAAGGAAAACTATAAAAATAATCATTTGAGCCACTCGAGAGGATTACTTCCTGTGAATAAATCCAAGATGGTATCGTCTGTAAGGAAGCCACTAATGCCCTAGGGTTATGAATCACTTTCTTGTGTTTAAGAGCAATTTAAAAATTAAATCCCCTGTAGAAAAATGAACACATCCATAATGATTACTTTTACATCGGTAGTACTTTGGGAGGGGGTAAAGTATGGCATGATTTTATGAATTTATAACTCATCAAATTAATTACATTGGGTTTTTTGAGTGATTATTTAGATAACTTTCTAATCGTAATAAGAAAAAAGTGAATACTCATATTTATGTTTTTCAACTGCCCCAAAAGATTATATTATAATACGTAGTTCTAAAGAAATAATGGTACTTTAATCACTATAGATTCTATTTTTCTGAAATGAACACAATATTTTTCCTAGAACAGCAAAAATCATGCTGAGGCTCCCAGACTTTATTTAGCAGTCAAGAAATTACATAGCCCACA